>NC_000003.12:21260000-22510000 GCF_000001405.40 Homo sapiens | reverse complement strand
ACTTAAAGTATAATTTAAAAAAATGTTCCCTCCATGAGCAGGTGTTAGCTGAGTTTGGTCTGATTTTATTTTCTATTATAACAGGGTAGCAGTAAGTTCAGTGTCTCACAAATGCTGTGATCTCCCTCTCCCCAGAGCACCAAAACACTCTCCACACCATGTTGCTGCTGCAGGCGGATGAGGGTGGGGTGGCATCCATGATTCAAGGCATCCTTTTCAGTGCCTCTGTAAATGATATGAAGTTAAAACTAGGTCCTATGAGTGTTCACCTGGTTTTCGTCCTTATGAAGGTGCTTTTAATTTTTTTGTAGATGTAGTTGTTAAATTGGTGTCCTTGCAAAAGGGACGATGTGTGGAGACTTCTATTCTGCCATCTTGCTCCGCCCCCATGGTTGGGAATACAGAAACTCTTGATCCATGATTACAGATTCAGGGGGCCATGTTAGTGTACTCACAATCACTGGAGATAAAGACAGAGTAATCTTATTGTTCTGCAGGAAATTATGGTCTAGTGGTAGGAACTTCCAGGTGTACTACATCACAACATGTAATAGTAAAAAGTACCAAAACCGAAGGTAGCTTAGTACAAAGATGCAATTAATTCAGTTTTGGGGGAATGATAATGCATAACATCATAGGTGACATTTGCCCTGAGTATTGAAGGATGAAGGGGGATTTTCTAGGTCGCAAGAAGCAGAAAAGGAACAGAGTTGCCGATATAATGCTATGGGAGAAAAGTATATAGGTAGGCTAAGAAGGTTTTCCAATTTCTTAGCCCTTGGCTCTATTGGACCTTGAAAGGAGAGTAAGAGCCCTCTTTGGGTTCTTATTTTCTTTTATATCATTCTCTAAGTTGATGTATGTGCAGTGCCAAATGGAGTTTGTGCTCAAAATTTCCTAATCCATTAATCTTCAGGCGTTTTTCACATTTTCCATTTGAGTGACTACAGTAGACCCACTGACCTCTCAAAATGTTGGTGAGCCAAAGAGAAAACAGTGGCAGACTCTGTGAATGGTGAGTATTTACAGATGAGCTCACTTCGAGTAATTACTCAGGGAAATGAGGGGGAAAGTATGGACTGAATGCCCATCATTTATTAGTTTAGAATAAAACCAAGTGTAAGATATAAATGACTTTTTTAAGTAAAAACTTTTGCCCTAGTGATGCAAACTTCTAACACCAGGGCCTGTGTGTGTGCTGAATCACTCAAATTGTGGCTCAATGCCTGAAACTCAATTTCTATTGTTTAGTGCCCTGTTTAGAGTTCTCTCCGAGACTCAGCTTGTTCTGGTGGAACAGCACCTTATTGAATTTTGCCTGATTTGCTCTTCCTTTTCTATCTCTAGCACCCATTTGTTTCTGCTTCAAGGGAAGAGCTTGCTTAGTTAGTGCAGTTTGATTTCCCCTGTGGGTTTTCTCCAGTATGTTTCTTTATTGGAAAAGCCCTCACAGACAGAAGTGTGGCCCCTTGAGCAGATACTAACAACAGCTCTTGTTAACTATTTAATTGTAGCTAACCCTTATATAGATCTTACTATTTGGAAGACATTGTTCTAAATGTTTTCCATGAATCAATTCAGTGTCGTCTGCAAAAATTAATAAGGCAAGTATTATTATTATTATCCCCATCTTGCAGCTAAAGAAATGGAGGCACAGAGAGAATAAAGATCTTGACAAGGCTCACAGAATTAGTAAGTGGCAGAGCTCTGGTTCCAACCCACTTGTCTGTGCTTCTAACCATTATAGGCCTGTCGTTAAAAAGCCAGGTACTTTATACGAATTAGCATCCTTATTGTCCATGATAGAAGGTGGATTCTTTTACTCTTAATTTGCTTAGAGAGTGCTGAGGTTCATAAAGTTTATATAACTAGCCCAAGGAAACACAACTGGTAGTTAACTGAGATGTATTCAATTGCTAGTGTCTCTTATGTCACACTCCTTGCCCTCAACCACCACATTGAGCAGAGCACAGCTGTGATCCAGAGCTCAATTCTCAGATTTTTCCTTCTTCCCTCAGTGATCTTATCCTGTCTCATGGCTTTAAATAGTTTCTATATTCTAATAATTCCCAGATCTGACCTCTTTTCTGAGTTTCACATTTATGTATTCTAAGTGTCAGCAGATGTTTTCTATAAAGACCCAGCTAGTAAATATTTTAAGGTTTGGAGGTCATAGAGTATGTCTCCAGTGGTGAGAGCAACTTGAGGGTAGGAATTGAGTCTGTTCATCCTGAAGTCCCTGGTGCCAAGGACATCTGGCAAATATACTCTAAGAATTTGCTTGTTGGATGAATTAATAAATGAATGTGAAACATTGTCTTTGAAAGGATGGGGCTGAAAATCTTGCTTATTGAAAACTTTTCCTGACCCACTTCCTAATGCACATTAATTGCTCAGTGCAAGGGGAGAAGTTTTTCTCAAAATTCTAATATCTGAAGGAAATGGGTTCTCTTTCCTCATTCCTAAATATAATACTTTGAAAATAAAATTATATAAAAATACCTGTGGTCATTATAACTATGGGTATTAATTTTGATGTGCACAATTAGTATCGTATTTGGAGTCAGAGTTGAGCTTGAATAATAACACTGCCCATTATTAGTCCTATGATAATATGCAAGTCATTTGAGCTCTTTCAGCCTCAATTTCCTTATCTGTAAAAGATGCATTATATCACAAATAATTTAAAATATTATAACATTGTGAAGATTATATATTCAAAATAATGAGGTGCTTTATACTTCTAGTGGCTCAATTAATGGTAGTGGTTGTTCTCTTCTTTAATTAGCATCATTTTCTGTCATCTTGGTAAGAAATCATAAACACTGTCTAAAACAGTGGCACTAGCTATGAAGTTACTGTTCAAGTGGTTACTTTGAATAGGATGTCAAATATTGAGCTCAATATTGACTCATGCCAAAGGCAGGTTTCCAGCAGTCTCTCAAAGAGAAGCTAGTTCAGATCATCAAAGGCACTTACTAAGTCAGGTGCTTTGCTAGGCACTAGGGCAAATGAAGAGGGAGCTCTTGATTGGAGGAGCATATCATCTGGTTAACGAGATGATATACCCAAAAGAATAGAGAATACTGTGAATTCTATACAAATTGCTAAGTTAAAATGTGCCCTGACATTACAAAGGACAAAAAACAAACAAACAAACCCACTCACCTAGAAATAATCTTCAAAATCTCCCTTCACATTTTACAATCCCCATCCTGGAAAACTATTTATTATCTTCTTACATTAAATAGTTAGCAAAGGATGCCACATGGTGCTGAGGAATATATTCTTCCACTGTGTTCCCAGAGCCAAGTGCAGTGCCTGGCATAAGCTACATGATTAATAAAATAGGTCAAATGAATAAATTAATGAATTAAAAATGCTCTGCACAGAACATGGAAGGGATGTAGTATTGCAGCAATGTTGATTGACTGTCTTCTTCCTTTTATATTAAATGTTTAATTTCATTATTCACAGCTAATTCACAGAAGAAGAAAAGTAACCACATTAGCATCACCTTTATAACAGCACAAAACCCAAGGGGATACTGACAGAAGTTTAAGCAGATTAGACGACACCACTGGTGTAGCGGTATCATTCAAAATTCCCAGAAGTTTAAGCAGATTCCCTTACCAAACCTAAGGAGGAACATAATAGTAGCTGAAGTAACAATTTTGCTAGGGCCATTGATTCTTACTTGATCTGAAGTTTTATTTGGAAGCAACGTGATTTCTTTTAGGACCTAATCTTAAAAGCTAATTCTGTACAAGCAAGTGCTGCTCAAACTTTAGTGTGCAAAAGAATCACCTGAAGATCCTGTTAAAAGGCCATCTGAATCCAGAGGTCTAGGGTGATACCCAAGATTCTGCATGTCTCACAGGCTGTCAGGTGATGTTGATTCTGCTGTTTCATGGACCACATTTTGGACATCAAGGGCTTATCACCCAATGTATTTTATAGGCTTCTCTTACCTTCACAGAATTCACTCCTGGCTATTCTGGTGTCCCTATTCCTGTCTCTACCAATCTCAGAACCAATCCAGGCTGAAGCCCATGTACATGTACATGTTGCAGCAGATTAATTTCTCATGAAGTGTGTTAGTCTGTGGAGCTCTTTCTTTTTGTCTGGAAAGTGCCACAGAATGAATGCAACCATCAGGGGTTTCAGCTTTTGTGCTCTCTCAGACAATATTATATGTACACAAGATTTGGCCACATCAATATGATAAGTATGCATTACAGATCATAATCCTCATGGGAATAATGAACACTTGCTTGAAAACCATAGGCTTCTCAGAATTCTTATCAGACCTCACACAGCCAATTTAGCCACAAAGAGGTCAAATATAATCCTGTAGTATTGTTGTATTGCCTCAAGAATGAGTATTATATAAAAAAAGAATGAGGGTTATAAAGAGGTGGTTGTTAAGTCAGCTTGCAATTTTCTCACAATTTCTTTTTATAAATAATTCTCTAGCTATAAGCTCAGCAATTCTATATATTAAATTATCAGTAAGTCTTAGAATATAATTTAAAATACACATATTTTTAAAATGTTAGCAATTTACAAAAATCCTCTTGCATTTTTAATCAAAATAAATTCTATGTTGAATTTCTCCAGTTTTATCCCAATATTTTACTTGGTATTATCCTCACTATTGCAGATACACTGCGTCACTATTTTGAATGTATTGTTGGTTGACAATGTGTTGATATTTTGTGGAAAGTAATTCTAATGTACAATGCCTAGCATTTTCTAGTGCTTGAAATAGCTAGTGTCATGAGGCATTGAAGTGAAAAGCTATTTAACCATGTCCTAAAGAGAAACAGAAAGTTTTCAGGAAGATACATGGTCAGGATGTTTTGGAGAGGATAAATGTGGACTTTTGTGAGTTCCACAGATTATTTTATTGTCTAACAATAATGTGCTATTTTCAAATAAAGATTTTAACAAAGAATTTGTTGCTGAATTTAACTAGAGAGACAATTAGACCCAGGCCTCAGAAAGGTTCCACAATTTTGATTTCCTTCAAACTCAAAGGATCTTAGGTCACTAACTGCCCAAGGGAAAGACAAAATCCATTATAAAAATGGCAATGCCAAATTTTGAACTGTAGTTTAAAGAAACTAAAAAAAGAACAAAAGGATGAAAATTAGGTCTCTTTTTCTCTCTTTCTCAGGTGTTTGTAGGTCTGACCCTGGGAATGTT
Source organism: Homo sapiens (assembly GCF_000001405.40). NCBI lineage: Eukaryota > Metazoa > Chordata > Mammalia > Primates > Hominidae > Homo > Homo sapiens. Next base: position 22,504,792 of record NC_000003.12, on the reverse strand, counting down.
TAAGGACTGCCTTACATCAGAAATGAGAGATGCATAAAGAAAAACAGGGAAACACATACTATATTGTGCTGAAATAGCAGATGTTTATAAAGTTTATTTTATCTAGGGCATTGCAAAAACACATGCACTCAGCTTTCTGAGAAGAAATGGGCAATGACTGAGCAAGTGAAAGACTGGCTGATGGTGGAGGGGTTGTGTTGTTTAAATTTCTGGTCGTACTTTGCCAAGAAGTAAAATAATACTTGATAAAGTTTGCACCAGACAGGCTAGGCTAGATTATTTGCAGAAACTGTCTCTTTCTCTTTCCTCTCTTCCCTTCAGCAAAGGGTGTATTTAGCATAACACCCTAGTTTAATGGGCATCTGAGTGGCTTTCCAGGACAATTCTCCCAATGAAGACTCATTATCCAGGTTGTTTTGCTCTCTGGCTCTCGTAAACAATACATACCTCCAGGTTGAAGAGGGAAGAAAGGGCATGGAGAACCTTGCTCCAGTTCTTAAATGCTTTTACCTGGAAGTTACAAAATCATTTCTTTAGTTGAAGCAGATTATATGGCTATATCTACCTTCAAAGGATGGTTGAGTTAAACCCTCTTGTGTGCCAGGAAGTAATGTCTACAACAAAGTTCTACGTATTCATTTATCTCCTGATTAATTCCTTTCTTCCTTTTACTTGTCACTTTGAGGTCTTTTAACCTTTCACTTAGACTATTGTTTCAGCCTTATCCATAGATGTCTGTCTGTTTACCACCTCTTCATCCTTGTTTGTCTTGCATGTGATTACAGCGTAAGTTTCCCTAAGCCAAAGAGGTTCCTATACAAACCTCTGCCCCAAATCATTCATTGTTTCCCTACTGGCCCATCTCCTAAGGTATGGTGACACTGAAGAGTTAAATGTGCTTGGGATGCAGTGGAGAAGCAGACAACCGAAATCAACCTCAGCCACTGTAGCTGAGAAAACACTGGGGAGAAACATCCAGGAACAAGTTTTACCTATTCATGAGTTCAATGATAGACAGAATGTGACATTCATCCAGACAAGCAGGTGGCACTAAAAAACGTCCAATGAAGAAAGATATACATCTCATTTCATTTTGGCAGATCATGGGCATGAGAGTTAAAAAGTATTAACTGTGCTTAGATTCATGCAGGCAAATATCAACATGGAGTAGAGTCTCAAACATAAAACTGGGGTCCAGGAGTAGACTCCAGTCCCTGGGTAATATTGAGGGATAGGAATCTGTGTTGGGGCACTGAGGTATCACAGGTTATAAAGTTAATAACTCATGTTAGAGAAGGCAGCTAGGACTTAGAGACACACATTCATCTACAAGGCTGTGCATTTTAAATCATTTTCTGCTATTTCAAATCGAAACATTCAGAATCTCAATGTATAAGTTACATGCCAGTAGAGGTGTTCTAGTTGTAGATATCATGATCTTCACTCCTTCCTGTAGAGTAGCAACCTCCAAAGTAATTTCTCGACATCCCTAGGGTTCCACTAGGCAAGTATTTAAAGTCCTGGTTGAAAGGAACATGCAGATTTACTGATGCCAAAGCTGGTGTCTTGTGGGCAGGGAAGAGGCAGAAGGTCAAATGAGTGTTAGCAGTTAGAGTAACTGACCAGTGTTGCCCTAAAACCCCTGTATGATGAACCATATAAGGAGTTTTAACTGCATCTAACCAGTGCAGGTTAGACCTACATTTAGAAGCAGAAAGGACCTACAGAGAAGGGTCAAGGGACCTGAATATGGGGAGCGCCAATCTCTTCTTCCTGTCCACATAGAGACAGTCTCCCTGCTACAATAAAAGACATTTGTGCAATGCATCCCAGGCCTTAATATTTTCAAGAACTTTGCTCCTAAACTTCTTCCTTTCTTGCCTCACCAATGTCTTCCTCTATATAGGACCATTTCTTGCAGCACACACACATATTCTAGAGTAGCAGATCTCAAAGTGTGGTCCCCGAGTCAATAGCATCAGTATCTTGTGGAAACTTGTTGGAAATGCAAATTCTCATATTCTACCCTAGTCCTACTCAATCAGAAACTCTGAAGAGCAGTCATTGGTTTTCCAAATAAACCCATTAGGTAATTCTGAGGTAAGATACAGTCTGAAAATCACTGCTCCAGAATAATCCAACGTAAAGTAAAACTTGACCTTGGCCTCTCATTCTTCTACAACCACTGTTCATTTTTCTATTCCTTTCCATGACAAAGTTCCTAAAAAATATTGTTTGTATTATTTGTCCTCACCTCCCATATAGCTTTTTATCTGGACTTCACTCCCTACCACTCTATGGAAACTGTCCTTTTCAAAGTCATGCAAAATCTCAACTTTGCTAAAATCGATGAAAAACTTATCTCCATGCATTTAACTCAGTTGCTTCTCAGCATGTTTCAAACAATCTCTTCCTCTTTCTTGAGAAATTTTACCTCTTGACTTCCATGACACCACATTAATCTCTTTTCTTCCTCTACCTTTCAGTCTTCTTTGCTGGTTTCTCCTTCTCTACCTAATCTCCAAATAACAGCTTTGGAAATGTGCCTGTTTCTTTCCATCTCCCCACTTTCAGCCAAGGTGATTTCACAGCATATTTCTGAGGGTTAAATATCATTTCTATTGGATAATTTCAACATTTAAATCTTTGGTCTAGAGTTCTTTGAGCTACAGGTATGCAAATTCAACACTTCCTCCTATATATCTTAAGTGGAACACATCCAAAACAGAAATACTGAATCCATAGCCACCACATACACACAGCTCTATGCCTTCACTTCAGCTTTCTTTATATTATTACAGGCATACCTTGAGGATATTGCACAGAGTACTGCAAAAAAGGTGAGTCACATGAATCTTTTGGTTTCCCGGTACATATGAAAGTTATGTTTACACTATAGTGTAGTCTATAAGTATGCAATAGCATTTGTCTGAAAATCAATGTACCTTAATTAAAAATTACTTAACCAGACATGGTGGCTCATGCCTGTAATCCCAACACTTTGGGAGACCAATGCTGGAGGATTGCTCTGGGCTGGGAGTTCAAGACCAACCTGGGAAATATAGTGAGACTTCATCTCTACAGAAATAAATAATAAATAAATAAATATATAAATATCTGTACTGCTTAAAAGTGCTAATAAACATCTGGTCCTTCAGCAAGTCATAATATTATTGCTGTTGGAGTGTCTTGCTATGATGTAGATGTCTGTTGACTAATCAGGATGGTGGTTGCTGAAGTTGGAGGTGGCTGTGGCAATTTAAAAAAATAAGACAACAATGAACTTTGCCACATTGATTGACTCTTTCACAAAAGATTTCTCTATAGAATGCGTTGATGTTTGATGACATTTTGCCCTCAGTAGAACTTCTTTCAAAATTGGAGTCAGTTCTCTCAAACCCTGCCAATGAAGTTTATGTAATATTCTAAATTATTTGTTGTTATTTCAACAATGTTCACAGCATCTTCACCCGAAGTAGATTCTATCTTAAGAAACCACATTGTTTGCTCATTCATAAGAAGCAACTTCTCATCTGCTCAAGCTTGTTTATGAGGCTGTAGCAATTCACTCATGTCTTCAGGCTCCACTTCTAATTACATTCTCTTGCTACTTCTACACATCTGCAGTTACTTCTTTCCCTGAAGTTTTAAATCCCTCCAAGTAATACATCAAGGTTGGCATCAACTTCTTCCAAACTCCTATTAATGTAGATGTTTTGATCTCCTATGAATCACAAATATTCTTAATGGCACCAAGAATAGCGAATTCTTTCCAAAAATTTTCAATTTACTTTGCCCAGATTTATCAGAAGAATCACCCTCTATGTCTCCTATAGCCTTATGAAATGTATTTCTTAAGTAGTAAGACTTAAAATTCAGAATTATTCCTTTATCCATTGTCTGCAGAATCGATACTGTGTTAGCAGGCATGAAAGCAACAATCATCTTCTTGTGCATCTCCATCAGAGCTAGTGGGCAGTAATATTTTGAAAGGGATATTTTCTTTCCTGAATAGTAGGTCTCAATAGTGGGCTTAAAATATCCAGTAAACCATACTATAAACAGTTATGCTGTTATCCATGCTTTGTTCCATTTATAGAACACAGGCAGAGTAGATTTAGCATAATTCTTAAGGGTCCTAGGGTTTTCTGAATGGTCAATGGTCATTGGCCTTAATTTAAAGTCACCAGCTGCATTAGTCTCTAACAAGAGTCAGCCTGTCTTATAAGCTTTGAAACCAGGCATTGACTTCTTGCTAGCAAGGAAAATCCTAGGTGATATCTTCTTCCAATAGAAGACTGTTTCACCAACATTGAAAATCTATTGTGTAGTAGCCACCTTTATCAACGATCTTAGCTACAGCTTCTGTATAACTTGCTGCAGCTTCTGGATCAGCACTTGCTGCTTCACTGTGTACTTCTATGTTATGGAGATAACCTCTTTTCTTAAGCTTTATGAACTAACTTGTGCTAGCTTCACAATTTCCATTTACAGTTTCCTCGCCTCTTTCAGCTTTCATAGAATTCAGGATAGTTAAGAGTCTTGCTCTGGATTAGGCTTTGATTCAAGGAAATGTTGTGGCTAATTTGATCTTCTGTCCAGACCGCTAGAATTTTGTGTTCACTGGAGCAGCATTTGTAATTTTCTTCAAGAACATTTCCTGTGCATTCACTGCTTAGTTAACTGTTTGGCATAAGAGGCCTAGCTTTCAACCTATCTCAGCTTTTGACATGCCTTCCTTACTAAGCTTAATTCTTTCTAGCTTTTGATTTAAAGAGAGAGATGTGTGACTCTTCCTTTCACTTGAACACTAAGCATCTATTGTAGGGTTATTAATTAGCCTAATTTCAATCTTGTTGTGTCTCAGGGAATAAACAGGCTCAAGGAGAGGAAGAGAGATGGGGGAAAGACTGGATAATGCAGCAGTCAGAACACACGCATTTATTGATTAAGTTTGCCATCTTATATGGGCATGGTTTATGGTGCCCCCAAACAATTACAAGAGTAACATCAAAGATCACAGATCACACATCATCATAACAAATATAATAATAAGGAAAAAGTTTGAAATATTGTGAGAATTAACAAAATGTGACATAGAGACATGAAGTGAGCACATGCTATTGAAAAAATGGCACCAATAGACTTGCTAGATGCAGAGTTGTTACAAACCTTCAATTTGTTAAAAATGCAGCATCTATAAAGCATAATAAAAAGAAACACAATAAAATGAGATATGCCTGTTTTTAGTACCACCATCAGCCTTTATGTCGTAACAAAAATCTGAGCATCACCTTAGAGTTTCCTCTTTTTCTTTCACTTTTCCCATCCACCTGATTCCCTGATAAATATTGCTGACCATACCACTGAAATAGATCTCAAGTCTGTCCATTCATTTTTACCTCCACTACCATCACCCTGGTCTGGACCATGGTGATTTCCCATGAGCACAATAGTCTCTTACTTGGCTTCCCAGATTTCATTCTTGTTCTATGCAAATTAATTCCCTACATAATACTAAGAGATCTTACATTTTTTTAAAAAAATTACATTAATTCTTTGCTTAGAAATCCATTTTTTTCCCCCTCAGAGGCAAAGGGTGTGGCTCTCTGCACCTCCTGCCCACTTCTGCAGGGTCATCAGGCATTTTTCTCTTCTTTACTCTTTGTACTCTGGCCATATGCAACCTCAGACAATGTCAAAAACACTCCTGGTCTCTCCCACCTCCAGACCATTGCAGCTGCTGTCTGGCATGCTTTTGCCTCAGCTCTTCCCATGGCTGACTCCTTCTTTATATTTGAGATCGCAGCTGAAATAGCCCTCTCAGAGGGGACTGGACAATCACAATATCTAAAATAAGGTGCTGCCAGTATTGTTATTCTCGATTACTGAATCATATTAATTATGATTACTGAATCATATTAATTTCCTTGACTGCACGTAGTTATTTGGTGTGACTGTTTCCACAATGTCTGCCTCTCTGCTTGAATAGACTTTCTGTAAGAGCTGGGATATCATTTTTGTTATATCCTCAAGACTTGGACAAATCCTGAGACTCAATAAATATGTTTCAAATGAATGAATGAGTGACTGGAGTGAGGCACAAATGCAACACAGGTCTGAACACACATTGTTTTTAGGATAAAGTTATAAATCCCCTCTCGGGGAAACTCTGTTTACTTTCCAGACTCCCTTCAAGTCTATAGTCACATTCCACCTTCTCTAACAAGGTGCCCTTAATCTCTCTACTCCTGAGTTCCAGTCACCTTCACGCATCATACACTTATAGTATAAGTATTTTTATTCATTCTGTGTATATGTCTTCTTCAGCCAAACCCCCTTTATTAAGCAACAGACCTATACCCACTGGTATACTTGAGGCTTCTAATATGTACTTTAGTGATCTCAAGGGCAGCAAGACATCTTTAAAACCCCAAAACATTGATCTGGAAGCTTTACATAGGATGAATTCAATGAATGATTGATGATTAATTGAATCTATCCTTGATGGATGGCTGTTATCCAGTGATGTAACATTTAGGGTGCTTTAAAAATCAAAACTATTAATGCAAATTTTTTTTTGAAACTCAAAGTGATCCAATACCTCAAAAGAATTGTGAGAATCTCAGATGGATCCTTTTTTTTAAAAAAAATAAATCAAATATTCATTTACTTTCTGGATCTGCATACTAGCTCTACCACTTACTAGTTGTGTGACCTTAGATAAGTTTTATAATTGTTTTTCTTCAGTTTGATAATCTATAAAGTGTATATGTACAGAGGATATACTAATATCTACCTCATAAAATTTTATGGGTTAATACATGTTTACTACCTAGGGCAGTTTCTGGCATAGGGTATTAGCATAAATATTATTTTTATTTTGAGCATCTGCCATATGCCAGCCAGTAGTGAGGGACAAGGCAGTCTTTGGCTAATAGTTACTTATGGTGTGTTAAAGCTGTTGGTAATTGCACAGCTGATTCTGTATTATGGGCCACTTCTAGGATGCGAAGACATTTACTCCTGTCTACTGCATGGTGCTTGGAGATGGCTAACATACCAAACACTGCCATCACTCTGTTGTCTTTAGGAGTCTATGGTAGATCATAACAATGGCCCCAATTCTTAGCCTCTTTGTATCCACATCCTTTGCCATGTAACTGTGTGGTGCCCTTCCACTCTGATACTGGACAAGACAACGTAACTTGATTTGACCACTGGAGACTGAAAAGTACTGGTGTGAGTAAGCTGACCCTCTCCCATGCCTCTGTCATTGTAAGACAGCATTCTTGGGTATAGTTAGAACAGCTCCCAAAGATGTCCATACTTTAATCTCTGGAATCTGTGGATATGTTATGATACATAGCAAAAGGGATGTTTAAAAAAATTTCTGTAATAAAGGTTACAGACCTTAAGATAAAGAGGTTATCCTGAGTTATATCGATGGAGCCAACGTGATCACTATGTAATAGCAGAGAATCTTCTTAGGCTGGAGTCAGAAGATGGGTGAAGAGAGAGATAGAGCAGAAGGGAAAATGAAGAGATTCCAGGTATGAGAAGGATTCAGTGCACTGCTTCCAGCTCTGTCATGGATAACCACAAGAAAAGAGATCATGACAACTACCTGAATGAGCTTGGAAGTAGATGCTTCCCAGAGCCTTACAAGAGCCTAGATGGCCAACAGCTTGATTTCAGTGTTTTAAAACCTGGAACAGAAAATCCAGCTAAGACAACCCAGACTTCTCACCTACAAAATTGTGAGATAACATATTTGAGTTGTTTTAAGTTGCTAAGTTTGTGGCAATGTGCTAAGTAGCAATAGAACCCTAATGTACTGGCCTAATGTACTCAGCAGAGCTGAGTTGCCCTAGTCTTCCTGGCCAAGTGCAGCCTAAATGAGTTGACAGCTAGGCAACTCCAAGATATGTGAATGTTCCCAGTCAAGATCAGCAGGGCCACCTAGCCAACAATTCCAGATGCATGAGCAATATACAATTGTTGTATGACTCTGATGTTTTGTTTTGGTTTGTTATGCAACACTGTGTGGCATTGGATATCTGACATAGTGACCAAGGATAGGGGGATACAAGTTATACTTTTAGCATAAAATGCTTTTTAAGAATAGCAAACTAACGCAGGAACAGAAAACCAAACATCGCATGTTCTCACTCATAAGTGGGAGTTGAACAATGAGAATACGTGGACACAGCGAGGGGAACATCACACACCGGGGCCTGTTGGAGGGTGGAGGAAAAGGAGAGGGAGAGCATTAGGACAAATAACTAATGCATGAGGGGCTTAAAACCTTGATGACGGGTTGATAGGTGCAGCAAATCACCATGGCACATGTATACCTATGTAACAAACCTGCACGTTCAGCACATGTATCCCAGAACTTAAAGTAAAACAAACAAACAAATAAATAAATGAAACATCAATAACATTAAAAAAAGAATAGTGAGAAAAATCTCCTGTTTGATTAGTTATGATGTTGAATCATGGAGCAAGATTCTAAGGTGGGCTCCGACAGAAATACTCTGTTAAGGAAAGGGGATGGATTGTTTACCTGTATTACTGATTACGTATTTATGAGAATTCTTGTGAAGGGACTTGGTACCTGTATCATTGACTATATATTTATGGGACGTCTTTGCATCCAAAGGGAAATGAAAGGTCTTAGAATTTTGCTTCTACTACAAGCTATCTTTTGTTTTGTTCTGTTTTCTGAGTGGCCTGGCCAGTCCAAATGATCTTCATATTTTGGAATGTTTGAATCCATAAAGAGGAAAAAAATGCATCAGCCAAACTGCTCCTTTGCCAAACTAATAAGTAAACAAAAAAAAATCCAAATAAAGCAGTGTAATATTTAGACTTAAATGAGAGAGAAATTCCACAGAGTTAAATAAAGCATAAAATGGATATTTCCACTAAGGCTATCTTAGCTGATGCAGCTATTTTTTTTTAAATTAATGTAATTCTGGCTTAATTTAGTTTTGTTTTATGAAGTCAGCAGAGTTAATTCTATGTCATTAAAAAAAAGAAACTCAAGCTGTGCAAATCATTTTACACTCTGTGTATTTCTGGAGGAAATACTGAAAACATATTTAAACCACACCACAAGAACTGTGAGTACATTTAATTTTACATTAAAAAAGTATAATTTGTGTTTCTTTGAGAATATACAGATCCAAATAAAACATTCCTTTTTATAATTCAATGTTTGGGACACAGTGGGTTACCAATTGAAGAAATCTCCTCCCAGGCCTAAACAAATACTACCTAACATTGTTTTTCAAATCAATACTATACTCAGCAAGGCTAGTGTTCCTGGATGCCTATTGTCTCTCTAGCAGTTTAAGGTAAGTGTCCACACTGTTTTACGAATGAAGGAGATTTGGATCCTGGTGGTGCACTAGCTTAGAAGTTACTGTGCATAACACAAGATATTAGTTTTGACCTCCTGAGTGATATTATCTGGCCTTAGGGTTGAAGGCAATATTCACTGTCAGCTTGTCGCTGTTGGTAAATAGTAACTGTTTAAAGAAACTGAAAGAGATCCAAATAATCAAGTTACATGGTCTGTATACAGCACTTTTCCTCTGCAGTAGTCGCTAAAAAGAAGAAAAATCAATTAAATTTCATATACCATATGCTTCAAAAAGATGAAATGAAAGCCAGTCATTTACTTTAAAGGTTGTTTTAATTGATTGAAATGTATCCTGGAGTGTGTGTATGAGAAGGTGGTATGGCATTAAATTTGTAGTCTGTTGAATCTTCCCATGGTGACCCAATTTTCTTCTTTATTCTGAGAAAAGGAAGAATTGACCCATCTTTCCAGGAAAGGAATAGCTTCATTGTTATTTCCAAGATGGAAAATATAATTGATATTAAAACATTAATTATATCAGCAGAATGAGACTGGAATCTTTTTTTTTTTTGAAGGTGATGGATATATCTATTACATTGATCATGGTGACAGTTTCACAAGTGTATAGACATGTCCAAACTCATCGTTGTATACATTAAGTATGTATGATTAGTTGTATATCAGTCATACCTCAATAAAGCTGTTAAAACAACACGGTGAGGGCCATTTTAAAATCAAAATTTTGTTGCACATAATTTAACTTTTCGATGTTTCAGAGTGCCTCGGAGTCATCGTTATAAATTTCATCTATAATGGCACAACTCAAGAGTGCTAGTTAATTAATACTTCTGGTTGACTGAAGGAATTTGTAGTATCTTCTTTCTTCTTTCAAACTTTTGAGGGAACTATCAAGAAAACTGCGTGTAGTAGTTCCAAACTAGGAAATTCTTGATAGAAAAAAGTGTGCAAATGTTTGGGTATGTGTGCGTTTTCCTTGGTAACAAGACATGCCAGAGAACTCAGAAGCATGGCTGATACTTCAAACATATATTACCTGACTAAAGAAAAACAATCATTCAAATGATACTTCCCTTTGGTGTTTCTGTGGCGCTAGAGATGTTGCCATATGGTAGAATCTCCGAATATTTTCATTTCCTCCAGGACCTGACGTGGTGGCTCACACCCCTAATCCCAGCACTTTGGGAGGCCAAGACAAGTGGATCACTTGAGCCCAGGAGTTCAGGACCAGCCTGGCCAACATGGCAAAAACCCATCTCTACTACAAATACAAAAATTAGCTGGGTGAGGTGGTGCATGCCTGTAATCCCAGCTACTTGGGAGGCTGAAGCATAAGAATCACCCGAACCTGGGAAGCCCAGGTTGCAGTGAGCTGAGATCGCGTCACTGTACTCCAGCTTGGGTGACAGAGCAAGACTCTGCCTCAAAATAATAATAGTAATAATAACAATTTCCTCCAAAAGTACATGATTTATTTATTTCAGATGAGGATTAGATATGTTTTTGGCATTATTATTTGCATTTTGAGTTTATTCATTCACTCACTGTTGTCATTAGGCGTTTATTAAGGTATTGCTGTATTTAACATATTTGATACCTGCAGCAGACCATTTTTCAACACCCTTCTTTCTGCCATATATTTTAACTTCATTTTCAGTAATAACGTTAAAGAGAAAGAAATATACACATATAATTAGGATTTGCACTAACAAATAAAAATATTACACTTTGCAGCTTATATTCTGTTTCACTGTTTTAAACTTAAAACATAAACAAAAATTCCAAGTGGTCAACGCAGGTGGTGGCTCATGCCTGTAATCCCAGCATTTTTGGAGGCCGAGTTTGGCAGATCACCTGAGGTCAGGAGTTCGAAACCACCCTGGCCAACATGGTGAAACCCATCTCTACTTAAAAAATACAAAAATTAGCTAGGAGTGGTGCTGCATGCCTGTAGTGCCAGCTACTCAGGAGGCTGAGGCAGGAGAATCACTTGAACCCAGGAGGTGGAGATTGCAGTAAGCCAAGATTGTGCTACTGCACTCTAGCCTGGAAAACAGAGTAAGACTCCGTCTCAAAAAGAGAAAAAATAAATTAACCTGAGTTCCATTTATTTGTCCTTACAATCAATCACTATGTTATTATTAGTAGTCTTAAATCTAGTTTACATTCGGTAATCTTAGTATCGCAGGGGTCAGAGACACAAACTATGCCTGAAGTGTGTTTAAATGATTCTTTTTTTTTTTTTTTTTTTTTTTGAGACAGAGTCTCTCTGGGTTGCCCAGGCTGGAGGGCAGTGGCACAATCTTGACTCACTGCAACCTCCGTCTCCTGGGTTCAAGCAATTCTCTTGTCTCAGCCTCCTGAGTAGCTGGGATTATAGGCGTGCACCAGCATGCACAGCTAATTTTTGTTTTTTTATTACAGACAGAGTTTTATCATGTTGGCCAGGCTGATCTCGAACTCCTGACCTCAGGTGATCTGCCTGCCTTGGTCTCCCAACTAGGATTACAGGCATGAGCCACCATGCCTGACTTGGATGATTCTTAGCTACTCTGAACTTACTTTCAAAAATGAGCACAGGTAGCTGAGTCTGCATATGTTGGAGACTGGGATTCCTCCAAATTAACTTTCATGTAGTATGCAAGGTTTGTTAAAACACAATAAAAATGCTAATAATTTGAAGCATAAAATGTGCATATTTATATATTTTATAAAAATATAACTGCATCATTTTATACACAATTATATACACATCTATATCTATATTATGTATTTATCTAGTTAAATTATAACAGTAAGTGTAACAATTTTGTAGAACTTAAAGGAAACAAAAGATTTTGGGGGGATGGAGTATTTTGCTGACATTGTTTAAAATTGCTGGTTTGCTAATAAAAACAAACCATTTTTTCCTTTTTTATTGTAGTAAAATATATATAGCATAATTTAATCATATTAAGTATAGAGTTTGGTGGCAGTCAGTAGATTCACGTTGTTGTGCAACCATCACTATCCATCTCCAGAACTTTTATGTCGTCTAATTCTGATACTCTGTAGCCATTAAACAGTAGCTCCCTATTTTCTCCTCTCCCCAGCCCTGACAGTCATCATTCTACTTTCTGTTCCTGTGATTTGGCTATTTTAGGTATCCCATATAAGTGGAGTCATACAATATTTGTCCTTTTGTGTCTGGCTTATTTCACTTAGCATAATATCCTTCAGGTTCATCCATCTTGTACATGCATGTATCAGAATTTCATTTATTTTTAAGTCTAAATAATACTCCATTGATTTACATACCACATTTTGTTTATCCATTCATCTGTCAATGGATATTTGGGTTGTTTTTACCTTTTGGCTATTGTGAATAATGCTATTATGAACATTGGTATACAAATATCTGTTTGAATCCTGAAAGCAGGCCAATTTTTACTTGGTTGTGATATTACTTCTATATTTTTACAATGCTCACTCTTTTTGCCCTCACCTGCCCATCACTGCACACTTGGTACCCCACTGAATGAGGTGCTATGATGGGGGAGAAAGAGGACTCCTGTGGTAGGTAGGAGACTCAAATTGTAGCACTAACTCTATGGCTGTGTGATCCTGTATGCCACTCACAGCTAAGTCTCAGTTTCCTTATCTCTAGAATGAGATTGATTAAATCTTACATACTAGAACACTCTAGCTTATGATTCTACCAAGGCAAGCAACAATAACTAACATCAGTGTAACACATCTCTATTTATAAAGCACTTTCACTTTAATCATGTCTCTTAATCTTCACAATTATACTGTGAGGTAGGTTTTATAGTCACTCCTCTCCCATGAGGGCAGTGATCCTTGCCTGTTTTGCTTATTAATGTTTCCCAAGACGCTCAAATGTTGCCTGGCTCATAGCAGTCTCAAAACAAATATTTGTTTAATGAGTACATTTTTCAGATGATACAAATGGAAATCAGAGAAAATGAGTTACTTACCTTGAGTCATTTACCCAGTTAACAGTGCTTGTTCTGGAACTTCTAATTCCAGTTTTCATGAAATGTCACCATTCTATTTTGATGTACACCATTGTACTCTAGCTGTAGGAGCAAAAATTTACTAGTGATGTGTCTTGCCAAGGTCATTCATATTTATTGTCTCAATTCTTACACCTCTCCCTTAAGTATATGGAGTTGTTCCTGTTTCATAATTGAGGAAACTGAAATTCACAGAGGTAAACTAGCTTGTCCAAACACATGAGTAGTGGACTGGGGTTTAGATCTCAGGCTTCCACAGAGGGAGGTCTCATAAAGAAATGATCAGAATAAGTAGGTGCTGCTATTTGCATAAACGGAATTTGAACTTAGCCTCAAAAGGATTACAGGATAACTTCAACAAAGTTATGAAAACATAGAGGAATAAGCCAGATTTAGTCAGGAAATAAATGGTTCTAGCTATTGGGAAATAGTGAGAAAGGAGAGTAGAGCAGCTCCAAAAATTCATGACTGAGGCAGTAGGAATTGAAAGATGAAGGTCAGGGTGGGAGTTCTTGACTCTCTCAGGCCAGGTTGGCAGTTGCTCTTTGGTTCAGGTGTCTTTACTCAGGTTCACAGAAAAAGGCATTCAATTCTATGAATTCACCATGATGTAATCAGTCTCTGGTAAGCTGAGGCATGATAAACAAGTCATAGAGACGGACTCATAAATCAGAGTTATTTCATAGTAGGAAATCCACTTTGCCTGAGACCTATTAGAACCTGGCAGGTGATCAGGGTATGGAGGGTCTTGAGGTAGGGGGATTGGAAAGCATTGGCATTGAAAGTTATTTCAGCTTAGGAGATAAAATAAAGCTTATGATTTCTTCCCACATATTCCATCTCATCAAAGAAAATTGATATCCTTTCTGGCAAAAGTAAGCTGATAAATTGTTATTTCAGACTCTGGAACTATCTATCTAAAGACCTGAAGCCAGTCATTTAAAAATATCATCTCCTATAGCTGCTACAGAGAAAACTCATTCTTACCCTCTACTCCTTACTATCACCAAGATGACATTCTGATTTGAACACATTTTCTCATCCTATAATCTTAAGGCTTATAGCTGCAAAGCCACTTTAGAGCACTGGATCAGGAGTCAAGAGGCCTATGTGTAAATACTAGTATTGTCCTCGACTAGACAGTGAACTTGAGCAAGGCACTTTCGTGGATAGGCCAACATCTCTTCATCCTTATACCCGGTGTTGGAGTAGAAGCTAATGAAGATGTTGTTGTGCTCTAATAGACTAATATATTTAAAGTTGCCAATTGTACATAGTTATTTTTACAGTGCAGATCCTATAGTGGATCTCTATGGTTTTTGACTACCTAACCTCTATTCATTTTGTTGCTTGAATTAGTTGGAAGAAAGGAGGAGACCTAAAGGAGTCTCACTGTTCCTTATGAAGATTTTTAATAAGAGTTCTTATTTTCAACCCAATCACCCATTCTTGTTTTTTACTCTTTTTAGTGGTTCAACTAACAGAGACTTTCTGAAGCTCTGACTTGTGTCTATGTCCCATAGTTCTTTGGTGTGTACATTGTTTACCTTGTTAAGTCAGATGACACTCCTACCTCTGCTTCTCAGTTTCTCCAAACTGGAGGACATTCATCCCCCACTCCTTTTCCCTTTCTTTTTTCATTGTCCTTGCTAGCTATATTTTCTGAAATGTCTTTACTGTCATTTTAATGGGGTTTCAGGAAGTAATGGAGATAAGTGCATGTATTCAATTTGCCAAGTTTAACCAGAAGTCACCTCTGTAATATTTGATTAAAGGAGTGAAATGGAAAAGGTTTGTGGAAATTATTTTGGCAGCCATGTGTGAATAATGGAGTGGAATAGGTCAGAAACCAGAGACAAGGAATCAAAGAAGGCTGTTTTTGTAAGTACAAGGTAAGGGAATGAGAAAAGGGCTTTCCTGAGGAGAACAGCTTGAATCAGAAAGCTATATTTGGAAGAAGAATAAAGTAGAGTTTAATAACTTTTAAGATGCTGAATAACCATGGTCAAAAGGGAGAGAAATTGAAGTAAACTCCCTGATTTAGAGCTGGTTGAGTGCTGTCAATTGATGTCAGGGTGCAGACTGTGTTGATGTCAAAACGAAGCCAGGCTTGTATGAATGCTTGAAAAGCTTAACTCTGAAAGGAAACACACACACACACACACACACACACACACAGACACACACATACAACACACACACAAAATACTAGGGCAAGAATTAAAGGCATGAGAATTCAGGGAAGGCATTTACTTTTATTTTCAGGTGGGTGACACCTGATCTGAGCATAAAACCAGTGAAGGGATAGAAAATTTTGGATATGGGAGAAAGTGGGTGTGTGTGGGGAGACTACCTAGTTAGCTAACCCAGAGCTCTTCTCAAAGGGTGTACTTTGATGCAGCAAGAAATAATTTGCCTACAGATACTTTTGGAATTTGTTGGTTGCATGCTTATAACGGCCTTGACACAGAAAAAGCTGATGCAAACACTTGGCATGATCTTACTTTTTCCTGGCTAGTCACCTTTTAGGTTTGCCCTGATGGTTTATCCAACTCACCTACTTCCTGCCCCTAACAATCAGTATTTACTGTTGAAATGATCAGAGCTACCTAATTGGGTGCTTACAACTAGTTATACATTATCTAACCTACCTTTGCATATGAACACATAAGCACTGCTCCTCTATATAGATTTTTTCGTGGCACATTTGCTGATTTTTCTTAATCTTTAATGAATTCAGATTCAGGATTTGTGCAGTATGTGACATTCACTAACTCCTTCCGGAGCACATTGGTTCCAAGGTTATAAGTTTCAACTCTTTGCTAAATCTTCCTCTCCCCACCTTTTGAGTGTTTATTTGACTGATGGCTTTCACAGCTCCCACTAGGCTTTTAGAGTGTAGAAGCTGCATATATTTGACACTTCGTTTTGTGTCTAGACAATTCACTCATATCTCAGGCTCTTGCTTTATCATTTAAAAAGCCACTTGAAAACTTTTTTCATAAAATTATAGCAGGTTTTGTGTGATTATGGTTACATTCTGGCTGCTTCCAGCTTTGGGGGTTACTCTTTCGCCCTTTTTCTGATTCCTGTGAAAGAATATCTTTCTCTTGACATCAGTGTTTTCTAACTATAGAAGTGGATGCTTTTTATGGCTATGTCTCAAACATTTCAGTGGGAGAAAGGTGTTTTTGGTGGTGTCATTATTTTAGGATAGTTCACACTTTGCAGGATTCTGTTTTGTCAGCTGCTGTGTGGATTTTCACAGAGCACTGTATAGGCAGGGCCAGAAAATCGGCAGAAAAAAAATTAAGAAATAATGTCTAAGAAGAAATTTGGGACATACAAATAGAAAGTTACTCATGATGGAACTTTTTTTTAGGAATGAAAAGATATTATCAATCCTAGAGAGACCTGGGTACCAAATATAGAGTAGCAAAAGGTGTTTATAATGCTGATGGGCAAAACATCTACAGTTTGTGATGATGAGGTTGGGGAGAAGAACAGAAACGAAAACACATTTCAGTCAAGGAACTGATAGGAATAATAAATAAATAAAATATAAGACAGCATGTGTTGTGGTTTGGACTGAATGGATGATGAATATAGATAGGAGACAGAGCAGTAGCTAAGTCAGAGTACAATAGAAATGGGGTGAAATAGGTAACACATGGATTTGTATAGTATTAGTTTTTTCCCTTGGAATTTTTAAGAAGTGAATTTGTTCTTATTGGTCAGTAGTTGCATTTGATGAATACTGAATTCTAGTCTGCTTATATAAGGGATAGAAAAGAAAGATATACTAATATCTGTGTTTGAAGGAGCCTATATCTCATGTGGTTTGAGAGGAAACCAAGAGACTTCTAAAGAAGGTTTCAAATATGTATAATTAAAGGAATTTCAAAGTCAGGTTTAATGACCAGGGTCTCAAAGATTTATCATTTTCCAAGTTTTATAGCAATGAAGAAGTCTTATATTATTTATTTCTGAATGAACAAATTTTGTAAAATGATGCCCATGAAGCAAAAAATATTATGCAGTGAAAATTCTTGTCTTTTCATGTTAAATTTACAGACACATAAAACAGAAGTCAGAATTTCTAATGACCATGAAGGAAACTGAATAACGTCCTCAGGTTAATGTATTATAGCCCATGCAAGTTTTAGTCAGTCTACATGTGCCAATCTTGGAAATCAGAAATTTTCATTAAATTCTCTGAAATATTGAAAATACATTCTCAGTTCCCTAAGCTTCCTTTATAGCCATATAGGTAACTGAGTAGCCAGTCATGGATTCATATCCTTTCCATGTTCCACTGGATGGAAAGGATGCTTTGAAAGAGTAATTTCAAAATGGAAGATGAAAATAAAGAATCTCTTCTTCTCCTACATTTCTGATCATAAGTAGGTAGAGTTTTTTTTTTTTTAAAGAAAATCTTTCAAATAGAAGCTTGGCAGAAATCTGAGTTGTTGGCTATATTGTTACAAAGGCTCAACAGGTTTTATTTTTTTCCTCTTAACCTAATTGCAAGAGTGTACATGCTCTGACAAGGTTTTTGATGCCCCTGATTCTTCTTGCAAAGTTCATTTCTATAAAGTACCCTGTCAGTTCAGCTAGAGGTACTAAAGAAAAAAGGTGGAGAAATATTGTTTTTGCCTGGTAATAAAATGCCTCTGCTGGATATGTTGAGTTGAAAAAAATTATAGGAAAGCTAGTGGATCAGAAATCAGAGACATATAGAAGAATCGAGGGAAAGAAACCATCAAATGTAATTTGAAAGGAAATTGAATTGGCAGGTGAAAGTAAGTTCCCAGAAAGAATGTGATTTAAAAAGACTACCTGCTATATACATAGATCCCTGCAACGTCTTCTTATAGTCCTGCTATGACACGAGTATGTAGGTGTGTGGATCTGTATATGTGTGTGTGCCTAATATTATGAAGTAAATGGACAAAACAGGCTTGATTATATTCCTAGAAATCAAAATAATAACAATATACAGTTCATTTTAAGTGAAAAATTATTTAAACCAGCAAAAGAATGAAATAAATCTGTAAAAATTAGGCTTGCTACTAATGTAAGTACAGTCCTCTAGAAGAAATAAACGTAAACATTATTACATATTGAGATTGAAGAATGTCATAGTTCTCCTTAGCTAAATTTTAGTAGTTAGTGTTAGCAGGTTAGCACAATTGGTTATAACTTCCTGTTTTTGACACTAAGGCTAGACGTTTCGTTTCTTACCTGGGCCAGTTAGCTTTAAGACATAGACTTCTTAGTAAATGGCCTCAGGACATGGCTCTGTACTATAGCTAGATATGAACTCTGGGTAACTAAGATGTAACCACCCTGTACAAGTAGCACAGAATGTCTATCCTGCTGATGTATCTTGGCACAATTGAAATTGTAGAATATAGGTAAAGACCCTGACATAAATGTAAGAGTATTAGGTCCTGTCTTTGAATAGTGATGCAGATAAAATCTCATTGCAATCTATATATTATTTTGTTAAGAAATTACTTTCCACAGAGTATATATAACTTGTAGCAGAGGCAGACAGCACTAAGCTTTGGTAAGACACCATTCTTGTAAGAGGTGCTGCTTGCTTATCTAATTAGTCTGTCATTTGAAACTGTCAATTTAAGTCCAAATTATCCATCTATCTAGCTAGCTCTCATTAACACAAGACTTTATAATGAATTACTAAACCTCCACAAATAATGGAGGACTATAGAAGCTTCCCATACAATAAATATAAGCACGCACAGAGATGCATTTATCAGTACCCGAAGAGCACCCATCTCTGAAAAGTCCAATATTAAATATGTAATCCTCATCAACTACATTTATCATGAAGATGTGTATTTGTAGAATTTAAGGTGATTCAGCATCAATATGCTTAAAGAGCCTGCTGCAGTTGCTAATGTCTTTATAAAGAGCATCATTCTTTGTGTGGCTTCTCAGTTCTCTCACTTCCTCTAATCTTGACAATACCTCTCTGATTTGAGATGAAGAATAGTTTTAGAAGGCTTGAATTTAACCTAAGAAGAGACCCCAGGTTGAACAAACATAAACAAACTATATCTCCTGTCTATTCCTTGCCTGTTTTCATGTTGGCTTAATGTGCTTTTTCCTAGATGAAGTCATCTGTTCCTGTCGCTCTAGAAGGAGCACATGCTCTCAACTAGGAGTTCTCAGTGCCTTATTTAATAATCCCAACTCGGGTGATATCCGGGTGGGTAAGGATCATCCTTTCAGCTATCTTTGTCTTTTCTATAGCAAGAGTGTCTCAGAGCCTTGTAATGAAGGTGCTATATTTCTGAAAAAAGAATGGGAGAGAGGTATAAAAATAACCATCTATTTGTAGTATACTTTTTGGCTCACGTTTCCTTTCTTCTGTTTCTCTCCATAGCCCTATGAAATCAACAGGCAATTATTACTGAAAGTATTTTACTCAGTAAAGGAATAACCACTGAAATCTTACTAAATTAGTAAGAAATGGAGGCAAGAACTTAAATAAATTCCTTTCTTCTTTTATGCTCTCTCTGTAATCCATCTTACCAAAGATTGCTTTCCTAGGAATCTTTTTATATGACTTTAAATAGGACATCTGCTAAAATCACTGATAAGAAAGTGTGCTCACTTTAAGAGGGGAGAGGAGAATGGTCCAGAAACCACTGCCCATAATCTCCAATTAGGGATCTTGCAATGCTGAAAATGAGAGGGCTGCAATTACACCTCTGCAGGAATTGTCACACTGTCAAGTGTTAATTACCTCAGTGTCCCTGAGGCCCTGAGTTATTGCTCAGCACAGAGTATAGACAATGATTCTGACATATATATATTTTTTATTATACTTTAAGTTTTAGGGTATGTGTGCACAATGTACAGGTTTGTTACATATGTATACATGTGCCATGTTGGTGTGCTGCACCCAGTAACTCATCATTTAACATTAGGTATATCTCCTAATGCTATCCCTTCCCCCTCCCCCCACCCCACAACAGGCCCCAGTGTGTGATGTTCCCCTTCCTGTGTCCATGTGTTCTCATTGCTCAATTCTCACCTATGAGTGAGAACATGCGGTGTTTGGTTTTTTGTCCTTGCAATAGTTTGCTGAGAATGATGGTTTCCAGCTTCATCCATGTCCCTACAAAGGACATGAACTCATCATTTTTTATGGCTGCATAGTATTCCATGGTGTATATGTGCCACATTTTCTTGATCCAGTCTATCGTTGTTGGACATTTGGGTTGGTTCCAAGTATTTGCTATTGTTAATAGTGCCTCAATAGACATACGTGTGCATGTGTCTTTATAGCAGCATGATTTATAATCCTTTGGGTATATACCCAGTAATGGGATAGCTGGGTCAAATGGTATTTCTAGTTCTAGATCCCTGAGGAATCACCACACTGACTTCCACAATGGTTGAACTAGTTTACAGTCCCACCAACAGTGTAAAAGTGTTCCTGTTTCTCCACATCCTCTCCAGCACCTGTTGTTTCCTGACTTTTTAATGATTGCCATTCTAACTGGTGTGAGATGGTATCTCATTGTGGTTTTGATTTGCATTTCTCTGATGGCCTGTGATGATAAGCATTTTTTCATGTGTCTTTTGGCTGTGTAAATGTCTACTTTTGAGAAGTGTCTGTTCATATCCTTCGCCCACTTTTTGATGGGGTTATTTGTTTTTTTCTTGTAAATTTGTTTGAATTCATTGTAGATTCTGGATATTAGCCCTTTGTCAGATGAGTAGGTTGCAAACATTTTCTCCCATTCTGTAGGTTGCCTGTTCACTCTGATGGTAGTTTCTTTTGCTGTGCAGAAGCTCTTTAGTTTAATTAGATCCCGTTTTTCAGTTTTGGCTTTTGTTGCCATTGCTTTTGGTGTTTTAGACATGAAGTCCTTGACCATGCCTATGTCCTGAATGGTATTGCCTAGGTTTTCTTCTAGGGTTTTTATGGTTTCAGATCTAACATTTAAGTCTTTAATCCATCTTGAATTAATTTTTCTATAAGGAGTAAGGAAGGGATCCAGTTTCAGCTTTCTACACATGGCTAGCCAGTTTTCCCAGCACCATTTATTAAATAGGGAATCCTTTCCCCATTTCTTGTTTTTGTCAGGTTTGTCAAAGATCAGATGGTTGTAGATATGCGGCATTATTTCTGAGGGCTCTGTTCTGTTCCATTGGTCTATATCTCTGTTTTGGTACCAGTACCATGCTGTTTTGGTTACTGTAGCCTTGTATTATAGTTTGAAGTCAGGTAGCGTGATGCCTCCAGCTTTGTTCTTTTGGCTTGGGATTGACTTGGCAGTGCGGGCTCTTTTTTGGTTCCATATGAACTTTAAAGTAGTTTTTTCCAAGTCTGTGAAGAAAGTCATTGGTAGCTTGATGGGGATGGCATTGAATCAATGAATTACCTTGGGCAGTATGGCCATTTTCACGATATTGATTCTGCCTACCCATGAGCATGGAATGTTCTTCCATTTGTTTGTATCCTCTTTTATTTCATTGAGCAGTGGTTTGCAGTTCTCCTTGAAGAGGTCCTTCACGTCCTTTGTAAGTTGGATTCCTAAGTATTTTATTCTCTTTGAAGCAATTGTGAATGGGAGTTCACTCATGATTTGGCTCTCTGTTTGTCTGTTATTGCTGTATAAGAATGCTTGTGATTTTTGTACATTGATTTTGTATGCTGAGACTTTGCTGAAGTTGCCTATCAGCTTAAGGAGATTTGGGGTGAGACGATGGGGTTTTCTAGATATACAATCATGTCATCTGCAAACAGGGACAATTTGACTTTCTCTTTTCCTAATTGAGGCTGATATATTTTTAAGAGGATAATATCCTATCTTTGGAAAGTGATACAAATAAAATTACATTGCAATTTTTACATGGTTTAGGTTGTTAAGAAATTACTTTCCGTATAGTTTCATTTTCTGTTTGTCTGCTAGCAGCAACACAAAAATATTTTGATTATTTTTTAGACTCCCAATAGGGTTGTGAGCTGAGGGAAGGCAGGAGGGGTGTGGAAAGCATATATGTATATTACTATAGATGTGTATGTGTGTATATATATATATGTATATATATGTATATATGTGTAGATACACACACACACACACACACACACACACACACACATGCCTAACAAATAAGTCCTAGAATAAAAGCAATGACAAGGAAGTCTTAGGCTTTTTGCATCCATTTCAATGTTTCAAAGTATGTCCCAGCATTTTAAATTCAATATGTTGCTGACTTTGTCCTCCATGATGTGTTACATGCCAGTCAGGACATACAAGTGGGGGCTTTCAGTGAGACTTAACCCAATACAATAAAGCTTCCCCTGGCACAGAAACAGATCATATAGATTATATTCTAGGGTGTGTCCTGTTCAAGGACATGGTGCTCAGGAATCTGAGATTCATCTTAGGAATCTTAAAGCCCAGAGAAATTTATACTGTTTGATTTTTTAAACTGCAGTCTGAACTTATAACAATCATATGAGCCTAATATACAAATAAGGGTGGAAACTGAGACCATGAGATCTCAGTCCCTAAGATTATAATATATTGAGATTATGATATATGGCCACTCATATTTAGGCATAATGCTGAGGTGATATATTGGCCACATGTTGACATAAGTCATAATGAATAATTATCTTTCATCCTTTGTGCTATGTCACAGTGCTCACTCATCATCTCATCTTTCATCAGTTGTGTTGAGCTGCAGTCATCTAAGTGAGCAGAATGTTCAAAGGGTGCAAAATGAACTACAGACAACTATCCCCGGCACACAACTCCTATGTTGTCAGCACTGTTATCAGCATTAGCAAAGTGAGTGCAGCATTTAAATCAAATTGACTTTTGAAAATCATGAGTTATTCATTGGAAAATAGGGAATGAAGATAACCAACATTTTTCTCATGCATTAAGGTAGATGGCATAATTCTTTTCTAGAAATGGTTTGTTTGAAGATAACAACCTAGTAGCAGCTTGGAAACTATCGATTAGACAAACAAGTGGTACAATCTTTATTACCGTTTCTTAGTAAATGTCATTATTTGCTAAAAAGGCACAAGCACCTGCTTTCCTTTGTCACTGCTCCCTTTCCTTACACTTACATAACACTTAATGCTTTTCAAAAATACTTTCACTATGCTATTTTATTTTTATCCAGAGGGATGTTTTCCAGCTCTCAAAAAATAGCAGCAACAACAAAATCTTTCATAAATAAATAAATAACTTCTGAAAATAGAAAGACTACTAAAAATAGTGGAAACTATCAAGGAATAAAAACTGTAAATTCTCTGTCCCATGTGATAAAATGGCTCTCCAGGTCACCGCTGTTATTATTTACCAATATTTCTGTTTTAGGCACTGTTTAAGTAATTTACATGCGTTCTAAGTTATTTCGTCATCAAAAACCACACTATGAGGTAGATGGCATCATAGCCTTTGTTTTATAGAGGAAGAAACTGAGGCTCAGCTAACTTAAGTAATTTGCCTAAGATATGCAGCTAGTAAGCCAGAATTTTAACCCAAGGGATCTATCATTGAGTCTGTATTTCTGTGAATAGCTTATCAACAAAATTTGATTTGGAATACAGGAAAAATTCATGCTCAAAAACCCAAATCAAATACTGAAAATATACTTGTTCTCATCTAACTTTAATCTTTCTTTCCAGTCATCTCTTCTCTAAGCAGCACTGTTGAATGTTAAGGAGCCTATATTTTATTCAACCTCTCCCAGTCGTTTGGGGGTAATTAACCTGAGTTTTATACATCCAGCCTTTCTTTTAATGAGTAAACTTTGAGCAAAGCATGTTTCCACCACTGGGTATTTGCTTCTACTTGTAGAGGAAAATGAGCAGCATATATATGATTCCTGTTTTTCTGTCCTTGTTATTGGATTCCGTAGTAAAGAGGAATGAAGAAATTGTGAATCAGAGCATAACGATTCATTTTAGCAATGGATTGTGGGAACCCAGACACACATAGATGCTTAAACCCATCAACAAAAGATAAACAGAGCCTGTCATTTACACAACTGACATGTGTGCTCTAGTCATTCTTTAGCACAGCAGTATTCAAATAGAAAGCTGTTACCAAGCCACACTTGCTCTTTCAGGAATGACCAGCATAAGTAGTGAGCATAAAAACAGGACCAACCCAGGCACTGTGGCATGTGTCTGTAGTCCCAGCTACTCAGGAGGCTGGGGTAGGAGGACCACTTGGGCCCAAGAATTTGAGTCCACCCTAAGTAACATAGCAAAACTCTGTCTCTAAACACACACACACACACACACACACACTCACCACCACCACACACACACACAGACACACACACACACACACACACACATAATCAGGTTGCTTTGTCTACGTCCATTAGTTTTGCTTCCCTTCTTACTTTTTTTTTTACTATACTTGAGGATTTGTAGAACTCTTAAATTTTGTCTCATAATAAATCTGGTTCGGTTCCCCAAACTTCTACACATTCCTGGGAAACTCTTAAAATCCTTGAATATTTTAAAGGAGATGAATGTACAGTTCTAGGTTATAATACCTAACAGTAGCTTGGGCAAGGAGTGTATTCCGGTTCTCTAGAGAAATAGAAGCAATAGGAGATTGTGTGTGTGTGTGTGTGTGTGTGTGTGTGTGTGTGTGTGTGTGTGTGTATTTACTATATAAGGGATTGGTTTATTTGATTATGGAGGCTGAGGAATCCAACAATCTGCAATTGGCAAGACCCTGGAGACCCAGGAGAACCTGTGGTGTAGTTCCATCTTGAGTCTGAAGGCCTGAGAACCATGGGAACCAATGGTGTAAGTTCTAGATGAGTCTGAAGGCCGATGAACAGGAAAGCCAGTGATGTAAAGTCCCAGTGCTGTTTGAGGGGAGGAGACTGATGACTGAGCTCAGGCAGTCAGTCAGAGAGAAAATTCTCCTTCATCTACCTTTTTGTTTTATTAGGTCCTCACTGGATCGATTGATGTCCACCTACATTGGGAAAGAGAATCTGCTTTACTCAGTCTACTGAATCGAATGTTAATCTCATCAAGAAATATCTTCACAGAGACACCTGGAAATAGTCTTTAACCAAATAGCTGGGTACCTCATGGTCCAGTTAAATTGACACATAAAATTAATCATCATAAGGAGTTATGGCTTGAGTTTAGGGAAGAAATGTACTAAGCTTTTGACTAAGCCTTTAGGAAACTTTACTCTAGAGGGTGTCACACCTCCAGCCCCATTTGTGTTGTGCTGTGTTTTGAATCAGGGTGGACATGTCACAATCCCCTAGAGACCAACATTGTGTGTGTGTGTGTGTGTGTGTGTGTCTGTACTCAGCTTTGCCTCCAGATTTCTGTCTTCAGCATGCCATTGTGGAGGGTTGGTAGAGGGCTGTGAGGGAAGAGCTGGGTAAAGAGAGAGGCAGGTCTGGGATGACATGATGTTTACATGCCTGTTGTAATCCTTGCACACTACATATAAAGAAATGTAACATGACAATGAAAATTGCAAAAGTTTTGCAGCCATAAGGATGAGGGCCAGCCACAGCTCAGCCATTTACTCCTTGTCTGATATTGGGCAGCTTCTTTAGCTTCTTTTCCTTTATAAGTCTTATTTTACTCATTTGTGAAATGAGAATGATACAATCTAACTTGCAATAGTGTTGTAGAGATTAAATGAGATTCTGTATTTAAAGGGATAAACTAGAGCCTGGTACAAAATTATTGGAAGCAAAGCTTAGCATTTTAAAATTATCTCTCTTAAGCAGCATCTTAGCAATTGACTACTTTGACAGAACTAATTGAATACTTACATAAAAAACCAAATCTGATTGATTTTAACCAAAATCAACTTATCACCCCTCCCCACAACAGACGTAAATTGTTTATTTGACCTAGTGGTGATTATTTTGGTTTCTGATTGACTCATCCTTAATAGAGTACAAATATTCTTATAGCTACCTTGCCACAGGAGTATATCAGCATGAAAAAACCCGGTTTCAAGTGTATTAGCTAAAAGAAAGGGTTTATTTTACATATTTATTTATAAAAGTACACAATAAGGAACCTTCTACATAGGAAAGGAAGAACACCTTCTGGGCAGTATTATAAGTTCATGGCAAGAACTAAACACAAAACAGATACTTTACATCCCTGCCTTTTATCTCTGTGAAAGCAAAATAAGGTAGGAGGATTGGCAAAAATTATAGAATGAAATAATTGGAAAAATATAATGAGTGTGTTTTTCACCTTGGGATTATTTACAAATGTGAAATGTTGATCTTATCTGCAGCATGCATGTGTTTTCTAATTATAAAATAAAGGTGGAAACATATGAAATACTCAAAACCTCTAGTTTGTGAGTAATTCAAAGGGATCAGACAGTTATCCGTGTTATACGGAATTCACTGCATATGTAATGATTGCACTTAGTGTCAGCCCATTGAAAAGCATCTGCTTTCGAAACTGCCATTGGGCTAAATTATGTTTGTGCCTTACAGGACATCCTCAGTGTAGATAAATAATATATGTTAAGAGATTATATGGGTTACCTTAAAATGTGTCATATTCTTCAATTCTGTTGAAAACATTTATTATTCAAGAGCATTTGATCCAATTTCAGTTTGTTACAATTATCCCATATCTGAACTTAAATTCTCATCCACAAAGCCAGTTAAGTAAATTTTTAATTAGAATGTCCTAAAAATAATTATTTCAAAAATTAATATTCAGCTTTTTTTAAGTTCATTTTCTCCATGCCTTTTAATAGTCTGCCAAGTGGCTTTGAGAACTATTTTAATGTAAAGTTTAGAGTGTTACTTATCAAACTTTGTAAAATACTTGAAAGAAACAACTACAATATGTTATATTGTTTGTGACTAGTTGCTGCCCACATTTACATAAAAATATTTTGCTTTGTGAACCAGGCAAAATATTTTTCTTTATTCTTTTGTTCCAAAGACTATACTAATAAATCTGTAAATGAAGATATTGTTTTAACTCTACTACATTTGTCTATAGCTTTGTTACTATTGGTAAAAATCATTTAGAAAGCAAATGGGTTTATTAAAAGTACATGAATATGTATGTTTATTATAGCATCCATTATTTAACAATAGCTAAAGTTATTTTGGATATGATGGGAAAAATGTGTATCTTGGAGAAATTCCCAGATGGAAATTTTATAAGGAGATGTTAGAGAAAAAAAGACTTGCCTGGGCTCAGGCAGAGAACATAGAATAATTGGCAGGAATAAAAAAGAGGAGGACAAGGAATTTTCTTTGGGTTGGTCCAAGATCTGAGAAAAGGAGCATGTGGGCAGAGTCAACGTGGAGTGGCCAGAAAAGTGAGAAGATCTGGTTTGGGGTAAGGGCTCTTCTCCTTACTAGTTGAAAGGCCATTGGCATGTCCTGTAGTTTTACTGGCCCTCAGTTTGTTAATCAATGACAAAAGAAGATTTGATATGGTGATCTCCAGTGGCCTTTCCAGCATTATAATTTTGCATGACATTATTCCTTCATTACTGGAAGCTCACCAACGTCTTAAACTAGGCCATACTCTGCATCGTTGCCCCCACAGTTCTGTTAGGACAAAAGCTAGGATTATTTTTCCTGACACTCTTATGTTTCCTCAATTGCAGTTTTCCTGTTGCCACTAGAATTATTTGTTTCACTTATTTGCAAAATTTATGAGGTGTTGTTTTTAAGGACAATGTTGGTATTTAAGTGACCTTATTTTCCAGAGAATGTATTATTCAGTTGTTGCCATCATCAAAATTACAGAATCATGGAATATTAGAGTGTAAAGGGCCCTTAAAGGAAGGTGTTGTCAAGGAGGATTTTATATTTAAAAAATTTTGACCAACACTTACTCAATGTGATAGAAGCTCCAAAATAGAAATATCTAAACAAACAATCACTAGCTGAAAATGGAAGTGTCAATTTAGATACAATGTACTAATTAAGCTGATTGTTAGTGGAGAGTAGCCAGTCATAACTGTCATCAGCTCTACTTATAACATGAGACTTGTCCTACACTATTAGAGAACATAATTTAAGAAAACAGTTTCTATATATATTTAAGATTGAATTATCAGAATGAAACGATGAAGTTCATGTTTCTACACCCCCATCAGCTTCATAATCATGATCATCATCTCTGCTAATAATCAAGTTCTGACTGTGCAACAGTGTCTTGGGGTCAACTTGCCCCAAAAGTAGACTCTAAGATGAAGATTTGTGTGCAGGAAGTTAACTGGAAATGGTCTTGTGATCAGCACTTCAGAGAGTGAGGAAAACAGGATTGGACAGAGGAAGTTGGGCTTCAAGGAGTCATAGGAGAGGTTTCTGTCTCCTGTGGGCAGCTCTGGACCTGGCCTTTCAGAATTATCCTGAAGTGAACCAAGGGAACTGTGACTTCATGCTCTAATTGACCAAGACCTGGATATAAGACACCTCCAGGAAGACCTGTCTCTTGTTGGCTGAGGGCAATTCCCAGAGGGTGACTCAGCTGAGAGCCATTAGCTGCCAATACCAGCGGAAGAAAGCATGAGGGGGATCCCCCCTAATCAGGTACTGGGCTACCGCTTACATGGCATCTCCTGTACAATCATAGCAATAATACCGCAGTTAGCTATGCTGATTTTCCCATCATTACCATGAGGAAATGGAGGCTTAGAGAATTAACTTACTCAAGGTCACACAGTGGTACCTGAGTGTGGCCAGATCCTTAGCGTTCTCTGACCAAAGTGTAAGCTCTTCCCTCTCTCTGTCTTCTAAGGATGTGACCACCCAGAAAATGTCCACTTGAAATTATCGTGCAATCTTGAACTAGGTAGTTTAGTTTCAAATGCATGTCTATACAATAGCAGTGTTATATCAATATCAGATACAGATCCATCATATTAAACTCTATCTTTCTATCCATATTAGGGATCTGAGATAATGTAGCACATTATTTATGCTAAGTGGTGACCTTACCCTGTAAGGTAAACTATGCCACATCTAGCATTCAGCTTGTGTACATATTCTGCTTAAATACGGTTCTTCTACTGTGCTCCATTACCCCTGAATATCAGTGTCTGCAGTTATAGAATTTGGGAAGTAGTACTGGGGTGGATGGGCAGGGCAGTGTGGCAGGAAGTGTGTATAATATCCCTCTTGTATTTTTTTAAAGAAATAGTCTGAAACTATGATATATGTAAAACATTTTAATATTACCTAGATATCAGGTATAATATATTATTAAAAAGTAATAAAGAATAATTTTGAGAGAATCAGTGTTTAAAAAGTTGAAAGTAGCCCAACTTTTCTTTTGATGGTGAGTAAAATATTTCATTAAAATGACATTTTTGGCCAGGCCACAGTGACTCATGCCTGTAATTCCAGCACTTTGGGAGCAGAAGGTGGGTGAATCACTTGAGGTCAGGAGTTTCAGACCAGCCTGGCCAACATGGTGAAACCCCCTGTCTGCTAAAAATACAAAAATTAGCCGGATGTGGTGGCACATGCTTGTAATCCCAGCTACTCAGGAGGCTGAGGCGCAAGAATAGCTTGAACCCTGAGAGGCAGACGTTGCCGCCAGCTGAGTTCGCGCCACTGCACTCCAGCCTGGGAGACAGAGTGCGGATGTCTTAAGAAAAAAAAAAAGGACAATTAAGTTTTAATTTTCCTACAGAAAATGTCTTTATATATTTGGTGTTGATGTAATTGCCACACAGTTTATTTTCATAACTAACATGTGTCTGTCTAAATGACACAAAAAAGAGCTTGACTTTTAAATATGTTAAAGGAAAAGATATTTGACCCATAAAGTTAAAACTGTAAACAGGAGTAATTTTCAAAGGTAATTATATTATTTTTTCCATGTTCTTTACACACTGGTAATTGAGAATTTTCCTAGATTCTGTACATTACGGTAAACATTATATCTCTTTGGTATTCTCAATCTCTCCATTCTTAACATCCTGCATTAGTTAGCATTCCTCTTGATTGCAGGCAGAAAACCCAACTCAAGCTTCCTTAAGCAAAAATGGAATTTATTGATGTAGGTAATTAAAAAGTCAGCAACAGGGCTTGCCTCAGGCCAGGAGCTCACACAAATCTCACTCAAGCTCCCTCTCCCCTTCTCACTTTCCCTTTCTCTGTCCTTGTTGAATTCTCAGATTTGCTCTTTCTCCCTGACGGCAAGAGGGCTGAAACAATTCTAGGCTATATTTTCTCATGTTCAAGAGCAAGAAATAACACCTGCCATTCTCTCAGTGGTCCAGCAAAACTCTCATTTTGAAAATGGTTTCGAACCAATCACAGTGTCCTAGTCAAGCCTGAACAAATGCCAATCCCTGGAGCTGGGAGTAGAGTCAACGACAGCCAGGCTCCTTCAATGTCTCCATGAATAGGGTCAGGGGAAGCTCGCTCTTTCTTTCTTTCTTTCTTTCTTTCTTTCTTTCTTTCTTTCTTTCTTTCTTTCTTTCTTTCTTTCTTTCTTTCTTCTTCTTCTTCTTCTTTTTTTTTTTTTTGAGATGGAGTTTCGCTCTTGTTGCCCAGGCTGGAGTGCAATGGAGCCATCTCAGCTCACCGCAACCTCTGCCTCCCCGGTTCAAGCGATTCTCCTGTTCTGCTTCAGCCTCCTGAGTAGCTGGGATTACAGGCATGCACCACCATGCCTGGCTCATTTTGTATTGTTGGTAGAGACGGAGTTTCTCCGTGTTGGTCAGGCTGGTCTCGAAGGCCCCACCTCAGGTCATCCTCCTGCCCTGCCCGCCCAAAGTGTTGGGATTATAGGCATGAGCCACCGCGCCCGGCCAATCTTAGGGCATAAATGGAATATTTTTCTTCAAACGAATAAGAGGAAATAAATGCTCAATAGCCAAAGCACAGCAAATATCCATCATTACTACTTACATCTGTAAAATTTACTTATTAGAAAGCAGTTGCCAATAAACTTGTAGCCTAGATCTTATCACATTTCCTCTGCCCTAAGAGGCCTGGAATGAAAATAAAGCAAGAACAACAATAACCAAAAACCCGAAATAAACTTTCTTCTAACAGCAACATAAAGCTTCATTAGGGAGAAAAACTCATGCACAAAATAAATTCTAAGAGCAAGTGTGAGTTTTAAGAAAGCACGTTTGACCAGGTGCAGTGGCTCATGCCTGTAATCCCAGCACTTTGGGAGGCTGAGGCGGGTGGATCACGAGGTCAGGACTTTGACACCAGCCTGGCCAACATGGCGAAACCCCATCTCTACTAAAAATACAAAAATTAGCCAGGCATGGTGGCGGGATCCTGTAATCCCAGCTACTCAGGAGGCTGAGGCAGGAGAATCGCTTGAACCCGGGAGGCGGAGGTTGCAGTGAGCCGAGATCATGCCATTGCACTCCAGCCTGGGTGACAAGAGCAAGACTCCATCTTAAAAAAAAAAAGAAAGAAAAAAAAGAAAAGAAAGCACGTTTAACTGTTTGTGAACACTGAGCTTCCATGAACTTCAAGAGATACTATTTTTATTAGAATGAGAAAATTCCCTTCAAGTTCGCTGTGAGATGATAATTTTGCAAATTATCTTTTAATGTTGCTGGAAAGATGTGGAATACCCCTATCAGTTTAGAAAGTGTTGATGAGTGGCAGTTTGCCAAGGCTACTCCTGTCAAATGGAAGAGTCATGTTTAAACATGAGTGCATTATTCTTAATGTTTGATTCTGTCATTATTCTCAGAGGGAAAAAACATGTATAGAGCAGATAAGTTTTCATTAGCCTTGCCAGAATATAATCTGATAATCCAACTACAAGTAATAAAGCTGATGGATTTCTTTTCTTTGCAAGTTTTCAGAATGCATACATATCCAGCTCATCTAAAAGTACAAGGCTGATTATAATTAGTGGATTAGAAAAATCTAAGCCTTGTTCTAGAGTTCTGTTTATGTAAGTTTCATGTTCATACATTAAGGACTGCTTTCAAATAAGGCATCTGCTTACTAAAGTACATTACTGAATGTATATCTTTGATGGGGTTAAACATCTTCCTTCATTTCCAGTGTTGAAATGTTCTCCACTGCTCCAGACAGTGCTAAGGTTTAAATACGTCCCCTAAATTTCATATGTTGGAAACTTAATCCCCAAAGCAACAGCATTCAGAGGTGGGATCTTTAAGAGGTGATTAGGTCATGAATAGATTAATGCCATTATCTCAGGAGTGGGTTCCTTGTAAAAGGATGAGTTCAGTGGGTTCTTTTTTTTTTCTCTCTCTCCCCCTCCCTAGTTTCCCCACCACTCCCATGTTATGCCTTCTACCATGTTATAGCATAGCAAGAAGGTACTCACAAAATGCCAGCCCCTTGATCTTGGATTTTCCAGCTTCCCTAATCACAAGTCAATACATTTCTGTTCATTATAAATTACCCAGTCTGTGGTATTCTTTCATAGTAGCGCAAAACAACTAAGACAACTGGGTATGAAACATAGGCTGCCAAGAATTATTGGTGAAGAATGGGTTACAGGGAAGGATCTTAACCTAAAAGTACTCACTAGGGATTGAGAAACGCTCAAGGGACAAATCTAGATGCAGGAAATTGGAAGCTATTCCACTGGGCAGGTCCTCACAATACCAAGACAAATAACCAGTCCTGCCCTAGGTAAGTGGTTGGTGTCGGTTTAGTTGAAGAGAGGTACAGGAGAACATAATAAGGAAATCAGAGGTAGCACAACAGTGGATTAAGAAGCACAAATTTCTCAGGGATCCAAGCAGGAAATCAGAATCTGAGGCATTGTTGACAGATATAACTTCCATGCTGAAGCTCAAGAGCAAGATTTCCGACTCTAAGGGTAACTAATAGTATGTCCAGGACCTCAGTCCTGGAGGGATTGAATTTCTGGGGCAAATTATCCAGCCAGGGACTCAGCCAGAACAGGAGAAACCCATCAATCAAAACAATCAAAAGAGGGCATAATTGGAAGTTTAGTTTCAGAAATAAGGCAGAAGTCAGGGCTTACTTTCCAAATCCTGGTCCCTGTACTGGTAGCTTCGGCATCACTGGAATCTTATTAGAAGTGCTGATCTTTGGCCTCCCGAAGATCAACGGAATCAGAATCTATATTTTATCAAAGCCTCTGGGTATTTCATTTGCTCATGGAAGTTAGAAAAGATCTAGGACCAAGGACCAGGGCTACAGAGCCAAGAGACTTGCCTTGATGCTGGGTCCTTAAATATTAAACTTAAATGCTGACCTTTAAATATTGAACTCTAAAGTCTATAAACCTCCTTCATCATGCTATGCCTAGTGCTTAGTCCTTTTTCTATATATTTTTTATTTCACTTTTACATTAACTCTGTAAGGTGGGTATTTTTCTTATTTATAAATCAAGGAATTGAAATTCAGAATAGTTAAATAACTTACCCAAGATTAAACTACTTATATGTGACAGAGACTGGGTTTCTAAACTTTTTAAAATTATGGTAATTTTCAAAGATGCATAAAAGTAGAGTGAATAATATGCAGTATATAACCCTGTATCCCCGTCACTCAGCTTCAATCATTATCAACATATTGCTGCTTTTGTTTTATCTTCCCCTGTCACAACACATATACTGTCTTTCTCATTTTCCTCTTTTAAACTGTAGATACAATGTGGGCCTGTTGACTCCATAGATTCTGTTAAATCTACTGTACTATCTGCCTATTTCAATCACTCTAATTATTACAAGGATTGTCATGGATACTGGTGCAGAACACAGCCCAAAACTGGAATACATAGAGAAAATGGCCAATGGGGGAAAGGAAGCTCATAGGGTCTGGGGAATCAGACCCCAAGACAGTTTCTGATGAAGGGGTTCCTTAGCCCATGCAACCCGATATGTGTCATAGATTTCTTGCTTCCAGAAGTTGTTCATTCCTGCGTATTATGGCCTCTGTGGTCCTTACCACCTTGCCTGGCACCACCATCCTTCTCTCTTACCATGTCACATTCACACTGGGGATCAGTTTTATAAAAGGTCATTTGAATTTTAAGGTCATTACAGATGGTGTTTCCTCTGTCTAGAATATTTTTCACCTCGCCATCCAGTTCCAACTTCTCTCTTGAATCTCAACATAAATCTTACTCAGAACAGCTTTCCTTGACAGCCCCTTCCCTTCCACCACCATATGCGAACAGATACTAGGTAATGTTTCATGCTATTAACTCACCATATTTAGTAATTATTACAGCCTGGAAGCTGAGCTCTGAGAAATAGTGAATGGCTTGTCTTATTTATCACAATCACCATGGCCTCCCTAAGACCAGCTGTCACAAAGATAGGACAGACAAAATGTATGAGTGCATGGGTGGTCTCGTTCTTCCGTTCATTAATTCACAGCAAAGATTTCTGGTATTGCTGGTTCATGTTCTTCTTCTCCCTCAGTCTCCAAGGAGGGCTTTGCCATTGCCAGACCAGTTCTTTGAGACTTTTGTGATACAGAATTCTGAACAAATGATAGGCTCCCTATGGAAATAAAAATCACTTTCACAAGATTTTTTGAAAACATACTTTAGGTTCTGGGGTACATGTGCAGAACATGCAGGTTTGTTACACAGGTATACAAGTGCCATGGTGGTTTGCTGCACCCATCAACCCATCATCTACATTAGGTATTTCTCCTAATGCTATCCCTCCCCTAACCCCCACCCCCTGAGAGGCCCCAGTGTGTGATGTTCCCTTCCCTGTGTCCATGTGTTCTCATTTTTCAGCTCTCACTTATGAATGAGAACATGCAGTGTCTGGTTTCCTGTTCTTCACAGGAAATTT
Source organism: Homo sapiens (assembly GCF_000001405.40). Taxonomy (NCBI): domain Eukaryota; kingdom Metazoa; phylum Chordata; class Mammalia; order Primates; family Hominidae; genus Homo; species Homo sapiens. The sequence goes on along the minus strand of NC_000003.12, from coordinate 22,469,591 downwards.
TAAAGGAACTGTGGTGTGTGAGACAAACAAATAACTGCTACAACTTGTTGGTTGCTTATTAAATACCTGACTCAATGCTAAATGATCATGTGCTATTTTGTTGCATTTAATCTTCACATCAATCGTACAAGGTAAGTAAAATCATCCTACAGTCAGTTGATTGTCAATTACTCATATAATAGTAATGTATCCTTCATTTCTGTTGTCCTCTCGATAAGCCCTTTCTTTCTAAAAGTTGGCCTACAAGAGAAGAACACATATGAAAAAATAGCAGAAGAGGCTTTAGAAACAGAAACAGCAGGAAGAGTGGATTCTGTTCAGATATTGCAATAGTTTTGCATGGGATCCACCCATCCCTGTGCAGTGATCACAATATTGAATATAGAATTGTATATCAGCCATGCACTGTGCTCCTGTATTGGGACAGAGGTGTGTATATAATTTAGGAAGTGATGGAGTACAACAGAATAAATGATTTATTTTCAACTCAGTTCTAAGTAGGAAGGACTATGGTTCTCAAGTCTAGAGGCAGTTTGGATACTTTTCAGCAGTTCTGATATTAGGATGCATCTTATGCTGTGTGAATGTGATGTGGCAGTGTCTCTCCATCCCCCATAAAACCACTATTGACTAAATTAGTGGAGGTGAATCTTATTGGTAGCATCTAACAGTAGACACAAGTAGGAATTTCTTCTAACTAAATTTAATATACCCCTGCTATAAATATAGAATATGAAGAATGCTAAGATTAGATGGGACTAGAGAGCCACATCATCTCAGTCATTACTGGCTGTAGCTAACCAACCACTCAACCATATTTCAATCCTTCCCTGGAACTCAATAAACCATCAACACTTAAGATTTCAGTTATGCCAAATTTATTATGTTAGGCACGTAGTCAAGGATATGTAAGGGATATGTACATGCTCTTTAGTGAAGAACTGGAAACTTATTTAAAACCTGTTTTTGAAAGTTCATTTATATAATCCCATTTATAGTAAACTTCCTCATCATTCTTATTCCAAAAGGTAGATTGGCTGTTTCCAACATATCCTATTGCCATCTTCAGAATGTTTCTCGCATAATAGATCATTATATATTACAAGTGGATTATACATGGTAATGTGTGAATTGACCAGCTCTTGTTGGTGATTAGTTAGGATGATGGTGCCTACAGTTAGAAAAATCATATGAGCCTTCTTTGCTTTCATATTGCACTTGGTTTTTAGAATAAAGTGTCAGTATCTTTAAAAAGTTCCCTTCATATAAAGTACTTCTGTTTCAATAGTTAACAAACATGTGAAACATATAAATGCTCTGTATTCCATTTAGACTAAAATCTTCGTTGGAGTTGATGAGGGTGAGTTTAGATATTGAAAGCATGTTTTTGACTTTGGAGTCTATCATACCCAAATTGGCAGTGCTCTGTACCCATCCTTTAAAATCTCCTAAGAATGATTGGAATAAACCATCTGATAATAAAAGCATCTGGAATTCTTATCCTAGGATGTTCTTAGAAATGCAACATGACCCTAACTTCTGATGTAATTTACCTTGCTGTCTTAAGTTTTAAACAGAAAAAGCTACATGTTGTTTCTTCATAGGTAATGTTGGTCTTTTGTCCACAGAGCTAAAGTTTCCCAATAAATCAGTTTTAGGGCATTACGTTCCTAAGATGTATTTCTCAAACATGCATCGTTTTTTATGATTTGTGTCTAAACCATCTCAAAGTTTCCTTTTTCTTACTTCAAGTGGTGACTCCCTCAAGGTAATACAATCTTGTTTATGAGAATGATTTTCCCTGAGCAAGAGATATTATTACCCACTGGAATTGGTTGTCTGACTGGGTTTGGAGTTACAAATGTGGTTTTTCAGTGTTAGTTCCCCTACTGATTTGCTTGGCCTTGAACAAGTTCTTTAATAACCTCTTATGGCAGCAGTTTCCTCAATGGCAAATGGGAATTGTTATTCCCTCTATGGCTACTTTACAGAGATGGTGTAAGAATACAATTAGGTGGATGTTACAAAAGTGCTTTGGAAAAGTTAAAATCCCTACACAAATGTAAGCTATTATTAATGAAAAGTTTTAGAGACTCAGATAATTTGCCTTACCTTCATTTCTCCAGGACTAAAAATGCTTTTATTTATTTACTATTATTATTTTAGAGAAGTTTCACTCTTGTCGCCCAGGCTAGGGTGCAATAGTGCGATCTCTGCTCATTGCAACCTCCACCTCCCAGGCTCAAGCGATTTTCCTACCTCAGCCTCCTGCGTAGCTGGGACTACAGGCATGCACCACCATGCCTGGCTAATTTTTGTAGTTTCACTAGAGATGGAGTTTCACCATGTTGGCCAGGCTGGTCTTGAACTCCTGACCTCAGGTAATCCACCTGCCTTGGCCTCCCAAAGTGCTGGGATTACAGGCATGAGCAACCATGCCCGACCTAAAAATACGTTTGAAAATCATGCTTGCAGTTTATTTCATAGGATCTTTTTAATCATCAGATTAAAGGATTTCATTAAGGCTGTCATTAATTTTATAACAGTATGCTGTAGCAAATCAGCCTTTAAAATTTTGATTGTCCCCTTTTGACTAAAGATGGCCAGAGAAGTTTACAATTTGTTCTTCTATATTTGCAGGGCACAGACCAAAGCATGTCAGGAAATGACAAACTTTATTAAAAGACTTCTTCTGGGCTGAATACATACTTATTATTTAATTACTGGAAGAAATTATGTATACCTATGACATTTGAGGACTTATCCTTTTCTGGACATCCTAAGTCTGAATCGTCAAATCAAATATATGGAGGTTTGGGCTAGGTGATTTCTAAGATCCCTCATAGCTATAAAAGTTTTAGTAAATAACTTTGCCCACCAAAGTCTGATATTGTTATTTAAGTATCTTTCCTAAAATATTTTCTCCTTATCCAAGGGCTTTTCTTTGTCTCTTTGCCTTTTAAGAATTATTTAATTGACGTAAAATCAACATACAGAAAGATTCAAGGAGTTGCCACTCTTTATTTTATGCATTTCACCACCAGCCATGGCTTTACCTCAAGGATCCTGGAACCAAATACAAGCCTACTGTTTTTGTCTCTTCCCCAAGTGCAGCCACAATGGGGACAATTGATTATCTGTTCACTTAAGAGGCTCTTGTTAGGCTTTGTCCTTGGCCAAAGATTTTCTAAAGAATTGAATAGAATTGGTATAGTTGAGACCATCTGTTTATAACTGAATGAAACACTGTCAGAGAGCGGGGTGGAGGGATGATCTTTATGCCCTGCCATATATGGAAGTGGATTTTTCATCTAATTGCATGTTCTGCTTCAAAACTATTCCGAGATGAGAGCTATGGAGATGTGTTTTGATCTGTGCTATTCCAATCTTTTAAGGAAACTTTCTACTTTAAAATGTTTGATTCTGAAACTATCACAACTCATTGTGTTTTAAAATGTGTCTTTTAAAATTAATGATTAAGCCTCGGTGTCTCATTGCCAATGTGCAGAGATTGAGGATGACCAAGTTTCCATCTCAGCTATGCCTTCCAGATTGTCTTGCTCAGATGAAGGGAACATGACAATCTTGTGCTGGTTTTAAACTTCTCAGAAGTGATGTACGTTACTTTCACATATATTTCATTAACCAGACATGTCCCTAGCCATGCCTAACTTCAAAGGGGTCAAAGAAGTATAATCCCCCATGACTCTGGAAGAGCCTTCTTAAAAGGCATGATAAAAACAAAGAATTAAACAAAGATGTCCAGGTGGGTCATCAGCTTAAAATATTTGTCACACATACTGATGTACCTTTATTGAGAACTCTGATATTCTAAAAATATAATCAAAAATGCAGTTTCACTCCTGGGAAAGAAGTCTAATTTTAAAATGATGATATCCTGTAGTGATTGTTTTCCAATACTTTTTTCTTGTCACATGCTTTGCTTAGACAAGATTTTTTTCTCATCCTGTCCATGTTGGTTCCTTTCAATTACATGATGATGAAGCTACTTATCCTCTAAATTTTAGTCCATTATTGAGTACATTACACAGCTGTGACTCTACTGTGAAAGTGACAGACTGTTATTAACTTCCATAACGTATCTTTATTTTCTGATAAGCTCACCAGCAGCAGTGAGCCAGTGATAGCAATTGCAAATGTAAGGACCTTGGACGTCCCTCTGGAGATGTTTATAGACTCACCAATTCTCAAGGCAGCGTCTGGGCTGAAGAGAGAAAAAAATACTGGACCAGTTGACTAGGAGAAGTGAAAGAGACAACAATTACACGAGAAGTAATATTTCATTATCTACAAAATTCTACTTTATTTAAAAATATTCTAAAAAGCAAAATCTGGTATGTATATAAATCCTTTATTCTGAAACACTAGGAAGGTAATCCCCATGGTATTCTGGCACCTAAACTTGGTTTAGGGAAAAGGAGTTTTGGCTAGGGCCATTCATCCTCATATTCTTTTTCCTTTTGTTGAAAGTTACAGGGCAACTTTCTTATCCACATGCTGCAGCAAAGGAAACCCTTTTATAAAGTCTTATCTTAGAGCCTACTTTAAAGAATCACTGTCATCCCAGAGAGGACGAGGAGACTATTAATGTCTAATCCTCTTTTCTCTACAGAGAACAAACCAGCTATTTATCAAGAAAATACCCTCTAGTCAAATCCAGTATAGTTACAATCTTTACTGACTCAATTCAGGAGACACTTATTGATCATATACCTTGCACTACAGAGTTTTAATACCTTAATTCACTTTATCAGTTTGTTAAATATTTATTAGAAAGTTCTCATTTTACCAATTAAGAAATCTGAAGCCCATATATGGGGCTAGAATGCAAAAGTGTTCCATCTTTTATTAATTCAGGATTTCTACTGCTAGATATTGCTGCGTAGATATAGCCCTATTCTTAGGAACTCTGCAGATCCGCTAGGGAACAACAACATCAACAAAACAGATAAATGCTTATAATAAAATAATTTTCTTGTATGCAGAAGGCAATACTATCTACGATTTATTTAGTTCTTAGTATACCTAGGCATTGTTTTAGGTGCCATTTTTTAAAAAATTTCTTTTACTCCTCATAAAACTATGAAAAATTGATAGAAAATAAGGTTTAGAGATGTTAAATAACTTGCCCAAAGTTCATAGCTAATGAATAGTGGGCCAAGGATTAGATCTTAGGTCAGACTCCAAATTCAGATGCTTAGCTACTATCCTAAATTATTTCAATAAAAATTTTGATAGAAAAAAATACAAACGTGGCTACAAATAAGAAGTGCAAGGTGCTATGCGTTAAAAGGACAGAACGATGAGTTCCTACTATCTATAACAGATCATCTTCCAGCCTCATTTCCCATTATTTGCACTCCCCTTCCCCCTGAATCTGGTCTTTCTTTTTCTAACATGCATTATTTATTATTTTATAATTATAGTTTATTTCTATTACTATTTACTCTCCCTCCCCCTGACTAGAATGTATGCTCTATGCTGGCAAGGTTCTTTATTTGTTTTATTCATTTGTGAATACCAAATGTCTAGAATAATGTCTGGGACATAGTAAATGCTTCATAAATATTTGTCAAATTTAATACATTAACAACCTTAACTGGGAGAATGCTTCCTAGTAGTTATATTAGAATTTCCAGATGATCCTGGGAATTTTAGGTTCACAAATGGTGACAAAAGTAGAAAATGTGTGAGGACCCTGCCCAAGGTGAATAATCTTAAAAACCTGGGAGTAACCCAGAAAATATTATAAATGTATATGTTATGTGTTACTAGTGGTTCAGATAGCTGGTGATGATATCCTTACTATCATATAATGGAAAATATAATGGAAGAGATATAATTTTTAAAAAAGCTGTTCAGCTTCTGTTTTATGTAATGTATATTTTGAGTAATATTTCCTTTGTTTTAGGGAAAGCAAAATGGTAATTTTAAGAATTTTGCTTCCCTCTTGCTTTCCCAACCTATCCTTTGAGCCATGGTCATCAGTGATCAATTGACATGTCACTTCCTCTGTCTACTTCCTGCTAGCAGCAGAATCCCGGGCTTTCTCTGTTGGTGACTGGCTGCCTTCAATGAACTTCTTTCACTGAATGAGTTTAGACAAGGTATTGTGACTTTCTACCTGGGTGTTTGTGCAGATCAGAAAAGAAACCAGAAACTGGCCATAACTCCTGCTTAGGTTTTGGCACCAAAAGAAACCAAACATGGCAATGGAATTGTGGAATAAACCACCCATTTGGGCATAAAAACTATGTAGACATAACAGTAGCAAAGAAAACCTAAAATGCTCTTCATTTTTGTTAGAAATGACAGTGTTAGAAACCTTCTGGGTCCCTTGGAGATTGTGTTGAAGTTCATGGACTCTGTCAAAAGTCTCTAGTGGGTTTCCATTTTTCGTCTTTTATCATCTATTTAGTTAAAGAAATGAGGTTCGGGTGGTTATTTTTTAGCTTAGGATTTGGGACATTGGTACTTTGAGGTATAGAGAGAACATTAGGAAAAATTTCCTGAAGGATAATAGTTGAAGCCAGAATATACAGTCTAAAACCAGATTACAATACCCAGGAGGCTAGACAAGAAGCAGCAACTGAAGCACAGAACCAGAACTGGGTGAACATACAGGAAGCAAGTATCCATGAATACTGACTAGGGCATACAAATTGTTCTAGGGGAGAAATAAGTTCTGAAGCAAAGGCAAAATTGGCTTTTATGTGTTTCCTATACAAATTTTGGTCATGTGCATATAAATTGACCCACATAGAATAAATGATACCTTGACTAGTAGAAGAATTAATGTTCTGCTCACTGAAATGACAGCTAGCACAAACATCTTTGTTGTCACCTCCCCTTGGAAAGCCCTGGGATATTATATTTTAACAAAACTCAAACTTCTTCCTTCACTTTCTTCCTGTTTCCTTTCACTACTGAGGGTAAGGCTTATGGGTTCAGCCATGTAGAAAAAGAGAGCCAAGCTCTCTTACATCAAATCTACATATCTTGGGATCAGTAATTTTTTAAATAAATTAGAAGAAATATGCTAGTGGGCTTCCCCCAGGATGATTTTGGACAGTAAACACCTTAACAGTACCTAAAGAGTCTTGCAAAAGATAGGCTTCTGTATATAGTGCTATACTTTTACAATAGACCCTATTTATTGCTGCGTGGTGGGCAGTAGGCAGTGCATCCTAGAAGTAGTATATCCTGATAGCTGGATATCACTTGATCCTCACAGGGCAAGGCAGGACTTCCTGAGAAAGCTGGGTCACTCTTCACTGGATTATTGAGATACACAGTGTTATGTTAGGGTCCTTTAGTATCTTAAGTCACTGACACAGAGGACAGGAGCATTGATACCACAGTCAAATCCACATTCCCACATGCCCAGTGACATTGTCTTTGCTTTTTAGACTAAGCCCTTGGCTTTGGCAAAATGTGTGTATAGCCCAAGGAAGGCCATAGGTTTCCTCTTGAATGCCAATCAATTGATTTGAAGTCTGTTCAGGCTTAGTGGGACTATGCTGTGTTACACATTGTTAGCAATGTTTGCCAAGGATGTGGAAGGAAAAGAGAGTTTTCAGTAGCCCCTAAAACTAACTTCTAAAGTCAAAGGACAACTGTAAAACATTTCCTCTGACCTTGAGCATAGCCTGTGTAAAGCCTGCCATTAATTAAGTTGCAGAGTATTTCTTGGAAAAAAAATACAAAATAAATTTCTCAGCTATGATATTACACAAAATTTTAATAATTGATCTTTAATGATTTTTTTCTATACAGTATTTGAAGTGGTTTGTAAAATAACCATCTTTGTCACTTCGTGGTGCAAAGAGTCTACTAAGTTTGTTCTTTATTTTAGAGAGATTATTTTCTTTGATTTGGTGAAAACTTTGAGTTTCAAGGAGATGATCCACTTATTTCTAATACAATGAAATATGATAACTAAACACATGTTATCCTTAACCTTTGTCTTCAGAATCATATGTCATGTTGCCTCTTGGCCACACCAGACCAAAACGTTGGATGGTTTGGGGGCTGCAGTGACAACTAGACTGCTGTCTCCTTAGATTAACTATGGTGGTAGCTCCTGGAGCCTCCTCTACAATGGCATCTCTTAGCTCTCAGATCCTCATTCTTTATGTACAGTTTAGATTGCTGACTTAAATCAGGGATCAGCGAACTACAGCCTATGGGCCAAATCCTGTCCACTGCCTGTTTTGTACTGCCAAGAGTCAAGAATGATTTTTATAGTCTGAGGATAGAAGACATTAAATTTGTTGTTATTTTTATTTGAAAAAAATTTAGAGATGGCTTCTCACCATGTTGCCCCGGCTGGACTTGAACTCCTGGGCTCAGGCGATCCTCCTGCCTCAGCCTTCCAAGTAGCTGGGACTATAGGTGTGACATCATACCTGGCAAGAAAACATTAAGTTTAAATACAAATCAAATGATTTTGCCTCTTGGGCCATAAAACAGAGAATATTTACTATCTGGCCTTTTATAGAAAATGTTTGCAGACTCCTTGTGTAAATGCATGCATAATTAAATAATACTAAGCTTAAATAACTTTGAGGCACACCAAATTACTTTGATCCACATATGCTGGCCCATGAGATTTACTGTGTGTGAAATGTTTTTTTTTTTCTTTTTAATTTATAAATTATGTCAAAGAATTTTAAAATCAAAATTAGGCTGGATCTGGCCCATCTTAATGTCATCCAGGTTCATCAACATTCTTGCAAATGGCAGGAGTTTTTTTCTTTGTTAGGGCTTTTACAAAATAACCCATTGCATGTATTATATATGACACATTTTCTTTATTCATTCATCTGTGGTCACTTAGGTTGTTTCCATATCTTGGCAATTGTGAATAATACTGCAATGAATATGAGAGTGCAGATATTTCACTCCAGATACTGATTTCAATTCATTTGGCTATATACCCAGAAGTACAATTGCTGTATTATGTGGAAATTCTATTTTTAGTCTCTTGAGGAGCCTCCATACTGTTTTCCATAATGGTTGTTCTAATTTACAATCCAACCAACAGTATAGAAGAGCTCTCTTTCATCTATGTCCTCCCCAACACTTGTTAAATCATTTGATGCCATCCTAATAAGTGTGAGGTAATGTCTCAGTGTGGTTTTTAATTTGCATTTCACTGATGATTAGTGATCATGAGCACTTTTTCATATACTTCTTGGCCACTTGTATGTCTTCTTTGGAAAAAGATCCATTCAGATTCTTTGCCTAATTTTTACTGGGTTAATTATTTTTTAATTTAATACTGGGTTGTATGAGTTTCTTAGATATTTTGAATATTAGCTGCTATCAGATGTATGGTTTGCAAATATTTTCTCCCATTCTGTAGATTTCCTTTTCATTTTGTTGATTGTTTCCTTTGCTGTGTGGAAAATTTTTAATTTGCTATAGTTCCATTAGTTTATTTTTACTTTTGTTGCTTGTGCTTTCAGAGTCATATTCATAAAAGCATTGCCAAGACCATTGTCAAGGAAATTTTTCCCTGGGTTTTTTTCCAGGATTTTTATGGTTTTATGTCTTATGTTTTAAATTTTTAATCCATTTTGAGTTTATTTTTGTTTATGGTATAAGATAAGGATACAGTTTTGTTTTTGCTTGCAGATGTCCAGTTTTACCAACACGATTTACTGAAGAGACTATACTTTCTCCACTTTGTATTCTTGGCTCCTTTGTCTTGACTGTATATACATGGGTTTATGTCTGGGTTTTCTATTGTGTTCCACTGGTCTATGTGTCTGTTTTTATGCCATTGCCAGACTGATTGGATTACTGTAGCTTAATCATATACTTCGAAATCAGGTAGTGTGATGCCTTCAGCTTTGTTTTCTTTCTCAAGATTGCTTTGGCTATTTGGGGTCTTTTGTGGTTTCATACAGATTGTAGGATTGTTTTTCTTCTATCACATGATCTCACTTATATGTAGAATCTAAAGAAATCTAACACATAGAGGATAAAATGGTGGTTGCCAGGGGAATGGGATTTGAGTCAAAGGTGACAAAACTTCAGTTATGAGTAAGTTTTGGAAATCTATTGTACAGCATGGTAACTACAGTTAATAATTATTATATACTTGAAATGTACTAAGAGAGTAGATCTTAAATGTGCTCACCATATACACACAAAATGGTAACTATTTCATGTGTTGGATATGTTCATTAGTTTGATTGGGATAATCATATCAGGATGTAAACATATATGAAAATATCACATTGTACACCTTAAGTATATATTACACCTTAAATATGAATGATTTTTACTTGTCATCTATACTTCAATAAAGAAAATTTCAAATGAATTTCAAAGTCTAAAATACATTAATTAATTAAACAAACTGTTTTAGTCACATAGCAACCAGCCCTGAAAGATGACCAAATGAATCATGCATCAATATTGGAAACACAAAGTCAATTGGCTTAGGACCTCAAAAGCAAAAGACAAACCAATGAAAATCAGACTGGGGGATTAACGGGTAGAGTAGTTCTAAGAATTGCAAAAATATAAATGTTATTTTTTGCTATCGGAATATGTCTGAAAGAATAATCCATCAATACAAGTAGCATAGTAAAACAACCTAGGATTCAGGTTGGTAGGGGTTGTTCTTACAGTCCACCTGAAGGGGTTTTAGCTGCTGGAATATACTGCACACTTGGGGGCAAGCACTATAGCAAGTCTCTCAAGCTTTAAGCACACTTAGATCCCCTGGCAACTGCCACAAAGCTGATTTTGATATAGCAGCTCTGGGCTCAGCCAGAGATTCTGTATTTCTAGCGGGGGATGGAAGGCTGCTGCTCCGTGGCTCGTGCACTGAGAAGAAAGGTGCTGCTATCTTCCCATAGAAACTTCAACAGTTTTTGCTGGAGCTGTGATGAAGGCTGACTGCAAAGGTATTGCTTTGCCCTTGAAAACCAAGATCATAAAAATCACAAAACACCTAGACCAAGTTTTTGTTTTACTGACAGCATTTTATAACTTTGGCATTCCATCAATCATAGGTTGGTATGGAAATTACAGAGAACAATCACTTCAAACTTTGTATGTCTACCTAGAGGCAAAATTGACAGTCTGACGGTTGTACTTGTGAAATACAAATGCCATATATTAAGCGGGTCATACAAACAGCAGACAGATGCTGATGAGGGGAAAAAAAGCAATTCACAATTACTACAGACAAGCCACATATCATAAGATAAGCTAATTGTTATTAAAATTATACTAAAGTTAATCCCATCTGTGCCTTGAAAGTGCTGCAGTGCACCGACTTTCCATGATAGCAGTTTATGCAAAATCATAAAGCAGTGAGCTTTAATATTATTCTGGCTTCTGAATCATGCATTATGAGTAATAAAAGTGGTTTGTAAATAAACTAACAGATTGAATTAACAACATTAATGTTTTTGAGAATTAAGTCAGTTATTTGATATCTTTGCTTCTAGTATTTTTGTAGATTTAGGTTCCCCTCCTTCCCCACCTCCTTCCTTCCATTTTTCCTTCTTCCCTCCCTTCTTCCTTTCCTTTTTTTCTTTTTTATTTCAAGAGGTTTCTTGGTATTTAAGGCAGAAAGACTTATATATATGTTATATATCTTATATTTATGTAATTCACAGTGACAGAGGAAAACATGCAGTCTTCCTGTTTTTCTCTTGTTTTTTAACATCCACAGTCACATAAAGAAATGATTTGTGGAACAGAGAAGGATATGTCTATAAAACAAACCAAGAAAAAAGAATTTGATGTTATTATTAATGAAGCATGTGGCACATCTTTTCAAAATCCCATTTTAGCTGGGCAGTGATTTGCAATGAAAACTGACATGTTCATTTTTGCCAGTCTTTACAAACCCAAGGCTTATTGAAAGTCAGGGGGAAAAATAAAATAAGACAGGGAAAAACCACTTTAATAAGTCTTAGGTGGATTTTTTGCTGAATTTTTATTGTTTTCCTTTTAGAAAGTTAATTCTTAACTTTGTATTTTGGCAACCAGCTTGCTCCTATGCCAGAGATCAATCAGACAGAGGCTCTGCAGCTATTTGTAAGTATCTCCCCATAAAGTAATAGAAAAAATTGTTAATTCAGGAGAGGAAAGATTTGAAGCACTCTTCTCTCTATGGTTTTTCTGTAAGACTTTATTTTAGACAAAAATATAATTGCTTGGAATACTTTGTGCTCATGATTTCTGGGTTAAGTTGTAAAATATTTAGTTGTCACAAAATGATGAACATGTTTAGTCTATTAATTATAAGTGTCTCATCCCATGGTCCTTCTACTTTGATTAAGTACATGTCACTGATCAGGGCAAAACAGGAGATAACTGACCTTTAAAAGTAGTTTTGTACTAGATCTGTCTAGCCTATAATTCTTTTCTCATTTCGACAGAATGGATTTTAATACTTATGAATATTTTAGAATTCTACTTAGATTTTTTTTCCCTTTCAGTGAAAGACCTATCATTAAAATGATTTTTTTTTTTTTGTAACAAGCATGGTACATGCACCTGCTGAAAACTCTACTTGCCGGAGGCAGTTCACATATTACTTTATTAATTCTAATTTACCTGAATGTAGTAACTGTTTAGGGCACTGGATTCATCAAGAATGACTGAGTTATAAGGATTTGTATCTGATTTGGGGCAAAAATGCTAAGACACTTGTCTAGTAGGAAAATTACTTCAAATGGCACCTGAAGTTGAAGCTGACATTGAAGTAACTAGTATTTTGATTTCCAGAAAACATACATAATGATGAGGAAATTGCTTTATATCTATGTTCTAGAAAAAAGCCACTCCAGACTCTTATCTTTTAAACTGTGTTTTAAAAAATTAAGTGCTAGAAAATAGGAAACATGGTTTTTAGTCATTAGTTTATAATGTGACTGATTCAAATAAACCTGTGCTACCAAAATGAATCAATAAAATAGTTTTAAGAGACTCTTCCTTGGGCACCGAGCAACATAGGCTTATTCATACAGGTCAGCAGGTTTGCTCCCACTTATCTTTTATTTATTTATCTTTCAGACTCCTGAGAATGAAAAGCAGAAAACTCAGATAGGCAAACGGATCTTTTCCCATAATATGTTCTCATTTTTCTCTAATGTAGGAAAGATTAGAGTGACTGGAAGTCTGCAGTAGAAGAGAGGTGGAGGGTTTTCTACTCTTAGTGTCAAAGGGCTTTGAAACCACACTCAAGTCCCAAATGTCAAAATGAAGAGAGGTTAAGGCACTCAAGCTTTTGAGAAGTGTTCAGTACACCGAGGTGTATTCCTCCACCAATATCTATTAAACAGGCATCAAAATACAGTAATTGGTAGAATCCCATTTTAAAAGAGAAATGTGTAGTTAAGAATTCATGTGGCATCACCGGGCACGGTGGTTCACGCTTGTAATCCCAGCACTTTGGGAGGCCGAGACGGGCAGATCACGAGGTCAGGAGATCGAGACCATCTTGGCTAACACGGTGAAACCCCGTCTCTACTGAAAATACAAAAATTAGCCGGGTGTGGTGGCGGGCGCCTGTAGTCCCAGCTACTCGGGAGGCTGAGGCAGGAGAATGGCGTGAACCCGGGAGGCGGAGCTTACAGTGAGCCGAGATGGCTCCACTGCACTCCAGCCTGGGCGACAGAGCAAGACTCCGTCTCAAAAAACAAACAAACAAGCAAACAAAAACAAAATTATGGGGCATAATATTAGTGACTGAGTCATTAATAGTTGGGGGGCACCTGTCTTCTTGGATCGAAGTTCAGCTTAAGGGAACAATCTTGAACCCCCAGCTCTTTTGGTTATTTCAAATGATAAGATTTGAGAGAGGAAGGAAAGAAAGCTTCATCTTTACTGAAGAGCTATGACCTACTGAAGCTACTGAAGAGCTCAGTATTTTATCCATCATGTTATCATAGCATATTCCACTTTCTAATACTGTTTTAAGTATACTTTATCTAATTATGTTTTTGAACCTAGAGATGCCGTTATTTACTGTTTAATGGCTACACAAATACCAAAAAGAATATGCTTCTCAACATCTAATTCTCTCTGTCTCTTTTTTTGCATTTGATATGAAATGAGATGGCTATCAGATATTCTTACCCTGGTGAAATGCCACACTATTTTTTTTTCCAAAGACAGTCTTTCCTTTTTCTTCCTACTCTTTTGCACACTGTTGCCAGCTGATCAAACTGCTGCGTGAAGGAGCCAATTTGTAAGTCCATTTCTGTAGCTTTGTATTTACAGAGCCTGTAAGTTAAGCTTTCTACTAATTTGCATTCTTCTTGAGGCTGACCTCCACACACCTGAAGGAAAATCATTTAATCTTGTGGCTCTTGTGAACAACTTTCTACCACACTTGCCCGATGCTCAGAATAATAGCAACAACCCCATTAGACTAGCATCGCCAGTATTTAAGACGTTATTAAATTGCACACACTTTGTCAATTCTGACTGACGGCAGCTTCTAACTACAGAACAGTGAAGTGTATAAACATCATTAAGCAACAAAACCCTGCCGTGTCAGAAAAGAAATAGTTGTTTGAAAAACAAAGTAGCTCATATAAAATGTCCAATGAACCATTTTTTAAAAAAGACTCTAAACTAGTTTAAAATATAGGCTAAGATACAAATGCATATGAAATATTTCTTTGGATAGTTCTCAAAGAAGAAAAATGAAAGAGTAGTTATAAACAGACAGTGAAGTGGATAGATAGCTTGTGAACAATGGATTTGCTTATCTTGATTAGAAAATGCAATTTCTATTTTCATATTTTGTAGGAAAACTCTTTTACCTTCAAGGAAGGGTCTAATATCTTACATTTGCATTAGGATTCTTGGCACATTTCTTTGTCCACCAGCTATTCTGAGAATATTAGACATTTTCAATGGGCTGGTTTTGAATATCTTCAGTACTATGTCACATCAGAAATCATAATATTGCTCACTTGCCATTTGCCTTTTCTTTTTCCTTTTGTTTCCTTTTAGGTAAGTGATTGTTCTGCATGCAACCTTGCAATGCTACATGTGGATGATTGTCAGAATGAATTTTGGTGAAAATTCAACATTGTAATAATATATATTTTTTGGCTGATCAGTATCTGAATCTTTATCTTATGCTTGAAGAAACTGTAATTGTATGAATTATAGTGGGAAGCAGATCTATACCTCCTACTACCAGAAAACAAAACAGGCCGGATGCCTGCTCTTTCTGATATATTGCATCTAAATCTCAGCCAAACAGGTGATCCTGTCTGGAATTTAATTCAAGAATGAGTAACATAAAAAGTAGGGTGCTCTAAACAGCAGTTTTCAGAATGTTGTTCAGGAAACCCTGTGGGTCCCTATAACTCTATTTGGGGGCTTACAATGTCATGATGAATTTCATAATAGCACTAGTACATTATTTGGCTCTTTAACACTTATTTTATCATGAGTGTACAGTGGAGTTTTCTAGAAGCTGCATGACATTTGTTATTGCAACAGATTGAATGCTGCAACAACTAAAAGAATCCAGCTGGCCTCAAAGCAAGCCATTGAAAAGATTTTGCAAAAATATAAAACAATATCATTCTTCTCACTAAATTTGTTTCAGAAAATATAGTTTTTTTCAAAAAAATATTATGTTGGCATGTAGTTTATTGCTATTTTAAATTAAAATAAATACACATTTTTAAAAACTTTGTTTTCAATTTCTAATGTATTAAATATTGATAAATATAACCCATAGAAAAATTATTTAGATCTTCAGCAAATGTTAAGAATGTACAAAGTCTCAAGACAAAATTTTGAGTGTCACTGTTCTAGAGTGGAGTCCTCAGGTTTGTTAATGTCAGCAACATTGGGAACTTCTCAGAAATGCAAAGGCTAGGGCTCCAGGCCAGGTGTACTGAATAATAAACTCTGAAGTGGGGCCCAGCAATGTGTGGATGAGCAAGATTTGCAGGTGATCTAAATGCAGGTTCAAATTTGGGAACTAGTGGTCTTGAGCAGAGTTCTCAAACCTTACTCAAACTTTAACCTTGCATCAGAGTCAGCTGGAGGACTTGTTAAACTACAAATTCCTGCCCAATACTGGAGATTTTGATTCAAGAGTCTGGGGTGAGGGTCAAGAATTACTTGTCTAACAATGTCTAAGGTGGTGCTAACGCTAGCAGTCTGGAAGACGATGCTTTGAATAGCACTGTCCTAAAATCCTTCTGTTGGTGGATACTGCCCAGTTCTCATGAGTCCATTGTCTAGCAGAGATATCCTCATCTCTTCCTGTGGTATGACTTTGCCTATAGTTTTGCCAGCATAAATCTCTTGGTTCTTATTCATTTTATTTTTTAATGCAATTTTCTATTCTCAGCAGTCATACACACAAATTATTTAAAAAGTCAAAGAGTCTACAAAAATTAAGGAAAGCTGTGGCCTGCTCCTCCTCCACTACATTTTCTACTTTTCAGAGACAATCACTCCAAGTGTCTTGGCTTTTCTATTTCGTATTTGTCTCTCCATCTCTCCAATAAAATATTTATTTTGTTAATTCATCATATAATATAGTTTTGGGCACATTGGCTTGCCATTGTGGGAAATGAAGATTTAACTCTCCTTCACTTTGTACCTTCACACCACAAATGGGTCCAATTCCTATTTCCAAATCTTCTAAATATAATTATATCATAATTTTGCTTAGATCAATAATGTCTTTGTATTTGATGACTGTAAATGTTATTCAGCTGAGCCATGTTGTATGCACTGACTACTTTCTTTTCTGTTTTTGCCCAATATTTTCCCTCTTATGTAATAGTTACCTAATTTTCTGCTTTGTTTAGTTTTCTAAGTACTTGGTTTCAGACTTGCATTTGTTTAAAATTCATCTCAATACTCTCAAGTACTTCAGATGTTCTTATAATTTTATCATCTTAGAGTTGTCTTTTTTGGAGTGTTCTAACTCCAATCTGGAATGGTTTCTCTCTATAGTTCAACATAGTGTCATCTTGGGATTTTCCTTCATCATCTTCCTGGAGATTTATTTCTCTTGTATTAGATTTCCTATTTCCTTGATATGTATTTCTCTTTTCAAAATTATCTTAGATTTTGCCGGAACACCTCCAATTATTTCCTAAGATGGAATAGAAATTTTCATAGAATGTTTTATTATCTGAAAATGTGTTTAGACTAACTGCACATTTATCATAGATTGGTTCAATTGGAAATAATTTTCATGAATTTATAAGTTATTTATCAGTTATTTTTCAGGTTTCATTGTTTTTGTTTATTCATTTCTAATTCCCATTTTTCACATGTGATCAACTTTTTTCTTCTCTAGAAGCTACTATTTTATTGGGCAAGCTGGATGCCATTATCCTAAATGGATAATTTTAATAAGGAATCCCATGTTCTTCAAATCAGGAAGCTTTCCTGAAGTATTTCTTTGATGCCTTTCATCTCTTATATTTTCTTTTATCTCTCTTCTTTGAACTGCTATTAATTTTAATGCTGGGCCTCCTGATATACTTTTCTAGTTTCCTTTTTCCTCTATTAGTTTTTATCTCTGACTTTTTGTCTAATGTTCTAGAAGATTTCCTCAAATATGTCTTCAAACTCTTGAATTTTAAATTTTTGCTCAGTTTTAAATTTTCAAGATCTCATTTCATATTTTTGTTTAAAGCCCTTTTTCTTTCTGCATAGTCTTTATTTTACCCAAGTTGGCTTATTTTTATTTCCTTTTATTTTGGTGTCCACTTTTCATATTAGATATTTTTCTCAAATTTGTAGTGAGCTTGCCTGTCTCCTCATATTTAAGAGTGGCTATCTGAGGCTGGTATAAATTGTGAGTGCACGGAGCTTGCCAACTCTGGGCTTCACAGACTGGCAGGGGTTTCACTGGGAAACATTTGATGTCAGTAATTTAGACCTCTTCTTTTAAGCCAGTCTCAAATTCCCAAAGGAAACATCTTCCATTTCCCTACCTAGAAGTTCTCAGTCTGGCTGCTATTTTTCTTGGATCCTGGTGGAGGTCTAAACATTCAGTCTGTAAGATTTTAGTTAATCTTTTTGTTTTTCATTCGTGTGTGTATCTGAAGTTTTATAATGCAGAAGCCTCCTATTATCCTCTATGGAAAATTAACCTTTGAGCTTCTGCTGCTGTGGGAGAAATTGCCTAGACATAAAGAGAAGGAATCTTAGGCACATACTCTTTTGTAACCCCAACGTCATCTTTATCTCACTTCTGAAGGTAAAGGTTTTGTTAGTTCCTTAACCATTTGGAGATTCTGTACTTTGAATTGTGTTGCTTCCTGGCTTCCCCTTCTGCTGGCTTGTATTCAGCTTTATCAAGTAGGCCACATCTGTTACCACTTATCCATCTGCATTCTGGCTCCCCAAATGTGGTTGCTATCACTTCTTCTCATCTTTTTCTTTGACCTTGTGGGTTTTGCTGTGTGTGTGTGTTTACTTTTCTGTTATTTTAGAAATGTTTCAGGTGGAATTACAGTTAAATGAATGTATACATGCAGATATGTTCGATCTATAACCTTCAACTGCAAGACTTGCTGTCTGTTTTCTAAGCCTGATTATCAGGTCTTCCCTGACTCTGTGAGCCAACCATTTCCCAACTGGTCACATTCTTTCCTGCTTAAGTCAATCAGAGCTTGTTTTTGTTGTTGGCAATCAAAGACCACTTTTTTTTTGTTTGTTTTGTTTTGTTTTTGAGACAGGGTCTCACTCTGTCGCCCAGGTTTGGAGTGCAGTGGCGTGATCATAGCTCACTGAAGCCTTGAACTCCTGCGCTCAAGCGAACCTCCTGAGTAGCTAGGACAGCAGGGGTGGACCACCACACCTGGCTAATATTTAAAATTTTTTTGTAGAGGTAGGGGTCTCGCTGTGTTGCCCAGGCTGGTCTCAAACTCCTGGTCTCAAGCAATACTCCCACCTCAGCCTCCCAAAGTGCTGGAATTACAGGCATGAGGCACTGTGCTAGGCCAAATTCTTGACTTTTTACACTCACCAAAAAGTTCATTGTCACTTATTATAAGCAGAATTTTGTTTACTATTGTCAGGGTTTAAATTCTTAGTACTTAGAGTTTAGATGCCACTTAATAAAATGTGTGTGTGTGTGTGTGAATGTACATAATTGCCTTTTCCTGTTCTTTGTGACTGAACTGTTAGATTTCTTCCAAATATAGCTTAGGGGAATATTTCTGTATTTTCCTCTTCTTTACCTATCAATCACTAAATGCTCAATACATATGAATGAACAAATGAACTCCAGCTCTTCACAGTGTCCATCATTCCATATTGCCTCTTTCATACTGGGGGAAATTGTCAGTTTCCATTTATCATCATGTTTATACTGTTGATTTTTGTCTTAGGAATCCTCTACCAAAAGTGGATTATAAAAGATAGAGTGAGATTTTTGTGTATCTGTGTATCTTTACTCATTCACTTTACCTGTCTAACCCTGGTAGGAATTTGGGTATGTACTCCTATGAGTTCTTTCCAAACTGGCAACTTTCTGCTCATAGACTCTCCCTAGCTCTAATTTCCACTCTACATTCCTAACAGTCTTCGGTGGTCTGGGCCATATTTATATCTGTTGAATCTTACCTACATGATTTTGCATCTCTGTTTCTTCTCTTTAGGCTGACACCTCAAAAACAAGGTCAGCTTGGGTTTCACTTTTTTTTTTTATTATTATTATACTTTAAGTTTTAGAGTACATGTGCACAATGTGCAGATTTGTTACATATGTATACATGTGCCGTGTTGCTATGCTGCACCCATTAACTCATCATTTAGCATTAGGTATATCTCCTAATGCTATCCCTCCCCCCTCCCCCGACCCCACAACAGGCCCCGGTGTGTGATGTTCCCCTTCCTGTGTCCATGTGTTCTCATTGTTCAATTCCCACCTATGAGTGACAACATGCGGTGTTTGGTTTTTTGTCCTTGCAATAGTTTGCTGAGAATGATGGTTTCCAGCTTCATCCATGTCCGTACAAAGGACATGAACTCATCCTTTTGTATGGCTGCATAGTATTCCATGGTGTATATGTGCCATGTTTTCTTGATCCAGTCTATCATTATTGGACATTTGGGTTGGTTCCAAGTCTTTGCTATTGAGAATAGTGCCACAATAAACATACGTGTGCATGTGTCTTTATAGCAGCATGATTTATAGTCCTTTGGGTATATACCCAGTAATGGGGTAGCTGGGTCAAATGGTATTTCTAGTTCTAGATCCCTGAGGAATCGCCACACTGACTTCCACAATGGTTGAACTAGGTTACCGTCCCACCAACAGTGTAAAAGTGTTCCTATTTCTCCACATCCTCTCCAGCACCTGTTGTTTCCTGACTTTTTAATGATTGCCATTCTAACTGGTGTGAGATGGTATCTCATTGTGGTTTTGATTTGCATTTCTCTGATGGCCAGTGACGATGAGCATTTTTTCATGTGTTTTTTGGCTGCATAAATGTCTTCTTTTGAGAAGTGTCTGTTCATATCCTTCACCCACTTTTTGATGGGATTGTTTGTTTTTTTCTTGTAAATTTGTTTGAGTTCATTGTAGGTTCTGGATATTAGCCCTTTGTCAGATGAGTAGGTTGCAAACATTTTCTCCCATTCTGTAGGATGCCTGTTCACTCTGATGGTAGTTTCTTTTGCTGTGCAGAAGCTCTTTAGTTTAATTCGATCCCATTTGTCAATTTTGGCTTTTGTTGCCATTCTTTTGGTGTTTTAGACATGAAGTCCTTGCCCATGCCTATGTCCTGAATGGTATTGCCTAGGTTTTCTTCTAGGGTTTTTATGGATTTAGGTCTAACATGTAAGTCTTTAATCCATCTTGAATAAATTTTTGTATAAGGTGTAAGGAAGGGATCCAGTTTCAGCTTTCTCCATATGGCTAGCCAGTTTTCCCAGCATCATTTATTAAATAGGGAATCCTTTCCCCATTGCTTGTTTTTGTCAGGTTTGTCAAATATCAGATAGTTGTAGATAAGTGGCATTATTTCTGAGGGCTCTGTTCTGTTCCATTGGTCTATATCTCTGTTTTGGTACCAGTACCATGCTGTTTTGGTTACTATAGCCTTGTAGTATAGTTTGAAGTCAGGTAGCATGATGCCTCCAGCTTTGTTCTTTTGGCTTAGGATTGACTTGGCAATGCGGGCTCTTTTTTGGTTCCATATGAACTTTAAAGTAGTTTTTTCCAATTCTGTGAAGAAAGTCATTGGTAGCTTGATGGGGATGGCACTGAATCTATAAATTACCTTGGGCAGTATGGCCATTTTCACGATATTGATTCTTCCTACCCGTAAGCATGGAATGTTCTTCCATTTGTTTGTATCCTCTTTTATTTCATTGAGCAGTGGCTTGTAGTTCTCCTTAAAGAGGTCCTTCACATCCCTTGTAAGTTGGATTCCTAGGTATTTTATTCTCTTTGAAGCAATTGTGAATGGGAGTTCACTCATGATTTGGCTCTCTGTTTGTCTGTTATTGGTGTATAAGAATGCCGGTGGGCCGGGCGCGGTGGCTCATGCCTGTAATCCCAGCACTTTGGGAGGCCCAGGTGGGTGGATCACAAGGTCAGGAGATCGAAACCATGGTGAAACCCCTTCTCTACTAAAAAATACAAAAAAAAAAAAAAAAAATAGCCAGTCGCGGTGGCAGGCGCCTGTAGTCCCAGGTACTCAGGAGGCTGAGACAGGAGAATGGTGTGAACCTGGGAGGCGGAACTTGCAGTGAGCCGAGATCGTGCCACTGCACTCCAGCCTGGGCAACAGAGAGAGACTCTGTCTTGGAAAAAAAAAAAAAAAAAAAAAGAATGCTTGTGATTTTTGCACATATATTTTGTAACCTGAGACTTTGCTGAAGTTGCTTATCAGCTTAAGGAGATTTTGGGCTGAGATGATGGGGTTTTCTAGATATACGATCATGTCATCTGCAAACAGGAAAAATTTGACTTCCTCTTTTCCTAATTGAATACCCTTTATTTCCTTCTCCTGCCTGATTGCCCTGGCCAGAACTTCCAACACTACGTTAAATAGGAGTGGTGAAAGAGGGCATCTCTGTCTTGTGCCAATTTTCAAAGGGAATACTTCCAGTTTTTGTCCATTCAGTATGATATTGGCTGTGGGTTTGTCATAGACAGCTCTTATTATTTTGAGATACGTCCCATCAATACCTAATTTATTGAGAGTTTTTAGCATGAAGGGTTGTTGAGTTTTGTCAAAGGCCTTTTCTGCATCTATTGAGATAATCATGTGGTTTTTGTCTTTGGTTCTGTTTATATGCTGGATTACATTTATTGATTTGCATATATTGAACCAGCCTTGCATCCCAGGGATGAAGCCCATTTAATGATGGTGGATAAGCTCTTTGATGTGCTGCTGGATTCAGTTTGTCAGTATTTTATTGAGGATTTTTGCATCAATATTCATGAAGGATATTGGTCTAAAATTCTCTTTTTTGTTTGTGTCTCTGCCAGGCTTTGGTGTCAGGATGATGCTGGCCTCATAAAATGAGTTAGGGAGGATTCCCTCTTTTTCTATTGATTGGAATAGTTTCAGAAGGAATAGTCCCAGCTTCTCCTTGTACCTCTGATAGAATTCGGCTGTGAATCCATCTGGTCCTGGACTTTTTTTGGTTGGTAAGCTATTAATTATTGCCTCAATTTCAGAGCCTGTTATTGGTCTATTCAGAGATTCAACTTCTTCCTGGTTTAGTCTTGCGAGGGTGTATGTGTCGAGGAATTTATGCATTTCTTCTAGATTTTCTAGTTTATTTGCATAGAGGTGTTTATAGTATTCTCTGATGGTAATTTGTATTTCTGTGGGATTGGTGGTGATATCCCCTTTGTCATTTTTTATTGCATCTATTTGATTCTTCTCTCTTTTCTTCTTTATTAGTCTTGCTAGTGGTCTATCAATTTTGTTGATCTTTTCAAAAAACCAGCTCCTGGATTCATTGATTTTTTGAAGGGTTTTTTTGTGTCTCTATTTCCTTCAGTTCTGCTCTGATCTTAGTTATTTCTTGCCTTCTGCTAGGTTTTGAATGTTTTTGCTCTTGCTTCTCTAGTTCAATTAAAAGTCACAGACTGGCAAATTGGATAAAGAGTCAAGACCCATCAGTGTGCTGTATTCAGGAAACCCATCTCACGTGCAGAGACACACATAGGCTCAAAGTAAAGGGATGGAGGAAGATCTACCAAGCAAATGGAAAACAAAAAACGCAGGGGTTGCAATCCTAGTCTTGGAAAAAACAGACTTTAAACCAGCAAAGATCAAAAGATACAAAGAAGGCCGTTATATAATGGTAAAGGGATCAATTCAACAAGAAGAACTAACTATTCTAAATATATATGCACCCAATACAGGAGCACCCAGATTCATAAAGGAAGTCCTGAGTGACCTACAAAGAGACTTAGACTCCCACACAATAATAATGGGAGACTTTAACACCCCACTGTTAATATTAGACAGATCAACGAGACAGAAAGTTAACAAGGATATCCAGGAATTGAACTCATCTCTGCACCAAGTGGACCTAATAGACATCTACAGAACTCTCCACCCCAAATCAACAGAATATACATTTTTTTCAGCACCACACCACACCTATTCCAAAATTGACCACATAGTTGGAAGTAAAGTACTCCTCAGCAAATGTAAAAGAACAGAAATTATAACAATCTGTCTCTCAGACCACAGTGCAATCAAACTAGAACTCAGGCTTAAGAAACTCTCTCAAAACTGCTCAACTACATGGAAACTGAACAACCTGCTCCTGAGTGACTACTGGGTACATAACAAAATGAAGGCAGAAATAAAGATGTTCTTTGAAACCAACGAGAACAAAGACACAACATACCAGAATCTCTGGGACACATTCAAAGCAGTGTGTAGAGGGAAATTTATAGCACTAAATGCCAACAAGAGAAAGCAGGAAAGATCTAAAATTGACACCCTAACATCACAATTAAAAGAACTAGGGTTTCACTTTTGATTTGGATTTCTCAGTCATCTTTTACTGTGCTCTCAATAGCCTGTGGCCAGGCCTCCCCAGATCAAAGCCTCTAAAACATTTACTTAAACCTGCAGCGTAGCTGGAGAACTAAATCCTCCTATTATGACTATTTGTGCATTGACAAATTTTAAGTCAGCAAATGATGATAAAACTTTATCAAATATTTAATTTCACAAAAGTATTAGACTTACAACTTCATTTACTTTCTTACTATAATATTTCTGATTTTAAAAATATCTGAATATGCTTTCTTCATCTACTGCAAACTGAAGGCTT
The DNA here is from genome assembly GCF_000001405.40 of Homo sapiens. NCBI lineage: Eukaryota > Metazoa > Chordata > Mammalia > Primates > Hominidae > Homo > Homo sapiens. The sequence goes on along the minus strand of NC_000003.12, from coordinate 22,445,276 downwards.
TAAACGTGAAAGAATAATTTTGAATCTAAGTTATGTATTCTATTTTCCTTTATTTTATTGAATCATTGTCTGGTTCCAAATTTGACATTGTGGGGAGGCCCATTCAGACTGCCAGGTTCAAATTTAGTTTAATTCTGCATTACTACATTGGGCTGAAAATAAGCAGATGTAACTGCTGATTTTTCTTCTTGAATTGGTGTCAGTTTTGGTTTTTTTGTTTTGCTTTCTTTCTCCCTGTCTCCTTCGCTCCTTCATTCCTTGCCTCCTTCCTCCCTCCCTTCCTTCCTTGCCTCCTCCCTTCCTTCCTTCCCTCCCTCCCTCCCTCCTTCCTTCTCTCCTTCATTCTCTCCTTCCTTCCTTCCCTCCTTCCTTCCTCATTAGAAGAAGCTTCTTTCGAAAGTATGATGTAGTGTGTTTATTATAGATTAATTCTGAGTATACACCCAATATATTATTTTCATTATTTTTGTATATATTATCTAGAACCTGTCAAAACAAATAGCTTACTCAAAAGATGGTAAAAATAACTTATTATCCAATAATTGTAAAAATTATTTACATGGATTCCTCCACTTCATTTGCATGTACATGTACATAATGTGTATGAGAATTGAATAGTTAATGTCTCCCTATAGGAAACACCACAAGGATATGTTTAATGGTTCTCTTGGTAGGAGAATATGTTATTACTTATACTCCATATTCTTCAGGCTGGAAATATATTCAAAGTTCTGAATCTCCTAATTAAAATATCAGTAGGATAAAGAAAAAGAAGCTGGTAAGTGAAAAAGGCTTACATTTTTTGCTTTCCCTTTATATGATGTGAGGAATGTTTGAGTTTAGAATTTTAAGTCACAGAAATCTGGCCCAAATTGGTTTGAGCAAAAATAATAATAACAATAATAATAATACTAGTAATAAGCAATTCAATGAGACACATAGGTAGAAAGTCAAAGAGTAGTGCTGGCTGCAAGCACTGCATAATGCTAGTGTTCAAATCATGTCACCAGAAACCTGTTGTCTTTTTTTTTGTTAAGTCTCTAGGCTCCATGTCTTTTGAGCTGGCTGTACTCCCTACAGTATCAACTCCAGACCATATACTCTCTCAAGTTCATTGTTCAGTGAAAAAGAAAAAAAGAAAGATGAATTATATTGTAATCCAAAATGTTAGCAAGGCTGCTAGGCAGTTAATAGGCTCTGGAAGAGTAACATGCCAATCACCAAGTCACTTATTGTAGCTGAGAGTATGTAATGTTGTGACTGGTTGAGGACAAGGTCTCAGGTCTGTTTCTCAGTGAGGAAGAATAAGAAGTTTCACTCACAACCACATATATAAGGGTAGGGAAAGGCTGATTTCTAGAAGTTGGGCTTTAGTACTCAGAAGGAAGATAAATGGAAGATGAGTGGCAACAACAAATAGTGAATTTTGGAGGGAAATCTCTTTGCGATTCAGTTTTATCTCTGCTTGATGTCTAAATCCTTGCATTACTTCCTCTACCCTATACACACTATCAGGCAAACTTGGCTGCCCTTTGAAGATTCAGCTTCATTCCCAGATCAGAACCACTCCTACCGGGACTCTCGTCACTGCTCCTGTTATCTCTACTAGTAAGTACCATTTATTCTCTGCTAAAGCCAGACAATAAATTCATCTTTTAACATAAATTATCTCTAATACTCACAATAATACTGTAAAATAGATGTTATTACATGCTATTTGCAAGTGAGGAAGCTAAGACTGAGAAAAGTATATAACGAGTATGAAAGTTCATAACCTATTAGTGGTAGTGCTGAGATTCCAACCAAAACTGGTCTCACTTTAAAGCTCATACCCTGAATAATGTTCTGAAATGTGGTCATAAAGTCAAATGTATAGACAGTCTACTCTTCTCTTTGGAACTGAAATTCTGCCTTGAATCCTGGGATTGAGTCCTTTTTTGGCAATTTGCTATGAATCTCAGGCTCTCTAGACCTAGATTTTAAAATCGTCCCTGCTATAAGCTTACCTCTACCTACATCTTATTCAGGGGCTAAATTCCTTTGCCCCAAACCACAGAGAGTGGAGTCCAGCTTCCTACTGGGTGAATTCCTTGAAATTTCCAAGTTAGATATTCCATTACCAGTTTCTTCCCTACATGGGATTCCCATGCCACTGCTCTGATAATTCACTGGCAACAGGTCCAAGTGGTAATATAGTGTAGTAGTTAAGAGCAAAGAATATGAAATATTACTGCCAGGATTCAAAATTCAACTATGCCTACTTCATAATAGGCTAATAATACCCACTTCAGTGACCCTTTATGAGCCCATAAAAAGTTAATTAATACAAAGAGGTAAGCAAAGCACCTAGCTCAGTGTAATGCACCCAGTAAACGGGAAATGGTGGTGGTGTTATTAGATCATTTCTCTAGGAATCTGTTTATGGCCTTTCAGAAATAATGTCAGCACGACAAGCTAAGGCTGGCTTCTGGAGACTTGGCAGCTAACTAAACTCTGGAAACTCATGTGTCTCAACCTGGTGTTGGTTCTAAGGCATGCTCAGTTGTGTTCTAGAGTAAAACCAATTACCTTAATGTATTTTTAAAAATAAGTTAGTTATGATTTCTTCATGGGAAAAATGTTTTCTCCATTTTCTATATTTTCTTTGAAAAGCATTTGCTTTCTCTCTCTAAATTGCTTATGCTCTTAGAAAGCTAAAGCTCTTAGAAAGCTAAGGCTTAGGAGATATGTGGGATAACAAAATAACATCTAATATTCATGTGCCAGGCATTTTACTTCTTTTGCCTCATTTTATTATACTCTCAGAAATGTTGGGAGGTCATTGGTGCTGTTTATCCCATTGTAAAGGTGGAAAAAGCAAGGCCCAGAGAGAAGTATCTTTCCAATCAGTCATTTTTTCCTGACGTTGGAATGCACATGTTCAAGCATTACGCTATTTTTTTTACTTTAGCGTTCTGGAAAATCCTTGTAAATATACTTAGACATTTCTAGAATCAATCATGAGGTGAAAAGCATACTATTTTCCATGAAGCGTTATGTCAGCAGTGAGATTTCTGGGCCCCTAACACTCTGTCATTAGAAGTCTTCTAATTACATTTTTTTTTTTTGTTTAGTTTAATGTGTTAGTCTGTGCTCACACTGCTAATTAGGACATACCTGAGGGTGGGTAATTTATAAAGAAAAAGAGGTTTAATGGACTCACAGTTCTACATGGCTGAGGAGGCCTCATAATCATGGCAGAAGGTGAAGGAGGAGCAAAGGCAAGTCTTACATCGCAGCAGGCAAGAGAGCGTATGCAGGGGAACTACCATTTATAAAACTATCAGATCTCATGAGACTTATTCACTATCATGAGAACAGCATGGGAAACTCCCACCCTCATGATTCAGTTACCTCCCACTGGGTCCCTCCCACAACATGGAGGGATTATTGAAAGTTGAGGTGCTATTTGGGTGGGGTGGGGACACAGAGTCAAACCATATCATTTGGTAACTTTTTATTTTGAAGTGATTTCAAATTTACAGATTAGTTTCAAGAATAACTCAAAGAACTTCCATTTCTCTTAACCTAGATTTCCCAATTACTAATATGTTTATTTAACCATACTTACTATATTTAGGTTATATATCCAAATTAATTTTTGAACTACTTGAGAATAAACTGTAGACATAATGCCCCTTTACCCCTAAATACTAAAAGTCTAAAACTAAAGACAATCTCTTACATAACCCATTATAATTATCAAAATCAGGAAGTTAATATTGGTATAATTAAGTTATCTAATCCACAGACCTTATTCAAATTTTACCAATTTACCAATAATGTAATCTGATCCATGTAGTGACCCCAAATCACATGGTACATTTGGCTTTCTATAATCCAGAACAGGTTTTTCTTCTCAATCTTTGTCTTTTATAACCTTGATATTTTTGAAGAGTACAGACAGGCCAGTTATTTTGTAGAAAGTCCTTATATTTTGTTTTGTTTGCTGTTTTCTTACGAACCATTTGATGTATGCATTTTTTGCAGAAATACCACAGAATAAATGGCATATCCTTATTAATGATTGTTATTACATGTAATGTTGAGTTATTACTGGGCAAGGGGTGAAAATGGGAGGCAGGGGGTTGATTTTAATCACCTAGTTAAGATGGTATCTGTCAAGTTTCTCTACTATAAAGTGGTTATTATTTTCCTTTGTAATTATTCACTACTTTGGGGGCATAAGTTGAGACTAAATATCTTATTTTTTAAAGCTTTTACCTACTAGTTTAAGAATTCATTGATAACTCTTAGCTGAATAATTTTAACCATGGTATTTGCAAAATATTTTCTAATTGCATCTTTTCTTCTACATTTGCTAGTTGACATTCTAACAATGTGAATAAACATTTTCTTCCCCTTAAATTTGTTTACATCCACATGGACTCCTCCTGGATTCTTATTTTGTTCAATGAGTTGTGTTCTTTTACTGTCATTACTTATCTGATTCTCAAATGTTTCCTTATTTGGTCACTAGAAGCTCCTTTAAACTGGCTCCTGGGTCTTTCTGATCACTCTCCGAGCCTTGTCTTTCTCTCTGGCAAATAACCTGCTTGAGGATCATCTTTTACTTTTCATTCTTGGAATGAGGACCTCCTCTGTATCTCTTTAGTACAGAATGGCATTTGAAACCAACGTTTAAGTACTAGAGCTAACACATTTTATAAAGTTACCTTGAATAATGATGAAACTGGATCATAAAGGTCCCAGAAGCCTGTTTGTTTGTAATGGCCTGATAATGAGACCTAATGAAATAATGAGAAGTTGAATGGAAAGGTCTTGAATCAGCCTTCAGGTTTGAAGGAAATCTTACATGGAAACTTCTCCACGTATGAATGTCCTATGTTTGTATAGCTTGTATAATGAAAACACTTTCAAAGCTTCAGTAGCATGTACCTATAATGTGGCCACAAAAACTGAAAGCTCAAATGTCCTGCTTTTGCTCCTTTCTGCTTACACAAGTCCTCTACCCAACCAGCAAAATCCCCACCTTCAAGTATATTTTGTAGTCATGGCGTTTGGGATTTGTAGCTAAATCACAAGTCTACCAGTGGTAGGCGCTGCATGTTGCCCACTCACCCCATTCTCTTTCTGTCCCAGCTGCCTCTTGAAGCTGTCCTCTCTTCACAAATTCATTTGCGAGAGCTTTACATGTTCATGATTACCATGATTATGCTTTGACCAAGGACATCCTCAAAGTGCTATATTTCTATGGGACCCAAGTGGGAGTGGAGAAAAGAGCCCCTTCCTCAATCTTTGGTTGTACTTTGTTCCCTGAATTCCAAGCAGCAGTGTCATTGCTCGCAGGCTCATAATGTTTCTCCTAAAAACAGCTTTTTTAGCTTCCAGCCCTAAATCCTTTCTCCACAGGAGCCGGTAACTTATCCAAGAGACTGAGGAGAGAACAGACGCCATTTTATTTCTTCCATCTGTTCCCAACTTTCCTCTGAGGGTCCTGTGTCTACACAAACACAGAAACAAATAACAGATTCTCTAACACAAGGTATCTCAACAGTGACACCGTTGACATTTTGGGCTGTATAATGTTTTGCTTTTTAGGGCTGTCCTGTGCATTGTAGAATATTGAACAGCATCCCTGGCCTCTACCCACTACATGCAAGTAGCAGCACTCCCCAGGTCCTGACAACTAAAAGTATCTTTGGATATTGTCGTGTCTACCAGGAAGGGGATGAGCAAAATTATCTCAGTTAAGGACCAATGCCTTAAAGTCATCCTTCACCATGTATATCAATTTGCAAAGAGATGCTCAAGAATCTTGAGCCACTTACACCATGGACAGGCACCTTCTCCTTTCACTGAGTGGCCAGTAAAAGCCTCTTTTAATCTTACTTTTCCTTGTTCGTTTTCAGTTTTCTTTTCTCAATAATTTCAGACACCGAAGCGAACTTCTCAACCCCTCTCTCAACTTCTAGCCTATTTCAGAATCCATTCAAAGTGTCGAACAAAAAGAAATGGAAAATCCTAACATCTGCTATTTCTTTACTGACCCTCGGTTTCCTTACCCCTAGCCCAGTGCTAGTTTCCTTTTCTCAGCTTAATTTCACTCATAGGTAAATCCTCAAGCTGCCTCTCACCTCACTTATTTTCCCAGTGGTCGTACCTCATTGTATACCTGAAGATTTGCCATTAGCATCTAAGAACACCCATTATGCACTTTTACTATTTCATAGCACTTTGGAGGGAGAGATGCAAAGGGCTAAGTCTTTTGCTGTGTCTGTTGCCTGTTACTCTTTCCTATTTACTTGCCAGAAATAAAAAATCTCAAAGAAGGTAAGCCTAGAAAGCACGTGGACTTTTGAGCCCTGGGTTGGAATCTTGACAATAATTACTGTCTATATAACCTTGAACAAGTTACTTCACTTTTCTGTGCTTCCTCATCTGTAAAGTGGAGATAATAAACCTTGCCTCATAGGGTTGTTTGAACTTCCAACTGTTTATTAAATCTATCACCTATCAATCATGTATGCATCTATATCTAGCTACCTGTAACTACATTTATGTATCTATCTCTATATATTCTTATTTATTCCTATATTTCTATATATGATAAATGTTCAATTAATGGATATTTAAAATAACACTAATAGTGACAAGACCAGCATTTGATGTAATTATGTAAAAAATATTCTTTTTCTCATGCTCCCCTTTTTAGAAAGCTTCTAAATTGGCTTCTTAAAAAAAGGAAAATCTATGAAGATGAGAGAAAATATTTGCAAAGCGTACATCTGATAAGGGGTTAATATCTAAAGTACATAAGGAGCTCAGACAACTCAATAGCAAAGCAAATAACCTGATTATAAAATGGGAAAAAGGCCTAAATAGATATTTCTCAAAAGAAGACACACAAATGGCTAACATGTATATGAAAAATGGTCAGTATTGCTAATAATCAGGAAAACACAAATTAAAACCACAGTGAGCTATTACCTCACACCTGTTATCACAGTCATTATAAAAAAGACGAAAGATAACAAGTGTCTGTGAGAATGTGAAGAAAAAGGAACCCTTGCACACTGTTGGTGGGAATGTAAGTTCATACAGTCATTGTGCAAAAGACTATGGAGGTTTCTCAAGAAACTAAAATAAAATTATCCTATGATCCAACAATCCCAATACTGGGTTTATATCCAAATGAAATGAAATCAGTATATCCAAGAGATATTTTCACTTGCATGTGCATTGCAGCATTATTCACAGTAGCCAAGATATGGAATTTACCTACGTATCCATCAACGAATGAATAAAGAAAATGTGATATATATATACTCAGTGGAATACTACTCAGCCTTAAAGAAAGATATCCCATAATCTTTGACAATTTGGATTAACCTGGAAAACATTATTATAAGTGAAATAAGCTACGTCTAAAAAGACAAATTTTCTCATGTATTTGTGGAATCTAAGAAAGTTGAACTCATAGAGGCAAAGAGTAAAATGATGGTTACCAGGACTGTATGTAAGGAGGAATTGGAGATACTTTGGTCAAAGGATATAAAATGTCAGTTAGACAGGCGGCATAAATTCAAGAGATCCATTGTACAACATAATGAATTGCTTTTTAAAAAATATGAATAAAAATCTGGGCTTTATTTTGAAAGGCCTTAGAGATATTCTCCTTGAGATTTCTGAAGGTTTTGGGTATTTCTCTGTTACATCAGTAGAAGTGTACCATATATAGGAATGCTAACACTTGGGGGGGTTAAAAGCATATCTTCTACACTAGTGAAAGTGCTTGAATCAGTGATTCTGGAAACTTCTAAACTTAAAATTGGGTAGATACAAAATCCTGTTTCATTTGATGGGGATATAGGAGTTTTTCTATTGCTGTGGACATTTTTATTTGAATCTCTTCAGAGTCTTCTTTCAGTGGTGAGTTTTCTGAATGCCTTCAAGCTGTTTGTTCCAAGTACTACTTAAATATAATATATGGATTGTAAGTCTCATTCTGGGGTCCAGTTGCTTGGGTTTGAATCCTGGCTCTTCAGTTACTTAACATAACCTTAACTGTTTCACTTAATCTTACATTACTAAGTTTCCTCATCTATAAAATAAAGTAAGTAATCATATCTATCTCATAAAGCTTTTATGAGGATTAAACAGATTAATATATATGAAGTTCTTAAAATATAGAAAATACACAGTAATTATATTTACTATGAGCTTTCATTTCATTTCTTTCCTTTTTTTTCTTTTTTTTTTTTTTTTTATTGAGACAGAGTCTCACTCTGTTGCCCTGGAGTGCTAGAGGGACACAGTCTTGGTTCACTGCAACTTCTGCCTCCCGGGTTCAGGCGATTCTCCTGCTTCACCCTCCCGAGTAGCTGGGATTACAGGCCACCAAGCCTGACTAATTTTTGTAGTCGTTTTTTGTTTTTTTGGTTTTTGTTTTTTTTTTTTTTTGCGTTGAACACAAATTCAGGTTTATTTTCTCATTATCAAATGCTGTGGCCTGCATGCAGTGACCCAAAGCACTCAAAGGCTGACAGGGTTTCACTATGTTGGCCAGGTTGGTCTCGAGCTCCTAACCTCAAGTGATCTGCCCATCTTGGCCTCCCAAAGTACTGGGATTACAGGCATGAGCCACCATGCCTGGACAGCTTTAATTTATTTTCTTAGAGAATTACTATGACAAAAAGAAATCACATTTCAGTATATGCAGATAGTACATGTACTATGTATACATTTTTAGAGATATTATTTGTAATAAATGATTTATATTAATTCTAAGAAATACTTTTGGAAACTTTCCCCTTTTTGAGTTGGATGTAGGAATACTTTGAATAAGAAAGAAAAACACATTTCTTTCATATGTTTTTGTGTAAACATTGAACCAATTTTGAAATTGCTGAGATTTCTTTGGATAAGGAGCGTCTGAGAAAAACTTGTGTGATGTTTTTGACTATGCTGCTTTTAATTTTGCCAACAGTAACAGTACTTTGTTCTATGATTCAACATCTATTTTATCAATGAATAAAAGCCCTTCATGTAAAATGTCTGTAAACATCTGCAAGTACTGGGTAAACACCCAATGTGACGGACATTTCATATTATTGCTAAATATGGCAAATATTCTTGGGACTTAATGTCAAATGAGAAGCCAAACTGTGATTAAATTAGTCTTTATTATCATCACTGTTATGTAAAATTTATTTACATAACACACAAAATAAAGAAATAGCTGTCTGTTGTTTGTTTTCTTCCTCTCAGCTTAAACAAAAGTGTCTGCTACTCATTTTATATTCAGTGTGTGAATTTTTCTACCTAAAAAGCATCCATTAGAGTGCCATATTTAATTTTTTGAGAACAGCACTATACACCTGAGATTAGAATTTTGATCAGGAATGCTTTTATGGTGTCAGACAAATTATTTTCTTCCATATGATACTCTTCTATATTATACCTTCCATTCTTGGCATGTGAATAAGTGTATACCCATGGAACACTTAGCCTTTTTTCTATATCTTATAGGAAGGGTTTGTCCCAGTGCCTGGAACAATTTATGTACAGGCTTTGCATGTACAGAAGTTATTCATTTCTCTAGCAGGTGATTATTTAAATAATATTTTTAACAAATGTAAACTACCCCTATAGTCAAGAAATGAGCAAAATGGAAATCATTATTTCAAACTTGTTTTACTGAAAGAAAATAATGGAATTATATAGGAAGGATAGTCTTTCCTCTTGAATTTTTAAAATTAATAGACTTTACCTTCTCGGGCAGTTTTAACTGCAGAAGAATAAGCAGAAAGTACCGAGTCCCTGTATACCCCAGTTTACTCCTCACATTTTCCCCTACCAACATATTGCTTTATTTACTGTGGTGTATCTGTTAGAGTTGATGAAAAAATATATTATTATTAGCTAACATTCATAGTTTACATTTGAGTTTACACTGTGTGTTTTACATTCTTTGGGCTTTACTAAATGTATCATCACGACAGGTATCCACCATTATGGTATTATAAAAAATAGTCTCACTGCCCTAAAAATTATCTGTACTCCACCTGTCATTCATCTCTACCTACCTCCTGCCCAGCTACTAGAAACCATGGGCTTACTGTCTCCATAATTTTGCCTTTTTCAGAATGTCATATAGTGGGAATCATACATTATGTAGCCTTTCGAAGTTGGTTTCCTTCACTTAGCAATATGCCTTTAAGATTTCTCTATGTCTTTCTGTGGCTTGAGATTTCATTCTTTTTATCACTGCATAATATTCTATTGTATGGGTATGCCACAATTTGTTTATTCATTCACCTATTGAAGAACACCTTTGTTAATTCCCAAGTTTTGGCAATTATGAGTAAAGCTGCAATAAACATTTATGTGGAGGCTTTTGCATGTGAGTAAGTTTTCAAATAATATGGATAAATCCTACGGAGTACAGTTGATGGATCATAAGGTAAAAGATTGTTTATTTTTGTAAGAAACTGTCAAACTGTCTTCCAAAGTAGCTGCACCATTTTGCATCCCCTCCAGCAATGAATCAGAGTTCCTGTTGTTCAACATCCTTGCCAGCAATTGGTGTTAACAGTGTTTTGTATTTTAGTCCTTCTAATAGACATAATATCATTATCTCATCATTGTGTTAATTCTCTCTCTCCCTCTCTCTCTCTATATATATATGTCTATAAATTGTTTTTATTAAAGGAAGTGGTTTTCATTCAGATAATAATGAAGGGGATTCAGGTAAAAGCCGTGCATAGAGATGTACCAGCCACACATAAAAATGTTACTTACCTATAAGGCAATGCTAATGGAATAAAATCATTAAAAATAAATACTCCCTCAAATCTCAATTTAATAGGTATAAAAAGCTAAAAAAGAAGACTATTTGACTTCAAAGAAGCTCAGACTGAGATAAGAAGGATTTTTTTTTTAATTTTTATTTTATTTTATTTTTTTATTTTTGATTTTTTTTTATTATACTTTAAGTTTTAGGGTACATGTGCACATTGTGCAGGTTAGTTACATATGTATACATGTGCCATGCTGGTGCGCTGCACCCACTAACTCGTCATCTAGCATTAGGTATATCTCCCAGTGCTATCCCTCCCCCCTCCCCCCACCCCACCACAGTCCCCAGAGTGTGATATTCCCCTTCATGTGTCCATGTGATCTCATTGTTCAATTCCCACCTATTAGTGAGAATATGCGGTGTTTGGTTTTTTGTTCTTGCGATAGTTTACTGAGAATGATGATTTCCAATTTCATCCATGTCCCTACAAAGGACATGAACTCATCATTTTTTATGGCTGCATAGTATTCCATGGTGTATATGTGCCACATTTTCTTAATCCAGTCTATCATTGTTGGACATTTGGGTTGGTTCCAAGTCTTTGCTATTGTGAATAATGCCGCAATAAACATACGTGTGCATGTGTCTTTATAGCAGCATGATTTATTTTTAAAGATTTTTTTGAGAGTCATTCACATTTAGTATCAAAGCTGAAATAGCTTACGTGATGTTAACACCTGATTCATTTTAAATTTCTCATAGTCCTAATGTCATTAACTTTTAATCAGAATGTGTATCTGGAATTTTGATTAGATTTGAACAGACAAGTAGGAGAAAATAGTCAAATCATTAAACTCAGTGAACAGCAAATTGAAGCATTCAATAAAAGTTTAGAATTTTAACACTCAACAAATAGAATACTGAGTGACAGGAAAATTTGAACCCTGCCTTCAAATGAGAATTACCTGGATCTGAAGAGTTAAACAAGGCATTCCAATTGTGGATTAAAATGTTGGTGGGATCTGAGTGGATCCTCTCAGGAAGGGCCAGGGATTCAGGCTCATCTTGACCTGTGGATCAGTGATGGGTAAACATCTGAAGCAAAGCTCCACCTGCAGAATTTCTTCAGAGTTTAGAAATGGTAATATAAATAGCTTGAATCTGTCCATTCTAGTAATACTTGTAAGTCTTTTCACATTAGCCTTTTTAAAAGTTCCATTCTTAGCTTTCTCTGAATATCACTGTGAGGTAATATCGCTCACTAGGGCTTCAAGAATCAGGCTCCACACTCATGGTGATGGTCCTCTCTACTCAGCTCCAGACACATGTCTTTTGTTGGTTCATTGATCTATTGATTGACCCATTGATAAACTTATTCATGAATCCATCCATTAATGGGTTAGAAGGATCAACTTATCAATTGCAAAGTCTTCCACAGTTTGTTGTTTCTCTGAACCTGTTATCTGCCTTGTTGGTATGATACTCCATACCACTCAGACTTATAGAGAGAAATAAAATAATATTTGTGTATTTTGTATCTGGATTCCTACTGCTACTTCCTTGGTACAGAGTATCTTCATTTCTTTCCTGGACTATGACAATATACTTCTGACTAGTTTCTTTGCCTAGATATATTCTCTGCAGGTCAGTATACAGTCCTCCACATTAAAGGTGGTTGGAGCTGGGGAAGGGAAAGAGAAGTCAAGAGAGGCCAAGAGTGAAAGGCGAACTTCACCTGTGGAGACACTACAGAGGAAAACTCTGCAGCTCTGATTCCACCCCTGCTGCAGAAATGTGTAATAAACTCTTCCTACCCCAACCCCACCCCCATACTTATAGGGACCATTAAGGAGTGGAAACTGGAGTGGGGGGAACCTCTGAAAAAAATCCTGACAGTACTTTCTTGAAAGAAATATGTTAAGCTACAATGCAACTATTTAAATGGAATGAGGTAGAAATATTATTAACTGGTAACCTTTTGTTTCCCCACTACTTGATAAAGAGTTTACAATAAAATAAAATTAGTTAAGGATATGCAAAGATATATATTTTATCTTCACTGTGAATATAATGTGTATGAATTTGCAACCCTGAAACATAGACATAAAGAGGTGTCTCCTGGAATTATGGTCCTGTTATAGGGAGCACTTTGTTAAAAATTTCTTCTGAGTGATGATTGTTGCTTGGAAAGAGTAACCTTTTACTCACTGTCCTGTTAAAAATATTATTTACAACATTTGAGCATGATAGCATGACAAGAATTTCCTCTGATGTTTGTTACAAAATTTCATAAAGTTACTATATCAGGCAAAACAAACCTGTCTGGCCTTTGGATTCTCCACACAAGAAGACAATGGTAAGATGCCTTCAAATAGTTAGAGAAATAAAACATACCCTTGAGTTTATAATTAACCAATAGACATTTAAGTAGAAAGGCAACAGATAGTTTTGGTCATACAAAATATTCTCAAATAAACTACCAGATGATAAACTTTACCCAACCAAAAAATGAGTGAAGAAACTTTAGCTAAAGGAAGTATGATGGGCACTGAGGCCAAATGAATTCAACCATAGGTTGAAAATTAGTATCAACTTGGGAATTCTGGTAGAGGAAAAAATTGTAAGTGTTGAAACTGGTCCCAGGTTTAGCTCTATTTCCTTCCTCTTTCTCATCATGCTCAGATTTCTTTGCATACTAAAATTCCTGAAATTGATTGTAATGGTTCCTACCACAGAACCTTTACAAAAGCTCTTCATTCACCTGGGACAGGTTCACCCCAAGCCCATTACTTATCCAGCCCTACTCAGAAACTCACTCTTATCCAGCCCAACACCTATTCATCCTAAAGACTCAGCATCATTATTCCTTTCTTCAAGAAAATGTGCCTGTCACCTTCTGTTATGTGCTCATATATTCTGTCACTCACCACGCTTGTCAAACTGCATTACAAATTTCCTGTTTCTAGCCCTTCTCCCAATTACTGCACTCTCCAAAGAGATGTCATGCTCTCATCCAGTATCTATCACAGTGCTGAATATATGATAGACATAAAGTAAGCTAATTGATATACATCAAGATGTGAATATGGGTTTAAGTTCTTTTTTATTCTGTCTTCTAATTATGCACATACCTACATACACATATTATTGACATTCAAAAAATATGTCAACTTTAAAAACCTAGGTTTGTTATTTTTAAATGTAAGTAACATAATTCATAATCTGTTTTGACTAGTGAACATCAAGGTTTTAGGTAAAACCAATGAATGCTTTTTTGATCATTAAACTATGTCATTTCAAGTGATGATTCTATACCATTGAAAAGATTAATTTTAACACTTACATTTGCAAAGCAAACCATTAACTTGGTTTATTATGAAACAGCAAACTTACTTAATTTGACCAGACACCATGCTGTCAGTAATTTGACAGTAATGATATTGTTTTTCCCCTCGTGACTGAGATTAACAATACCAATTTGCTAAATTAATGCTTGTGTGGATATTGTCAATAAATAATTGAATGGCTAACTTGGATAAATAAAAAGCAGATTCTGACATCAGGACTACTGAACTGAAGAGTTCAGTTTGGCCAGATTAGCTACATTTCCAATATATATTGCACCTGGAATAAACATCACCTATCAAAAATAAAATATCAAAATAAAAGATGAAATCAAATTATAAAATATCATTATCCAAATGACTCTTTTAAAAAGCAGTAATCTTCTTTCCATAACAGCTGTTACAAAATTTTTTACCTGAAGGAACTTCTAGCTTTACTATATCTTGATTTGCTAAAATTCCCTTTAATGAATTATTTTAGAAACAAGCAATGATGCAATTTACCTTTTTGAAGCCTAGAAACATGACATGAATATGAGGAGAATAAATGTCTTTCAGAGGCACTTAATTTTCATTTCACTTACTTTAAAAATTAGAGATAAATTTTGAGGTATTCTTTTTCTACAACTCGTCTTCGATTTTCTATTCTATATATATAGAAAAAAACCTAACTTACATGACGTATGTTAAAAACAAATAGGGAACAATTTGCCTCAGATTGAAAGATGATTTTTCAGCCCAATGCTATTGTGTGCACCAAATGCATTCAAATTTTCAACAAGAGTTTTTTCTTTGGCTTGAGGGTATCTCTTTGTCATATTTGGAAAAGGACATTAAATAATCATGTATATTAGTCACTTAACTGATATTTTAATAAAGTCAATATGCCCATCATTTGGTTTCAGTTTTAGAAAAGCATACTGAAGAGTGAGGAAATGTTTTTAAAAATAGAAATGTATGTGTTTTTAAAACTAGATATCCTAGAACTTTTCTCTCTTCTTTTGTGATTTGAACTGCAAAGGATGGTTCCATTCATATTGCAAGTTACTCTAATCAAGGTCCAAAAGGACACAGAGCCTGGAGCTTAGCTCTTTCATGGGTAGTGTGCATGGTGTGGCCAAATGCGTGGGTAATCTTCTAATGGGTAATCTGCCCAGGATTCGATGGAAGGGGCTAAAAGTGAAATTAGCATATTTCTATGAACTAGATGGTCGATATTTTACCATTCACAAAGTAATCTAAACCTTGCACAGGTATATTTTTATTTTTAGCCTTTTTGAGTGAACCTCATAGAATCACCCCCCCCTAAAAATGTATAGGAGGTCAACTGTTTAGCTGTGACTATCTGTGAACATTGAAGCTTGCATGTCAGTGTCAATGGACAGTCACATAAATAACACACAGTTATTCATTTATTTATTTACATTGCATATAATGAAATAAGAAAGATGTTATCTCTCAGACCTCTCTCAAGGAAAAACCTGCTTGTGGTTGGAAGGAATACCTTGGTTAGTGATTTGGGGCAGGAGGTGAAACTCCCACAGAGCATGCTCACTGAACAATAAGCTATCTTCAAGGAGGAAGAGGTGCCTCATTAATAAGAGGGTGTTTGTTTTGCTAGACACTGAGATGAATGTGGTACGGAAGTTTAGGAGCAAGTTGAGGCCGAGAACACTAGAATGGCAGAGAGCAAGTAGTTCATGTTGCAGGGCACATGAGAAAATCACCTGGGATACTTGACTTTTCTGATGATGGCTATTGGACTAGGTTTGGTATGGAATTTGCTCGGTTTTGGTAAGCACTCTCTTATGGCTCCTTATGAAATTTTTGGTACATTATTCATTACCCAGTAATTTATTTTCTGGGTGGATTTTATGGAGAATTTATGAAGAACTTCATCAAGGCTGGTGATAAATAAAACCAGAATAAAATTGAAGATGGCTGAGTACCTGAGTTACTTGTGTAAAGATTGCCTCACTCAAAAACAAGATTATTACCCATACAGCTTATTTTAGAGGTGATTTGTTCTTCAGAAACATTTTTTTCACCAGTAAGTCTATTTTAGGAGCATATTCTATCTACACTTGCTGCGTGTGTGCATGAATAGAATTCTGTGCAACACCCATATGTATTACACCTTGAGTTTCTTACCCCTGAATAAGAACACCCTTACACTATGCAAGAAAATCCCATCTTTTACATCCTTAAGTTTTGGTCTTTTTGGTGAGCAAAAGGAAGCAGAGACATGGCCCTTTCCCCTTTCTACTCAGCATCTGAAAAATATGTACTATATGGAACTGAAGTTTATACCTTGAAGATTCCTGACTCCACTTACATACCCTGTGTTTCAGATTGTAAAAGATGCTACAATTTTGATTATAGTTGCATTGAATCTGTAGATGAAGATGAACTGATGTCTTAACAATATTGACTCTTCTACCCCATAAACAAACCAAAACTCTTATTTAGGATTTATTTATATTCTCTCAGTGATGTTTTACAGTTTCAGTACTTAAGTTTTCCATATGTTTTATCAGATTTATCATTAAGTACTTCATATTTTTGATATCATAAATAATATTGTTTTCATTTATGTTTCATATATAAAGCATATGGTGTATATGGTATGTAACAATACTTTGTCTTTTGTATATCGATCTTGTTATTTTATTGAATCGATCAGATTTTCTTTATAGATCATCATGTTGTATGTGAAGAAAGACTTCTTGTCAAATTTGTCAAAACAAATTTTGTTTTGTTTTTCTTCTTCTTTTTTTGTTTTTTTAAATCTTTTATCAGAATGTACTGGCTAGAATCTCCAGCACAATGTTGAATAGAAACAGAGTGAGAACAGAAATACTTTTCTTCTCCCTGATCTTACCTAGAAAACCATAAAATTTTGTAGAACTCCCCCGCCCCCCAACTCCTTTTTGTTTTTAATTGAGAAAGTATACTTCTATTTCTAATAGAACTTTGCTTAGAGTTTGTTTGGTCTTTCGTTTTTAATCAGGAATAGATTTTGATTTTCATCAAATGTTTTCTCTATGCCTGTAGAGATGATCATATGTTTATATGAATAAATTACATTTATTGATTTTCAAATGTTAAATTTAATGTGCATTCTTGAGATAAATATCACTTGGTCATGATAAATTATACTTTTTATACATCATTACATTCAAATTGCTAAAGTTTTGTTTAGAATTTTTACATCTATGTTCACGTGAGATATTGATCTATGGTTTTGTTTGTCTAGTCTTTGAGTTTAATGTCAGGGCAATCCTGGCCTTATAGGATGTATTAGGAATTATTTTATCCTCTTTAGTTTTCTGGAAGAATTTGTATAGACTTGGTAATATTTTCTCATTAAATATTTGGCAGAATGCACAACAAGAGATATTGGCCTGGACTTCTCTTTTTGGGGAAGTTTTTAAACTACAAATTGAATTTCTGTACTAGATATACAGCTATTCAGGTAATTTATTTCTCTTTGAAAGAACATTGATAACTTGCGTCTTCCAAAAAATGTGACCATTTCATCTAAGTCATCAAATTAATAGGCATGAATTAGTTAATAATACTACTCACATACTATCCTTTTGATGTCTTCTGAATCTGAGTGATACCACCTTTCTCATTCCTTTTATTGGTAATTTTACTTTATCAATGTTATTGACAACCTTAAAGCACCAGCTTTTAATTCAATCAATTTTGTACTGTTTTTATTTTCTATTTCATTGATTTTCATTTTTATCTTTATTATTGTATTTTTTCTGCTCACTTTGAGTATCACTAGTTTTTCTTATTTTTATTTTTTTAAGTTTCTTAAGATATAAAATGAGATCATTAATCTGAGATCTTTCATCTTTATTAATATAGAGGTTTATTGCTATAAAGTTTCCTCAAAGTACAGCTTTAATACCATCTCACAAATTCTGATATATGGTGTTTTATTTTTATTCGTTCAAAACCTTTTCTAATTTATCATTTGAGTGTCTTTTTCAACATTATTTAGAAGTACATTGTTTAGTTCCCAAATATTTGGGGATTTTCGGATATCTTTCTGTTATTAGTATCTAATTTGTTTTACTTTGGTCAAAGGACATGCCTTGTATGACTTGAATCATTAAAATTTATTGTGATTTGCTTTATATTCCAGAGTATGTTGGTAAGTGTTCCATGTGCACTTGAAAAGAATATGTATTCTGCTGTCGTTGGGTAGATAATTTATTTGCAGTCAATTAAGTCAAGTTAGTTGACAATATGGTACCAGTCTACTATATCTTTGCTTATTTTTTTTTTCTATTTGTTCTATCACTTATGGAGCAAGGGCATTGAAATCTATGATTACAATTGTGGATTTATCTATTTATCCTTGTAGTTCAACCAATTTTGCTTCATGAATTTTGAAGCTTGATTATTAGGTACATAAAAATTCACAATTGCTATGACCTTTTGAAGAACTGACCTTCAGGTATCCCTAGTAATTACCTTTTGCTCCAAAATCTACTTCAATATTAACATAGCCACTCCAACTTTCTTTTGACTAGTGTTAGCATAATGTTACAGTTTTGTTTTGATTCTAGTACTATGGAGTCATTTTACCACTGTCTTCTTGCTTACATTGTTTCTGGTGAGAAATATTTCCGTCTTTGTCTCTCTTTCTCTGTATATACATTGTTTTACTTTGGTTGCATTTAAGTTTTTCTCTTTCTCACTGATCTTGTGTACTTTGATTAAGATATGCTTTTTTCATGTTTCTTGTGATTGAGACTTGTCAGGGTCCTGAGATGATCAGGTTGATAATTTTTATCAATTTTGGAAAATTTCAGCCATCATTTTCTGAAAATTTGTGTCCTTCCTCTTTTCTCCTTTGAGTAATCCCAAATATTTGCATATTAACCTGCTTGAAATATCCCACAGCTCACTAAAGTTGTTTCCATTTTCTATAAATTCTCTTTTCCCTATCTGTTTCAATTTCACTGTTTTTTTTTTTTTTTTGCAATATTTAATTGTTGTTAATTACATGTGGTGTATTTTCATATTATATAATGTGGTTTGTGTCTCTAGAGGTTTGGTTTGTTTTTTTAAAAAATGTCTTCCATGTTTCTACTTAATACTCTGAATGTACATAATACAATTATGAGGTTTAAATATCTTTGTTAATTCTAGTATTTGTGACAATACTGAGTTATTTTTATTTTCTTATTTTCCCTATAATGGGCCACATTTTTCTGCTTCTTTGCATGCCAGGTAATCTCTGATTGCATGCCAAACATTGCAATTTGTACCTTGTTAATGTTGAATATTTTCGTAGCAATGCTCAGTTTATAGCAGTTTATTTCCCCCTGCTGTGGTAAGACTTTCCTGAGTGCACTACAATGAATGGTGAGTTTTTCTAACATAGTTTGTGGGAACAGGCTCTGTTCCTAGCCCTGTGTGAGTGTCAGGCGCTGTTCTATTTAATCCTTTCAATTCTTTTTCTAGGGTTTAAGTTATTCACACATATGTGTTGATTAGTACTTCGCAAAATAAGTCAAGGCCCTCTGTACTTTTCTGGAATTCTCCTTCAGTGCAGCCTTGGTTTCCCCAGATTCTATCTTCTGTCTTCTTAACTCATTGAGTTTATCAAGTTCTTCTTGGGTGACCCCCTAATGTGCTATAGCTTTGGAAGTCTCTCAAACCAGGACAATTACAGGGCGCATCTTGTTTTCAATTTCTCAGGGATCACTGTCCTTTGTTACCTGAGTTCCAGTGTCTTGAAAATCATTGCTTTATGTGTTTTATCTTGGTTGTTTTACATGACAGCATAAGTCTAGTTCTTGTTAATCCATATATTTGTTGGAAGCAGAGGTGATGTTTGGGTTTTATATCTCAGGTATTTCTTAGGGATGGAGAAAACATACAAAATAGACCTGACAGGATTGATTAGGTAACATGAGGGTGTCTTATATTAATGTGAGCTAAGATTATGGTGGGTTCACCTATTAACCTTGAAATGTATTCTCTCCCTCTGAAATCATTATTGGATGAGGTAAAACCCAAATGCACATGAGATTGCAAAACATAGCTTTGCTTTTTCTGTAAACCCTTGGCCTCTAGGGATACAAGTAGTATTAATACTTCCTCTTTGGATACCTGAGTTGGTGTACACAGTTCTAATTCTAAGCATCTAGCCTTCAGTCATTAATGAAATGGTAAATAGGAATTTATTCAATCTTCGCTATAAGGACAATGCCCTGATCTATTCTCTTCCACATTTGCGCTTCTCAAGTAAAAACAACAATAAAAAATATCAAGCAGAACTGTGAACTTTTTGTTCCTTTCTATTAATTTTCTTTGTAGCAAATTTCCAGCCATGGAATTTTATTGATTATTCTCATTTCAACAACATAATATATTTGCCTGTCCGCTCACACTAAATACATGTGCATGTAACATTCTTAGTAAGTAGGACCATTGCCTATATCCTCTATCACCTGGTTTTCTATTATTTAATTAAACCCATTGTAGGGAACTTTCTGCTTGCAAAATATAAAAGCCTTCCAATTATATGTTATAACCTAATTGTTTCAGCCTAATTTTCATGAATATTTTAAGTTTCATTATTTCCTATTAGTAATTTTTAATGCAGAAGATTGTATTCCTTAGTGTATAAGCTATTTGGGTTTATTATCTGTGCAAAAAATTATTTGCACAGGTTTAAATTCCATTTTCTCTTCTATATGTCTAATATAACCAACTCCAAAAGTTTATACTACATTTAACATACTGTATTTTAGCATATATGCTCGTAAAATATGCCATACTATACTTACTGTTAGAAATGTATTTCATATTTCTATTGCTTTTTAATGGGTGTCCTACTTACCTATCAATTTTATTCTGAAAGAACTGTAATTAAGGAAAGTTTCTGGACTTTTTTTCTATTAATTTTATTAAATTTAAAAGTTGGTTTATCTTTGAGGTTATACACACACACACACATACATATATATATATATATACACACATACATATATCATATCTTATATCTATAATAGATATCTACAAACATCTGTTCTTAAGTTCATCAAAATTGTCTCTCCTTTAGAGATTTTTATTATTTTCTACAAGACCAAGACCCCAGGAAGACTATTAAAGACTTTTTAATGAGAGGCAAGATTCAGATATTCTCAAGAGGGAGACGTTAAACAGTTTTAGTTACTGAAAGATAATATCAAAGAGAACACAAGTGCATAACCTAAAAAAAATGGATCAGTTAGGAATCTATTGTATCCTCAGGACAAGGAGCATTTCAATTAAAAAATTGAGACCACAGCAATTAATATTATCAAATGAAGACAACAAAAGCTGTGATACATTTTCATTTACTACTGTAATACCGAAGGGCCAATTGCAGCTAGCATATAAGGTTAAAATGTTCATTTCCTTATGACCATATGAATTTTCTGAATGTGGCTTTGGTTATAAATGAACTTCATCTTTTTAAAGAATTTTCCTGATTTATTTAAGGCACTGGCCTCCCTCCTACATGACTGCTGGAGAAAAATAAAACAGTCTTTGTAAATATTATAATCAGGATGTGATACTGGTATATGTGTAATGAATATATACCTATGTATATATATATATTTGCAAATAATTTATTAGACATTGTTAATACTTGACAACAGAAAATTCTGCTAACTCTATTTTCAAAATAGATTGATAATCTGACCACTTTTTATCACTTCTATTACCATACCAGTCCCAGATGCCATCATCTCTCCCTTGGACTACCCTAATAGCATTCTAGCTGGGCTTTCTGCCTCATCCCCTGTCTCCTTATAGACTGCTGTCATTGAAGGAGTCAGAGTGATCTTTTTAAAGGTATATCCAATAATGTCTCTCTCTAGTCAAACTTGCACTAACTCCCCATTTCATCCCTAGTCAAAGCAAAGTTTACTTAGGATGATATACTAGTCTTTACATGATCTAGCCCCCTATTACCTCTCTGGCTCCTTCTAAAACCTCTTTCTCACATTCATTTGGCACTAACCACTCTGGTCTCCTTGATCTTTAATGAAACAGGCATGGTCTCATTTCAAGGCCTTTGTACTAGCTTTTCCTTCTTCCTGGGATACTCTATCCCTAAGTATTCATATGGCTATCACCCTCACCTTACACATTTGAATCTTTGTTCATGTGCTGGTAAAAGGAGGTCTACCTTTGGCATGTTATTTAAAATTGCCTACCCCTCCTGCACAGCACTTTAAATTCTGTCTCCTGCATTATTTTTTTTTAATTGCCATAGCTACTAATAGGTACTTAACTCATATTTGGTATGAAGTAAATGTATTATTATTTTTTGTCTCAGTGCCCCTTGAAACCAATGGTTAGTAGTTAGCCAGGAAAAAAGGTTTACTTTACAGTTATGGGACAGATACTTCTTTTGGTAAATATAATTTCTATATAAAGAGAGAATCCCCTTTATTTTGCTTCATTAGTACCATTTTAACCAGTAGATTTGTAAACAATGAATGCTTTTTTGTGCCTGTTAGCTTAGATCATGCGTATGTAGTATTTAAACTGTGTTAGTAAATTTATTGAATTCACTGGCGTGGATGTGGAGTAATTCATAAAATGTATATTTCCACACCTTGCCACTGTTTTAAATTATTTGTCTGCCCTTAAGCCAGGGTGTGAACTCCGTTTTAGCACATCTGAGTGAGATGTCCCTCCAGTCTAGATGAGCCCTGGAAATTTCTTAACATCACAAGGCCTTGTTTGCTGCTTTTGTGTAGAAAAGTTGGATGCAGTAGTTCCAAAGGAAACAGAAATGGATCATATAATTTGTAGTACTAACATGTCTCTTTTAGCTTACACATCTGTGTTTTAATTGGACTGGATATCACTATTAGGATCATGTATTTAGTATCACACCTAAAACTGCATATTATTTAATTGTGTCGATTTCTGTTGCTTAAAAGGAATTATTCCTAAAAATGCTATTTGATGTGTAATGAAGCATATGACTGTATTTCCACAAAATAATTTTAGGGTTTAATATTTCTCTGTATAAAATATTTTTTAAAACAAAACATAAGCTTCCTAACTTAGAATACTGAAAATATTTATATATTGTTAGAAACAACTCTTATTTGTAAAGATAGCACCAACGTCATTTGTCTTACAAGGATTATTAATGTACATGTTTCTTTTCCAATGCCCGTATTTTAGAAGGAGGGCTGGAGGACCAATAAGCTACTGTCAAGATGCTCCTGAACCCTAACGTTGGAATTGCTTTGTTTTTCTTCCATACCAAAATTCCTCTCAATCTGCTGATTGCAGTATGACGTCATACACAATAGGGAAGTTACACATCAAAGTGATTTTTAAAGACACCCAAAGTGTAGAGGCATTGTATTCTAGGTATGGAAATAAGACTGTGTGTGAGCAAATGTAATTTCACTCTCTCATATTAATTATTATTACCAGAGCATCTGGATGTCATTACAAATGCATTTGGAGAACCCTGGGCTTGTACTTTAAGGGTCACCTTATCAGTAGCACTTCAATGCCTCACACTTCTTGCTCCCATCTGTGTGAATAATAGGAATTCTAGTATTTTTGATGTTTTCTCTTCTTTTATTGATTCAACAATTATTTATGTACCACACACTCAATTTAGGTATCACTTAGAATTCTTACGTGTTTAACTCAAGTGTCCCCTAGGCAGTAGTTTACTGGTCCTATGTAAGGTCGCTGCTAGATGAATGCTGTCCAAAAGAACTTTCTATGATAATGGATATGTTCTCTTTCTGTACTGCCCAATGTGGTAGCCATTGGGCATATGTGGCTATTGAGCACTTGATACGTGGCTAGTGTGACTGAGCAATTGAACTTTTAATTTATTTAATTTTAAATAATCTAAATATAAATAGCCATGTTATCACTCATGGTTATGATATCATGGTTCTGGATATTATTTTTTTCTACAGGGTTAATAGATACTACAAGAAATTTGGAGAAGAATGAGTGTGTTCTCTCTCAATCAGTTATTGACTTCTGCTGGGTTTGGGCCATTGTCTGCCTCCTTTTAAACTCTTAATCATTGCGCTGACTGCAGACCACTACTTGCCCACTGCTGGCCACTGCATTGTCAGTTCCCGAATCTCCAGGACTGCACACATACACTGCTGCTTATGCCCCTGGATCCCCTAGTGCCCTTGGAAAATCTGGAATCCAAGCTCCTACCCGTCATGACTTAGTATTTGCTGCTGCCTCTTGTCTCTCCAAAGCTGTGTCACCTCTGGACCATCTGGATAACTCAGTCCTCTACTGCTGAGGCAGATTTTATGGAAAATTTTAAAGGTAGCTACCACATAATGCTACTCCGCTACTTTTGGAAAAACTCTCAAACTTTTTCTTTCTCCGTTCTCACACCACACAATCATTCATACAGAAGGCTTCCATGACCAAATGTGGGAGGTGGGAGTTTTCCCCATCAGTAATTGAGCAATCAGTTCTGCCATGGATACCATCTGGGTGTCTTTCAACACTGTCTACCTAAAGGTAGTGTCAGATCTCACAGGTTGAGGGCTCGGTCCGCAAAGCTGGCTCCCCTTCAGACACCAGTCACAAGTCCAGGACTCTGGAAGTTCTCATTGACCAGCTCCAAGTTGAGATTCCCACAACCCTTTCTTTTGGGTTCAATTAAGTTGCTAGAGCAGCTCACAGAACTCAGGGAAACACATTTACAGGTTTATTATAAAGGATATTGCAAAGGATACAGATAAAGAGACATGGAAGGCAAAGTATGCGGAATGGGGCATGGAGCTCCCATGCCCTCCTGGACATGCCACCCTCCAGGAACCTCCACAGTTTCAGCTATCCAGAAGCTCTCCTAACCCTATCCTTTGGGTCTTTTATGGAGATTTCATTGCATTGGGATAATTGACAACCATGTTGAAATATGATTGCACAAAATTGATATGATCTAAACCCAGCAATTCTTCTCTGTTTTGATGTTTTTCGGCCTGTGTGTACAGCATTCCTTCCTCCAGAGTATGGGGAAGACCACTCTGGAATGAGGGTCTTTTGACACATAATTTAATTAGAGTTCTGTTTTGGGCAGGTGAAAGGAGGACAGGAGAAAGTGAAGCAGAGAGATTCTGTTTTCTGAGGCCTGCTGTTGAGGCCTAAAGTGCCTCAACATTATAACAAAATACTGCAAAATGTGCTATGGGAGTTATGAGATAGGAAACGTGGACACGTTGGTAGTGGTGTATATGTACATATATACACACACACACACACACACACACACACACCACTACATATATACATATAGGTTTGTGTCCATATTTCCTAGCTCATAACTTCCATAGGCATATATATCTCAACTACCATGTCCATAAAACCAATCAGGAGACAAGTTGGATAAGTTGGATGAGTTGCATGCTTGGTTTTATTACAAGTGTATTGAAAAAATTTACAGGTGTTGCCTTAAGCCTGCTGCCCTCCACACTGGTTCCTGAGTGCTGGACCATGTCCTCTTATTTACATTTATTTGCTACATAAGGATCTAGGTACCTTCATTCAGGCTAGAATTGAGTCCAGGCAGGAGGCCTGTCTTGACATAAAATTCTTATCAAAAGACTCCTTTACTTCCTTTTTTGACATCTTGCCAGGAGGGTCATAGGTGTTTGTAAGAATAAGGCTTTAGTATGTGAGTTTTGTGACAGAGAACTCACTAGATTTTTGTGGTCTTGTGGGCCAAACTGAGCTGCCTGTCAGAGTTTTTCCAGGAGAAAATCTGTCTATGATGCTTACATGCTTACCCTTTTTTTCCTAGCCAAAACTAAACAAAAACAAAATACAGCAATTAAATAATCTTGTCTTGTGCCCCATTCCATGAGCAGGTGGTCTCACAGCACCACTGCTTGTGCTCCTGAGGACACAGCTCCTTCTGCTCCCGCAGGGCTCTCCTTTCCAAGAGTACACAGGCATTGTGGTAGGGAACACACATATGAGGACTGGTCACATACACCCTCACACTGAGCTTGGAATCACTTCCCTCAGAAACTCAGTGGACTCTAGTGTACTCTGTCAGATTTCTTCCTTGCTTGCAGAGATTTTCCCCTTCAGGTCTTCTTTGTTCCTCTCAGCGGCTGCCTTGTTAATTGTATCTCCCAAAGCCCCAATCAATTTATTTGTATTTGTCTGAATCTAAATTGTGGGCAAAGTTCAAAATCTTACCCACAAGTTTTGTGCGCCCCATGTAAGTCATTGGGTACTGATAGAGGTTTAAAAATCCCTGAATTGGTTACAGAGCCCTGTCTGTCTAATGGATCAATAGACCTTTGATTGTGATCCTGCTTAATTCTACATGGCAGGATGATGGGCTCCTCTGAGTCTTGGATTTGACCGAGGGAAAATACTCTAGCCTGCAAAATCTTAAAATAAAAAAATACAATTTACGCCTTTTTCATTGCCCCAAAACATTAAAGTAAATCAGAATAATCATATATGTCACTGTTGGAACACAAATCATAAATATTTTATTAAAAAAGAATATGGTTGATTTAGTTTGTATGACTGTGCACCCAACATATTTACACTCTTCTCTTGGGGAGGCAATGGAGTAAAAGGTAAAGCAAACTCATTTACAAGGTGCTTTTGTGTCCAGAATTGGTGGGTTCTTGGTCTCACTGACTTCCAGAATGAAGCCACGGACTCGCGCAGTGAGTGTTACAGTTCTTAAAGATGGTGTGTCCGGAGTTTGTTCCTTCTGATGTTTAGACTTGTTCAGAGTTCCTTTCTTCTGGCGGATTTGTGGTCTCGCTGGCTTCAGGAGTAAAGCTGCAGACCTTTGCCATGAGTGTTACCGCTCTTAAGGTGGTGTGTCTGGAGTTGTTCGTTCCTCCCATCCGGAGTTGTTCATTCCTCCTGTCCGGAGTTGTTCATTCCTCCTGGTGGGTTTGTGGTCTTGCTGGCCTCAGGAGTGAAACTGCAGACCTTCGCAGTGAGTGTTACAGCTCATGAAGGCAGTGTGGACCCAAAGAGTGAGGAGCAGCAAGATTTGTTGCAAAGAGCGAAAGAACAATGCTTCCACGGTGTGGAAGGGGACCCAAGCGGGTTGCCACTGCTGGCTTGGGCAGCCTGCTTTTATTCCCTTATCTGGCCCCACCCACATCCTGCTGATTGGTCCATTTTACAGAGAGCTGATTGGTCTGTTTTACAGATAGCTGATTGGTCCGTTTTGAAAGGGTGCTGATTGGTGCATTTACAATCCCTGAGCTAGATACAAAAGTTCTCCAAGTCCCCACTAGATTAGTTAGACACAGAGCACCAATTGGTGCATTTACAAACCTTGAGCTAGACACAGGGTGCTGATTGGTGTGTTTACACACCTTGAGCTAGACACAGACTGCTGATTGGTGTATTTACAATCCTTAGCTAGACATAAAGGTTCTACAAGTCCCCACCAGATTAGCTAGATACAGAGTGCTGATTGGTGTATTTACAAACCTTGAGCTAGACACAGAGTGCTGATTGGTGTATTTACAATCCCTTAGCTAGACATAAAGGTTCTCTAAGTCCCCACCAGATTAGCTAGATACAGAGTGCTGATTGGTGCATTTACAAACCTTGAGCTAGACACAGAGTGCTGATTGGTGTATTTACAATCCTCTAGCTAGACACAAAAGATCTCCAAGTCCCCACCCAACTCAGGAGCCCAGCTGGCTTCACCTAGTGGATCCTGTGCCAGGGCCGTGGGTGGAGCTGCTCGCCAGTCCCACGTCATGCACTGGCACTCCTCAGCCCTTGGGCGGTTGATGGGACCCGGTGCCATGGAGCAGGGGGTGGTGCTCATCAGGGAGGCTTGGGCTGAGCAGGAGCCCATGGCAGGGGGGAGGCTCAGGCATGGTGGGCTGCAGGTCCCAAGCCCTGCCCCGGGGGGAGGCAGCTGAGGCCCGGCGAGAATTTGAGCACAGCGCAGGTGGGCTGGCACTGCTGGGGAACCTGGTGCACCCTCCACAGCTGCTGGCCCAGGTGCTAAGCCCCTCACTGCCCAGGGCTGGTGGTGCCGGCCAGCCGCTCTGAGGGCGGGGCCCTCCGAGCCCATGCCCACCCAGAACTCGTGCTGGCCTGCAAGCACCATGCACAGCCCTGGTTCCCGCCCGCACCTCTCCCTCCACACCTCTCTGCAAGCAGAGGGAGCCGGCTCCAGCCTCGGCCAGCCCAGAGAGGGGCTCCCACAGTGCAGCAGCGGGCTGAAGGGCTCCTCAAGCATGGCCAGTGTGGGCGCTGAGGCCCAGGAGGCGCCGAGAATGAGCAAGGGCTGCCGGCACACTGTCACCTCTCACTTTCACATACCTTGGCTTAGTTGTGATGAAAACCCACTGAGGTACATAGGAATGAGGAGACTGAGATTCAGTGAGCTTAAGCAACTTATTCCATTCAACTATATTAAAAATGTTTTTGTAATGAAAAAATTCTCCAAAACACTCAAAATAAATAAAACAAAACAAAATAAAGAGTATAACATTATATTTTGATTATATTTTGGGCGCCTATTAGCTTCTTTTTTTTTTTTAACATAAATCTTCATATTGGGTTTCTTTGCCATATTTCTTATTTAATTAGTGAGTTCCTTCATTCAATATGAAGACTCCTTCAGACAAGTTCTGATAATTTAAATGGAAATCTATTTACAATGAAGTCTTTTTTCCTTTTTTTTAATTAAGAGTTTAAAGTAAAGGTAACACGTAAAGAGAACCCAGATGCCGTAACTCCAAATTTTAGTCAAAAACAGCTGCCTTAACAGTTCTTACCACTATGGCTTTAGAATGGAATTTTCACGCTTGTTCTGCTACCTATTTTTTATTTTATTGAGAAATATTGGTTTGTCAGAACGGCAAGAGGCAAACTCAAATTAAGTTCTGTTGGATTTTCTTTGATCTTTTCCTTTCATAGTCGTTAATAGAATGTGAGCCTTTGACACAGGCAGAGCTCTGCTTTTCCATTCTTGTCTGTGCTTTTCACCCTTACAAATTCTGGAGGACAATGAGTCCTTCCCCATTTGCTCATTTATAAACATGCTGGCTGATTGTGAGCTATGCTGATTTGTTTTCTCAAGCCCTGAGGTTTACGTAATGGAGTGAAGAAAAGAGGTAATGAAGAGTGTCCTTAAAACTGGCAGAAGAGTTCCTCTTTCCCCTCCCATTGCCTTTACCACCCTGATCAATGGGGCATCCTTTAGTGCATATTTACCTCAGGGTCATTGCTGCTGTCGTAGAAGAAATATGTGTAGTAAATGCAGATGGTGTCTCTTGACATTAAAAAAAGGGAGTTTTAACATAATGGCATTCCACTAGCCTAGGACTAAACTATGTGTGGGTGTGTAGGCTCATGTGGAGTATATAAAATCACAAGAATATTGATGGGAGGAAGGCAGGATGGTATAATGGAAACTGAATTGGAACACGTGCCAGCCAAGAGATGTAAAAGCATCTTGTAAATGTATGACCTTAGAAAAATCACTTTGTTTCTCTGTCACCATTTTTTACACTGTCAGATAAAGTCAATAATACTGGGTCTGACAGCTCACAGGAATTATATGTAGACCAAGTGTGGAACTACTTTAAAAACTATAAAATACTGTGGAAAAGCATTGCTAAGGTAATTACAGTCACATCTGGGGTATCTCATATGGAGAACAAAGAGATATTGCGTGTGCAATGTCCCTTATTTTAAAATAATCTTTTAGTTTGAAGGAATATAAATTTAATAAGATACATTCTTCCAGGGAATAAATTATATCTTGAGAATTAATTGGGCATTTTGGAAGCTACATAAATTTGAACAGTAATTTTGTAGATGAGGTTCTGGTGTTCTACTCAACTTCATGCAGCTTATGAATTGGTCAACTTACAATGAAGTCATAATTTATGATTAAGAAAATCTAGTACTATAATTCAAACTCTTATAGTCAATTAGCAAATTGAATGCTGGACTTTTAAGTGCTGATAATTGTATTGGGCAGTAACATGATACAAAAAATAGAATTTGCACCTGTTGAAAAATACATTTCCTCAAGGAAATGGCTTCAGTCATTTAAGAAGAAATAGTTGTAGAAAAATCTCTGGCAAGATGGCCAAATAGGAAGAGCTCTGGTCTGCAGCTCCCAGTGAGACCAATGCAGAAGGCTGGTGATTCCTGTATTTCCAGCTGAGGTATCCGATTCATCTCACTGGGACTGGTTAGAGAGTGGGTGCAGCCCAAGGAGGGCAAACAGAAGCAGGGTGATGTGTTGCCTCACCCGGGAAGTGCAATGGGCCAGGGACCTCCCTCACCCCAGCCAAGGGAAGCCGTGAGGGACTGTGCTATCTGGCCCAGACATTATACCTTTCCCACAGTTTTTGCAACCCACAGACAAGGAGATTCCCTTGTGTGCCTACACCACCAAGGCCAAGGGTTTCAGGCACAAAACTGGGAGGCTGTTCAGGCAGACACCGAGCTAGCTGCAGGAGTTTTTTTGTTTTGTTTTGTTTTTTCATACCCCAGTGGTGCCTGGAACCCCAGCAAGACAGAAGCATTCACTCCCCTTGAAAGGGTGCTGACCACAAAGCCAAGTGGTCTTGCTCAGTGGGTCCCACCCACATGGAGCCCAGGAAGCTAAAACCATTGACTTGAAATTCTCACTGCCAGCACAGCAGTCTGAAGTCAACCTGGGATGCTAGAGCTTGGTGGGGGAAGGGCGTCCACCATTACTGAGGCGTGAGTAGGCAGTTTTCCCCTCACAGTGTAAAGGAAGCCACTGAGAAGTTCAGACTGTGCAACAAAATGGCTGTGGCCAGACTGCCTCTCTAGATTCCTCCTCACTGGGTAGGGCATCTCTGAAAGAAAGGCAACAGCTCCAGTCAGGGACTTACAGATAAAACTCCCATCTCCCTGGGAACAGAGCACCTGGGGGAAGGGGCAGCTATGGGCACAGCTCCAGTATGCTTAAACGTTCCTCCCTGCTGTTTCTGAAAAGAGCAGTGGATCTCCCAGCATAGCGCTCAAGCTCTGTTAAGGGACAGACTGCCTCCTCAAGTGGGCCCTGACCCCCATACCTCCTGACTGGGAGACACCTCCCAGCAGGGGTCGACAGACACCTCACATAGGAGAGCTCCAGTTGGCATCTGTTGGGTGCCCCTCTGGGACGAAGCTTCCAGAGGAAGGAAGAGGCAACAATCTCTGCTGTTCTGCAGCCTCTGCTGGTGATACCCAGGCAAACACAGTCTGCAGTGGATCTCCAGCAAACTCCAGGAGAATTGCAGAAGAGGGGCCTGATTGTTAGAAGGAAAACTAACAAACAGAAAGCAGTAATACCAACATCAACAAAAAGTATGCCCACTCAAAAACCCTATCCAAAGGTCATCAGCATCAAAGACCAAGTGTAGATAAATCTATGAAGATGGGGAAAAACCAGCTCAAAAATGCTGAAAATTTCAAAAACCAGAATGCCTCTTCTCATCCAAGTGATCGCAACTCCTCGCCAGCAAGGGCACAAAACTGGACAGAGAAGGAGTTTGATGAATGGACTGAAGTGGCTTCAGAAGATGGGTAATAATAAACTCCTCTGAGCTAAAGGAGCCTGTTCTAAACCAATGGAAGGAAGCTAAGAACCTTGATAAAATGTTCAGGAACTGCTAACTAGAATAACCAGTTTAGAGAAGAACAGAAATGACCTGATGGAGCTGAAAAACACAGCATGAGAACTTCTTGAAGCATACACAAGTATCAATAGCCAAATCGATCAAGTGTAAGAATGGATATCAGGGATTGAAGATCAACTTAATAAAATAAAGCATGAAGACAAGATTAGAGAAAAAAAATAAAAAGAAATGAACAAAGCCTCCAAGAAGTATGGGACTATGTGAAAAGACCAAACCTATGATTGATTGGTGTACCTGAAAGTGATGGAGAGAATGGAACCAAGTTGGAAAACACACTTCAGGATATTATCCAGGAGAACTTCCCCAACCTAGCAAGACAGGCCAACATTCAAATTCAGGAAATACACAGAACACCATTAAGATACTCCTTGACAAGAACAACCCCAACACATATAATGGTCAGATTCACCAAGGCTGAAATGAAGGAAAAAAGTTAAGCGCAGCCAGAGAGAAAGGTCAGGTTACCCACAAAGGGAAGCCCATCAGACTAACAGCGGACCTCTCTGCAGAAACCCCACAAGCCAGAAGAGAGTGGGGGCCAATATTTGACATTCTTAAAGAATTTTCAACCCAGCATTTCTTATCCAGGCAAACTAAGCTTCATAAGTGAAGGAGAAATAAAATTCTTTACAGACAAGCAAATGCTGAGGGATTTTGTCACCACCAGGCCAGCCTTAGAAGAGCTCCTGAAGGAAGCACTAAATATGGAAAGGAAAAACCAGTACCAGCCACTGAAAAAACATACCAAAATATAAAGATCAACGACACTATGAAGAAACTGAATCAACGAATGTGCAAAATAACCAGCTAGAATCTTGATGATGGGATCAAATTCATAGATAACTTATTAACTTTAAATGTAAATGAGCTAAATGCCCACAATTAAAAGACATGGACTGACAAATTGGATAAAGAGTCAAGACCCATCGGTGTGCTGTATTCAGGAGATCCATCTCATGTGCAAAGACATATATAGGCTCAAAATAAAGGGACGGAGTAATAGTTACCAAGCAAATGGAAAGAAAAAAAGAGGGGTTGCAATCCTAGTCTCTGATAAAACAGACTTTGAACAGACAAAGATCAAAACAGACAAAGAAGGGCATTACATAATGGTAAAGAGATCAATGGAACAAGAAGAGCTCACTATCCTAAATATATATACACCCAAGACAGGAGCACCCAGATTCATAAAGCAAGTTCTTAGAGACCTACAAAGAGACTTAGACTCCCACACAATAATGGTGGGAGACTTTAGCACCCCATTGTCAATATTAGACATTTCATGAGACAGAAAATTAACAAGGATATTTAGGACTTGAACTCACCTCTGGACCAAGAAGACCTAATAGACATCTACAGAACTCTCCACTTCAAATCAACAGGAATATACATTCTTCTCAGCACCACATAGCACTTATTCTAAAATAGACCACGTAATTGGAAGTAAAACACTCCCCAGCAAATGCAAAAGAATGGAAATCATGACAAAGAATCTCTCAAATGACAGTGCAATCAAATTAGAACTCAGCATTAAGAAACTCACTCAAAACCACACAACTACATGGAAACTGAACAACCTGCTCCTGAAAGACTACTGAGTAATGAAATTCAGGCAGAAATAAATAAGTTTTTTGAAACCAATGAGAAGAAAGACACAATGTACCAGAGTCTCTGGGACACAGGTAAACGCAGTGTTTAGAAGGAAATTTATAGCACTAAATGCCCACATCAGAAAGTGGGAAAGATCTAAAATCAACACCCTAATATCACAATGAAGAGAACTAGAGAAGCAAGAGGAAATTCAGAAGCTAGCAGAAGACAAGAAATAACTAAGATCAGAGCAGAACTGATAGAGACACAAAAATCCCTTCAAAAAATCAATGAATCCAGGAGCTGGTTTTTAGAAAAAATTAACAAAATAGACCACTAGCCAGACTAATAAGAAAAGAGAGAGGAATCAAATAGACACAATAAAAAATGATAAATGGGTATCACCACTGATCCCACAGAAATACAAACTACCGTCAGAGAATACTGTGAACACCTCTATGAAAATAAACTAGAAAATCTAGATGGAATGGATAAATTCCTGGACACATACACCATCCCAAGACTAAACCAGAAAGAAGTCAAATCCCTGAGTAGACAAATAACAAGTTTTTAAATTGAGGCAGTAATTGATAGCCTACCAACAAACAAAAGCCCAGGACCAGATGGATTCACAGCCAAATTCTACCAGAGGTACAAAGAGGAGCTGGTATCATTCCTTCTGAAACTATTCCAAACAATAGAAAAAGAGGGACTCCTCCCTAACTCATTTTATGAGGGCAGCATCATCCTGATACCAAAACCTGGCAGAGACACAACAACAAAAAGAAAATATCAGGCCAATATTCCCAATGAATATTGGAATATGCAAAATTCCAGTTCAATGCAAAAATCCTCAATAAAATACTGGCAATCCAAATCCAGCAGCACATTATAAACCTTATTCACCATGATCAAGTCAGCTTCACCCTTGGGATGCAAGGCTGGTTCAACATATGCAAATCAATAAACGTAATCCATCACATAAACAGAACCAATGACAAAAACCACATGATTATCTCAATAGATGCAGAAAAGGCCTTCAGTGAAATTCAACACCCTTCATGCTAAAAACACTTGATAAACTAGGTATTGTTGGAACATATCCCAAAATAATAAGAGCTATTTATGATAAACCCATAGCCAATATCATACTGAATGGGCAAAAGCTGGAAGCATTCCCTTTGAAAACCAGCACAAGAGAAGGATGCACTCTCTCACCACTCCTATTCAACACAGTATTGGAAGTTCTGGCCAGGACAATAAGGCAAGAGAAAGAAATAAAGGGTATTCAAATAGGTAGAGAGGAAATTAAATCATCTCTGCAGATGACATGATTGTATATTTAGAAAACCCCATCGTCTAAACCCAAAATCTCCTTAAGCTGATAAGCAACTTCAGCAAAGTCTCAGGATACAAAATCAATGTGGAAAAATCACAAACATTCCTATACAGCAATAATAGACAGAGAGCCAAATTATGAGTGAACTCCCATTCACAATTGCTACAAAGAGAATAAAATACCTAGGAATACAATTTACAAGGGACATGAAGGGCCTCTTTAAGGAGAACTACAAACCACTGCTCAAAGAAATAAGAGAGGACACAAACAAATGGAAGAATATTCCATGCTCATGGATAGGAAGTATCGGTATCATGAAAACAGCCAAACTGCCCTAAGTATTTTACAGATTCAATGCTATTCACATCAAGCTACCATTGACTTTCTTCACAGAGTTAGAAAAAACTACTTTAAATTTCATATGGAACCAAAAAAGAGCCCATATAGCCAAGACAATTCTAAGCAAAAAGAACAAAGCTGGAGGCATCAGGCTACCTGACTTCAAAGTATACCACAAGGCTACAGTAACCAAAAGATTATGGTACTGGTACCAAAACAGACGTATAGACCAATGGAACAGAACAGAGGCCTCAGAAATAACATATGACCTTTGACAAACCTGACAAAAACATGCAAAGGGGAAAGGATTCCCTACTTAATATATGGTGATGGGAAAACTGGCTAGCCATATGCAGAAAACTGAAACTGGATCCCTTCTTTGCAACTTACACAAAAATTAAATTGAGATGGATTAAAGACTTAAACCTAAGACCTAAAACCATAAAAGCCCTAGCAGAAAATCTACGCAAAACCATTCAGGACTTAGGCATGGGCAAAGTCTTCATGACTAAAACACCAAAAGCAATTGTAAGAAAAGCCAAAATTGACAAATGGGATCTAATTAAACTAAAGAGCTTGTACTCAGCAAAATAAATTATCATCAGAGTCAACAGGCACCCTAGAGAATGGGAGAAAATTTTTGCAATCTATCCATCTGACAGAGGGTTAGTATCCAGAATCTACAAGGAACTTAAACAAATTTTCAAGAAAAAAAACAACCCCATCAGAAAGCGGGCGAAGGATATGAACAGACAGTCCTCAAAAGAAGATGTTTATGTGGCCGACAAACATATGAAAAAATCTCATCATCACTGGCCATCAGAGGAATGCAAATCAAAACCACAATAAGATACCATCTCATGCCAGTTAGAATGGCAATCATTAAAAAGTCAGGAAACAATAAATGCTGGAGAGGATGTGGAGAAATAGGAACAATTTTACACTGTTGGTGGGAGTGTAAATTAGTTCAACCATTGTGGAAGATTGGTGATTCTTCAAGGATCTAGAACCAGAAATACCATTTGACCCAGCAATCCCATTACTGGGTATATACCCAAAGGATTATAAATCATTCTGCTATAAAGACACATGCACACGTATGTTTATTACAGCACTATTTACAATAGCAAAGACTTAGAACCAACCCCAATGCCCAACAATGATAGACTGGATAAAGAAAATGTGGCACATATACACCATGGAATACTATGCAGCCATAAAAAAGAATGAGTTCATGTCCTTTGCAGGGATATGGATGAAGCTGGAACCATCATTCTCAGCAAACTAACACAGGAACAGAAAACGAAACACCACATTTTCTCACTTACAAGTGGGAGTTGAACAATTAGATTCTGGATGTGTATCCCATAACTTAAAATTTTAAAAAATATATATGAACAAGGCTTAGGGATCTAATGTACAGCATGGGTGGTGATGGATGTGTTCATTGATTTGACTGTGATAATCATTACAATGTGTACTTATATCAAATCATCATGTTGTGCACCTTTGATGTATTCAATCTTTATCTGTCAATTAAATTCTTAAAAAGGAACAAATAAAAAAAGAAAAATCAACTGATTTAGTCTTAGATATAGGAAAATAAAAATCAAGGTGAGTTGAAGCTTGTCAAAGAAAGCTTCTGAGGGTTACCTTTTAAAATAGAATGGATTCTTTGATTTTTATTATTACTACAAAGAAAGCTTACTTGTATATGAGACCTTCCTATAATTTATTTCATTTTTGACATCTATTATCTCATTTTATAAATACAAAATTATCAGAAACTCTAAGTCCAAACTATAGTAACTATTAATTCACTGGTAAAATGCGTTGACTCTAATTTTTCCCTTCTTCCTTTAAAAGAGAATGTATATAATTTTTACATATATATCATGAGGAATGAGGAAGAAAAATAAAATATTTCCTGGATAAAGTTACTTCCTAAAAAATCCACTTTTCACTTTAGCATGCTTTTGTAAGCCTGAATATGTATACTGCCCAGGCACCTTTTGCCTAAACAGAAAAGTTTTGTAGGAACTACCAGAGGCAGTAGGAACAGTCTATCATTTCCATCCCATTCACAAATGTTGATCCCAAGCATACTCCTTAATAAACCTCTTGCATGGCAAATCCCACCTCAAAGTCTTCTCCCTGGAGTCTCAACCTGCCCTGGTTAATGGTCACTACTTTTTGAGGATGTATAGTTTATCACTTTTTTTCTGAGCTTAAGATTTACTTTTGTGTATGAGGTTGGTATATACCCCAAGAAGAAAAGCTATGTAACACATCAAAGAAGAAATGCAAGGTGGGAAGTGGGGAATGCCAGAGAGAAAAAGGCTAGGAATGATCCAAATGGAATTGGAATAAAAATGTTGGGCTTGAAATTATATATTGAAATAAGCAGTGTTGAAGCTATAATAAGAAACATGAATTACTAAGAATTAACAGCTTACCTGGACAAAGCAAGGGGCATAGTCTGTGTGAATCCTATACCATGATACCATGACTGAGTCTATTAATGAACACGTGGCCGTTTTCGGCTTCGCCAGGGAAAGTATCTAGTGTACAATGTTGGTTGAGACCAAGTACAAAGCCTTAATCTCCCTTATGTTTCTCCCACTTTGTAGAAGGACATATAATGACATTAATATTGAGATTAACAAAACGTATTGACTTTTGCCATATTCTAAATGTGTGTTCTGAATTGTGTTTTAGAGATCTAGAATAACCATGCCTAGATTTCTAACCCACAGAAACTGAGATAATAAATGTTGTTTTAAGCTGCTACGTTTTGGGATCAGTTGTTATGCAGCAATAAATAACTAATACAGATATTAAGGAGCATATTGGAATACTTCCTTCTTTGTTTTTAATACTGATAAAATTTAGGACGAATGCCTGACTATTATTTTAGGTGACTTTTATAAATCATGCCAAATATATACATGTATGCTATACTTTTGATTCTCTTTTCAATACCGAAATCAAATATAATTTGAAGAGAATAATTTTATTTAATTTCTGGATATGTTATATGGAGTGTGGCTAAGGCAGCATGATAAATACTGACTTGAAGAAAATCTCAATTTTTCTATCATTTTTGACAGAAAATTTATATTGGTTTTATAAATAGCCTTAATTCTTCAAGTGCTGTGTCATTTGCATCTGCATATTACATTTTTTCTTTCCTCCAATCATGCTACCAATCACTATTATCATGCTTACTTAGACAGAAAAAGGTGTCCATAGACTTTTAAGTCTTATATCAGACTCACACAGTTAATAACTCTCAGTATAGTCATGATCTGAACCCCAAAAATGACTAGTTCTGAAGTTCATTAAACTGTTTTTTAATAGTTTTGTAGGCGTTATGTTTTTGTAGCCTTCATAAAGCTCACCTTAGCAAAGCATCTGAAGTATAGCATTCAGGATGCAGAGAATTTGTGGAACACATGCTAGTGAATTTCTGTGTGTAACTGATTCAAGGGTGCCTTTATTAAAGGCTCAAAGTAGTCCTCAGTTTTCTTCCTTTGAGCATCACATATGCTGTTAGATTTCAAGTAAATTAGTTCAAGGGCTGGATCCAGATGGAATCACGTAAGATTCTTTGTCTAATTTAAGTCCTCAGTTCTTCTGAGAGTAATTTAGGAAATCTATCGACAGTTTCCTTCAGTAAGGCTCTTTTAATGGTAAAATGCTTTGTACTCTGATTTTTTTTTTTTTTTTGCTAGCCTGAACTAACTTTTTTCCTTCCAAGAGATATTTGTTCTCCTTATTGTTGTGTTGAGCTAAATCATCAGTGTGAAGAAGTTCTACCTTATATTCATATGACAACACCCAGCTATAGTACCATCTTGGTCGGATATGCTGGAGAACACACAGTGTGTCCAATCAATTTAATGAAGTCGTTTTTTTGAGCTTATAGAAGTTGCATTAAACACGACATGGACCAATCTGCATGTTACACATTCAGTCTTATGTATATGAGAATCTTTTACTTTCAGAATTTATAAGATTATTGTGTTTGCAATGTAAACAATAGTATCATACAATGTAACATAAAACTGGTACTTTGTAAGAATTTTTAATGAAATTTAAAGTGTATTATCTGAGGTTACTCCTTCTTTGTAAAGAATATATATTTTGCTTTTTAGAAACTCTAAGACAGACATGGGGCTGGTATATCTAGTAAATAATACTACCACATTGAGATACATTTCCAATATTCTGATATTCACTTTCCTTCTTCCAAGTATGAGGCACATTTTAGATTAACTGTTTGCAAGCTTGTTTATTGCATGAGTGTAGTATAAGCTACTTTTAAAATTTATCTGGCATATAAAGATACAGCCTTTCTGCCTGGTGGTTTTTATGGGACATTATAAATGTATTTATTTCAGTCAAGATGCATCACTGGAGAGCTGCATTGTAAATTCCACATGCAAGATGAGCCTGCAGTTCATCATTTATAGATCTCCAAAGTTTCAGGGTTTAAACAGATGGTATAGATAAGGACTAGTAAATTAAGGTGAGAATTTAGGGTACAGAGCCCCAATATTAATAAGGAGATCTTTATATTCAAACATAACTGGAAAACTGGAATTACTGTCTCCCTTGCTTGATATTTTCTAAAGCTAAAAGGGCCTGTCTTACAGAAGAGTTTTCCTGTCTTATTTTGCCTGTAGTCATGTTAGAATATCTGTTATTAAAGTGACTACACTACACACTGGTGTTTCATGAGATGATAAGGACTCTGAAAGCAAAAAAGGATTCTATCTGCAATTTGAGGAGTTTAAAAAACCTAAGTAGAGTGGTTAATAACATTTTTACTTTGGAATAAAGGTTTTAAAACATTTAGTCTTGTAAAAGTTAAATCAGAAATATCAATGTGAATGTATTAACTTTAAAAATATTTTCTAGCTATGTTACTAAGTGGGTCTGCAAGTGTCACTTAAAAAAAACACCATCAATAATTATGTGGAACAATTATATTTCTGGTCAGATTTCTGTGTCTAATACTGTTCTTCATCCAAAATAAATCAGGTTTTGTTGTGGGATTTAGGATGAGCCATGTTCTTATTGTTTCCAGAGAGAAAAAATATTTTTTAAAAAGTGGGGAGTATACATGGTTGAAATCACAAACGAGCCAGTTTAAAGAATTTCTCATAGGTAAAGCTGTTATATTTTGAGTATTATACAGAAAACAATAATTAATCAAAGCTATGTGTCCCTAATAATACTCAAAATATAAAAATAATAGGTATTTTAAAGTGTGGCAGGGAGTGGTGGCTCACGCCTGTAATTCCAGCACTTTGGGAGGCTAAGGCGGGCAGATCACTTGAGCTCAGGATTTCGAGACCAGACTGGCCAACATGGTGCAACCCCGTCTCTACTAAAAATACAAAAATTAGCCGAGTGTGATGGCTGCATGCCTGTAATCCCAACTACCTGGGAGGCTCAGGCAAGAGAATATCTTGAACCAGGGAGGTGGCAGACTTTCCAATAAATTATCGTAAAAAGTGTTTGTATTGAACAATTTGAATGGGATGCATACTTTATTTAAATTTTGCTAAAAATCTGAAGTTAGAATTTCCTTGCAAAATTTTGTAGCTTTCTATGGCACCTCATCATTTTAAAAAGTGTACTATCTCACGTAAAATATCATCCAAGAGGTAAGGTAAGCTCTAATATCCAGTTTACCAAACACCTGTGTCCTTTCCATGTCATTTGGTCATGCAGTCAGTACTGACTTTCCTACCAGGCTGGCTGTTTCATGATCATAAGTTACTTTCAGCAGTAACTGGAAAGAGAAGCACCTCCCAGCCATTGCTTTCGTTCAACCTGCGTGTGACAACTTTAGCCCTGTGCTTAACTCTGAAGAAAGAGCTTCTAGGTGTCTGCCTTTGCTTTCACTGACAGATTCATTAGGAAACACCCTGGATTCTAAGGATGGGGCAGATTCCTCTGATTACCTGAACCGTCTGAGGGCTGAATTCCTGAAAAAAATCAGATATGATTTGGAGAAAAAACATGGGCTTAGGAAAAAAAACAATTATTATGATAACACTAGCCATAATATGCCAGTTTTACTCAAATTATTATTTTATCTAGGTGTCTGTGTCCCAGTTACAGCCCTCTGATTGGTTGCCCAAATTTGTAATTGTATCCTAGTCCTAAATTTTCTACTGATCAGACTTAGTTGAGTTTAAGGTTGTTAATTCTGTTCTCTGTAGGCATTATGTGACTCTACAATGCCAGTGGAAGTATGAAAGTAAGGATAGAGATGATAAATAAATCAGCCAAACTCATCTGGTTCAATTAAATTCATAAATTAAAAAATATTTTTATAATCTGTGGAGATTTTTTCTACTTCTTGAGGTGTTTGGAATCCCCAGAAAAAAACATAACTTAAATTGTAAGTTTTAATTTCTTAAGAAAACTATGATTAACATTTAAATTGTTTGCTGGAACTTAACTAAACCTGATAATACTTATTTAGGGAACATTCAATTGTCATATTTATAAACTAATCAAGGAAAAATAAAAAATATTTACAATTTAACCCTGAAATCACTAAATTTGTAAATAAAATACCAAGATTTGTAGGTTGAACTTAAGGGACATAAGAAGAAAATCATATTTACAACTTTAATAGATGTTAAACATAGTGATTATAGCAATTATTTTTCCTTCACATGTACCTAGAACCAGCTTTGGCTATGAGCAAGGATGTGGTGTAGGGAAAGTGAAATATGTATGCCTACTCCAGCTGATATGTATCATACTATTTATGTAATTTAATACTTTGGATTTAGCCCCTAAGGTGATAAGGAATCTACGTATGACTTCCTTGGTGATAGAAATTATGGAAATCAAGGACAGGATAATGCCCCTGAATCAGGTAAACATCAGAAACATCACTTCTTCCCCTCTTTATTATGTATGTGGTAATAAGGTCAGATAGAAGAAATTAGGAGAAGATGTCTGAAGAATATTTTGGAAAAGTGGAGGTTGTATAATCTTTAGTGCCTTCTTTCTTGGACTGGGGCTATGTTTAACTTCAGGTCTTGATAGATAATGTATAGTTGAGAAATGTTAAGTTTCTGTGAGTCACCTGAACTCTGCTTGCTCTAAATTTCTTCTGAATCCTGAAAGGCCCCAAATTTGATTGGTGAATACAGAGGGCTTCAATAGTGAGTCCTGATACCAGTTCTTGATGGATTATCTCTTTACTATAATCACCTATGCTCACAGCGGGCTATGGGTTTTCCTTGTGAAATTTATTATGTTGGCGCAAAAGTAATTGTGATTTTTGCCATTTTTCCACCAACCTAATAAAACTCCCATTTAGCAGAAGCTGTTGATGAAGAAATTATCTAGAACTCCACGAGTCTATCAACTATTTTGTTTCCAAATGAGGGAAGTGTTGTAAAGGCATTAGGATGTTGGTATGATGTACAGATATTTAAAGGGTCTGATAAAATAAAGGATGTTTTTCTAAGCATATGTAGCAAATCATGTAATGTTAGAATGGGCCAAGGGCTTTGAAGTAGTAATTTAAAGTCATTCTGTTTCAGAGCTTGAGAAGGCTTTACACTGCTCCTATTTCGTTTTAATAGGATCTCTCTTAATTTCCAGTAGATAAGAATCATTGCTAACCAGGTTAACAAGAACAATTCAAGCTTTTATCTTTTTTTTTTTTTCTGTAACAAGACCCTAAAACGAACTCCTTCCCTTACCCCACCAACCATGATGACTGAATTTGTTTTTAACTGAAATGAAAAGAGAGAGAAATTATCCATGGGGATGTGAAGACTCAGAAAGGTTCAGTATGAGTCACTCTAGTACTTGCATAAATCTGCCAATCAGAAGAATCAGGATGCTGGAAATAGGTAGAAGTGGAAACTGAAGAGTAGAATAATTAGAGCAGAGCTCCTCAAACTTTAATGTGCATATACATCATCTGAGAGAATGTCCTCTAAAATGTAGACACTGATTCAGTAGGTCTAGGAATCTGTACTTTTTAACAAGTTCCAAAGTGATACAAATATAGTTTGCAAAGCATGTGGTAAATTAGAACTTGGGAGTGACCATAGAACAGACATAATCAGAGATTATCTGGGAAACGTGTCCCTGTAGAAGGGGACTCCAGATATGGATGTCAAATGGGCAAAAGAGGGGCAAGTGGTTCAGAACCAGGAATCTGACTCCCCTGTTGTGTGGGCAGGTGTGGGCTAGACAAGGC
The DNA here is from genome assembly GCF_000001405.40 of Homo sapiens. NCBI lineage: Eukaryota > Metazoa > Chordata > Mammalia > Primates > Hominidae > Homo > Homo sapiens. The sequence goes on along the minus strand of NC_000003.12, from coordinate 22,401,904 downwards.
AGTGGGGATCACTATTGGACTCCAGGTCAGAGAAGAACAGAAGAAATTTGGTTAAAATATCTTATTTTAGACTGAAGTGTTGGGGTTGGGTAGGAGCCTCAAATAATCCTTTAAAAGTCTAATTTGGGCTTCTCCAAACTTAATACCAGTCATTTCTGAGTCATTCTTTAAAAAGGCAGATAATATCTCTTTATTATTTATCTATGTCTGTACCCATCCATTTGTCCATCCATTGTCTATCAGGAATTTTGCACATGTTATTTTCATTCCTTAGAGTGCTCTTTCATTTTTTAAATGACAGTTTCCATTGTCATTTGGTTCTCAGACTAAATGCCATGTTCATTAATAGGCTTCCTGTTGTTGTTCCTCATAATAACCTGTTGGTTTACACCTCAGCTCATTGTTCCTTTATGTGTTCCCTGTTACTTAACTAATAAATATTTATTGTGGCTGGGCATGGTGGCTCATGCCTGTAATCCCAGCACTTTGGGAGGCTGAGGAGGGCAGGTCCCCTGAGGTCGGGAGTTCGAGACCAGCCTGACCAACATGGAGAAACCCTGTCTCTACTAAAAATACAAAATTAGCTGAGTGTGGTGGCACATGCCTGTAATTCCAGCTACTCAGGAGGCTGAGGCAGGAGAATTGCTTGAACCCTGGAGGTGGAGGTTGCAGTGAGCCGAGATCATGCCATTGTACTTCAGCCTGGGCAACAAGAGCAAAACTCTGTCTCAAAAGAAAAAAAAAAATATATATATATATATACACACACACACGCATATATATATACGCACATATATATGTACACATATATATGTATTCATGTATATATAGTACTCCTACTATATGACAGGACTTTCCACAGTGCTAGAAATGTAGGCCTAGACAAAGATAAAAATGTTTGTTTTCAATTCTAGTGAGCTGTTTTCTATGTAGGTTTAACTAAAGTTTGCAATTGTTTTGATTGTTTAATTGTTAACCTATTACAGTGTAGAATGCATGACTCCAGAAACCATAAATATCTTATTCAGTCATATATTTGTAATATTTGTTGAATAATTTAATGATGAAAGTAGAATAATAGCAATGGAGCTAAAAATCTTTCATGGAACATGTGCAATTACACAAAGAAAAATGAGAAAGATCAGGGACATTAGTAAGATACTTGTGATGGAATATAAATAAGATTTCTTATTCAAGGCTACTGGGTAGATATTGGAAAACTTATTTAAGTGGATCTTTAAAAATGAAATTTTATAGGGTAAGAGGGAAAAAAATAATTGTGCTCTGGACATAGGGAACAGCATGTTGCTGGGAGCAAAATGTAAGCATAGTGTGTTTTCAGTCCTGGAAAAAAATATTTAAAAAAAGCATAGTGTGTTTTCAGTTCAAGGAAGGGAGTAACGAGATAAATGTGGGAGGTGGAGAGAAGCCGGTGTATGAAAGCTATGTTAAGATACATGTTAAGAAGTGAAGTCTTGTAAATCATATTGAGAAATGTAGACTTTATGCTAAGATCAATGGGGAGTGACTGTGTACTTCTAAATGGGAACACTGTAAGTTTAGTTTTAAAAGATTATTTGATGTACTCTGAACAAGGTATTGGACAGAAGCAAAACTATAGGCAAGTTGGAAGGTTATTGTGCTAATTTAGGCCAAATCTATTTAAAAACTATTAGAACTAATAAGTTCAGCAAAGTTACAGGATGTAAGACAATTATATATAAATCAAATGTAGTTCTATGCATGAGCAATTAACAATTAGAAAATAAAGTTAAGAAAATACTTTTATTTATGACAGTATCAAAATAAAATACTAAGAATAAATTCAATAAAATAAACATAAAAATTATGTTATGAAAACTATGAACTGTCATTGAAAGAAGGGAAAGAAGTTCTGACTAAATGAAAAGTTATCTCATGTTCATGGATTAGAAGATTTAATATTGTTAAGATGGCTGTACCACTCAAATTAATTTACAGATTCCATACAGTCCCTATTAAAATATTAGCTGGCTTCTTTCAGAAATCGACAAGCTATACTAAAATTCGTATGGAAATTCAAGGGACCTGGAATGGCCTAACTACCTTAAAAAAAGTACAAATTTGGATGACTCACACTCACTGATTTCAAAACGTAATGCAATGCTGCAGTAATCAAAACCATATGGTACTGGCATAAGGGCAGATGTATAAATTAATAGAATAGCAGTGAGAGTCCAGAAACAAACCATCACATTTATGATCTATTAATTTTTAACAAGGATCCTAAGACAATTCAATGGGAGAAAGACTAGACATTTCAATAAATGGCGCTAGGATTGCTGGGTATCCACACATAAAAGAATAAAGATGGGTGCCTTCCTCACATTAGATACAAAAATTAACTCAAAATAAATTAAAACAAAATGTAAGAGCTAAAGGGTAAAACCCTTAAAAGAAAATATAGGTATAAATCTTTGTGACATTTCATTAGCAATGGTTTCTTAGTATTACACCAAAAGCACAGGCAACAAAAACAAATAGACAAACTGGACTTTATCAAAATTTAAAATTTTTGTTTTTAAAAGGATACTACCAAGAAAGTGAGAAGACAATGCACAGAATGAGAAAAAATATTGCAAATCATATACTTGATAAGTGAGTTGTATCTAGAATGTATAAAGAGTACTGAGAACTCAATAACATAAACACAAAAACCCAGTTAAAAAATGGGAAAAGGTTCTGAATAGACATTTCTCTAAAGAAGATTTACACATGGCCAACAAGCACATGAAAAAATGTTCAACATAATTAACCATCAGAAAAATGCAAATCAAAGTCACAATGAGATACCACTAGATATCCATTAGGAAATATATAATTTTAAAAGACCAGTAATAACAGCTGCTGGTGAGAATATGGGGAAATTTGAATGTTCATACACTGCTGATGTGAAAGTAAAATTGTGTAGCCATTATAGAAAACATTTCTTAAAAGGTTAAACATAGGCCAGATGCGGTGGCTCACACCTGTAATCCCAGCACTTTGGGAAACCCAGGCGGGCGGATCATGAGGTCAAGAGATCTAGACCATCCCAGCCAACACGGTGAAACCCCATCTCTACTAAAAATAAAAAAAAATTAGCTGGGCATGGTGGCACACACATGTAGTCCCCCAGGTACTCGGGAGGCTGAGGCAAGAGGACTTCTTGAACCTGGGAGGCAGAGGCTGCAGTGAGCCGAGATCGTGCCACTGCACTCCAGCCTGTTGACAGAGCAAGACTCCGTCTCGAAAAACAAAAACAAACAAAACAAAAAAAGGTTAAACATAGAGTTACCATGTGACATAGCAATTCCACTCCTAGTTACATATCCAAGAGAAATGAAAATATATGTCTACGTCAAACTTGTACATGAATATGCTTAGCAAAATTACACATAATACCCAAAAAAGGAAAAACAACCCAAACGTCCATCAATTTATGAATGGATGAATAAAATGTGGCATATCCATACAATGGAAAAATATTCAGTAGTAAAAAACAATGAAATACTAAAACATGCTATAAGGTGTGTGAATCTTGAAAACATGCTAAATGAAAGAAACCAGTCATGAAAGAACACATGTTGTATGATTCCATTTATATGAAATGTCCAGAATAGTCAAATCTATAGAGATAGAGGATTAGTGGTTGCCAGGAGTGAGAATAGTGAGAAAATAGGGAATGACTGCTGAGTATGAGGTTTCTTTCTAGGGAGAAGCAAATTGTTCTAAGGTTGACTGTGGTGATAGCTGCTCAATTCTGCGATAACACTATAAATCACTGATTTGTACATTTTACACGGGTGAATAATATTGTATTCTAATTATATCGCAAAGCTGTTATATTTAAACAGACCTAAATAAAAGTTGTTAGTGGCCTGCTCTGCAATATTAATGATAATAGGAATAAAATCACGGCATATTTAGGAAAAATAATCAACTGGACATAGATAACAGGTGTTAGACAGAATGTTAGTACAGATGCTCTGAGAGGCAGAAGCAAGCATGGGGTTAAACATGCAAGAATTTTATTAAGCAGAGTACCTACGTGAAAAAAAAGTAGGGAAAAAGCTGGAAAGGTTGGGAGAGCTGGCAGATCATTATGCAAGTGTGATCTCAAGTGAAGAAGAGAAAGAGAAGGTTAGGTGGAAGTTTTCCAGATGGTGTAGAGTCCAATAAATTTTCTGCAAAGTTGTTTATTATGGAGTTTTCAAACTAAAGCTGTCCATCTGAGGAGGCCTTTATCTCTAGGAATGAATGAATCTACCACAGGATTTCTGATGAACTTCATCAATGGCCCTATAGAGTTGTGACCCCAGTACAAATGTGGGATGGATTTCCTGGTGCATTACCTATAGCCTTGTATTTGATAATCTGTGAGTGCATGCTCATGCACCATGGACAGTATCAAGTATGATTCTTAAGTTTCTCACCAGAACATTGGGACATTCATTCATTAAAATAGGGAATAGCATGGGAGGAGTTTGTGGATACTTGGGGACATATATTGAGGTTTGGATATGGGTAACACACATCTATATAGACCATTTAAAAGTATGCCCTCTCTCACCACTCCTATTCAACATAGTGTTGGAAGTTCTGGCCAGGGCAATCGGGCAGGAGAAGGAAATAAAGGGTATTCAATTAGGAAAAGAGGAAGTCAAATTGTCCCTGTTTGCAGATGACAAGATTGTTTATCTAGAAAACCCCATCATCTCAGCCCAAAATCTCCTTAAGCTGATAGGCAACTTCAGTAAAGTCTCAGGATACAAAATCAATGTGCAAAAATCACAAATATTCTTATACACCAATAACAGACAAACAGAAAGCCAAATCATGAGTGAACTCCCATTCACAGTTGCATCAAAGAGAATAAAATACCTAGGAATCCAACTTACAAGGGATGTGAAGGACCTCTTCAAGGAGAACTAGAAACCACTGCTCAAGGAAATAAAAGAGGCTACAAACAAATGGAAGAACATTCCCTGCTCATGGATAGGAAGAATCAATATCATGAAAAGGCCATACTGCCCAAGGTAATTTATAGATTCAATGCCATCCCCGTTAAGCTACCAGTGACTTTCTTCACAGAACTGGAAAAAACTACTTTAAAGTTCATATGGAACCAAAAAAGAGCCCACATCGCCAAGTCAATCCTAAGCCAAAAGAACAAAGCTGGAGGCATCACGCTACCTGACTTCAAACTATACTACAAGGCTATAGTAACCAAAACAGCATGGTACTGGTACTAAAACAGAGATGTAGACCAATGGAACAGAACAGAGCCCTCAGAAATAATGCTGCATATCTACAACCATCTGATCTTTGACAAACCTGAGAAAAACAAGCAATGGGGAAAGGATTCCCTATTTAATAAATGGTGCTGGGAAAACTGGCTAGCCATATGGAGAAAGCTGAAACTGGATCCCTTCCTTATACCTTATACAAAAATTAATTCAAGATGGATTAAAGACTTACATGTTAGACCTAAATCCATAAAAACCCTAGAAGAAAACCTAGGCAATACCATTCAGGACATAGGCATGGGCAAGGACTTCAGGTCCAAAACACCAAAAGCAATGGCAACAAAAGCCAAAATTGACAAATGGGATCGAATTAAACTAAAGAGCTTCTGCACAGCAAAAGAAACTACCATCAGAGTGAACAGGCAACCTACAGAATGGGAGAAAATTTTCGCAATCTACTCATCTGACAAAGGGCTAATATCCAGCATCTACAAAGTACTCAAAGAAATTTACAAGAAAAAAACAACCCCATCAACAGGTGGGTGAAGGATATGAACAGACACTTCTCAAAGGAAGACATTTATTCAGCCAAAAGACACATGAAAAAATGCTCATCATCACTGGCCATCAGAGAATCAAAACCACAATGAGATACCATCTCACACCAGTTAGAATGGCAATCATTAAAAAGTCAGGAAACAACAGGTGCTGGAGAGGATGTGGAGAAATAGGAACACTTTTACACTGTTGGTGGGACTGTAAACTAGTTCAACCATTGTGGAAGTCAGTGTGGTGATTCCTCTGGGATCTAGAACTAGAAATACCATTTGACCCAGTCATCCCATTCCTGGGTATATACCCAAAGGATTATAAATCATGCTGCTATAAAGACACATGCACACAACAGTATGTTTATAGCAGCACTATTCACAATAGCAAAGACTTGGAACCAACCCAAATGTCCAACAATGATAGACTGGATTAAGAAAATGTGACACATATACATGATGGAATACTATGCGGCCATAAAAAATGATGAGTTCATGTCCTTTATAGGGACATGGATGAAGCTGGAAACCATCTTTCTCACTAAACTGTCGCAAGGACAAAAAACCAAACACTACATGTTCTCACTCATAGGTGGGAATTGAACAATGAGAACACATGGACACAGGAAGGGGAACATCATACACCGGGGCCTGTTGTGGGGTTGGGGGAGGGGGAAGGGATAGCATTAGGAGATATACCTGATGTTAAATGACGAGTTAATGGGTACAGCACAGCAACATGGCACATGTATACATATGTAACAAACCTGCACGCTGTGCCCATGTACCCTAAAACTTAAAGTATAATAAAAAATAAATAAAAATAAAAAAATAAAAGTATGAACATGAAAATCAGAAATATGGATACAGGACTTAAATGGTACATGAATGAGCAATGTAGGATAGAGGTAAAGACTTGAACATCATGATCAAACAGGTGATAATTGTAGATGAGATGAGTGCTACGACACAGACCAGCTAGGGTTATAGAAAGATTCTGGGGGAGATGTTTCTTGAGCCTGAAGGATGTGAAGGAGTAAGCTAGGCAAAAATGGTGGCACAAAGGTGCTCAAGATGGTAGGATTATCCTGTGCAACGTGTGCACCCAGGAAGAGCACTATGCTTTCAAGGATCTGTAAGTAATTTCTTTGGGTGGAGATGCATATGGAAAAGTAGAGAGAAGTTATACTGAAGAAGTAGGGAATGCCAAGGTGCAGAAGAGTTCCAATATTTTGTTAGAGTTTGATTTTAGAGAAGGGTGACAAGGAACATACATTTTAGAGGATCACACTGGCATTGATATAGATATAGAAATAGTGTGTACTCTAGTAAGCTAGAGAGGCCTACCCTGTCTAAAGAGGCCCATAATAATGATTTTTAAGTAAAAATTGTTTATATGAATGTTGTACTTCAGGAGAGCAAACATGATATTAAATAGATGTTTACATCATTTTTAAGATGGATCCCTTTTTGTAAGAGTTTTAAAAATCCAATTAAACAGAGTTTACCCATTAAAATATTAATTATCTTGACCATATCATTGTACTTTTTAGTGATGAACCTAGTATTTATTTTTCAGTAATACTTTAGGGAAGTAGTGTGATTATTTCTTATAATTGCAGCTTGAATTGTTGAGTTTTGCTTTAAGCTATTAATAAGCCAGAATAGGTGAACAATTATAATTTCCTTTTTCAAAGAGTATTTGAATGTTTGTAGTAAATTCTCAGGAGATCTCATTCAGGTAGAATTCTGGACTCTGACCTCATCAGTCTACATTATTTTAGTTACTTTGGGATCAAAAGTGAAGTTCTGACAGTCTCCAAATAGGGAGTAACATTTTACTTTATGTTATTTATAAATTTTCATACTGAATTTAATCTGTAGGCTCATTGGTAAGAGATTATACTTCCAAGCAAAGCACACCCTGAAAATTTGCTGTCTTCTTAAGTAGAAAATATCGGACTACTGATGCTAGCATTAAAAGAAAACTGCGCACAGATAACACCAGGACTTTTGGTTTCAGGAAGACTTGTTTGCCTGACTTATTTGTTTTATTTTAAAAAATGTTCCAGCATAGAGAGAACAAAATCTGAAGTCCATTCCCAGGAGCCATCCGTATAACATTGGTCGCTGTTAGTTTAGGAAAGATTATTTTCTGATCACAAAACATTCTGGAACAATTTTGTTCAAAGATTATATTTTGTATTCTCTAAGAATATGTCATATGATACTTGGGTCTTCATACCAAAGTACAATTTTAGATAATTTTGGATATTTCAGTTCTAAGAAAATGTCTTCTGAACTGAATAGACTATTGCTGCAAATGTTTAAATATTTATTTGTTATCTATATTATCACCTACCAGAATATAACATCTACCACATAATATGTAAAAGTAAAACAAGAAACTATATGTGAAAAAATGCGTAACTTTTTAAGTAGGCATATAGTTATCACTCCCTTAACTCTGCCCAAGATCTGTGTACTCCTAGCATGGAAATAAACACCTACACATCCTAGAAATATTTCCTATAGAGCACATCAATTTTATCTATATAAAATATATGCTTAATTTGCTAAAGGAATAATATGCCTCACAAAGGGTGTTCATGTATAAAATGCTTTCTTTTCTAGTTAGTAAAACATGATTTAAAATAATATATTTGCTTCTCAATGGTAAATTTTTAAATTAATCTGAATCATTGTAAATTTTTTTTTATGTTGATATTTGAATGATTTGCTCATTTATCTGATAAATGTACCAGAGCATTTTAGGATGGACACACTGGTTTGCAAATGTACTTATTTTCTTATATCTCCACCTGGGATTTTGTTTGTTAAAAATGCTAAAAAGTTCACTTCCCAAATAGAAGTTTATGGGGGAATATGTATGTGTGTCAAGGTTTTAATAATTATGTTGATTATTGATTGGCTGTTGAATCAACTGTTCCAATTTGAAAAATTTTGAAGATAAGAAGATTAATTTTTACAAATAAGATAATATGCAGGCAGGCAGAACCTGATTGGAGATAAAGGTCAGTAGCCATCTGTTCCTCAGTCTTATTTAGAAGAGCAGAAGGTGTGGTATGTCATGCCCAAGCTGTTTTCAAATGCATGATAACAAAAAATGTAACATCATTTGGAAGGTGAATTTTTTAAAATTTCACCTTCAAGCAAATTTCTTCCTCAGATAAACAAAATAAATATTTAGTTTCTGCTTAAATTTTTTTCTGCAGAATGAAAAGATATGCAGCTCCCTAAGCTAAATGAATGTACTCTAGAATTAGTCTTGTGAAACAAAGTATAGCAAAGGCAATTATTGGAAGATAGAGGTATAAACTCTGTTCAGGAAGCATTATGCGTATTTGCCACTGATTGGCCAGTTTTTTCACACTGAAACTTTGTGTACCTGTTCATTAAATGACTTAAGCATGCCTTGCTTAATATTATTATTGCTTACTAACTCTGGGTATACGTGTTTCTTTCTGGAATTTTTTGTGAGAACAGAACTTTTGAGCTCTGATGTCAGCAGGCAAGGCAAACTTACTGAAGGTTCTAGGTGGATGAGAGCCCTACAGCAATAAAACGTGTAAACATGACAATTCTTTTTAGCTGCATCAACTCTTTTTGGTATTCCCACAACCCATCTCAATTTTCTCTTTTTATAACAACTCAGTAAGGGGTTTTACCAGAGCAGACAAGCATGAAATTAATTTTCCATAGAAGTTTACTGATGCTAGGAAACTTGCTGGTCAGTAATATTGGTATAAGTCCTGATGCTGGCATGGAGGTTTCATTTTTTTCCTTTTTAATTGCAGTGAATTTTATCAGCATAAATTTTATAATGTAGATACTATGCAAAAGCTTTAAAGGAAGAAATGCAGGGTTTTTCATATTTAATCTCTTAATATTTGGTAAGATTTGTAGTAGCATAATACTCTGGTTTTTCTCGTTAATAGCAAGACAACTTACTGATTGGTCTTGGCACTTGCTGTACCTGACATACAGAATGTTAGAAGAAAGAAGATACCCCAAGGTTCCACTTGGTAACTAAAGGGCTGAGATGCCTCTTATGAATTAGCATTGATAAGACTCTTCTTTAGAACTAGCAAAGCCTGCGTATGTTAACTCTAACTTGGATAATTTTTTCTCCATGTTGTTAAGCCTGAAACACCTCCTGTATCTTGGCAACCTCTCTTAGATGTAATTGTTGCTTCAAAGCCTTTAGGAATTATATACTACCTGTTTTAAGGATATAGGTTCTTGATTAATGGGAGCAATCATTTCTAATTTTATATATCTAAGAATTTCCAGGTCTTAGCTCTCTTTATTCCAACAGAAACTTGTAAAATATTATACAACCTAGGGTCATGTGCTGAGAGAAGTTTACTCTTCATCAGACCTGGCCTGAATAGAAGCTTCTAGAGTCTGGTCATTTGGACTGCTCTTGCACTGCCCTGCTCTTTAGGTGACCTTCTTTATACAGTCACTGCCAAATGCTAACTTGCTTGTCTTGAAAGGCTCAGCTTGGCTCTCCCCTTTGTACTGGGGAGGTGAGCTACTGCTGAGTTTCTCACATCTTCCTGATAACATTTAAGAGAGAAAAAAAATTCTTCCCTTAGCTTCTGAGACTAGTGCATGTTTTGTACATGGTGTTCCTGAGCATCTTCTGGAGAGTGAAGATTTTGCAAATGTAGCAAATCTCTTGCTTGTCTACTCCCCCAGAGTGGTAAATGAGGTGTATTATTTGATTTTTCGCTATTTAAATTTATTTGGGAGCTAAGAGGCTGAATGTGCAAGAATAGAAAGGTAAACCCTCTGAAAGGGTATAACAAGTGGAGAGTGAGGTGAGAGGAGGATACTTCCTGACATCCAACCTACTGGTCCTGCCCTACCAGTTGGGACAGATTTGTACCTTTTTAGAAACATTTATAGAACACTTATTAGATGCAAGGCGAAGTACTAAGTTGCTGCTAAGCAAGACAAGAACAACAAAAGGCTGTGGTCTCTATCCCCAAGGCTGTGTCTATATGTATGCTCATAGATACACACATAAAAAAGCTCAGAAGCATTTAAACTAAAAATACGAGACAAGGTGAAGTTATAATACCAGCTAGCCATATATTGAATGCTGTAAATGCTCATTAAATGCTGACAAGTATCCCATGAGGCAGCTGCTTTTATTTTCAGGATTTTATGGAGTATGAAACTGAAGTCCAGGAAGGTTCAGAAACTTGCCTAAGGCTGTAGAACTCTTTAGCAGTAAAGCTGGACCAAGGCAAACCTGGCTCAGCATCAGTGTGCCAAACTGTTAGCCAAAACTTCCCCTCCTCATCGTGTGGTGCAGAACAGCAGCCCTTATGTGTTCTTAAAGAAGTCAGCCTTCAAGGAGCAGCACTGTGCGTTTTACCTTTTTATGTCCCCTTGTGCTAGCAAAGTGAAAGTGTATATGTGTGGATGAGAATGACACAGGTGCTGAAGGGAAGTTAGCTTCTCTCCCCCCCTTTTCTCATTTTGTGATGGGGGAAAAGTAGTAGATAGGAAGAACATAGACGAATTAGACTGGCTGTCATCCTAGCTTTGTCATTAATCAGGTGTATGACTTTAAATAATTCACTTGGCTTCTATGGATAACCAGTTTCCTTAATTGCTAAAGAGGTTGAACCAGAAGTTCCCTTCCAGCTTTAGAATTCTAAGGTCGATGATGTCACTGTAGAGACAGATTTATCATCTGCAGACCTTTCCACTTTTGTGCACATAAATAGTTGTTTATTTGAAGTCCCTAGTTACAGCCTGTCTATTTTGCATAACTGATAGCAGAGAGTTTTTATTCTACAAGAAACACTTTATTTCTGATTGCTGTACATCAAACTGATGGGTCTGCCATAATTTCTCGGCTGTCAAACTGAATGTCGAATTAGGACTTTGTGTGTCCTTGAAGGGCTTTGTCTACTTTTCCCTTATTTTACACAGAAAATAGAGAACACGTGGTTCTTGCTCAAGTGTCTAGGGCACTTGATCGTGGTTGGCATTTAAGCATTGACTATTAAACTGCATTATAAACTGGCAAATTTATTTTTAAAATACATTTTATTGAAATTTCACAGAGATAACTTACAAATTCAGTTCACCTTCTGTCCGTTTGATGCCAAAAAGCACAATGATCCAACCACTATATTTTTATGAATTCACATTGATATTCATTTCTAAATAACACTATCTATAATATTTACAGTGCTTATTTTAGGGACATGAATCTAAACATCTATAATTCTTGTTGGACATCATGAGGATAAACTTCCTCTTGCAGAAATATGTTTTTTCTTTCAACATATTTATTTTCAGAAACATTCTAATTTGATAGTGAAATACATGGTCCTAATGAGGATGTCGGTGGCATCATTGTTAAAAGAGAGACATCATTAGCATCAAACACTGTTGAATTTATTTAAAAGATTTGGGTACACATAGTGGTGATGGCTACATAGCAGTGTAAATGGATATAATGCCACTGAACTGTACACTTACAAATAATTACAATGATAACTATTGTGTATAGTTTACCACAATAAGCAACAACAACAAGGAGACTGTAGTTGGAATGTTGTTGAGCCAGCATCCGTGATCTCTAAGTTCAACCTGTTGTTCTTGCTTCATGAATTTCCATATGCCATTGCATCTTGTGAGGGAGTTAGTTTACCTCTTACATTTTGGTACTGCCAATTGTCTATTCTTCCCCATTCTTTTTAGTAAATGTAACAATTTCATTATCCTTTAATTTTACCCAGATTCTAAGATTTAGTCCAGGAGTTGGAAATAAAGATGTGTTCTTTTCTGAAAGTGTTCACAGCAGTCAGCAGTCAGTTTGGAGCATTTTTACTCCAAAGTAAGTACGCAGAAATGGTAAGAGACTATCACCTTCATGGGCAATTTTCCCAAAAGAAAATTATTGAGAGGTCAGGTTAGCTCACCAGAACATAATACTCTAATTGTTTGAATTGAATTTGGAAAGAGTAATGATCTAAGTGAAAGCTGTGAAAACAAAAACATAGGAATATTAGCATTGTCCCAAAATAACTAGTGGAGAATGAGGTATACAACCGCATTCCACTCACGTATAAATGAAGAATTGGCATTTAATTTAAGTGTTTAGAATTGTGGGATTGTATTAAATCCAGGAGATGGTTGCAAGTATAACGAGTATGACTCCTCAAGAATATTACCTGGGCTCACAAGTCAGCTCCATAACCTTGAGCAAAGTATTACTTCTCTATGTCTCCATTTCTTCAAAAGGGAATAATGGTAATCCTTAGTTCATAGTTGGGTTGTAATAGAAAATGAGATAATACATGTATAATACTTGATACAATGTCAGGGTAGAGTAAACATGTGCCAAGTATTAGTAATTATCATCCATAACACGCAGTACTTCATTGTATTAAATTACACAATCTTAGACTTGGAAGGGATCCATTGCAGGAATTCTCTCCACTACATTTTTAGAAATGGTTATACAGCAATAAGGTGCACTCTACTCCATAAGTATCCTATGTCCTTCTGAATAGGCTTAATCATTGTTGAGCCAACATCTGTGATCTCTAAGTTACACCTATTGTCTCTGCTTCATAGAACTTCATATAACATCTGAGCTTTCTTCGACATGGCTGCCTTTCAAATGCATTGTATAAAGACAGATATCTCATTTTCCATTTGTTTTCTCACGTCAAGGATAAATATTCTAAATTGTTGGGTTTATGTTGTAATCCTCTTTATTTGAAGACACTGTTAACTGGCTAACCAAATACGCATTCTCAACGCCCTTCTCCCTTACCTTCCTCCAAAATACAGTTTGAAAAGTTTATTCATTCACATGGCAGCTAATGGTGGCCACAAGACTCAATTCTAGCCAGTGATGTGTATAGAGAATTCAGACTGGAGACTTTTCTTTCTTTCTTTTTAAATAGAGATGGTGTCTCACTATGTTGCCCAGGCCGGTCTCAAACACCTGGGCTTAAGTGATCCTCCCGGCTTGTCCTCCCAAAGACTGGAGACTTTCTGGGAAAGCATCTAGTTTCCCAGTAAAAGTGACAGTTCCAAATGGCTTTGTCCCTTCTCCTTTCTTCCTCTCTCTCTTTTTTTTTTTTTTTTTGGCTTTCTTTTTGTTTATTATTATACTTTAAGTTTTAGGGTACATGCGCACAACGTGCAGGTTTGTTACATATGTATACGTGTGCCGTGTTGGTGTGCTGCACCCATTAACTCGTCATTTAACATTAGGTATATCTCCTAATGCTATCCCTCCCCGCTCCCCCCACCCCACAACAGTCCCCAGTGTGTGATGTTCCCCTTCCTGTGTCCATGTGTTCTCATTGTTCAATTCCCACCTATGAGTGAGAACATGCGGTGTTTGGTTTTTTGTCCTTGCGATAGTTTGCTGAGAATGATGGTTTCCAGCTTCAAGTGAGAACATGATCATCGGGGCTGTAGCAACAGCACTTAAGATGATGAATTTGAGGGCAACACTAGCAAGCCAAGGCCCCAGGGTTGGAATCATAGAGAGCCTAGCACTTATTAACCATTTTCAGCAGCTCAGCTAGTATTTATAACCAATGTTCTTCATGTTTTTTGTAGATTAGATAGTAACTGTTTATATCATTGAAACCAGTGATTCTCCAACTTTAGCATGCATCAGAATTATGTGCGGGGATTTTTAAAACTCAGATTGCTGGGTCGCTACTCTAGTTCCTGATTCTGTAGACGTGGAAAGGGGATTGGGAATTTGTATTTCTAACAAATTCCCAGGTGATGCTGATACTTATGTAGTGGTGGTGGTGGTGGTGGTGGTAGTTATTGGAGGGTACTTTGAGAACTACTGTTTTAAACCATTGCTAATCTGATTGTTGTTTCTTTACAGTTTATGACCTTCCTTAATTAATATAAGCAAAATTCACTTTATATGATTTTGAATAGTTCTCTTGAAGTGTTTTATCAATATTCAAAAGGGATTTTTAAAACTCTTCTTCACACTAGAGAGCTCCTTTATCAGACCTTTATACTTTTATACCAGCTAGCATAGTTATCTGAGTTGCACTTTAGCAAATCAGTTATCAGTCCATGGCATATTTAATGAGATTTTATTATGTTCAGGACATTGCGAGGATTCAAGGAAAGGTGAGATATTGACACTGCTTCCAGGGAGTTTACATAGAGTTGATACACAAAGACACAATTTCCATCTGTATCAAAAATTATGATTTCCAAAGAGCTTTCAAGTATATTAGCATATTTAATACTCAAGATAATGTGAAGTAGAGGAGGAATATTGTCACACTCATTTAATAGAAAAATTGATGTCCAGGCCAGATGTGGTGGCTCCCACCACTTTGGGAGGCCGAGGCCGGCAGATCATTTGAGGTCAGGAGTTCGAGACCAGCCTGACCAACATGGTGAAACTCCATCTCTACTAAAAATACAAAAAAAATTAGCCAGGTGTGGTGCCATATGCCTGCAGTCCTGGCTACTCGGGAGTCTGAGGCAGAAAAATTGCTCAAACTGGGAAGGTGGAGGCTGCAGTGAGCCGAGATTGCGCCACTGCACTCCAGCCTGAGTGACAGGGACAGACTTCATCTAAAAAAGAGAGATAGAGAGAGAAAGGGAAGGGGAGGGGAAGGGAGGGGAGAGGAGAGGAGAGGAGAGGGTAGAAAAATTGAGGTCTAATTAATTAAATGATGAATGTAAAGTATGCCAAAAGTAACAGATAACAAAATCAACTCTAGGAATTTTAACACCTAATTCAAGCACAAGTACATTAGACAAATACTTTTATTATCTTTTGCCACTTCTGTCTCTTCTACTTTCAGGACAATATAGGAATATAATTAGCTTTGTTTTTTTTAATGCTTTGTGGTCATAAATCGCCTCTCATCCAGAGTGAAAGACAACTGGCTGTTTGAAAATTCTCTCAAAGAAGCTCTTTTTAAATGCAACATTCAACCGGTGAGAGATGTTCAGAGCTGCTGTGTACAACTGCACCAAGTTGGCCAGCTTAGATGACAAGTGGAAACTGCAATTCTAGCCATGTGCCCTGTATGCAACTACATTTCTTCAGAGGAAGGGGAAGACTATTTATCAGCTCCAGGACAGAGGGTGTCAGCACCTACTAACTTCTTCCACAGTGCCATGAAAATATCAAAACTTTCCCCTTGAGTTGGGTACCATTTTGGAAGAAATACGGATTAGGGAGATATTTTGAGAGGGAAAACAACATTAAAGGAAATTTGAAATTTGAGTTAACTGCTTATGTACTCAAAAGAGTTTACTTGCAACTAGAGGTAACTAAGTTGCTTTGATTTTAAATTTGAGTCTTCCATACTCTTCTCTTCACTCTCCCTTCCTCTACCTTCCATTAGCAAATATAGGGGCTCAGGAGGAAACTACTGGATTTTAGAGAAGTAGATGAGCTCCTTTTTGTTTGTTTCTTTGTTTTATATGTTTTAATTGCTAGGTATACATTTCTACCACACCACATATGTAACATTTGTCATCTATTTCAAAGGGTAAGAATTAATTCCAATAATAGGAATAGATAGATGATACTATGCACCACATACAGAATAAAGTACAAGTTACGTTTCTTGCCCTGGAATTACTTGCAGTCTAAAATAGAGAAAAAAAATGTTGATATAAATGTTTCTGAATGTAAGTAAAGAAATTCTCAGTTCATTACACAGTTAGTGAATATTGTTCATTTGCACAATTAAATTATATGCACTTTTCGTTAATTATCTTTCTCAATTTTAGACATTTTAAAATTCATGAACTATAACAATAAATAGTATAAAACCTTTCTAGTTTTAAAGAATTTTAGTTAGTATACTATAAATAAGTGTAAATTGAAAGCCATGCGGAGAAAGAGATTTAAATAGAAAAATTGCCTTTTTTTGTATGTTATTTTACATGAAAAATCAAAATGTAAACTTAATTTCTGTTCAGGACTGGGATTCTAAGTGAAATAGGCTATTACCTATATAGTGTAATTTGTATAGTAATTTTTTTATTTTTCTGATGATTGAAATTCAACCATTAGTGATAGATTCTTTAGGTGTAAGCATTGTAGTCTTTCTGTAGGACTTTTAAAATGCAAATGAATGTGGAAGACTACAACCAAATGAAGTTCTGTACAGTTTAGCATGGTTGCAAATATCAGAAGGATTCATTTCTCAGCAGAGCGACATGAATGTTTTTAGGTGTTTGGAGTAAAGTGTAAAAAGAAAGACATTAAAACTTGGAAGAACGGCAAATTTTCAGGAAAGTCAAGTGGCGAGACGTGCCAAAAACCAGTATCCCTTACTTTACAATTATGGCTACAGCTGTGCCTGTTTTATTATTCTATACATGTGTAAGTTGCTAACTGCTATAATAACCACGCAATCTCAAGAGCTTAACAATAAGAGAGCACATTTCAGCAAAATGTTTGGCATGTGGTGGCTCTGTTAGACCCTGGGTCCTTGAAGTCCTCAGTTGTTCCCTCCTTTATGCTTATTTTTGTGGGTACATATATTTATGGGGTATATGAGATGTTTGATATAGACATGCAATGTAAAATAAGCATATCATGGAGAATGGGGTATTGATCCCCTCAAGCATTTATCCTTTGAGTTATAAACAATCCAATTACACTATTTAAAAATGTACAATTATTGTTGACTACAGTCATCTGTTGTGCTATCAAATCATAGATCTTACTCATTCTAACAACTTTTTGTACCCATCAACCATCCCCACCTCCCTCCCATCCCCCCACTGCCCTTCCCAGACTCCAGTAACCATCCTTCTACTCTCTATGTTCATGAGTTCAATTGTTTTGATTTTTAGATCCCACAAATCAGTGAGAACATGCGTTGTTTGTCTTAATGTGCCTGGCTTATTACACTTAACATAATGATCTCCAGTTCCATCATGTTTTTGCAAATAACTGGAATCTCCTTTTATGGCTGAATAGTATTCTATTGTACCACATTTTCTTTATTCATTCAACTGTTGATGGACACTTAGGTTGTTTCCAAATCTTAACTATTGTAAACAGTACTGCAACGAACGTAGGAGTGCGGATATCTCTTTAATATACTGATTTCCTTTCTTCTGGGCATATATCCAGCAGTGGGAGTGCTGGATCATATGGTAGCTCAATTTTTAGTTTTGTTGAAGACCTTGAAACTATCTCCACAGTGGTTGTACTAATTTACATTCCTACCAACAGTGTATGAGAGTTCCCTTTCTCCACATCCTCTTGTGCATTTGTTATTGCCTATCTTTTGGCTATAAGCCATTTTAACAGAGGTGTGTTCCTCTGCTTTAAATCTACAAATGACAAGATGACAGAGAGGGAATGAGCAGGTGTTTGCATAAATATCCCAGGGGACTTTGGGGGCCAATGTTTTCAGTCAACATTTTTGTGGCCACAAGTAACTATAAAGCCTTTTCTAGATGCTGGGCAGCTGGTCAAAATAGTTTTTCCATGTTCCTAGGAGAGAAAGTAGATGGTTTGGTAAATAGCCAGCATTTTTTTTCTGCCATCATTAGCTTTCAGAATTATTAATAGAAGTGATCCTCTAAAGGTGAAAGTACTTAATATTTGAAATAGGCCAGACATTTGCTTGACAGTAGATATGATTTCCCAGATAGGGGCAAGACACTTAATAGTCATATACAACACTCTCAATTTGTCATCTTCTCTTAACCCCTATGTATAGTAAATCAATAAACATTGATTGGGTCCCTGTTGTACCAAATATCTATAATCATCACTGCTATTAACACCTATTGACTACATACTCTGTGTGGAACCTTGTGCTGTCTACTTTTAAAAATACAATGAAGCAGTAAGTATAGTAGGAAATTCCTTATCTGATGTGATCAGGATCAGAAGGTGAGTAAAATTTAAAGCAAAGAATATATAACTGAAGCATTTTTATGTTTAACTTGATACATATGAGTGTACATTCATTCACCAATTTCTAAATGTAGGGCAAAGATCTTCCTTGCAGTATGGGTGTTTATCATCACTTATTTTGAAAACCCATGATGCCTAATCTACCTGGAGCACACAGTATTGATTGCCTGTCTAGAAGCTACTCCCCCTCTTCTACGTTCCCAAGAGCTTCTTTTTTTTTTTTAATAAAAAAATTGTATTTACTTAGAAGCATTCAGAATGTCAACAAAACAGCTGCAACTTTTTTTTTTTGCAATTACAGAGTGGTATTCAGTTAACAGAACAACAATTATTTCGTATAAGCTGCATCAGAGACAACTGAAGATGAAAAAACTACCATCCCCATATATAACTAATTTGTGCTGTGCACCAACAAGAACCTGCTTTAAATTTCCATGCCAATTTACAACCCCCATACTGTACCAGGCAAAGTTAGTGGCTATTGAAAATACCACCAGGACAGGGCTATCTAAAGACACATTCGGTAGTGTGTTAACTATACAAAAAAAGACACTGTACAGTTTAAAAACAAATCTTACACCGCCTTACATTTCAATTTTTTTCTTTAAAAAGAGTGAATTGTGTACAGGGGGGTTAAATGCTTTATAGACAAGAAAAAAAACTGCGCTACAACCAACTTATTCATCATCATCATCTTCTTCTTCATCTTCTTCATCTTCCTCCTCCTCCTCATCCTCTTCATCTTCCTCATCTTCCTCCTCTTCCTTCTTTTTCTTGCTTTTTTCAGCCTTGACAACTCCCTTTTTTGCTGCATCAGGCTTTCCTTTAGCTCGATATGCAGCAATATCCTTTTCGTATTTTTCCTTCAGCTTCGCAGCCTTCTTTTCATAAGGCTGCTTGTCATCTGCAGCAGTGTTATTCCACATCTCTCCCAGTTTCTTCGCAACATCACCAATGGACAGGCCAGGATGTTCTCCTTTGATTTTTGGGCGATACTCAGAGCAGAAGAGGAAGAAGGCCGAAGGAAGCCTCTTGGGTGCATTGGGATCCTTGAACTTCTTTTTTGTCTCCCCTTTGGGAGGGATATAGGTTTTCATTTCTCTTTCATAACGGGCCTTGTCCGCCTTTGCCATATCTTCAAATTTTCCTTTCTCTTTAGCAGACATGGTCTTCCACCTCTCTGAGCACTTCTTAGAAAACTCTGAGAAGTTGACTGAAGCATCTGGGTGCTTCTTCTTATGCTCCTCCCGACAAGTTTGCACAAAAAATGCATATGATGACATTTTGCCTCTCGGCTTCTTAGGATCTCCTTTGCCCATGTTTAGTTATTTTTCCTCAGCGAGGCACAGAGTCGCCCAGTGCCCGTCCGGCTCTCACTTGCCCCGGCGCTGTCTCTATGGAGCTCAATGTACTGCCAAGAGCTTCTTTTACACTGGTGCATTTCCCTTTCCCAAGTGAATTGGGTGATTCTCTGGCTTACCAATGAATGGCGTTAGGCGATGATCTGTTTCTGGCCAATGAGACACAAAAGAAATCTGGGGAAATTCTTTGAAAGATGTCTTTGCTGCTAAAAAGCAATGTAGGGGTGTGGGAGACAGTATGCCAGAGTTCCCTTTCTGTTGTTGACTATTGATTTATCAGGGTGGGGTTCCTTATTCTGCTGCAGTGATTTTGGCTTCATGAAGTGTTGTTGCCAATAAACTAGAAGTGGTCAGGCAGACAGGTGGAAATGCTATGGGATGACTTGATTAACCTGTTGTGTTTAACAACTCCGGAGCATTTCTACCTCAGGACTTCTGGCTCACAAGAATGGGAATTCCATTATTCCTTTAAAGCCATTTCAAGCAGAATTTCTGTTACTTCCAGCCTAAAACATCTTAATTGAAATACCACAATTCCTAGTTTGGGTTTTGTTAACCTGCTATGAGACATTAGAGATGTTTATTAAGACATTCCACATGAACAGTCCTCCTAGATTGTAATGATTTTTTTTCCAGTCTTTTACAGCTGTCTTATTGGCATCTAATTCAAAAGGAGATTTTTTTGGTTTGCTTTTCAGTAGCTCTTATTTTGGAAATTTAAAAAGCATTAAATGTAATTTTCATAGATGCAACATTGTTTTTCACACTCATATTTCATTAGTTTATGTGATTTTTAACTAAAATGCATAACTATAATAATAAGCACAACAAAATTGGCTGAATCTTAGTAAATATATGACTCAACTGGTAAGAACAGTAATTGCATGCACATGAAAAACAGTCTTTAGCCAGCTGAGAGCTTTCAGGGAAGGGGGCATCTGACAGGATAGGGGGACTGAAGGCTATGGATTAATCTATCCCATTGTTGAATGGTGGTTAGTTAAGATCTATGTGTCAAGTTGAGAAATATGCAATAGCCAGTTTTGTTTTTCAAAAATGGCTGAATATTGGCAATTTCAGATGTTTCAACTTAAACACACACACACACACACACACACACACACACACACCACGTCCTTCAGTCTCCAGGATTTTAAAATCCAATTAGGGACTAAGGTATAAGAAAAAATCTCCAGTGCAACCTAGTGTGTATGTCGGTGTCCACCCACATTCTCTCAGATTCATTTTTATTGTTTTATTGTTTTCACTTTTAACAGCCAGCATCTGTGGCTCATTTTTAAATAGCTGCCCTTAGGCTACTGGAGCCACTTTGCCCTCCTATGCAGAGAGCTAGAAGTGCCTGAGAATGCACATCCTCCTGGGAAGCCTCAAGCAATGATGAATGATGGATGTGGAAATACGAAAATCCAGCCCTCTGGTCCAGGGGCTGGAGCTGAATGGGACTAAGCTGAAGCCACCCTCTGTGGGACTTCACCCACATACTTGCTCCGCTTCCTCCTTTTTCTTTTCTTACTTCTACCACTCTCCTACTGATTTCTCCTGGAGACTTCCCTTAATCACTTGCACCTTCAACTGAAGGGTGCCCTTGGGGAATCTGTCATAGCACAACAGAAATAGTAAATGTAGACTGAGTGGTGTAGACAATATATATTAGAGAAATCAGGAGTTGAGGACTGTCACTGCCAACTGCGGTGATGAAGAAAGGCTTCCAAATATAGTAGAAACTAGATTTTATACACTTGTATCTATTCAGCAAATGATTGTAGAGTGACTACAATGTGCCAATTAGTGGTGATGGCAATGGAGGCACTTGCTAGGCCAGTAGTTCTCAAATTATGATCCCTGGACCACCAGCAAAAGCACCTGAGAATTTGCTAAACATGGAAATTCTCAGACCCCAACCCAACACTAACTTATCAAAAACTCTGGGGCCAGGGTCCAGCAGTTTGTATTTTTACCATCCTGCCAGGTGGTTCTGGTGCATATTCAAGTTTGAAACTGCTGCACAAAGATCTGATGACATATCTTATCTGCCAATTAATAATTGTGAGCTTGGAAAATTTATTTCATTTTCTGATGTTTAGTTTCCTCATATGAAAAAGGTAGGGGTGATGACATTTGCTGCTTGGGGGCCAAATAAGTATTAATTTTCTTGCCTTCATTTCTCTCCATATTGCCTTCCTTTCCTTCTATTTCTCTCCCTCCTTCTCCTCTTCCTTCTCTCCTTCTTTCCCTTTCTACCTTCCTTCTTCCCTCTCCCCTCCTTTTGTCCTTCTCTCCCTCTCTTCCTTTATCTCTCCCTCCTCCTTCCTTCCTTCTTTCCTTCCTTCCTTCCTACTTCTTTCATTCCCTCCTTCCTTCCTCCTCTCTTTCTTCCTCCCCCCCTCCTTCCTTCCTTCCTTCCTCCCTCCCTCTCTCCCTTCCTTCCTTCCTCCCTCCCTCCCTCCCTTCTTTCCTTCCTTCCTCCCTCCCTCTCTCCCTTCCTTCCTTCCTCCCTCCCTCCCTCCCTTCTTTCCTTCCTTCCTCCCTCCCTCCCTTCTTTCCTTTCTTCCTTTGTCTTTCCTCTTCCTTTCTACTTACTTGCCTGATGTTTTCAACCTGGTTATTAAAGATGGGCTGAATTTCACTAGGTGGAAAAAGAGGACTAAACTTTCTAGGCAACAGATGTCCCAGTCACAGCAGGGGGATCATTGGGCTAAAAAGAAGTCACAGTGAAAGGATAGGAGTGGCAGGTTATAATGAGGAAATGGGATTTCAGATGCTGTGTTGTAGTTTAAACTATATTGTAAAGGCAATGGTAAGGCATGGGATGTGAAGGACTGGGAGTAACTTGGCAAAATGCATGATTTGGGCAGATTTCTCTGGCATTGATCTACTCCATTTAGAAGAAGATCAAGATTTCAGCCTTAGATTTCAGTCAGTAAAGCTTATACATTAATATTGGCAATTAATCCAAATGGGATCCCGAATCTAAATCCTGGCATTCTAAATATGAAGTAGAAATGAGTCTAAGTCCTGCTGAGCACAGGAAATCAACTTGGCTGAAATTTAAGACAGAAAGTGAGTAAAGATGGCTTAGTGATACTCAACCTGATAGAATGGGAAAATCGCTAAAAGAGGAGTCAATGGGGGATATTGCTGAAGGAGACACACAGAGTTTGAGGTGACGTAACATTTGTGGGTTACTGAATTCATGCTTCTAGACATCCAGGAAAAGAGCAAAGTTTCATAAATATCCCTGTAAAGATAGATACCTGGGCAAACTGAAATGTATATAATTTACACACACACACACACACACACACACACACACATACACATATTACAAACCTCACTCTCTGCTAACTTGTATAACTACACAGCAACTGATACATTATTTTGGGAAAGATTCCTGTTTGGGTAATAAAATGAAACTATTTTGAAGCATAAATGAATTGTATTAGGTTGGTACACAAGTAATTGTGGTTTTCGCCATTGAAGGTAATTTCAAAAAAACACAATTACTTGTGGACCAATCCGATATATGTAACACATTGTATCTGTGTGTGATTTTTTTTCTTTTGGTGTCTGCAAAATGTGCTGAGTTTATTGCAGCCACAGTACTCCATAGGATTGCTTTGTGTATTTCAAGTCTTTACCCCCATCTGGGCTGGATACACTGAGTGCTAAATTCACTTCCTTGTCATTTTATTCTTCTCCTGTCAGCTTCCCATCCGTTGATCAAAAAATATCCAGAATCCCCAGAGTCACAAATAAGTTCTACATTTGGCCATTACATTGATCTTTCTTATTTAGCATATACTTAAAAACCATTTTCTATTGATCATAGTCCCCTCCTCAGTATCCAAACTCTAATTATTTTGAAATATTTTTATGTATACTTCCATTAGTTACTCCAGAGTTTGACTAATAATGGGAAGGGACATTTTAGTGTTTTTTTGTTTGTTTGTTTGTTTTTTTGTGTCATGGAAAAGTATACTAATCAATGGCCCTTTCTGATGCCCTGTGAAGTTCTGTGAGGATTTTTCCTGGTATCTTAATTGCAGTAGAATAGACACAGTGGTGTTCTGGCATCTCTCATCCAAAACAAACAGAAGGAATGTTGTATTAAAGATTTATATGGAGTAATGCTTCAAAACCAACCTGACCCATAGAAGAGCATAGCATGGTTCACTGCTGAGTCATTTGGTCAGAGACAGTCTGGAAAGATATTGTAAAGGAATCATATCCTCAAGAGAGTTACAGAGAGAAGTGGGTTGCCTCAGGATATTCCAGAAGGATATTTGCTCCAGGAAAAAAAATTATGTTAGAGAAACACTACAGAAATGATTTTCAAACTTGAGCATATATATAAATACCTGAAGGTCTTGTTAAAACATGACTGCTGAAATCCACACCCAGATTGTCTGCTTCAGTAGATCAGGGATTGAGCCAGAGAATCTGTATTTCTAATAAGTCCCCAGGTGATGCTGCTGCTGTTGATTGGTAATCATTGGCTTAGAACATCACCAGAAAGAAAGGTTAGAGTCAGGCGGGAACAAGAAACATATTTTTTTTTTGCTCCCAATTTTTTTCCAATTGTGCAGAGATTAATTTTCATAAAACACTATTTTGTTCATACTTTAAATTAGCTCAAATTGTTATTCTTCATTTTCTTCTCAATAAAACCATAAAAACAAACCCAAAAATGAAAATCTTCAGCAGTATTCCAAATCTTCCACCTATATCCCTGAAACACTGGTACCTTTGCTTGTTCTCAAAACATTTTTAAGCCTTCAATCCCTACATGTTTTGTTCATTCTGTTTGTTTTCCCTGGAATGCCATATTGTCTTCACCATCATTTTTGCCTTTCAAAGTCCAAAGCATTCTTTAAGACTCAACCTAATCCCTTCTCTTCATTAGGCTTTCTCTGATAAAGTGAAAACTTCTTACCCTGAGCTTCTTGCAACTTGTTTTTCCTCTTTTATTTTTTTTTCACAAAATCTTTCAGTGCCACCTATTATAGCTAGGGCAAAAAAGCAAATACTTTTATATTTAACTTAGTGAAGACCTTTTAATCTTCATATTCACCTTATGAGGTAGATACTATTATTATCCTCCTTTTACAGATAATTTACTTCTGTATACATCATTTACTTCTTAAGTTTCATGATATCAAACATATGATTTTAAGTACATTTGTGTTCCCCCAAAGTACCCATTACAGTGCCTTGCAAATAATAATGCTTATTAAAACAATTGCTGCATTCAATGTAGTCATCTTCTGTTTGCTATAAAATAGTAATAATAAAATATTCAAATTCTCATTCAGGTTAGTTCTTCAGGCTTCTATGTGAACGTAATTCTGATTATTAGAAAAGACTGGTTGTTGCAATGGTACAAAGACCTGGTTCCCTGTCATCAGCTCAGGATAACTCTAAAGGGCCAATGCAGCCCAGAACTCCTGTGAGATTGACAGAAGGCCAGTGTTGAAACTGTATTGTAGCTTTACCCATTCCCACATGCTCTATTCTCACATGCCTTGACCTCAATGGCTCTCCCCAGCAAATAATCCTGCACACTAATTTCCATGTCTACAGAGTCTGTTTCCTGAATAACCCAATCTAAGAAAAAAGGAGTATGGGCTAACTACGTTTATTAACTTTTTAAAAAACTTTTCCAGGGCCGGGTGCGGTGGCTCACGCCTGTAATCCCAGCACTTGGGGAGGCCGAGGCGGGTGGATCATGAGGTCAGGAGATCGAGACCATCCTGGTTAACAAGGTGAAACCCCGTCTCTACTAAAAATACAAAAAATTAGCCGGGCGCGGTGGCGGGCGCCTGTAGTCCCAGCTACTCGGGAGGCTGAGGCAGGAGAATGGCGTGAACCCGGGAAGCGGAGCTTGCAGTGAGCCGAGATTGCGCCACCGCAGTCCGCAGTCCGGCCTGGGCGACAGAGCGAGACTCCGTCTCAAAAAAATAAAATAAAATAAAAAATAAGAAGGATTCCAAAGACGTTCAGCCCATTCAAGGGAGAAAGTATATGCAAAGAGCTTGAGACAAGAAAAAATTAGCATATTAGAGAAACTGAAGATAAATATGTCACTCAGGTTTGAACAACAGGCATTTTCTCAATGTGTATTCATGTTTTCTCTTTAATCTCTCTGTGCTCACCTGACCATCTCTAGAGCAAAATTTTCCCTAACTTAGTTTCCATGACATTGAAATAATAGAACCCATGACTGTATCTTCGCCCGTCTTTTTGGTAGTTCTTTGGTGTCCCTTCTTCTTTTAATCTAATAATTAACTTATTAATTATTAAAATATTCACGAACATTTTTAGAGCCTATTATCTGCCAAGCACTCAGTCAGGTGCTGGGGCTGTAACAGTTAAGAGGATACGCATGGTCCCTGCCCTCTCAGACTGAGCAGGTTAGTGTAGAAAATATAAATTGCAATGAAAAATCAGTACATTATTTTTCATCCTTATAATGACTTTATGTGGAGGGTACTATTTTTCACATTTTACAGATGAGAATATTGAGAAACAAGGAGGTCATATAGCTCTAAGCTTTTGTCCTGAGTACTTTTGTTGCTTCCTATATTCTACCTCATAAACCTCACATTCTCCCAACAGTTGAACTCCATACACATGTCCAGAGCTCTAAAACACAAGAGCTAATACAGGCTCTAATGCAGAACCATTTCCATAGAGCAAAGCTTGAATTTCTAGATGTATAAGGATCTCCACCTGAACATCTCCCGCAGACCTTTGACTACAGCTGCCTAAAGAGAACTCATTATCTCACAACCTTTCCTAAACAAACATTAAAATAAAACTGAACAACTGTAAATTCCCTTCTTGGGTTCTCAACTCCTAAAAGTGTCACTATTTTTCTAGTTCTCCAGGGACAGAAAGTTAGAGATATCTTTAATAAATGCCTCTTCACGTAATTGCTGCACGTTGTTAGTTACATCTCAGCAATGTCTCTTTTTAAACATCCTTATATTTCATTCTCCACAGCTGCTATCACTGTTCTTACCTTCATGATCTTTTACCTAGTGCTTCCACGGCCTCCTAAATGCTTTCTACAGCTCTACTATTTTCTGGTTCTAGATCATCTTATGAACCTGTTATATCAGATTAATCTTTTTGGTACATTCCTGGTCATGGAGGTCCCCTGCTCAGCATTTCTGGAGTGAAGTACAAATTGCCCAGGCTAGCAATTAGAGCCCCACTTGACATCTTCCAAATCATTTCTTCTACCTTCCTCCATGTACTGTATGCTCTGGGTAGAAGGGTAGACTATAGACTACTCCCTTCCTTTTTATCTCTGTCAGAGAAAATCATATCTTAAGACTTCTGTCAAATGACCTCCCTTCAATGAAGTATCTCCAGACTTCACTGCCTTTTGAACTTTGCTAATGTGTTTGGTGTTCTCTTCTGGCACCATAGTCTGCCTAATACGGCACTTATTGGTATGTTGTCCAATTTCTCCTTTAAAGCAGGGGCAGGACGAGTTTTTTTTCACTCCCAAGAAAGGCCTTTACCATGGTAAATTAGGCTTAGTAAGTACTTCTTGAATTGAAATAGAAGGATGGGTGTTTACATTCAGATGAAAGCATGGAAAAAGAGAAAGGGTCAAACTAACTTATCAGTCATGCTAATTCAAATCACAACAGATCTTTTGGTGCATTGACTATATTTCTGTCTTTATTTTTTTGTTCTTGGCATTTGCTCTTCTTATCTGTGGGTTAATAAGTGATTTGGCTACTTTTTAATACACACTTGAATAGCGCTGCGTGTCTGGAAAATTCAACGATGGCCTCCTGGGAGGAACAGACTGCCCCTTAGAGGATATTACTTACATTTTCTTTCTAAATCAGGGTGTGTTTGTGGGGTGGTCACTGTGGATTGTTTTTCAGAGCTTCTCTTGAGAAAATGTAGAATGGTAAATTACCAAAATCTCTCTACCCTGTCATCAGCATTAGTATTCGTAATGATTTTATCAGGAGTAATTATTAATAACAATAATGAGAAGCTTGCCTGTAGGGTATTTTATCCTTTGGCACTGTGTTCATTAGTTATTTGGCCTCCACAGCATCCTGAAACCCCATGAAAACGGGGCTTGTTTTGTTATTTCAGACTATCTTACAAATAATGGCTCAGCCGATATTAGAAAGCAGGTTTGTTCATTTGTGTGTCGTAACTCAAAATATGGTTCTTGAATCAGCAGCCTCTGCCACACCATTAAAAATACAGAATATCAGGCCCCACTCCAGATCTACTGGATCAGAATCAGAACTGTAATAAAATCCCAAGGTTATTCCTGTGCAAAGTAAAGTTTGAGAAACACCCACTTTAAGTCCTAGAACAGAGCAACAAAAGGTATTTCATCCCTAGGGTACTGTAGTGTGTGCGTGCGTGTGATTTCATCCCTAGGGTACCGTAGTGTGTGAGTGCGTGTGCTTGTGAGAGAGAGAGGAGACAGACAGGTAAGAGGAGAGAAATCTCAGTAGGATATGGGTCCTTCCAGAGGGATGGGCATGTGGGATTTGTGGATGTGGGACTCCCCTGTATTCTTGCAGTAGCTTCACCAGATTTCGTTGCGTCTGCTGTCCAAGATTGTTGAGGTTAGCGTTATTTATAGTTAAATATGAGAGTTGAGAGTGTGGGGGAAGTTGTTGTCTGGTACTGCACCCAAACCAGGAGGATAAAGGAGGTAAGCACAAAATGACAGCCCCCTTTTCGAGCCTCACTCAAAAAGCAGCTCACTCAAGCTCATTTCCGATATCTGTAGTTTCTAGATGCATTTCGCCTCCTCGTGTTTCCACTTAACACCCACGACCCACTCACTCCATTAAAGCTAGTTCCTCGCCTCTAGTCTCCAGGTTTCTTTTTTCGTGGTCATCAGTCTCGCTCTCTCCCGGCACCCTCAGGCCGCGGGCCCCTCCCTTCGCGCGGGCTCGCACCTCTCCCCAGCCTGGTGCACCTGGGCTGACGCCGGCTCGGGACTCGTGCGGAGCGCCGCGAGCGCGGCGGAGGCAGAGGCGCGCTGACTGCCACCTCCAGCCCGTGCCGGAGGGACAGCACGCGCTGCGCAACGGAGACCGTTCTCCTTGGCCGCCGCTCACGGCTCGCGGCGACCACCGCCGTTGAAGCTGCAGGCGGGCAGCCGTGCGTCTCCCGGGACAGCCAGCCCCGGCGGCTGCTCCTCCCGGATGCCAGGGCCAGGGCGCCGGGCGGCCGCCAGCAGGAGAATGAAGAGCTCGGTGGGAGGAAGGAGAGAAAAGCTCCTGGGGGCGCCGAAAGCTCAGCCCAGCCGCGGTAAGTTGAGTGCAAAAAGAGGTGTCTCGGTTCAGGTGGCGGAGTTCGTTGGGGCGCCGGGCAAGGAGCTAGGGTTGCGCCCCTGCGGGATACCAGGCGCGAGGGGCTGGGGCTCGCATGGGGGGCGCGGAATGGGCGTTCGCACCGCCCAGACCTTGGACCACCTTTTCGGTATCCCGCACTATCGGTCCACACACCCCAGCCTCTTCTCGGTGCCAAGGAGAAGAGATGTGAGGTTGCGGGGCCAGAGTGAAGAGCGCGGAGCTGGAGGGTCTCAGGTCACAGCTCATTGCCGAGAACCAAGGGGCAGGGGAGGCCGAGGCGGGGGGGCGAGGTCAGCCTGGTTCTGTCCAGAGTCGAGGGCTGGGCCACCCGGTAAGGACGTCCTGCTGTCTGTCTTTCATTGGGTGTGTGCGAGGCGTGCTCCCTCCTCGGGGGAAACCTGGCGAAGTTGTTGGGATAAAGAAACACAGCGGGACAGCTTCCTGCTTCCTTTTCATTTCCTTCTTCTTCTTCTTCTTTTTAAAACAAATACTTAAAAAAACCTGAGATACACGCGTTTTGAGGGCAGGATGAGAAGCTCTTGAGTTATATGAAGCGTCCCTCCAAGGAAATCACTTTGACATTTAGGGTGGGGTTGGGAGGCTGAGTGTAAGCCAGGGCTCCTGAATCTGATTGTCTTCTTGGCCAGCTAGTGCCTCTTTTTACGCTTCCATTGAGTACCTGGAGGAGCAAATTAGAAGAGAGCACAGAGTTGTGTACCTTTTGACCTCTTGCATTTTGGGAGATGTTTTATTGTGTGTATGAATTTGGGTCAGAGGACACCTGCAGCCTCCAAAATGGTGTCACCCTGTGTGAAATGCCCAATTCCAGATCTGTCCCCCTTACAATCAGGCTTGTCCACCTCATGTGTTTCTGGAGATTGTGCTGATGAGTGCTTTAGCCCGAGCTGGTCTGTGATTTCAAACGAGTGATGCGTGGTTTCTGGGCATTGGAGTGTCTTCAATTCTGGAACCTTGAACTGACTGAGAACATCTGACATTCTGTAGGTGTAACTAAGGACCCTAGAGCTGGCGCTGTTCTATGCTAATTCTGCGGTGTTCCCGGAATATGGTGGGGAAATCATCTCTGTTCTGCTGAGTCTGTTTGCTAGCTGGTCTGTGAAATGTGCCTTTCAGGTGACCACTGAATTCCGGTTCACGATGTTTTCTAAAACCTACTGGAAAGGTCTTCCTCCCTCTGGGTTGTCGTGCCACTCGTTGGCCTATGCTGGTAATTCAGTCACACTACTCTGGTCTCTAAGCATGAAAGGCAAATATGGGTCATTTCAAATTATGTAGATTGATGCAACACAGCATGTCCGGGCTTTGCTGCAATTTCTTCACATTTCTTTCCAGATGTTTTTTAGAAATTAACTTGAGCACTCTCTTCATGGAGCTAAAATGTAGACTAGGGGAATGGGCAAACATCTTGAGTTAATGTATTATCTCAGATTTAAGGAAATGAAGTGCTGGAAGTTGTCTGTGTTAGGAGAAAGAGACCTGAGGCAAAAATCGGGGCTTCTGAATTATTTTTGCTCTATGACAATGTGGCTGAGAGATCTTTGGGGTTACCTAATAATAATAACACCTAAAATGTGTTTCCCATTCACTGAACACCAAACTCTACAGCTAACGTAAATGCCTAACAATCCCAAGAAGGTGGCGTTGTTACCATCTCCATTCCGTAGACAAGGAAAAGGAGATTTAGAGATGTTAAATTGGGAAAAGTCCCACAGTTAGTGTTTTGTAATCCAAGATTGCAGAACTCCAAAGTCGGTTGTTAACCCCTACACAACCTCTTTGAGCCTCACTTGAAAAATGAGAGCAATAAACCTCTCTAAGTTTTAATTCCATGAAAAATTCATACAGTGATTGTAATACCATAGATTGATTCATACCCAACCATTTCAGGTATTTAATATAACAGAATGCAGAATTTGTAGATGTGAAATAAAATAAAAATTGTGTGGCACTTATATAATTCGGACTGCCAGCTTTAGAGAGGGCAGAACACTGAGATCTTAGTGTTCATCTTGAATGACGTTCTTTGAGTCCTGTTATTGTAAATCAATAGTGCTACATTATAGCCCTTGTCTTAACAATGTGTGATTTATAACATCAAACATGTCTGGTGCTAACATCATATTTGTGTGACTATAGAGTTATCCTGAGGTCTACATGAACACTTCCATATTTCAGCCAGCTTATAATTAAAGCTCAGATCCTGACAGGATTTTAAATTTCCATTAAGAGGTACAAGCAGCTTGTTTTAAAATTTCCCTTTTATTTTAAACAGTATTTTCAAAACAATTACTACCCCTGCTGTGACTTGCTATTTACCAGGTGCATCAAAAGTTCAATAATGAAAATGTTTGCAATTCAAGAAAACAGTGTTTCATCTATAGTAACGAAGATTAGATGAGTCACATCTAACTTAGTTTTTTTGTAATTTAATTAAAATGTTGCATTTCTCATTGCTAAGTGTATGCAGGTAGCTGAGTATACAGTATCCATTATTTTCTTATAATCTCCAACTTCATAAATTCAGTACTTATGAGTTCTTCAGCTAAGTAATGTTAGTACTGTCTATAAAGATTTTGAGGTTTTAAAAGTAGGAGTAAGAACAAGTAAGATAACTTTGTCATGTTTCTTCACTAGCTGTAATTATACTTTATTTTGAGAGTGATGATATATTTTAAGTCACAGATCTCATTTATCCATACATGAATGGAATTATCAAATAAAATTTGTATAAACCCATTGGGATGCTAATGCTATTAATATTCCAAATTTGGGAGCAGCTTTGGAAAATAGAAAATCTTGGGGAAATTAACGATAATTTACTATGTTTCATTGTATTTGCATGATATCTTACTGTTTCCAATAAATCTACATGTCTCATAATAACTTGCCTAGAGAGTTGTTTTATTTTTTGGCAGTAGTTAAGGAGGTTTTTATAGTAGCTAACATATTTAACCTTAGAAGAGTATTAAAATAATGAAACTAATTATGAACTTGAATCGTCAAACTGCAAAATGTTTCATGACAATGGGAGTCTTGTAAATGGTTAGCCTTATAATCACATGTATGTATTTTCTACTGTTTTAAAAATGTTTGTTTCATATTCAAACAATAGGACTAATATTTTATTTGATATTATTTGGTGATTTGAACAACCAGATCTCTGAAAGGTAATTTAAGCTCCATAAACATGAGTCACACTGACATCCCAGATTGAAGAAACTAATATTGGAAAAGGATCTGTAATTTTGAATGTTTCAAGAGCTTGGAACTCAAGGTAGATGGTACTTCTTAGTTTTCTGACAAGGACTCTAAAGTGAGAAATTGAATAAAATAAAGCTGGTGAGTTGAAAATCAAGCAAGTGCTTAAATTGCCACTTAGGAAGCTGAGATCAACTTCTGTAGATTACACACCCAAAAACTGCCAGTGTAATTTATATTTTGAACAAGTAGATGACACACGGGAGATCATTTAAAACATTCTAGTCAATTAAAAATGTATTTACTTCTACTTTTTTAGAGCCTGGTAAAGCTAGTGATGTCTTCCTGCTATGGATTGAATGTTTATATCTCCCCCAAACTGATATTGTGGAGCCCTAGCCCTTAATGGGATAGTATTTGAGGTGAAGCCTTTGAGAAATGATTCGGGTTAGATGAGGTTATAAGGGTAGAGCCCCTGTAATGGGATTAGTGCTCTTATAAGATGAGGAAGAGATGAGGACCCTTTCTTTGTCATGTGAAGATGCAGCAAGAAGATAGCCATCTGCAGACCAGGAAGAGGGCCCACCGCAGTCATTGAATCTGCTGGCACCAAGATCCTGGTCTTCACAGCCTCCAGAACTGTGATAAACAAATGTTTGTTGTTTAGCTACCTAGTTCATAGTATTTTGTTGTAGCAGTCCATACTGATTAAGACACTTCCCATTTTGGAATAACTCATGATTAACATAAAAAATTTGCAATTAGAGGAAGTTGAAGGACACCCAGGGGCAGAGATGAATCAAATTATTTTACAAGGCCTTTATCCTATTATAAATGTGGTTTCAATCATATTCAGATAATTCTGTACTACTTCTAGTAGTGTGCCTAGATTGGGATATGTCTCAAAGAGTATCTTATTCCTAACCTCCTGATAAACCAGTAGAGTATACTAGAACACAGTTTTAGAATAGGATAGAGACCTTTAGATCGCTTAGTTACTTTATTTATTTACCTATAATGTCATCCTAACATGTGTTTAATTTTTTGCCTTATTTGCAACACATAGGGACAGTTCTCTTTATGGAAATATATCTACCAAAACAAGCCAGCATGTAGCATTTCAAAACAGGTCTTTTCAGTGAGAAGTTTTCAGTAAGAGAATTTTCATTTTCCTTCCTTGCAAGTTATGTAGCCCATCTTTCAGGAAACAGTACTGATCTTGATGCGCCTTGATTCGTCATTAGACCTATTTGTCCCCATGAGAATAAAATGCGTTATTATGCCACAGTGTTAGGAAGTTACATTTGAGGATTTTCCTGAGAGTCTCTCATAACATGAGGCCAGATGTTCCCTGTTAACTTTTTTTGTTATCTTATATGTTCTGATTTTATTACTGAAGAGTTATTCTCCGCAATTTGTATAATAGAAGAGATTATTAGAGACTTCTTTTTCCTTTGCTTCTCCAACAGTCTCCATCTATCCTCAACTGAAATGAAAGAAAAAAAGAATGAAATGTATCTTTTCTTTCAGGTGCTCCTTAAACAAAAGAATAACACAGGAAACTCCAGAAGGCATTCTGAAAAAAAAAATCTAGATTTTAAAATTGTATTTAGTTAAGTACAACTTCCAGAAGTTAGGTGTCTCAGTTTCCTAAAGCCATCCAGATCACCTGGAATGTAAAGAACAAAGGTTCCATGTACTGGACCGAGTTATCAGGTGGCTATAAATTCTACATTCACAGTAACTTCATAGTATATTCTATTCACAGTAAAACTTGACATCAAAATCATAGAGAAAAACAGTTATTTAGCATAGTGTAGCATTTTAAGAGTATGAGTTTAAGAACTAGACGGGCTGGATTTGAATCCTTGTTTTTTTTCTTTAAAAGTGGTGAGAATTTAATCAAGTTATTGCACCTCTCTTTACCTCAGTGTCCTCATCTATAAAGTAGTGAAAATAAATCTCAGAGCACTGATTGAAGACTTAATAAGGTGATACACGTAAAGTGTTTCGAATAGTCTAGTACCTAGTAAGGCATAAATGTTAGCCATTTTTATTATCATCATATATTAGTTTTCTATGGCTACTGTACCAAGATTGCTATAAATTGGAGGCTTAAAACAATAAGAATATATTCTTTCAAAATTCTAGAGCCAGATGTTTGAAATTAGTATCACTGGCCAAAAGCCAGATGTTGGCAAAGATTTGCTCTCTTAGAAGGCTTTAAGGGAGAATCTTTTCCTGGCCTCTTCCAGCTTCTGTTGCCATTCCTTGGCTTGTGGCCACATCACTCCAATCTCGGCCTTTGTCTTCACTGCCTTCTTCTCTGAGTGTCTGATCTCTCTTTGTTTCTCTTTTGTAAGGACAATTATATTTGCATTTAAAGCCTACCCTTATAATCCAGGAAAATCTCACTTAAAAATCCTTAATGTAATAACATATGAAAAACCCTTTTTCCAAATAAGGTTATCATTTACAGGTTCTAAGGATTACGAACTAATGTATTTTCAGTAAGGACTGAGGAGTACAGGAGTAGGAGGAGGATGTGCATTATTTTGTCTACCACAATCATCTTTTAAAAAATATTATGCAAGATGTGTGAAAAGACAGCAGACCCAACATTAGTAAAATGTAAAAAATGCAGGAAGGACCAGAAATTTATTTTTAAAGTACATTATTTTAATATGTTTTAATTTTGATCAGATTGTGAATCAAAGATGTACAGGGCAATCAATTATTTTCTGCTCTCTTCACTCTAACATAATGCACTCAATAAATATTGTATGAGTGATTACTGTGTACCTGGAGAGTGCTAGTGCTGGGAATATCGAAGTTGACAGAAAAAGTGAGACCCTGTCCTCATGGAGTGTAAAGACCAGTGTATAAATAATAGCATTACCCTAGACAATGACTACCTTATTAGTATTGAGTACTTGTATTGGGTGTAGTTGGCTCTTTATGTTTAACCTCAGCATTTTAGGGGCAAGGAAGTATGATTAAACTGCTTTTAGAGATAAGAAACTATGCCAAAGAATATATACACAGCCAGGAAGGGCCAAATTTTGAACTCTGCTTCCTCTGATTGATTGTACTGTATATAACCTGAAACAAGGTAAAGAATAAGGACAAGCTTAAAAAATATTAAAAAAAAATTTTAGCTTATCTTTAAGAATCTATTGTTTCTGAAATTTTCACAAATAAAAATCCTGAATCCCCAACTAATGATGCTTATTTTGGGAAACAATAAATACTGTGAGGTACAATAAATCCTACAGGAATAATAATAACAACAGAAACATATTAACAGTTTCCTTTGGCAAATTTAATGGAAGTGAATGCTATGTCTAGGGGCTTTATCTTTTCACCTCTTTCAGAGGATGCTATGGGGTTCATTTTAAGTCTTCATTTGTTCTACAGGGAGGAAAGACCAAAAGTACTTGCAGTACAAAAGAAACTATATCAAACACTATGTTAAATGACAAGTGTTTATGGTAAAAAGCTGAGGAATTAGTAATAACCATTCTTGTTTTCTTGTACCTTTGAATTCCCCAAAGTCTTAATTGCTTTATTTTGGTGGTGTGTTAAATTGAACAGACAGAGATGTTTTCCTTTGTTTCATACCATAGAAGACTCTGTACAGTATGTTTGTGAAAGATTGAACTAAAATAAAGTTTGTTTGCAAACAAAAAAAAATTTTTTTTAGAAAGATAAACATCTCGTCGACTGACCACATAATGTAATTACATAGAAATATCAGCTAATGAGATGTTCTGGTTAGTTGGGCTTGGGTTTAACCAGAAAGGTAAGAACCATTTTTTAGAATTCTTTTTTGTTTTTCAATTTTTTTTCTTAGATATTAGTTGATATTTCGCCCTCAGTGAATAGACAATGTTTACTTATTCATACTTTATCTTGTTTATTTTTGTCATAAATATATATAATATGAAATGTATCATCTTAATCATTTTAAGTGCACCGCTCAGTGTACATTCATATTGTTGTGCAAACATCACCATCATCCATCTCTAGAACTCTTTTCATCTTGCAAAACTGAAACTCTATATCCATTAAACAGTTGTTCCCCATTCTTCCCTGCCCACAGCCCCTGGCAACCACCATGCTATTTTCTGTCTCTATGATTGATTTTGATTACTTTAAGTACCTCATGTAAGTGGAATCATACAGTATTTGTCTTTTTGTAATTGGCTTATTTCACATAACTTGATTTCATCCATGTTGTAACATGTGTCAGAATTTCCTTCCTTTTTAAGGCTAGATGATATTCCACTGTGTGTGTATATGACATTTTGCATTTCTTGTCAACTGTCCATAGACACTTAGATTGCTTTTGTTTAGCTGTTGTATAAGGCTGCTTCGGTTTAATGTTGCTGTAAACATGAGTGCACAGATATCCCTTAAGACTCTACTTTCAATCCTTTTGGAATATATTCAGAAGCAGAATTGCTAGATGACATAATACTTCTAATACTTAGAGGAACTGCCATACTGTTTCCACAGTGGCTGTACATTTTATATTTCCACCAAAAGCATACAAGTTTTCTAATTTTTCCACATCTTCACCAATGCATATTTTCTATTTTTTTTATAGTAGCTATCCTAATGGGGGTGAAGTGGTATCTAATTGTAGTTTTGATTTATATTTTCCTAATGATTAGGGATGTTGAGTCTCTTTTCATGTGCTCGTTAGCCATTTGTATGTCTCCTTTAAAGCAATATTTAGTCAAGTCCTTTGCCCATTTTTAATCAGGTTGCTTTGTTGTTGCATTTTAGGAGTTCCATGTATATTCTAGATATTAATCCTTAATCTGATATATGATTTGTAAATATTTTCTCCCAGTCTGTGGTTATCTTTTACTTTGTTGATATGGCCTTTTTGCACAAAATTTTAAAATTTTCATAAAGTCCTATTTGTCTATTTTTTGTCATTGTTGCAAGTGCCTTTGATGTCATATCCCAAAACTCATTGCTTATTCTAAACCTTTGTTTAAAATAATGGGTTTAAGATGACTTTAAAAAGTATGTAAAGGATCACTAAATCAAATTCCAAAAAAATAAGAGCCTAGAATGATTATGAAATAACTATAATTACAGACTAGAATGTGAATACTATCACAAACATAATGTTGAGCATCAAGAGGTAGAAACCCCATAAAGGATGATTCATTTAAGTAAAGTTGAATATTAAGCAAAGCTAACTCATAAGCACATTGTGGCTAATGTTGAGGGAGAAGGTAAGATGCCAAAATGTCCTGCTTCATGCTTTGGGGTGTTGGTTACCTAGGAGTGTTGACTTGTAAAAATTAATTGAGTTGTATAAATGTGATCTATGCAGTACTCTGTATTTGAATTATACTTTTAAAAAGTTTAAAAAGTGAAGCATTGAGACACTCATGGTAAAGAGAAATTTCCTTAAGAGTAGAAAAGATAAGTAAAGAAGTACTCAAACCTATGTTCTGTAAGAATACACACTCACCAGACTTGGTCCACCAATTTAACCATAAGTTTTTAAACAGCCATTAGACCCAAAGAAGCAGATATAATCAGAATACTATTTTTCCAGATAAAAAACCATTCTTGGTACTGAATCTGAAAAAAATGTTTCTCATGAGTCTTCATAAAGAAGGAATTGAATGGCCCTGTGAACAACATCCTTGTTAATGTAGCAAAGATTTGAACAGGAATCTTACTTACAGAATATAAAGAAGTTTAGTTATTGGATGCCTCCTTGTCCAGCTTCAAACATTTTAATTTCTAGAATGATGAGGGGGCCACATACCTCTTAGACAATGCCCTATCCATTTTTCCCCTTTTAATGATGCTTTTGACAGTGGGTGCGGGTCAGTGAGCTTGAGCTCACGTATTCTGACAAATTCTGAGTGCTCATAGACTTTGTGATGGTTTAGAAGCTGGGGTCTGCTTGACTCTTTGGGGAATCTGAGAAAATTGATTCCTTCCAGGAAAGAAAGAGTACCTCTAAGGTGGCAGTAGTGGGCAAGGTCCAGGCAGTGGTAGACCTTGCCCTCTGCTGCCATCTCAGAGATACACTCTCTTGCCTGGAAAATATCAATTTCTTGGGTTCTCCGAAGAGGAACTTATTAAGAAGTAATAAGTAGGGCACAGCGAACTAAGTTGGACTTCCCTGGATAATTCAGTTCTTTGCTGATCTCGTAGAACATCAGTAATCTCGACAGTGAGTTCTGTGACAGTAGAGATTTTGTTTTATTACTCTTTCTGCCTCTTGCAATGCCTGTCAGTGCCTTGAACAAAGTAGGGGCCCCCAAACATTTGTGAAACAAATAATTAAATTCTGCTGCCTGGTAGACATAGGGGTTGTAGAAAATTGAGTTGAATAGCTGTCAGAGTCTAAACATATTCTGCAATTTGCCTTAAAAACAGCATAATATTCTGTCATCTAGGAGTGTTCCCTTGTAAAAATTCATTGAGTTTTATAAATATGATCTATGCAGTACTCTATTTGAATTATACTTTTAAAAAGTTTAAAAAGCTAGGCATTGAGATGCTCATGATAAAGATAAATTTCCTTAAGAGTCGGAACGATAAGAAGTACTCAAACCTATGTTCTGTAAGATATGATTTTGATATGCCTTTCCATTTGTTCTCTCCCAAATAAAGTAGACACATCTCAATTACTGGTTAATTGACAGCTTCTAGTAGATTGAGTTAAAAAAGTATTTGAGGACCTCATAAAGAAGAGTTTGACCTTAGAAAATTGCTTTCAATATACAGTTTTTCAGTTCCTACGGAATTTGGTGAACAGTTGGATCTGTAACAATTTTTTATTAGTGGCATAATTTTTAATTATTCAGAAATTTGTCTAAACCAATATATTCCACGTTGATTCTTCATAAATAAAAAAAAATCAATGCAAGTTAATCTGAAGAGATGATACTTAGAGTTTTCTCTTTTCAGATCATAAATTAGAACATGTGTTCTTAATTTAAATTCTTAAGAATTGAAGAACCACTACAAAAAAAGCCAGGAAAAAGAATTCCTTTCTTAAAAAGTTGCCCTTAACAAAAGTAAAAGTTTCCATAATTCAGAAGTTTTAGCAGGCATAAAGGATTTGAAAAAACCAAATAGCATACATCCATATTAATATATTAATAATATAATTATAACTAATAATAACAAACGTCTGCCATTAGAAATGATGGGATTTACATTTCTATGTCTATTTAGAGCAAAATGTTTTTATTTTTCCTGCTAGTTCATATACTAAAAACTTATGTTGAAATAGTATTTCACAGAACACAAAAGTTACTGTTGGAATTATTGTTTCTTCCCACAAATTAGGTGGGTAGGCCTTACTTTCTTTTTTTAGATAAGGAAGCAAAACTAAGAAAGGTCAAGTGATTTCCGAGATCAAGTAATTTGTGGGTGGCAACATTAAATAGTGAACTATTTTTGACTCAAAGCCTGGTCTCTCTGCTGCCCTGAATAGTTTCCTCCTCTTTCCACATATACAGAGAAATAGTTTCTGCTAAGTCTATCATACATTGGAATGATTCACTGGAGGAAAATGATAGTACATGAATGGAATGGAGATGAGAACAATCAATAAATGACAGTATTAAGGGAGCACTAATGAAACTTTAATTTGAAAACTGCTTCAAAATGTACTCCAAGATAGGCTTCATAACCACAGTCAGATTTGATGTGAAGATAACCTACTTTTATGCGAATGCTGAAGTGACTTTAACAGTTTTGTACCTTGATGTGGTCCTTAAGGAAAATTGTCAGGGCCATTAATAAGTTTCTAAATTGATTAGGCTAATTTGGTTCTCTAAAAGACATCTTCCTATAAATTAATGCTACTTATTACATTCTGATTACAGCAAATTGCTTGCTTTCCATGCCCAAGTTTGAAAGTTTCCAGTCTCTGCATTTTTGTCCTTTCCCAGTTGTTGGCTTTCTATTTAGTCTTGCCACATTGGAACAATGAATCATCTTGTCCATTAGCTGAGTTTGGAAATTCTGTGTTATTCAATGAATTTGTTTTTACATCATCCCTTTGATAATTCAAAACCTGGCAACTTAACTGCTTTCCCAGATGTGTTTGTGATGCAACATCAACT
Organism: Homo sapiens; assembly: GCF_000001405.40. NCBI lineage: Eukaryota > Metazoa > Chordata > Mammalia > Primates > Hominidae > Homo > Homo sapiens. The sequence goes on along the minus strand of NC_000003.12, from coordinate 22,361,069 downwards.
AGTTTTGTTTTGAGCGGCAAAGGCTGTGACTTTTTTTCCTCATAAATGAAATGGGATATTTTAATAATCGACCTTGTGTATCAGAATAACAAAAGGTTTGGGTAATAATAGTGATTGATCTCTAGAGAGGTCGCATAATCAAATAATATTAGAAGGTTCTCAATTTGTATAACCTGAAAGAAACAAAAATGTGCCAACTGAGTGATCGCCCCGATTAATAGCATCTCATAGGAATACAGTTATTCATTTCTGTTTCATAAATTCCCACTAAAGGAGAGTCTAAACATTAAAGTTGAAGCGTTGTTTCTTGGTTTCTAACAGTTAAAGCATGAACAGAGGAGTGAGACAATGTATGTCAACACAAAGTGCCTTTCATGCTCTCTACTGTGAATAGGGCATATGAGGACTTGGTATTCGTTCCACCTTGAAAGAGTTCTTAAGACTTCATGTCATTACTTTGTTACTGAAATAAACAGCCATGAATCTTGGAAGCTGGCTCTTACTAAGGTTTTAATAAATCGAGTCTAAGAAATGATAAAATTAATATATTATTAAAATTTGGATGATTATCCTCGAGTATATAGAAAACAGAGTGGAACATGTCCTTTAAGATACTGCCAAGTACTGTGCAATCTTTATTGTGTTTGGAACTAAACCTGTGGCACTGACTTCATGAGTGCGTCTGTGTATGGATGGGAGTATAATGTGTGCATACAAACTGAAGCAGTTTGGAAGTCATTGAGAGGCTAGTTTGAGGATGGCTTGGCATACCTTCGTGGAAAATAATAAAAGTAGTTTGGCCTAAAAGAACGTAAGTACCAGGCACACGTTTTAAAGAAAGAAATAATGCTTTTCATTACTAGCTATGGTTTATTTAGCATTTGGCTTCTTAGTTCCTAAAATTTTTCAGAAAATGAGACAAGTTGTAAGAATTAAACTGTGAATACTTTCCAAGAAAACATCACAACCATTACCAAAGAGGAGATTTTTTAAGCTAGTCAAGTGCCTACAGCTTTAATAATCACGGTAATCCCAGCCAAAGCTGTTTCTTATTTGCAGCTTTGCTCTAGCCTCCCATTCATGTTTAAAAAGTGGCTCCATACATACGTTTAAGAACTCAATTATACATGTAAAATACCTTTTTATTGAACATTATGTTGCCGCTAGTATGTATATCTAATTCTCTCTTATAACACAGGTTTAAAAAATAGTCATATGGCCAAGAAATATAAATGATATTATAAATTCATTTGTTTATATATGTTTCATAACTAGTTTCCTTACCAATGAGACATATACTATCTGTATAGGACACTATTTCCTATCATTTTAACTGGCATTCCCGTTATCTCAAACTGAATTCATCATTTTACCCTTCCATTCAGCTCCACTTCTTCTTGACATGACTGTCTCTCAATACCAAGGCTGTTTTCTCAGAGTTTAACTATTTCTGTACATTTAAATGGTAGATACCAATCTTGACACACAATGAGTTACAATGATTGCTCCGTTATCATTATATATTACTAAATATGGGGAACCTAAAAGGGTCCTGTCATTAGTATTGTTACATTTATTTTCTGGAAATCGCCATTGCTGAAACCAGTCCTAAGTTCTATCAATATGCCCAAGGTAGTAGAGCCTCTGAAAATATTCGAGGAAGACTTTGCTTCATTTTTGAACAAAAATGCAAACTTTTTAAAAATCTCATCTGTTCTTCTTTTATGAGACACCTGCTCATTTTTTAGGTGATACTGGATTCTACAAGACAGAAAAACCTCTTGAATGTAGCATAATAATACTTCTGTGTATATTTTAAGTTAATCGAATCAATTCCAGTGTCCTCCCAGCATTAACTAATGATGGTAGACCTAAAATGACCACTGAGATGTTATTCAACATTGGATTTTCATTTTGTTCCCAGTAATTAAGTTAAAATAATCAACCGTAGTTATCAAGTGTTTTTTTTGTTTCTTGTTTTTTGTTTTTTTTTTTGGTTTTTTTGTTTGTTTGTTTGTTTGTTTTAATACGGGTAGTCAAGGCAGTATACTTTTTTGCCTAATGTCAGAAAGGGATCATCTGCTTGAATTTCCTTGGTACTGGGCCTGGCTATGTAACCAGATGTCTTGTAGGGTTATGATATCTAGACACTAAGTCATACAGATGGTTCCAATAACTGTGTAGGTGAGTGTCTTTTTCATTTAACATTTAAGCCCCACTAGGCATCCATTATCAATGCTGTTCAGTCATTGTAATCCCTGGTAGCTCTGTTACTGTAAAGGCCATTCTAAATTTTTCCTTGCTTTTTAAGTCCTCTGTCCAATGCCTGCTCCACATTCAAAATAGTATCTTATTTTTGCTTCTCAGATGAAATAAAGACCATTAGGCAAGCACATCTCCAAAATTTCTCTTTTATTACAAGTCACATCTCTATTTACCACCATTTTGATTCAAATCTCCTCATCTCAAAAGGATTACTGTCCCAATGCCCACTTATTTTATGACCGCACTTCCTCCTGGTGCTGCCTAAACATTTCATCAATTACTCATCCTCTCTCTTAAAACTTCACTCTCTCCCACCAGACCTGCTGTATTGTCCTCTATATAGAATAACTTTCTTCAAGCTGCTACTTGAATGCAGAATGCAACTTTTGAACAAAGTTGCATTTTGTTCAAAAATGAAGCTGTCTTCCTTGAATATTTGCAGAGGCTCTGCCACCTTGGGCATATTGATGGAATTTAGGACTGGTCTCAACAATGGTGAGATCTGGAAAACCTTTCCTTGGAATTGATGCCAGACTTTTGGAAAGGGCAGTATCTATGCTTTGTCTTCATTTCCTCACCTCAATTTGTCATATTTCTGAGACAATTTTTCAGTTATTACAAGTGAACTTTGTGTCACATCCAAAAGTCTCTTTTCAGTATTACTTCTTGAACATGCTGAAATATTTGACACTGCTGACTGTCCCTGTTATTCATTCGACAAATATTTATTGAGTGCCCAGTACTGCATAAGGTACAAACTTTGGAAATATGGATATAATTCAACATTTTCTTTCCAGGAGCTCAAAGGTAACTGGGAAAGAGAAAAATAGACCATTTAAAATATAGCATATCGAATGCTTGTAATGTTTAAATCTGTTTCCTAATATTTCTTGTTCTCCTTCTTCTGATCACCTGGAAGAATTGCAATTCTCCACCCCCTTGAAGTTAGATTACTCCAGAAGTTATGTTATTGGCTGTGGCCAATGAAATGTGAATGGAAGTGATATGTCACTTTTGGCAGAAGATGTTAAAAGTTGGTGTGTGATTTGCTAAAGTTCCCTTTTCTTGTCAGAGACAAACAGTACTCCAGATGGTGAAGCCTTTGTTAACCTGTGACCCTGAGAGAATAACTTGGAACAGAGGACCTGTTGACCTAATATGAATATACTGAAGGAACAAGAAATAAGTTTTTTTTTCTTTAAGTTACTAGAATTTTAGGATTTTGATAGTTTAGCATAACCTAGCATATCCTGACTGATATAATGCTACAGTAGAAATGTAAATAAAATACTGTAAAGACATAACTGTATGCTTCCAAGAATTTATATCTGCACTTCCAAGTTTTCTACTAAACTTTTCAGTCACCTTAAAATCACCACATTAAAAAGAATTTCCTAAGACTGTAAAAGTATTTGCTTGATTATAAGTGACATTAATTTATCTGTCTTGCATCTAATTGAAAAGTAGTAGAGGGTCTGTGAGAAAACCTGTCCACCACCAACCACAGCTATTTCTTACTGCATTTATTACTATAATTCAGAACTACTCTTCAGTTTGTATTTTCTCCCTTAAACACTTCCTGAAACTTAAAAACAATTCAAGTTCACTTGGAAACTTGGAGATAATGATATATTCTGGTCTATTTTTCTTCCCATCCGAAAGCTTCATTGTGTTAAGACAGGAAAAGTACTATGTAATTATGTATGTGAACTTCTTGATAATCAATGATGGAATTTTCTTTTTATGTGCTAATGCTTATTCTTGCACTTTTTCATATAATTAATATGCTCAGTAAAATGTAGGTTTTATTATAACTTGCTATCTTGTTTCCTATACATTCTGAAGATAGGGTATTTTTTGGATAGTAAATGTTTTACTCACTTAATAGTAGACTCTGATTTTATTACCACTCAAACCTCCCATTCTTCATATATGATATTATCTTATTCTTTCTTTTAAATATTTCACCTTGAATCTACTTTGTAAAATGTTCAGAGCTATCTATCTATCTTTCTATCACTCTATCATCTGTCTATCTAATCACTTTGCATTGACTAAACTCAGAAATATCCCATTTGAATGGCATTGTCTTTGATTTGTCGTCGATTCCTCTATTGCCATCTCTTAAGGAATTAAGTCATAACACTTTGCATTCTATGTATTATCTACCTATCTAATATTCGTACAGTACTTGCAACCACATCTTTATATTTCCTTGAAATCTTAGCTGTAAAGATGATCAGTTGGGAAACAGAGTTCTAGCACAGAAGACCTGCTGGAATCTCATTCAGACGGAAGTTTCTATAGCCAAGGACAACATTGTGTCTGGCCTCTTCTATCTGCTTCTCACGTTTCTTAGATTTGCCCTCACTATTTGCTGCCCCACTTCAAATACCCACTGTAAAATGCTTTCCTTAAAAAATCAAGGGATAGTAAAAGAGAAATCATACAAAGATAATACTTGAAACAACAGCATATACAAAACTTTTCATACCATACCCATTGAAATATACCTCCTGTGTGGTTTGCTGTTTCATGTGTAGACCATTTTAAAATGCCCAATAATAAGGCAAAACAGAGTACCTATGAGGTATAAACATAGATGCATTGTTGTGTGGTATTTGTATGATTTGGTGTCTTGATTTCCACCTCCACACAGTCCTTGGAATTCAAAGTAGTTAAATCTCAAGCTGCTTAAAACACGCATATTTGCTTACATAGACTCATATACCTACACAAATTAACAAGTTTTATTTTTCTGCATAGGTTTTTTACATGCTGGATCTTTGGAAAGTAATTGGAAATATTTTTAGCCTACATGCATAAAAATGCTACTTACAAGATAACACACAGAATTTACTGAGTTATGTGTCTATTTGCTGTAACACAGCTTTTCATGTGTTGTAGCTTCTATATTTTTATGACCTGAAAATAAATTGTTCTTTGTTAACATGTTCTACTGATAAATTTGTGATATGGTTGTATACTGTGTATCCCAAAAATCTGTTTTTAATTATTCCTTGGGTTAAGGACAAATGAATGTTCCTTTCTTATACTCTATAGATGATTTAATTCCATAATATATTTTTTAGCTTGCTTCATGTCTGATACGTTGATTTTTAGAAGTTTTCCTGGAATTTTTTTTAACAGAGGATCTTTTCTTTCATCATCTTGCTAACATTGGCCAGCTTCTTCCTTTATTTCTTGGAATTCATTCCAGGTACCTTCTTTAAGTCATCATGGAGCTGATTGACTTCTTTGTCTTAGTTGCTTTTTAGTTCTCTTAAACAGCTGGTGCTCTGAGACTTCATTTCATTTTTGTATACTCCTATTTTATTTATTATATCATACGTTGTTATTTTCCTAGGTCTGACTGTTGTTTTACTGAAATACATAACAAGTAACTATGTTAGAAAGAATATGTGTGATGTAAAATATAGATGTATAGATTCAGATGAGTCTTTGCAAAAGAGTTGAAAACATATCCAGAGATTAAAAACTATGCATGTTATTTGATCTAACGAATCAACTTATGGGAATTTCTTCTACAATGTATTTTTTAATGAAAATATCTCATACCCATAAAGATTTGATGATAAGTTTATAGTTGCAACTTTCTTTGCAAGTTGATGGAGACTATATAAAGGAACGAAAATGCATTCCAACAACATGATACATGATATGGCAGAAAATACATCTATTGACATTGAAATACACTTACTATATCATAAGTAAATATAGAGGCTCACAAACAAATGTATAATTTCAATTTATCCAATTTTATAATTAAATTTGTATAATAAAGGGTACAAACAATGTTGTTCAGTAGAACTTTCTGCAGTGAGGGTGATGTTCTTCCTATATCTGTGTTTTCCTGTATGGTAGCCATGAGTGACACGTGGCTATTGAGCATTTGAAATGTGGTTAGTGTGGCTAAGGAACTGAATTTCAAATTTTGCTTAAATTAAATAACCGCAACACCATATTAAACAGCACAGGCATAGAAGACTATTATACTCCAAGGACCTCATCATGATTGTTTCTGGTAAGGAGTCATTGATTATATGTTTTCCTGATGTTCTCTGTTATTGTCTGCATTTTTAAAATTAAGGTTATGATAAAAACAATATGGGAGTCACTAGTTTGAAGACAACGTGCCTGATGGATATTGTTATACCATTAAAACCATGGTAACTAAATAATTCCTTAAGGTTTTAATGTATAATTTATTATACATTATTTATTCAATTTAATTGAATGAATACAATTTAATTTAAATGAATACAATCTATTCATTTCCTTCTTATCAAGATTTCTGTCATATTTTGGAGATAATTAAATTTTTATAAGGTATTTGACTGTGTCTCTTGGATTGAGTTTGTGTTTTTCAAAGATAGAAAAATATTTTTCATAATAGCAGCAACAGCAGCCAACATTTATCAAGACTAAGTGTGGAGCACTACTTTACATACATTAACTCTAATCCTTACTGTATCTACTTGAAATATGTACTGATGTTTTCTTCATCTTGTAAATGAAAAAAACTGAAGAAACTGAGATACAGAAAATGTTCATAGCTTGCCTAAGATTACTCAGTTGGAAAATGGGGATGGGGAGTTGGAGAACTGGCTTTCAAACCAAGGCGATATAAAAAATCCAGTAATCAGTATAACTATGTTTCTCTTTCCACATTCAGCAGAGGGGATGCTAGTGAGAAGCAGATGGAGCATTGGAGTTAACAGAGCTATGGTCTGGCCAACCAAAAAAAAGAAGATAATGCAAGAAAAAGGCAAGGGAATGGAGGGTGCATATGTGTTTGTGATTAGAATGATTGCCCATGGAATTTATATTGGATAAGAAGGAAAATGAGGAACACTGAAATGTGGGGAGGAGGGAGATCAACAATGATTTCAGTCCTGGTAGTAGAACATGTGAGCCAGAAAGATAGGAGGTTGGCAAGTGAGATGTTTGAGATTTGGGAAAAGATACACTCATTTGCTCAGTTAATAGGAAAGTGTAAAGATGAGAGTGTGGCTGAGGTAGGATGGAGAGTAAGATTGCTCTAGTTAAAGGAGTGAAGGAACAGGACTGTAGAAGGACTGTCTAATTGCATATTGAAATCACCATGAGTTATGACAAAAGTAGTTTTGAAAAGAGTGATCATGAGACAAGATCTAAAATTTTGAAGTGGGTAGTGAATAACTGCAACAAGGAAGGGGGGATAGTGCTACAGTCCGAGGACATAGGATTGATCTCCACATTCTATTGTTGTGATGGCAGGGTCTGGCACATAGCAAGCAATTATATCAGGACATCGTGAATTCAAATTGGGCACATCTCCTGTACTTGGAGGGCTACCAAATATACAGAGACTGCAACAATAAATCAGGGAGAAGTGATTGTATTTTGCATGAAATTTTCTGAACCACTGACCTGGATGACAACCTGATGCTGCTTGGGCATGGTCATGGTCCAGGAGACATGGTGGAATTCAAAGAGGCAGTGCCAAGGGCACAGCCTGTGCTTCTGTTACTTGGCATGGCACAGATGAGTGAATGGCCCCATTTTTCTAATAGGGGGACCTACACTGAATGAAGAGATTCCAGTAGCAAGAAGCTCTGGCAGGCCTGTGGATTTAAGCTAAACCAGACTTCCCACACCAGAAATTTGCTTGAGGTGGAAGGAATAGGATGTAACAAACGCAGCTTCCTTAGCTACTGCCTATGCAGAGAACTCAACATCTTTTTTCCTCCTCTTCCTTCTTACCTTATCTTTGGTGGAATAAGGAACCATCTAGAAACAAAGACATCGTGACATAAGATGAGGCCTCATGTCCCTCCATGTAGAACTCTAGGGCTTGGAGGGAAGGAAGAGAGCTTCTAATCACATACGAAAATGAGGTTTTAAAATGGATATTGAGTGACTCTTAACAACTTGAAAGTGACTGAAAGATTATAGAATTAGACTAAAATGTGATAGGAACCTGCTATCTAATGGAAAGAGGGACTTGAACAGAAAACACGTAATAGTTGTTTGTGGAGAACTATGTATGCCTCCAAATTTTTATCTACTGAATATGTTTAGAGTGAATGAATTACTCAGATTTGCTTATAATTTGGAATTGCTTGGTGAAAACCTCAGGATGTTTGTACATAAACCTTTAGTGATAGGAAGTTATAGAGACCTGGATGGTTGCTGTGTTCAGTAAGGTCAAGATAAAGCCACTCACTAAAAATGTGTTAGGGTATGATTATATTACAAGAATCAAAGATCCAAAGAAATCTCTTAATTTGAAATCCAAGAATCTTAAGACAAATCGCCCATCTGGGCTGTGAATCACATTTTTCACCTTGGAAAATGCAAACCTCAGTCACACCGTGTCATGCACAGGAACAGAGATAACGTGTGATTGTGAAAGGAGGCTCTGCTAACCTAAATGGATCTAAACTGCCTAAAATGCTTTGCAATGCCTTGGTGAACTCACCTCATGTTGTAGGTAATTGAACATGTTCATAAGTTTATTAGATGAGGAATGGGAGGAAATCCTGTCAAAGATTTTTAGGCAGGAAACTGGTAACTTTTGCCTTACTTTTTTCTTCAATTTTGCTTTCACATGTGCCGGGAAAAGTAAGGATTGTAAATTACCTCCTACTTAAACTTATTACAGACTTCTTAGTCTTGCAGGGTGGAAGAAAGTCTGTGATACCCATCATATTGCTGGAGAATCATTTCTTCCTTGCCACTGTGTAAAGGTTTGTGGCTGGCTCAGATAAGGAAACATTAACATATCCCTTTTATGTTGGCTACATGAACGGTATGAGGTAATGATACAAAAGATGTATAAAAGAAAGCCCACGTAAGGATGAGTAAGTACACAAGCAGTTCTTTTCTCTCTCTTCAGGTTAGCACCATTTTCATTCTATATTTGGGAGGAAAACTAGCTTAAATCTCTCACTCAACCTGATTTTTGAATTGCCTTCTCTTTTTATGGTGGAGGGCAAGCAATTCAGATCTCTGGATTATGAATTTTGTGAAACCCATGATAGTACTATTACTTGAAGCCTGTGTTGAAGATATGAGTTAATCTTTAATGTGCTTTGTGATATGTATTTATTTAGTCTCAAACTACCACCAAGTATCATTGTAGGCTTGTTTGCACTGGATTTTTAGCTTACTCTCATTATACAGAGTTATTGGATGTATTTGTATTTGAAGCTATATTTGTAGTTATAGCAAGTGTACTGCTTATATTGTAGCATTGTGTATAAAAATCTGATTTAGATTTTTGGAATGCTAGTATCTGGAAAATACCCTTAAAGTATTTTCCAGACAGCTGGGCCAAGTATTTCAGTAATTATGCTTGTTAACTTTTATTATTTATATCTCTTGTGTCTTAGTATCCCTTGTCTTTGTATAAACTGCTCATTTCTGAGAGAATCTTTCAGAAAGTTCTAAATTAAATAAGAATGGTCTAAGGAGAAAAAACAGGTAGATATATATTGCTATGCTTTCTAGGGAGGGGCTTTGATAGAATCTCAGTGACATTAGAATGCAGCATATTCATTTAGCTTGGCTAAAATTACTGTCTTTATGGAAAACAAAACCAATTCTGGCTACTTTGCATTCCTATAAAATAACCTGAGTGGTTATTTTATCAGGCTAATTGCTTTTTTAAATTAACATTTTTATTTTGAGATAATTGTAGATATACATGCAGCTGTAAGAACCAATGTGAATTGTCCTTTACTGACATCAGTGTAGCATTGTGGATAAGAGTATGTGCCAGGGGAAGCGGGTCTATTGAATCTCTTCTAACATGTCCTAATTATGATATCTTAAGGTAAGTTGTGCAGCCTTACTGAGAGTGAGTTTCTTCATCAGTGAAGTGAAAAATAATGTATATCCCCCAGAATGGTTTTAGGTATACCTAGGGTTTAAGGTATGCCTGCCATGCAATAAGTGGTGCTTATTAACAGTATCTTTAAAATGTGATGAATTCTAGCTATGGTTTTAGTGCCACAGAAGAATGTCTTTTACACATTCAAAAGGAGCACTCTGTCAAGAAGTGTATTCATTCTAGAAAGGAAGTTATAATCGCATGTGAAAAAAACAACAAAAAAAAGAAATACATTATCTTTTGGAGTATTGTTACTTGAGTATATGCTTATCTTCACTGAATTATAAGTTCTACAAAGATAATGGCTAGGTGATATTTTGTACATAAGGTGTCTTCAACAAATATTAATTGAATTAAGAATTTGCTAAGGTTTGTCAAGCCTGGAATCAATAGCTTATACACACAGATTTATCATGGACTGGTGCTACAAATGCTCATAGTTAGAACTTTGATCATTAATAGGGCAATATATTTTATCGTCAATATTTTATTATGATATCATCCACATTTGGGTTCAAAGGTGAGTAATTAAACACATGGGTAATCCCATCCTAAAGGGTTAACTGCACAAAGAAATTTTTACTGAGTTATTTTTCAACCATACATCTTTTCCTTTTAAAAAATATTATTGAATCTGAAGTGAAAAGACATAAAAACAATGCAAAGTGGAGACACAGTTATAAGCAACTAATATTAACATGTTGAAACAGTTATGAATTTTTCCTGGGGTAAACTTCTTTGCATGTAAACGCTTAGTCTAAAGTCATGGGAAGCAGTATTGTATTGGACATCCAGGCTTTGAGCATTGTGAATTCATAAGACAGGAGAAGAAAACTTTAGAAAGTTCTACCAAACATTTTTTGGTTATATTCTGAACAATTAAACCAAACTCTATATTCATGTTTACTTACAACATAGCCAAGGTTTATTTCACATTTTATGCATTGCATTATTATTATTTCACACTTGTAATCTTTTGCTTATATTTTACAACTTCATGAGTGGTTACATCTTATATTATTAATTGGTTATTGTCCTACACAAGAATTCAGAAAATTAATAATGGCAATGTCTAGAAATTTATCGAAGTTAGTAGTTCTCAGTGTACTTTTGAATTTTCTTTCATTTCATGCTAAGTGTGGTTGGACCCAGACCATAAATATTGCACTGGAAACTGCATAAAAATTCATGTGTCCTGTTGATTTATGGTCCAGTGCATTTATTATCTGTCACACATCCTTGATCATATATGCCTTCCCTTTTTTAAAATGAAGGATTTCCAGAAATAGTAAAACCTTGGGTTTGGTCCCAGAAATGTCAAATCTTATAAAAGATGTTTTACAAAGTATGTTCAATTGCATTATCTTGTTTATTTCTCTTTCTTGAAGAGTAAATGTTCAGTACGTGTGAGGTAGGAAACACAGATATCACCAGTGTACATTTAAGAAGATTGGGAAGTTATTATCTCAGAGAATGGCATTGCCACTAGAACTCAAAACAACTACCTCCACACTGAGCAGTCTTTCCATTGAATCACATTTTTCCTACGCAAGTCCCCTAGGAACACTATTCACATTGTGACAGTGAATATGGTGAACAAGTAATTCATACTGTAATTATCTAGGTTCAACTTGAGATTCTTCTGCTGCTGCTACTATTCAGCCAAACATGTATTTGCTTGTTTATTTCATGGGCTCATTTAATTCTGAAAGCATTTAGTGAGTGCCAGGTACTGTTCCAGGCACTCAGCATACAAAGATTAATAAGTATTGGGATTTTTACCCTTGAGAGAGGTATAGTATAGAGAAGGAGACATGGAGTTCTGAATTTTAAGCAAATATTAACCTAAATGAAGAGTAATTTTATAGTAAAATTAATTGCTTAGATCATGAATAGAACAATTAGCATATGCTCTGGTTGGAGTCATTTGCTCTCAGATAACTCCTGGAATGAACAACTTTATGTAATTATGCCATTTAATGGCTAGCTTTGTCTACATGCTTGTATTAGTTTGCCAGGGCTGTCATAACAAAGTACCACAGATTGAGTGGGTTAAAAAACAGAAATTTAATTTCTCATAGTTCTAGAAGCCAGAAGTCTGCTATCACCATGCCTCTCTCCTTAACTGGTAGATAGCAGTCTTCTGCCAGACTCTTCACATGATATTCCCCTATAAGTGCCTGTACCCTACTTTCTCTCTCCTCCCTCCCTCCCTCCCTCCCTTCCTTTCTTTCTTTCTTTCTACAGCGTTTTGCTCTTGTCGCCCAGGCTGGAGAGTGCAATGGCGTGATCTCGGCTCACCGCAACTTCCACCTCCCGGGGTTCAGGCAATTCTCCTGCCTCAGACTCTGGAGTAGCTGGGATTACAGGCATGCACCACCACACTTGGCTAATTTTGTATTTTTTTTTTTTTTTTTTTTTTAGTAGAGATGGAGTTTCTCCATGTTGGTCAGGCTGGTCTTGAACTCCTGACCTCAGGTAATCTGCCTGCCTCGGCCACCCAAAGTACTGGGATTACAGGCATGAGCCACGGCACCCAGCCTACTTTCCCCTTCTTATAAGGTTATTATTCAAATAGGATTAGGGACCACGCTAACAACTTCATTTTTAGTAATCACTTTAAAGGTTATCCTAAAATAGTCACATTCTGAGGTAATGGGTTTAGGACTTCAAAATAGAATTTTTTTTGGAGGGGTGCATAAGTCAGCTCATAACAATGCCTTTGTAACAATGAGCTTATATTACTTAAGAAAAAGCCAGTTAATCACTATTTGCCTGTTTTCTCCTATTAATATAGGCTCCTTGAAAGACAGGTACCAGTTAAAAAATGTATGTTATTATTTATATTCTAAGCGTAGACCTTAGTTAGATTTTATACATGCTGCAATTATCACAAAATTCCAGAAGTAGAGGTACTATAATTTCTTCAGGAATTTATTCATATTTCAGGTGAAACAAGAAAAAGCAATCATATTGAAGGCAACTCTAGATATTGCACATTCCATTTTATCCATTCTGGTTGTTTGAGTGATGGGTGAGTTTACTGAAATAAGAAACTTAGAATGTTCTTAATTTATATGCAAAATTGAAGGTTTTTTTTGGAGAGACTATATAGTTCTGTATAAATGTGGTTTTAGGAATTTTGTTCCCAAATTTAATAGCTGAGATTTTCTTCCATTCCCATCTTTTTGTGTAATCCTCTATTGTTAGGGCATGCATAAAGTGAAACAGTCATATCATTTTTAAATCTTAGCAACAGTTTATCTTAACCTTTCTAACAACGCTACCAAGCTGGAGAATCTATTTTTATTTAGCTTCTAACTCAGATTTTGATTTTGTTGAGCATCAAATGATCTAAGTTTCTATTGACATGTCTGATTGTTTTGAAACTGTGCAGTTTTTCTGATGTTAGCTAGCCTTTTCTAAAATTGAGTCAGCTTCCACTTACTTTCTCTTCCTTGGGGGCTATAGATCAAGTACAGTTAACTATTATGATACTGGGAGAGACCTTTTGACTTCAGTTCAGAACTGTATAGATCAAAACTCAAGGAGAGAAATCTTTCTTCCCTGCAGTGGTTTGACCTGAAATAACTGGGTTCTAATGCTACCAACAAAATATTTTCTTATAAATTGAATTTTGTCAAAGCTATTTTTAAAATCTCCATGATAAACTTAATTAAATGCATTGTTTAAAGATGAATAAACATGTTATGAGCAAACCATATGATTTTGCTCTATAGCTCAAAATGAAACACATTTTTTTGTAAAGGGTAATGAAAACATACAATATGGTGCAAAATATGTGTCTCTCTCTTTATGTCACTTTCATTTTTGCAGTGTCTTACATTAATCCTTGAAGTTTTACTCTTTGTTTGTACATTATGTGGGTTGGCAGTTATAGGAGATTGAAAGTCCCAAATGGTCAACTACTTAGGTGGATACTTGTCTTTGGATTCTCCACTAGCATATTAACAACATCTGACTGATCATAAACCGGAACAGAATGAAAAATGCCATTATGATAGTGTAGTGTCGCACTCTGGATAAAAAGGAAATTTTCTTTTTAAAGTAGGCAAAAGTGGTAGTTTGCATTTACCATCGACACATTAGAAAACTCCCTTGTCTGTATTTTCATGATTAGTATAAAATGCACTGGGGTTTTTTTGAGGTGAGAGAAGGGAACTGAATTTTTTTAAAAAGAATATATAAAATAGCACTTAACTCTTGAACAACGGTTTCTAAATTGTATAAAAGGCAAATGGTAGTTAAGAGTCAGGTGTCCACTGCCTGGGTTTAGATTAAAATTTTTATCACCTATTGGATTTGGTTCATTGGATACATTTTACACCCATTAAACTTTAGTTTTCTTCTTGGTATAATGGGATAATAATTTGTAAACTCGTAAGTTGTTCTTGGGATAAAATGAAATAGTGAATATAAAAGCACTTCACATAATATTGAATGCATGGCAAATGCTTTATAAATTTAACTTGTTATGATTGTTATTAAAACATTTCAAAATAGAATGAAGGAAGATATCCCAGTACAGTGCTTCAAAAAATCCAGATTGCCTTTTTTTCCCCAACAGATATGTCGTTATTTGTATTTAGACAAATATTTTTGGAAAAAGAAATGAATATTTCTTTGAGGAAAAACGTCTATTCCTTTGAGCTGAAGAAAGTGGTAGACAGGAATTTATGGAGCCTGGCTTATAAATTAAGTCATTCTATAGGCATAAAGGCTAACAGGAGTGGGAAATATGAAAATAAATTCATGTATGTCAGGGAGTGCCAAGGGAGTAAAGCAGACATTCAATTTCCATTTTCAGCTCATTGCAGTTGGGTTCCAGGAAAAGCACACCCCATGAGGAGATGAGTATGCAAGGAGTTCTTTTTGGGATCAACACATATAGAAGGGAAGAAAGCAGGATCGGGACAAGGGAGAAGCTGAACTGTGATGCAGTCAGCTTTCAGCGAAGCCATGGGAGCACTAGAACTGGAATAGCCCCTCAGAGATGCCCTGACTTGGGCAAGAGTGCAGACTTTATACCTTCATGTTGACCAGTCATTGCATGCAGACTGCGAGATCTGAGAGACCCTGGGAAAGGGACATGATCTTGGACTAGGGGACTGTCTTCCCCTAAGTGAAATAATTGAATGTATCAGCCAGTAGCACTTCTAGAAGCTGGAAGATGAAGTCATGTAGTTCTGAAGGGGGGCATCTGGGTTTCACAGCTCAGCACTCATTACACAGCCGCTATTCTGTACCTAGCTGCTTTATTTTCTCTGTACATAAGTTATATTAAGCATCTATTTACTTCGTTATTGTTTGACGTTCCCCAAAGTGAAAACTCCATGATAGCAGGGGATGTGCCTGTCTTGTATATCTCCATTGCCTAAAATGGTGCTTGGGATATTGTTGTCATTTACTGTCAAAAGAAATAATCTAAGGTATTTGCTTAATAAAGGAATGTGAAGTTTTTGTGTTTTAGAAATCAGGATTTTACTTTATGTTTGAAGAGATGAGTAATTACACAGCTTTCAGTCATTGAAAATGTAGGTTCATTTATTTTTGAAGTGTCAAACAAAGATATTGAGTATGGTAAAATAGACTGAAGAGTTGGAAACCTTTTGCTCTGTATCTGGTATGGTATACTAGTAGAGTTACCTGGACAGTGAAATAATTGAGTTAGTAGAGAACTACCATAAAGGCAGTCCATAACTAAAACAATAATATTAAAATTATTAGTATGGTTTGCATTATTATTGTTATTATAGTTAATACTGTATCACATAGCACCTGTTGAATAGCAATGTGTGAGAAATGTATACTAGGACCCATGATGATCATAAACAATTATTACACCTGTGCTTTGTAGAGTTTCTCAGAATAAGGTTTCCTGAATCACCCATGACTGAATCATATAGGAAGCATGAAAAAGTAGAAATTTTGGGCCCAAGCTTCTCACTTGGATAGGGCTGAGCAACTACATTCTTCAAAATCTTCCCAGGTCACTGTCATGCACATTGAAGTTTAAATAGTTTAGTTGGTGAATCAAATCATAGACCTACAAAAGGGAACAAAGGGAAATAGAACCAGCATTTACTTATTAAGGATTTATCCTCATTAAATATACTTAATCTTTACAAACAAGAAGTCTAAAATGTTACTGTTAAAGAAAATACTAGCCTGGTGCAGTGGCTCATGCCTGTAGTCCTAGCACATTGGGAGACAGAGGCAGGCAGAACACTAGAGCCCAGGAGTTTGAGACAAGCCTGAGCAACATGGCAAAACCCCTTCTCTACAAAAAATACAAAAAAACAAAACAAAAAAACAAAGAAAACCCCAAAATGAGGCAGGCATGGTGGTATGCAACTGTAGTCCTAGATACTCAGGAGGCTGAGGCAGGAGAATCACTTGAGCCCGGGAGGTCAAGGCTGCTGTGAGCTGTGATCACATCACTGCACTCTAGCTTGGGTGACAGAGCGAGGAGACCCTGTCTCAAAACTAAAACAACAGCAACAATAAAATACCTATTTAAAGCAAAGGTAATATTATCCTTGATTTTAAGATGAGGGGACTGAAGCTCTGAGGAATTAGTAATCCTGCAGTCAGTAGTGAGTAGAGATGAAATTTTATCCAGTCTGACTCCAAAACCTTTCTTTTCTACTGGATTATGATACTTCCTGGTCATGTAATTTCACACACACACACACACACACACACACACCCCACCCCACCCTACCCATGTGCCTATAAAAATTCTTCAAAACACAAGAGGCCAAATGGAACGGTTTGTCATTAATTTTCACAGGACTGATATACAATATATGCAATTAGTTCACTGCAAAGAGGGATCCCTATCTTCTGGGAAGGCATCATGAAGGAAGAGAGTTGAGTTGGATCTTAAATAATGGGTGGAAAGTAGACAATAAGAGAGAAGTCAAAATAGTCTTTTCACTTGTTCATTTTTTTTAATGGATGTGGTAAAATGTAAATATGCTGGGGGTACAGCCCAGTAGTTGGGGAATTAATAAGCATTCCAGGTAATTTAGATTTACATTCAAGTGTGAGAATGACTGTACAAGGGGCACTGAATGTGATATTGTTTTCTGATAAAAAGAAAAAAATAGTAAAATATTGTAGGTCTATTATTTAATGTTCTCAGATGCAAGCATTAAAAACTGACTTTAGTAGGCTTAATCAGGATGGAAATTTATTAGAAGAATATTGGGTAGCTTATAGGGTCAATGAGATTAGTAGGGAGTGAGGTGAAGAAATGGGCAGGAACTGAAGATGTCAGAAGATCAAGGAACATGGCCAAGGCCAAACCACAGGTACAGTCAGTAGGATTCTCTCTTGCTGTTGCCACGGACACTGCTGCCACTGGACAAGTGCTGCTACTCCCACCAGGGTAGTCCCACCAGGGGAATTAGTTGTTGCATAGTTGTTCCTGTGTATCCCTCCAGTTCCAAAGTCCTCAGTAGGGGTCTCTGGCTGGCTGAACTGAAGTCACTTGTTCAACTCTTGGTCCTGGAAATAAAGAGGAAGTATGTGTGGACACCTTTGGCTTCCACAGTAGAAAATTCCCTGAAATGGAAACGTAGATCTGTCAAAATCATTGCTGGGTTGTTTTGTTTTGTTTAGTGAGTGATTTCAAAGACACTAATGGTTTTAATGATGGGTCTTGAATTAGCTCTTTTATGTCAATGCTGTCAAATACAAATACAATACAATCTATATACATTTTAACATGTCTAGTAACTACACTTTAAAAAGTAAAAAGAGGCAGGAAAATGTAAATACTTTAACCAAATATCTCCAAATATGTATCGTTAAAACGTATAATCATTATAAAACAATATTAATGAGATATTTGATAATTTTTCTAAGTCTTTGAAATCAGGTGTGTATTTGTTCATAACAGCACATCTCAATTTGGACTGGTCATGTTTTAAATGCTCAATAGCTACCTGAAGCTAGAGGCTACCACTGGACACAGAAGCTTTAGATTATTAGGTATCTTCAACTGTGGTTTGGAATAGTCAGGAAGCTTTTGAGATTGAGGTCTCTTGGAGAAGTTCTTTCCAAAACGACTTTGGGCACATGACTTAATTATAATCCATTGGAGACATTTCTTCAAGGGCTGAGGTATTATTTTCTATATTCTTTGCTTGTTGGTGTTCTAGCAATTCATGGAAAATCACCCTGGAGAGTACGTAACAATCAGTAGTTCAGCACTGCTTCTGTTTTCCTTTTCTTGCATAAAAAGCTCCAGTAACTGTCTGTTGCATGTAGGTTAAAACTCTAACCTTCTGCAGAGATGTGTTCTTTGGGTAATTGTCATACACTTCTGTCATAAAGTATTGCAGAGATTATGGGATATATATGAGTTTCTAAATAAGTTGTTCAGGTAGATGAAAAAGGAGACAATTCTAGATCCAGGGAGAAAAGCCTGGATGGTCAGATTCATAGAATTTACAAGTAAATAATTAGCAGAACTTGATTGTAAGTCTACAGGAGATATTAAAACTAAAGGTAGGACTGAGGTTTTAGCCTGAGTAACTGGTAAAATGAAATTATCATTGATAGTAATTCATTCAGTCTTTTTTTTTTTTTTTTTTTTTTTTTGAGGCGGAGTCTTGCTCTGTCGCCCAGGCTGGAGTGCAATGGGGCTATCTCGGCTCACTGCAAGCTCCGCCTCCTGGGTTCACGCCATTCTCCTGCCTCAGTCTCCCGAGTAGCTGGGTCTACAGGCTCCCGCCACCATGCCCGGCTAATTTTTTCTGTGTTTTTAGTAGAGACGGGGTTTCACCGTGTTAGCCAGGATGGTCTCGATTTCCTGACCTCGTGATCTGCCTGCCTTGGCCTCCCAAAGTGCTGGGATTACAGACGTGAGCCACCGCGCCCGGCCTCATTCAGTCTTTTAATTCATTAAACAGTTTTCAGTGTTAACTATGTACTTGGCACTTTTCTGAAAGCCAGAGATATTACCATAATTAACAGTAATAGCTCAAATTTACTGAGCACCTACTATGTGCCTGGCATTAATATAAGTTATTTACAAGAAATAGTATTGTTTTAAGGATTATAATGCATTAATAGCTTGGGAGATGTTGAATGATAAGTAGAAGAGCTCAGAGTTATAATTTCATTCCATTTGATTCCATAGGCAGTTATGAGTTTGATGCTCCTAATCCCTACATTTTATAGCCTCCAAAAGATATGACTATCAACTCTGTTTGATGTTAACTTTTGTGGCATTTACGTTTTATAGTGAATAGTAATGGAGGAGGAATAAAGGAATACCCCTTTGCCATTCAGATAGTGGATAATATTTTTTGGTTCATTCCAAATGGTGCTTAAAAAAATTAGTTGAAGATAGGAGACTGACCTCTAGAGATGTCAGAAGAGAATATATGGAGAAGGAGGTTTGTAGGTTGTTGGACAGTGAACTTTTTAAAATAAAGGTCCAGAAAGCAAGTATTTTAGGCATTCTGGGCCCTATGATCTCTGTCACAACTCCTCAACTTAGTCCTTGTAGCAAAATCAGCCATAAGCTACATGTCATAGATGGGTGTGATTGTGTCCCAAAACAAGTTTATTTACAAAAGCAGGTGGCAGGCACATTTAGCCTGTGGACTCTAATTTGTGTCCTTCTGATGCAGATAAAAGCATTATTATAATATGTTAAGAGTTTGAAGAGAGATTGGTAATAATATAATCTACTCGTTTTTTGTAGGTATTGAGATAGCAGAAGTACAAGGAAAATAAACTTTCTTGAAATCTTTGATGTTTCCAGAACCAGAATAAGAAACCAGGTTTTCTTGATTCTTTGTCTAAGTCCCTAGCCATCATAACTCTGTTTTGAAAGACCTTGCTTGCTTTGTCACCTTAATGGTGATGAAGTTATCCTATGTGGTAAGTAGACCATGACCTGGACCGCCATTGACCTGATAATATGGGAAGAGATAGAATATACAAAGGAAAGATGTCCTGGTAGCACAGCAAAGAATTCCCTTGTGATAGTCGATAGAAATTGAAGCTGACATGGCTCCTGCCCTGGCTTACTGGCATAAAAGGCAGTGAGCCTGTGAATGTGGATTCCTTATCCTTTATATGTGGGTGCAGTTAATTACTTATGCTGGTCATACATTCATGTGAATGTAAGGAGACACTAGGAAGGTGGGTCCTATCATGTACTTGTATTTGTATCTCTTGTATGTCTTATGTCCTATTCACATCTTATTATTATTATTTTGGAGACAGAGTCTCACTCTGTCACCGATGCTGTAGTGCAGTGGCACAGTCTGAACTCACTGCAACCTCCACGTCCCAGGTTCAAGCGATTCTCCTGCCTCGGCTTCCCAAGTAGCTAGGATTACAGGCGTGCACCACATCACCCAGATAATTTTTGTATTTTTAGTAGAGATAAGGTTTCACCATGTTGGCCAGGCTGGTCTGAAACTCCTGACCTCAGGTGATCCACCTGCCTTGGCCTCAGAAAGTGCTGAGATTACAGGTGTGAGCCACCACGCCCACCTCACTTCTTATTTTTTGTTTGATTAGTGAATAAAGTGGCCATAAGTTTTAACTGGGCCCAAATCTTTATTTATGTCCATTTTAGAACCCAGACCTGTTCTTTGTGGTCTAACATAGCTCAAACATTTATTTCAAAGTGGCAATTTAACAGGCATGGTTATAATTTATATTTAATTTGAAATTCATCTTTCTTAGCAATAACCTTGAGATAACCAAAGTTCTTAATTTGTCCCCAAGCAGGTCATGTTCTATTTTCATTCATGGATAATACTTAATGTATTTTAATTTGTTTAATGAAATTTTTAATTGAATCTATGAAAATGTCTGAGTTTTATGAAGCAAAGAGGGGAATAAGTATGAGTACATGACTGATGGGCAGATTTAGACAAATGGTCACAGAAAGTGGGAAATGGAAGAGAAAACAACAAATGGTACAGAGAAGGGCTCAGAGGGTTAGGTGGAGAAACTGAGTAGGATCAGAGGACCAGAGATTCAGAGGAAAGAGTTTTTTAAAGCGGATGTCGATCAGTATCAAAAGCTGGCTGCAGAAACTACCAGTAGACTTGGCATTTAAGAGGTGATTAGTGACATTTTTGGTGATGTTTCAAGATAGTGAAGGCAGAAACCAGTGTACTGATTTCTAAGGAGTGAGCACATAAAGCAGGTGAGCATTAATTTCAGAAATTTGGGAAACTAAAATGGACTGTAGAACAGTAGCAAGGATAATCGCCTTTCTTTTCAAGGAAGAGGTACTACTTTATTTCTGAGCATCAAATGGAAAAGGTTAATAGAAAAGTGACATGTTAATACATAACATTTATTGGAGCTGTTGAGGGTTTTCAGCTCAAATTTCTATACTGCATATGTACTTTATTGGAAGTCTTTCATCTGTAAGAACCCTTTGATGGTAGAGATGTGGCTAATTAATCTTTAAATATTCAGCACCTAGCATAGTATATGGCACATAGTATTTGATAACTATTAGTTGAACTGAAAATACCAGGCCTTCCTTGTTCACAAAGAAGGTGAGAAAATGATATTAGCTATGTTAATATAAACATGAATAGTTTTCAAGTATTTACTTACGCACTTGGGCAACTTCAATTTCTTTCATTGTTTCATGGTGGCAAGCTTTTATATTATTTAGTTATTGAACTTCAGCTAAAACTAAATGTTTTAAGTTGTGACAAAACTAGCAGGGAGGAGTAGTTTATTAGCAAGGCAGCGTACAGGAGCACATGCTTTAAAACATGCATATAAAATGTGCATGTATGTGTGTATGCACACACATTTATAATGTGCCTATCATCTCTCTATATATATGTATTTAAACATCAATGTTTTCTTTTTTAAAAAGTGAGATGAGGCCAGGTGTGGTGGCTCACACCTGTAATCCTAACACTTTGGGAGGCCAAGGCAGGTGGATCACCTGAGGTCAGGAGTTCGAGACGAGCCTGGCCAACATGGTGAAACTCCATCTCTACTAAAAATACAAAAATTAGCTAGGTGTGGTGGCACGTGCCTGTAATCCCAGCTACCCAGGAGGCTGAGGCAGGAGAATTGCTAGAACCCAGGAGGTGGAGGCTACAGTGAGCCGAGATCGCGCCATTGTACTCCAGCCTGGGTGACAGAGCAAGACTCCACTTCAAAAAAAAAAAAAAAAAAAATGAGATGAATATGTTTTGCTGCACATTAACTTTACTTTTTTATTTATAATATCAAAACTAAAAATCTTGTTACATTCTGTACTGTGAAAGCAACTCTCAAAATATGAATAGAAAAGATAAGACATATCTAGAGCTATTTATGTTAAACTTATTTCTGAGCCAACATCAATTTCTATCCACTGTATATTGATATTTCTGTAATGTCATGTTTATTATAAAAATCTGACTTTACTCACCTCTTTTTCCAAAAAAAGGGCAATCTACAGCTACATAGGTCTTCAATTACTAAACTGTTATGGAATTCTATGTTATCAAAAGTAACATATTTTCTCTCTCTTATGTGTTTCTTTGAATTATTAAACTAAAAAGATCATATGGAAATCATATACTCACCAAAATCTTTGTCAGAAAATAGAGTTGTCAACATATTACTTGGTTTAATCAAGTTTTATACTGTACATAAAACTAAGTCTGCACCGAAGTATAAGGAAAACATTGAGATAATTACTTAAAAGAGATCTATTGCAGGTCTCTTTACTATTAATAGTCACCTTTCTCCTACTTTCTTTTCATGTTTCTCAACTTATTAGAAAAATATTTCAACCATATTTTAGTGAGATGTTACTGTGTTTTCAGCATATGTTATAAGCTGTAAGACAAATGACTTATGGATGAGAAAAAATTTTAGTTCTGTGCTGCAGCCACATAAACCCCATATGTAGAATTTGTCCTTTCTGTCTTCAGTCAGCTTGGTGTACCAAAAGGTGTTTGTCGAAAAGTCAAAGGGTCCACCACTCTCTTTACTATCCATGCAGACCACGTTCCAGTCATGAAAACTGTATGGGAAACAAAACAGTGATAGCTCCTGTTCTGTCCTCTCACCTTACAGGTATAACTAACATGGTTCCATTCTTTTCCTGCCCTTTTGAAATTCTATGAAAACATACAAATATGAAAATAAAAGCAAAAAAGGAGGTAGAGAATATTGAAGCTTTTAATTATTTCTGCTGTTTGGTTTCTATTAGTATCAGGCAAACATTTCTAAACTCTATGTCAAGTCTATCTACTTTTCTGTGACTATTAAGCAAATTGGGCATTTTCGGTGAGTTCTAATACCAAGTGTACCAAATGAGTATTTTAACTGTATTTTATTTTTATTTTTTTTGAAAAGGAGTCTCACTCTGTTGCCCAGGCTGGAGTGCAGTGGCGCAATCTCGGGTCACTGCAACCTCCGCTTCCCAGGTTCAGGTGATTCTCCCTCCTCTGCCTCTTGAGTAGCTGGGATTATAGGCATGCGCCACCACGCCAAGCTAAACTTTGTATTTTTAGTAGAGAGAGGGTTTCACCCTGTTGTCCAGGCTGGTCTTGAACTCCTGGCCTCAAGTGAGCTGCCCCCACCTCGACCTTTCAAAATCTGGGGATTACAGACGTGAGATGCCACATCCGGCCAAGCATCTTAACTGCATTTGTTTTGATGAAATGTGGAGCTATCCATTCTTATAATGAGCATAGCACATTAAAAAAAAAATCTCATGGAAAAAGTTAAGCTTTACTTCTAAATGTTGAAGTAATTCATAAAACATCATTGAAATGACTTATAAAGTGTTACTAAATATATAATTTTTATTGACTTTCTACTCTTTGACAGCAGGTAAATGAATGGGTTTTTATGACTTTATTTGAATAATTTTATATAAAGAAAACTAGTAGAGGTGTTCACTAAGGGAGCATAAAATATTCTCTCCTCACTAACAGTAAGGGTTTTTTTTTTTTTTTTTTTTTTTTTTTTGAAAAATCACTGTTTGCATAGTGGTTTCAAGGATGTCATTCATTACCATTATGTCTGTAATGAAACATTTAAAGCACAGGTGGCATTTTCCTTAAACACTCTGGTCCTACATATTAAAACTTACTGTTTTAAGATTACTAACCCACATTATGCAAAAATTTGGTATAAAATATGCCACTAATTTTAGAAGTGCTATAATAAAATATTTTTTATAATAGAAATGATACAGAAGCAAGTCTGGTTTAGTTTGATATTTAATTTTACCAGTTATAAACATGGAAATTTGATGTGTAGTGAAATACTTGATGATGTGTTGTGGAAAATAGCTGTCAGATGTGACAAGATAAAAATACATAATTTCCTCTGTAGGTCACCAGCTTAACTTTTGAAAATAATAACTTGGACTTCTGTAGCAAAAGTCACATAGAATATAAAAATAGGCTGCTGCAATTAAGATAAAAAATCAGAAAGCAAAAGCTAATTTAGAGTTACTGTTGAATAAATCAGTTCCGTAAAACTATTTCTGATACAGTTGAATAGCTTTTTAGTTTGAACAAATAAAAAAAGAATTAAGTTTTGGTATTGTACAAGTTGCAATAGTATTTCAGGCATCACCCTAAAAGAACAGCTCTACTTTAAATATTTTACTTAGAGCTTAACATTATATCATAATGGAATGCGGCTTTGTTTAAAATTTCTGGAATTTATTTTATTCTTTATTATATCTTTCCACTTCAAGTTAACAGTTTTACCATGTGAGCCTTATCCAATAATAAAACAAACTGGGTTTCTCTGGAGGTAAGGATTAGTCCCAATCTTTCAGATTACTTAATCTAGATCAGTAGTTTAGTATATTTAATCTGTATCATCAGCGCTAGTTTTTGAATAGAATTGAATTGTTTTAGTGGACTCTGAATACTGAGTACATGTACATTTTTGAAAATTCAGACAACACAAAGTCCCAAAATAAAAATATAAATTCTCCTAAAGCTATACTTTATACTAAACACCCAGATGTACTTAGTGTTCTTATTTTGGAAGACAATACGAAGGCTATCACATATAGACTACCTAATAAAGGTTTACAAATTAATATTTTAAAATTAATTTTTTTGGTAAAGAAGTATGTGTATAATAGAAATATGGAAAATAAAGATAGAAGAAAGTTGTTCCTTAAAACCTTTTTGGTTAATTTTCTGGTGGTTTTACTTCGACACACATAAACATATATGTCAATGCTCTTCAGGCAAAGACCATCAGGAACACACCTGTAGTTGAACAAGTTGAATTTATTACCTGTTGCAGTGAGGGAGAACATACAACATGGAAAACTGTTGTGCATTTCTGTAAGAGGGTATTCAATAGGATTGATTATAGGATTTAGGCTTTTGTTAAAAGATCTGAAGGAGCGTTTAAAGAAGTGAGGCTTTAGATTGAATGATGTCAGGAATCAGACATAATTCTATGATTATCTGAACTATCTGGAAGGAAAAAATATTAGACCACATCTAATGCTTTAATAAAAAAGCAACAGTCACTCACATGAGCAAGGATAGTGAAATGTTTATTTTTGTACACTCACAATGTTCATGACTTGTCTATGTTCAGACATTACAGAATGATCTTATTTTTGTTTGAAGCCATCATGATCATGGTGTGACCTAATGTGATGTTTAAATTGTTTATGTTAGCAGAAGGCCAAGACCTATCTGTGAGTGCCAGCCGAACTTATAACAGCATCAAGGCCTAACACATAGATAAGGGCTGCTTTTCTCCTTCTCATATATTATGATCATACATTATATTCAATATAAAATATAATACTCAATGAAAGCAGGAAATTTGTTCCATTTATTTCTGATCTTTCCAGTGCCTGGCACTATACTTGGCTCATAGAATGCTACTTAATATTTGTTGAATTAACACAATGATTTTTTAAACAAGGAATATTCTCATTATGAAAAAATTGATATTGAAAACTATCATGAAGAAAATAAAATATATGAGAAATCCAAGAAGTAATATTTGAAGAAATCAGCAGGAAATTAGTTCCATTTATTTCTGATACATTGATCTACAGATTCAAGTAGTCCTATAAAAGCTAACCAGAAATTACGAAGAAAAGCTTATTCATGGATGCACATTATGGTAAAGCTGCTAAAAACTGAATATGAAGAAAAAAATAATAAAAGTAGGGTAAAATGTCCACTTCTCAACAAAAACAATGAAATCTGAAACAATGGACTGATGTCTTCAAAATCTTGATGTAAAATAGAATTTTAGACCTAAGAAAATATAATTCAACTATTATGGTCAGATGATAACTTTTTCAGACAAACAAGTTGAGAGAATTCATCACCAGAACACGCACATTTCAGTCAGAAGTATAATGATACTAGAAAGAAGCTCAGAGATGTATGAGCAGCAATGGTAAAAGTGTGGGTACATTTAATTAAATCTATAAAATTTTAGGATTTAAAATATCACAGAATTTAAAAATATAATTTGGAAAGGGTAAATGGAACTAACATATTAGAAAGCCCTTTGATTCTTAGGCTTTAAGTCAATACTATCTAATTTGTGTAATAGTCACTAAATACATAATTAAAGAACATAGAACTGTAAAGCTAATAAAAGTGAAAAATGGATTATTAAAAAGAAGCAATTCAAAAAAGGTGAGAAAAAGTAACACAGATAACAAATAGAACTCAAGTAATTAAGATAATTGCTTAAAGCCTAAATATATCAGTGGATAACAGTAAATCTAAGAGAACTACAGTAAATAAAGATTGTCATATGGACTTATAAGAGACATGCATTAAATATGTGAACGCATAAAATTTAAAAGCGAAAGGATGTGTATAGTTTCTAGTCTAGGTAAGATGAAATAAGCAGAGTTTACACTTTCTCCCACTGAATGTAACTATAAAATACATAAAACATTCTGAAGAGAATGTATGGAACAAGTATCTGAGGACTTTGAAAAGTAAATAGCAATAAATACATTGGGGAATAAGACCAGAATATATAGTACCACCTGATTGGCAGTGAATTTGCCTATTTCTCTCTCTGGTATCCACCAGCTTCCACCCAAGGTCACCTGAAAGCTGGGTGTCTGCACCAACTCAGAGGGGAGAAATCATCTAGTCTAGGGTGGAGGAGTGCAAAAATAGTCTCCTTTCAGTGCAGCAGTGGCAGCTATTATAAAAATTCTCCAATGAGGAAGGTGGAAGTTCGGAAATGAATGAAAATATAGAAAGTCTTAGGAAAGAAATAGAATATATGTAAAAAAGAACAAAATGGGAGATTTTAGGGCTGAAAAAATAAATGAAAACTCTCTGGATGGGGTAAATGTCAAAGTAAAGATGACAACAGAA
This sequence comes from Homo sapiens, assembly GCF_000001405.40. NCBI lineage: Eukaryota > Metazoa > Chordata > Mammalia > Primates > Hominidae > Homo > Homo sapiens. The sequence goes on along the minus strand of NC_000003.12, from coordinate 22,333,532 downwards.
GTTCAGTGAAATTGAAGACCAATTAATAGGAATTATACGATCCAAATAACAGAGAGAAAAAAAGATAGAAAAAAAATGAACAAAGCATTACAGCCTTATGGGACCATACCGAAAAGTCAATTTAACATTTATGTCATAAAATCACAGAAGAAAAAGAGTACGGTGAAATATATGTGTGAAGAAATAATGATGGAAAACTCCTTAAATTTGGTGAATAAACCTATGTATTTAAACATCTGGATAAAGACTAAACAAAATAAAACCAAAGAAATACAAACACACTCCTGAAAGCCAGCGGCTGAGAAAAATATTGAAAGCAGCCTGAGAAAAACTTATAAAGGGTCAATGATTTGAATTACAGAAGATGTCTGATCAGAAATCAAGGATGCCAGAATGAAATGGCAAAATATTTTTTAAATGTTGTAAAGAAAAGGACTGCCAAGCTAGAATTCCATGTCCAACAAAAATAATATTCAGGACTTAAGGTAAAATAAAGACATTCTCTGATGAAGAAAATGTATGAGAACCTGTTTCCAGCAGGCCTTCTCTGAAAGAACTGATCAAAGTTCTCCAGAATGATGGGAAATGTTACCGGAAGGAAAGTTAAAACACCAGGAAAAAAAAAAAAGGAAAAGTAATATAAATGCTATACATGTTTATAAATATAATAACTACTACATTTAACAGTATATCTTTGACTATCCCTCTCATAGGCTGGTTTATTTCCAGAAACATAGCAATTATTAGTCTGAATTCCATGCTTATTCTTTCACAGGATAATGGTTTTTCTCATTGTTTTCATTGTATAGCCACTTGCTTCCACATGCTGATTCAAATTCTCATCTTGGCTTTCCATATAATTTAAATTCATAATCTGCAAAATAAATTAAGCTTTTATTTATTTCCAATTAATTCACTTTTTAATTATCTTACTGAATTTTTTGTTTCCTTGCTATCCATTCTTCTCAACTCTTGTTTTATTAAGCTTCATCCTATTGTCTTTTAATACAAACCTGTTTATATTAAAGCCTGATTACTTTCTACTCATAATTCATAACCACCATGCCTTCTTCCTTTCACAATACCAAATAGTCCTTAAAATATTTTATTTGTATACAAATAATTTTCATAAATAATTTCTTCATTGAATCTTCAGGCTAATATTCTTTGTGTGCAGAAAAAGAGCCCTCTTTGAGGCCATCTGGGTGAAAACCTGTTAGTTACTGAAAACTGACTCACTAGATTTACAAATAAACCTGCTACCGTAGTTCTAGTTCTGCAATGGAATTTGCCTAGCCGTTGAGTGAACTTATATCATAGAGGCAGGTGTGGAGGAGCTGGGCAAAAACAATAAACACATCCTGCATAAAACAACCAGGTCTTGTTAGGCCTCCTCTTAATAATGGATAGAAGTAGTGAATAGGAATATTAGCTTGATGACTAGTAAAATGTTAACAACTGGTTCAACTTGATGAAGTTATCGTGGGTATTTATTGTACTATTCTTCTATATTTTCTATACTATTCTTCTATATTACTTGAAACTATTAAGTTTCAAGTAAAAATCTAATAAGTGATATTTAGAAAAGCAAGACCACAAATTTTAAATCAAGTGCCTGTGCCAGGAATCCACATACATATTTTTTGAAAGTTACTATAGAAATTACCTAAACTCAAATGATGTCAGTTTTGAATCTGATGATTACGAATTCAATTATTATGTCACTATATTAAAGATGTTTCCTTTTTAGTAAAAGTTTGAAAACAAACGGGTGAATCAATAGAGCTTCTCAAGAAATCCCTAGCAAATATATTGGGCAATATATTTTGGTAGTCTATAGCTGATACAAATTTAGTCCTTATTTCTAACTGAAAGCAGCCTGCACAAAGTTTACTCCTTGTACCAAAGTTTTGAATTGCTTAGGCCATCTTCTATTCTGTTTTGGAGATACATGTCTAAATTTTTGTACTATAATTATAACAGCATGGGTGTTAATGAAAAATGCAGTGTTTTACGAGTATGCGTTAGGTAATTTTATGAAATAATATTAAGTTTTCATTAATGTTATGGTCATATATAGCTATTAAAGTAAATATTCAAAGTTTTCTTTTTGTTTTATTCATATTACTGTTTATAACCATTGTTAGAGTTTCTATAATTTATTTACATTAATTGCTTAGAAACTATAAAGATGTTTTTAAGTTTTAAGTGATAGATACTTCTTGTATTCTAAATTTTCATGTATAGTTCTAGCACTGACACTTGTGCTGTGTAATCTATGCAAAGCCTTTTCATCACAAAGCATGATATAAACTAAAAAAAATAATAAATGGCCTGCATTACTGATGTTTAGAATAAAGGAATTGAAGTATTTGTCATAGGAATACCTAATGAACAGTCAGTTCTTAAATCAATTTATGGTAAATTTAGAACAGAGGACTTACACGTCAATAAACATTCCCTGCTGCAAACACAAAGCAATGATAAATACATAAATGTGCATATATATGTACACACATATACCTGATTTTTTAAGAGTTAAAATTCATGTGTAGCAGCACAATAAGGTGGACATAGCCATACCCCAGAAAGACATGCCAAGTCAAAAGTTGGGCTGATGCTGCAGGGTTTCTGACCTTCTAATCTAAATTTGGAGATAGGTTGCCTAGATTTTGGAACCTGCAGGGTTACAGGAACAAAGAGTGCAAAGTAAAGGCAGGCACACTGCCTAAAGCAAGCCTTTGATAGAGTTCTCCATTTATTCAATAATTCATTCAACAAATATTCAAAGCCTCTAAAATGTCCCTGGCCTTATTCCACAGAAATCCCTGCTTGTGTGGAACATGCATCACAGTGTAGAGGAGCTCATGGGCTAGGAGAACCAGAGTGAGATGGAAAGTGGGAAGAGAACCTCCTAAAGAAAAACTGAAGCATTTTGTTAGGTGATCTGTCATATCACAGCAGACGGGGGCCCTGAAATATCATTATAAGACTTGAATTTCAAATAAGGATACCAGGGATACAAAAAAGCTCAAAACATTATAAAAGAAGAAATAAAGGGTGAAGACATCAACAAAAATAACTCAACAAGAATAAACAACTCCTACCTAAATGATCCTGCAAACCTACATTCCAAAATACTTGAATAATTTTTACCTTTAAGACAGACAATAAAAACAAAAAAGACAAACCTCAGCAGTTAGTACATGAATTTACCCTGGATAAAGTTGATTTTATAAAAGCCTGACAAAGATTTAAAATAAACATTTAAAAATTCTTAAATGGACAAATACAGGCATAATTTCTCTTGAAAATTAAAAATGAAAGTGTAAAAGGCAGAAAATAAGAATACTTCTTGTAAAAATGAATCAGTGAGAAATTTTGAGAATAAAATATGTACTCATCGAAATGAAAAGCTCAATAGATGAAATAAATACTAGAGTTAGCTCAGTTTAAAGGAGAATCGATCAATTTGCCACACAGACAATTAGATTAATACACAAAAAAGCCATTAAGCAATACAGAGCATAGTTTTAGGGTTTATAACCTGTGTTGTTTATTATGACAGCTACTAATCATGAGTGAATAGTGAACATTTGAAATGTAGCTAGTCTGAATTGAGATGTGCGATAAGTGTAAAACACATACCATATTTCAAGGACTTGATTCAAAAAAAGCTATCTCAATAATTTTTATGTCAATTATATGTTTAAAGTAATATTGTGTATATATTGGGTTAAAATATTACTAAAATTAATATCACCTGTTTCTTTGTACTTCTTCCTGTGGCTGCAGACAAAAACATAAAATTACATGTGGCTTGCATTACATTTCTAGTGGACAGTGTTGATCTATATAATATTTACTCTTATGCAAAAGTTCTAGCAAATAGTATCAGAGGGATTGGTGGAGAAGAGGTAGTTAAAGAGCCATTAGTAAATTTTTTTCTACAATTGACAAATTTGTGTACAATTGATGGGATTAGGTATATGTAGCATCAAAATGTTACATAATTTTTAAGATAAATAAAGTAAGTAAAGCTATACTTAGGAACTTTATAGTAAAATTGAAGAACCTCAGGTATAAAGAGAACAATTTTAAAACTTCTAGTCTGCACCAATAGGTGACCTATGAAATATCAACACTTGAACTGATGTAGATTCCTCTGGAGATCACAGAAAATGGAGTAATGTATTTAAATTGGTGAGGAAAAATATATACCTAAAAATATTGTACCAAACCAAATTGTTACTCAAGAAAGAGAAGAAATAAGAAAAAAGATATTTCAAATAAACAACACCTCACCATCTGTAGATCATCACTAAGAGGCTTATTGCAGGATGTACATCAGCACGGACGGTGGACTAGAGGAAGGCATGGCATATGAGAAATAGCAGTGAGCCTAGAAAGTGATATGAGCAACTTTAATAAACTCTTTTTTTTTTTTTTTTTTTTTGAGACGGAGTCTCGCTCTGTCGCCCAGGCTGGAGTGCAGTGGCGCGATCTCGGCTCACTGCAAGCTCCGCCTCCCGGGTTCACGCCATTCTCCTGCCTCAGCCTCCCAAGTAGGTGGGACTACAGGCGCCCGCTACCACGCCCAGCTAATTTTTTTTGTATTTTTAGTAGAGACGGGGTTTCACCGTGTTAGCCAGGATGGTCTCGATCTCCTGACCTCGTGATCCGCCCGCCTCGGCTTCCCAAAGTGCTGGGATTACAGGCGTGAGCCACCGCGCCCGGCCAATAAACTCTTTTTTATTAACTTTTTTTTTTTGGCGATGGAGTCTTGCTGTGTCACCAGGCTTGAGTGCAGTGGTGCAATCTGGCTCACTGCAACCTCCACCTCCCAGGTTCAAGCGATTCTCCTGCCTCAGTCTCCTGAGTAGCTGGGACTACAGGTGCACACCACCATGCCCAGCTAATTTTTGTATTTTTAGTAGAGGTGAGGTTTCACCGTGTTGGCCAGGATGGTCTCGATATCTTGATCTTATGATCTGCCAGCCTCGGCCTCCCAAAGTGCTGGGATTAGAGGCATGAGCCACCACACCCAGCCAGTTTTTTTTATTTTAAAATATGTAAAGTTAGGTAAAAGTAATAAAATATGGTAATGCAGGTGTTCAATGTATACTTATATACTAACATCAGAAGTATAGAAATACTGAATCATTAAATTATGTTAAATTTTTTATAATCAGAATTGTAAAATTAAGAGAAATCCCTAAATCAAAAGAAAATGTAACATACAGCTTTCACTGTAGAAGGGGAGAAAAAAAGGACTCCAGAAAAATATATTAATGCAGCAGGACCATGAAGTGAGGGGAGGGTGGAAAGGAGAGAGGAAATGGATAAGCATGAAACATGAAATAAGGAAAAAAAGTGCAAATGGAGCAGTAATCTCACTGTATGTAAATGGAATAAGTAATCTGATTAAAAGTCAGAAATCATCAGACAAAAAGAAACCTAAATAAAAGACATATGTAAAAGACTTAGGTAATGAAAAACAAATAGAAAATAAAGGAATAGAAAATAATGTGTATATTTAGAAGAGCGCTTATCATATATTAGGCGCTTAATGTTACTTCAGTTTCTTCCAGATGATAGATGTTTTCATATTAAAATTATTAGGTTTTGTTATGTTACACCTCAAGTGTTGAAACAGACAAAATGAAGAGAAATGCCTTAAGAAATAGCAATGTTCTCTTCCATACAAGGTCAACATTCACAAAGCACAGGGACAAAGTCGATAAATCACATCTATGCAGCATCACTGAAATATAGCTCCCTTCTCCTTGCCTAGAGCTCCGTTTAAATACACATCACCCTCTTCATATCTGCCAAGCAGCATGCAATCTTCCACTGGGAGTGCAAAATAAGAAAACATAGCACCACCTACTCTGTAGAGATTACAGTTTAGGGAAGAGGTTCATGATCTGGTAGATGGACCTACATGGAGATTTGTGTTAGTCTTCAGGAAATCCTTGGACTTCCCGAAACGATGCATGGAAATGTGGCTGGAAGCATTTTTCAATGTGATGGGTATAACTTTCATTAATTTCTGGAAGTGGTTGATGTTTCCTGAAATTTAGGACCACCACTTCAGGATGGGTTAGTTAATGTAGGCCCATGGAACTTAGAGTGTAGGACACCGATAGGCAGGCTTTCACACATGGTGATTTTTTTCTACTTGTAGTTTAATTTAGAAAATTTACATTTCTTATTTTACAGAAAGTATCCCAAAATATTCTTTTTACTCTTTTTGGAGGTAAAGTTTTATTTACAGAATCCAACTTGTAAGGTTTAATGTTCCTGGCTACCAGTTTTCGAATGGATTTTTATGGCCCATCCTCAATTATTATTGCAAATTAGTAAGGGTGGTAGGGTGAGATTAAAAAAAGAACAAAACTTTCCGACAATCTTCAGAATTCACTTTAGTCAATATTTCTTGCACTTTTTCATTTTTTTAAGGTACTTAATAGATTTCAAAGTCATTTGGGTTTCACTTTCATCTCCTGTCCTTTTCTCCCTTACAGGGAGGAGTTAATGACCCAAAGCAATAGACCTTGGAACTTGCAAATGTTCCAAGGAATTTAAAGATGAGGTGATTTCCTATTTTCTGGCACTCTGACTGCTTTTATCAACTTGCTTTCCTGCCTTAAGATAAATGCAGACATAAATGTGAATAAGTAATAGAAAATACTTTGGGGTGCTTTGGTAATGTTCGGTATCTTGATGTGGGTGTTCCTTACACAGATGTATTTAGTCTGGGAAAATTATCAAGCTGTACACTTATGGTCAATACACTCCCTTAGGTAGACTTTGTCACTAAAATGTTTTAAAACAGAAATGTTCACTTTTATTTTTAAAACCCAAATCCATCTAAGTGTTACCTGTCATATTTTTTGACCACCCACCTGAGACAGATGCTCCATTCCTGGCAGGTTTCTTCCTGCCTTTTAAACTTGCTCCTTCTTTTCCCGTTCTACCTTGCCCTGAATGTTTATACTGCCTCCTGTGGTATCCTGTGCATGGAAAATACCTGAAAGTGATAACACTTTCCTCAAGGCATGCGAAATAACAGGAGATAATTAAGCCACATGCAGAAAATGCCTGGAAGATAGGCTAGACCCCTGGCTCACACTCCCACCCCACGAGCTTCTTTGACAGTGTTTCCTCTTCTCTACCTGGGATTTTGGGCCCCCAGTCTTTCAGGCTTGGGGAAGGAATTTTCTCCCTTACCTCTCAGATTCAAATCTTCCCCAAATTTGGCATAATCTACATAGACAACAACTTTGATTACAATGGAGACATTCTTTTATCTGAGACAGGGGTATAGTAATTGAAGTGTTTCTATTCATTGCCTTTCCTCTGGTTTAATAAATGGAAATACAGACTCCAGTGCAAATTCAGAGGCAAAATTGAACTGCATGCTTTAGGAACTTCCTGGAAGGGAAAAGTGGAAGAGAGAGGGGAAAGGAAAACATTCGGGAATTGGAGACAGGGAGGAGGGAAGAGAGCCAGTGTGTCAGGACTGCTTATGAGAAAGGGAAGATGGTGCACCTGCTATGAGGTATGGTACTTTGGGGAAAGAGATGGATAATGATGATCATTAGAAAATTTCCCCTGTATTTTATATACTAAATTCTTCTTTGCCACCTCTTAAGACATTTGTAGTTAAAACTACCAGACCTTTAGAGAAAAAAAAATGTGATTCTTTTTGTTCCCTCATGATACCCAAAGAGAAGGAAAGATGGCTCTGTTTTTTTGTTTTTTGTTTTTTTGAGACAGAGTCTCGCTCTGTTGGCCACTCTGGAGTGCAATGGCGTGATCTTGGCTCACTGTGGCATCCGCCCCTGGGTTCAACCAATTCTCCTGCCTCAGCCTCCTGAGTAGCTGGGATTACAGATTTGTATCACCATGCCCGGCTGAGTTTTATAATTTTAGTAGAAGTTTGACCATGTTGCCCAGGCTGGTCTCGAACTCCTGGCCTCAAATGATCAGCCCACCTCAGCGTCCCAAGGTGCTGGGACTATAGGCGTGCATCACCGTGCCTGTCCGATGGCCCAATTTTAACAGATTAAATACATTGATAGGTAAGAATGTATTATACAGTTTTCCAGAATTTGTCTATTTAGAAAATAATTTTACTGTATTGCTGTACAACTAATGATCAACTACAGGGTTTGTACCACCTGCCCCTTCTCACCACTAAAATAAATACAAAGAAGCATTCAGTGTTCCCCAATATTACTAGCCACATGTAAAAGTTCTACAGCTTGAGTTTTCAAACTAGTTTATTCTTAATTCCAAACTCTAAAAATTTGTAGAACAGTTATCTAATAAAACTCAAGGACAAAACACCTGGACTTCCTTTACTTCAGAATTTATTGTAGTAATATTGTAGTAGTATTTATTGTGGTAATATACATAATTACACTTTATATAGCACTCTGTGGCGTGCACTATACTAAGTACTTTGCATTTTCATTATTTAATTATCAGAGCAAACTTAGAAAGTACGTACTGTTATTATAACTTTTATCCTCATTTCACCAAAGAAACAGATACACAGAGAGGTTAAGTGTCTTGCTCAAGGTCATACAGATGGTAAGTGTTAGAACCCAGATTGAAATCCAGACAGTTTGGCTGCTCTAGTAGGATCTCTCTTTTAATCACTATTTTTACTGTCTCCAAAAAAGACCACTTTGTCAATCTCATTCCCTGTGTAATTACTGGTGGTAGAGGGTCAAAGGGGACACAGTATTGAGTAGCACTTGTGGTGAGGGAAGGCAGTAATGGATTTCTTTTTTCAAAATGCTGTATCTTTCCTTTTCCAAGTGCATTTTAGAATTAGCTTGTCAAATTTTATTTTAAAATACTGTTGAGATTTTGATTGGGTTTTCCTCCAATATATAGATAATTTGGGGGAGCATACTGAAATCTTTAGCATGCTGAAAATGCTCATAGGATAATGAAATATCTTTTCATTTTATTGTCTTCCTTAGATTAGTAAATTTTTATATATCTTCATCTAAGTTGTGCATATTTCTGTTATTTATACTTTTGTGTTGCTACTATAAATGGACTTCTATTCTAAATACTATTTATGTATATAGAAGAGTGATTGAGTTGTCTGCATTTATTTGACAAATGGACCCCTTGCTGAAATATCTTACTAGCTCTAGTAGATTTTGTTTCCTAAATATTGTGTGTTGTTGTTCTACTGCTTAATACTAGTTACAAATAATGATTATTTCATTTTTTAAATTCAAACATTTATACATTAATTATCAATATTATAATGTGCTGAACATTACTGGTGATAATTAGTGTCCTATTAGGAGCACCAAAATTATTTCACTTCCAAGTTAATTCTTGAATTTCTCTAGAAGTTCCTTACCATGTTAAGAAGGTATCCATCTATTCCTTTCCCCGCCAAGTTATAATTATTTTTTAGCACAATTATGGAATTTTATCAAATGTCATTTTAGGAGCTTTCATGATATCTTTTAATCCTTCTGTTAAAACACTTAATTAGGTTATCCTAATATTGGACCATGAGCTCATTTCTAGAATAAATTGAGCTCATGTTGTGGATAGTATATATTAGTTAAAGGCAAAGCCTGACAAATTTGGGTATTTCAGCTTTACCAAGTATTAGTTATGTGACTTTTAGCAATTTTCCTCACTTTTCTGGGCCTCATGAATGTTACATGTAAATATGAATAGTATTAATTTCCTTTCATAGGTTAGTAGGGGGATAATTTATATTCATCACTTAGCACTTTGCGTGGCTTATTTTAAGTACATAATAAAGCTTGTCTGCTATTATCCTCATTATTAAGAAACAGATGTTCTGTAGAATTTTTGTGTTACCGTAGCTTTAATAATTTTTATTTTAAAATTATCTTTAAGAATAAAACAATGTGTAGTACTACTTCCATTGAAAATAAGAAAGTTAGCTGTCTTTAGCTAAATTCCCCTTTAGCCTTTCCTTTTCTTCTCACGGTTTTGTATTCTTAAGCATTTACCTCAATGTGTTAGCATTATTCAGCTAGTAGTGTTAGCAGAAATTGTGTTTACATGTGTGTGTATAGGGAATCTTAGGACCCAGCACTTCCTTCTTTCCCCCTTTCTGCTCCATTCCCAGTCTCATCTACTTACTTACTATCATGAACTTTGTGGGGCCTTATTAGCATCAGAGATAATGGAAAATGTTTTATCAACGATGGGCATATCCCTATATACCAGCAACAGGGAGTCTGTGGGCAGGGTCAGGAAGGGAGAGATCCTGGAAAGAACTTGATCCACTGAAACTTGTGGCCCTGAGTGTGGAAATGATTGATATTAACTCAAAAATCTTTGTGCAAAATCTCCTTGGCAGCCACCAAGAGGCCATACAGGTAGACCAAGTCCTTCCTTCCCCTAATAAGCCTAGCAACCAAGGGGATTCTTCTGCAGAGGACTTTTACGCATTTCCTGTCCGTGGGGGTTGAGATTGCCTGCTTTCTATCGTTTTCAGGAGTACGGTTACCTACAGTCCTACAGATCCCAAAGAGACAAAACAGAACAATAAAAATCCATTTAAGGTGCCATAGCAATGAGAAAGAGAACAGAACAAATATAACACTTAGCCAGGGCTGTTAGCAGATGACAACCTGATTAAAAATGATAAAAAGTACTTAAGTAAAAAATATCCAGAACTTTAAAACATGATTTCTGAGCTTAGTAATTCAGAAGAAGAGTTTAAAACAAAAACATTACTGGATGGTTGAAGAAATGAAAGGTAGAAACATACAGAGGAATAGCATGTGGGAAAATATTTATATGAAACTTGGAGAATATATCTGTGCATATGTTATGTAAATAATGATATTCAGTGAGAGATAATAGAACAGATGGGAGAGATACAAATATTAAATAATAAAGTAAAAGATCCCTTAACTGAAAATATCACTGATTGGGCAGGTTAAAAGGGCTGGGTCGGTGAGAAAAGATTGGGATAGACTGGTAAAATTCTTGATGTCTAAGGGGGAAACCTTATAAAATTCTGCCCAATCCAAGTTACCTAAAAAAAGTCAGACTCACTGTGTTTCTCCTTTATAGTACTGGGAGATAGAGGACAGTGAAATAGTATCTGGAGGTCAGAAGGAAAAATATTACAATAGAATATTACTATATCCAGCCAAGATATTTCCCTATGTAGACAAAAAAATATATTTGAGGATATAAAGGAGTTAAAATATATCATCCATGTCCCTCTGTGAAGAAAATTTTTGTGGAAAGACTATAAATGCCAAACAACAGGTACTACATGTTAGGAAAAGATGAAGAAGAGAGTAAAATAATGGTGAGTAATTGTATGTATGGTATGAGTAAAGATATATTGCCTAGAAATATGATATAAAAGTGTGAATGAAACTAAAAATACAAAGTATATATCACTAATCAGAGTTTGGTGACAGCTGAGACCTAAATGGGTTAAATAACCCCAGAAAAAAAGCTATAATTGGGTAAAGGCAGGGAATTTTCTAAAGAACTCATTTTATTGAAATTTTGAGAGGAATGGAAGTAGGAAAAAGAAGAGATTAACAATAGCAGTATAAATAGGTAGGAGAAATAATTATCTTAAAAATTAATATTGAGACACTCAATAAAGGGAGTGTAGCTATTAAAAGAATGAAGATTCAAAGAACAGAAAAGCACAATAAATCTGCCTATTTAGTAAGGAAAAGAATGAAATGCACAGTAACTTGTTCACACCAGCAATCATAAGAAAAAGGAAAAAAGTAGGAAATAGCATTTGAAATAAGTAATAAAGCAAGTTGAAAGGAATAAAATATATCAGTCATTACATTAAATACATATAGACTGAGCCGGGTGCGGTGGCTCATGCTTGTAATCCCAGCACTTTGGGAGGCCGAGGTGAGTGGATCACGAGGTCAGGAGATCGAGACCATCCTGGCTAACACAGTGAAACCCTGCCTCTACTAAAAATACAAAAAATTAGCCGGGCGTGGTGGCGGGCCCCTGTAGTCCCAGCTACTCGAGAGGCTGAGACAGGAGAATCGCTTGAACCCAGGATGCAGAGGTTGCAGTGAGCCGAGATCACGCCATTGCACTCCAGCCTGGGCAACAAGAGTGAAACTCCATCTCAAAAATAAATAATTTTTTTTAAAAAAAGTACACACATATATATAGACTGAATCCCCCCATTAATTGTAGGGACTTGTAGAAAGAGTTTTAAAAAAGGTTATACAAAATATGTTTTACACAGAATACACTTAAAATGATAACTAAATGTTGATAGTCGTAAAGTGTAATAAAAGAGATAAAAGAGATGCCAGAAAATGAAAAAAAAAAAAAAAAAAAAACAAGGTCATAAGTGTTACTATCAGCAGTAAGGTGAAATTTAGAATTAAAAAATTTGAACAGGATGAAGTGTGATATTAAATAATGACAGTACAGTTTCTGAAACAATTGTAAAAATTAGGAGCTTGCATGTATCAAATCATATAACAGGATTTATTATGTTTTTCCGCAAATTTGTTTTTCCTGCTTTCATTTCAAAAAAATGTTTACTTTTGTTAACGATCCATTTTTCTTCCAATAACAATCATCTAAGCAATTAAAAAGTATATTTAAAATGTACAAAATTTAAATATGCTGTCATAAAAATATAAGTTAATGAAATATTAAATGTTGAACACTTATAAAATCAAAAAATTACTTTGATTTAAAACTGTCTAAATTATACTTTAAAAGTATAAAATGTATTTAAATTATACATTAAAATTAAGAACAAAATAATATTCCTCAAAGAAAGTAGACATGTTAAAAATCAAGTTTTTAAGTTGTAGTTTTAATCTATTAAATATTGTGATAGAATTCTGGTATTTAATGTATATCTAGTTGCCAAGGTAAGTAATCAGTAAAACTTTAGTTCCTGTTACTTCTATACAAACATACTTATCTATGTATACATTAAAAATAGTATGAATTTTTAAATCTAATAAATATTTCCTCACTATCATATGCCAAAAAATTGTGACCACCTTCAGAACTATCCGGGCATTAATTTGTGAGTACTGCCAGACCACAAATTAGAACATGATCAAAAACAAGGAAATAAGCAATGGAAAATATTAGGGAAATGATCCTTTATGTAAGAATTAATTGCATTCATAATGACTGAAAGGAAGAATTTGGGACCAGTTATTTGTCTTTCCCCTTACTAGAATACTAATGCTATTCAAACCTTCCTTGGTTCATCTCTGTTAATCAGCTGCAGAGCAACTCAGATAAACCTCAATGACCTTTAGAAACAGTTATCTTTTGTCTGGAGGACATAGGGTGGGAGATGAACACACGGGTTTTCTCTAAGACCTTATTGGTGTAAATGATAAGAGAGAAGGTTGAGGATGTATAGAGCACCAGATTCCACATGAAGCACCTATGTACTCCTTAAAAAAAAAAAAAAGTTTGTATGTGTTTTGTGAAATTCAGGATCTTCCAAATCACAGTGTCCAAGGCAGGGGTCACTCTTGTCTCAGTCAAAGAGAGTTCTGATGATAAAATATCTCAAAATAATAAATAGTAAGATGTTTTATGATAAAAACCTATGGGACATAGCAACAGGTACACTTAAAGGAAAATGCATAACTAAAATACCATTATTTAAAAAAAAATTTTCAGAAGTTGAAATAGATTCAAAGTCAACCCCTTTCAGCCCAAATTAAGGAAAGTTGTGTGCAATATCAGCTTGTGCTTATTGTGGTCTCTTGACCTCCCAGTGTTTTTCTGAAGTAGAGAATTTTACCAATATTTTTGTAGTATATCATCAGATTACTTCCTGGGAGGACATCTTTTCACAGGAGGAGATTGTGAGTCAGTGTTCAGGGATTCACAAACTAGAGCCCATGAACTATAGGGAAATCTGTGGACCCTGCTATTGCTAGCTCTGTATGCATTTTAATGAGACATCTTTTGATTCTAAGATTTGAACAACAGCATTTCTAGTGTCCAATACGGGCATTTGCCAACTTTTCCCCAAAGTTTCCCAGTACTGAATTTTCTTTCTTTTTAAAAAAAGTATATTAATTGTGTCCCACATTTTATAATTATATAAAAACTATTTCAATATTGCATATAATTTAATATATTAAATAGTTAATATTTAGCTAATTTATTAACTAATATTACATATTATTCATGTTATTTCTTGTGACTTTTTAAAACATCACTATCCATTCAGAGGAGTTCTTGAATTAACTAATACTTCAAATGTTCCAGTTAATGTTTGACAAATATTTGTGAAGTTCTGTACACATAAGAAAGACTTGGTTGAAAAGTAGTATTGGCATTTTTCCCCCATGTGCTTCTAAAATCTATCATCTATTGTCTTTTAAGATACTTATATTGGGCGGCTTTATGATAATTACAAATTTGGCTTTTGTTTTATGCTAATTTTTGATATATTTTATGAAATGGAACAAATTTATAAAAGCCTGCCCTGCAAACATTTTAGGTAACCTCTTTGGTCATTAATAAGAAAAATAGTCACAGCTTTAAAAAGCAAAGTATGCTACTTTCTCAAAAAATGCATTCTAGGGAACTTAACCTATGAATATTTCTTATATGACTAAAGCTACCAAATTTTGATTTTCCGATTTCCAATGAAATTTACCTTTATATTCATCATGACTTCCAGTCTGCTAATCATTGTCTTTTTTCACAGTACATTTTTGTTTTATACACAGTACTTAATTACTTCTACATTGTTCATTCCAGTATACTCTGGGTTGTTTCTTTAAAAATTTGTGATTTCCGGGGATCTTTTTCTTCTTGTCTTGTATTCCTCGTGCTCAATCTTGGGTAATTCCTTTCTGCTTAATATCTGCTTATCTGCTTGCTGCTTCCAAAATATTGCTGAAAAATGCAGGCAGTGGGCCAATTTCTTTGACCACCAATTCACTAAGCGCTAATTCATCTTGGCTCCTCTCTCAATCAGAAACATTTGTACTCAAATTTAATTTATCTCCTAGTTTATTCTCCACATCTCCAGCTCCATAATTTTCCATTTACTTCAAGCTTCTGACGTCACTTTCTTCACACTGGAGACAAACTTGTCTGGTTCTTTATTGATCGATCAAGGTTATCTGATGTTTGCTCTCTTCATGGTTTTCCTTTCCACATCAAATTTTCCCTGCATCTTCATCCATTTTCTCAATCTTGTCTTCTATATTGATAAATAATTTTATTTCATTCTACTTAAAGCTTTCTTTCCACTTGGACACTCAAAATTCAATCTTTATTTGCTTCCATTTGCCCCTAGCTACATCAGTTATTCTCCACCCCTAGCATTTCAGTATTGTAATTTCCTCAGAATCTTGCCTTACATTAAAAAATATTAACAGCCAAAACACATTGAGCACTCTCCATGTACTGGCACTCTAATTCACATTTTTTTTTTTTTCTTTTTGAAACCGAGTCTCACTCTGTCGCCCAGGCTGGAATGCAGTAGCGTGGTAATGCTCACTGCAACCTCTGCCTCCTGAGCTCATGTGATCCTCCCAGTGCAGCCTCCCAGTAACTGGATTACAGGTGCATGCCACCATGCCTGGCTAATTTTTGTATTTTCATTAGAGATGGGGTTTCACCATGTTGGCCAGGCTGGTCTCAAACTCCTGGCCTCAAGCAATCTGCCTGCCTTAGCCTCCTAAAGTGCTGGGATTACATGAGTGAGTCACCATGCCCAGCCTGATTCACATTATTTAATAGCTGAAAAGTGATGCAAATTTATTAATGTGCATGGGGGAAAATTACAGACTGATGACTTGTAGTGTAATTACCGTTATTACCCAGTAGGAACAGAAGTTTACCTACCCTTATTCCTAGGGGAGGAGGGGATGGGGAATGTAGAAAATTATTTTGAGGGTCAGTAAATTATTAGGGAGAATAAATGTAGCATGGAGGTGGAGGCAGACATTATAGGAGGGTGAGGGGTGGAGATGCACAGCATCAAAGGTGGTTTTATTACGTAGATAAAGTCCCACAGGTAATATCTTGGAGCTGCCCTCAGAAGAATAGGTAGAAGTTCTGTCTAGAGGTGGTGATGACTCCCAGTCTCTTTTATTTTCCAGTGGTGGTTGCTCTTTCTTGGTTACTTGATGAAATCCTTAGGGAGTGAGTTTAAGACAATTGCATTTCCTTTTTTTTTCTTTTATTTTTTCCTTTTTTTTTTTTTTTTTTTTTTTTTGGAGATGGAGTTTCACTCTTGTTTCCCAGGCTGGAGTGTGCAATAGCGCGATCTTGGCTCACTGCAACCTCTGCCTCCCAGGTTCAAGTGATTCTTCTGCCCCAGCCTCCTGAGTAGCTGGAATTACAGGTGCATGCCACCATGCCCGGCTAATTTTGTATTTTTAGTAGAGAAGGGGTTTCTCCATGTTGGTCAGGCTGGTCTGGAGCTCCTGACCTCAGGTAATCCGCCCACCTCGGCCTCCCAAAGTGTTCGGATTTCAGGGGTGAGTCACTGCTCCCCACCGACAATTGCATTTCTTTTGGAAAGAAGCTTTCTTGGTCAGCTAAGGAAGTTCCAGACTGAGCCCCTTCCTGCACTTGGTGAAGGGTAGGAGGCAAGACAAGGTTAGAGAGACCTTGATTTTGAGGCAGCTTCTAAGAATTCTCAGCATGTCAAAATGCCAGTCTTTGGGGTATCACTTTCTGAACCCCAATATTCCCTTGTCTAAAACTTCCTTAGAAGTTTCAAACACTAAAAGCTGACTTGGTAGCTGTGTAGACAAAACATTATTTAATTGATTATCAATATAACTCTGTATGGTAAATACTATTATTAATCCCATTAATAGATGATCAAGCTGAGTTTTGGGGAATCTGAATAAGTTGCTCAAAATCATTAAGTGTCAAAAATGGGACTCAAACACAGGCCAAACTTCAAAGTTGACTTCAAAGGAAATGCATTTAAGCTTATAGCTCCTGTATTGTCACACTTTTTCCTTCTACCATCAAAGTTTTTGGGGAAAAATTTACCTTTTTTGTCTCAACTGTTTTATTTGTTTATTGCCTAATCAGATTAGTGCAACCTATAAATTAAAATATTCCTATCTGTGGTCATTAAAGAAAGACCTACTTTATTATTAATTGCCTGCCACACAGATAAACCCAAATCACTGAGACAGCGTTATTGTGGTAAAGTGATTAACACAAGGCCAGCCAAGATTTAGGACAGGAGTTTAATAATACTCAAATCTGCCTCCCTGAGAACTAAAGGCTGGGGTTTTTTATGGAAAATTTGGTTGGCAGGCAGTAGGGAATGTGTGCTGCTGATTGCTTTGGGATGAAATCACAGGAGTGTGGAAAACCATCCTCCTGCACTTAGTCCACTTCCGGGTGAGGGGGCCACAGGACCAATTGAGTTATGAGTCACAGATGCAGGGTGGGGTCAGTGAGTTGTCAGAATGTGAAGCCTGAAAAACATCTCAGGAGACCAATCTTAGGTTTGACAATAGTAATGTTATCAGAGCAACTGGGAAGTCACACATCTTGTGACCTCTGGCTACATGACTGTAGCAGTAAGGGATTATAGGAACTATGCCTACTTTTTAGCAGAATTCAGACCCTTCCTATAATCCTAATCTTGTGGCCTTTCATTAGTCTTACAAAGGCAGATTCAGTCTCTGAACAAGGAGGGGATCAGTTTTAGGGAGGGGCTATTATCATCCTTGCTTTAAAGTTAAACTATAAACTAAATTCCTCCCATGGTGAGCTTGGCTTTTTCCTGGGAATGACTGAGAACAGCCAGCCTGTGAGGCAAGATGGAGTCAGCCATGGTAGACTTCTGTCGCAGTCATAATCTTTGCAGACAGGTGGTTTCACATTTAATATCTTGTTTTAGCTCAAATGTCTTCTGTGTTTAACACTATTGTCAGTGACATAACTCCTTCCGTTTTGAATTTATGTTTTCCCCAGCCATGCCACTCCTCTCACTCATCTTTCTTTAACAGTTTTCTTTATCTCTTCCCAAATAGTTTTCTCAAGGTTCTGTCTTTGTGTAACATAAACTGTGTAATCTATTCTCTGCGTAGCTCATCCTCTTCCAAGGTTGAAAATACCATCCGTAGGTCAGCGTCTACCTATTTTAGACATTAACCTTGATGTATCTCTTAATAAACCAACTTCTCCATGTTCATCTCTGCCTGAAGGTCCAAAGGGCAATTAAAATATCTATAAAACAAGTCATTGTTTCCCAAACTTGCATTCACCTAGTCTGACTTGTCTTCGTTAATGACATTCCCATCCACTCTACTAAGATGCTGTGGCTTCTGCCTTCCCAAATCCTATTTCTTCTTTTGCAGAAGTCCTGCTTCATTTTTTCTCCTTTCCTTTGTCTCTGGCTGTACCCCTGATTTTACGTTCTCTATTTGTGAATATTACCTATCACGATAACCTGGGTTTTGTGCCTCTAGTCATTCTTTACTCAATTCAGCCTTCATCATGAGTGCTTTGCATAAACATGGGTGCTTTCTTCAAGACCTACATGTGATGGGCCCATATTTTCTTAACCCTTACTCCACATCCATTCATTTTCCCCTTGATCATAGTACTACACATTTCCATTTGTTGCACAATCCCTCTACCATCTGTTTGGTTTTTTGGGGGGCTGACCCTGTCCTGACCTCCAGGAAACCACATAGTCCAGGCCTAGTCAATTAATATGACCAGGATGTTTGGTATAAAGATAAAATGCAATTAAAGCCACTCTGCTCTAGGTCTACTCAAACTTAAACTAGAGCATGCATTCTCAATGGGGATGATATCACTCCCAAGAAAGTAGAAATTTGTTCTTGAAGGGTAAAGAAAATCTTAAATATGACAATGATTTGCAGGCTGCCAGAGTGCAACCCTGCTGCTCAACCCTACGTGAAACAATCTTATTCCTTAATATCCTGGGTAGAAGAAAATTAGGGAAAAAATGTGTTAACCCAAATGCCCATCCGTCAATGAATAGACAAATAAACTGTGGCATAAATATATATATGATGGAATACTAAGCCATAAAAAGGAATGAATTAATGGCATTCACTGCAATCTGGATGGGATTGGAGACTATTATTCTAAATGAAGTAACTCAGGAATGGAAAACCAAACATCAAATGTTCTCACTCATAAGTGGGAGCTAAGCTATGAGGGTGCAAAGGCATAAGAATGATACGATAGACTTTGGGGACTCAGTGGGGAAAGGGTAGGAAGGGGATGAGGGATAAAATACTACAAATTGGGTTCAGTATATCCTGCTTGGGTGGTGGGTGCACCAAAATCTCACAAATCACCATCAAAGAACTTACTCATATAACCAACTGCCACCTGTTCTCCAAAAACCTATGGAAATAAAAAATTAAAAATTTAAAACAGTTTAAAAAAGTAAAGTGTCTTTAGGGGAATTATAATGAAAAAAATCTTGAGAACCACTGAGCTAGAGTAACTCAGAGTGAGAAGCACTGCCATTTCCAGAAGGACTGGAATCTGCAACAAATGCAGATCAGAACTTATGCAGAGCTTCATACCCAAAGCAATAGGATAACTGAGAAGAGAGCCAAAATGAAGAAGCAAACCAAGAAGTGAATAGAAGAGGTAGGGTCCTGAGGATATCTTTTCCACCTTTGAATCCAACTATTCTAAGGAGAGAATTAATGCTGGAGTTTTTAGTTATGAAGGATAACAAATTCCCATTTTTGCTTATGCCATTTTGTTTTTGGTTTATAAGAAATTTTTAAAATCACTTTCTGTAGTAACAGCCGTTGAGGATATTCTGACTCTGCCCTATCTTTATAGATGATTTCCTGCTACTCATCATCTGTTTTACCTTTGGGTTATTATGAATTATACACTTGTATCACTTTGCCTTAGCTTAAGTTATTTTTTTCCCTTAACCATAAAATTCTTGAGTTGTCTGTTTTGTAATATCTTTTTTAAAAACATGTTAAATGTGACATCTACACCATATTCTTCATTGAATTTCTCCCACACCAGAATAGAAATTTATTCATAATTTAATTTTTCTACAGTCCATGTTGTATTTTTTTAAAAATGTTATATCTACATCTTTTTTTAAATTTTATTATTATACTTTAAGTTTTAGGGTACATGTGCACAACGTGCAGGTTTGTTACATATGTATACATGTGCCATGTTGGTGTGCTGCACCCATTAACTCGTCATTTAGCATTAGGTATATCTCCTAATGCTATCCCTCCCCCCTCCCCCGACCGCACAACAGTCCCTGGTGTGTGATGTTCCCCTTCCCGTGTCCATGTGTTCTCATTGTTCATTTCCCACCTTTGAGTGAGAACATGTGGTGTTTGGTTTTTGTCCTTGGCGATAGTTTGCTGAGAATGATGGTTTCCAGTTTCATCCATGTCCCTACAAAGGACATGAACTCATCATTTTTTATGGCTGCATAGTATTCCATGGTATATATGTGCCACATTTTCTTAATCCAGTCTATCGTTGGACATTTGGGTTGGTTCCAAGTCTTTGCTATTGTGAATAGTGCTGCAATAAACATACGTGTGCATGTGTCTTTATAGCAGCATGATTTATAGTCCTTTGGGTATATACCCAGTAATGGGATGGCTGGGTCAAATGGTATTTCTAGTTCTAGATCCCTGAGGAATCGCCACACTGACTTCCACAATGGTTGAACTAGTTTACAGTCCCACCAACAGTGTAAAAGTGTTCCTATTTCTCCACATCCTCTCCAGCACCTGTTGTTTCCTGACTTTTTAATGATTGCCATTCTAACTGGTGTGAGGTGGTATCTCATTGTGGTTTTGATTTGCATTTCTCTGATGGCCAGTGATAATGAGCACTTTTTCATGTGTTTTTGGCTCCGTAAATGTCTTCTTTTGAGAAGTGTCTGTTCATATCCTTCACCCACTTTTTGATGGGGTTATTTGTTTTTTTCTTGTAAATTTGTTTGAGTTCATTGTAGATTCTGGATATTAGCCCTTTGTCAGATGAGTAGGTTGCAAAAATTTTCTCCCATTCTGTAGGTTGCCTGTTCACTCTGATGGTAGTTTCTTTTGCTGTGCAGAAGCTCTTTAGTACTAAAAATGTTATATCTACATCTTAGTGAGACTATGGGGTTTCGGAGTATTTTGAACACAGTTTTGTTTAATTTTGTATCTTCATGCTCTAATGGTGTGATTTCAAAATAGGAAGTGCTTATGAAAGTTGACTTAATTGAATTTTTACTCACAGATTACTGTGCATATCTATTTTTTTCCTCAGTGTTTCTGAAGAGGGAAGATGATTATCAGAACAGTATCGGCACAAGCCAAACGAGTATCATAATACAAAGGGAAGAGGCTCAAATTCCATACATGATGAATTAATAGAGTCCCTATGAACTTAGGCAATTTTGCCCGATTGAGTTATTAGAAAGTGAGTAGGTAGTGTGAAGACTTCCAGCACAGCAGTCCAAAGTGGTGGTCGATTCGGAGGAAATAATAATTGTAGGATTCTAATGCCTCCAAGTGTTGTCTTGTTGCATAATGCATAAACTGAGGCTACTTTGTGTAGCCTCAATGAAGACTGAACATTCTTCATCAGAATAAAGGCAAGTATGCCACTTGACAAAATTGTAGGTGTATAGCAGTACTCCTAGAAACTCTGATTTCATGGCTTGACAGAGTTCATAATAGTAAAAATTGGCTCAATTTATTGTAGCTTCATCTGCGTTTTTGAAGTTTTTAAAAGTACTAGATTTGTGTCGTAATAGGAGAGCAAAGCATGAGATGAGAGCAAAGCGTGAATATTATCTTCTTTTTCTCCACTCCTCTACATCATAGCTTTAATCAGAATTAATATTACAAGCTTATACATACAAGCTAAATGTAAAATTCTTTCGAGTTTACATCTTTACGTTTAGAAATATTTTTTCCTTGACTTTTTCCACCAGTCTTTGTCTTTGCCTGGATTTAGCTTAAAACAAAATTTAGCTGAATGAATAAATAGGTAAGTATATGTGATAGTATTTAAAAATAAATAAAAACAAAGTGAGACTTGCTGTACTAGGAACGAAAACACACTATGAAACCACATTTATTAAAGTAGTAGAATACTGGAAATATTAACCCAAAAAGCAACCTAATCAGAAGTTTTTGTAAGCATTCCATGTCAAGGAGAGAAAAAGAATCACACTCACATAAAATCAAATTACCGTTTTGTGTTTCACTCTGTATCATTTAAGTAAACTTGAATTAAAGTGTTTAATATAAAGATAAAAGTATTAGCATTCATGTAATAATTTATATCTGGATATAGTAAAGACTTTAAGAATAAATACTATTTATTCTTTTGCAGAAATTCTGCTTCCTTTTTCTCCTTTCTTCTGTCTCTGGTCGTACCCCTGATTTCATCTTCTCTATTGCCTATTACAATAACCTGGGTTGCTTGCTTCTAGTCATTCCTTATTCAATTCAACCTTCGTAGTATCATATGATTCAATTCATCGTATGATACTACAAAGGAAAAGATTGATAAATTTTTCATAAAATTTAATGACTTATAACATCAAAAACTTCATAAACAAAATTAAACACTGAAACAAATATATTTAAATAGTAGAAATAAAATCTTTAATATAAAATTGTACTTACAAATCAAAAAAGTTAATTAAAAATGAGTGGATAAAATTATATTTTAATAGAAAAATGGGAAGTAAAATTATAAAGCTGTCGAAGCTTATCAATCATAAAAGTTCTACAAATGAAAACAGCGTATATAATTTTCACTTCCAGATTTTGAGGGCGTTAAAGGAAATATTCCTAGTGATAACACAAGAAAGAGAACTGATAAAAGTTTAAATTTACTTCTCTTTCTAAGAAAGCAACATAAGGGTAAATATAAAAATATTTAAAGATGTCATTTTATTTGAGTTAATAATTCTAATTCTAGGAATTTACCTTGAGCAACTAACCAGCAATGAAACCATGGGATTAACTGCAGTAATATTTACAACAGTGAAAACCTGGATATAGCATAAATGTTCTAAAACTGACAGTGAGTTGGATATATTATAGTAGATCTATAAATAAGCATTAAATTATGTTATCAGAGATTTTAGTTATGTAGTAATGATGAGAGTTATCATGTAAAAGTTACAGGTTATGTGCTAGGCCCTTTTATGTAACAGCTCATATCATTCTCATAGCCATCAAGAAAGGTAATTTGTTTTATCTTACCTGTAGTAAAATGAAGTTCCAAGAAGTTAAATTCCTTGCTCTTGTTCGTAATAGTAATCATGACGCCTGAATGCAAATCCAGGAAATGGTCTCTGGAATCTCCTTTTAACCTTTATGCTATAATGTCACCAAATTGGTCAATGATCACAATCCAATATTGTAAAACACTTAATACAATATAAGATCCAGACTAGCAGATGTATTTATTGGAGGTCTTATTTCTGCTTGGATCAATCCTCATCCCAATGTAAATAACTCTAATCTCTCAAGTGAGGTACTGTTTGGTCCATTGAGCAGTTCATCAAGCCTCCATGGCTTTATTGGGAATTAGCGAGTTTTCTCCTATTTATTATACTTTGGCTCTTATAATGTCTCTTTATACTGGGCACACAAAATTCCATCCTACTGGCCATTGTTACCTTTTTATCTTGGATATCAAGGGAAGGTAATCTGAATGTGAAAATACTTAATTTTGAAAGGCTATACTATAGTAGATTGGCCATTTACAAGGAAGAGAGAGAGAATACTACTCTTTTCAAAAGAGTGGTGACCCTTGAGATTTACCAAAAACAGGACATAATTCAAAAGTGAGTTTGGTCAGCTTAATTGTCGACTGTCACCATTGACCTTTTTATGATTTTAAAATTTAAAAAGCTAGCTAAATATATTTTAGTTTTGTTCTAGACCTGGCCATGTTTTATCTTGGACCCTGTCTTTTACATTGAAACTTTTCTTATATATTTAAATAGTTGAATAGAATATGTTTTTGACCTTATATTAATACTCTCTATATAGTCGAGACAAAAATAGTTTGATGTCATTATTTTCACCCTTAGAAGTGAGAAACTGGGACAAGGTCATGCCTTCTTAAATCCAAGAAACATTTTATTTATACTTGCTTCTCTTCTTTCTTAGAATCATTTATTATAGGACGGATTTCCACATGAATAATTAAAGTTTTAACTGTACAGGGCAGAGATAAATAATTACAAGTAAAAACTCATTTAAAGCAAAAGCAGCTACAGAGAATTGAAGATGGTGCTGCCTTTCTTAGAAGGGGTCAAATATCTTCCTCCTTTTCACATTTTAGTTTACTTTTTCAAAATGGTGAATAGCCTGGAGATTAACACAGGGGCTGCTTTTCCTTTTCTGTTTTAAATTCGTTAGTGGAATATCTTGGCACCCTTCAAGTTACACAGTGTGGTTTTCTGGCTTATGATTTCCTTTCTGGCAGTATTTTCATACAAGTACAGAGAATGGAAAAATTAGCTTTATAGCCTCTTATTTTATTGCAGAAGCAAGGTAGGGATTCATCAATTTGCAGTTAGAAAAAAATTCCTAAATTATAAAGCAAATTTTTCAAATTTATTAACTTGCAATCTGCAGAAGGATTTTGGCTGTATTTGTTTGTTCTGTTGCTGAGAAAAAAATTGGAAACTTACATGAAAAACGGAGCAGATCCAAATTCATATTCTGAATGATAATGTTAGTGTAAGTCATTGTTTAAAATCTCCACTTTAATTCTGCAATATGGCCTCTTTTGGCCACTACTTTATTTTCTCAGAATACTCTGAGTCTGGCATGAGTTCCCCTTTTAGTAAATTCTGATATCAATAAACTCTAATCTCAGTAACTCTTTTTTCATGCCGCCTCTGTTGTGGCTCCTCACCAGTGTGTCTACCCTTTCTGAGCAGTGCCCATGTGTTACACCTTTAGGAAACTGACTGCCTTTTCCATCACTAAGTTTTCTTTTTCATTCCCTGGGAATCACTTAATGGAATTCAAGGGAATGTCCTTCTCTCTGTCTTTCTCTCTTTCACTTTCTCAAAAAAGAAAAAAAAGGCAGGTTTTATTGTTCTTATAATGTTTTTGTTATAAAAATTGGTTTTCTTTAAATAATAATTAAGCTGGAAAGGTAAATTGGGCTGTTAGTGATTTGAAATTTATATTAAGAAATTATGGATTTCATATGAAGAAAAGGAAATTATTTTTTAATAATATAAAATTCCGCTCAGATGAGTAATAACCTAAAATGAAGAATAAAATGCAACTTAGAGTAAACTATTTTCTAACATAATAATTGTTTCAGCATTTTTAGTAGATTGTCTTTGTGCTTTAAATAACGTACATTCTTTTGGAAGTTGCACTCACTCTTCAGTTCACCAGAGTCCTTTAATTACTATGTCAGTGCTTTAAACTATTCTACCTCCTGCTCTAATCTTTTGACCTGAAAGTAAATGGAGCTGTCTAGAGACCTAAATTATAGTATGGAATTTGATTATGTATGTATTAAAAATCTGATTCAACTAATTCAAAAATTAAGGGTAATTTTAACTTTGATTTTAAAGTGCCTCATTTATCTTTTATAAATTTCCCCTTAGAAACATATTCTGAATTTGATGATCTTACTAGTCTTCTCTGAAGATATGCAGTGTTTCTTCTTTGTTGCTTCATATGTCTTATGTGATTTGCCTTACATTTTCTGTATTTAAGATTACCCTAAGAAAGAAAGTTTTTTTTTTTTTTTTAAAACAGAGGCAATAAATTCTAGGTATGCTAGGAGTGTGACTATTTTAAACGAACAAACAAGTAAATAAATATCTTACCTCTTGCCACTAGGTCAACACACAGGCATATTCCTAATCTATGAGTAGCTGAGTAGTCCACCATAGTCCATTTGTGTTATGATTTTCCCAAAATACCATATGTGTTACATGGATGTGGTTGGAGAAATGGCATGTGTACGTGTGCACACACACAAGTACTTATTTATTCTCCAAATAACCATGTTTTTTCTTATGCCTTCAATTCTTATTTCCATGTGGATATAACTTTAAACCACTGCTATCATGAAGCTTTCTAAAATGCACATCTCTAGTCCAATGGCTCTCTTAAACTTCAATTCTGTGATTAAAACTCTTATTACTTACACTATTTAGAGTCTTCATTGTGGCATTCAAAGATTTCTCCATTATGACTCTAATCTATCATTGCAGACTTATCTTCATTCCTAGCTTTCTTGTTCTGCCTGTTCCAATTAAACTGACTCTCAAACACTTCCCACCTCCCCACCCCACCAGGGCTTTTCTGAGTCAATTTCATTGGTATTGCACTTATTGTCTGCTCCCCTTTTTAGGATTCAACTCCTTTTAGGGCGCAGAAACTTTGGGACTATTCCTGTAGTTTAACCCTAGTTTTCAGAGGAATAAAAAAGTTGTTTCTCTATGTGAATTTCAGAGTAAATCCCCTCTACAGAGCCATCAATGGGGTATTATGTTACCTTCTTGAAACTCTAATGCATGTGTAGGCAGAACTTCTGAGAACATTTAAACAGCCTTGTATTTATTTCTGGGACTGTGTTTTATGTTTTTCGCTCTTCAAAGCGCAGCTGTCTTGAGTACAGGGGTAGTTCTTCTGGGATATAATATCTAACATTTATCTCATTATCTTTATATCTAAACCTCTCCTTTGTACAAATCCAGTAAGCCTAGCCTGGAAAGCTGAGTTCATTCCTCCCTTACTCCATACCCAGCTAATTAGCAAATCTTATCTCTCCAACTCTCTGACAATTCTCATGCTAATTCACCTTACATTGCAGCCATATCAGAAGAAGAAACATAGCGAGTATTTCCCTCTCATTCAAATCCTCCCTCACCTGGCTACAGCGACTTCTTCCTGGTCAGCCTTAGCATGATTGCCCTCCTTCTCCCACTGCATAGACGGCAGTGTCTTGTTCTCTTGATTATGAAGGTTGTTATTTAATGGAGCCATAGTTCTTTCTCTATTATTGTAGAACTATTATTGGACAGCTAAAACAGAAGAGATGAAAATAGACCAGCTTCAGTAAATAAGAATATCAACTTAATAATATGACATTCTCCTGGAGGAAAACAAATGAAGTATGCTCCAGGGTCTGGGAAAGAAAAAAAAAAGACTTTTTTTAACCACAAGACAGAGAAAGGTTTACCCTATTTTATATCCATTAGACAAGAGTCTGAGAAGCTTCACTTGCCAGAAAAACCAGAAGATTAGGCTTCTCCCTGACACCGCTGTCAAATTCATCCTCATGAAAATTGCATTCTAAGGTAGTCAAGGGCAATTTATCCTCATCACCACCCCCATCACTATGCAAGCAGAATAACTCAAATTAAGAAGAAGAAAATACGAAAGAGAATTCTGACTTTTGTAGTTTTCTTGCCCTTCCACAAGGAAACAAGCTATAGACATTTTTCAAATTTTGGTAGGCAGCATTTGCCCTCCAAGGAGAAACAGCTAAAAGGAGTGATAGGAAAACCTTCCTTCAGTTCAACAGAATCGTACTAGAAAAATTAGTGCTAACCTAGGAAGGTAGTGCTACACAGAATATTTAGAAACTGTTTGACAATTTCCCTCTAGTTTAAGACCAAACAAAACAATTGTAACAACACACAGGTGAACAGTAACAACATTTAAGAGAATATAACTGCCCTGTTAATTAGTGTAGTAATCATTGGTTGTTCATGAGTATTTTTAGTTCTCTACTTTTACTGAGCACATGGTAGAAATATACTTCCTAGGCTCCTTGAAGTTAGTTGTGGCCGTGTGACTTGCTTAGGCCAATGAAGGATCAGCAGTGACATGCATCATCTCTATCATCTCTGGGCACAAGTTCTTAAGAGTTGGTGTGGTCATTCACCATACTCTTTTTCCTGTGCTATGGCAAATGATGATGCTCCAGGAGGTAGAGGCTGCATCAGCCTGAGACACGGGGAAGATGACATGAAGCAGAGCCCAACGCTGACTGTAATGTGAACATGAGTTAGGAGCAAGAAGTCAACTCCTACTGCTTTAAGCCACTGAGATTTTGAGGTTGTTTGTCACTGCATAGTAACCAGATTGATGTAGTTAGTAATCCCAAGAACTATTAAGTCTAGTATTCATGCAAGGATGAGTGAATTTAAATAAAGAATTTTTTAAAAAACCTAGAAGCTACGAAAAATAATCTGAAACAACAAAAAAGTAGCATACTACTCTAGTAGCAGATAAATGTTAAGGAGATAAATAGGAGAAAGAAATAGGATTACATATACATTTAGAAACCATCTGCTTTTGTTCTCAATAAAATCTAATAAGCGAGTAATTCGTGAATAAAGAGATTACAAAAAATAAAGTAATAAGAAAGATTAAAGGAAGGTACCTAAGACGAAAGCTGAGATTAAAAGAGAACTGGATGAGATAAGGAAAAATATTTGGAGATTAAAAATGCAAAAGTGAAATGGAAATTTTTATTGGATATAATAAAAAGCAAAATTGACACTGTAGAAAAATAGAAATAATACTGTACTAAGCACTTAATGCTTTAATCATAAAAAGAAATAAGGAAAATAAATGAATTAATGATTTCACTATAATGAAACAAAGTACCCTATTTGGCAACTGCTAAAGGAGACATTAATTGAAATAGGGGAAAGCAAGTAGTGGCACTGATAAAGAATTACAAAATGAAAAATAGTTCTTATATGCCTGATTGTGTGAAGAGAGAATTTAAGAAATATTCAACATAAGCAACAAAAATATTTTAGCCATTAAATTGATATGACATTTTTAAGAAAAGAAAATACCAGATGTAGTTGGAAACCTCATTATATGGTAATCATTGTCCAAGAAAAGATAAATTATCAAAATTGGTGCTGGAAAAAGTGGGAAGCATGATTATATCACTAACCATAGAAGATATTAAAAATATTTCAAATAATTATTTCCAACAAGGGCCCTGGCCTCAGATAGATTTGATGGTTATTTGTTTTAAAATGTGTAACACGTAAAGGGAAAAGTCTCTAATATACCTTACAATTTTCACACAGCATTGAAATTAATAGCAAAAAATAAAATTTGCATGTCAATATCTGCTAAAATACATAGATTCAAGAATCTTAAATATAAGCAATTTGAATTCAATAGAATATAAATCAGGAACAGCAAGATTTTGACTTCAACATATCTATTAAATCATAAAGTGTAATGTTCTCAATATTCAAAACACATTTCTGATTAAAATATCATACCTAATTAGAAAATGCATACAGGGATATTCTTTAGAGAAAACAAGAAGAAACTTGCTCTTTATTAAAAATTACACTTGAAGATCTATGCAATAGACCTAAGCCAGATTTTTATTAAGAATTATAGTTGAAGCTTTATGCAGTTAAAAGGAAACAGAGACCAGGCATGGTGACTCACGCCTGTAATCCCAACACTGGGAGGCCGAGGTGGGCGGCTTACCTGAGGTCAGGAGTTCGAGACCAGCCTGGCCAACATGGTGAAACCCTGTCTCTACTAAAAATACAAAAATTAGCCGGGCGTGGTGGCACATGCCTATAATCCCAACTGCTTGGGAGGCTGAAGCAGAAGAATCGCTTGAACCTCGGAGATGGAGTTTGCAGTGAGCCAAGATTGCGCCATTGCACTCTATCCTGGGCAACAAGAGCAAAACTCCATCTCAGAAAAGAAAAAAAAGAAAAGGAAACAGAAGTAAATGCCAAAAACACTCAGAATGAGGAAATAAAATTATTGAGAGCATATGATTTTTTACATTAAACATATACCGTAAACGTATATACAACATAAAAAGTCAAATCACCGGTTTGATTTTAATTATAGCAATATGGTTTAGTGGGTAAACTGATGGAACTCTCCTGGCACAGAAAAGCAAAGGAAAACAAAAAGCTGCAGTATAGAATATGTTTTAAACATCATTTAGAATACATAGACAAGCTGATAAAAAAGTAAAATCCTCATAAACTAAAAAGAAAGGAGGCAAGATAAGTGAACCAGTTGTAAAGCAAATACCTCTCCTTGGCACACAAGCAGGTTCCTGATGGCTAGGACTTTTCCTTTCAAAGGCCATATGTTTATGGGAACAGAGTAGTGGCAAGAGACAGGCCATATGTTTATGAGAAGAGTAGTGGCAGGAGACAAGACCCAGCCTATGTGCAAGATGGGAAATCTCATTGACAATGGGGTAAACCAGTTTACTGTGAAGTAAGACAGTACCATATAAGCCACTCTACTAAAACACACAATACATGTAGCTGCAAGAGAGGCTGGATATTTTGTCTTCATTCTAGGCAACATGTGCAGCCAACGATATTATTATCATTGAACAATGGAATGGAGATTGGATGGAAAATGGCAGTTTCTTGATAATCATCAAATAATTAGTATGCACCAATTATGTTATCCTAGCAGAATGCAATTAACAACATTAACAAAAAAGATGAACTATCATCTTTCAAATTTTGAAATTAGAAAATTAGTTAAAATTTTACACGTTTCTATGATTAAAACTCTTATGAAACTAAGAACAGATGAAAACTCCCTGTCATCATTACTAAAAGACATTTTATATTTCTTTAGCTAGAGAAATAAAACAAAAATGTAAATATTTGATTTAAAATAAAAATACAAATCTTACGTAACTAAGAATAAATTTAATGAAAGACATGTGAGGCCTTTCAAAGTAACATTAAAACTAATTGGAACAATATTAGAAAATGTATACAGATAAAGCCATGTGCAAGAATACAATATCTAAAATGGTAGTTATCTTAATTATCTCTATCTAAAAATTCCATAGAATACCATTAAAAGCCCAACAAAGCTATCCCATCTGAATTGAAAATTTTATTCTTAATTTTAATAGGAGAGCAAAAACAAAAGAATAGCCAAAAGAGTTTGCAAATCTAGAGTAAGTGTTATAATACTGTACTGTTTACACTAAGGACAGACCCAAGCATAAATATAAACTGTACATATCATAATGGGAAATTACAGATCAGTGAGTAGGAACAGGACATTCACAGAAGAGGAAAATAAATTGCATATACCAATACAATTATATAATGTATATATATATATAATTTTACTATTCATTGATAGAAAAGCATATTAAAATCACAATGAGAAACTAACTCATACACAGAAATTGGAAATAAAAAATTTAATACTGTGGAAATACTAAGTGTTGATGAAGATGTGGAGTCCCAGGACCCATCCTAGGTAGCTGGTGGTTAGCGAAAATTTATTTTAAAAGTTTAGAGATAAATTTGTCAAGAGAGGATACTAAGATTGAAAATCTGCATCCCTGCATTCTGGAAGTGTGAATCCAGCTGTACAGTTTATAAATATTCTCATGCTGTGTGCATAAGGAGACAAGCACAAGAAATTTCATAAGAGCATAGTTTGCAAAGTATAAACATGGAAACAATATAAATGTCAGTAAATAGGAAAATGAAAAAATGAAGTGTGCACTCTGGATTAAAAAGGATATACACACAGTGAAACAATATGAAGAAGAAATACATGCATCGGTATAGAAAATTTCAAACCACAATATACTACAAAGAATAACAAAAAGCAGAGAATACATGCAGTATGATACTGTCTACATAATTTTAAAAATCAACAGGACAATAGTTATATATATTGCTGCATAACATGTATTTCTATATAATGCCAAGTTCACATGCAGTAGCTTGAAATGATAAACCACAAATTCATAATGGCTTCCTGCAGACACAAGGGTAAGAAATGTGCTAGGGTAGAGGATTCAACTATCTTTGTAATATTTTACCACTTAAGCCTGTTGGTAAGTACCTAGACTTTTTTCTTTACCGTTTTTGTATGTCTGAACGTTTTTACCTCCTAACATAATTTGACTTTATGGGCATTTAAAAAATATATTTTAATTGACAAAATTATATATATTGTGTACAATATGATGTTTTGAAATATATATACATTAGGGAATGACTAAATCTGATCAAATATGCATTACTGTACATACTTATTCCTTTGTGGTGAGAAGACTTAAAATTCACTCACCTCGCAATTTTTAAGAATACAATACATTGTTATTAACTATAGTCACCATCTTGTGAAATGGACTTATTGTTCTTATGTAACTGAAATCTTGTATTATTTGACCAACATCTCCCAAACCTTTGGCTCCACCCCAAACTCCAATCCTTGTAACCACCATTTTCCTCTTTGTTTCTGTGAGTCCAACTTCTTAAGATTCCATATATAAGTGAGGTCATGCAGTAGTTGTCTTTCAGTGCCCAGCTTATTTCGCTTAACAAACGACCTCCAGGTTCATCTCTGTTGTCTCAAATGACAGGATTTCCTTCTTCTTAAGGGCTGCATAATATTACACTGTGTCTATGTAGAACACGTTTTCTTTATTACGTTGAATGACACCTAGGTTGTTTCTGTATCTTGGCTATTGTGAGTACATCTGCAAAGAACATGGGAATACAGATGTCTCTTTGACAAACTGATTTCAATTCCTTTGGATATATACCCAGTAGTAGTATTGGAGGAGCATATGGTAGTTCTATGTTTAATTTTTTGAGGAAACTCCATACTGTTTTTCATAATGGCTATACTAATTTATATTCCCATCAAAATTGCACATGGATTCCCTTTTTTCCATGTTATTACCAACTTTTATCTTTTGTCTTTTTGATAATAGCTATTCTAACATGTGTGAAGTGACAGTTCATTGTGGTTTTAATTTTCATTTCACAAGTGATTAGTGATATTGAACGTTTTTAATGTACCTGTTGGTCATTTGTATGCCTTCTTTAGAAAAATGTCTATTTCTATCCTTTACCCATTTATAAATTGGGTTATTTGTTTTCTTGCTATTGAATTGTTGAGTTTGTTATATATGTTGGGTGCTAACTTCTTTTCAGATGAATAGTTTGCAGATTATTCTGTGGTCATCTATAGGTTGTCTCTTCTCTGTTGATTGTTCTCTTTGCTGTACAGAAGATTTTACTTTGATATCATCTCATTTACCTGTTGTTGTCTGTGCTTTTGGGGTTATATCCAAAAAAAAAAAAAATCATTGCCCAGACCAATCAATGTCAGGAAATTGTACCCCTGTTTTCTTCTAGCAGTTTTATAGTCTCTGGCTTTACACTTAAGTCTTTAATCTATTTTGAGTTGATTTTTAATATATGGCCCAATTTCATTCTGCATGCAAAAATCCAGTTTTCTCAACAACATTTATTGATGAGACTGTTCTTTCCCCATTGTACATTCTTGGTACATTTTGTCAAAAATCAATTGGCCTTAAATGCATGAATTTCTGGGCTTTCTATTCTATTCCATTGGTCTATGTGTTGGTTTTTATGCCAGTACCATGCTGTTTTGATTACTATAGCTTTATAGTATATTTTAAAGTCAAGTCATGTGGTACCTCCAGCTTTGTTCTTTGTGCTCAAGATTGCTTTGGCTCTTTGGGGTCTTTTGTGGTTCCATATGAATTTTAGATATTTTATTTCTGTGAGAAATGTCATTGAAATTTTGATAAGTATTGCATTAAATTTGTAGATTGCTTTGGGTATATGAACATTTTAGCAACAATATTTTTTTCTAATCTACGGACACAGGTTATCTTTCCATTTATTTGTGTTCTTTAATGTCTTTTATCAATATTT
The DNA here is from genome assembly GCF_000001405.40 of Homo sapiens. Classification (NCBI taxonomy): domain Eukaryota; kingdom Metazoa; phylum Chordata; class Mammalia; order Primates; family Hominidae; genus Homo; species Homo sapiens. The sequence continues at coordinate 22,299,790 of NC_000003.12, read as the reverse complement.
TACAGTTTTCAGTGTACAGGTCTTTTACTGCTTTGGTTAAATTTATTCCTAAGAATTTTACTATTTTTTATAACTATTTTAAATGGGATCGTTTTCTTTTTCAGAGAGTTTGTTATTAGTGTATAGATAAGCTACTGATTTTGTATGTTGATTTTCTATCCTGAAACTTTACAGAATTCATTTATTAGTTCTAACAGTTTTCTAGTGAAGTCTTCAGGGTTTTCTATTTGTAAGATCATGTTGTTCACAAACAGGAACTTCTTACTATCCAATTTGGATGTTCATTGGTATTTTTATAGAATGTTTTACTTTTGTTTTCTTTTTTTCAAATTATGATTTGTTTTATAGTTACTTATATATATTCCTCCATTCCCCCCGTGTAGTATAATCTTTCTTTTGGTAGGAAAAATATTCAGCATGCAAGTTCCTCAGGGCCTAGAGTAAAGTTACAAAAATAACCTAAAGTGTTTTATTTAAGAGTGCATTTCTTTAATTTTACTTGTTCTTTTTTGTTCAATTGGTATACCTATATTACAATAGCTATAATCATTATATAAATTATAATCTTAAAAGAACTGATAGTCATTTCCATAGCAAACCAGTATAGCAATATTTGTCATCTTATTGGTTACTAAAGTCACCAGCAGCCTCTTTAGTTTTTACAGATACAGTGAAACCTGAAAGCAACTTGGGAAGAAATGGCAGTTTATTATTGGCATTCTCCTGACACAAGCTCACAAAATTTGAATTGTGTTAAAAACTACTCTGTGATATATTGTAATCATAAAAGGACCTCAATCCAGCCTGTATCCTCTCTGCCAAATCATTTCTTAGAATTAATTGGAATCAAATAATGTTGCAATTCTTTTTTAAGAACTGTGTAATATAATACAGTCATCATTATATGAATTTGGTGAGAAAATAAAAGAGCACAAGTCCATGGCTAAGTATATTCAAGAAACTTTGCATTAAATAAAGATAAACAATTTATTTATTGATTCTAAGAGTGTTTTTTATCATTTTAATGGTAAGAAAATGAAATCTCCAAAATGGAAATTAGATCATTTTATTTTTTTTTTTTGGTTTTTGTTGTTTTCTATTTATCTTTAATTTTAGGCATACCCATTTATATTCAAAATATTTTCCACAGAATTTAGCTTGAGAACCACAGATGTAACATGTTGAGAGGGAGCTGTGGATAGTCACATACATATATGTGTGTGTGTGTGTATGTGTGTATATACATAAATGTTTTATGTATATATATTATATATAAATGTTTTATGTATATTTATATATTATATATAAATGTTTTATGTATATTTATATATTATATATAAATATTTTATGTATATTTATATATTATATATAAATGTTTTTATTTTACATATATATACACACACACACACACACACATACATACTGCTTTCTCCTCTTCTCCTCCTTTGCTGTTAAAGTCTCAGTCAACCTCCCATCCTCACTTTGTTTTAAATGGAACATTGTACAGTAACCTTTAAGTCACCTTATGACTTATGACTAATCATATGACCTTTCCTGAATCTTTATTCTCTTTGACTACTGTGTGTCTTTTGAAATTCTTAGCAACCTTTTAAAAATTTATCTTTAATAGCTTACATTTTCTTTGATTTTAACTTCATTTGACTTTTTTCTTAAAGCACGAAGATTATATGCCTGTTTAAATAAATCAAGCAATAGAGACACAGGAGAAGTTCTGAAACATACTCTTCCCTCTACCCTTCATCATTATATTCCCCCAAATTGATCAGTTTCATGAGTCAATAACTACCACTACTTAATTTTCTCTGTGCCCAAACAAAACTATAGAAACATATTTATAGATGCAGAGATTATTTTTAAAATTTGTTTCAATATCTGTAAATATTGGATGAAAATACGCGTTGTACGTTTAAACATACTTTTAAAATGTAACCCAATATCATTTGCTCCTAGGTCAATAGAGATAGTCATGTCCATTCATTTTAAAGGTTTTTATGTTATTTTTATGTATATATTATATACTCTTCTATATTACATAAGAAAATTCCCAGTTATGAATCCTCGCCACGTGTATTTGCTTTGTTTATTATGCTGTTTCAAAGAGGAAAGTAGGAAGAAAAGAACAGCCTGAGGTCAGATTACTCATTGCTCCACTCCTCTAGACAACTATTTCATTCCCCCATATTGCCTAGATGAGTGGGGCTTCTGCTCTGGACTTTACCCACTGCAGAGTCCTCCTCCGGCCCCACTTCAGCCATGCCCCCTTCTCTCTATAAGGTAAAAAGTTTGCCGCTCAAGGGGCTTGTCCCTTTATAGACTATATCTATAGCCTAGACTTTGCTCCAGGTATGAGGAATCCTGGAATTCCTCCAGGTTCTGTGTGAGTCCTTTCCCTAGGCTGTCCTCCCAAAGGCAGAGGTCTGGCCAAAAGATAGCTTTTTTCAGATGAAGGGAAAGGCGGAGGAGATGGATTGATTTGGGATATGTCATTTGGGGTGTTCAGACATATGTATGATAGGTCCTATTGGGGGGATCTGGGGTTGCGAATAAAGGGGTTGATTGTCACAGTCTGGGAGCTTGAGACTAGGAACAAGTCAGTCTTTCTGTACCACCATATTCTAGTGCGACCTTTAGGTCCTTAGGAGATTATATTTTTCAAGATAGGAGAATACAATATGTTTTAATAGTTTACTAATTCAATATATAACAGAAATACAATCTATCACATAAATAATTGCAGGGGGAGTATGAGGGCCTCCACTTATACTTGTACCTCAGGCCCTGAAAATGTTAGGGCAAAACTGTTACTATTTCCAAGGGTAGATGAATTATGCATCCTGATATTTGCATTATTGTATAATCTCTTCTCCTTAAGTCTGGCCTGGCCCATTAGCCATGGCACCATGCCAGTTGCTGGCCTAAGGCTTAAGAACATCTGGCAGCCTGCACTTTTGCTCTCCAGAGAAGCCAACCACCATGCTCAAGACAGACACTATGCTGTGGGGAAACTCAACCTAACCTTAGGGAGAGGCCACATGGAGGTTTCTATGTCAGCTGCAGAGGTATGCTCTCTTCAAGAAGGAATTCAGCATTCAGCAAGGAGTGCAGTCAAGTGAAAACCACTAGCTGAAGGTCCTTCAGTATCTAACTCAGTGTTCAAACTGAGGCAGGCCATCAAAAGTTCTCTTTGTACAATTCAGTTTCCTACCTCCTTTCCTTTCATAGGTGCCAAATCTTCGTCATGGTCTGAAGGCGTTCCCTGTCCAATTCTGCTTCCCTTCTCTTTTATCTTTCATAGGCATTAGACATACCCTTCCTTGAAGAACTGCTTGCAGTCCCATTTTAGCATTTTCTTCCTGGAGAACCCAGCTGAAACAGTAACTGAGGAACTAGCCAACAACAAGAACCTATGATTCAAACAAGTGACACTAGTTCATTTATGCCAGCCTCCAGCTGTTCAAACCATCCCCGCTAATGCCACACAGAGCAATGGCAAGCTGTCTCTGCCAAGCCCTGCCTGAACTGTAGAATCCCAAGAAGTAACAAACACAATTGTTTAAGGCCCATAAGTTTTGAGGGTAGTATTGTAGCAATAGATAACTTGAAACAGAAAGTGTTATCTGGAGTGAGTGACATCATAATGAAATAATCTAAAACCTATGGCATTGGATTGATTCATAACCTTACATTTTGGATATTTAGATAGATGGTATGCGGCCTCCACTTGTACTTTTTCCCTGGGCCATGCAAAGGTTATAGGTGATCCAGTCATTTGTTCTCATGAAACTTTCCTATTTATTTTCTTCTCCTTTGCCATAAACTATTCTTGTCGACTTTCTCCTGTTTCTTTTTTCAGAAATCTCAGTTTCTTTCAAATATTAGCCTTTGTACTTCTTGATCAACAATGCCATTGGGAGGGGCCGTGAGGCAGGGGTGGTAGCTTTCTCTGATCACATCTTTCAAAGGTTATAGTTTATCAGTTGTTACTGAGAAGGTGAAGGAAAATATTAGATTAAAAAATATTAAATTTGTGCCTAAAACATCCGAAGTCAGACTATGAGGTGTGCATATAAAGTAATCAAAAGGGGGCGGATTTTCTTTTATGTTTATATTTTTCTACCAACCAAAGGTTCAGATCCACCTCATTTACCTAGTTCAGCCCTAGACTAGTTCCCACTCATTATTAAAAACTTTTTTCATTAAGTTTATATGCTGTCATATATGAATGTCCCATTGTGACTTTCTGATTATTTGAGCCATACACCTACATGTACGCCCAGTTTTGCTTTGCAAACTTTTTTTATTCTATTTTACTGCATTAAAAAATTTGTTATAATTCTCTTATAGGAGGCTGGAGTCAGATCACAGCCTTTGGAGGCATGTGAGGTGGCACTGTCATCAGTTTCTCTCCCTCATGTGTGAGAGCTGTATAGCCTATTCTACATCTCATGTGTTTGCATAAAAATTGAAACTTTTTCTAGAATGTTATCTTTTGTGCAAAAATTATGTCCTAATGTATTGGGAATGTTTTAGTAGTATTTTACTATAATTTTCACAGCCTCTGAAAGACTGTTAAATCTTTACACTTTATTATTCAAATGTAGAGAAAGAATTTATTGTTATCTATGGTATATAATTCCAAACAAGTTATTAACAGCATGATGACTTTTTCATTCAGAGGAAAACTGGAATTTTCCCACCAATAATAATAGACATTAATGGGCCATAAACAAACATTTTAAAGCCAATTATAATCCTAGAGTGAAACATGTGTGTGAGTGTGTGTATAAATAGATATACAGAGATAGATAGTTATACCCCTGGTCCTGTAATGGAAAATAGATATCTAATTTTCCCACTCCTTTGAATTAATATGTTGATTTTTCCTTTTAAACACAAAGGATATCTAATAGTGGTAACAGATTAAGGCTTTACAATTTAGTAACTTTGTTATAAAATGCAAAATATATTGAATTTCCACTAAGCATTGACATTGCTTATTAATTTTGAATTCTTACAACATGCTAGTATTTTGCATTAACTTGTTTTCTTTCTTTGCAATTCAGAACATAGAAGCTTAGAGACATTTAGTAGCACACTCATCAACACTCAGTTAGTAATCATCAGCACCAGGATTCAAATCTGGTCTCTTTCACTCTGAATTTCATGTTTCCTTTTATTTGATTTATTTTAGCCTTGAAATTTTAAATGAAATCAATATATCCATTTAGCCAGTCATTATCATCTTAAGGAAATAAAAAACATTCCCTAATACATACTGATATATAATACCCATTATATATTATATACGATAAATATGCGGGGGTGGACCCACATCTATTATAACATATTAATGAAATAAGAAGTATATTCATAGGAACAGTTTTCTTATTAGAGGAGATATTGAAAAATATGAGGAAAAATAGCACTAAATAATGGAGGCTCATTAAGGAGGGAAGTTGTACAAAGAGGCACCAATAGGAGAGGCAAATTGTGGGGAAGCTAAAACTGCATCCACCTCCTATTAACTAGAGCCATTTTATAGGGTTTACTGCCACAGTTTTGTTTCCTATACCTACCCAGTATAGTGGCACTTTTCTGTAGTAGCACTATGTTGTAACAAAGGTACATAATGCAATATTAAGGTTATATTTATAATGGTCTTAGAGTATCATTATGTATTCAACATTCCTCCTCCTCCAAATACTCTATAGGATACAATCAATTAGAAAAAAAAAAGCATCAGTAAATGCTGCAATCTAGGCCAAGATAGAATTACCATGCCTGGAGAAGAAAATTCATTGATCCCAAACTTAACATAGGTAAAATGAACAAGTATGTAGGAAGTAGAAGAAACCCCAGATGAACCCTAAGACCAGTGCTTGTAAACTTTAGCATTCATGAAAATTACCTGGAGGGATTGCAGGAACAGATCACTAGGCCTCACCTCCAGGGATACTGATTCAGTAGTTTTCAAGTAGAACCTATTTTCATTTTATTGAAAGCTACCAGGTGATGCTGATGCTGAAGTTGATTCTGCTGGTCTTGGGGCCAGTCTTTGAGAACCACATTCAACACGGGGAAGTAAGAGCTGGGAGTCATGCCAAGCTGTGGAACAACTGAGGAAAATATTCAGGTAGCATTCTTTTGCCAAAAAATATAATGTGTGATGTCAAATATGTTATCTATCCACTGTGGAACTTATTCCTAGCTTATACTGGGCCTAGATGTCACACTAGGTAACACTGCTATAATTAGCTTGTAAGGAGAGTATTGCTAGAGGGCATCATTGAACAAAGAGGACTCTTTTATTGGCTTAGGGAAGAGTACCAGGTTTAGTAGCTAGAAAGAGAATGCCTGAAGTTTCTAAATTAAAAAGAAGATGTATAATTTATTAAAGTCTTATGGAGAGAAGGAGAGATACTAAATTAGGAATTCATGGGATCACTAATTGAGATGAGTAAAGGACATCGAGTTTAATAAAAGGTAGCAAAGGTTTCCAATATATTTCTGACTCCTGGTTGCCCTAATAATGGGGCTTGCTCTCCAAAGTAATGAAATTATTATGACACATGCAAATGAATAATATAATAACTAGGATTAGGTTTGGGGGATTTCTATGAAGGCTTTTTTGAGGGATTTATGATGTATAAGTGAAAAGATAGCATTTGAGTTATATATAAGACAGTAATGTTCAGCATACACATGAGACAGCCTCTGGATACTACTAACTTACAGCTTCTTGAGGTAACTGTTGAAATCAATGGAGATAATAAATCATGTAGTTGCATATATATACATTGTTAAACTTACTGGCATCATGTCTAAAGGGAAAAACAGGAATCTGGGATGGGACAATAGAAATATGCATTCTCTTGGAGATCTGGAACTGGGACAATTACAGCAGCTGCTGCTTAAAATTCTCTCTCTCTTTTTCTGTCACTATAGAATTTTGCCCCCAGAAAGTAATATAAGTAGATAAGAAGTCAATGGCAAATAAACCAGAAAAAGAATAGAGCTCTAGCACATTTTAAAAATATTTCTAACTATCAAATACAGAAAACAAATACTTGTTACAGAAATAAAACTCCATGCCACTATCACATTTGTATCTGATTCCTTCCCTTATCTATTGAAGTCTGTAGATCTTTAAATTAGCCGTGTGAAAGAACCAACATGAAATTCCAATTATTTCATTTTGAAACTTATCTGGGCATGTTGCTTTAAATAGAGGTCTACAAAATCTCTCACATAGTTCTAGAAATAGTGCCAGTACTGGGCGATCAAGTACTATCCCCTGTAAAAAGAACTTACCAAAACACAGAAAACAAAAACTAATTAAAGCCTACAATGGCTTTATTTATAAATATACTTAAAAGCTTAGAGTTTTGTATAACACTTAATTGCAGATTACATTGGTGAAATATCTAAAGAAACGAGATAAAAATATAATGAGTAAATATACAGCATGTTTTCGCATATATTGAAGCAACAACAAAAACATTTTACATGTATGTTAGGGCTCAGAAGATAGACCTTCTATATTTCTTTTTTAAAAAATAAAGGAAGTCTTCAAAAGTTTATGATAACCCACGAAGTAATGAAGTTTGAAAATAATAAAGGTGGTAGAAAGTACATTAGATAATAAAGAATTATTCAATTAAAAGCCAACATTAAGATTCATCCAGCTCTCAAATTAAAAAGCAGAAATGAAAAGTCAAAGAAGAAGGGCTCCAATATCCAATATGTTCAGGAGATAACAGAGCCTGTAGTATGTGATTATCTTTTGTGAAGATTAACCAGTTCTAGATTATATGAATAAAACATGATTATGATACCAAAATAAGAGAAAGATAATAGAAGAAAAGAAAATTTCTCACCAGTTTCACATATGAAAACTGAAGTACACATGTTTGTAAATAAAAAAGCATTAAATTTTTGCATTTTAAGGAGTAGTAATGCATAAATAAGTAGGATTAACCCTAAGAATGTAAAACTTGTTTAATATTAGTAAATCTGCAATAAAACCTCACATTATGGTATCTCTAGTAAAGTGAAGAAAAGAACAAATATACACAAGATCATAAACCCCACAATATTTAAAACAAGTCTAGAAGTTCTTGGTAATACAGTAAAACAATAAAATTATTACACTTCTTTAACTGTTGTAAAGAATAGTATAAAACTATCATTGTTTGCAAATAATACACTAAATCAACTAAAATATATTAGAAATAAAGTTCAGTAAGATGCTTAATTATAAAAGATATATAGGAAAGCTATTATATTTGTATATGGTAGGATATAAAATTAAACAGAAAATTTTTCCATTTAAGAATTTACTATTAATTAATGTACCTTGAAATAATTTTATAAATAAATATGTAGGACTCAAATGATTTTTTAAAGCACAAGAACTCATAGGGGCAGAAAATGGGTCTTGATGGTTAAATGTTGAACAACACTATAATCTTTCCTTCCAATAAATATATATGTTTAACATAATCACAAGGAAAGTTTCCATTATTTTTTGGAGGGGCAGTTCTGCAAAGCTAATTTAAAGTTCATTTGGAAGGAGAAATCAGAAAGTAACAACCAACAGTAATGGTAAATAGAGGAAGAGGGAGTATTATGGACTGAATTTTTGTGCCCTCCTCCCCATTTCATATGATGAAGCCTTAATCCCCAGGGGGATGGTATTTTAGATGGAGCCTTTGGGAAGTAATGGAGGTTTGCTCAAGTCTTGAAGGTAAGTCCTTCATTGATGGGAGTAGTGCCCATATAAGAAGAAGTATCAGAGCAGTCTCTTGTTCCTCATGCCCGCACAACAAGGAAAAGCACACAAAAATATACATATTGATTAGTGGAAATAATTTAGGAAATCTTGGCAAATGGATACTACAGAGCCATTAAAAGCCCCCGCATGTAGGATGACATCAGCAACATGGAATACGAGGCTACTGACTCTCCCTGTTCCATCAACACACCAAATAAACATCTACACACAGATCAATTACTTCTGAGATAAACAAGTTGAGAAAATCCTACACGTTGGATTTTTGTTTGCTGTTATCTCTGATGGACTGGAAAGTGTTCTTTGTTGAAGACATTGAGCCAGACCAAGAAACATCTAGGCCCCTCAGAAACATGGCAGACAGAACAAGAAGGAGGGGCGGGCAGAGGCCAGAGCCTAGGCAGGATACTGCACAATGCCACTGCCCTGGGCATCCGGGAATGAGTGCCAAACAGTTTACCTTGCCAGAAAGGCCACTGTTTGAGTGACAGAGATCCTTGCTATGTCCCCTTCCCAGCTTCTTCTCCAACCCTGTGTTGTGGTGTGGCTACATTTCTCAATGAGAGGAAAAGGTGAGAGGAGTGAGAACTATCTTCTCTGACATCAGTCTGCACCCCTCCTGAAGGTGGACAATTAGCTCCTTGGGAGGCTTTTGTCTTTGGGTGTGGTGTGGTCTGAGGAGAGCATTCATATTGAATAGGTTAGTAAAGCTGAGGCACATTCAGGCACAAATCTTAGCACCATTCCAGTAAGGAAGGAATTCCCAACACCCAGCTTCCCCGTGAAGAGACAAAGGTTCAGGCCACACATGTAGCACTCTAAGTTTCCTCACAATTTGGCTCTTAATCCACCTGCCTTGGAAGCATAATGGACTAAGCATACACAAATCTCCCTAGAACACAAAACAATGTAGCAGTTCTATATAGGCATGATCACACTTCCAGGGACTTCTCTCAAGATTGAGGCAGAAAAGGGGCTAAAACTCAAAGCTTCCAGTTTTTCCATAGAGGGTTTTTTTCCACAAACTCTTTCAACTGCTGCTGCTTATAGTCAAGCTTCTAACAAGGCTGCATTAGAGAGTTAACTGAGCTGACATACTATAGACCTCCAGGATTCTGAACAGTAGCTGTGTGTATTCTAAACCTTTCCCCTAGCTTATCCCAGGGGTAAATCCAGGTCTATCGATTACTCCTGGAAGGCATTGGTGCATGCATCAGTGCCCCAACTTTTATAGCTCCTACACCATATCCTAAACCTTCTAGCCCAGGAAATGAGACGTACTAGGCATGTGTGATTCTCCCTTGATTACAGAATAAAGAGATGGTTTTAAATAAGCACACCGGCATTCCCAAGGCCTAAACCTCCTATAATCAGTGCATAGATGGGGCTGAAATGCACATTTCCCAGTTTTTTCCTGCAAGAGGCTTGCATGCCCAGTTTTTCAGCTGTTGGTTGAGGATTGAGCTCCTATCTAGCCTGAATTTGGGAATCAGTGGTGTAGAGAAACAATAAACCTTTGGAAGACTGAATGAGATTTTGGTTACTTCTTGAACCTTTTTTCCTGGCTTATGCCAGTGATAAAGCCAAGTCTGTAGATTCTCTCTGGAAGGAATTTTTCTATGTACCAAGCACACAAATAGATTGTGTATGGAACAGCTTGCACGTAATGAATTGACTCCCTACCCACCTAGATTCAGGAGTTGATGAGGCTCTGCATGCTTGAGTCTCCCTATATCACAGAAAACAAAGAGGTGGACACATTCAGAGGACCCATTTACAGAAAATATTCTGCCAGAATCAAAGGGTATAGTAGGAAGGAGAATGCAGGCATTTTCCACAGATCTTCTTCCAGGCTTAGTGTAGAGAAGGTGAGAGATTGTCTTCTGCTGTCAGCTTTATCCTGAGGATAGAAGAAACTAGAACAAACATCTAACACCCCAACCTTTCCAGCTGCATCTAGAGACACTGGCTTCTAGCTTACCCATTCTGAGGTACTGACAAGACTTGGCATACTCTTGTCTCCAGATGGCCGCTAAAAACAGAGTCAGCAGTTTGGACAAACACAGAGATTTGAGAGGCACTTTAGGATCTCTGACTGGATGGATTGGTGAGGTTCTTCTTTTACAAGAGGCCAGTCTAAAAGGACTGAGGGATGCTACTGTCTCATCTAATAAACAGAAACCAACACTGAGAGTCAATAAAAATAAAAAGGGAAATATGTTCCAAATGAAAGAACAAGATAAATCTTTAGATGCTAAAAATAAGGATATGGAGATATGTGATTTACCCAACAAAGAATTCAAAAGAACTGTCATAAAAATACTCACTGAGGTTAGGGGAGCAAAATATCAACAAACTGAGAATTTCAACAAAGAGACAAACTATAAAAAGTACCAAACAGAAATCATAGTACTGAAGAATATAATAACTGAAGTTAAAAAATGAATAGAAAAATCTAATGCAGGATGGATTAAGCAAAAAAGGCATCAGTGAACTCAAAGACAGGTCACTGGAAATCATCCACTTAAACAAAAAAGAAATAAATGAAAGATGGAAGATGGCTTAAGAAAATTATGGGAAACGGTCAAGTGAAACCATCTATGCATTATTAGAATTCCAGGAGAAGAAATCAAGAAAAGACCAAAAATATACTCAAATAAATAATGGCATAATACTTGCCAAGACTGAGAAGGAAAATAGAAGTCCACATATAAGAAGCCCAAAAGATATTAAATAGGATGCATATAAAGATACTCACTCTGAGGCACATTATTTTAAATTATCAAAATTAGAAAATTTTGAAAACAGCAAGAGAACTACTTGTTACATACAAGGAAACTTCCGTAAAACTATTAGTGGATTTTTTTTTAGCAAAAACATTGCAATCATAAAGAAGTGGTTTGATATTTCAGAATACTGAGAGAAAAAAACAAACCTTGCCTGTCAAGATTAATATGCCAGGCAATTCTGTCTTTCAAAGATGAAGAGATGATACAGACTTTCTCAGACAAACAAAAGCTAAGGGAGTTTATTCCCACTGAACTTCCTCACAAAAAGTGCTAACAAAATTTTTACAAGCTGAATGAAAAGGATGCAAATTAGTAAAAGAAAACATGTGAATGTATAAAACTCACAAAATAAAAGTAAATAAATTTTTAGATTTAAAACATTCTAATACTATAATGGCAATGTGTAAGTTAACCTTATTTCTAGTATGAAGGCTAAAAGGAAAAACTATTACAAACAATTATAGCTATAATATCTTGTTGAGGGATGCAAATTATAAAGGAATGTAAATTGTGTCATCAAAAACCTAAAATGCTGGGGGTTATGGGTAGAAAAAGTGTAGAGTTTGTGTATGCCAAGTTAGATTTTTATTAGTTTAAAATAGCCTGTTATAAATATGAGGTGCTTTTTGTAAGCCTCAGCATAACCAAAAAGCAAAAACCCATAGTAGGTACACAAAAGATAAAAATGATTCAGAGTATATCATTAGAGAGAACCATTAAGCCGCAAAGACAGCAAGAGAGGAAGAAAGGAACCAAAGATATGTCAAACAAGTAGAAAAATTAACAAAATGACATTAGTAAATCCTTACCTGTATCAATAATTACTTTAAATGGATTAAGATTTGCAATAAGAAAGTATAGAGTGAGTTAATGAATAAAAAATCAAGACTCAACAATGTGCTCACTTTAAGAGACTCATTTCTCCTTTGAGGACAAATAAACTAAAAGTTAATGGGTGAAAAAATATATCCTATGCAATGGAAAAGAGAGCAGAGGTAGCTATACTTATATTAGACAACGTAAGCTTTAAGTAAAAAAACTGTCACAAAAGAAAAAGAAGGCCATTATATAATAATAAAGTGGTTACTTCACCAACAAAATATAGCAATCGTAAATACATATGTACCCAACATCAGAGCACATAAATATCTAAAGAAGTTATTAAAATATATGAAGGGATAGATAGAGTCTAATACATTAATTGTAGGGGATCAACATCCTACTTTCAGCAATGGTTAGATTATCCTCACAGAAAATTAATACAGAAACACTGAACTTGGACTACACTTTACAGCAGATGGATCTAACCAACACATGTAGGACATTCCACCCAACAACAAAATAATACACATTCTTCTCATGTGCACGTGGATGATTCTTCAGAAAAGATCATATGTTAAGCCACAAAACAAGTCTCAACATATTTCTTTGTGAAGTATCTTTTTTGACCAAAATGCAACAAAACTAGAAATCAGTAAGAGGAGGAATCATGGAAAGCTTACAAGTATATGGAAATGAAACATACTTTTGAACAACTATTGAGTCAAATAAGAAAGTAATAGGGAAATTGAAAAATATCTTGAAACAATGAAAACACCACATATCGCCTTATGCAATGCGTCAAAAACAGTGCTAAGCGGGAATTTTATAGTAGCAATCATGAGCATCAAAAGAGAAGAATGATCTCAAATGAGCAATCTAACATTATACCTCAAAGAACTAGGAAAAGAGGAACAAACTAAGCCAAAAGTTAGCAGAAGGAAGAAACTAGAAAGATCAGAGCAGAAATAAATGAAATAGAGAGTAGGAAAACAATATAAAATATTAATTGAACTAAGAGTTGGTTTATTGGAAAGATAAGCAAAATTAATAGACTGTTACATAGACTAAGAAAAAACTTGTTTAGCTTACGCTTTGCATGAGGGCGCGGATATTAGTACATCACACAACTGTAGAAGAAGAATTAGACAAATATTAATTATCTTATTTAAATATTAAACCCAAAATATTTGCCAGATTTTATATGTGATTGATAAAAAATAATGCTGTAAGTACCGTACATATTATTAAAAATGAGTACATTGTATTAAGAGATACTAGAGTAAGTGCTACCTGTACACCACTGTAGTTTATTATAAACCTTTCCTGTGTGTCTTTATTTCATAGCTTTACAAGAAAATAAATTTAATAAGAAATGCTGTGGAGACGTATCATGATCTGGTTGACTCCTAGGTGACCAGGTCACCTGAATTTATATGTAACTACTGCTGTTTTCTCAGAATACGGTTTGGCATAAGATTTATAGTAAATACTTTTTAAGGATTAAATGGTAATGTTAATACTAGCTATATTTTAGGGACACTGTCAGTTGAGTGGGAACAAATTCCCATAGACGGTGATGCCGTCTTTGTGTGAAGACAAAGTGAATGTTAATTTCTAATTAGAAAATTTCTTCCTACTAGGGAAGGGGAACATCACACACCAGCGACTGCTGTGGGGTGGGGAGAGGGGGGAGGGAGAGCATTAGGAGATATACCTAATGTTAAATGATGAGTTGATGGGTGCGGCACACCAACATGGCACATGTATACATATGTAACTAACTTGCACGTTGTGCACATGTACCCTAAAACTTAAAGTATAATAAAAAATAAATAAAGTTATTGAATAAGTGCACAGTTAAAACAACATAGAAAATTTCTTCCTACTTCATTTTACATTTTTCAGTAGAGAAAAAAATCCTGTCAATAAAACACAAACCCAAAACTTTCAAATGGTTTCAGTCTTTCTCACTGACTAAATGAAAAATAAATATTTGTCATTTGTAATAGATAATCTTTCTACTTAGTCAAACTAGTCAGATCTTTTCTACTTAAAAAATGGATACATGAAGTTAAAGACAGAAAGGAATGTGGTGGAGGGTTAGAGGCAGATGAGCCTCTTATCACCAAAAACATTGTAGTTTATTCAGAATCACATACAGAGTAACCTGTTTGAAGATAAGTTCTCTAAGAATACTAATTTTGCTTTGTAACAAAATTGGTGATTCAGTTGGTTTGCCAGGGAAATACTACCTCTAATCAATGCTGAAAAATTCCAATTTTTTTCTATTAAACTTGTATATGGCCAGTTTCAAGTGGATTATTCTGCAACATTTAGCTTATTATTCAGTAAACTAAACATTCATTCAGTAACTTTTTCTCCTCTTTGCTTATTTTCCTTCACATCTTGATCCTTCCACATTCATTTGTTGATGCTACTTCTTTCCTGCCTGCCCTTTTAATGCAATAAAATATCCTTTTATCTAAAATGATTTGGGTCTGTCAAAATAGACTTCCTCAGAAAGGATTTTCTTTTTTAGGTATACCAAATTTATACATTTCTCCTATCTCCTGACATTCTTAAATTATGATTGTAAATTTTATCTTATTTATTTTCATAAGAATGAATGATTCATTGAATAAGAATCTCAAGTAGGAAGAGGCTGTGTTTGGATAGTGTGGTTAGTTTATGGTTGCTTTTCCTTTATTTTACATGCAGTGAATAGGCCTTTCAGTTACAGCTGTACTTTTGAAATTAAGATCAGCCACAGTGTCTAGCGGTTCTTAAAACATTACTCTTCTCTGTGGTCCACCATACAATTTAGAATTGATGCACGATGTATAAAAGATTTGGGTCATTAAAAAAAATCCTGTGTTGGGGACAGGTGCAGTGGCTCATGCCTGTAATCCCAGCACTTTGGGAGGCCGAGGCAGGCAGATCACAAGGTCAGGAGATCGAGACCATCCTGGCTAACACGGTGAAACTCCATCTCTACTAAAAATAAAAAAAAGAATAGCCGGGTGTGGTGGCATGTTCCTGTAATCCCAGCTATTTGGGAGGCTGAGGCAGAGGAATTGCTTGAACCTGGGAGGCAAAGGTTGCAGTGAGCCAAGATCGCGCCACTGCACTCCAGCCTGAGCAACAGAGACTCCGTCTCAAAAACAAAAACAAAAACAAACAAACAAACAAAAATCCTGTGTTTATTGATAATGTTTAAGCTTTTAAAGATTGATTCCTTTTTATTGGTGGATATAGAATGGCAGTTGTACTATCTTGCCTCAAGTAAGTATAAAATGAGGTCCAATGTTAATTTTCTTGTTGTCTCGTAATTATGTCCAAGTATCCACACTGCATAATGGGAGCCACCAGCCACATCATAAAAGGCATCAATAAGGGGCACCAGATCCCATTATGGGAACTTAACCATTATTTTCTACCTTTTTCCTAAAGAACTAAAAGAACTTGAGGGTCAGATGTCACTAGAAATGCATTATTCCTGTTAAGAGATTTCTTTCTTCCTTTCTTGTGAGGAGAATGGGTGGAAAATTGTACCTTCCCATAGATACAGGGAATCCAAATAAAATTTGATAGCTAAAATGTATTGGGTGATCACTGTGCTAGGGAACAGACTGAGCACATCACACATTTATTAACTCAGTTTCTTCTCACAACCACCTTCTGAGATAGGAGTTACTATTACCCGTGATTTCAGATGCACAAATTGAGGCACAGAACAGCATCTTGCTCAAAGCTGCACACAGCTATTACATGTCAGAATCTGGTTTCAGCTTTATATATTCTGGATCCAGATGCTTTGCTCATGAAAAGTCATATTGCCTTTAACTGAAAGAGACATGAATTATTGCAAGAAAGGAAGATTAGGACACTGATTCTTGATTGGACATCTGCTTACATATCTGACTTGAAGATTTGTGCTGTGCTCCTATTTAAGAAGGAAAAATTGAATCAAAAAGCAATTGAATAGAATGTATATTCTGCAGTTGTTGGGTAGAATGTTCTGTAAATATCTGTTAGGTCCATTTGTTCTAGGGTTTAGTTTAAGTCCATTGTTTCCTTGTTGACTTTCTATCTTGATGACCTGTCTAGAGCTGTCAGTGGAGTACTGAAGTCCCCCACTACTATCGTTTGCTGTCTATCTCATTTCTTAGGTCTAGTAGTAATTGTTGTAGATTTGGGAGCTCAAGTGTTATGTGCATATATATTTAGGATTGTGATATTTTACTATTGGACTAGTCCTTTATCATTTATATAAGGTCCCTCTTTGTCTTTTTTAACTGCTGTTACCTTAAAATTTTTTTTCTGATATAAAAATAGTTACTCCTGCTCACTTTTGGTGTCCATTTGCATGGAATATCTTTGTCCACCCCTTTACCTTAAGTTTATGAGTTCTTATATGTCAGGTGAGTCTCTTGAAGATAGCAGATACTTGATTGGTGAATTCTTATCCATTCTGCCATTCTGTGTCTTTTAAGTGGAACACTTAGGCCATTTACATTCCACATTAGTATTGAGATATGAGGTACTATTCTATTCATCATGCTATTTGTTGAATACCTTGTGTTTTTTTTCATTGTGTTATAATTTTATAGGTCCTGTGAGATTTACCCTTTAAGGAGATTTTATTTTGGTATATTTTGAGGATTTGTTTACATTCTATTCATCAACACATGGAACATTCTCCAAGACAGATCACATGATAGGCCCCAAAACAAGTCTCAACAAATTTAAGAAAATCAAAATTATAGCAAATACTCTCTCAGACCACAGTGGAATAAAATTGGAAATCAACTCCAAAAGGAATCCTCAAAACTATGCAAACACATGGAAATTAAATAACCTGCTCCTGAATGATCTTTGGGTCAACAATGAAAACAAGATGGAAATTTAAAAATTCTTTGAACTAAATGATAATAGTGACACAACCTATCAAAACCTCTAAGAAACAGCAAAAGTGGTGCTAAGAGGAAAGTTCATAGTGTTAAATGTTTACATCAAAAAGTCTGAAAGAGCTCAAATAGACAATCTAAGGTCACATTTCAAGGAGCTACAGAAACAAGAACAAACCAAACCCAGCAGAAGAAAAGAAATAACAAAGATCAGAGCAGAACTAAATGAAATTAAAACAGTACAACAGATAAATGAAACAAAAAGCTGATTCTTTGAAAAGATAAAAAATTGATAGACCATTAGTGAGAATAACCAAGAAAAGAGGAGGGAAGATCCAAATAAGCTCAATAAGAAATGAAACGGGATATATTACAACTGATAACACAGAAATACAAGGGATCGTCCAAGGCTACTATAAACACCTTTACACGCATAAACTAGAAAACTTAGAGGAAGTGGATAAATTCCTGGAAATATACAACCCTCCTAGATTAAACCAAGAGGAAATAGAAACTCTGAACAGACCAATAACAAGCAGCAAGATTGAAATGGTAATTAAAAAGTTACCACCACCACCAACAAAAAATGTTCAGTACCAGACAGATTCACAGCTAAATTCTATCAGACATTCAAACAATTGGTACCAATCCTATTGACACTATTCCACAAGATAGAGAAAGAGGGAATCCTTCCTAAATCATTCTATGAAGCCAGTATTATCCTAACACCAAAACCAGGAAATGACATAACAAAAAAAGAAAAGTACACACCAGTGTTCCTGATGAACATAGATGCAAAAGTCCTCAAAAAAAAAATGCTAGCTAACTTGATCCAACAGCCTATCAAAAAGATAATCCACTGTGATCAAGTGGATTTCATACAAGGGATGCGCAGGGATGGTTTAACATCCACAAGTCAGTAAATGTGATATACCACGTAACCAGAACTAAAAATAAAAATCACATGATTATTTCAATAGACACAGAAAAAGCCTTTGACAAAATCCAGCATCCCTTTGTGATTAAAACCCTCTGCAAAATTGGCATAGAAGGGACATATCTTAGGGTAATAAAAGCCATGTATTACAAACCCATAGCCCACATTATACTGAGTGGGGAAAAGTTGAGAGCATTCCCTTTAAGAACTGGATCAAGACAAGGATGGCCACTTTCATCACTTCTATTCAACATAGTACTGGAAATCCTAGCCAGAGCAGTCAGACAAGAGAAAGAAAGAAAGGGTATCCAAACTGATAAAGAGGAAGTCAAACTGTCACTGTTTGCTGATGACAGGATCATATACCTAGAAAACCCTAAAGACTCATCCTAAAAGCTCCTGTAGCTGATAAATGAATTCAGTAAAGTTTTGGGGTACAAAATGAATGTACAGAAATCAGTAGCCCTACTATACAACCGTGACCAAGCTGAGAATCAGATCAAGAACTCAAGAACCCTTTTACAATAACTGGAAAAACAAAACAAAACAAAAATGTAGGAATATACTTAACAAAGGAGGTGAAGACCTCTACAAGGAAAACCACAAAACACTGCTGAAAGAAATCATAGAAAACACAAACAAATGGAAATACGTGAAAATGACCATAATGCCAAAAGCAATCTACAAATTAATACAATTCCAATCAAAATACCGCAATCATTCCTCAAAGAACTAGAAAAAATAATCATAAAATTCATATGAACCCAAAAAAGTGCCTGCATAGCTAAAGCAAGACTAAGCAAGAAGAACAAATCTGGAGGCATTACATTACCCGACTTCAAACTATATAAGACTATAGTCACCAAAACAGCATGGTACTGGTATAAAAATAGGCACATAGACCAATGGGACGAATGGAGAACCCAGAAATAAAGCCAAATACTTACAGCCAATTGATCTTTGACAAAGCAAACAAAAACAGGAAGTGGGGAAAGGACACCCTATTCAACAAATGGTGCTGGGATAATCGGCAAGCCACATGTAGAAGAATGAAACTGGATCCTCTTCTCTTACCTTTTACAAAAGTCAGCTTAAGATCAGACTTTAAGATCTGAAACCATAAGAATTCTATCAGATAACAGTAAAAAAAAAAAAAACCCTTCTAGACAATGGCTTAGGCAAAGACTTTGTGACCAAGAACCCAAAAGCAAAGGCAACAAAACAAATACAAATAGATGGGATTTAAATAAATGAAAAACTTCTGAACAGCAGAAGAAACAATCAACAGAGTACACAGACAAGCCATAGAGTGGGAGAAAATCTTCACAATCTATACATCTGACAAAGGACTAATATCCAGAATCTACAAGGAACTCAAATCAGCAAGAAATAAACAGCCCCATCAAAAAGTGGGCTAAGGACATGAATAGACAATTCACAAAAGAAGATAAACAAATGACCACAAACATGAAAAAATGTTCAACATCACTAACGATCAGGGAAATGCAAATCAAAACCACAAGGCAATACAACCTTATGCTGCAAGAATGGCCATAATTTTAAAATTAAAAAATAATGGATGTTGGCATGGATGTGGTGAAAAAGGAACACTTTTACACGTTGGTGGGAATGTAAACTAGTACAGCCACTGTGGAAAACAGTGTGGAGATTCCTTAAAGAGCTAAAAGTAGATCTGCCATTTGATCCAGCAATCCCACTACTGTGTATCTACCCAGAGGAAAAGAAGTCATTATACAAATTAGTTACTTGCACACGCATATTTATAGCAGCAGAATTCATAATTGTAAAAATATGGCACCAGCCCAAATTCTCATCAGTGAGTGGATAAAGAAATTGTGGTGTGTGTGCATATATATATATATAAAATATACACACATATACATATATGTATATGTATATACATATATATGTACATATGTATATGTATATACATATATATGTACATATGTATATGTATATACATATATATGTACATATGTATATGTATATACATATATATGTACATATGTATATTCCATATATATATATATACTGTGGAATACTATTCAGCCTTAAAAGGGAATGAAATAATAGCATTTGCAGTAACCTGGAAGGAATCGGAAACCATCATTCTAAGTGAAGTAATTCAGGAGTGGAAGACCAAATATCACATGTTCTTACTCATAAGTAGAAGCTAAGCTATGAAGACGGAAAGGCATAAGAATGATGCAATTCACTTTGAGGACTCTGGGCAAAGAGTGGGAGGGGTGTGAGGGATAAAAGACTACACATTGGGTATAGTGCACATTGCTTGGGTGATGAGTACACCAAGATCTCAGAATTGGCCACTAAATAACTTATTCATGTAACCAAACATCACCTGTTCCCCCAAAACCTATTGAAATAAAACAAAAAAGGAACACAATTGAGAGTAGATGGAGATAGTCCTGTATTTCTACTCTTTGCTATGACAGGATGTGTAACATTTCTGTGTAGGAAGTGGACGCCATAGAATGTAGAAGGGCTAGGTCCAAATTTCTAGTAACCCGCCTAAGAGGGCTGCCTATCAGGTAAGGGAACCCAGCGAGTAAGGGCTGTGGGAGATGCAGGAGAAAACTGCAGGTAGCATTTAGAAAAGGTCACGTCAAGCCAATTTCCCATACCTGCAAGGCTTCCAGTAAACCCAGACCCCACAAGATAGCCAGCATCTGGATCCCTGCCCAAGAGAAGGAATTCTTAACCAAGAGAATACTTCAATTGCATCTTTTTAAGTAAAACACATTTTGCCAATTTTCTCTGATCCTTTCTTCAAACCCCTGGAAGAAATGAAAAAGAAGTGGAGAGTGTCAAGGAGGGAAAATGAATGACACATATTTGAATTTTCCAGCCTTTGACCCTAGGCAAGGAGTTGGCTGATGCAGGAATGTGAAGAGGAGAATTATAGAACTAAATTGAATATGAGATCAAATTTTAAACTGGATTAACTAAAGTATATTGTTCAATACTTTAGTTATCGGAAAGTCATTGGATCCACCCCAGATAATTCATGGACAGAAAAGAGAGTGAGCAGAATACAATTAGTGGCAAACAGAAAATGACTGGAGAAAAACAAAAATGGTCAAACTCTTTCATGAGGCTCAGATTATTCAATGAATCAATTACCAAAGACTTCTATAGTGGATGAGCAAATGCTTGCTTCAGATTGGAAATGTATTCAAATGGTCACAATGATACACTCGGTGACAATGAAGCAGTCACCATTGTGACTGTACTTTTTGAGTTAATTACTTTGTACTAATGAATACATTTATAGTTGCATTCTTTTTAAACTTAACGTATTAAATGCCTCTCTTCTTGATACTGTTGTAGGCCATGTTGGGTGTAAACATGAATAAAACATGTTCTGTTCTAACTAAGCAAGTGATGCAGTGTAGAAAATGTCATTAAAGCAGATTATTACAAAATCTAAGAAGTGCAGTGGTGGAGATACACAGTGTTGGGGAGCGCAAGGGAGAGCACTGAAAGTAGGAGAAATCAGAAAGACTTCCTGAAGGACGTGAGGTTTAAAATACTAAACATATTTTAGAGAGACTACTGTTCATTTTTGGTACTTTATCCACAATGTTCTTTAAACACACTAAGCCTTAATTCATATCAGGGCCTTCCCACATGCCTTAAATATCCTCGCTCTTTCATCATGTAATGCTTAGCCATCCTTTAGGACTCAGCCAAAATGCCATATCTTCAGAGAGCCGTAACCTGAGCTATGAATCTAAAATTTGCCTCCCTGTTGTTTCATCAGATCTTGCAGTTTCCTTCATATCTTCTAATAATTGTAAAAAACATTTGTGCTAACTTTGTTAATACTTTTATTTTCCATAATATTATGAGTTTCATGAGACTGAGAATCCTGCTTTCTTTACTACTGCATTTCTAGAGTCTTATAATAGCATGATAAAAACTTTATGCTTTAATTCGTTTGATACTATTTAGTGATTCATTAATCAGCATGTGATTATTTGGGCTTTTGGTACTTTTTTCTTCTGCTGCTTTCTTGAATTTGAAGATTTTATTGTTTGTGAGCTACTCAGAGCCCATCTGAATGAATTGTTGCCTTTATGATTTTCTAGGCTACCCCTTGGGTCCTTGTATCCCATAAAAGCATTCCTTCACCAGTACAGGTTGTGTCTAGGGATTCTTTTAGGTTCAGCCTCTCAAAGCTACTTGAATCCCCTGTTGCCAACCATTTGTTGAATATTCATTTCTGACTCTCCTCTGGCTTTGTTGAACCCACAGCTCTGCTTCTCTCACCACTGCTAACTTGCTTCCCTTACTTGCCTGCTTCCCTGAAATCTCTATTTCATTTTTTACTTCCTTTTGGGAGTTATTAAGTTAGTTTTAGTGTGGAAAAAGTTAAATCTGTTACTTAGAATTAGAATTTTGAGCTGTCTCATTCTTTGTGAAAATAGGAATAAGCACAGATATGGAAATAGAATGAAATATGACATTATATAACTACTGCTTGTGTTTTCTGTTCTTCATTACCAACCATGTAAAATAAAGTCTTAAGTGAATGCATGTGTTGAAATAACAAATCTCTTGTTATTTCTGACAATTTTATTCATATTATCTATTTTCAGATATAAAAATTTTAGAACAGGAAAAGAAACTAAAATTGTACCCTTTATTATTTTGTTCCATTCTATATTTCTTACCCTAGACATCCTCACACTGATACATTGAGTTTTGCATTGGAGTCCCATCCATAAGCAGCAAAGGCCAGTACTTTGGTTTGATGTGCATAAAATGGAGATGCAAATACTCTGTGGACACTTGTATCACCGATGGTGAAATGCATGATGATGATTGGTAAAATCATATATTTTACAGTGATTTGTTTCAACATTTTGCAAATGCATTTCCCATTTAATCCACAAAGTATAACTGTGATACAAGCAAGAAATGTGCCATCGTCATCAATTTTCAAGTATAAAACTTGTCTTAGCACCTTTAGGTGCATTGCTTGAGCTTCTATGGCTAAAGAGTTGATAGATCTGGGTCTCAGATGCAGGACTTATAACTTTTAGTCCAGTAATGTATCTTTTAAACTCTTATACCACTTCATGAGATCACTATGCTAAGATAAGCATTGTTAGAGTGTTACTGAATATATAAATAACGAGTGGCTATTATAAATTATAATGTACAGTGGAAATTAAAGGACAGACTTACAGGAGAGTAAATCTTTATCATACATATTCTGAACTTTTTTGCTGAAGACTGGATCCTAGTGTTTTCTCCATTGATATTCCAAAAGTATAGAAATGTACACTTTAAAAGAAATTTAAATTAATTCATAATAAATAATAAATTTTCATTTTTGTGACAGTGCCCCAATGACTCACCATTTCAAGTCTCATGATTCTTTATTTATTTTTTGAGACAAAGTCTCACTCTGTCACCCAGGCTGGAGTGCAGTGGCAGGATCTTGGCTCACTGCAACCTCCACTTCCTGGGTTCAAGTGATTTTTGTGCCTCAGCCTCCTGAGTAGCTGGGATTACAGGCACACGCCACCATGCCCAGCTAATTTTTGTGTTTTTAGTAGAGATGGGGTTTCGCCATGTTGTTCAGGCTGGTCTCGAACTCCTGACCTCAGGTTATCCACCCGCCTCAGCCTCCCAAAGTGCAGGGATTACAGGCGTGAGCCACTGTGCTCCACCAGTTCTCATGAACCTTTAAAGAACATGCATATGCTAATTTATTGGAAGTTGCTCACTTTGGAGTTTTGCCATGAAACTCTTTTGACATCACCAGATATAAGGATATGGCTTTTCTGTCATTTATTAAAGTTGATAAAAATATGATTATTGGCTTTTCCAAATGCCAAATATTCATTTTACTAAAATTGAAATATGATTCTTTTAGATAAGAATATTAACCTAGATTTTAACTTTTTAAATGGTAAGCAAAGTCTATGACTCCAGGATTAGTAGAGTAAGATGCAGTTTTATTTCTTAACTTCAGCACAAGTAAAGTGTCTTAAAAGCACCCTAATCTTACCTTGATAGAGTATAAGTGTCAAAGAACCATTGTACTTTGTAATTACTTTGATTAAAGAAGAATTAAAAGTGGTTTACAGCAATCAACTGTTCTCAAACTCTCATGTGTTAGCAGCCATTATCTTCCTGCTTTCAAGGTGAAGGTGTTGGCTGAAGTAAGGGACTAGTTAGACCCTTCTGAGAATCTTTGATTAATTTCTTTCATTCTGGAAAAAGACAATCAAATTTTTAGTTTTCTAATCAGGTTTCACTCTGATTAATACCACAGTGATCATTTAAGGAAAATAGAATACAATGTAATGTCTTCCTAGTTGAAAGTAGGCTCTTCCTAACATAGTTGAAGCATTTATCTTTACTGTGTTACCACTAGTTATGTGTGAGAAATAACATTTTCAAGTAATTGAGAAATGACAGTAGAATGATAATAAGCAAAGCAGCTATCCACAGGGTTTGTCTTATTCTCTAATCAATTGATCTGTGGTATATACAACTCTTCTTGTTTTCTTACCCAATCAAATTCAGATATGCTTTGTTGAGCTTAGTTTTTATGCACTTAAATGTTTTCAACTTTGATTATATTGTTGCTATCCCTGTTATTCTTCAGTTCAGGTAAAAAATATTTTTAAAGACTTCAATATTTTAACTAAAAAATAAGAAGACTTTTAAAAAAAAAAAAAAAGTACTAACTTCGTTGGAATCCAAGCCGCAATATTTATTTGACTGGAAGATTAAATAGAAAAGATTATCTTAAGTGCAGAGAGTTTCATTCAAACCTATTTTACTTCTTTTTTTTAAAAAATTTACTAAAATGAACAAATAGAAATATTATTTTCATCTTCAGTGAGCCAAACTGTTAAACAGCCAAAAGAATTTAACATCTTGATTGCAATGGACTCTTGGGCAACCTTGGTGAAACTGTTCACACATACATCATGAGCCATTAAAAATCATAAGTGATTTATAGGAAGTCGAATTATCCATGCTTCCTCAGAGCCTAATACTGGACATTCTAAGTAGTTTCTATTAAACTTATTGTCTCAATAATTATTTCCAGGCCTGTTGTTTTCTATGAATCATTAATTTGTCATCCATATAGATTATTATGAGATATCATACTGTCCTCATGGTTATATTATACTGAAAAATTATATCTTTTTCTATAAGGTTCATTCAGAAAGATGAAATATTTGATTTTAGTTTTAGTATCTAGGTAGACAAAAGTAGTATATTATAATACATTCTTTGTTCTTCTTTCTTCTAAGTGCTATATTCTGATTGAACTTGTTTTGTTGAACTAAAAATGGAGGGAAGAAAATCCAATTTAAAAAATCTACTTTAGATGTGCCCCTTCCAGGAGAAGGGGTTAGATTCAAGGATCCTTGAATTAAAATTACTCAATATGAAATAAGGTAAATAGAAATATTGTTTATATGCTTACTAAAACTCTTCTTTGATGAGTAGTATCCAAATGCTACCAGAATATACTTTGCTAATGGCAGCATTTAATGGTATCCAACATCTCTCCTCTACCTCTCCTTCTTTTTGTAGGAAAAACATATGGAAAACCATTGTCCATATATAGCACACCTTTTTGCCTTTCCTGATTCTATGGGAGATCTTCTATAATTGTGCAAATTGTATGTAACCTCTGCTGGTCCAGTAGAAGTTCAGTTGAATTCCCTCCTCATCCTGTGGAATAGTTTTGCCATTTGCGTATTCAACTTCCTGATCTGTAAATATGTCTGTTTTTCTTTTAAACCAGTTGTAACATCTGTCTCGTTCTCTCACTGAAATACATTCTTTAAGACATTTATTTTATATCTGTATGAGAATCATGATTTTACCCTTTTTGTTGGAAAATTGTTTTTTATCATTCCTCTAGGACAGGAGTTCTCAACTTCAGTACTGTTGGCATTTGGAGCCACTAATTTTTTGTTATGAGGGCTAGTTTTGTGTCTTAAAGGATATTTAACATCTTCTCTGGCCTCTACCCATTCGATACCAGTAGAACCACCCAGAAATATCTTCAGACATTGTTAAGAGTTCCAGTTGCAAATATTTAAAATCACCCCTGACTGAGAACAACTGTCCTGGGATAAAATATATCTGCTTTAATTTCCAAAAAAAGGACTAATGTCTGCTGCTCATTATTCATGTTACTAGTTTACTGTGCAGCTGATGTGTGTGTATGTGTATTAGTTACAGGTTCTACAGATAAAGCTATCAATAAGACCAAACACAAATTTGCTTTTAGGAAACTTGGATCTAATTCCAGTTAGTGTCATATCCTGTTTATGCAGATTCTTGTTTACCTTTAGTCCAGGGAAATATATTGTTACTCTGTAAAATGATTCTTTTCCTTGTTTTGCCTATTTTCTCTTTTTTTTCTCTCTTTCTCTCTTTCCTTGGCTTTTTAAAATTTGTGAGTTAAATAATGATCCTAGTTATAGCATAAAAGCATGCTATATATCTAGGAAATAAGTTAGTAATAAATATGAAAGTGAAAAAAGTCATCATTAATTTTGTCCTCTCTTATTTCTGATCGTTTCTGAAAGTTGGCCCCCGAGGTAACCCACAAGTAAAATATTGAGAAACTATATGAGCACTTAGACTACATTTTAGCACATGTCTATAATATGTATTTTAAAAGATACAGATATGTAAGATAAGTCTGAGATACTACAATTTGGCTTACTGGTGACAAAGCCAAATAAGGGATACAATTATTTACATACAGTCTAAGGAAAACAAATATACCAAATCCTTAATGCAATAAATTTTCTGACAATATCCTAAGAGGAATTTTTTTTAAAGTTTTATGAATAGAGGGCTATGGTGATAACACTGTGTTACATAATGTCTTCACAATGCCCATACCTAAACTAAATCACAGGTTTTACAAGGCTGCTTTCATAAATAAAAAGCAGAGGTTTCTGCTCCCTGAGGAAATCAGTGAATGCACTTCTGCAGGGACATCAGCAAAGGTAATTAAACGATTAAATCTTGGTCAGTCAACATATATATTTCTTGAGTTCATTATGGGTAATGTCCTAGATGGTGAAGGTTTAGAATTAAATTTAGAATTAATTTAGAATTCTAAGTTTAGAATTTAGAAATTTAGATATTGGAGATATATCTCCAATATCTCAACGGGAAAGACAATAGATTATGATGCATCCTGCTAATCCCATTTTAAGTTGATAATATTGCAAGTTAAAAATGCATTTAAAGGATAAGGTGGTCAGGATAGCTGAATGTGAAAGTCCTAGCCCTCGTGGCGTCGTTATTACTGGCTTGCTGCCTTCATTTTGGGAAATTATCTTGAGTGTCGTCTCAAGAGTAACTGCCTTCTTCTCTTCAGAAGCATGAGACACATATGGCATTTTGTGGATACGATGGGATGTAAAAACACAAAACACATTATCCAAAAATATCGGCACCACTGCATATTGTAAAGTATTGGTTGTTTAACCACATGATTGCTGAGAGAGTATCATACTGTGTATCATTAGCATGGGAGGAGATCAAAATTCAATATTCAAAGTATTGTTTCTACTGAATGCGTATTGTTTTTACACTATTGTAAAGTCTAAAAATTGTAAATTGAACCATTGTAAGCCAGGGACCATCTGTATAGGTAAAAAATAAGATAGAAAAGTGCTAAGAACTTATAAAAAGGCTAACTTTGAGTCTGACTGGATGGTTTGATGGGAGGGGTTACGGAGGATCGGACATCTGAAAAAAGTTTAAATGATGAGAAGGAGACAGGCAGAGGGTGGGGGGAGTTTTTTAAGCTTAAAGAACAGCAAGTGCACAATTTTGAGGTGGAAATGAAGTTGTGTTTCAGGAAACACAAAAGAACATGGAGTGTGGCTGGGATCAACTTAAGGGTATGAAGAGAATGTGGTGGTGAATTTGAAAACATAAGCTGAGGCCCGATTAAATGGGGACTTGGTAAGAAGCCTGGGTTTTGCTCCAAGGGAAATCTATTTTTTTTTCTATGCAGTTAGGTTTGTTTTCTTGTCTTTATCTCGAAACTGTTTTGTGAAATCTTTGAAAAGTTTGAAGAAAAATCTTGTATTAGACAACCCTTTTTGAATAAAAAAGTCTGTATAGAAAACTTTTGCAGAAAATGAATCCAAATTAGTCTTCTCCAACATCTTTTTCTTCTATATCTCTGCCTTTTCTTTACTCCTGTCCTCTTCATCCTTTTTTCTGCTATGAAGAAAAGCTGTTATTGCTGTCTCCTGACTATAATAGCTCAAAGACAATGCTCAATGTATTATGATATAATTTTCTAATATTAAAATCAATGAATGTGGGTAAATGAATGAACAGATGACTGAATTTATGGATAGATGGCTGGATCTCTGGCTCAAGATAGTGAGTGTTCCAGGAAAAGATTTCATGGAAGGAGGGGCTAAAAGGAGGTAATTGGGTAAAGACATCAAAAAAATGTTGCTCAGAAAATACCCAGAATGAAAACTCTCAAGAGGCAGAAGCAGCAAAAGATACACTTGGAGATTAACTGAAATGGGTCCACATGAACACAGTAAGAAGTTTGTGTGATATTAGTTTTTTATTTCAGAATTGCAAAGGGCATTTCAGATTAGAGAAAGAAAACAGAGGAAAATTACATAAGTAAGTTCAATACATTTATTAAAGCTACATATGTTTAAAATAAAGTCGGGGTAAGATTCACTACGACTTATTCAAGAGGTATATAACATATTGTACAACTCTATCAGTAAAAAAAAGCACAAATCATCTAGGTTATTACTGTAAGGAAAGCAAATAAGTAAAGATCTCACATCATGTAGCTTTATAGCCTCTATGTGCTTTCTTACAACATAGCAACAGAATGTTTAAATTTTATTGTATCTAGGAAAGTATATGACACTGTCATTCACTCTAACACCACAATTTAAAATGAGGAATAGTTACTATTAATTTAATTATAAGTTTATCCAACAGGGAGTAAGCTCACATGGAAATTTTCAAGCATATTAAAAGAAAAAGAATAATTGAGAAAATGTTGGTTGGCAGATTTTAAGCAGAGGAGGAGTAAAACAGACAGGCTTCTCTATTATCAAAATGAGGGTCAAAAGCTGTATATGAAAACCCTGTTGGATAGCTTCAATTTTCCAAAGTTGAGATACTGTCCTAAAGCCCCTGGTTATAGAAATCCATTTAGGCAATTGAGGGCAATTTTGGGTGCTTTCACAAAGTGAAGGGAGGAGTAAGTGACCACAGTGTACCATTTGAGCTGTGAGCCAGAGAAAGGGCTTTTTCTAGGGGGAAATAAATCAGAATAATATTAGGCAGGAAATAAGAATTAAATGTTCTCTACACCCTTGGTCCCTAAAGTAGGGCTCATGGATCAGCAGCTTGCTACAGAGTCAGACTCAGATTCCACCCCAGAGAGTCTGAGCCAGAGTCTGCAATTTGGCAAGGTGCCTGGATGATCACACGTACATTAAAGTCTGAGAAGTGCTGCTATACACTACTAAAGAGCACTGGAGAAAGTTTAGGAAAGCTATCAGCACAGGATAAAATAGCGGATTACCAGATCTTAAGGAGACAATACAAGGTAAAGCAAGCCAATATTTGCCATTTAAGGTTCATTAGGGCTTGGAGTTAGCATTGAGATTCAGACAAGCAGAGGATTAAAGAATGTGGAGAAAAATGATTCTATAGGGTGGTGTTTGGAGGTTATATTAACTGTTCTTTACCTACCCTCCCCCCAAAAAAAGAGAATGATCAATTATATTTTGTATTTAAAGACCTGGAAGAAGCTGGAAAAGTCCTTTTTCCTACTTTGTCATTTAATTCTAATTTCACTCTTCAATCTGTGCATTTTCTTGGAGTATCATTTATATCCCAAACTGCCAGTGCTCTCTCCTCCATTACTCAAATTGTTTCTAATTCTGTGACCTCTAGAAAGTCATGCCAAAGTCATCAGACAGGACCTAAACTTCCTTGGCTGTTTCCTAGCCCTGGAAAGATATGCATTTATCCTTACCCTCAACACCCTGACTACTCTAATTTCTAGAAAGTGCCTATTTTAGCAGCTCACAGTCTACTGGTGCCTCCTGCCTTTAGTCTGTCAGATGTGTCCTCTTTATTTAACTCTTAGGGGACCTTTTATTTCCGTGGTCTTATAGCCACCAAGGATGCCTCTGATAGTTGTTAGAGATTTATTCAGCCATTACTTCTCTCATTCATTTTACATTTCCCAACTATATGTTAGACAATGATTAGTGCTGGGGATATAAGAATAAATAAGTCTCAGGCTTGGCCCTTGGGAATTTAGAATGATGTTATGCATACAGATATACATTGGCAGGGTATAAGCTGTTTGTTTGTTTGTTCATTTGTTTATTTACTGATGACAAGAAGAAGCTGGAAAATATGTGGGGCCTTTACTTTTCTCCTCCTGATAGACCATTGTGTATGAAAATGAACTTTTATGATAATAGCTATATTTATTTAGTTTTTATTGTTTACCAGGCATGAATTTAAGTGAATTACCTGCATTAGCTGATTATATCTTCACCACAACCCCATTCTCCCCCACCCCCACTATTTTCCAGATAAGGAAACTGAGAAAATTGGGTAGAGTAACTACATGAGGCTATACAGCTAGCAAGTAAAAATGCATGGGTTCTGAGGGGGTATGTCTCCAAAGATGTCACATCCTAAGTTTCACTTACATGCATACTTTCATTTATAACATAACGTGCCTCTCAATAGCTTTTTGATAGATTAAGTTATATCTGCTTAAATATTCTAATACCACTTCCTGCTCTCTTCTGTGCTGGAAGTCTATGGACTATGGCCCATGCCAAATTTATCTTGCAACTAAAATTTTACTAGAACAGAGCCATGCCTCTTTGCATGCATATTGCCCCTTACTGCTTTTGGGTTACAGTAGCATGGGGTGAGTAGTTGTGGCAGTGACCCTCTGACCTGCAAAGCCAGATTTATTATTTGGCTCTTCACAGATAATATTTACTATCCTCTTTTTTAAATAAAAGTAAAAAATTAATAACATGTATAACATCAACAAAATGAGCATTATGCTTTCATGTACTATAACATTTATAATTAAACATTATGGAAGAAAAGAAAGTACATTTATTGCAATTATATAATTTTCAAATAGTTTTAGTAAATATTAGTGGATAAATATTTCATTCTTTCAAAGAACATGGCTGATTTGTGCCATTGCTGTGTGCCCCTAATGACAGCATCAGAGTGACACTTATGTTGGACAGCTGGGGTTGTCATCCATGCAGTAGCAACAGTTACCATTTTTTAAATTGCCATTTCATGTCTCAAAACTAAATAATCAATTTTTGTTACAATTACTTAGAACAACCTGAAACTGCAAAATAAATTTACACACTAATTGGTCTCTTGTAGTGCATACTTACTTTGCAAAAGGAAAGAAAGAATATTTGCTTTCTTTCAGTTATTAGAATGCTATGACTTGAACTAAAAACAAAATATTAACCTCAGGGTTTGGGGTTTGCTTTTTGTTTTTCGTTTTTTACTTTAAGTAGAAACACATTGAATATTTATCATGTTCCATCAATGATTTTTATTGCCTTTCACATAAAATATGAAAAGTGTACATTGAGTATATTGGTA
This sequence comes from Homo sapiens, assembly GCF_000001405.40. Lineage (NCBI taxonomy): Eukaryota > Metazoa > Chordata > Mammalia > Primates > Hominidae > Homo > Homo sapiens. The sequence goes on along the minus strand of NC_000003.12, from coordinate 22,267,810 downwards.
ATACTTTAATTACTGAGAGCTTGATTTGCTTTTAATAATTTAATAGATGAAATGCAATCCAAATAGAGCATTTAATTGTATACGCATCATTCTAACATGGGAGTGCATTTAGGAAGTTGATTCGTTATTTGCACAAAATATTTTTACATGACAAAGAAAAGTGTAGGTAAAATTAAAATAATGGTGTTTTAATAAAGCTGAAGGGAATTTTATTTCGATATTGCTCATCTGGGGTTGTGAGTTATTATTTCTTACTGAGAAATATTGATTTGACTATTGATCTTATTTTCACTGACACTATAATTTATGAAAGCAGAATACCCAAACTGTTTCAAAATAATAAAAATATAATTGCTGATACATGCAAGTTATTCTTTACCTTATATTTTTTTTTCAGAGAAAAGCATCTAAATATGTAGTTTTTGTGTTCTTTGGTAAAACAATGGAAAAAACATTTGGTTAGAAAGTAGAAACTAAGAGGTTTATTGTCTTAGGTTATGACAAGGAAGGAATTTGTGAATTTAAATACACCTAAATTTTAGATTGGTTTATACTCTGTATGTTATTTATCTTTTGAAACCTAATTATTTAATCTGGATACATAGTAGCTACTTCTCAAATACTCTTTCTCATAGATGTTTGATGCAAGTTGAACTCTTTCAGATTATTCCCTGATGAAAGCAGTGAGTTAGCTTAGTTCATGACGTAAGCAATTGATTAGGTAAATTTACCTCTTTATGCTTTAGAAATTAAACTTCAGAAGAGAATTGCCTAATCTACTTTTGTTTCACTTTAAATAATTCATGTACACTCTGGATATTGGGAATATTGTATCAAAGCACTAGGTACTATATTTATTGTCGTTACATATCCTCGGAAGGAAAGATTGTTTTGTTTTGTTTTCCTTGGCTTTATGAATGGAATGAAAATGATGGATGACACTACCTTTCCCAGAAAAGAGAACATGACTTTGCTTCGGTATCTGTGCATCATCATACAGTCAGGACTTTACTTACCGATAATATCTGAGCAGACTTATCAAATAATGATAAAGTTTAAAGCAGTAGCCAAACAAGAGTACTGCTTTGGGACATGAAATATAAATATATAGCAAGCTGTGAAAAGAATACCTTTGTACCAGAATAGAAAATTTCCATTGCACAGTGTCTATCGTAACTATTCAATTTAGCCTTTGACTGGCAAAGTTCCCTAAGACTAGGGCTCTTACATTGGCCTGTCTCCTTTCTAATTGTGCTTTCTCATGCTTCTCTGTAATTTTCCCAGGTATTGTTATTATTAATTAGGAAGATCTTGGTAGCTTCTTCAAGCTAAATAAGATAGCAGTCAGCCAGCTGACTATGTGAACAGGAGTCCTGATCCCTACACCTCTTCTTACCCGCTGGTTTTACTTGAGCTCTAGTTTTTAAAATCAAAATAAGTTAATTTTGCTTCTACATTCTGATCAAGAGATGTGCATTAAGAAATACTGTGAGCCTGAGTGAACATAGGTATCTTGCTATATTGTTTTCTACCAGTCGGCATGACTTTGAGGAAGAGAGAAAAAGAAGCAGCTTGATTGCTGTGTATTTCCAGACCTGGCTCCTCTTCCAAACAAGAGAGACAATGAAATGTATGAAGGTCCAAATGGAAAGAGTAATTCTTTAAATTGTAGAACTATGATAATAAGAATCCAGTTGAGAGTAACCTCAGTCATTGACAGAAATTCCAGGGCTGTAGGAGTCATTTGAGTAAATCTAAACTAGCTCAGGCATTTTGAAAATGGGAAAGTGGAGGCCAAGATGGCCTGTAGAGTTAGCTGGTCCCAGTATAGAAGAGACAGCATATTTTAATCAAAAGAAACAAGTTTTAGAGTCGTATGGAACTGGGTTCAGATCATAACTTAATTACGTATTAGTTATATGATGTCAAGGTATGTGGCTTAACCTCTATGTGACCTTATTTTCCCACGTGCAAAAATGGTACCTACCACACCAGGCCTAAAATGAGGCAGCAAATGTTAAAACACTTTGTGGAGTGCTTAATGCATAGTAGGTGTTGGATCAGTGATAATTTTCTTTGTCCGGGAGGCCCAGGAAGGTTGATATTCAAGCCAGTCTTTTCTGATCACTCCTTCCTCTCATATCCAAAATTCTATCACTCAGTGACTTCAGACTGCTGACTCATAGACCTTGTGTCATAGTCCTTCCCTTCTGTGACAAAAATTGATTTGATAGCGTGTGTTAGGTTGATGGCGACAAGGTCAATTGAGTTCGACTTGCTTTCCTCTCTAAGTAATCAACTGCGTTTCTCTGGTATGTGGAGACCTTAAAAGGCCTGGTGAGTTTTAAATGTTTCTGCTCTGTAAATGTTTATTATTTAGATACAAAGAGTTCATTTAACCTCATTTGCCAATAATGTTTCACAAAAATTTTTTGTAATTTCATGATGATCGCTTAAGTGTCTTAATTCATTTTAAAATGATTACAGCAGTAGAAACTGGTTTTAAAAAAATCTTAAATGTTCTTAGCTTAAACATCACCTCCTCAGAGAGGTCTTTCCAAATTATATTATCTGAGTAGGTCGCCCTGTAATTCTCTATCAGGTTGCAGTTTTTGTATATCTTTCTGATGCATTTACCACAATTTGCAATTATATTTTTTAATGCTTGTTTTCTTCACTAGTTTGTAAACTCCTTGAGTACTGGGGCAGATCTCCTTTGCTCATCATTCTATCCCAGTGATGTAATTCTGAGCATAGCACATAGAAGGTGTTCAATAATATGTTGCATGAAAAAAAGTCCGTTATCTGAGGATTCTGGAGTAGAAGGAAGAGAGAAGAGGAGTCTGGAGCAAGAGGAACTTCTGAGGCTACTACAGAACCCAGATTAGAGGGCTGCTTCTTTTGAAGGGGCTCAACATGATTATTTAAATCCTTTGTCTTATACTAAGAGGGAGAATGGAATTTTAGATATCTAAATGTTCATTTTTGATAATCATTGTTTCATTTGATAATGAAATATTTTTTATTTCAATGCAGTTCATTGCTGGGTGTGATTTTATTCATTAGATCATGCAACAAGTATTCATTAATCACCTAATTGGTGTACCAAGTTCTGCACCAATAGGTGTCTTTCTTTCCCAGACTACAGAATGCAGTAGGGAGACCCATATTAAGTAAATATATATTAATATTTCACCGCATATGGTTATACATGTAAATGAAGCAAGGAAGTGAAAAACTCAATTTAAAATGTGGAAAGAAGAGTCTCACAGAAGGTTCTTCAAATAAAGAAACATGTTAGGATCTTTGGTCACACTGTATTGTCTGCTATTAGCCTCTAGGCTCTGACCCATGCATTGTAGATTCAGATCCCTAGTCTTTGCCATGCAACACAGCCCTGCCACTGATCAATTGTCTTGGCTTTTAGTAAGCATTCACCACTTTCAGTGGGATTGGCGTTCTGCCCTAAGACCCATCTGTCTTGACCAGGACCCTGTGAACTTCCTTTCTCTTGCTGACCTTTAATTCAAGGAAAAGTAGCTGCTGGTTTTTTCTTATGCATTAATTACTGAAAGCTTTCACTCTATTACCAGCCTCACTTTGTCACATACTTACTGAATTTCTGCCAAGACCTAGTCCAAATTGATCTTATATATGCCTCACAGTTTGGATAATGGTTAAATTCTTCCAGCCTTATGCCCCTTGGAGTCTGTCTTAGCTTCTTCCTACCTTCCTCACTCCATTCCATATCCCTTTGGGTTTTATATATTTATATTCACATTGCTCATGACTACAGTTATGACAGCTAGACAATAAGCAGGGAAAGAAAGTGATTTCTGTTTAGGAATATTCCTTCTCTTATAATTTTTAACCTTTTAAGGCAGAATTTATCATCCTTGACACTATTGACTTTTTTGTCAGTAAATTATTTTTTGCATGAGGGGCTGTCCTGTGCATGGGAGGGCATTTGGCAGCAACCTAGTAATACCCACTAGATGCCAGGAGCACCCCTCCCTCAGTTGTCACAATAAAAAATGTATCCAAACATTACCAAATGTCTTGTGGCATAAAAACTGCCCCTGGTTGAGAATCACTGCTTTCGAGTAACCAAGGCAATTCTTATTCATTTGTTCATTCATTCATTTAACAAATATTTATTAAGTGCCTATTTGGTGCCAGAAACTGCTTGAGACATTGAGAATGCAACTGTAATGAATACGGACAAAACTTTTGCCCTTGTAGGACTCACATGTTTGTAGGGAAGTATAATAAATTTAAAAATGTATAATATTGCATCCATTCATAAAACATACAACTTAAGAAAGCAATCAAGGAAGCAGAGCACTATTTCAGGTGGAATAGTCAAAGAAAGTCTCTCTAAGGAAATAACTTTTGAGCAAAGACATAAAGGAAAAAAAAGTTGAAAGATGAAAGTTTTGTGAAGATCTTGGACAAAATCATTGCAGAAAGAAGGAAGCAGAAAGTTGGAAAGTCCCCAAGTGGAACAAGCTTATGATTGAGAAACAGCAAGATGGGCAGCTTTGCTGGAGGTGACTGAAGAATGACTGGGTTAGATGGATTCCAGGCACAGTACGTCATTGCAGGGCTTTGAGCTGGGCAGTAGCAGAATCTTATTTTTAATCTGGTTGGTACATTCTGACTGATCTGGACAGAATTAACAATAGGAGGGGAGCCAAGAAAGGAGCTAAAGAGGTTACCACGGAAGGTCAGTGAGCAATGAAGGTAACTGGAACTGGGGGTGATGATACTGGAGGTGGAAAATGTTGTTAGATTAAGAGATGTCATTTGAAGATAGGTCTGACTGTGTCTGCTGAAAGACTGGACGTTGGATATCAGTAGAAGAAAGGACTCAGCGTGACTCATAGGCACCTGTGCCTGGGTAAGGGTTGATGCCCTTTTCTAATATGAGAAAGATCTGGGGAGAAGCAGGCTAGGTGGGGGAAGAGGGGACGAAGACCACATGGAATGGCAAATCGTGAGGATGTTGAGGATAAGCAGTTAATTTTACCTCAATTATCTTTTTTTTTAATCCTCAAAACAACCCAAAAAGTTTGTACAGGTAGTTGGTACAACCAACTTTTATTTTGAAATGAGAAAACTGGGGCTCAGAAATCTTGAGTGAACCAATATTTTTGCTAAAAAATTTAGACTCTAAATCGAGACTCTGAAAAAGTATTCTTAGTTACAGTTGCCAAATGTTTTTATGTTAAGACTGGACGACATGAAACATATGCTATTATACTTTGTAACACATAGAAAATAAATATAGAAATTGAAAATACATGTCCCTAAGGCACTTGTGTCTATTTTTTCTCTTTATTCTTAATATTTTTAAAATAAAAGATGAAATTATGCAAAAAATATCTCAATGATTGGGTTTACCATGGCATTATCTCATCAACTTCCTCCAAAGCCATTTTTGGGTCTTGGTCTTTATTTCTTACCCATTCTTCCATGTGTGTTAACTCCATGTGTCACTTGGAACATTTTCCTAAATGTTCTCATGACTTTAGACCCCAAGGCCTCTAGTAATGCAAAGATTCTCACAGAATAGCTCATGTCTCCTTCCTCAAAATACCTCATTATATTGTTACTAACATGCCAATGTTTTCTACTCTGTCTTTAGTAAATCTCTAGGCAAAAGAAAAGAAAAATGATGATAACATTAAAAAATAACATTTGAAAACACCAAAAAAGCCACTATTTATGAAATGCTTTAGAATATTATTTTAAAATTATTTATATGATAATATGCTGCAAGTTTAAAAATATTAATGGATCAATCTATTTCTACCAGTCAGGCTTCCTTTAAAGAAGCAGGTGGCACACTCAAATAGGTAATTAAGGAGAGTTTAACAACAACAACAACAAAAAAAGGTTAAGATACATCAATAGGAGATGGAAAGTACCATAGGCTAGAATCACAGGGAGTCATTATCACCCATAGGCTTGAGGAGGAAGTAGAGGTATGGGTTTCAGAAACTCAGAGAGAGACCTTATTGCTGTTGAAGAAGCCAACAGATGGGCTCTGTGGCCTTTGGTTAGAGGAACACGACAACCTGGAGGCAAAACGGCAGGGCAGATGAAAATTTCCACCTCGCATCCCCCCACCTTCAGGTCTCTGCTAATGCCACCCCCATACCCTAGCTCCATTAGCTTAGTCCAGGTAGAAAACAGAGGAAGAGGCTTTGGAAGAAGACCATAAGGCTAGGTTTCCAGGCACAGAGCAGGATAGGGACGGATGGAGAGTGGTTTTGAAGGGGCAAATACAGCACACCCATTGACACTACATTTTTACAATATACTAGCTCCTAGAACATCTTTGCTCAGACAGCCTAGACTTTTATTCCTGTGAAATTAGCTTTAATGATTATTTACTAGCCTTACCAAGCTAATTCAACCTCTTCTCAATCCTAATGCCACACAATGCATTAGATTGTAAAACCATAACTTAAATTATTTTTCTTATATTATACTGCACCATTTTTACCTAGTCTTTAACTATAATGTTACAGTCTGTCTAGCTGGTTCTCTGTCTCCTCCTACTACTTGAATATATCCCGAGGTCTGGTCTCACCCCTTAACTTTGCTGTTGGTGGGGTATGGATGAACAACAAATTTGAGAGGCTATAAGTAGATGAGTAGAAAGGTAGGTCGGTGTAGATGGATGGATGGATGGATGGATGGATGGATGGATAGATAGTTGTAGGCAAAACACAGTGATTAAATTAATTTCAGTTCATTTCTAGTACATATGAGTCAAATAATTATCCCCATTTAAGTAATATTAAAATGCCACTTTAAATTTTTTAAGTTTCTGAAGAATTCCGTGATAAATATGTTTTAATGTAATTTTGAAATAGTAGCATAATGGTTAGGTTTATTAAACTTATTGTTCTACTAAAACTGTTACCATAGAATAAGTGATAAAAACACGTTTCTTCAGAATTGAAAATCTGGCTATGATTTTTGAGTTTGATAAATAGTTACAGGAATATCATATTCCATGTTTAAAATTAAGACTATAACTAAAACTTTGTAGTTGAATTAGCATTTTTATATTAGGTAAATTAGAAGGTATTTTTTATGTTAGGTAAAAAGGATCCCTCTTTGAGAATGGGCAGATTTATGTCCATTTTACTTGTAAAACTTTGTACAGTATTAAGTAGAAATTCTAAAATACCTATCAAATTTATACTGATTTTATTCTTCCTATAAGAGATTACAAAATGATTTACAACCTATCAAAATCAATTCTAATGTAGTTTTCTTTTTTTTTAATTTTAAGTTCTGGGATACATGTGCAGAATGTGCAGATTTGTTACATAGGTATACATGTGCCATGGTGGTTTGCTGCACCTGTCAACCCAACATCTAGGTTTTAAGCCCTGCTTGCATTAGGTATTTGTCCTAATGCTCTCCCTCCCCTTGCCGCCCACCTGCCAACAGGCCCTGGTGTGTGATGTTTCCCTCCCTGTGTTCTCATTGTTCATGTGTTCTCATTGTTCAACTCCCACTTATGAGTGAGAACATGTGGTGTTTGGTTTTCTGTTCCTGTGTTAGTTTGCTGAGAATGAAGGCTTCCATTTCTTGGATACAATATTAACAATTTTTAATTAGAATATTATTTCAGTTTCCTTTAAAAATTCTTTCCTTAAGGAAAGCCTGAATACAATGTATTTAAGTAATTTACTACTTAGAGTAGAGCACACTGTAAATAATCTAATTGATTGTGTTTTCAATTATTAGTATACTATATGCATATTTTGCTCACACATTCAGTTTCCCTGTTTTGCTTATGACCTTTTCGTGTCCTAACAATCCTTTTCTCTTTTATGTACATTTTGAGGTTATTGAAAGTAGGGATGCAGGAGGTTGATGGTCTCTTTCAGAGAGTCTGAGAGGGGGAACTATTTTTGGAATAAAACCAACATTTGTATTAGTTTTTTTTTTTCCTCACTATGTTGGCATTTGGAGTGATGGTGGACAAAGCACTGGCTGGTAAAATTTCTGGTGCCTTAGTACAAAGCAAGGCAGTGGTACCAACTATATAAGGACCAGTGTGTTCTTCACTACTACGTGCTCATAGTTTTTTTCCTAAAGCTGACTTTACTTGGGATGTTTCCTATAAAGCAGTAAAAATTAAAAATTATTTATTTTGTTAAATCTCAAAACTTGAATTAAACATTTTTTTGATATGCTAGTGACAACATGGGAGGTACACAGCACTTCTGTTACATGCAGAAGTATATGACAGCTGTCTCAAGGAAAGGTGCTGTATGAGTGTTTGACTTGTAGGCTAAACTACTTGCATTTTATCATAGAATGTCAATTCTACTTGAAAGAACAACTGACAGACTCTGGTTATTCTTATACTGGTATTTGGCAGAGTCAAGCAAGCATAAAATTTAAAGAAAATGACTTAATAATTGCTATGAATGATAAAATTCATGTTTTCATGCAAAAATTAGAATTTTGGAAAACTTGAATCTGGCACCATGAGGTAAACAACTCCCCAATTCTTAATAACTTTTCTGATAAGCTCAGAGATGATATTATTACATGAGATTTTATATATATAATGAAATATATCAATATTTGGGAAATCAGTATAACTCTGTAAACCAGTACTTTCCAAATGAGAGATACATGATGTTACAGAGTAGTGCAAGAGAAATATTTACTCAAAGAGCAAGGTAGCCCAATTTAAAATAGTTCATTTTATGATTTCAGAATCGACATAGCAATTACACTTTACAAAATTACCACATGTCAAGTTTTGCTGTAGTAAGAAATAAGTACATCTGTAATTATCCAAAAGATTTCAAAAGCTCCTTCCTGGTCCAATACATGCCCTCAGGAGACTAGTTTTTTCTCCATAAACTTCAAGCACAGCAATATATTATAGCAGATTGAATACCAAAGCAAAGAGATTTTCACAACTATAAAACAATGCTATTTTTCTATTTTTTATTTTGGAAAATATAAGTATTTTTTATAAAACATGTTATTTTAACATGCAAATAATCTATAATTATATTTTTAAATAAATATTTAACAATTTGAGTTTTCATTTCTGATGTGGCAAATAGCAATAGATATAACCCACATAAATAGAATCTCTTGGGCTATTTTTACTTAATTATTTTTGTGTATAAGGAGTTCTGAGACCAAAAAGTTTGAAAACTTCTGCAGTAGGTGAAATCCATATTTAGATTCTTTTTTGGGAGACTATTACAAGTTCTGCTACCCAGAGAGGCCTTTTTTTAGTCATTCTTTAAAAAAGAATGATGATTTGGTTCTAAAACCCAAGCAATTTTCATGATATTATACAGAGTACATTTGTATCTCTTCCAAAATAGCAACAAATGTATTTGTTTCACAATTTACTTTATAACCTTTAAATATTTGCAAATCCTGCCTTGAGAAAACTGTGCACTATTTTTTCTTCACTTATTCTGCTTATTTGGCTATTGCATAAATGTGGCTGTGTGTATAATTTTATGTCTTCCTCTCTTTGAGTAAATGTTAGCTCTAACATTTAAAGCTTCTTCACAGTATTAGACTCCAGTCCTTGCAAAACAAATTACTCTAATTAACTTTTTGGGGGCAAAATTTCCCCTAAACAGACTAAAAGTGGAATCTGTTCTATTTATAAAGAGTAAGGCTCTCCCCTCACTCTCAAATTAAAAATTCATCAGTTTACTCTATTATATCTCATTGTACCTCTGTAGGAAACATTTAACTCTGATCTTTGTGTAAAACACCTCTCCTGCATGAGGCATAATGATTTTACTATCAAATATTGTTGTACAATCTCAACTTGTTAAAAGATTAGTTGAGATTGTAAGATTAAATATAATGTAAGATATTTTGTAGCATTGGTAACCTAATTTTTTAAAAATATCACTAGAAAATAACTTGATACAAAATTGTGTGATCTATGAAGAAGTCACCAGGAATTTTTATTTATTCAGCATTTTAATCATGCCTGATAAGAATCAAAGCCACTGTAACAACAGTTTTACCCTACTTATTTGCATTTGAATTTGAGAAAGTGATAGTATGAGTTAAAAGGATGAATATTTAAAAGGCATTGTGGAGGGAAGATTAACAACACACCATTCTCACATCCTTCACTCAGATGCTGGGCAGAGTAGTGATGTTCTCAATTATTTTCCTTCATCCACAATAGATGTAAACTTCTTAAAATATATAGATTGAAATAGAAGAAAACCACGTATGAAATTCTGGAGAAAACCTATATTTATTATGAGAGTATAATAGAATAATGCAGAGTAGAGGAGGAATAAGAGAAATTACTAGAAAGGAGAGGAAATGATGATGCAATTGCACATCAAGAAGATGCAATCATATGAAAAATTGAGAGGTTCAGTATGATGATGAAAAATGTTGGTGCCTTTATAGCATGAGTGGAAGTGATAATGCTTGATGGTGGTTTCCTTAATTGAAGAAATAAAAAGGAATGAAACAAGTTCGTACTTTGAGTGTAGAATCTAACAGTCCTGTTAAAGGCCAGGAGACTTGGGTGTGATACAGTCTAATGGTACATAGCTTGTCAAAAATAATTTGAAAATATGGGGGCAGATTTTTCTCTGGTGAGACTGAGAAGCCTGTATATTGTTATTGAAAAATTACTGTACAAAACTGTGAGTCTCCCAAGGTCCTGTTGTTTCAGCCTTCTGTATGATCTTGAAGCATACCAGAAATTTTCTTCTTTTTATCTTCTCCAGGAATATTCTTCCTTCTTCTGACTGACATGTGCCTTATTCATCTGAGGTCTTGGGTTTTGGATAACTTTTGATCTAAGTCTTCCTTAACCTGAAAAAAATTTTCTATCTTTATGAACTAATTATTTAACTTTACAGGGTTACAAAATGTGACATCATACATTTACTTGTGTTAAATCCTTCTCCACTGAGAAAATGAATCTGTGAAGACGAGAGAGTTTTAGTTCATTACAACACATTGAAGAATGGTGATAGCAACAAGCACATGGAAGGCAGTCATTAATATATTAGTAGAATGAGTACATATATAATAAAGATGGCACCTGAAAATTTTGGTTATAGACATTGTCTTAAAAGGCAATAAGTTTACCATTTGTTATGATAACTGCTGCTATACAAACAACAGCAGCAGCAAATGTTTTGTGACAGATACGATGATTTATCACTATCTCACTTGTAGACAGAAATTATATTGCCACCTCATGCCTTATACCCACATAGATTCCAAATCAAAGAAAATACAAGAGTTAATACTCAAATTGGAAAAGAACTATCTGAAAGATGACTCTGTAGGCAGGAACTAAAAAAAATGATCAATTCAATTTTATGAAGATTAATCTTTAAATATGATAATCAGAAGCCTCTCCTATTAGCAGTGTTGAAATATGAATGACAGAGCATAAAAAGTAGTCATAATATTTTGGGGAGACCTTTCTTAATTACGTAAGTACCCTTATAGATTAGTGTATTAGGGTTCTCTAGAGGGACAAAACTAAGGGAATATATATATATATATATATATGTATGTGTATATGTGTGTATATATATGTATATATGTATGTGTGTATGTATATGTATATGTATATGTATATATATGCTGACGAACAAGGAGAGCCAGTCTAAGTTTCAAAACTGAAGAACTTGGAGTCTGACATTGGAGGGCAGGAAGCATCCACCATGGGAGAAAGATGTAGACTGGGAAGCTAAGCCAGTTTTTCTTGTCTAATTTTTGTGCCTGCTTATATTCTAGCAGCACTGACAGCTGAATAGATTGTGCACAACCAGATTAAGGGTGAGTCGGCCTTTCCCAGCCCCACTGACTCAAATATTAATCTCCTTTGGAAACACCCTCACAGACACACCCAGGATCATCAATACTTTGTATCCTTCAATCCAATCAACTTGACACTCAGTATTAACCATCACAATTAGTAAGGAAAGCATGAGTCCCAACTAAAAAAAAAAAAACTGAGTTAAGGATATGAAATTTAAACTCTCAAGAGAATAAATACAAACTATTAGTGAACATGCAAATAAAACTTTACCACTTCTCACAAAAGTACATATGAAATGGATAATGCTAGCATTTTTTTTTTGAAATGTGATGTTATGATGTTTTTTAAAGGCTGAGAAATAGGCAGGTAGAAATATAATAGAGGCCACCCTTTTGGTAGCTCATTGGTAATATACATTAAAAACTTTACAAGTCTTTGATAAAACGATCCTACAGTTAATGATTTTGAATGGGAATAATTGAAATGTTTACAAAGAGATATATCCAGTAAGATTTATCTAGACTTGTTAAGAATATGAAAAGAATCCCCAAAATGTTAAGTGTGTGTAAGTAAGTTATTTCATATCTGTAGGATAAAATATGCTTAGAAGTAAAACAATAATATATTTGTCTGTTCATTATTTCCACATTAAATAAAGGGAGGAAAAAATAGGTTAAAAAAGCATATTTTAGGACACAATTTTGGGGGGGGGAATACATGATAACAAAATCAGTGTCAACATGAATTTTCCTCAAGATATTGGTGATTACAAAGTTTTTTTCTTTTCTTTTCTTTTTTTTTCTTATGAGCATTTTTCAAGGTCTATACAATATAGTAGTTCCCCGCATTTGTGGTTTTGTTTTCCCAAGTCTCAGTACCCATGGTCAACAGCAGTCCAAAAATACTAAATGGAAAGTTCCAGAAATGAATAATACATAGATTTTAAATTGCATGTTTGCACATTGTTCTGAATAATGTGATGAAATCGTGTGCCATCCTGCTTCATCCTCCTGGGACATGAATTATCCCTTAGTTCAGCTTTTCTATACTATATACACTACCCCCATGTTAGTCAATTATTTGGCCATCTTTGTGATCAGAGAGGACTGATAACACAGGGACTAAGCACAAGGACTTTGGGACTATTAAGTAAAAGAAGGGTTACTTGAATACAAGCACTGCGATTTTGCTTAGTAACCCTTACTAAGTAAAATAAGGGTTACTATTAACATGCCGACAGAAGTAATGCTGGCATATTATAATTTTTCTATTAGTTGTTGTTAATCCCTTCCTGTGCCCAATTTATAAATTAAACTTTATCATAGTTATGTATGTATAGGAAAAAACAAAATATACAGGGTTCAGTACTTTCTGAGGTTTCAGGTATCCACTGAGGGCCTTGGAATATAGATAAGGGGGTACTACTGTAAATGAAATCTATTTGTGTATTTAGGAAATATACATATTTTATAATGAAATGTGTAAAGAAATAGAAAAATAACACTGATATAAACACATGGAAGATACTTGCTAGGTCAAAAAATATGCAGATTAAATATTTCTGATAGTAAATGTCAGTTTTTTCTTCAGGATTCTGTCACTGGAGAGGACAACCATCATGCATGTACCCTGCTTGCACGGAAAAATAAAATTAAATATATACATACATATTTGTCAGTAAAATAAACAAATTATCTCTTGCTTTAATTTGCATAATTATGTTTGCTAGTAAGACTCAATAGTTTTGAAATATTTATTGCTCATTTTAATTTCTTTTTTTAATCATATATGTCTCTTACTCCATTTCTTTCTAAAGGAGAATTTCCCTTTCTCTCTTTAACTGATCATGAGGAAACTGTATACATTAAGGTCATTAATGCCTTGTAGGTTTTACACTGTGCAAATATTTTCCCCATTGTGTGCTTTATAATTTGTGTTTTCTTTAACATACAAGAATAAATAGGTTTTATGTAGTCATAGCTACCAAAATTTCTATCATTTCTTTCTTGGAAAAGGATTAGAAAGAATTGGTATGTTGGATGAGGATGAATTTAATGTTATTTTTTTCTAGTGTTCAACACAGCACAGATTGAATACTTTATTTTCCCATGGATTTGAAATGCCTCTCTTGTCATGTTTTGTTTGTTTCTGGATTTTTCTCTCTTGTTATAGCAATGTTTGGCTACTCTTGTACTAATGCTATACTGCTTCAGTAATTTTGTTTTCTAATATGCTCACTTTTGCAATATTTTCTAAGTTATTCTTATCTAATCATTCTTGCAGATAAAACTAAGTCACTGACAAAATCCCAGAATAACATCATTTGTGGTTTCAAATTAAATTGCATTAAACCTGAAAAAAATCAATGCCAGGGATTTGGAATCTTGTCATTGGTGAGTCCTATCATGTCATGAGAACGTGACATGTCTTACCATTAGGCAAATTTTTATTTATCACCATCAGCATCATAAACCGAACTATTAAAAGTGTATTGATTGAAAACTCTCTAATCTTCATAACTGAATAGATGGCTAATAAGAAACTGCTTTTATAATTTACAATTACTGCTGAAGTTGAGATTCAAAACCTGCAAACTGAACTTGTTTTCACTTATGTTCCTATTTTTTTTCTAATTGCTTTCTTGATGCAACTAACCTTATGGTTTCAATTACAGTCTATTTCTTAGTTTTTACAATACCTTAGTCCTAACTTTTTCCCATCCTACCATTAAAATCTATCCGTTTAGAACCTTCTGAACAGCCCTTTCTAAGTCTCCCTCAAACTTAGTATTTTTCTACCCTCCAATGTGATTTCGTTTGGTGTGTGCTCTTTATCTCAGTTATTGTCACCACAGTCTATCCATTCCCTCAGTGTGGGAGACCAAGATTTGTCCAAAACACCTTCTCCTTTGTCATCTTCCAACATCTATCAATTACCAAATCTCTTTGCTTTTCAATTCAGGTTAACACTGTGCCTGCACAATCATCTTCATGGGAATAGATACTACTCTGTCATGCTGGGTTTTAAAAGAATGCTTTGTTACTTCTTGATGCCTATAGGATAAAGAATCAACTCTTCAGCCTGGAGTAAGGAACATTTTTACAGTCTTCGCCAGTGTGCCTCTTGATTGTCATTTGTATCTTCTCAACTCAGCAATATACCTATGCTTCACCACAGTGGACTTGTTAAACTTATTCAAACATGCCTAATGTTTTATGGCCTATGTGAAAACGTTAATTCTTTTTTATGTCATGCTCTTTTCCATGCCATCTCTGTCTGACACACCTGAATCAGCCTTCAGTAGCCAAAGCCAGCTTCTCTGCTTCTCTATCGATGCAGCCTTCCTCAGGTACCTAGAAAGCATTAGTCAAATGAGATGATACATGGTAAATACTTAGCACAATGCACAGCACCCAATAATCATTAAATAAATGGTAATTTTCTTTGACAGTAGTAGTTTTCTTTTCTTTGCTCCCATGAACTCTGCTCATATCTTTGTCATACCACATTAAATAATATAACAATCTACTTAAACATACTCACCTCATCTTAAGACTGTAACTTATCAGAAGGCAAGATCTGCATCTTAAGTATCTTTCTGTTGGGTTTATTTCCCCCACACAACAATCGATACTTACTCTTTTCTGATTAAAAGACATCAAAACAATGTTTAAATCAGGGAAAAATTAGTTTATTGGTATAAAATCTAATGACCAGTGCCCCTCCCCTCAATTTCCTTTCATAAGAGTTGGCTAAAACATGTGCTAAGCATGCAATTGTATAAACCTTGCTAAATCAATTCTTTGAAATTCTGAGGCAAATAATATTATCACAGTCTAATGTTTACATCCAAGTAGAGGAAAACAAAAGTCTTTAGTTATGGAAATGTGTCATCCTCCCTCTCTCCCTTCCCTGAGTTCCTTATTCTTATGTATCGATTTGAATTAGGTTGCATTTCAATTTCGGCTTTTAAATAACATTTATTGAATGTTTAATATGTGCCAAAAACTAAGCTAAGCACTTTGCAAGCATTATCCATTTAGTCTTGGTCAGAGTCCTGTGAGGTAGGTCGCCCAAACCTTATTTTACAAAAGAGGGAATTGAACTTTCAAAGGCTGTGTGAGTTTCCCAGGTCTATGTAACACTCAGTGACTGAAGTGAACCTAAAATTAGTGTCTCTAAGATCCCAAGCTCAAACTCTGAACCACTGTGCTATATTATTTCCCTGTGTGTAGAGGTAGGTCTAAGGCAATGGTACTCCACAAAGATGAGGGGGTGATTTTACCTGCCCCCATTTAAAGGGTCATTTGGCAATGTTGGAGACATTTTGGTTCTCACAAATGGGGGAGGGATTCACTACTGACATGTAATGGATAGAAGCCAGGGATGCTGGCTCAGGAGAAAGCCCAAGACAGCCCTCCACCAAAATGTCAATAGTGCTGAAGCTGAGAAATCCTGGTCTAAGGTAAAGGTGGAGAAACCTGTAAAATTATGAATAGCCACTTAAGAGATTTCCAAGTAGATAAATGAGTTGGAGAAAGAGGTGTTGAGGAAGGGGTTACGTACAACCAACCATTGTAATACATGGTATTATATTTGTTTGTTTGTTTTTTGTGGAAGACAACCATTACCATAGAAATACTGATGGTGGAGTGCTTACGCCTCTTATAGAACTTAAAACAAGAAAACATCATCTTAAATTGTTGAGGGAAGAAGTTACAGTAGACACCTATGTAAAGATGATACTTAAGCACTCATGTAAACGGATTCTTCTTTTCACGTCTACTTTAAAACATCAGGTTTTCAAATCTTGATTATTTTAGCAAATGTATGTCAGCTAAGTCTTTTAAATTTGGTGGAA
This sequence comes from Homo sapiens, assembly GCF_000001405.40. NCBI lineage: Eukaryota > Metazoa > Chordata > Mammalia > Primates > Hominidae > Homo > Homo sapiens. Next base: position 22,251,122 of record NC_000003.12, on the reverse strand, counting down.
AATTTTTTCCTAACCTGAATAAATACTGAAATTGCAAGTGGCTCAGTAGTTAGTCTAGTGCATTTTTCAGGCATGATGTTTTTATTTTTCTGAGGTAAGGGCGATTGATTGGTGTTGTCCTGATTCCAAGCTTCATGCCTGGAAGCTCTTTAGATGGGCAGAGAAACGTGAAAACCCACTCTACTGAAACATTTGGTCGATTCTCAAGTCCTCATTAATAAAGTTCTTGAAGGGTCTTTGGATCCCATGGATTAAGGTATTTTTGACAAGAGGGATTTAGTTTTAAAGCCACTGAGGTACCCACAGATTCACTCTAAACTCTCCACTGACAGCACATTTTGCCCTTTGCTCACTTGATGACTGCTCTGTCATGCAGTGTTATTTAACTGTTTTGTAGCCAGGGCAGGCTTTGTGCATGCATAACCTGTGCAATGGCATGGGGCTCTGTGCCTTGAAGGACCCTGTGCTTTGTTTAATATTCTTCTCTCATCAGAAATTCTTAACTTTTGAATCAGGGTCCCAGATTTTCATTTTCCCCTGAGTCCCCAAATTACATAGCTGGCTCATCTTTATAAAGTACATTTTGCTTATGTATTGTCAGGTTGTGGGTGAGGAGTGTTGGGGCAATATTCCAATGCACTCCTAATGGATCAGTTAAGGACAAAGTCATTGCAACCTAAATAAATGGCATTTTTTTCTTCTGCTTATCAACCTGCTTAGGGAGGTTGATAAGCAGAAATACACCTTTTAAAAAATTATGTCATTCAGTGTTTCTTAAAATCTAAATTGATAAATCTGTCTTATTATTCCCATCAAAATTAGAAAAATAAATAAAAAGACTTTTGCATATTTAAAAAGATAGAATACAACCCACTCAAGGAATACTGGAAATATATCTATAAAGAAATTTTCAGATTTTTAAATTGTATCTTATATGATTGAATAGCACTGTGTTTTGCTACATATAAATAAAATTGGGGGAAGATACCTTGAAGTTTACCACATCTTTGGCTTTTCTCTTCCAAATTACAAATTTATGAGTAAACAGTTGTAAAAACCTAGAAATAGGCTCCATTACAATGTGCTATATGAAGATTGAGATTTATTTTTTGGAAAGTAAATTTCCACATTGTATAGTTGCTTTGGGTAATTTGATAATATCTCCCTGAGAAAATATGTGGTGCCCAGTTAGCTTAGAAGCAGTGATCAATATCCTTGTAGCTCATGTGATGGAGAGGCTTCTTTGAGAAAGGAAAAGCTGACATGGCATATACATCCATCTCTTGTTTCAGGTGGACTCTAGTGGTCCTAAATATAAACAGAAAAAAACCCCACAATTTTAGCTTTCAACAGTTAGAAGTTGAGGCTCAGCATAATTTCAAATGATGTGCATTTGCACATTTCTCAGAGCTTTGAAAGGGTTTGTCAAAAATGATTGCTGCTGTTGCTCTTCAGTTATCTGTGGACTTATCTATAATATATAAATCTCTATCCTTAGTAATTTCCAGCATAACGAATCAGCCTGTCTGACCTCATCCTTACCTAAGGAGTGATGCATGGTAAGATATGCATTGCACTGTTCTGTTTACATAAGTTTTTTAAAATAGTGTCTTACATAATTACTTCTTTAAATACAGATTGGAATAATGACAGGGAGAATACGCTGGAGGTTGTAAAATGTTAGTTGAATGCTTAAGAGACCCTCGTGCTATTGAGTATTATGACATTTCTTCCGAGTTTCTGATGAACCGTGTAACAAAAATATTTTCTGTTACTAAGTGCCTACTATGATCAAGACACATTATTGTTTGCATTACATTTATTAAGACAGTTGCTAATATGGGTGGGGGGATTCTGGTTGTGTATTGCAATGTAAAAATCCTTCCCAAAACTTAGTGGTATAAGACAGCAGCCATGGCATTATGCTCATGGATGCTAAGAATTAACTATTCAGGTATGGGATTTAGAATGGACATGGCTTGGCTTATCTAGTCCAAGAGTCTGGACTCTCAGCTGTGGAGACTTGAATGGCTGGAAGTGGGTAGAATGCCTGGCATTAAACAGCCAGTGCTGGAATATCCACTTCTGAATGATTCTCCACTCACATAAGAGGTGGCTCTGCTAGAACCATCAGTCAGAATACTTACAGGTGACCTCTCCTGCATATGGGCTTTCTCAGCATGATGATGCCTTCTGAAAGAGAAGGTCATGAGAAGGGAGTATTCAAGAAAAATATGCACAGGCTTCATGAATTTATATTACCTCATCTGAAGAGTAGAGCATCACTTCTGATGTGCTATAAAGGTCAAAGCAGTCATTTTCCAGCATTAAATGGAGGCGACACAACTACACAAAGGCGACACAGATGGAGGCGACTCCCATTCATGGGAGGTTTGGTAAAAAAATTTGCAGCCCTATTTTAAAATCACGAAAGATAGGAATTAATTTCCCCTGTAGAGTTATGGAAGAAGAGATTAAGAGAGGTTGAATAATTTGCCAAAATCACAGAGCAAGTAAATAACAAAACCAGAATCAAAATCCAAAAGCCTTGCCTCCTGAAAAGTAATGTCAATTTAGAGAGGCCCAATTTTTACTTCTCCATAATGGACTTTGTCTAAATTGTATATAAATAATGAGTTGTATGATTTCCTTTAATATTCTGCCTCACTCTATAGCTCTTTATGAAGGGCAGTGAATATATAATATCTACTTTCTTCTCTATATCCTCAGTGCTTCACATTGTGAGTCACACAAACTAAGAGCTCAATAAATGTTTGTTGAATAAAGGAAGGAAAGTTCAATTTCATCAAGCTTGAATAAAATTTAAGGTTTCCTCCCATACAACTGTGTGTGGTCTTGTACAGACATGTGGTCACTACCTGCCTTGCAGGTGATTGGTGATTGTTGGTTTTCTTTCCCCTTAGCAAAGTGAATGGTTGACAGAATAACTTTGATTACACTAGAATACAAAATGTTGAGATTTGCCTGATGCCAGAAAACAGAATCTTCAGGGAGCAAGGTTGTGTAGTTCATGAATCTTGACATCAGCTTGATTGAGGGCTACCAGATAGTGTTGTCATTGTTTTGTTGACTTAAATCTCTATTATATGTATTTTGTGAACTTATTTATATAAAGTTCACAGCAAAATTCTTGTTTTTGATTTAAATGCTCTTGAATCCATGGAAATCTGCCTTGCAAACTGTCATATTAAAAATTGTAGGCCGGGCGTGGTGGCTCACCCCTATGATCCCAGGACTTTGGGAGGCCGAGGCAGGTGGATCATAAGCTCAGGAGATGAACACCATCCTGGCCAACATGGTGAAACCCCGTCTCTACTAAAAGTACAAAAATTAGCTGGGTGTGGTGGCATGTGCCTGTAGTCCCAGCTACTCAGGAGGCTGAGGCAGGAGGTTGCAGTGAGCCAAGATCGCACCACTGCATTCCAGACTGGGTGACAGAGAGAGAGACTCCATCTCAATAAATAAATAAATAAATAAATAAATAAAATTGTAAAATGGTTGGTATATAAATAGCAATCTGTTAAATATTGAAAAACAAATCAAAGACTCTTTAATTTGTGTGATTTTCAAGAAATTATACCGTATGGTTCTCAAAACATTTCTAACATATCTTCATCAAAATATGAATTTCTAAGATCTCATAATTTTCATGGCATAATTGTTGGCATAGGTTATCTGGAGCTTAAATTAGTAATCAGCATCAATTTTTCACATAGTATAAAAAATCTGGTTGAAAATTTGTTATATTTACATGCTAAATATACACACTTTCTACTGTACCATTTTTACTTTAGTTTTTTTATTTAAGAAAAATAGTTTTAGTTTTTCTTTTAATTAGAAATGATTATTTTTTCTTTTAATCAGATGGTTTAATATATTAAATAATCAACATTCTAAAGGACATTATTATCAAAAACAATAGGAAATAAAGCTGGATTTTTATGGCCCAAGATAATTGCATGAAATTACCAGTATAGTTTTACTTCCTGATGCCCAGGAATTTAAAATCTAACAGAATAGAATGAACAAGTGAAACTGCATGTGTGTATAAGTAAAACTGTGTGAGTTAGTGTATAAATGAAGTTGTTTGTGTATATGGTGAATGTTTAAATTTAAATGAATGTATCTATAAATTGAAATTGTGTGTGTGCACGTATGTATGATTGACAAAAGGTACAATAATATATGCTACCTACATATCTACACAGAGAATGTTCTGAAAAATCATTGAGAATTAAACTTGGTAATTAGAATCAGAATTTCTAGGGAAGGAGAGCCGTTATTAGGGAAAAGTAAAAAAGGCTTAAGAGTGGGAACATGTAAGACAGAATTAAATAACTTCTCTGAAAGTCATTTGGGTTTCCATCTTTTCTACCTTCATAATAAGAATAAAAAATGCAATAATCTTTCCCTCCTTTGATCATAGATTAGAAAAACAGACACTTAAGGCTTTCTTTTTGTTTGATTTAGTGTACATGTCAAGCCATTGAGATACTAACATCAAATTTTATAAAGTTAACATTTCAGTTAGTTTTATAGCAAAGTCAGGTCTAGGCTTTGAAGCAAGAGAAAATATATCTTTGAAGTGCATCAGAAGGCTTATGAGTATGGTTCTCACTTATAGATTGGTTTTTCTTTGCAAAAGTGTTCCTGTTTCTTTTTTGAGGGCCGTCTACAAATAGTCACTCAATTCATATTTGCTGATGTTGAGTAAGGTATTCATAACACATTAGGGAAATTATTTGGGCTGTGGTAGGGAACATGCTTCAGAGTAGACAGAGGTCAACCAAAAAATTTGCGTGCCATCCTTCTAACATAAATTTAAGAACTGAAAAATAATTTTGCTATTAGTTATAGAAAGGTATAGATCTACTTAAGAGATATTCTGGAGAAAGACAGTTATGTTTGAAAAGAAAAGTATGTTTCTTGTGTGAAGTATTAAAATAGTTGTATTCAAATGCTTGAATAAAAGTTTGCATTTAAATCATTTTCTCATGATCTGTGGTTTCATAAACCTGATCCAAGCATCTGTTATGATGTTCAAGTTTCCTGGCCAAATGTTGTGTGTCTAGAAAGCAAAAGTGGTAGTAGGCTGGCTTCGTGGCACTGTCACTGAGATTGGTTGGGACTGAGCTCTTTTCATAAGGAGCTCAGATTAAGCCATGACACTTAATCTAAACCACTTTGCAGATTTTCCTGGAAATGATTCAGAGTGATTATTACTTGATTAGAGAGGTTCTTCATGTCAAATCCAATCACAATTCTTTCCAATCTGTCCCAGGAAGTTTATCATCTTGCCTGATAAGACAGGTGGGACTAAATATTTTCCACATAGCCCCCCCTCCCCACCACCCCCCAAAAAAAGGAAAGAGAAAAAGAGCAATTTGCTGAACCACTTTCCTCTTCACAGTTTTCACTTGAATCCTTCATAGTTGTGCAGCAGCACACACCCGTCTATTGTCTGTTGTGGCAAGCTGTCAAATCTGAAACACATTTTCCATTTTAAAATTAAAATGCTTTAATCAAGCAACTTTAAAATACCAATTAAGGAGAATCAAATAGGAATAGGAAATGCGCTCCCTACTTTAATTTTTCTGGGTTTGTATTTTTTTTTTTTTTTTTTGGCTTATCCTGTCTTTGAGAAGTCATAATAGCTGAGTCCATGACACTACCTCTAAATATTTTGAAATACACTGGTTTATGTGGAATTTGCTGCAGTGTAAGTAGCAGCATGCTTTCCTTGGAAAGCAGGAACCACAGCTGGACTAGCCCCAGGACACTTCTGTCATATGGTAGGAATGCTGAGGTCAGAATGGTGGTGAAATAAATCAATGTGGTAGTCTCATCTCTCTTTTTACTGTGACATCTTTGTAGCTGAAAAATTTATATTGGGCAATCTGAAAGCAAAGAAAATAATAATGTTGCTGGAATTAATAATCTATTTATTGTTCAGACTTTATCCCCAAACTTTGGAACCTCAGTTTCCTTGAAGGCAATATATGGTATTTCTAGTCTGCCATTGAATGAAGACTTATACAGCATAGATCGTCTATTCACTTGGAGGTCATTTTTCTACTTTCTCTGGCAATTCTGATGCAAGAGCAGACAAAAGGAATAAGGTAGGCCATTTGGAACCAGGCTATGCCAAGGCCACAGCTCCTCTAGCACAAATTGTAGAAATCACAGCTGGCATTGAGACCTGAGGAGACGCAGTGATGTTCTGTTTATTTGACTGGGTACATGCCAGCCCAAGTTGTATAGCAGATGAGAAAAAAAAAATCAAGGAAAAAAATTCCCCCAAAATAATAAATGTGCCTACAATGATTTTAGAGCTCGCTGATACTTTTTAATATACCTGAGGCATTAAATACCTGCATTTGGAAGTTTTCTGAAATAGTAAATTCAGCATAGAGTTGCAGACCATGAAGTCATTTGTATTTAAGGGATATTAAACACACTTTTGAAACCCATACTATTTCAAACTTAACAATTTTACTTTGAGAGCTGATGTACTTGAAAGGGACATTAAATATTAATCATTCTAAGCATCTCATTTTGGATTTGATCATACCAATTCAAAGTAGTAAGGGTTTCATTCTGATTGGAATATTATTTAAGTAACAAAAGATAAAACAGAAATTGTATTTCTTGTATTGATGATAAGAATATACTTGATATTTATTTTACTTTTCTGCGTTTTATGTTTTCATTTTTTTTTTTTTTTTTTTTTTTTTTTTACATTCGGTTGTCTGGTATCACTTTGCTTCAAAGCTAAGTAAGAGCGAGAGAGTTTATCTTAAAACTCTCCAAAGAGTAACACAATTTCAAGATAAATCACAAGTCCAAGGCTGTTATAACAAAACAACATATTGTGGCAAACTGCAGGTATTGCAAACCCTAGAGAAAAAGTTTAATAATGGCTTTTTTTAAATCCCCTTAAGAAGGTTCTTGCACAGAGTACTAACACTTTTTGAAACTGTAGATTTTGTAGAGGTTCATTGGCTTCAAGGGGAAATATAAAAAGTCTTGAGAGGTTTTTCAGTAACTTTGTTCTGGTGAGAGAAGTGCTAAGCCAATGAAGAGATTACTAAATTGAAAGGTTGACTGTTGTCATAGACCATAAATTTCTAGTCACTTATGAAATATATATAATAGAAATATATAATGGGTAAATTTCAAAGGTGCTCTTTCCTGTATCCTGAGCTTAAGGGCCATATTTCCAGCTGTCAATTGAATACCACTTTGGATGGAGTGCTGAGCTCCACCCTTGACATATCTGGAGTACTGACCATCTCCTCTCACCTCCAAACCAACTTTCCACCCTATTTGCCCAATCTTGATAACGGTACCATTTTTCCAGGCTCAATATCTGAGAGCTGCCTACCCTCCTTTCTTTCAAACAATACAGGTAGCCACAGAGCTTGGCTGTTCTTGCCTTTGAAGTGTTCTAACATCTTTTGATTTTCATTTTCATTGCCTCCACCTGGTCCTGATTCATGGCATTTCCATTGTCATAATAGCAGGCTAATTTCTCTCCCTGTTTTCTAAATGTACCCCACTTTCAAAACACAGTATTTAGCATCTTATTCCCTTGCTCAGAAATCTTTAGTAGCTTCTCGTTGCTATAGGGTATAATTACATTTTGTTCAGCCTGATATCAAAATGTTCAAATCCAATTCTTGTCAACTCACTGTTTCCCCTTCAAAGTATTCAGCTGTAAATCTAACTATTTCAAAAATTCTTTTTGATTGTAGCCATTCTCTGTGGTATAAAGTAATATTTTGATATAGTACTGACTTCCATTTACCTAATGGCCAAGGATTTGAACATCTTTTCATGTGCTTATTGGCTGTTTATATATGTCTTGGAGAAGTATTCCTTTCACTTGCCCATTTTTTTAAATTGGGCTGTTTGTTTTTTTATTATTGGGTTGCAAGTGTTATTTTTATATTCTAGATACTAGACCCTTACCACATATATGATTTGCAAATATTTTCTCCCATTCTGTAGTTTTCCTTTGATAGTGCTATTTAATGCACAGAAGTTTTAATTTTTATGTAGTCCAATTTATCTACTGTGTTATTTTGTTGCTTTTGCTTTTGGGGTTATATCTAAGAAACTAATGCCTAATTCGAGGTCATTAACATTTACATGTAGCTTTTCTCCTAAGATTTGTATACTTTTTGCTCTTCTATAAATCTAACAGAACATTAGTTTCTGTATACCCCTCTTCTATAAATCTAACAGAAACATTAGTTTCTGTAAACCTCTCACCCAGCTTGCCTTATGTGAACATCTTACATAATTATGATAGATTTTTCAAAACTAAAATATTAAAATTGGTATAATCCATTAACTATGGTCTTTATTCATATTTTAGTGATTGTTTTCTCCTGATATTTTTGTTAATGTTCCAGGATGCAGTTTAGAATACCATGCTGTGTTTAGTTGCGATGTCACATTAGTCTCTCTCAGTCTACAACAATCTTTCCTCAATATTTCCTTCGTTATAACCTTGGCTGATTTTAAGAGTACTGGTTAGGTGTTTTGTAAACTATCCGTTGTTTTGAGTTTTTTTTTCTCATAATTAGATTGGAATTATTGATTTCGGGGAAAAATACCAAGTGGCCTTTTCATGGCTTCATTTCAGGGTTTACGTGATATCCATAAAACTTATTACTGGTGATGTTAACCTTGATCGTTTGGTTAAGGTGATGTTTGCCAGGTTCTCTAGCTGTGTTTTGATAAGTGAGAAGCACTCTCTTCAATGCAGAATAAATTGTTATGGTTTCCATCTTAAATTTAAACTTCCTGCTAGTACAAGCCACAAACAGTAATCACCTTCTTAGGGAGTGGATATTTTTTTTTCTTTTATTATTATACTTTAAGTTTTAGGGTACATGTGCACATTGTGCAGGTTAGTTACATATGTATACAGGTGCCACGCTGGTGCGCTGCACCCACTAACTCGTCATCTAGCATTAGGTATATCTCCCAGTGCTATCCCTCCCCCCTTCCCCCACCCCACAACAGTCCCCAGAGTGTGATGTTCCCCTTCCTGTGTCCATGCGATCTCATTGTTCAATTCCCACCTATGAGTGAGAATATGCGGTCTTTGGTTTTTTGTTCTTGCGAATGGGAGTGGATATTTAAAGTAGTTGTCCCTTCTGTTTAAAGAAGCTCCTTTACAATAAATAGTACTATGTTGAAATGTGAAAATAAGTACTATATTCAGAATATTCAAGAGTTATCTGTACTCTTGAAATTCCTGGAATTTCAAATGATGGATATTGCCTTGTAGAGTGTGTATTCATCACTATTATTTTCTAAAGAAAAAAAAGGTTTTTTTTAGGTATTTCTCACCTCAGTCTAAACTAAGTTAAAACAATATGGAAGCATTCAAGCATTCTTGCCTCCTCTCCAGGAAAAGAAAAAAAGAAAGAAAATGGATGTTCAAGAAAATTCTACCCTGAGTAAAAAAGCCTAATTAATTTGTTAAGGGCCAGAGGGCTATTGGCTTAGAAATAATAAATCCAAAGCCTGAAGTAGGCAAAACTCAAATGTCTACAAGTGTCTATACAGAATACACAAAATCAATCTTGTCCACGATTTGGAAACTGAGTCAGTGGATGAAGCAAGGCCAGCACCTAGTGATTCAGACGAGAAACAAATACAGGTAAAGGTGAACAGAGAGACTGAGAACATAGAATAGGCAAAGATCAAAACCAATATAGAATTGACAAGGAAGTAGGCAATAAGGAGTCAGGGAGGATGAGTGCAAGGGAACACTGTCCTCTGTAGGTTGGTTTTATTTGTGAAGACCAAAGTCTTGCCACCTTCCTCACCATACTCAGCTTTCTTTCAGTGTTGTGCTTGGTTTTTCAGAAGACATCATTTGGCACTTATTTTGGGGAAAGGAGAAAAATGTTTCAGTACAGTTGGGCTAGTTAAGGTTTCTTAGAATACAATAAGGATAATTTATTGATTTAGTTATCGATCAAACATACTGAATATCTGCTACTTTGGAGCTCTTCATTGGGTATTAACAAGGCAAAAATTTACTCAATTGAATGAACATTCACATAACACTTAAACTGTGCATGGGATTGTGGAAGGCATTCATAGTCTGATAGAAGCCAGAGATGTAGAAGCAAACAAATTATTAATACTTCCACTTTGATATGCATCAAAAGAAGCATGTACTTAATATGAAGGTAGTACAGACAAGAGAGTGATTAGATCTGTGTAGGTAAGGAGGGCCAAGGAAGGCTTAGGGGGAGATATTACACATGTGCTAGCTGTTTATTGAAGCCTTATTCTACAGGTGCATAGTCTGGAGACATATACAAGTACAATTACAATTACACAATGTTTGACGTGTTATTTGTCTAACATCCTTTGCCTGACAAGGATGTGAGGAAGCAAGAGGATCAAGAGGGCAGCAATTGTGGGTCAATTGCTGCAACCTCAAAGACTAGAGGTGGCCCTGGCATCTTTCTTACCCTGGAAGGTCACATTGTGCAGTCCATGAAGCAGGGCTCAAGGTAATGCTGTGGGGAAGCACAGATCTGAAAGGAGTTCAATAGTCCACATCCAATTAGAAAGGAGCTAAGTAAAGGTGGGTGATCCAGGTTTACAACTAAACATGATGTAGGCTGGAACTGGTCAGAACAGCTGATGAGAAAATAATTAACAAAAGGGCAGGAAGAAGATAGTGAGAGGGAGATACCTGGTCAGGTTTCTGACTTGTAGTTAGTTTGTGGGTTATGTGTGTTCTTTCCGTGTCTCTAATAAGGTGTTGGATTTTTAAAGTAAAAGCACAGCAGGTAGAAACTGCATTGCAAGCCAGAAAATTTCTAATGATGATGACTTTTTGGTGGAGCCAGGTGTCTGAAATCTTTTTTTTTTTTTTTTTTTTGGAGACAGGGTCTCGCTTTGTCACCTAGGCTGGAGTGCAGTGATATGATGATGGCTCACTGCAGCCTTGACCTCCTGGGCTCAGGTGATCCTCCCACGTCAGCCTCCTGAGTAGCTGAGACTACAGGCATGTGCCACCATACCTGGGTAATATTTTGTATTTTTTTTTTTGTAGAGACTGGGTTTTGCCATGTTGCCCAGACTGATTTTGAACTCCTAGACTCGAGTGATCCACCTGTCTTGGTCTCCCAAAGTGCTGTGATTATAGGCGTGGGCAACCATGCCCAGGCTGAAATCATTTAAAGCCAGAATTCTGACGTTCTATGTGCTTGAGAATTTCTATGAAGACATGTCACTTATTCTGCATTATATGAAAAACTCATTTCTTTTTCATCAACTGATTGTAACTCTCTGGAGAACAGTCCCTAAATTTCTTTTCAATAAATTAATTCATACTTGAATTTGCACTTAATCTAGATATTGGCTAGCACACTGTTTATTGGAGGATATTTTTAAAATGTAATTTGAAAAATAAATATAACATAAGATTAGATATTTTCCTGAAGATGAAATCAAAGGGTAAAACCTAAATAAAATACAGGAATAGTCTGCCAGCAACTATTTTAATAAATCATTTAAAGACTTAAAATATGATTATATGTATTTTGTATATGTGGTAGTATGTGTTATCAGCAAAAGATATCTCTATTATAAAAGAGGAATTCTGGTAAAGTTTTAAACTTGAATTTTCCCCTCACTATTTCAGATTTTGGCTTAGGACACTTTAAAACAAGGGTTAGCAAATTTTCTACAAAGGAATAGATAGTAAATATTTTAAATGTTGTGGGCCATAGAGTCTCTGTTGTAATTACACAATGTTACCATTTTAGCGTGAAAGCACCACGCACAATACCTGAATGAATGATTGTGGCTATGTTCCAATTTCATTTTACTTAAAGATACTGGTAGCAGGCAAGATTTGGCAATGAATCATAGTTTTCCAACTCTTGTTCTAGAAAAAAGCAGAACTTAGTTTAAAACCATTTCGTGTTATCATATATTTTTGTCTTAGGTTTTTGTGAGTTAAGGCTTTGGAATTGAATTCTAGTTCACTTTAAAAAATTAAAATTAGTCTGGGCGTGTTGTCTAAAGCCTATGATCCCAGTATTTGGGGAGGCTGAGGCAGGAGGATCACTTAAGGCCGCCGAGACAGGAGAGTGACTTGAGCCTACGAGTTTGTGATCAGCCTGTACAACATGGCAAGACCCTGTCTCTGCAAAAGAAAAAATAACTGCATAGTGGTGCATGCCTGTAATCCCAGCTACTCCAGAGGCTGAGGCAGAAGAGTCATTTGCACCTAGGAGTTCAAGGCTGCAGTGAGCCCTGTTCACAACACTATACCTCAGTCTGGGTGACAGAGCAAGATCTTGTCTAAAAAAAAATCTATATATAAAAAATATTAAGAAACATTACACACCCACATATACACACAAATACATACACATAAACCATTAGAGCTAATAAATGAGTTCTGTAAGATTGAAGGATAAAAGATCAATAGATAAAAATCAACTGTATTTCTATGCACCAGCAATGAAAAATTTGAAAATAAAGTTCCATTTATGATAACATCAAAGAATAATATTAAACAAAATAAGTGTAAAACTTGTATACTAAATACTATAAATTATTATTAAAAGAAGTTGAAAAAAATCCTAAGTAAGTGGAACGGCATTTCATATTTGTAGACTGAAAATTTGACATTTTAAAGATAGAAATACATGTCAAACTGATCTACAGATTCAAAGCAATCTCTATCAAAGTCCCAACTATGTTCTTTGGAGAAATGGACAAGCTAATCTTAAAATTCATATGGAAATGCAAGGGACCCCCAATAGCCAAAATAATCTGGAAAAGAAAAACCAAAAAAGCAAAGTTGGAAGACTTGCACTTTCCAATTGCAAAACTTACTACAAGCCACAGAAATCAATGGAATGTGGTACAGGCATAAGGATAGATATGTAGATTAGTAGAATAGAATTGAGAGTGCAGAAATAAATCTTCACATCTGTGATCTACCTTTTTTGTTTTTTTAACAAGACTACAAAGACAACAGAGAAAGAATCATCTTTTCATTCAATGGTACTGGGACAATTGGATTTCCACATCAAAAAAATAAAGTTGGACCCCTACCTCAGACTATATGCAAAAATTAACTTCAAGTGTATTAAAGGTCTAAATTTGCCCAGGGGTGGTGACTCAGGCCTGTAATGCCAGCACTTTGGGAGGTTGTGGCGGGCAGATCACAAGATCAGGAGATCGAGACCATCATGGCGAATGTGGTGAAACCCCACCTCTACTAAAAATACAAAAATTAGCCAGGCATGGTGGTGTGCACCTGTAGTCCCAGATTCTCAGGAGGCTGAGGCAGGAGAATCGCTTGAACCTGTGAGGCGGAGGTTCTAGTGAGCTGAGATCGTGCCACTGCACTGCAGCCTGGGTGACAGAGCGAGACCCCATCTCAAAATAAAATAAGGTCTAAATTTAAGAGCAAAAAGTATACAAATCTTAGGAGAAAACCTACATGTAAATGTTAATGACCTTGAATTAGGCATTAGTTTCTTAGATATAACACCAAAAGCAAAGGCAACAAAATAACACAGTAGATAAATTGGACTACATAAAAATTAAAACATCTGTGCATTAACTAGCACTATCAAAGGAAAACCTATAAAATGGGAGAAAATATTTGCAAATCATATATGTAGTAAGAGTCTAGTATCTAGAATATAAAAATAACACAACCCAATAATAAACAGCCCAATTAAAATGGGCAAGTGATTTAAAGGGATACTTCTCCAAGAGATATACAAATAGCCAGTAGGCACATGAAAAGATGCTCAACTCATTTAAAATTAGGTAAATGGAAGTCAGTACTATTATAAAATATTACTTTATACTACAGAGAATGGCTGTAATAAAAAAAAAAGGATATTAACTATTGCTGGCAAAGACGTGGAGTGGTTGGAACCCCCACATGTTGCTGGTGGAAGTGAAAAACAGGGCAGCCACTTTGGAAATCAGTTTGGCAGTTCTTCAAAAAGGGAAATGCAGAGTTACTATATGACTCAGCAGTTCTAGGTGTGTACCTAAGACAACTGAAAACATATTCACGTAAATTCTTATACATAAATATTCATAGCAGCATTATGATATGACCAAAAGGTGGAAACAACCCAGATTTTTATCACATAATATGTAGATAAATAAAATGTACTATATTCATGCAATAGAATATTATTCAACCATAAATCAAATTGAAATACTGATCCATGCTACATTCACTAAGTCCAAGAAGCCAGACACAAAAGGACACTTATTGTATGATTCTATTTATATAAAATGCCCAGCATAAACCAATCTATAGAGACAGAAAGTAGATTACTAGTTGCCGGGGGCTAGACATAGGAATAGAGAGTGACTGCTAATCATTATGGGGTTTCATTTTGTAGTGATGAAAATGTTCTGAAAATAGATAGTGGTGATGATTGTACAACCTTGTGAATATACTGAGAATCTCTGAATTGGGCACTTTAAAAGGGTGAATATTATGGTAAGTGATTATATCTTAATATTTAAAAATCAGACCATTTAGACAGGCATAATACTGTAATTAAAAATTTTCAATTCATGCATGTGGTAACTTATGCCTGTAATCTCGATGACTTGGGAGGCTTAGATGGGAGGATCACTTGAAGCCAGGAGTTTGAGGCTGCAGTGAGCTATGATTACTCCTCTCTTCTCTAGCCTGGATGACAGAGCAAGACTCCATCTAATAAATAAATAAAATGTTCTTGTTCTCCTAGTCAACTTTCCAGTGATAATTATCATCAATAACTTGAAATGCTTCTATATATAAGCAAGATATATATGTGTATACATATGTAAATACACGTATACATAAAATATACATGTTTCTGTACATACATATATATCATAAAATTTTTTCCTGGATTATACCATTACTTACATGATTTTTGCAAAAATTGCTTTGTTTGCATTTAAAAATTTGTATTATTATTTGTGCTGATTGTATATTATTCCAGATGTGTCAGGTTCCTTTTTTTCCCCAAATTCCTTGCTGTTACAATCAATGTTGCAATGATTCTTTATGCTGTATCTTGTGCATTTTGTGAGCCCCTCTCCATAGGAAATTTGTAGAAATGGAACTGATGAGTTAAAGTGCATGTGCAGTTTTGAATTTTAATTCAAAAATAAATATTTACTTTTTACTTTTTATTTGTCGAACATGAATCTGGGCACTTTTTTAAATTAAATTTTTATATTACCCTTCAAAAAGATAGTACCAATTTGCACTCCTCCCAGACTATGTGAGAATTTGTTTTTTCCTGCCTTTATTAGCACACAGTATTATTAAGCATATTAATCTTTGATAAGTGGATAACTGCAAAGTATTTTGATTTTCAGTTTTTCAGTTTTTGACTCCAAATATACTTGAGCATATTTTTATGTTTGTTTTTCCTTTTTAAAGAAATTCTCTGCACAGATCATTTGACCTTTTTACTTGACTGTCATATTTTACAAGGCCTCTTTAAACATTTAGAAAACACTGTTTAGCATAAGAGTTGAATATTTTGTCTCTAGTTGTCATTTTGGCATTGTTTTGGGTATTTTGGACACACTGAAGATTCTAATATTTTAGTTCTATTGATCTTTCATTTTGTGCCCTCTGAGTGTTTCGTCCTGTTAAAATAAATGTCGTCTTTCCCTTTTTCTCCCTGCAATCAGCCTTACTTTACCTTCTTTCAGTATTACAAACACATGCACAGGTACTTTCTTTTTAAAGTTGTTTTTCACATTTAAATATTCATTACTGTTTTAAATGAATGAAACTCTTTAAAGGCAAATTATTCTTTTTGAGAAGACACATCATGGATATTGAAAGTATGTGAAATGCACAGATTTTGGGTCTGGCTGAGGGTAAAATTCCAGATTCATATAGAAAAAATATTTAAATTCTTTGCTGCACACACACACATACACATACATATTTTCCTTAATAAACTTATCAGAAATTATTGACCAACAATTGATTGCTTTGATTTTTAACTCGTGCCTTAGTGGCTCCACTTGAAATCTTCTCTTTATGTGGTTGAGATTTGGTATATATAATGAAATAAAAACTTAAATTTTCTTATTTGGTACTATAAAAATGTTTACTTGAAGATATTTTGCCTGGCTAAATATCAAGCTCTAAGTACATTATTTAAGAACTTATAGAATTATAATGCAGGATAGTTGATGAAATACTATTCAGATGCAATATTTTATTGAGCATTCACAATGTACAGGCCCATTTTGGTACTCCATTATAGAAATATATTTCATAGTATTTCCATTCGCAGAGAATAAAGTCTGAAAAAAGGAAACACATTCCAATCACTACAATACAAAGAGATATATAATTAGCAAATATTTTGTATAAATGAAATAACTTGGAAACACAAAGGGAATATATCCCTTAAGTAAACATAAATAATGTAATTCAGAAGGAGTTGACACACACCTGCTGTGTCAAGACATTGATAGTCATCACAAGACATCTATAGGCTAAGATTATGGTGGGATGCTTTTCAGTCAAAGAGAAGAATGAAACAAGTTCAGGAACGAAAAAAAAAATCTAGGGCATTAATAGGGAATGCTGACTCTTCTAGACTGGATGAAATGAATGATTTAGATTTGAGGACAAAATTTAATAAAACAACAGAGGAAGAGATTGCCAAAGACTCTAGATTTGGAAGTGTCTTCAAAAAGCACTAGGGTGATCTTTGTGGTTTATTGAATTGCTGGATGAAGCAATCACCACATTGCATTTAAGACAATCTGATGGCAGCTAATAAAATACATTGAGGAGATGAAAGGGGATGTCTGGAGAAAAGGAGCTTTTCTGATAAGGCAACAAATAAAACTCTGAGTCCAGTTGAATATGATGAGTATGGAAAGTAAAATATAAATCCCAAATAATGCATTTACTTACCTAGTGGTGGTTTGTTGTGAATAGTGAAGATAAAATTGTTTTGAAATTTTTAATTAGAATGACTGTAAAATTGCCAGAGAACTTAGATTTTAGCTGGCTTCAGATAGTAGAGTAGATTTGTTTTCAAGTATTTGAACTTTGAGGTAGAACTCTGGGTTGCAGATTAGGAGATAGAAGAGTGGAGAGTTTGATCTTATCACAAAGGAAAGAATGATTAAAACTTTAATAAATCATGGTAATTGATGATCAAGGAAATGGGTTTTTAATGCAACCATTAAATTGTTTCTTAATACCAGAATATGAGTACAGGAGTAAGACTTAGGAGAGGAGATACAGAAGGAATGTTCAAATAAGTAGGTGGGTAATTAAACCACCCTGGAACTCAAAAGATGAGAATGTCAAGAAAGTAGAGCCTACCAGGACTATATTTGTGACTTTCACTGGGATAATTTCAGTGAAGTGGTGTGGGTAGAAGCCAGGTATTCTGGGGGTTATGATGTAGTTGGAGGGTCATATGGATAAGAAGAGTGGGCACTTTTCTTAAGTTTATGGAGGTATAAATGGCATGCAATAATACGCACATATTTTAAGTGTACACTTCTATAAGCTTTGATTCCTATATACACCATGGGACTACCACCACAATCAAGACATTTACATTATTTCAGAAAGTCATCTGTGACCATTCTCAATTTAATCTCCTCACTTGTTGCCCCAGGCAACCACTGATCTGCTTTCTTTCATTACAGATTGGATTTTCTTTTCTATAATTTCTTTTAAGTGAAATAATATAGTACTTACCCTTTTGTGTCTGGCTTTTTGCACTTAAGCAGGATTTTGAGATTATGTTGTTGTATGTGTCTTAATCTGTTCCCTTTTAGTGCTGAGTATGTAGAATATGGTTTTGAACAATTTTATTAGTGAAATAAGGCTGAAGCTATAATAATACATAGATTTCTTATTGTTTTGAGATAGAAAAAATCTGAAGGTGTTTTTAAGCAGGTAAGAGGACTCAATAGAGAAACGGAGTATACTAAAAACAAAAAAAATTATAGTAAAAATTTCCCAGGGCATCATGGTTTGTAAGAGAAAACCACCATTAAATAGAAGTACAAATAGGGAATTTAAACTTAGAATTTAAAACAAACAAAAATGATAAAAACAAAGTTTTAAAAATCTGTTTAAGCAGAATGAAGAAGTTAAGATGAACTAAAAAGAGAATCCAGTGAAATTGAAATCTTCAGGATGTAAACAATGTCAAGAATTGTGCAGAGAGAAGACAGTAGAGAAAATGTAAATCAGGTGGCCTAGATTTTCCTTGTAGGAAAGTGAAGCCACAATAATGACAAACTGGGTAAAGAAAATGTGGCACACACCATGGAATACTATGCAGCCATTAAAAAGGATGAGTTCATCTCCTTTGCAGGGACATGGATGAAGCTGGAAACCATCATTCTCAGCAAACTATCACAATAACAGAAAACCAAACACCACATGTTCTCACTCGTAAGTGGGAGCTGAACAATGAGAACACATGGTCACAGGGAGGGGAACATCACACACCAGGGCCTGTCAGGGATGGGGAGCTAGAGGAGGGATAGCATTAGGAGAAATACCTAATATAGGTGATGGGTTGATGGGTGCAACAAACCACCATGGCACGTGTATGTATACCTATGTAACAAAACTGCACATTCTGCACATGTATCCCAGAACTTAAAGTATAATTTTAAAAGAAGAAAGAACGTGAAGCCATTCTCAGAGAAAAATACAAAGTTCAAGTAGGAAATTTGAAAAAAAAAAAAGGTGTAATCATACAATTTCATTAATATGGCACATAGAATCAGCTGATGACTTCCTAGTTTACTCAGAAAAATTTTTAGTTATACTAGCAACATTTGAAAGGTAGGGGGATAATGATTCCAGATGATCTCCTATTGGAGATTTCACAATAGTTACAATATGAGCGCAAGAAAGTGAGGGATTTGGCATGCCAGAGTATCCATTCTTGCATTGCTATAAAGAAATACCTAAGACTGTGTAATTTATAAAGAAAAGAGTTTTAATTGGCTCACAGTTGTGCAGCCTGTACAGGAAACATAGTGGCTTCTCCTTTTGGGGGGCCTCAGGAAACTTACAATCATGGTGGAAGGCAAAGGGGAAGGAGGCACGTCTTCCATGGCCAGAGCAGGAGGAGAAACAGGGAAGAGGTGCCATATACTCTTAAACAACCAGATCTTGTGAGAATTCTATCCTAAGAATACCATCAAAGGAATGATGCTAAACCATTCAAAAAGGATCTACCCCTATGATCCAATCATTTTCCACCAGGGCCCACCTTCAACATTGGGAATTACAACTGAACATGAGATCTGTGTGGGGACACAGAGCCAAACCATATTATTCTGCTCTGCTCCTTGCCCCAGGATTGGGACCCATCTACCTGGCAAAATTTTTTTGCCCCAGTAGGTATGGAAGACAGAAGGAGGCACAGAAAAGGATCTCATAGCATTGAATAAGGAAGGGAAGAGGTAAACTGTGTTGTTCAAGCAGAGACCTTGGTGTCCCCAAGCCACCAGAGAGCTCACTCAGCAGCAGAGACACTGAAGAAAGCTGTTCAGACGGCCTCTTGTCAGCTACTGTGGGAAGCTGTTTGTCAGGTCAAGGATTCAAGACACCCAGTAAACTAACTTGAGCGAGGCAGCTCCTTGGGGCTGGTGGAAGAAGGTTAGCTCTAGTATTAATGGGGAACTTTTTTTTTTCTCTCTCTCACTGGGGACAGTAAGGACATTCTCATTGCCAATAGTCTTTTTGCTTATAATAGGCACACTGATTCTGGCTCAGGGCCAGTGAGTCAGTGGCCCTTGGTGTGGGCTTCCAGACACTGATCTTGCAACACTTTCTCAGGATGAGTAATGCTCCAGTGGCAGGGGGCTTAAAGCAACTGTTAACAATTGCACTTTTTGGCTATTTCTTTCTTTATTTTTTGAACTTCTTTTGCCCTGTTCCTATTGTTGAAAACATTAAAGGCCATATTTAAGAGTTGGCACTCACAGTTTTGAGGTCCTGTTGCTGTTTTTTGTCATTTTCTCCCAATATTGGGGTAGATTGAGTAATAAAATGTATATCCAAGAGAGATTGCCCTTCTGGGAAGTCTGGGTCTGAATTAGTACATTTCCTGAGTGCCTCAGCTAAATGACCCTGAAACTGTAGAATTTTCATCTTTTTCCTGAGTTATTTCTCTAATGACTGGCTTAACCACACACTTTTTCCTCTGCTTCTTTTCCATGGCACTGCAAGCAGACAACAATACTTGTAACTCATGACAATTTAAATTAAAGAACATGGTCAGCTTAACAAACTCCTCTATAAACTTTTCTGGATTTTATGAAAACCGGCCAAATTTTTCCTTGTATAAAGCCAAATTACACATAGAAAATGGCATATGTACTCTAAGTGATTCCCTCATTTTCACTAGCTAACTTGAACAATTAATGTAGGGTTGAATTTAGGGGTTGATGTGAGGCCCCACTCGTGGTAGTAACTGGTTGTGCTTATTTTTTCCAGTATTAGGGGTGTATAGTCTGGGGCTAGTTGGAATAGAGGGAGGGGTGTCTGATGACCTTGGAGTGGAATCCTTCATTAAAGAACAGATGGAATCCCCCTCAGAATCGGGGAACTAAGAAAACTCCAGGGAAGGCGTAGGCCTTTTATGGGAAGCAGTTAGGATGGGAACCCTTAGGCATGACTTTCTGGTGCCTGGAAGTAACGTGAGCCAGAAAAGGGCCATAAAAACCTGTACATAAGGGACCTTTTCCCATTTTCCTTCTTTTTTTATAGGATAAATCCAATTGTAAAATATCATTATACAGAATCATGTTTAGGTCAGTTCTGTTGGTTTTCTAATTTTTATTGAACCCAAATGGTGGTGCAATAGAAAATGAGTTTCTTTTTCTTTAAGCCAAATTTGAATTTTCTCCAGTATCCTAAAAACCATCCTAGTGGTGAATCCTCTGGGAGGCTCATCGTTGTCCCTCAGGACTAACAAGGATTTTTACTGGGCACAGAAGATTATCTAAGTCTATCAAGATATAAAGTAACTGGACCCTTGTTATTTTTCCCCTTTAGATTTCTACTTTCTGCAGAGAAGGTGTAAGTATAGGTAGCAAGGTGTTAGAAAAGTGGATTATGCGCTACAAATGGGCAGTACAATGTTGAGCCTCAATTCCACAGAGAGTGAGAGTTGGGCAGAGAGAGGGGCTAAACCAATGGTGACTGTAAAAGGGAGGAAGGGTACGGGATAAGCAGCATTGCCCAAGGGGAGACCTCAGAGACCCTGCCTTGATAAAGAACGTATCCAGCAGTGGAGACATCTAAAAAAAATGTTTGAGTGACCACTTGTCTATTGCTGTAGGTGGTCGTCCATCAGGCCAGGGTCCTGAGAACTCTCAATCCCTTTGACCAAGAGTGGCTTGAGCAAGGGAGTTGTACGACAGCATACAGGAAGAGGCTTACAAATGGCTGTGAGGAAATAACTTCTAACTTCAGGGCAGGTAAAGGAGAGAGCAACACTCCTCTAGAGGGAGGGGCTATAACCCACAATCATAAAGGGAATGGCAATGCCAAAATCTCCAAAGCATCTGGAAAACAGCCAACAATATCAATGCTGAAAACCTGGAGTGCCTGAGTTTCAGCCAACAAGGGTCCCCCTCACTGAATGCTGAAAACCCTGTGGCACCTGGGAGGCGGCCAACAGTGAACCACAACCTAAGTTGGGGTCACAGAACAATGTGACTGTGGCATCCCAGAGTTAATCCAGTGGAGGACCTCTCACAAATAAGTGGCCAGTTTTCCAAAGAGAGTTAACAGAAAGTCAAAAGCAAACATAATACTGCAAGTAAAATGTTTTAGGACTGAAAACAAAATGACTGGTGAAACAATAAAATGGAGTCAGAGGAGAAAGGACCAGGGAAGGAGTGATATATTATTCAGGGTTCTTTAGAGGGACAGGACTAATAGGATAAAGGTATATATGAAAGAGTTTATTAAGGAGTATTGATTCACAATATCACAAGGAAAAGTCCCACAATAGGCCTCCTGCAAGCTGAGGAGCAAGGAAGCCAGTCCAAGTCCTAAAACTTCAAAAGTACAAAGGAGAACAGTGCAGCATTCAGCCTGTGGCCGAAGGCCTAAGAGCTCCTGGGCAAACAATTGGCATAGGTCCAAGAGTCCAAAAGCTGAATAATTGGAGTCTATGTTCAAGGGCAGGAAATATCCAACATGGGAAAAAGATGAAGGTCAGAAGACTCAGCCAGTCTAGTCCTTCCACATTCTTCTGCCTGCTTTTATTCTAGCTGTGCTGGCAGCTGATTAGATTGTGCTTACCCAGATTGAGAGTGGGTCTGCCACTCCCAGTCCACTGGCTCAAATGTTAATCTCCTTTGACAACACCCTCACAGACCCACCCAGGAACAATACTTTGCAACCTTCAAACCAATCGAGTTGACACTCAGTATTAACCATCACAGATGACAAGGATGTGCTTCAGGGCACTCAAATGACAGCTAAATTTTAACTGACCACTTAACCAAAAGCTTTTATTCCCTGGATTACCTGGTATTATGGGGAGTGGCAGAGTGGACACTTATCCATCCACAGGAGCCAAAATTGTGCTGACTGATCTTCCACATGGAACCCAGGTGAAGGTCTCTCCAGGTTTCCTCAGTTTGGGTGGGCTTGGCTGCTGCATGGGGGGTTGGTAGGGGGACCAGTGACCTGCCAACCTGCTGATAGGGGTGGCAGTCCCACATAAGGTGGCAGTGCTATGGCCACTGCCATATATATTTGGCTCTGCCACCTCCCAGGGAACATGATGGCTCTGAAAAGAGCCTTTATTAGCATTACATCTCTGTAGGGTTAGTAGCTCTCACAGACTGTTTTGTTGTCTCTCACCATCTCTGCTCATCGTCTCACCAATTGCCATCTCCTCTGATTGCTGAGTGCTACCATCTCTGCTATCTTACCATCTTGCCTCTCTGTCAATCACCACCGTCTCCGCTGTCTTCATCCCTTCATAGTTGGGATGATGCAGACAGGCAAACCTCAAAATTTGGGCTTAGTTTAGGCGGGTTCTTGGCTTTTCCCAGGAAAGAATTCAAGGGTGAGCTGGGGTGTTAGCAACTTTTATTGAAGTGGCAGTGTACAGCACCAGCAGAGGTACTCCTTGCAGAGCAGAGCTACCTCACAGGCAGTATGCCCAGAGAAGCAGCTCAGAGGTAGTTCTGCAGTCATATTTATACCTACTTTAATTATATGTAAATTAATGGGCTGATAATGAAGAAATTTCTAGAAAATGGGTTGTAACTTATAGGTCATTAGAGTCATTGCCATGAAAAGGGTTGGTAACTTCTGGGTGTTGCCATGGCAATGGTATCATGACATGGCACACTGGTGGGCATGTCTTACGGAGAGGTGCTTTCATCTCTTCCCTGCCATCACTAGTCCTCAATCTGGTCTGGTGGCTGAGCTCCAGCTCTTAGTTAAGTTCTGCATCCTACCTCACTTTAGGCCTTTTATGGAGACTTCATTTGTTGTTCATGATTGAAGCCAAGACAACTGTGTCAAAATGTGATCAAACGAAAAGCACATGATCTAAACACAGCAAGGCATGTCTGTTCAGATTCTTCTTGGTCTTTCTGGGAAGCATTCCTTCCTCCATAGTATGGAGTAGGACCCTCTCTGAAATGAGGGTCTTATGACACACAATCAGATTCACGTCCTTCCTTGGGCAGATGGCAGGAGGACAGAAGAAATAAAAATTGTGTTTTCTGAGGCCTGCTTATGAGTCTAAAGCACCCCAACATCATAAAAAAAGAGTGTAACAACGGTTATGGGAGTTAGGAACTAGGAACCTTGGATGACAAGCACCTACACCCCCCCCGCCCCACATACACATATATATACACACATATATATGATCAAAATATTATGTTATATAATCATAATATGTTATAGTAATGTATATACAAATAGCTGGACACCTTATCTGATTTAGTGGGTCTGGGCTTGGGCCTGAGAATGTGCATTTCTAGAAGGCTACCAAAATATGCTGAATGCATGTGCTTGAATCACACCATGAGTAACAAGAGTCTAGCCTGTATTTTTCCATATTGGCATTTGCAGGCAGAAATATGTCAAGGAAGAATGAACTCAATGATATGATTCAAGATTGAATGGAGAGAATATTAAGGTCATAGGAGTTGTCAGGATTACAACATTAGGTAGGAAAATCAACCTACCTGCTAACTAATGTCATATAATCAAATGACAGATAATGGGGTACAGAGAAAAGCAAGACAAGTGAAGAGGGTGAAAGAATGGAACAAAAATAAAGACATGACTGATGAGTACCTGGAGAGGATGCTATAAATGGATGACCTAGACTTCAAAAGAGGCAAGTGTTGAAAGCTTGCTTAGGGAAAGAATATCATAGCAAAGCATATCATAAACAAATGAATTTTATGTTCTGCCTGGTAAGTTTAATCACAGGTTCTTAAACAAAAATGATTATTACATATATGCTTCCTAGATTACTGTTTTCACAATTTAAAAGTGTTTTTTCACCTATAGATAGGAGAACAAAACAGCTGAACTTTGGAAGACAACTTGTCAAAGTTGTATGAAACAATAATCTTGGGATCAGGGAATCTTTGTCTGTTTTCTGCTGAGCTCTCTCTGCTCGTGCTGGGTAGCTTTCTGAAATGGCAGTCCTTCCCATTGTCTGTTTATGACTCTAAGATTCCACTGGTCTGTCGTGCTGAGGCCCCATGCATCCAAGTGCGTTTATCTCTGTTGAGAACTTGCTTATAATTCTTGTGTCCAGCTGTGGTAAAAGTGAATACTCTTAAAAAAGGAATTGAGGATATTTTTTATATAGGATCAAACTTGGAAATGGAAACATTGATATAAAATGAACAGTACTTAGCTAACTTTTTTTTTTTGTTTAGTTCCATTTACTTTGGGAGAGAGAAGATTCTTTTCCACATATAGTTTCTTTTCATGTTGAGTCCTACAGTGAAGGTACAGTACTGTGCATATGGAAGTAGCTGGTGGGGTTTTCAATTCAATGGGAATGGGAGATGGGTTAAGATTGAGGGAGTGGCTTACAGAACCTTCCTGTGCTCTTTGTAAAGAGACATATGTGCACACGTGCACAACAATTTGACCTAAACTAAACACACTGAATGTAGTATTACTGGCCAAGAAAATTTGATAAATATTCACAAGATCACATTTGTATAAATCTAGCAAATAAATGCTTACTATATCTGAGATGAGTGTAAAAATTTGATATTACACTTAGTTTGGGTTTGCTTAGAATAAGACCTTGTGACAAGAATTTAAGGTTAAGTAGTTTATTTGGTTGTTGAATCCAGAAACTATTAGTAAAGAAATGGGAAAGTGAGACAGGGAAGGAAAGACAGCCTTTAGGATGTGTTATAATGCAGCTACCACAGTGGGCAATTGTTGCTTGATGCCACTGAAGAAACTCTGGGAGCCAGTGTAGAATACATACTTCAGTGTTACCTCCCCACATACCTAACCCCACATGCATCCATACTAACGGATATTTATACATCTACCCCCAGCCAGCCATTGGTTGAAAGCTGCTTTCAGTGGGGAAAGAAATTTAATTCTCTGGCACTTCTGACCTGCCACATGGGTTCAGGGTGGGCTCGGGTTACAAGTGGGTGCAGGGTGGACGCGGGTTACACGAGAGCCTCAGGCAAAGAAACACATGCCCTGACAAATGGACCTCAGGCTAGTGCTCAGTGAAGTAGCAAGGGTGACGGGATATACATGGGGCACCAACAGTGTCTGCTACATACTCTAATAATGAATTCCAGTTTACACGTTATCTTTTCCTAAGGGCATATTCTACTCAATCAAAATTATTTTTGAATATAAGAAGGGAAGTAAAGGGAGCAAATTAACACTACATAAAGTCAGGAATTTTGTGTAAAAGTGTGACAAAAAGCTTTTTGAACATAATTTTATCTGTAATTGCAAATATTGCATTGTTAATATAATTAGAGATTTATCAGAATTTCTTTCTTGAGAATAAGCACTATTAGGAACATGGTGTGTTTTCAGAAATCAGATGTTCTGATTATATGTTTTATTCATGAGAGCACAAGGAAGACATAGTAAAAAAGCATCCCTGTTTGCTGATGGACAAAGATTATAGCAAAACTCTCATGAATAGAGGTGCCAACTCTGGCTCCAGAGTGGGTCCATGGTGCCCCACGCAGGGAGCAGTGGGTGCCCAGAAAGTTGGACCAACTTAGGGGCAGGTCTTCAACCTTCTGGAATTGGTGTCCCAAGGTTCATTATCAGTGAGTAGTGATGGGATCACTTTAATAGGAATAGTTCACTTTGGTTGGATCTTGCAATAACCTGCTGACAAAAGATTGTCTCACCTTACTGCCTTTCCTATAGTGTTTCCTTGGGTTCCCAGCTTGTACATCACTGTATCTCCACTGTGTTCTCCATGGGCTTCCTATCATTTCATTATCCTTTGCCAGTCGCTGCAGTTTTGTTTAATATACACTGTGGGTTGTCTACCATGCCTTCAGGGGCTGAGCAGTAGTAAAACCATTTGAAGTTTCTTGAAGGTATAACTATAATACAGAGAGATAGAATCTGAGGTAAAATAAGAATATATACTTCAACTAAAGATATTTGAACTCAGATATTTACAACACTCATCCAAATAAAATACATCTATGAGGCACACTAAGCTGGTAAGTAGCATGTTGATTACACTACTACTCCAAAGAAGATTAAAAATACAAATAAGTAGCAACTTCAGTTTAATTATATCTCTTTTCATGGATGAAATAACACTTTCTTCATCTGAAATCTACCTGTACTGAATTCATTTATACTTATATTTTATTATCTCATTACAAATGTTCTTTCTCCTCATTCTTTCTTTTGAGGGTCAAATTCATGACCAGTTTATCTTTGACTGCCTCAAAATATTTAGGCAAGTGTCTTGCATATACTTGGGATAAGAAGGATTTTTTCATACTGTAATGTATTATTTCAGGGTACAGGCATTTGTGGAGTTATTCTATGAACCAGGCACCAAATGCTGGAAATAGGCCATGTATGATGGTGAATAAAATAGGCAAAGTCCCTGACTTTACATGCTTCATTCTAGTGAGGGTGGCATGTAGTAAAAAAATAAATAAACCAATCAGAATTACTAGGATACCTTAGGAACTACATGAAAATGTAGAGCTTCTCTTATAATTTCATGAATAATGTCGGAAATCATTATGGTACACACACTCAATTTAACATGAAAATGTTCCACTCACCTTATTTTCTCTTGACACGTTGTTGGACATTTTTGTTTCTTTGTCTTGTGCATCTGTCTCGTTCAAAATTATTAAAATATATTTAGTGTTAAGCATAGTGGCTGGTGCATAGTATGCTTTTAATTAACACTATTTATTATTGTTAAATACATTATGTTCTGCTAATAGGAACCCTGCCACATACTTTCAACCACCTCTATTTAATTCTCACAGCAATCCTATGATGTACTCACTATTACACCCCCAATTTACAGATAAGAAATTTGAAGCCCAGAAAAAATAGTGTTCAATCCCATATTGTTCAGCAAGTACGTGATACAGTGCAGAAATAAAGATTTATTTCATTTCAGAGCCTACATTATTAAACACTGTACATAGTAGGTCAGTTTGTCAGAAGCCATTACTATACTTATGAAAATTGCCAACAACTTATACAACAAACAACCGAGATAGAGAAAACACGAAGGACAAACAAATAAGTACAATATGTATATTAAATTTCTTGTTTCTTTTTCATTGGCTTTCTTTGATTTAAGATGAGCTGAACACATTTATAATTAAAGCCTAAATAATTGCTTCTGAAAACTGAAGGAGGGCTATGAGAAACTAGAGAACTAAAATATAATTATCATAGTTCTTACATTAAAAACTTTAAATGATAATATCCAAGAAAGTATAGATTAAACCCTTAATATCTTTAAAAAATGGAAATAATGGCATAGCTGAACCCAGTTTGGAAAAAGGATGGTTGGATGAAGGGAGACTTCAGGGATACTTATCAATGACTAAACAAAGCCACACAAAAACTGAATATCAATACTGAATATTTAAATGAGCACTAACAGCAAAAAAGGCCTTTCGAGTTTCAAGATTTTTATTATTTAAAAAAGACTCGTGGTTCTTATTTTGGTAGCAATACAGAGCAATTATGTCATTCTTTATCTAAACTGCTGAATATTCTAAGTGATCTAATAATAAAAATTCACATTTTACTTAGAGCTTTATAATTTTCAAAAGCACTTTTATATCCGTTCTTTCATTTGGCTTTTACACTATGGAAGGTGGATTATTGTTATTCCCATATTACAGATGAAAACACTGAGCTTCAGAGCAGTAAGTAGCTTCCCCACAGTCGTATAGCTAGTCCATTGTCCTGCTAGTTCCTGTTATGCAAGCCTAGTTCAAGTCCAGAGATAAAGCAAGTTCAAAATGAAGTTGATTGCTGCATTTCTTATTGTCATCATCCTTTTGTAGATATATGAAGAAATGACCATTTCCTTTGAGGGCCTTTAATGTGAATATCTTTGACCCCAGAACTTAATTTTCTTTAATAAAGTAAATATTTCTAAAATAAGTAGATACAAGTTTTTTTCATTCAGTAGGTTATTATCTTAGATTTTTTTTTCTTTTTTTGAAATTTGGGGCTGGGTGGTGAAGACTATGTGTTTTTTATGGCCAGCAGAATTGAGAGTGGTTAGCCGGACGTGGCTCATGCCTGTTATCCCAGCACTTTGAGAGGCCAAGGCAAGTGGATCATTTGAGGACAGGACCAGCCTAGCCAACAGGGTGAATCCCCATCTCTACTAAAAATATAAAAATTAGCTGGGAGTGGTGGTATGTGCCTGTAATCCCAGCTACTCGGGAGAGTGAGGCAGGAGAATTGCTTGAACTTGGGAGGTGGAGGTTGCAGTGAGCTGAGATCGCACCACTGCACTCCAGCCTGGACGATGGAATGAGACTGTCTTAAAAAAAAAAATCGGAATGGTTAATGAAATCTTCTGTATTAAGTAGTTTTGAAAACTATCCTAGAAAACCTATGGTTTCTCTGTATGCATTCACTGAAGGCATTCACATCTGCTACTCTGTCATAGAAATATTTCTTTTATGGATATGTTAGAGGTTTTGATGAATAAAGGAGACAAAACTTAACCACACAAAGATAAATTTAAATTTAGTTTTAATTCTAGCTTTTTCAATCCTTGCACTAGCTTTTTGTACAAATACTCTGTAATTTAGTTTTTGTCAGCTTTGCAAACCATTAGTATGTCTATATTAACAAGTTAAAAAGAACAAATGAGTTGTCTTTTTTATTAAAAGGATCAAAAACGCACAGCTACAAAGAAATGTATTTTTCATAAAACCCTGAAGTGATGAGAAACCCCGATGATATAAAGCGAAATGAAATTAAGGCATCTTTTATCAAAATTGCCTCTGTGCATTTAAAAATTAGTGAAGATTTTCAGTCTTAAGAACACTCTAACGCAATGCTTGTCAAACTTTAATGTGCGTACAGATTATCATATAAATTAATTAAATGTTATGTCTGGGATTTGCTTCAAAATAAATGAGGTGGGGGGGTATATATGCAATGTGATTGGCCATGAATTGATAACTTTTGAAGCTGAGAAATAAATACACAGGTTTTATAACAAGTTTTCTTACATAAGAAAAGTGAAAAACAAGAAAAAGTTGATTCTAATATTCTCTGTAGACATTAGGTGTATATACACATATTTTATATTTACAAATGTATGTATACATGTATCTGTGTGTAGGTATGCATATATGTTTCTGTGTGTACCTATATAGATAGGTAAATAGATACACAAACACACACACACTCGCACACATACATCACTGCCAACTAGATAGCATGGTAAATAACTGCATTAGATCTGATTATATGCTATTGCTGTCATGTTCTGGAATAAATCAAGCTACCATATGTAGAGATGAAAGGAAATTTTATTTTTGTTTATAGAGATTGCTTTCTCCATATGAGAATCAGTTCTTTCCAAGGGAAAGTTTAAAAAAGAAAAGCATTTTTCAGGTAAAGTCTTTAGGGAATATAAGTATATCATACTTTTGGGAGTAGAACAAAAACTATTAAAGATAATATCTGTAAAATACACTGCAAATAGCTATAGTAGCACAGTAGAAAATAATACTTAGGGAAAGTGATGACGGTAGTGGTAGATTGTGTTGAAAATGGAAGGATGAGGGCTTCAGGAATGTAACATTGAATGAGTCTATAAGAGTCTATGTAATCACAGTTAAAATGAAATTTCATACAGAAGTGTTTGGCACATGTGAAGACTCAGAAGTATGAAATACAATTATTATGCAAAATTCTAAAAGTAAATTTACATGACTTGTGAATAGTGTTTGTACTAAAGACAATGACAATAACAGAATCTAGAAAATCAGAGAGATTCAGATGATCAAGGACTTTTGCCCTGTGGGAAATAGGTTCCACTGACGTTTTTAAACCGAGCTGTGATATTGCCAGTTGAGATTTGGATGGTTACTTTGTAATTGTTGCTATGGAGTTCTGATTGAAATTGGAGAAATTAGAGTCAGAGATAACTTTTTGCTGGAGGCAGTGGCTCCTAAAGTGTCCTGTAATTCCAGCACTTTCAGAAGCAGAAGTTGTAAAATCTCTTGAACTCAGGAGTTCAAGACCAGTCTGGGCAACATAGTGAGATCTTGTCTCTATGAAAACTCGAAATCATTAGCCTGGTGTGGTGGCACGTGCCTGTGGTCCCAGTGACTCAGGTGGCTGAGGTGGGAGGATCGCTTGATCCCAGGAGGTTGAGGCTACAGTGAGCCATGATCCTACCACTGCAATCCAGCCTGAATGACAAAACCAAGACCCTGTCTCAAAAAAAGAAAAAAAAAAAAGGAAGAAAGAAAATAGAAGTAATCATAACTTTCCAGATGAGAAAGACAAAGGTTTTACTAAGAAAATTATGGTAGAGAAGAAACTGAAAGTTAATTAGAAAATAAAATGAACCCATTTTGTTGAATATATTGAGAAAAGAGGATCTGAGAAAAGAGGCATAGAATACAGGTCCATAATTGTTTATCTACAATTCCAAGATCTAAAAGTCTCTGAAACCGGAAAATTCTTCACCAGTTACCCAAACTCACTTAGTGACAAAGCATTACTTAAACTGATCCAAGACTATTCAAAATCTTTATTCATTCCATTTAGTATAAATCACATATTTGAATTAGAAATATTAATTTGTTTAATTATGAGTCATTCCTCTAGAAATAGTTGAGAATGTTATAAATGCTATGTGTATCTCAGTTACCTTTATGAAACCTGAAATATTCTGAACACCAAAACACATCTAGTCCTACGGGTTTCAGATGAGGATTAGGGACCTACAGTACTATTTAATGATACATTATTTGTTAATAAGATGTCAGACAGTCTCTTAAAAGATAAAACAGCTTTATTAAATTCTAGCATGACCTTTCTGATAATTCCCTGGAGAATAGGTTGTAAAATATATGGTGACAGGGCACAATGATCAGTGATTAACTCAAGTGTGGATTGGGAAGAATATATTTGAATTTTTCTATTTTCCTACTTAGCTATGATATCCTCCTGATTAGGATACTCTTAATACATAGAACAGGGTTGGGGAGAGAGGCAGGGAGTTCTGAGGTAGAAATATGAAAAAAAGACTAGAAATATCAGAGACACATCTAGGAGAGCACTGAAAACGGAATTTTTACAGAAATTGTGACAAATAATCAAAGAATAATATGTCTTCATAGTCAGTTCCAAGATATTTGAAACAGAAATATAAATCTGTCTCAGCCCAAAAAGAGCTAAGAAAGTAACAGATCGTCACCATAGAGTTTAACTGAGCTATGTTAATTGATTTGCCTTCTTTGTAGTTTAAGCTTTGAGAATGGTCAATTGAAATGCCCATAAAAAGAGGAATTGCTAGATTATGATATCTTTGTACCATGTCATTCTCTGTAGTGTGAATAAGTAGAATAGATCCTTACAGTCTAACATGCAATGATCTACAAAATGTATTTTTTAATGAAAAAAGTGAGCCCTCTAGTAATGGCTACCTAGATATCTCAGATCAACCCTACATTAAGGACAAATAGAAAAACTGGACAAAATATATACATTAAAAAATCTTCTTGAAGGCAATGAACAACTATAAAGTTAGTAAAAACCCATGTTGCTGAGAGCCAGGAGAAAGACAATTAATAATATTCACCCAGTTACTGAAGTCCAGAGTCTATCAAGAGTGAAGAGTGGAAGCCTTAAGAACCTTCTGGGCCAGCAGGAGAGGAACAAGAAAAAGATTCTAATATTCTGTTCAATGTTGTGCTGAAGGAGTTGGTCTGTGCAATAAGCAAATAATAAGCAGCCAATTAAAAGCAAAAAGAGAAAATGCCATTATCGCAGATACAGTTGTGTGTGTATGTATATATATGTACATAGATACACATATACACACATATATATACATATATTTATATATAAATTCAAGGGGTCTTCAAATAAATTATTATAATTTATGATGTTACAGAATACAAAGTTAGTTTTCAAAAGTCAATTGTATTTCTGTTTACCAGCAATAATTTTTTAAAAGATATAGTTTATAAAAATACATAAAAGTAAATACTAGGGATACAATTAGTCAAAGGTGAATAAGATGGCTATGCTGAAAAGCCTACAATGTTTTTAAGAGATGCTAAATAAAATTAAAGAAGACTCAATAATATAAAGGTGTAAATTTTTCCAAATTGATCTAAAGATTTGATGAAATTGTAAGTAAAAATTCCTACGAGATAGCTGTGGAATTTACAGTCTTGTTGAATGATTTATATGAAGTTTAAAATAACCAAGATAAGTCAAGACACTCTTAACTATAAGGTGAAAGGACTTGCTGTGTATCTGTTGGAGCAGCTAGCATTACCTTAACCTTTCAGCGTTAACCTATAGGTAAAAGAGAACCATAAAAGGACGGTGAATTTGAAAGAGAGGGAGTGACCAATTGGAGTGCTGTTCTAATATTCTCCAAGAGAATACATTCCCTTTCCTGCAAGTTGGAGATTGTGCAGTTAGAGGTGGAGAAAAATTCAGGAAATATTGTACAGGTAAAATCATTAGAAATCCTCCCATCTCCACACATAAGTTAGCTTGAAATCATCTCTCCAGCTCTCTGCTGTGCTTTCATTGTTCTCTACTCCTTCTTTTCAGCCTATCATTCTCCCCAAAATATGCTCTCTATATTTGCCATAACATGTAATGTACCTTAGAATGTTATTAATTATGATTTTTACAAATCTTTTAACACAAAATATCTACAAATAAGTGTAATTTACCTCTGTTACAGATTCAATTATATCCCATAAAAGCTCATGTGTTAAAGTCCCAACATCCAGTACTTCAAAATATAACCTTATTTGGAAACAGGGTCATTGTAGAGGTAATTCGTTAAGAGGTCATACTGGAGTGAAGTGCACCTCTGTATTAAAATGTACTTGGAATTTTGTTTTAATCAGGTATGATGAGGCCAACAGATAAGGAGATGCCTTCTTTGAAGGAAGAAGTTTGTGTTCACAGTTCCTTAGAAACAGAAGGCAGGGCACACCACAGAGGGTCGCATGATGGGGCACCCATGTCAGGGAGCAGAAAAAGGGAAGGGAAAACATGGGCAAAAGTGTTTATTGTGGTTTCTGTGAGAAGCAGTGAGCAAGGCAGAAAGAATAGGCTGATCAAGTTGTATTCCAATTTGTGGGAAGAGTATATTCTCTTGCAGAATATTAGAATAGTACTCTAATTGGTCTCTTCCTCTCTTGCAAATTCACTGTCCTTTAATGGTTCTCTTTTACCTATAGGTTAAGGCCAAAATGTTAAGGTAATGCTAGCTGCTCCAACAGATACATAGCAAAATCTAAAATGTTTAATGCAATAGATGTTATTTTTTGTTTATGAAAATTCAAGACAGATGCTTCTACTTGGCAGGCACTTCTCTCTCCAGTGTTGATTTGTGGCTCACTCATCTTCATCATATGACTTTCAAATTGGCCACAAAAGGCAAAATAAAATGAAGAATTAGGCATGGGAGGCTTTTTTGGGCAAGACTGGGAGTGGCCACACATCACTGCCAATAATTTTTCATTGACGAGACCTCTGTCACATGGCCACTTCTAACTGCAAAGGAAATTCGCAAGTGTGGTCCCTCCGAGTGCCTTAGAACAAGATGAGGTATATTGGTAAGCTGCAAGCAGACTTTACTACATGACATTCCATCTTCTCTATGACACAGCTCAATCTACTCTCCTGACTCATTCCTCACTCTTATCCCTTTTATGAACTTTTTAAATCAAAACGAAATATTGCTTCTTCTCCACGTTTTCCTTGTATTTTCACATCTGGGTCAATGCTTAAGATTTTCTGTTACTTGAAACCTCTACCTCCTCACTCTTAGCTTTCATGAAGAACGCTAGTTATTTTAATAGACCTAGTTCCAGCACCACTGCCATCATGGAATGTTTCCTGTACATTCCACAAATTAAAATGAAAGGGGCTTTCAGTCTTCTGCGTTCCCATAGCAATTTATCCATAATGGTAGTATTGTTAACAAGATTGCAATGAAAGTCTGAGATCCAAGCTGTAAACTGAATATTTATATTCATGAAATTATAAAATTTTAAATCAAAACATTTATCAAGTTACAAAATTTGAGTATAAAAATGTTTTATTAACATAAGGAAAAAATATTCTGGCAAGGAGAGACAAAGTGATCAAAGTCAGACTTTCCTGAAATATCTGTTTCAGAGGAAATAATCTAAATTTTAAGGACTAACAGAGACAAGTGAGTCAGAGGAGACAAAGGGAGAAGAAGTCAGTAGGGATATATTTTGCCTGGGAACACAGACTATGGCAAAGTCATAGGAGCAGAACTGGGAGCAATTCCATAGCTATTGGGGGAAATTCAGCCAGATGTTGGACGAAATTCACCCCCGATATTTCACATACGTTCTTTTCTATATTCCTTAAGTGTCGGCCGGTCTGAGAAATAAAGGGACAGAGTACAAAAGAGAGAAATTGTAAAGCTGGGTGTCTAGGGGAGACATCACATGTCGGCAGGTTCCGTGATGCCCCTTGAGCCGTAAAACCAGCAAGTTTTTATTAGTCATTTTCAAAAGGGGAGGGTGTGTACAAATAGGGTGTGGGTCACAGAGATCACATGCTTCACAAGGTAATAGAATATCACAAGGCAAATGGAGGCAGGGCGAGATTACAGGACTACAGTACCAGGGCAAAATTAAAATTGCTAATGAAGTTTCGGGCAAGTATTTTCATTGATAACATCTTATCAGGAGACAGGGTTTGAGAGCAGACAACCAGTCTGACTAAAAATTTATTAGGCGGGAATTTCCTTGTCCTAATAAGCCTGGGAGCACTATGGGAGACTGGGGCTTATTTCATCCTTACAGCTCGACCATAAAAGACGGCCGCCCCCTGAAGCAGCCATTTTAGAGGCCTACCTTCAGGGATGCATTCTCTTTCTCAGGGATGTTCCTTGCTGAGAAAAAGAATTCAGCGATATTTCTCCTATTTGCTTTTGAAAGAAGAGAAATATGGCTCTGTTCTGCCTGGCTCACCAGCGGTCAGAGTTTAAGGTTATCTCTCTTGTTCCTTGAACATTGCTGTTATCCTGCTCTTTTTTCAAGGTGCCCAGATTTCGTATTGTTCAAACACGCATGCTGTACGAACAATTTGTGCAGTTAAGAAAGACCACATGGGCGCCAGATATTGGGGAAAATTCAGCTAGATATCAGGCAAAAGTCACCCCCGATATTTCAAGTAGGTTTTTTTCTATATTCCTTAAGTGTCAGCCGGTCTGAGAAATAAAGGGACAGAGTACAAAAGAGAGAAATTGTAAAGCTGGGTGTCTGGGGGAGACATCACATGTCGGCAGGTTCCGTGATGCCCCCTGAGCCGTAAAACCAGCAAGTTTTATTAGTCATTTTCAAAAGGGGAGGGTGTGTACAAATAGGGTGTGGGTCACAGACATCACGTGCTTCACAAGGTAATAGAATATCACAAGGCAAATGGAGGCAGGGCGAGATTACAGGACCACAGGACCAGGGCAAAATTAAAATTGCTAATGAAGTTTTGGGCATGCATTGTCATTGATAACATCTTATCAGGAGACAGGGTTTGAGAGCAGACAACTGGTCTGATCAAAAATTTATTAGGTGGGAATTTCCTCGTCCTAATAAGCCTGGGAGCGCTATGGGAGACTGGGGCTTATTTCATCCATACAGCTTGACCATAAAAGATGGCCACCCCCTGAAGCGGCCATTTTAGAGGTCTACCTTCAGGGACGCATTCCCTTTCTCAGGAATGTTCCTTGCTGAGAAAAAGAATTTAGCAGTATTTCTCCTATTTGCTTTTGAAAGAAGAGAAATATGGCTCTGTTCCGCCTGGCTCAGCGGCGGTCAGAGTTTAAGGTTATCTCTCTTGTTCCCTGAACATTGCTGTTATCCTGTTCTTTTTTCAAGGTGCCCAGATTTCATATTGTTCAAACACACATGCCCTACAAACAATTTGTGCAGTTAATGCAATTATCACAGGGTCCTGAGGCGACATACATCCTCCTCAGCTTACAGATAATAAGACTAAAAGATTAAAGTAAAGACAGGCATAGGAAATCACAAGGGTATTGATTAAGGAAGTGATAAGTGTCCATGAAATCTTCACAATTTATGTTCAGAGATTGCAGTAAAGACAGGCATAAGAAATTATAAAAGTATTAATTTAAGGAACTAATAAATGTCCATGAAATCTTCACAATCCATGTTCTTCTGCCATGGCTTCAGCCAGTCCCTCCGTTCGAAGTCCCTGACTTCCAGCAACACATAGCATTGTCTAAGACAGGGTTACTGTGACCCACAGAACTGTCCAACCTATGGCAAATGTACCCCATGTGTGATGAATAGGTCTTTACTAATTGGAAATTCTGACTCAATAAACTAAATTTTATTGCTCGCTTTATAAATTTTCTTCTGGTGTAAATTCTCTCCTTAAGAAGGAGAGAATACACATGTCACAAAGATGTAAACATTTGGGACTTAGGATTTTAATTAGTCTCTTATGATTTTAGTTGATGGTTAGTCTTCCTGAGACTTCTTGCTTCTGGTGTGCTGATGAGATAGTATGTCTTACTGAGGAACAGAATTTGGTCCATGGAAAATTTGTCCTCAAACTTTTGGAGTTATAGTGACTTAATGAACAATATGCCAACATCACTGACATGAGGAGGTTTTTTAACTTGTGTTATAGTTAAGTGGTACATTAGAATAAGCTTTCAACTTTGCATACTGGATCTAAGACTGATTCATACTGATACCTAGAGTGTTTATCCTGTGCTTTGGTAGTGATAGGACATAAACTAATATTTCTTTAATTAGAAGTTGACACGAATCTGAGAATACCACTGGAAGTATTCTATTTCTAGAAGTAAATCACATCTGTTTATGTGACAATCCAATCACTCTGCTTTAGATCCACAAACTATAACCCAATGGTCAAATCTGGTCCATGTCTTGTTTTTGTGCTACCAGTAAGATACAAATTGTTTTTAGCATTTTAAATGGTTGTAAATATAAAAAATACAAAACAAAAACAGAAGAATATGCATCAGAGACTGTATGTGGCCCACAAAGCCTATCTGTCCTTTGAGAGAAAGCATTTGTCAAATCCCCCTTATATTTCTAAGCCAAACTATGACATTATTATAATTTTCCAATTCTATTGTCACATGACAAACTTCTAATAATTATGTCTGTTCTTTGAAAAAATGTCCTTTTAATATAAAAGGAAATTTATAAACTGAATGTGACTTATAAACTTCCACATATTAACTTGCATTTATTTCAGCAGAAGCCAGAAAAAATAGTATCTTATTCACCACCTCTAAATAAATGCACTCTAACCATTATGTTTAAACAGTCTATTGGTTCTAAATTAATACAATTGATTTTTTTTCCTTAGTTAAGGTTATCAATTTGGCTGTGCATCTTAAATTAGTGTCTTGAAATTAAGTATTACTTAATAATTTCTTCTCAGAAAGGCCATAAATAAGATAACAAGCGAATGTTGTAGTTTAAATAGTTCTTTGCTAACTATAGCTATACTATTATCTCTGTCCTAATATTTCTTTTTATAATTATTTTTTAAAAACAGGCTTTATGCTTTACCTAACCCTAAGATGAGCTTTTATTTGCCTTTACATTTTCCCACCTAAATCATCTTTATATTGGCATTAGGAATGGCCTTTTTGACTTATTTAAAATAGCCACTTGAAAGGAGAAACACATTAAGCTTGATTTGTTTAATGATGAGGGAATAAAACCTGACATTTTAGAGACATATTAATTCCAAGAGAAGAGAATCTCTTAAGTGAAACGTTGCTAACGTGCTTCCAAAAGGTCAACAATGTATTACTTTGTAACAGGTGGATCAGAGCCACTTGATCTGGGCTCATCAATTTCTTTTGCCCTCCAATCTTCTCAATTTGAAACCATTGCAGAAAGACATATGCATATGGAAATATAGCAAGATGGCATGAAGAAGTGCAGGCACAGAGACTCTGTTGTTTTTGTCTTTATGTGGAGCAAGGATTGATAGATGGGTACAGCAGAAACTGTGCTGTGATAAGGAGGTGGGATGAGGCAGCGTTTGATGGTCACCTCCTTCTTCCACCTGTCTTTTCTCCCTCTTCCTCAGTCCTTTGCACTCTTCTGGGAATAACTGGGCAAGAAACTGCCCAACTTTTTGACATTTGAAGGAGAAAACAGAGGTTTGTGAAGAAAAAAGCTAAACATACTGGTGCTGCAAAAGTACTACACTTTCCCTATTGCAGTACATCTTAGAGGATTACCATTTGTGAATTATAGTCACATATCCCCAAATTATTTGTAGGGCAGAGAAAATTCTGAAAAGAAAAACAAATCTGGATGGAACACATTGCTTAGGCATCTTCTGTCAAAGCCAGGAATCATATTGTTGAATTAAAAACATAGTCAAACTAGATTTAGATAGGAAAAGGAAGACGAAGGAATTTACTGGAAGTATATCGGGTAATTTATACACTGCAGTACAAGAAATTCAGTAAAGTCTCAGAGTGTAGTCAAGAAATATGACAGTCAGGTACCACCAGGACTGTTCTTGCCCTCTCTCACTCTCTGCCCCACCATCATCCACTATCCTCCTGTTTTCCTACCCTCTCCCTTGGTCTTTCTCTCTGTTTCTTTCTGCCCCAAGGCAGCACTCTTTCTTTCTTTCTATATAGACTTGATTTATTGCAACACATACAGGAAGAACACATACAGTTGCCCTTTCTTGGTATCATCTCCTGGTTCACCTATCCAAATGAAATCCGAGCCTAGTCTCTGAAACTAAATTCCAAATGCTCATGTAAGATAATTTGATTGTCTCTATTCGGACCAGCTAACCACACATAACACAAATGAGATCTGTGACCTCTGCAGTGAGGTTATGTGATCTACTGACCACTCAGGAGGGCTCAGGGAACTAGATTTTTTGAAAAGATGGGAGACTAGGATGAGAAAAGTGGCTACTGACATATTCAGAACATTTTTTGCTTTTCCAGTCTGTAATTGTTAATACTGAGGAATATTCATTCATTCATCAACTGCTTTATTAAGTATCTGGTATGTACTACAGATATAATAATAACTATAAATATTATTTATGCTTATTATGTTCCCACTTTTGAGAAATTTATAATCTCCTGAGCTTGAGGAATAACTTTGCAAACACACTCCTTCTACTTAAATCAGTTCTTCAGCTGGGTAAGCACAAGTACCATAAAAAGAGTTTTGGAGAATTTAGAAAAGATTTCTTGGAAAAGCAAGTGAGAACAACTCACCAAAGGATCAATATGCCAAACTGCCTATTTTCAAAACTTGTTTTAAGGAATATCATTTTTTAGTACCACTCATGTGAGTATATTATGTTTATGGATGTATACTTAGTATTATTTTGCTGAATCAGTCATTTGATGAAATTGATGTTTAGATAATTTGTAATTCAGTGCATTGACTTAGAGTATATTTTGGCCTGCTTTCAAGTACATGGATCCAGAGTGGTGAGGGAACAAGCTCTTGTTCCATATGGCTAGAACCTAAAGTGTAAATGGTGTAGAGGGAAATGGTTTGCTAGTAGGTGAGAGATTAATTAATCTCCAAGGAACCTTTCATGTATTGAAAATAATTTCTGAAAGATGTGTAATAAAAATGTAATGCCAGAAACATCCTGTTTGTATTGATTTTATATTTATCTATATCCATTTTTAGTCCAATGGATTGGAGACTCTTTCAGATCAAGAACTATATATTTTCTTGACCCAAATCATTTCTTTCTTGGCATGGTATTTTCAGATACACGTTTTGTTTTCTTTCAGCTGTATGGATTCTTTAGATGGTCAGTAAATATATTTTAACTAAGTCCTTAAGCTGATTCGTGTTAAATAAAATTATACTTGCCTAATTCTCAACTCACCTGTGGTTGCCTCTTTTCCTTCCAAGACGTAAGTATAGAACCACCATTCAAATTTTATTATTTTTTCATGCTATCTAAAATAGAAGAAAAAATCCCTGTTGAGACATTAGTTATGTAAGGTATTAATTAATGTAAAAATGATATGTGTTTAACATTTGAAGCTATATCTTTATGATTATTAATGCAGCTCTCTAAATGGGCGTTAAGCACAGCAGTGCAGTTATCATACAATGACTCTTTCACTTGCCTTCCACACAATCTTTTCCTGGGACTTGGCTGGTATAAATGGTTTGAAATTACATCTTAAGTTTCCTATAGGTTTCTTTTATTTCAAACCTCTCGGTACATGGCAAAATATGATATTGAATATAATACTATTAATTAAATATAACTGAATATAATTTTGAATAAAGAAGTTTTCAATATCTAGAAATTAAGAAATTGTCTGTGTCCCGTTACTAAGGTAAACAATCGGTCTTCCAGAATTAATATTTATGCTTATTTATGCTGTCAAAGATAAGGCTGAATATACAGTTAGCTTATAATCACCACATATATTCTGAGTTGACTTTTGTGTATATGTGGTTATATTATTGCTTAGCTAAGTGAAAAAAAAAATGATTGTTCTTTTAAAATCATAAATGAAAGCCAAGTAAATGAGTGTACCTAAAGGATGTTGGTGGAATCAGCAGTAATGATTTGTTGTTAAAGCTTTCAAAAATAAATGCAAAAGAATAAAGGTATTTCATATGAAATGAATATATATGATAAATAGTCTTGGAAAAATGCAATAAAATTTACCAGTGCATGGAACAAAAATAAGTGGTTTGCTTATAGTTCATGTTTATATTTTTTTCCTAAGCCATATTTAGTATATAAATACACTAATATAAATAACACAACACCATATGTAGGGTAGAGGACTTAAAAATCATTAATAATAAAATGTACACAATGTTTTTACTAAATGTGAATGCCTTCAAAGTGTTAATAGATTCTACAGTTGAATCAACTCCTATTGTATTCGCCACTCACTTTAATTACTTTCCACTATTAAGTTTATTTTAACAGCTTATTTAATTGTATTTATAAGACTAAACATGAATAGGAACATTTGTGACATGTCTATAACAAGCTTTCTTTTTATAAGTTTAAGCTATTCAAGGGAATGTGTCATATCTGCTCTCTTTTTGTAACTCTCCAGAGATATGTATATATCACAATGTTTTGTTCACAGTGTGCCTTGAGTAAATATTATGGGCTTACTGAATGAATCGGAGGAGCAGAATGCCTTTATGGCCTGCAGTTCTGTGCTGTAATACAATTTTCAGTGACTCCAGGTGGCCATATCAAAGACTGAGACACTTAATATTTATAGTCTCATAAAGTGGGGGATCACCTTGGAATCTGCAAGTGGAAATATAAACTGGCAACAAACATTACAAAACTGACAACAAAGATTCCCTGATACCTCATTACAAAGCCTTCCATGATTTTCTAGGAGCCTTTTCAGCATCAAGGACTATGACTCAATTCTATTCTCTCTTTAGTTTTGCCAGCTTGTAAATTTTGGAAACTGCTGACAATGCCTCATCACATGGCTGATAACACATTTTAGAAAAGTATTGTGCATACTGAATAATTATTTTTTAAATTTTTTTTTTAATTTTTACTTTTTGTGGGTACATAATAGGTGTGTATATTTATGGGGTACATAAGATATTTTGATATGGGCAAATAATGTGTAATAATCACATGAGGGGAAATGAGGTATTCATTACATCAAGCATTTATCCTTTTTGTTACAATATAATTATATACTTTTATTTATTTACAATGTACAATTATTATTGACTGTAGACATTCATTTTTTTCCAACTATTTTTTGTACCCATTAACCAACTCGGTTAA
This sequence comes from Homo sapiens, assembly GCF_000001405.40. Lineage (NCBI taxonomy): Eukaryota > Metazoa > Chordata > Mammalia > Primates > Hominidae > Homo > Homo sapiens. Next base: position 22,208,470 of record NC_000003.12, on the reverse strand, counting down.
CCCCCCACCCATCTACCCACCCCACACTTGCCAGCCTCTGGTAACCATCTTTCCACTCTCTATGTTCATGAGTTCAGTTGTTTTAATTTTTAGCTCCCACAAATAAATGAGAACATGAAGAGTTTTTCTTCCTGTGTCTGGCTTATTCCACTGAACATAAAGACCTCCAGTTCCATCCATGTTGTTGCAAATGACAGGATCTCATATATTTTATGACCAAATAGCTCTCCATTGTGTATATGTAGCACATTTTCTTTCTCCATTTGAGTCTTGATGGACACTTAGATTGTTTTCAAATATTGGCTATTATAAATAGTGCTGCAATAAATGTGAGCAGCATGTTATTTTATATATCTCTTTGCTATACTGATTTCTTTTCTTTTGTGTACATGCCCAGCAGTGGAATTGCTGCATCGTATAGTATTTCTACTTTCAGTTTTTAGAGGAACCTTTAAACTCTTCTTCATATTGGCTATACTAATTTACATTCCCATCCACAGTGTACATGGGTTCCCTTTTCTCCAATCCTCCCTAGTATTTGTTATTGTCTATCTTTTGGACCAAAGCTATTTTGACTAGGGTGAGGTGACATCTCATTGTAGCTGGGATCTGCATTTCTCTGATGATCAATGATATGGGGCACTGTTTGCCATTTGTATGTCTTCTTTCAAGAAATGTCTATTTCACATCTTTTGCCCATTTTTAATTGGATTACTAGATTTTATTCCTGTAGAGTTGTTTGAGCTCTTTATATATTCTGGTTATTTGTCCTTTATCAGATTCTGGTTATTAGTCCTTTGTCTCCTGTTCTGTTGATTGTCTCTTCACTTTGTTGATTGTTTCATTTGCTGTGCAGAAGCTTGTTAACGTGATGTCATCCCATTTGTCTATTTTTGCTTTGCATGCCTATGCTTGCTGTGTACTATTCAAGAAATCTTTGCCCAGTCCAATGTGTGGAAGAGTTTTCCCAATATTTTATTATAGTAGTTTCATGGTTTGAGGTCTTAGATTTAAGTCTATAATCCATTTTGATTTGATTTTTGTGTAGGGCAGGAGATAGGGGCTTTGTTTTCTTCTGCATATGCGTGTCCAGTTTTTCATAGCACCATTTACTGATGATATTGTGCTTTTCCCAGTGTAATATGCTCTTGACACCTTTGTTGAAAATGGTTCACTATAGATGTATGGAATTGTTTTGGCAAATCTGTTCTAGACCGTATCTGTTCCATTGGTCTGTGTGTCTATTTTTATGCCAGTACCAACCTACTGCATACAATCTTGGTAGGTTGTATGTGTCTAGAAATTAATCCATTTCTTGTATGTTTTCAAATTCATTGGCTTACTGTTGCTTATAGTAGCCTCTGATAATCCTTTGAATTTCAGAAGTATTGGTTGTAATGTCTTTTTCATCTCTGATTTTATTTATTTGGCTCTTCTTTATTTATTTATTTTTAGTTAATATGGCTAAGATTTGTCAGTTTTGTTTATATATCCAAAAAAACTTTTCATTTTGTAGTCTTCGGTATTTTTTGTTTCAATTTCATTTATTTCTATGCTGATCTTTATTTCTTTGTTCTACTAACTTTGGCTTTGGTTTGCTCTTTTCTTGTACTTTAAGGTGCATTATCAGGTTATATATTTGAAGTTTTTCTGCTTTTCTGATGTTGGCATTTATAAACTTCCTCCTTAGTGTTGCTTTTACTGTATCCCATAGGTTTTGGTATATTGTGTTCTTATTATCATTTGTTTCAAGAAATTTTTCAATTTACTTATTAATCTCTTCATTCACTCCGTTGTCACTCAGAGCATATTGTTTAATTTTCACTCATTTGTATAGTTCTCAAACTTCCGCTTGCTATTGATTTCTAGTTTTATTCATGGTGGTCAGAGAAGATACTTGAAATTCTTTCTTTTTTTTCTGGATGTTTTAAGACTTGTTTTATGGCCTAACATATGGTCTATCCTTAAGAATGATTCATATGCTGGTAAGAATGTGTATTCTGCAGCAACTGGATGAAATTCTCTGTAAATATCTATTAGGTCCATTTGGTCTGTAGTGCAGATTAAGTCTGATGTTTCTTTGTTGATCCTTTGTTTTGATGATCTGTCCAATGCAGACAGTGGGATGTTGAAGTCTCTAGCGGCTATTGTATTAGGGTCTATCTCTCTCTTTAGCTCTAGAATATTTGCTTTATATATCTGGGTGTTCCAGTGTTGGATGCATATATATTTACAATTGTTGTATCCTCTTCATAAATTTATTCCTTTATCATTGTATAATGACCTCTTTGTCTCTTTTTATAGTTTTTGTCTTGATATCTATTTTGTCTGATGTAAGTATAGCTGTTCCTGCCTTTTTATGGTTACCATTTGCAGATAATATCTTTTTCCATCCTTTTATTTTCAGCATGTGTGTCCTTACAGGTAAAGTGTGTTTCTATAAACCATTTTGATTTGATTTTTGTATATGGCAAGATTTGAGTTGGGTCTTTTTGAATACAATCAGCCACTCTATGTCTTTTGATGGGGAAGTTTAGTCCATTTACATTCAATGCTATTACTTATAAGCAAGAACTTGCTCCCGCCATTTGGCTATTTATTTTCTGGTTGCTTTGTGGTCTTCTCTTCCTTCTTTCTTTCCTTCCTTCTTCCTTTTAGTGAAGGTGGTTTTCTCTGGTACTATGTTTTAATTTTTTGGTTTTTGTCTTTTGTGTATCTGTTATAATATTTTAGATGTGGAGTTACCATGGGGCTTGCAAATAATATCTTGTAACCCATATTTTAATCTGATGACAACTTAACACTGTTGCATAAACAAACATACAAGCAAAGAGAAAACTAATGAAGACTCCACATTTTAGCTTCATTCCCCTGCTTTTTAACTTTTTGTTATTTCTATTTATATCTTATTGTACTATTTCTGATCAGTTTGTCTTTTCATCTTTCTGCTTAAGATATGCATAGTTTACATGCCACAATTGCAGTGCTATATTATGTCTTTTTCTGTGTGCTTACTATTACCAGCAAGTTTTGTACCTTCAGATGATTTATTGTTGCTCATAAATGTTTTCTTTTTTTTTTCTTTAAGATTGTAGAACTTCTTATAGCATTTCTTATAGCACAGGTCTGGTGTTGATGAAATCCCTCAGCTTTTGCTTATCTGGGAAAATCTTTATTTCTTCTTACTGTTTGAAGGATATTTTCACTAAATATACTATTCTAGGATAAAATATTTTTTCCTTCGGCATTTTAAACCTGTCATGTCACTCTCTTCTGGCCTTTAAAGTTTCCACTGAAAAGTGTGCTGCCAGATATTTTGGAGCTTCATTGGATGCCATTTATTTCATTTTTCTTGCTACTTTTAGAATCTTTTCCTTATTCTTGACCTTGGGAGTTTGATTTGCCTTGAAGTCATTGTTTTTGGGTTAAATCTGCTTGGTGTTCTATAACCTTCTTGTACATGGATATTGATTTTTTTTTTTTTTTTTTTTGGATTTGGTCAGTCCTCTTTTATAGCACTTTACATAAACTTTCTACCCCAGGCTCTCTCTCTCTATCCTCTCTTTATGGCCAGTGTCTCTTAGATTTGCCCTTTTGAGGCTATTTTCTAGATCTTGTAGGCATGCTTCATTGTTCTTTATTCTTTTTCTCCTGTGACTGTGAGTTTTCAAATAGCTTGTCCTCAAGCTCACTAATTCTCTCTTTTGTATGATCAATTCTGGTAAGAATGATATATGGCATTTTTCAGTATATCAGTTGCATTTTTCAATTCCAGAATTTCTGCTTGATTCTTTTTACTTATTTCAGTATCTTTGTTAAATATATCTGGTAGAATTCTAAATTCTTTCTCTGTATTTTCTTGAATTTCTTTGAGTTTCCTTAACACAGCTGTTTCGAATTCTCTGTCTGAAAGGTCACATATTTCTGTCTCTCTGGGATTGGTCCCTTGTGTCTTACTTAGTTTGTATGGGGAGGTCATGTTTTTCTCGATGCTCTTGATGCTTGTGGATGTTCATTGCTTTCTGGGCATTGAAAAGTAGTGCTAATTTTAGTTTTCACAATCTGGGATTGTTTGTTTCCATTCTTCTGGGAAAGATTTTCCAGGTATTCAGAGGAACTTGTCTTTTATCATACAAGTTCTTGGTCACTACAGCTGTTATCTGCATTAGGTGGCACCCCAGGCCCTGTAAAGCTGTGATTCTTACAGACTGGTTGAGGTACTGTCTTGGTGATCTTGGATAAGATCCAGAAGAATTCTCTGGATTACCAGACAGAAACTCTTGTTATCTTCCCTTACGTTCTTCCAAACAGAGAGGAAACAGAGTCTCCTCTCTCTGCTGAGCTGTCTGGAGCTGGGGAAGTCGTGTAAGAAGCAACCCTGTGGCCACCACCATTGGGATTGTGCTGGATCAGACCTAAAGCCAGCACAGCACTGAGTCTCACCCAAGGTGCACTGTAACCACCACTTGACTACCACCTATGTTTGCTCAGAGCCCTAAGGCTCCATAATCAGCAGGTTATGAAGCCAACCAGACTTCTTTTCTTCCCTTCGGGCAACAAGTTTCCTTGGGCCCCAGGCAGGTCCAGAGATGCCATCCAGAAGCCATGGTTTGAAGTTGGAATCTCAGAAATCTACCTGATGCTCTATTCTACTGCGACTGAGCTAATACTGAAACCATAAGACAAAGTCATTCCCACTTTTCTTTTCTCTTTCCTTTCCCTGGCAGAGGAGTCTGCTTCCATGTCCACCACAACCACCGGTCCATTTGGACTACTGCCAGGCCACTGCTGATGTTCACTTAAGGTCCAAGAGATCTTCAGTCAGCTAGTGGTGACTGTGGGAAGCAGTGGGCTTCCCTCTGGCCCATGATGGGTCCACAAATGCCATCCAAGAGCCAAGGCCTAGAACTGCAGATCCCAAGAGCCTCCTCGATACTCTATCCTTGTGGCTGAGCTGGTACCTAAGCTATAAGACAAAGTTCCTTTTATTCTTTCCTCTGCTTTTCTCAAGAAGAAGGGATCTCTCCTTGTAGCCACCACAACTTTGAAGCCGGTATAGCCCACTGTGTGTACTAGCTGGTTACCACTGCTTATAATTCAAGACTCAGGGACTCTTTAATCAGCAGGCGATAAATCCTGCTAGGACTGGGTTCTCCCCTTCAGGCAGCATATTCCCTTCTGTCCCAGTGTGTTTCTAGAAATGTCAGCTGGGAGGTAGGCCCTAGAATGAGGGCCTCGCATCTCTGCCCATTGCCCTATCCTGTTGTGGCTAAGCTGGTGTCCAAGTTGCAAGAGAAAGTCCTCTTTGTCTTCCCTCTCTTCTCCTCAAGTGGAGGGGACGTTATCTTTTGGAGCTGTGAGCTGCACTGCCTGGGATTGAGGGAGGAGTAGCAGAAGCACTCCCATAGACACCCAGATGATGTCTCCCTAGGTTGCATGTCTCCCACATTCACTGGTTCCAAGCGCAGCACACCACTAGGATTTGCCTAGGAGTTACAATTTTTGTGGCTTAGATTGCATTTCAAGATTATTTAGAACCCCAAAACACTTTAGCCCACAGTGGCAAGTCTTGCCAAAACTCAAGTTTCAACCAATGGAATGGGTGATTCCCCTCTGTCTAGAGCTTATCTAAATGCTCCCTTTATAGGCACCAGATGAGCTCTGCTCAGTGCTGGGAGCACAGCCTGCCCATGCAAAGTCCCACATTCAATGTGCTGTCTTTTCCCCAAGCTCACAGATTCTCTGTCCATATCCTGCATCTGCTGCTAGGGGACAGGAGAGAGGGGAAGTACTGGCAATTCCACACTGCCTTTCCTATCCTCTTCAGTTCCTCTTTCAAAGATAGGAAGTTAAAACCAGGTACTGTGATCACTTACCTGATTTTTGGTTCTCATGAAGGTGCTTTTTGGTACAGAAAGTTGTTCCATTTGGTATTTTTGCAAGGAGGACAGTCAGTAGAAGCTTCCATTTGGCCATCTTGCTCTGCCTCCATCCAATGAACATTTTCAAGGCACCCACCCTGTTGTTACTCACCTCCCCCAGGCACACTTCCCTGTATGGCACCAGGAGATTATGCTAGTATTTTCTGTGATCTCTCTGAAAAGTCCTTCCATTTGCTTCTGAGGAGAAGGAGACATGGCTGAATCTGAACACTTCCTAGAAAATGCTCTCACTTCTTCCAAAGACCTTTTACAATGTCAGTAACAGATGCCAGAAACAAATAAAGCTTATTGATAGGTTCTTCTATGAGCTTTCTTAAGTGCTGTATGTGAAATCAGTTAGTTTTTATATCACTGCAGTAAGATAGTAATAGTTAACTATGAATACATAGATTTTAAAAAATAAAATTAAAAAATTGAACTAAAGAAAGGCAAATAATCAGACTGAGGTCCTCCAACTTCCCAGTTTCCTGACTCAAATAGAAATAAAAAACTTTAGGTGCAAAAGCCACCAATAGAAACCTTAACTAAATGTTTCTGGACTCTTTTAATATGTCATTTTATCTAACACACTCAATTTTTTCTTGTTGATCTTTATTTTGCTTGGGATATTTTTGTATGTGTTCTTTTCTCCAGTAGGCAACTGATTATATTTAAATTCAATGAAGAACTGAGAAAATAATTCAGCTTTGTCAAAAGTATTAAATTTATATATATATATGTATATATATACACACACATTCAGTTGTTTAATTTTATAGTGAATGTGTGCTTACTTACCATGCCTTCCTGCATGTATGCATTTTAATAACAGTATTACAAATATGTGGTCATTTGTTTAAATTATGTATCAGCATAAAATGTGAGAGAAAAACAATATTAAACATCTGATAGAACTTAAACATCTCAAGGCAATGTTTTGGTTGAGATAAACTTTTAAAAATGTTCTTGCTTTACAAATACCTACAATTCAATAATATTAGAAAACCTAACTTCTTTCTTTTTTTCTGTATCTATTCTATGAAAATGTATTTCTCTAAACAAGTGCTCATCAATTATTTCCGACGTATAAAAGACTTAGAGCTTTCTTCTACATGTATATGTAAACATATTTAAATCAGGATAGCTACCTCTACTATTTTTTCACAAGTAAGTAAAAACTTTTTATGGTTACAGAAGTGGAAAACAGTGTTTAGATATTATTTATTTAATTTTCTCTCAGTTGACTTTGTCATCTTGTGTTGCGGGATGTCAGGGACCCCAAATGAAGGGACCGGCTGAAGCCACGGCAGAAGAACGTGGATTGTGAAGATTTCATGGACATTTATTAGTTCCCCAAATTAATACTTTTATAATTTCTTATGCCTGTCTTTACTGCAGTCTCTAAACATGAATTGTAAAGATTTCATGGACACTTATCACTTCCCCAATCAATACCCTTGTGATTTCCTATGCCTGTCTTTACTTTAGTCTCTTAATCTTGTCAGCTGAGGAGGATGTATGTCACCTCAGGACCCTGTAATAATTGCATTAACTGTACAAATTGTACAGCATGTGTGTTTGAACAATATGAAATCTGGACACCTTGAAAAAAGACCAGGGTAACAGCAGTGTTGAGGGAACAAGAGAGATAACCTTACACTCTGACCGCTGGTGAGCCAGGTGGAACAGAGCCATATTTCTCTTCTTTCAAAAGCAAATGGGAGAAATATCGCTGAATTCTTTTTCTCAGCAAGGAACATCCCTGGGAAAGAGAATAGGCGCCTGGGGGTAGGTCTATAGACGGTCCCCCCGGGCATGGCCATCTTTTATGGCCTGTAGACTGTAGGGGTGAAATAGACCCCAGTCTCCCATAGTGCTCCCAGGCTTATTAGGAAGAAGAAATTCCCACCTAATAAATTTTGGTCAGACTAGTTGCTCTCAAAACCCTGTCTCCTGATAAGATGTTATCAATGACAGTGGTGCCCAAAACTTCATTAGAAATTTTAATTTCACCGTGGTCCTGTGGTACTGTGATCTTGCCCTGCCTCCATTTGACTTGTGATATTCTATTACCTTGTGAAGTACTTGATGTCTGTGACCCACACCCTATTTGTATACTCCCTCCCCTTTTGAAACTCCCTAATAAAAACTTGCTGGTTTTACGGCTTGTGGGGCATCATGGAACCTACCGACATGTGATGTCTCCCCGGACACCCAGTTTTAAAATTTCTCTCTTTTGTACTCTGTCCCTTTACTTCTCAAACCGGCCAATGCTTAGGGAAAATAGAAAAGAACCAACATGACTATCGGGGCATGTTCCCCGATAATCTTGCCAGGATGAAAGTTTAATGAAAAGTGAATTGACCTCCCTCTATTAATTTCCTAATCAAATTTATGATATGTAAATTATCCTATGGCCCTGTGTTGTAATGGTTAGGGCAAGGATTCTGGATGTTCCTATTCTGTCTTTGACAGCTTTTACTTGTATGATCTTAACCTTTCTGTGCTGACACAGTCTCCACCTATAAAATAGGAAAAATATTAGTGCCTATTTTATAGTTTTTTTGATGATTAAATAAATCCAGCAGGTAAAGTTTTTAAGAGTTTCTAGAATATAATAAGCATTCATAATATTAAATAGTCATTGCTATTGTTATTGTTTGGGTCTCTTTTTATAAAATTTCACATTTTATCCTGTTTAAAAATGTAATTCATAAATTTTACGTATACACCACATATATGCATATATTTTGTTGACTGGGTATTAATTCTCTTCAGTTTTTGGCCTTACAGTTAGCCATACCTCATTTAGATTTAGCCCTTTAAAAGGGTATGCTGCTTTAGGAAATTGACTTAAAATTTTTTACTACAGTGTTTCCATCTGAACAATGAGGCTAACGATAAGAAATCTTCTAGGATTAGCACAGTTCTCCTCCAGTAGTAACAATCCGTATGTGCCACTTCTCTTCCTTTTTCCCTTCTGTAGTGTACATTACAGACTTTTTCAGTAATATTAAACTTGAAGTCAGAAAGCCAAATTTCCTGACTCTATGGAAGCTGCCAAGTGAAACATTGAACCTAATATTACCATGGCCTAACATCTTGTTGTTTTGCAGGGGCAAACACTCCCTTTTTGGATAGCTTTTGCATTCAGCCATATTGTCAATCAGTGTTGTTAATGACGCTGCCTATTTAAGTATGCCTTGAATAAAACATTCAAATCATGTTATTTTTAACTTCTGCATTTCCTTCCACATGTTTCTCTGATCTGAGATGTAAAATGTAATCTACATTGGGCAGACAATTATAGCTTAGTGAAACAAAGGGATGGAAAAGCAGGGTGGAGGGGACAGAAACTAAAACTTCAGACCTTAAAATGGCAAAAACAATGTGGAGATGAGATTATGTTTTTTGTGTGTTTGGTTTTTTTGCCTGCTTTTCAAATCTCAGAGCTAAGAGATTCTGAGAGTTACAAAAGAGCAGAAGTAAAATACGAGACCAATCAATAAGCATAGATACTTGTAAAGATCAATAATCATGAGACTTATTAAACAGTAGTAGATGTGGAATTTATATTTTGCAGATGTTAAGACAGACTTATTGAAATGTACAGCAATTCCATTCAGCAAAGAAGTTGCTGCTCACTCCTTCAGTTAATGTGTATCACGAGGGGAATATGATGAATCTAATAACAGCTGATTTCTCTTTAAAAGAAGTGGTGAAATCTAACTTAAGAAAGTTAATGATGGGACAAGATCTCATATATGAAGATTGGGGAAAGGTTGTTTACTCAGTTGTTTAATTTTATAGTGAATGTGTGTTCACTTACCATGTCTTCCTGCCATGTACACATTTTTATAATAGTATTACAAATATGTAGTCATTTGTTTAAATTATGTATCAGCATAAAATGTAAGAAAAAAATTAAAGGTCTGAAAGATTTTAAATATGTCGAGGCCAGGTTTTGGTTGAGATAAATTTTTCAAAATGTTCTTGCTTTACAAATACCTACAATTCAATAATATTAGAAAACATAACTTCTCTCTTGTTTTCTTTATTCTATGAAAGTGTATTTCTATAAACAAGGTCCCATCAATTATTTCCCATGTGTAAAAGACTTAGAGCTTTCTTCCACAATGCTTAGTACCAGATCATTAATTATCTTGAAGCTTTCTCTCATTGAGAATCCTTTCACAAGTCAATCCTAATATGTTTTTGCTGCAAATATCAGTGGTTGCCTCAACATCATAAACTAAGAATATTATTGTCCTCTTATTTCTAAATATACAATCTTTATCTTTAAACTTAATCTTAAGTTTTAAACTTACTAGGTAAACCTGCCAAATCCAGCTACTAGAAATTCTTTGTTTATTTTGACACTCTTGTCTTAAATATTCTCATAACCGCATTACTGTATACACAGTTTCTGTGTCTGTTCTCCATTTTTAATCCTGATTATTAAACCTTTTATTTTCCTTTAAAAATTGTATATGAGAATTAATGAATACATATGTGTTGAAAAGCAATACACAGATATATAGGGTAGAAAGTAAAAGGGGACATCGCCTTCTAACTATGACAAAGTGGTTGTATGAAGCCAGTCTTCCCTCCACACAGCTATGAAAGCTACATAAAATGATAACAAAAAGCTGTTTGAAGTCTGAGCACAATAAAGGAAAGCAAGTCTTTTGAAGGCAAGATGCTAGAGGAAAGGAAACCAAAAGGAAGTAAGGTAGATATTTTAAGCAGCTTTTGTTCATCAAGTCATTTGTCTTATCCTAAACCATGCAGGGTCATGAGTCCCAGAATCTGAACAGAATGCAGGGGAAGGGAAGCTGCTATTATAAGCAGAGCATCTGGCTGACTCATACAACAGGAGTGAAAAACACTGGAGTTTATGGTATGGAGCAAAAGCTTGGGTAGAGCTCCAGACTTTCACCTGACTCTCCTGAAGACCTGCACTCTAGGAGTAAGGGCCCAAAGCCCATTCCCTGGAAGAGGCAAACGTCTTCTGGAGTAGTTTATAAATTGTATAAGCATTTTTCACCATTTTGAACAAATACGTCAAAATCAAATATAGATGAGTCGAACTGCCAATTGGTCAAAGCTGGAGAGATTTCATGAGCTGTAAACAACTCACTAAAATATCTGGAACAAATCATGGGTAGGAAACAGATATGGAAAAATACAGGAAAAATATTAGAGATACATGGTTCATCATGAAAAGTTCTAATGCAGGTGTAACTATAGTCCTAGAAGAGGAGAAGGAGCCTAGAATAAAAGTAATAGTCAAAGAAATGCTGCCCAAGAATTTTCTCCTACTGCCAAAATATGTCAAATTACAAATTCAAAAACACCAAGCAGAATAAATTCAACAAAAATTGCACCAAACATCTTTTAAAAAATTCCACCTTTAAAAGGGAAAGACAAAAGGAAAACAAAACATCAGACTAAAAATTATGTGAAAAATTATGTGAAAGCTGACTTTTCAACAGAAAAATTGGAAGCCAAATTTTATGGAATAATACTTACAAATTGAGAAATAGAAATACCTGCCAAAATAGATTGTGTATCTATTGAAAACATCCTTCAAAAATAAAAGTAACTTTAAGATATTTTTGGGCAAAGAAAAGTGAAAGAATTTGCCACCTGCAGACCCATGCTCAATAAATATTAAGGACAATCTCTAGAGTGAGGGAAAATGATCTCAGATAAAAGCAGGTTAGTACAGTAAGGAACTAATCATCAAAATGGTGAATGTGTAGTAAAACTAAAAAATAATAACTTTAAAATGACAACAATGTATTTTGGGGTTTAAACAAATGTAGAATTGTAATAAATGACGTAAAACAAGTGAAACATGAGCAAAATCAAAGTGTTGAAAGGTTCTGGAATTTTCCAATATATGGTAAAATTAGCAATCTGCAATGGACTCTAATAAGTAGAGGAAAGATATTGTAATCTCTGGGATAAGAAATAAAATAATAATAAACCACAATATTATCAACAAGATAACAGAGAATAAATGCAATAAAAACAAAATAGTTCAGTCAAAATGCAAGAGAAAGAAAAAAGAATGAAAGGAGAAAATAGAAAACAAATAGAACATAGATTTAAATTCAAATATATGTGTTTTCAAATGTAAATAATATAATCAAGTGACAATCCTACTTCTATTGTTGCAAAATACACACTCTAAATATAAACGTAAGATATGAAGTAAAAGAATGACAAAGAATATTCTGTGAAATGCTGAACAAAACAAAGTCGGTATAGCAATAAGAATGCAGATAAGAATACTCAAAACCTACATGCATAGCTGTAACTGTTTTCCACCTATTCGATTAGCAAACATTTATTTATTTATTTTTTAACTTTTAAGTTCAGGGGTACAATTGCAGTTTTGTTACATGGGTAAACTTGTGTCATCGGGGTTCATTGTACACAGTATTTCATCACACAGGTATTAAGCCTACTATCCATTCGTTATTTTTCCTGATCCTCTTCCTCCTCTTACCCTCCACCCTCGAAAAGACCCCAATGTGTATTGTTCTCCTCTATGTGCCCATGTGTTATCATCATTTAGGTCACACTTATAAATGAGAACATGCAGTATTTGGTTTACTGTTCCTGTGTTAGTTTGCTAAGGATGATACTCTCCAGCTCCATCCACGTCCCTGCAAAGAACATGATCTTGTTCTTTTTTATGGCTGTATAATATTTCATGGTGTATATGTATAACATTTTCTTTATCCAGTCTATCATTGATAGGCATTTAGGTTGATTCCATGTCTTTGCTATTGTGAATAGTGCTGCAATGAACAAACAAACATTAAAAAATAAATAATATCTAATGCTGGTTAGAGATCAATACAACTGGCATCGTCATGCTTTGTTAGTAGTGTAAAAAGTATAGTCATTTTTGAAAATTTCAGAATATAAATAAAAACCTGTAAGTCACTCGTAATGTTTGGACCACAGATTTCAAAATGTAAAACTATAAAACTTTTAGTAGAACATATACGAGAAAATCTTTATGAACTGGATCAGGAAAAAGTGTTCTTATATATGACATAAAAAGCATAGTATATTAAAGAAAAGAATTAATGAGTGACCTTCAGGGTGGCCCTGCCAATAAAAGACTTATATCTAGAAAGAAAAAATATATATATGTTTGTGTGTATGTGTGGGTACGTAATCTCAAAACTCCAGTCAACAGACTTGAACAAATACTTCAGCAAAGAGAATATATGTATGACACGTAAACACATTAAAATATGTTTCTTCCTTTGAACTAGGAGTTAAGAAAAAAAGTGTTCAATATCATTAGTCATTAAGGAAATGCAAATTAAAACCACGGTGTGATTCCACTAGAAACCATTAGTTATGTCTAAAACTTTAAAAAGTACTTATGATACAAACTGCTAATGACAATGGGGAGCAATTGGAACTCTCATAAATTGCTGGTAGAAATTCAAAATAATACTTTCTTGGGGGGAAAATAATTTGCAGTTTCTTATAAAGTTAAGCATATAATGACCAAAATATTGCCCTTGGTATTTATTCTAGATAAATAAAAACTTAAATTCACAAAACAGCCTGTATGAGGGATTTATAATTACCAAAAATTTGGAAAAACGCTAGTGTCCTTCAAGGGGTGAATGAATATGCAAATTGTGGTATCTTCATACTATGGAGAAATTCTCAGTAACAAAAAGAACAACCTATTAATACACATAATTTGGAAGTATCTAAAAACCATCAGCCTGAGTTAAAAAGCCAGTCTCAAAGGGGCACACACTTTTTTATTCTACCTACATTCTTGAAAAGAAAAAACGAATGACATAGAACAGATTAGTAATTGCCAGGTGTAAAAAGGGTATGCCTACAAATGAATAACACAAGGAAGATTTGGGGGGTGATGTGGTGTTTTATGTGCTGATTTTATTGGTGATTACACAAATTTAAATATATGTTAAAATTTATGGAATTTTACAAAAATGACAGTGAATTTTACTGCAAACTGAAAACTAAAAGCAGTGGATTAAAGAAGAAAGATATAAATGGAAAAATAAGATTTTAAAAAACAAATCTTCTCTGTATAATTGGTTAGCCATTTGAGGGAAAATGAAAATTTAAGGACTAACTCTATATTATGCACCAAAAATACCTGTCAGATTGAATTAAATTTTAATTCAAAAAACCCAAAACAACAACAACAAAGCCCTAGGGTAAATATAGTTTGCGTTTATCTGTAATATGGAAGGAATAATAAAATAGCACCGATGTATATGACAAAATTAATACTTTAATTTTGGCAAAAATGGCTTATGCAAAATTAAAAATTAATAAAAAATTTATCAACAATCAAAATCTGATAGTTGTTATGTACTAAACATAAGAGATTATAAAACTCTTAAAAATAATAATTCTTCTGTGTTACCATTCATGCATGTGTAAAGTTCGGTAGTATAAGTTGCATAAAGAGGAAATTCTAATAAAACATACAGAGAAGTGTTCTACCTCCTAATCAAAAATAAAAATTGTCATAGCTATGAGTTATCATTTTCCACTTGTTTCACTAGCAAAATTAAGGAAAAAATGCACTACCTAATGCTGATAATAGTTCAATAAAACTGACATTCCCATGACTTGATTGTATTCTAAAAGCGGTTATAATCATTTTGAAAGCCATTTAAAAATATAGATGAAAAACTTAAGTTGCTAATAATCTTTGAAACAATATCTTTGAGGCTTTGGGTATTTACCCTAGAATTTCCCAAAACATATGAAACACAATGTAAATGCCTAAGGATATTTATCCTGGACTTATTTACAAAAGTGAGAAGAGCCCCAATATATAATAGAATATTGAACTCATTCCTAAAGTTTCATGGAACACTAATCCAGAAGCTTTATGATAAAAGAGTTCAGTGGTCAAATAGATTAGAAAAACTGCACATAATCTTCAATTTTGAAGTTACAATACAAACCAAAACAGTAAAGATTCTACAGGAAATAATTCTGCTAAAATTCATTTAACCCATATTTTTCCAAGTTAATTTGTACTTAGATCTCATGCATCCTATGTAATATTCGTTAATATCATATATAATAAGTTTTGGGAAAATAAGTGAGTAAATAGGTTAGGATTTTAATTTTTTTGATCTATTTCAAAATTGGTATGATTGTATCACTTTGTAATAGAAAAATGTGTACAAACAATGACTAAGCTCAAATTACTGCCTCAATATTTTATAATCCATTAGGAAGAGAAAGCCATTTTTAATTACTAAGGGCTACACTGTGAAAGAGTTTATTCTGCCTGGAGGGGAAATATGGAAGGAAGGTGTCAAATAAAGTACTTCCTCAATGTGGTTGAGATATAAACTATTCATAAGAAGGAATTATTAATTTTCAAACAATTAAAATTTAATTTGTGATAACTAAGAATTTTCTTTGAATGAAGAGTGTTATAAACGGTTACTCTTGTCTTATCTGAGATTAATGTAAGTATATGAAACTAGGAACCGTGGAGTCATGGTGGAAAGAACTTGGCCATTGGTATTAAATAGACCTTTGTCAAAAACCCAGTTTTATTTCTTAGTCAAGGTACTCAAACATTCAGTATGGTTTGATCATAATAATGGCAACTTACCTAGCAGAGTTATTTAAGAATTAGAGAAAACTTTAACCCAGTGCTCGGTTCATTAAAGGTGTCACTAAGTCGTGGCAAGAATTTGTGTAGAGGAGGCAGAATTCCACCCCCATCTTCTTAGGGTCTTGACTGGGCTGAAGAACAATTATCTCACACATTTTCTATAGGTCTGGAGTTCAGAAGAAGCTTGGTTAGGAAGCATTTGCTGAGGTTTTTTCATGAGGTTGTAGTCAGGATGTTGGCCATGACATCAATAATCTCTTGAAGGCTTGATTGGATTTGGAGGGTCCATTTTCAACATGGTAGTTCACACACATGGCTTGCTTGAGTGTCTTCACAACATGGCAGCTGGTTTCCCTCAGAGATGATCTAAGACAAACAGTGTAAGGCAGAAGTCTTGTGAACTAGCCTGAGGAGTCACACACCATCATTTTTGCAATGTGTGCTATTGGTTACATATGTTAGCCCTGTTTATTATGGAAGGGGACTATATGACAGCATGAATACCAAGAGGTGAGGTTCAGTAGGAACAATCTTAGAAGTGGCTAGAACAGCTTCATTTTCTCAGGCTACAATATGATTTCTTTGTTCTGGGGAAACAAAGGCTATTGGCAACTCATTGCAGACATCTCAGCTTGCAAATGAGGGGAAAAGAAAGCAACTCTCAGCATCTGAACACCAAATCTCTCAGAACTTCTCTGACCTGGTGTGGCTCATATGTCCTCCTTTGGACTAAGTTACTGCAATCTGTTAGTCTTGGGGCCATGTTTCTAAACCCTGAGGTTAGGGACAGGGCACTATCGTTGAAAGAATCACTTGAGTAAGTGGGATGGAGAAAGAGATGAATGATGGAGCCATTTCAGGGTAGATGGGCCGAAAAAAATCATATCCTCTTCATCATTATGTCAATTCCTAAACAAGACAGAGTTAAGAGGAATCATGCTTTGTTAGATGAATCTGGAAATTACCATTGTTTTTTTATAGATTGGTACCTCAGAGTTATTTAATAAGCATCAGTAGTAAGTAAAATATTGATACATTCTCCTTGTTTTTCTCATGAAGTGGTAATTTTTAATAAGACCTAGGTTATTTTATTCCTTCACTGAAATATTTTAATGATAGTCTTTATTTTATGATTCTTTAGAATATGAGTCAAACCATTTATTCATTAATTACTGTTTTACAAGTACAAGTACTACACATTGTGTTAGTGTCTCTTAATTTTTGAAGAACAACTTCATCAGCTTAAACATTTAAAGACAATAGATCTTTAGTAAGAACAGAATGTTCATATTTTATCATACATATTCTACACCTAGAATTAACTCTAAAAGAAGAATATGCTCTAGTAACACCTCTAAGTGATCACATTAGGAAAAATTGTCCTTTTTTTTTTTTTTTTCTTAGATGGAGTTTCACTCTTGTTGCCCAGGCTGGAGTGCAATGGTACTATCTCGGCTCACTGCATCCTCCGCCTCCCAGGTTCAAACAATTCTTCTGCCTCAGCCTCCTGAGTAGCTGGCATTACAGGCATGCACCACCATGCGCGGCTAATTTTGTATTTTCAGTAGAGACGGGGTTTCTCCATGTTGAGGCTGTTCTCAAACCCCTGACGTCAGGTGATCCGCCTGCCTCGGCCTCCCAAAGTGCTGGGATTATAGGCGTGAGCCACCGCGCCCGGCTGCAAAGTTGTCTTATAAGGTCAATATGGCACACTATTTAAAAATAATTAGACCAATAATAATTATTTAACCCAATTAACAATAGAAAAAGCAATTTCTGCTGTGGACTTCCTATGTTTATTTTTTTAAAAATAATTCTGTATTTAACTTAATTCACCATGTTAAACAATAATTACTGCCAATTTCTTTAAAAACACACGTATTTCTTATAGATGAATAACAGCCATGTAATTTAAGGGAGAAAAACTTGTTTGAATATGACTTTTAGGTACTTTTCATAGATGATTTTACATTTTAGAAATTCACAGAGTATCCTTTATAGTTACTGTAAAGTGGTAGGTCATGTGATTTATCATGTTAAACTAGATTAAATTACACCCCAAATTATAAGAATGGAAATCTATCTAGTGTAAAGAGGAAAAAAAAATAGCCTGTACCTTTGTTACAGAACTTAGTATTTCCTGTGTATGGATATGTTTCAAGGATTGCACCTTCACTAAAAAATACTAAAGAAATAAGGTTATTCATAGGGGACAGTTTTGTATGTTGATATTTAATTTTCCTTCAATACCAGATTACTCCAGACGGTCCTAGTTGGCTTGTCCCATATCACTAGGTTAGTATTTATATAACCTTGTCCTTCAGAACTTAACGATATTAGCAATTACTTTATGAACTTGTGGCTGCTAGCCATTATATTCAGTGACCACGACAAATTCCTTGACACATATATTTGGAAAAATTTCCTCTAGACACTTCAAAAGGAACTTACCACTCATTTGAAATGCAATTAAGGTTACTAATACATGAATTTAAAACTAGAATTATCTGCAACAAAACCTATTTACTATCTCTTGTAAATGCACTGTCATCAAGAGGGCACAGTTGGAATAAAATTAATACATGCTGCAGTATGTGAGCCCAGAGGATATACCATATCATGGACAGAATGTCAGCCTGAACTTAAAATTTCCCATCTCATAGATTTGATTTTCAACTTTGACTGTATTTGAATATTATTAATATATTTGCCCACAAGTAATTGTTTTAGAAATTACTCCTCAGCAGCAATATAAAATCTCAAACTGTGATGGCAACACTTACCAAGAATACTGTTTTTTTATTGCTTCGTTACACCCACTGGGCCATTTTTATTGTTGAATTTAATTGGTAAGTGTTCATTTTTCCAAACAATACAAACACATCAGGGCAAAAGTGTGTTAGAATTAGCAAAGAATAACAGATGGTAATATGAGGGTTAGCATATATATAGCTCTGTAAGTAGAGCTCACTTCTGGAATATCCTAATATCATTTGGAAGGAAATGCTTGTGCTTAATGAACAACAGGACACTTTCAACAGGACACAAGGCAATGTAGAATTGGCTGGGCCCATGTCTGTGTCTATTAATGGCTGTTTTGAGGTATGCCAAGCAAAACAAGTTTGAGCTATTTAAATTTGGCTTATTGTTATCACCTAACATACAAGGCATACAAATCTAAAAATATCAGATTTTTGGTGGTGAGCAGGAAGATAAAGACAAGTATTTCTGTAATGCCTCTTTCTAGGTAGTAATAAAGAATTTATTAACACTTTAGATCTGCAAATCTACAAACCAGTCCAAATTTGCTCAATAATATTGAACCTTCCTTTTTTCTTCTCTTTCGGGTTCCCTTATTCCTGATTCAAATCTCCCCTCAGTTCTCACTTGTGTCTCTAAACAGAGGTTTGAATACTATGAATTGTCATAAGTCTGTGAAATTAATATTTTATATAAGATCTCAAGGTATAGACTGAGGCTAGCAATGTATATATTTGTGTTAGGCTCTGGTTAGTTTGGTTTCCTTGTCTGAACCACAGAAGAGATGATTCCAGTGACATTTTCTCAGTTGCCCTATGTATGGTTCCTATCTATGCCATTCTGGATATGTAAGAGGGAAGTTAATCCATCACTTGCAGTTTATGCCATAGGTCATACCTAATGGATCCTCTCTCAGAATCCCAGTTGAGAAACACAGTTCATAAGAAGTCAGGGATGACCTTGGGGCCAACTTTAGTATATGAGCAAAACTTAACCCTAAAAGACAAGAATTCCACCTGAAAAAAACTGTAGAAATGTTGGAGTTACCAGTTAAGGAATGGATTGTACACCTAATGAAGAGAAAAAAAAATGCTGGTTTTTCTGCTAAGCCTAGGAGGCTGTTGGGCTTTCTAAGAGAACTTGCTCTAAATCAGCGTATATTCTCTGCTCAGCAGCAATCCAGCTGGATTGTTTCTAATTCCATTTGGATATTTATTTTTATTTACTTGTCTTTGTAACCAGTGTTAGAGCTGAACTGCCAGTCCTAAAGAGAAAAGAAAAAAAGAAATGAAATAGAAATGCTTAAAAGCAAAAAGTTCCTAATACCATGAGAAGATATTTCTCTAGATATTTGAAAATATTTTAAAAAGTATGCACACGGCTGGGCGCGGTGGCTCATGCCTGTAATCTCAGCACTTTGGGAGTCTGAGACAGGCGGATCACAAAGTCAGGAGATCGAGACCATCCTGGCTAACACGGTGAAACCCCATCTCTTCTAAAAAATACAAAAAATTAGCAGGGTGTGGTGGCAGGCACCTGTAGTCCCAGCTACTCGGGAGGCTGAGGCAGGAGAATGGCTTGAACCTGGGAAGCGGAGCTTGCAGTGAGCAGAGATCGCGCCACTGGACTCCAGCCTGGGCAACAGAGCAAGACTCCGTCTCAAAAAAAAAAAAATAGTATACACACGTATTTGTATGTAAACACATTCGCACAATAACTTGCTAAAACACACAGCAGAATCAGTGTGTTTCTTTCAATGCACTTTCCCATGTGAAGCAAGACTATTATAGGTAGGATTTAGCACGAAATACTGTTTTAATTGCCATTGGTCTTTCATCTCTCCACTCCGAGTCTCTCTCCATAGTGTTGCCAGCAGTATCTTATGAAACTACAAATCTATCATTTTACTTACTAAAATAAATCTAATGCTTTGTCTTTGTCCACAGAATAAACTTTGAAAATTCGGTTTCGTCTTTGTCCACAGAATAAACTTTGAAAATTAGGTTTCTGCCTCTTAAGGCTCTTCCTTTCCCATCTTTCCTCCGTGATTCCTGTGTACACTCCATTTCTGGTATTGAAAGGTGAAGTTTAGGTTATTGACTGCAGCTTCATGAATTCTAACAGGGTGCACGATTTCTAGACCCACTTACTTAATGACATGCAACATCCCCTTTGCCATATTCACAGGTTCTGGAGAGTAGAGTGTGGACATTCTTGTGTGTGGAGCTTGCATCATTCTGCCTACCACAGCTACCCTGGGAGAAAGGAAGGCTGGGAAAGATAGTCTCTCAGTGTCCAACTGCATCCCAGTGACAACTCTACATTATTGTGGACAGCTACCATCGCTGTCCGAATAAACATACGACTCTACACAGTTGAGCCTCCTTTGCTATTTTACTCCACAAGTTATAAACCAATGTTAAAATAATATTTCCTAATTTTAATTAAATATATATCTATTATAAAGTTTTCAAGTTTAATGTTAAATGTTATTTTGAGTAAAATGTGTAAGTATTCCTCATGAGAACTTTGTTCCCTTCTGGTTTCTTCACTAACTTCATTCTCCTTACAAAAAGAATGAAATGGAATATCTATGTAATATTTTAAAAGTACATATATGTCTTTGTGTGTGTGTGTATCTGTGTGTGTGTATAGGGTGAGAGGGAGAGAAAAAAAGTCACCATAGGAAAGTTTTCATATTTTATAAGTTGATTTTTCTAAATTAATTATGGTCTTAAATAGTTTAAGCCACCCAAAGTGCTCCATTAGTTATCATGAGCTTGAGAAATAGATATGTATCACCAGTTAATTGAAAAACATATGGTGTTGATTAGTGTTTAGCACTCTTATTTTAATAGACTTCGATTAAATAAATGACTGCAGTGTACTTCCACAGTACAAGATGCCAGTTAAAAGCTGATGCTAGAAAAAGGTACTGAACAAAGAAACAAAGAAATATTAGTGAAGAATGGCCACGAAATTTTTGAAGAATTTGTTCATGTCTTTTTATATGTGGGAAGATGTTAGATTGTGTGATCTCCTCGTTTGTTATAATCTGGTATGTCATTACGCCCTGAGTCTAAAGCCAGTGCCTGAGTTCAAAACCCAGCTCTGCGACTTGCTGGCTGTGAATCAGTTTTCTCATCTGTAAATTGGGGATAATTACAGTACCTACCTCATTGGCAGTGCTTTGAGTATTAAGTGAATTAGATTTGTAGTTAGTAACATTATTTAAGTGTTTATAATCATTTATAAACAAACACTAAAAATACTGACATTTTCATTAATGTCCTTCATAAAATACCAGTTGATTATGAGCAATCTCAAATACGGTATTGGTGCCAGTTACTCTAAATACTTCTTTTGAACAAGACATATTTTATGAATACTGGGGTCTAACCTATCTAGTAAGAGCATGAAATTAAGTAAGATGCTGAGATCTCAGTAGGAAATTATTCTCATGAGACCAAAAATATATCAAATTCTTATGACCCAGCTCATTTGCCCCTTGTATACAGACTTACAAGGAAAGTCAGATCAAAATCAGAAGGTTGCATGATGGTCATGAAATCAGGACAGGTAAAGTGAAATGATACAATAATTTTATAACTTCAGGACATGGCAGCCTGCAATGTCTCTGACGACAGAGATGGTCATGCCACTAGCCAAGTTTTAACTACAAGACTTATCTCCACTGAAGAGTGCTTTAACAAACCCAGGTGACACTCCCTTCTGTGACTTGTTCCTGTGTTTCCATGGTTGACCATTTCCTTGAAGTCAGTATTTCTTCATGTCTCTGGATGTGTTTATTCAAGTTACGTCAAATTACTTCTGAACTCATGCTCGTCTGGGAGCATTCTTTCTCTCCAAGATGACTTTGAAGATTTTTTTTCTGATACATTATGTATTGATTTCAAAGATTAATTCTTCAGAGACCTTTCTTATTTTGAAGTTCCTAAAGAAAAACCTCACTTTCTAACTCCAATTACGTGAAGTAAACTTGCTTAATTAAGCAATCAGAATGCAAAACTAGTAGAATTTGGAAACATTATTTAAGAGTGTGTGAGTGTTTGTCCAGGAAAGTCCCAAGTTGTGCCTATTTACAATTTTAGTAAAATATTATTAAAAGTTGAACTAAAACAAGCCAACATGAGTTGAGTAGAGATCTACCCTTTCATGCCACCTTCTGCCACTGTCCTGTCATGCAATAAATGAAGTTATCAGGTTAACACGTGGTTAAATGTACAATACACTCAGCAATAACATCCCTTTATCTGCACAGATTTCAGACAAAATAACATCTTTCTCCCCAGGGTGCTTTTCCAGGTGGGACAGAAATCTTTTATTTTTAAAAAAGAAAGTGGACAGGGCATGGTGGCTCACACCTGTAATCCCAGCACTTTGGAAGGCCAAGGCGGGTGGATCATGACGTTAGGAGTTCAAGACCAGCCTGGCCAAGATGGTGAATCGCTATCTCTACTAAAAATACAAAAATTAGCTGGGTGTGGTGGCAGGTGCCTGTAATCCCAGCTACTCAGGGGGCTGAGGTAGGAGAATTGCTTGAACCCGGGAGGCGGAGGTTGCAGTGAGCCAAGATCGCACTGCACTCCAGCCTGGACGACAGAGTGAGACTCCATCTCAAAAAGAAAGAAAAAGTGAACATTGAATGGGTAGATCATATTTAAATACATGTATTATTTGTTTTAGGAAAAAGAGATTGCCACTGTCCATGGTTTTTGCGCATAAAATTGTAGTTTAGCTTGCATTAAGCCTGCAATAATAGTTGTTTTACTAACGAGCACCATTGAATTACAAACGAGTATGACACAATATTATATCTAAACATTTGCCTATTATGCCATTTAATTTGGCTCAAATGTTCTCTTAGTATTTCGTTTCTGTCCCGTTATTATTGATCTATACATTTATTACTTGAAACTTGCAATTTTAAAGTTTCTACAACCTTTTCAGTTTTTATCACTGGAATTTTGGATCGAGTAAAGTAGATTGCTCTCTCATTGGTAGATTATAGATACAGTGAACTGAAGTTGATAGTAAATAACAATATCCAATGTACAGCAAGGTATCTCCTGATTTCAGCATTTCTGGGAGAAAACTCATGTTTATTTAAAACACATTTTAACCTACCTAAAAACTCAGGACAAGGCAGGATTTAAAAAAAAAATAAGATTAAAAAAATGGCCAAGTGACATCACTACAAATTTTAAAAACAGGTATCTATGGAGCCACAAATCTATAACATCTTAGATGTGAAGGAAGTTCATGGCAATGTAGTCCATTTGTCCTTTTTCGTTTTGTTTTGTTTGAGACGTAGTTTCACTCTTGTCACCCGGGCTGGAGTGCAACCTCCTCCTCCCAGTTTAAGCGATTTTCCTACCTCAGCCTCCTGAGTAGCTGGGATTATAGGTACCTGCCACCACGCCTGGCTAATTTTTGTGTTTGTAAGTAGAGACAGGGTTTCACCATGTTGGACAGTCTGGTCTCGAATTCCTGACCTCAGGTGATCCACCCTCTTCGGCCTCCCAAAGTGCTGGGATTACAGGCATGAGCCACTGTACCTGGCCCCGTTTGTCTATCCTTGAATCTAGTACCATCAAGTCTTTTGTTTCTGTAGTTGAATTCTGAGAGCATCATCAAATGCAAAAGTTTTATACATTAGCACACACAGTATTGAAGATTTGAGATCTGCCACAATGAGAGGAAAATTAAATGATAAAACATGTTGAAATGATTTATCTCCCTTGAAGTCAAAGCAAACAAAAATTTTTAAGATATATTTTAAAGACAAAACACCATGTTGCCCTGACGTCAATAATGGTTCCATGAACATGAGTGTGAAATATCACTTTTCCAAGTGGGCCAGGATTTATTGCATTGGAAGGGAATAGAGATCATTTGTTCACCTCCTTCTTACAAATGGGAGAACAGAGTCAGAGGGGTGAAGGGTTTGCTGGAGGCCACACAACTTGAACATGTTACAGTCAGCACACTTTGATAATCCTTGCTTTTTGTACCACTACTGTAAGTAAATTAATGATCAGAACTCCTAAAAGTGATCTTTGAATTCACCAGAGAATTGGAGTTGATATTTAGTTTAAAATTCACATACTGACAAAGTGAAACTCATAGTTTTGTACCCTACATTTCTTAAATCTTAACCTAAATAAAAAACGGAACTTCCTTTTTTTAATTAACAGTTCTTTCACAGCATAAAAGTAAAATATAAAAAATGCAAAAAAAAATTTGTTGAAAACTAAATTTAAAAAAAAAACTAAAGCTACAGAAAAGGTGAAAAAATAACTAATAGTTCTAAGACCTCCATTTTGCCAAGTTCCATTTTAATTATAAAGAAACATTCAAAAGGGCAATTATAGTTTAATAATCTACTAAACCCATTTTTAAATGAAAATATATGTATTAATGATACAATAGAAATATACTTTTATAAGTAACTTTCATAAAGAATCCTTGGTTTTAAAACTTTCCATTCTCGGGAGGCCGAGGCGGGTGAATCACGAGGTCAGGAGTTTGAGACTAGCCTGGCCAATATGGTGAAACACCGTCTCTACTAAAAATACAAAAATTAGCTGGGCATGGTGGTGTGTGCCTGTAGTCCCAGCTACTCAGGAGGCTGAGGCAGGAGAATCGCTTGAACCCGGGAGGCGGAGGTTGTAGTGAGCCAAGATTGCACCACTGCACACTGCACTCCAGCCTGGGCGACAGAGTGAGACTCCATCTCAAATTAAAAAAATAAGTAAATAAATAACTTCTCATTCTCTGAAGATCAAAGCACTTGAGAAGAGCAGAATGCATACTGTTACCTTTAAGATAATTTTTAAGATAATTTAATTTTAACTACCCGAGTTAGATGACTGTGAAAAATAAAAACAAAAAATGTCCAAGGAACTTCCTCTCTTAATACTATATGTAAACTTAACTATTCATGCTATAGTTTTAACTCATTATTTTTCTTTCATTAATAGAAGTGGACAGAAGCTAAAAACCACCTTCAATTAATAATATTCCTTTATTTGCTTTAAGACTTTTATTAAGGCTCTTCCTTGCCTCCTTTTCAGGTCTAAGAAACCCAGTTTTTTACAATTTAATTTTAATACTTAATCTTTCACATTTTTTCTTAGATCTATATTTCTATCCATATCCATCATTTCTCTATTTGGAGCTTAAATCTAAATATAATGCATTTGCAAAATATAAATATAACAAAACATTTACTAAAGTCTCCTACATATGAAAAAAATCTCTATTGTATATGTATAATTATTTTTTATCTTAAATTTACTACCCTGCAGTACATTTTTATTTATAATAACTGCTATAAGTAATTTTCAATTTGGATTCTTTTAACAGTCTAGACTTAGTTCTACAAACTTATTAAACAATCTTTCAAACTTATTTGGATAATAGAAAAATATGTTAAATGGTACCATAGTGAAAAATGAATACTACCTAGTTTATCTTTTTAATGAGTTTCTACTCTCTCTAAGTCAAATTCGATAGTGATACATTAGTCAATGTATCTAGTATAGCAAATAAATTTCTTCTTATATGGTAAATCTGAGTAATTTGTGGATCCCTGCAATGTGTCCTGTGAAACCAAATCCAGCCTCTGAAGGAAAGATTGTCATAATTGATTAGTTATGTCTGTCATGGATGTGCATCAGGTGATCAAGTTCTTCATATGGGAAAGAGTTAACTTATTTCTTTCAACTTTTACTCAAGTATGTTTGGGATTAGGGATACAGCTGGGATATTTAATTCATTTAACTAAAAAACATGGTTTTGGTTAGGTGGTAATTTGTTTTAAGACATTTTCTTGACAAATATTTTTCCTTGGAAATTTGGGTTACTTTCTAATTTTAATATTAATTATTGCAAGAGAGTTAATTGGTATAGTAGTTATGTATTTATGCATAATAATATTACAGAAGCTTTATGTCTTAAGACAACACACATTTATTAGCTCACAATTTCTGAGGAGCAGTAGTCCACACATTGCCTAACCAGGACTTCTTCCAGGCTACAATAAAGATATAGGCAGGGATGTGTTTTCATCTATCGTTCAACTGGGGAAGGAACCACCTCCTCACTCATATGTTTGTTTGCGGCATTCAGCTGCTTATTATGGTTTCATTTTTTGACTGGTTGTTGGCCAGAGACTACCCTAAGATCCTTGCCACATGATCCTCTTCACAGGGAAACTCATAATAAGATCACATTTTTTTCAAATTGTAGAAGTGAAATGTAAGACAACATGAAAAAGCTTTGGCAGCTTGCTTCTTTAAAGCTAGTGAAGGAGAGTCTATGGGCATTACTATCTTTTTGTAACATAATCCCACTCATGATGTATATCCCATCACCTTTACCATATTCTTTTTTTTTTTTTTTTTTTGAGACGGAGTCTCACTCTTTCGCCCAGGCCGGAGTGCAGTGGCCCCATCTCCGCTCACTGCAAGCTCCGCCTCCTGAGTTCACACCATTCTCCTGCCTCAGCCTCCAGAGTAGCTGGGACTACAGGCGCCCGCCACTGCGACCGGCTAATTTTGTGTGTGTGTTTAGTAGAGAGGGGGTTTCACCGTGTTCGCCAGCATGGTCTCGATCTCCTGACCTCGTGATCCGCCCGCCTCGGCCTCCCAAAGTGCTGGGATTACAGGCTTGAGACACCGCGCCCGGCCACCTTTACCATATTCTATTGGTAGAAGCTAGTTACAGGTTCTACCCTCCAGGAGAGTGGACTGTGGAAAGGTCTGATTACCTCAAGGTGGAAATTAGAGGGGCCATCCTAGAGTATATGTGCCACTGTTAGGATGCGTAAATTTTCAGGGAAATTTATCTGGGTATAAGAAAATATTCTCATATAGCCTGAAGATATCCTGAATCGTTAGTATCTGCTCTTCTCCTTTAATAGTGAAAGGGAGAAAACTGTAAAAGGAAACATTGATCTAAGAGTAATTATGACATTTATAAGAATTGTTATGGAAAAACTGGTTGCAGATAATATAAGAAAGTCTATATTACAAAAAGACTAGGCATGGACAGCAGTTGAAATCACCAAAGTATTAAAATATATTTTAAGAAGACAGAATCAATGAGAAAAGAAAGAAAACCTGAGACTTTAAGCATTATAAATGAGAGAAGGAGAAAGCAAAGCTGTCTCTTAAAAAAAAAAAAAAAAGAACAAAAGCATATAGCTACTGGATTTACAAGCCGAAATCTTCATCACAATTCTCCTCTTAGCCTTACTGTTAAAAGTCATAGTATGATATTGGCTGTGGGTTTGTCGTAGATAGCTCTGATTATTTTGAGATATGTCCCATCAATACCTAATTTATTGAGAGTTTTTAGCATGAAGCGTTGTTGAATTTTGTCAAAGGCCTTTTCTGCATCTATTGAGATAATCATGTGGTTTTTGTCATTGGTTCTGTTTATATGCTGGATTATGCTTATTGATTTGCATATGTTGAACCAACCTTGCCTCCCAGGGATGAAGCCCACTTGATCATGGTGGATAAGCTTTTTGATGTTCTGCTGGATTTGGTTTGACAGTATTTTACTGAGGATTTTTGCATCGATGTTCATCAGGGATATTGGTCTAAAATTCCCTTTTTGTGTTGTGTCTCTGCCAGGCTTTGGTATCAGGATGATGCTGGCCTCATAAAATGAGTTAGGGAGGATTCCCTCTTTTTCTATTGATTGGAATAGTTTCAGAAGGAATGGTCCCAGCTCCTCCTTGTACCTGTGTTAGAATTCGGCTGTGAATCCGTCTTGTCCTGTACATGTTTGGTTAGTAAGCTATTAATTATTGCCTCAATTTCAGAGCCTGTTATTGGTCTATTCAGAGATTCAACTTCTTCCTGGTTTAGTCTTCGGAGGGTGTATGTGTCGAGGAATTTATCCATTTCTTCCAGATTTCTAGTTTACTTGCATAGAGGTGTTTATAGTATTCTCTGATGGTAGTTTGTATTTCTGTGGGATAGGTGGTTATATCCCCTTTATCATTTTTTATTGCATCTATTTGATTATTCTCTCTTTTCTTCTTTATTAGTCTTGCTAGTGGTCTATCAACTTTGTTGATCTTTTCAAAAAACCAGCTCCTGGATTCATTGATTTTTTGAAGGGTTTTTTGTGTCTCTGTTTCCTTCAGTTCTGCTCTGATCTTTGTTATTTCTTGCCTTCTGCTAGCTTTTGAATGTGTTTGCTCTTGCTTCTCTAGTTCTTTTAATTGTGATGTTAGGGTGTCAATTTTGGATCTTTCCTGCTTTCTCTTGTGGGCATTTAGTGCTATAAATTTCCCTCTACACACTGCTTTAAATGTGTCCCAGAGATTCTGGTATGTTGTGTCTTTGTTCTCATTGGTTTCAAAGAACTTCTTTATTTCTGCCTTCATTGAATGGGCAAAAACTGGAACCATTCCCTTTCAAAACTGGCACAAGGCAGTGATGCCTTCTCTCACCACTTCTGTTCAACATAGTATTCGAAGTTCTGGCCAGGGCAATCAGGCAGGAGAAGGAAATAAAGGGTATTCAATTAGGAAAAGAGGAAGTCAGATTGTCCCTGTTTGCAGATGACATGATTGTATATCTAGAAAACCCCGTCGTCTCAGCCCAAAATCTCCTTAAGCCGATAAGCAACTTCAGCAAAGTCTCAGGATACAAAATCAGTGTGCAAAAATCATAAGCATTCTTATACACCAATAACAGACACACAAGAGAGCCAAATCATGAGTGAACTCCCATTCACAATTTCTTCAAAGAGAATAAAATACCTAGGAATCCAACTTACAAGGGATGTGAAGGACCTCTTCAAGGAGAACTACAAACCACTGCTCAATGAAATAAAAGAGGATACAAACAAATGGAAGACCATTCCATGCTCATGGGTAGGAAGAATCAATATCGTGAAAATGGCCATACTGCCCAAAGTAATTTATAGATTCCATGCCATCCCCATCAAGCTACCAATGACCTTCTTCACAGAACTGGAAAAAACTACTTTAAAGTTCATATGGAACCAAAAAAGAGCCCACATCGCCAAGTCAATCCTAAGCCAAAAGAACAAAGCTGGAGGCATCACGCTGCCTGACTTCAAACTATACTACAAGGCTACTGTAACCAAAACAGCATGGTACTGGTACCAAAACAGAGATATAGACCAATGGAACAGAACAGAGCCCTCAGAAATAATGCCACATATCTACAACTATCTGATCTTTGACAAACCTGGCAAAAACAAGAAATGGGGAAAGGTTTCCCTATTTAATAAATGGTGCTGGGAAAACTGGCTAGCCATATGTAGAAAGCTGAAACTAGATCCCTTCCTTACACGTTATACAAAAATTAATTCAAGATAATTAAAGACTTACATGTTAGACCTAAATCCATAAAAACCCTAGAAGAAAACCTAGGCAATACCATTCAGGACATAGGCATGGGGGGCAAGGACTTCATGTCTAAAACACCAAAAGCAATGGCAACAAAAGCCAAAACTGACAAATGGGATCTAATTAAACTAAAGAGCTTCTGCACAGCAAAAGAAACTACCATCAGAGTGAACAGGCAACCTACAGAATGGGAGAAAAATTTTTGCAATCTACTCATCTGACAAAGGGCTAATATCCAGAATCTACAAAGAACTCAAACAAATTTACAAGAAAAAAACAACCCCATCAACAAGTGGGTGAAGGATATGCACAGACACTTCTCAAAAGAAGACATTAATGCAGCCAAAAGACACATGAAAAAATGCTTATCATCACTGGCCATCAGAGAAATGCAAATCAAAACCACAATGAGATGCCATCTCACACCAGTTAGAATGGCAATCATTAAAAAGTCAGGAAACAACAGGTACTGGAGAGGATGTGGAGAAATAGGAACACTTTTACACTGTTGGTGGGACTGTAAACTAGTTCAACCATTGTGGAAGTCGGTGTGGCGATTCCTCAGGGATCTAGAAGTAGAAATACCATTTGACCCAGCCATCCCATTACTGGGTATATACCCAAAGAATTATATATCATGCTGCTATAAAGACACATGTACACATATGTTTAATGCGGCAGTATTCACAATAGCAAAGACTTGGAACCAACCCAAATGTCCAACAATGATAGACTGGATTAAGAAAATGTGGCACATATACACCATGGAATACTGTACAGCCATAAAAAAGGATGAGTTCATGTTCTTTGTAGGGACATTGGATGAAGCTGGAAACCATCATTCTCAGCAAACTATCACAAGGACAAAAAACCAACCACCGTATGTTCTCACTCATAGGTGGGAATTGAACAGTGAGAACACATGGGCACAGGAAGGGGAACATCACACACCAGGGACTGTTGTGGGGTTTGGGGAGAGGGGAGAGATAGCATTTGGAGATATACCTAATGTTAAATGACGAGTTAATGGCTACAGCACACCAACACGGCACATGTATACATATGTAACAAACCTGCACATTGTGCACTTAAACCCTGAAACTTAAAAGTATAATAATAAAAAAAAGTCATAGTCAGTCTAGCCTACATTATCTCTCTCTTCTCAAACTTCACAGAGAACTAGGGTATTGTGTGATGTGATGTACAAATATCCTAAGTGGCTAAACGAGTGCTAGCACATGGCAGGTACTTAACATATATTTGTCATATGACTTTTTAATAACTTGTAGGGTGCCTACTTTTTTTCTTGGCATAACTTTTCACCAGATATACATAAGAACAATCATTCTCTAACTCAGGTCTTCAGAAATTTTTCTGGGGCAAACCTTTCTTAAGTTTTATGTAAGCTGTTTTAGATCCAAAGTAGAGTAGAACTAGCTGAAAGCACAAAGATATTTGGTGCATTTTCAAGAAAATAGGGTTGATGTTTAAAGTAGCTTTAAAAAAATCTGGTCTGAGAACTCAAGAGCAGGACTCACAGTGCAGCCTCAGCATCCCTGGTGTGATGGCAGACACGCTGTGTGGCATAACTCCAGGGGGATCATGTTTTGCCAAGGAGGCCCTGATGGCATGACTGATTCAAGAAGATATCCCTAAAATAGGAACAGTAGGTCAGAATACAGGAAAAGATTTGTGTACTGTTGGCTAAAAAAATGTAATAATAGTAATATAATATAATTTTTCATTGGTCTTTGAAACTTTGAGGAATACATTCGTGACGTTGAAATTTAAGACATATCTGATCTATTATTTATATAGTAGTAGATTCTACTTGAATGATTTACCTTTTTTAACAAAATGTTGTTGTTTTTATTTTCGAGGTTAAACTATGGGCTCCCATTTGGCCTCAAAAATATTTTAGTGCTTTCATGGTGAGTCATTTGAAGATTAAGGTAAAATTTCTTTTTGAAACTGAGGACTCAAAATAGAAATTCTGATTTGAAGCTTACAATTCTAAAAAGTCTACTGCTTAAAAGGAAGAAAGGAATGCATTTAAAAGTTCCATTCTGTATCTCATTCTGCCACTCTGGGCTTAATTTTTGTAGGTGAGTCTGCAAATATTCAGTTAAGACTTCCATCAACTTGTAAAAGCCATGGTTGTATTGAGACCAACAAATTTAATGTGATGCTGTGATGTGATAAAAACTGTACTTGAAATGCAATCCATTAACCTTCATTTGCCTTATGTAGTCTTCTATAATGTAATTTCCTGTCATAAAAGTAAGATGTTCCTAATTAAAATGTTCTCATTTTTGAAGTTCCTAAGTGATATTTAAGTTAGGAGGTGATGTAAAACAATTAATGCTTTTTAGTAAAGAACTTATGATAACATGTGACAAACAGTTTAGATTATCTTCTGTTCTGTGACTTTCCCCTGGTTTATCTTTAGTATCTGAGTTGTGTGGCTAAATATTGGTGAGTTCGTTAGCTGTGCTGTACACACACACACACCACTGAAGCTGAATGTTGTGTTAGAATATGTGTATGTTAGATATTTACAGAATTATAGTAATGCCATTTTTATGTCTTGGGAATTTCCAGATGCTGTAGTTTTAATTTTAAATTCACACTGCACTCTAGTGGGGAATTAGATCAAAGCAAAATTATTTTTATAATGGTACTTTACAGCTTGTGAACTATTTACAATTTTAATAGTGAAATATAGAAGATATTGTGACCCACTATAATTTTCTCAAATGCTAATGTTATAAATATGATTTTATATATTATATATAATATATATTTAATGTTTTACCATAACAGTAAAATAAATTTTTCTACATTAGTCTTGAATATAGAGGAAGATTCACTACTGAAGTAGTTTATTTGATTTATATATATATGTATTCCAAATATGATGCATAAAATCTATATACATTATATATGCATATGTATAATTTATACACATATATACAGTATGTATATGCATATACAGATGTAAGCAATACTCTCTAAATCCTAATACAAGGAAATGCTGAATAAAAGTTACTACGTATTTTTTTCATCGAAAAAAGGCCAAATTTCTTTCACAAGTTTTATGAATAAAAATGAGATTTAAAAATATTTGCCTATAATGGTTCATTACTAGTCTTAATTTTCTGAAGCAATTTAACTTAAATCCTGCATGGGCAACTTTGAATGGCAATGTGTGGCTAGAGCCACCTTTCAAATCACCTAATAGCTTTTTTTTTCTCATTTTTTCTAAGTTATTTCAAATTAATTTTAGTGCTTTTAAAATCCACTTATGATAATTGTCTCTGGAAATTATATTCCAAGTAAGCAGTATCTAATCCCATGACATGAGTACAGTATTTTTCTCTTTTTACTTTATATATGCTTATTCATGATTTCCACAACCTTTTACCATTTTTAAAGGTGATTTTAAATGCTTTCTGCAAAATGACGTATTACAGTAGCAGTTGTATCATCATATTCTTACAAATAATAAATCTTTGTTATATTTTTACCTTCATTTTATGAGCTGGTCAAGAAAATTGTATAAGAATTATAAACTCCATTAGGATTTGTATATATCATACAAATTACAACTCCCCTTCTGTGAAATGGACTAGACTGATATCTTCCCATACAGTACTTTTTTTCCATAATAAAGCAATTTTAAGAACTCTTTATAAGAGACTCTATAAGGAAGTCAGTATTGGTGGATTCTTCTTTTCAGAATAAGTTTTTTTGAGCAAAACTTTTGTAAAATTTGGGGAATATTTAGACATTAAATTTTATTTTTTCAATGAAGTTATTTTTAAAGAAATGGCCAAAATCTGTCACCTGTTGTGTTCTGTATAAATATTACTAAAACTTAAGAATATAAAGCTGCTTACCAAATAAACTTGTAATTTTGACTTTGTAATGAAATAGCCAGCTGTCATCTACCCTGACTAGTTGTATTTCAGTGTTATCGCCATGAAGTATCTCTAGATTAGATTTTTATTTTATTTTCCGTTGAACCAAAAATAATTTCTGGAGATATTATCATATCAAGATTTCTAAAGGAATTTTCAGTGTTTAGCCTTGGTCTCTACCACTATTTATATGAGAGTGTCTGTGCTAAATGTCTTCTAGATATGTAAATTCCTATCTGCCAACTTTTAAAAAAATTACACAGTGGGAGAAGTCATTGTAAAACAAGAATATTTTGGTTTATACCATTTAGAGTCGTATGACTTTGTAAGTCATTTGTAAAACTACTTACACTGTGGTTTATTGTGCACTAAACTGTCTGTTAGTGGCTGTCATCTACAGACGTTTCATTGTCAATTCAGATTGTCTTAGAAACTTGAGATTCTTGGAGATTTTAGAGGTTTGCCACTTTGACAAGGCATCAGATGCAAGAACAGTGACTAAAGGCAATCATAGACAAAACGATGTAACCTGGCTTGTTAAAGTTGAGATAAAACACACTATTTGCAGGGAAAGTTTTCTACTCATTAAAATTGGGTTTGGTTGTCAACTAAAATACACTATTTTACATACTTTCATTTTATATTAATGATTGTGGGAGTTGCAATAGGGTTAAAACACTAAAGCAAATATGAAGTTTATAAATTGTTAATTATGTGATGGTTGGCTTGGATATCTCTGTGTGTGTGTGTGTGTGTGTGTGTGTTTGTGTGTAAATGGCTTATAATCTTAATTGAAACTGATAATAAATAGAAGGAATCAGTTGAGGTGTATTAGATTTTTTGTTAGTGGGTTGGTAGCCCAGTTATTCAGAAGGAAAATTTGAATTAGATAAAATGACTTACAACTGTGTTCCATATTGGATTTTTCAACCCTCAACCGTTTCTTTTCTGAATTGAATTTACCTACCTAGTCACAGGCAGGAGAATTCTGAGCTTTTCACAGAGGGCTGGGGAGCCTTTCCATTGTAAGTTTGTATACGGCAAGTAAGAAGATAGGAGAAGGTCATTTCAGGCAAATTTGAGATAAAGAGCCATCCGATGGTGGACCGCACATGAAGCAGTGAATGTTTCCCTCATTCTTCAAATCACATAATTTATTTCTACCGTGAGATGAATGAGCAAGGGATAAAGAGAACAGAAGTTTCTTTCTCAGTTCTTTCCCAGAGCACACAAGTTCTCAAGAGGTTCCTGTTTTATTGTCAAGGAGAGAAAATGGTCTCTGCTCTATTTTCCAAATTTTAAAAAATATTAAATAAAACTTTTACTGTATAATTGTCTTAGAGTTGCAGAAAAGTTGCCAAATTGGTAGAGTTCCCATAGACCTCCCATCCAATTTTCTCTATTGTCGATATCTTTTGTAAATACGGTACATTTATTACAACTAACGAACTAATAATACATTATTATTAATGATACTCTACGTTTTATTTGGATTTCATTAATTTTTCCTCCGATGTCCATGTTTTATTTCAAGGCCCCATCCAGGATACCACATTTCATTTAGTTTTAGTATTTCTTTAGGCTCCACTGGGCTGTAACAATTTCTCAGACTTCCCCTAGTTTTGATGACCTTGACAGTTTTGCATATTGGTCAGGTATTTTGTATACTGTTCCTTAGTTTGTGTTTGTCTATTATTTCTGTAAGGAAGATCACAGAGGTGAAATACCATTGTTAGCACGTCATATTAAGGATTCTTGCTATCAATGTGACCTGTCACTGTTGATGTGAAACTTGATGTGGCTGAAGTATTATTTGTCAGGTTTCTTCACTATAAAGCTACTTTTCTCCTCTTTCTGTACCACACTGTTTAGATGCAAGTCACTAAGCATAACCTATACTTAAAGAGGAAGAAGAGTGTTGTGCCCTATCCCGCTTTGAATGGAGGATGTCTATTTAAGTTATTTGGAATACTTCTAAATGAGAGTTTGGTATCTATCTCCTTCATTTATATTTATATCAGTATATACTCATTGAAATTTATACTTTAGGTATTAATCCAATAATATGTTGCTTTGATTATTGCTCAAGTTGCTCCAGCTTTGTTTCTTCGGAGTTTTTTCAGTTGGCTTCTGTGTCTACAACTTTTGATTCTTAATTAGGTTACACGAATTGTAGGGTCCAGCAGAGACCCATGCCAGGGGTGGCGTGGGTTAGAGAAGATGAGCACTTCTCAGGGCAGTCTTGATACCAACAGCTGGTCCTTTGGCAAAGGTGGTGACATTTCAGCTTACGTCAGAACAGTGCACTAAATAAATCAACTGCAAGAACCACATTGCATCCCAGAAAAATATTGTTTCTACTTTTATTTTTTCTCAAATTAACTCACATACATTTTTTAATATAGCTTACTAAAAATGAGTCATCTTATGTGTGCCACATTTTAATTATTCCTGTGAGTCTGCAAGAGTAAATCAGTATCCACATCTAGAAAATTAAAACACACTCACACAAACAAACACCTCATTCCTTTGATAATTACTCTCAGGATAATTCCAGTTCTTGAACATGTTAAATAGTGCTGTCTATACCTACATTACTGTATTAAGCCAGACATCTTTCCAGTGTCTTAATGGTTCTGAGGGGTGAAGGTTAGGAGGGAAAAAAGTGGACAAATTGATAAATTATTTTGGGTTCCAAGACAGTCACCTAACGTTTATGTATGACTGCTGAACTTTTTCTCAGTGGAACTCAAATATGTCAAATTTCCATTTAAAAATTTAAGCATGTCGTTTTTACCATATTGGGGAGGAAAATTGCTTACGAATATTGCCTCCTACTTCAGAGAGTGCCATTTGAGCCACTGCAGTTTTCCTGCAAAATCTATAATTTTTTTTTTTTTTTTTTTTTTTTTTGAGACCGAGTCTTGCTCTGTTGCCCAGGCTGGGATGTAGTGGCGTGATCTCGGCTCACTGCAAGCTCTACCTCCCGGGTTCACTCCATTCTCCTGCCTCAGCCTCCCGAGTAGCTGGAACTACAGGCGCCTGGCACCACGCCCGGCTAATTTCTTGTATTTTTTAGTAGAGACGGGATTTCACTGTGTTAGCCACGATGGTCTCGATCTCCTGACCTTGTGATCCACCCGCCTCGGCCTCCCAAAGTGCTGGGATTACAGGCGTGAGCCACCGTGCCCGGGCATCTGTAAATGTTTTATGATGTCCTACCCCAGCCACAATAATTTGAGGTTCTCTTTTTTCCTTAGTGTCAATACCACATATTTTCTATTTCCTTTTAAAGTTGTCATTTTTGCAACTTAGTACAAAATTAATTGTTGACATTGCCTGATAATATAGTCTTTATTTTCTCAGGTGAGCAGGGAATTTCTCATGTGTAAGCAAATAAATCTCAGAGGCTTGAAAGAAAATTCTCCAATATTTTCCCCTGCTAAATTGTTAGCACATGTTCTTATTTTGTGGGTCAAGATGGAAATGTGAATCAAATAAGAAAATATTTTCTTCCAAATATATGCATACATTTAGCAAAAATGATGTGTTACAAGGGCACACCTACTGTGACTATCTCTGTAGCATTGCCTAATTCTGGCAAACCTAAGCTGTTCACGCTGGAGGAAATAAGTTCTTTGGCTTATTTCTTTGAAATTTATTGATTTATTTTTTCATAATAAATGGTCATCATGTGCAATTTTTTAAATACAGAAATGCTAAAGGAAACCAAGCCAACTCTAATCTTGCCACTCAGAATGAAATAATTCTAATACTTTTTCTAAGTCAAGTTTGTGCTTCATATGGTAGTAAATATACTCTACGTAAATTTACATCTTATTTTTGGTTTTTACTTATACACAAAATATTTTCCCATATTATAAAACTTTCCTGATCTGCTTTTAATGGCTATGCATATTGTGATTTTAGCACACCATCATTTACTTAATCATTTTACTACTTAACAATATTTGAGATAAAAGATTTAAAAGCATAAATCAACTCTAGACAAAAGAAGTTTTGAAATGTTCTGATTATAACCTGGATAGATACTTACATTTTTTTATTTATATAAAATAAGGAAAGCTGATATGCTTACATATTTTCCTTTGATTAAAATTAATCATTTTACAAAGTCTATAAATTTTCTTTTAAAATGACCATTTAAATTGCATATTTAAATTATTTTAACAAGGTTATCTGAGTAAGAGAGATAGAGTTTCCTTTTTAAAAGGAAGTTAATATATTTTAAATGAATTAGTTCACAAAGAAAGCATGCGTTATGTACTGACCAACCTTTTACTCATTTTGGAATTTGGATAGTGACTTCAATACCCATAAATAGATTCAAGTATTAGCCATTTTTGGTGGAGTTCACTAGTTTGATTTTCTTTAAAATTTTATTGGCAAACTGATAATACTTACATGTTGTTAAAAACATTTCAGCATTTGTTATCTCATTTACCTGATTCCAAAGTCCATGGCTTTTGTATCATTAAGTTTGTATAATTGCAAGGACCACTTTTGTGATGCTTGTCAGTTTAACTCCAGAACCTAGGAGGACGCTGTCACATAGCAGTCAGCTCATAAATGCACATTAAAATCATGACTGTTTTTCTCTGCTAATATTTTTCAAATACTTTAAAATAACTCCTTAAAGAACTGGGAGAATTGGAATGGAGAACTCCTATCTGGACCATAGTGTGCTAGAGAGGCTTGGGTAGTGGAAGTAGAGAAAACTTAGAAATGAGGTATTATTATTTTAAATTACTTATGAATGGATGTTAAATATAGATTACAATAGTTACTCTAATTATTGCCATCTTACTGGACAATAATTGGTGGCACACACCTGTAGTTCCAGCTACTTAGTAGGCTAAAGTGGGGGGACTGCTTGAGCCCAGGAGGTCAAGGCTGTGCTGAGCCAAGATCATGCCACTGCACTCCAGCTTAAGTGACAGAGTGAAACCCTGTCTCAAATAAAGAAATAAATGTCATATTAAGGCCAGAGATACTGAAATTATGGGTTGACCTTTTCTCTTTGGTTTTAGTATACAAAGCGTACATTTATCCAGAAGTAATGCTTTCCAATGTAAGCCATAATTCAGTCACACTTTTTTTGTACCCTGATTATAAGGCTATCTTGGGTATTCAAAGCCTCTCTTGTGTGTCAGGTATAAAATATAAAATTTGGGGTATTGAAAGAGTGTTAGTATCTTTGCATGTGTAGAATGTGTCCATCCAGATGTAAGTCACTTTACTTAACTAGTAAGGAATATAAGAACTTTATTTAGTTGAATTAAAACAAAATAATCTAATTCATTATTACATACTAGAGAACATGATGATTAAAAACTTTGGATTTAGAGATAAACTGAATGCTTATCACAGCTATACCACTTGTTAGCTGTGTGACCTTAGACAAGTTGTTTAATCATTCTAAAACTTAGTTTCCTCAGCTATAAAAAAGGGAATACTATAGTGCTTATTACATTGTTATGATAATTAAATGAAGTAATAAAAACATATAGCACAGTATTGGGAATAGATAAAAAGTTAAACATTTGCCATTTATATTCCATTAAAGAGATTGTCTACTTTAGCATAGTGTGAAAGCAATCTATTAAAATGAGAGTACATAGAAATTTTTAATTCTTGTGTGTAGAACAATCCTTATTTGCCACCCAATTTAATAAATATGCAGTAATCTAAAAATCTTGATCTGCTTGTTCATAATTTTCCTTGCACCCTCAGATTTCACCTGTGTACACGATGGCGAGAGTGAGGCTGAATTAATACCTGATGACTTTGAAGAAAAACCAGAAAGAGAAAAGAAACATACCAACTTTACTTTGTGCAATGTATGTAACATTCAGCTGAATTCAGCCGCTCAAGCACAAATCCACTACAATGGCAAATCACATCAAAAGAGATTAAAACAACTCAGCAATGGGACGCTGAAAAATGACAATGGTAAGCTTTTCTAAAAATATTTTCTCAATTTTACATCATCAATTTAAGTTATTTGTGTACCTGCAGATGTGAGGATAAAAGAATGAACTATTTTTTTAAACCAGGAAAAATATTACTTAAAATTTTTATCAGCAGAGTACATTAAAATACATCATTTCTCTTTGAGAGTGAAGGAGAAATTTTGCATACTTAATTGTATTAGGGTTGTGACCTGCAGAAAATTTACTATTTTTGAGTTGTTAGAGTTTTAGAGTTTCTTGATGTGTGCCTTCAGTATAGTTATGTGTGGAAATAGACATCCTTTTACAGTGTATAGGACAGTGGGTTTTTGTTTTTTATTTTTTTATTCCTGCAGATATTCAGGATTCAATTGGTTGGTAACACTGCAATTGGTTTGAAATAATGCATATCTTTTCAAATAGGTGTTTTAATCAATAAACTATGATCTGTTAGTACAGACTTTTGAGTTTCCTAGTGAAAATTTATGGTTTATTTAATAACTTTAGACTACTTTTTAAAAGTATGTGTTGAATTTATGAGTGAATAGATTTTTCAAATAGCACAAAAATATCTTTGGGAAGAAATGGAAAGTTATTAGAAAATATAGAGACATGAAGAGAGGAGGGTGGGCCCGTACAGAGGAGACTTTAGAGAGCTAACTCACTGCAACTTGAGTTACAATATTATATTGTGATCAGATGTTTCATGTTTGATAAATATAATTCATCTAAATTATACTGACATTTAAAAATGTGAATGAATGTCAATCTCTTCCTATATTTGACATCATAAAGATTTTTAATATAATTTTGTAGTTTGCTTCAAGGTGGCCAAATGATGAGAAGAAAAATAAAAGTACATTCTTAAAGTAGAAATTGCTTCTGCATTGCTTTATGTGGTTTTCATTTATTTGATTTTAGTATGAATGAACTGTAGTATTCTATTGGAAAGGATTTTTTATTTCTTTCAAATGTATGACGTTTAGTTAATTATAGATGTTATTTGTCAAAGAGATATAAGAAACAAAAATTGTGGTCAGAAAGTAATTGAGAACTATTAAATTCTATAGGCATAAGATAAACCTAGTGACACAGGACATTTCTTGATCACTTTTGCCAGCCAGAAACACCTGGCCAGCAATGTCCTTGCTCTGCCTCGGCCCACGGCTTTGGGGCTGGCTCTGCCCCACTGCTGTTTCTGTCATGTGGGCTGGCTGCCCTCTGCTTATTAGAGGGCAGAGGGCCACAATGTTACAGCCTTCTCTGTACCCATGATTGGTGGGTCCTGAGCCCTTGTCACATGTCTAAGAAGAATGAGGATATGCTGACAAACGAAGAGTGAGAAGGGTAGAGAATAATTTATTGAGCAATGGAACACCTCTCAGTGGAGAGGGGATGCGTGGGTGGTCCTCCACCCCCACAGTTGGGTAGTTTCTCCCCCAGTATGGCTGAGTCTAGGGCTTTTATGGGCTCAGAATAGGAGAGTACATGCTGATATATTTGTGAGTGTGCAAGGAAAGGCTAAAGCAAAGGCATCACTCAAAGGTGGGCATAGAAGTGTAGAAAACCAATTAGCAAAGGGTTGGTATTTGTAAAATAGGTAAAGGGTGGGGATCAATCAGAGGAAAGCACACCAGATGGGAAGACAGATTCTCAGTCCAGTCCATGGATTTGACTTGTAGCTTGGCTTTCAGGCTTTAAGCTGTCTTTGGCTTGGAGGTGGGGTTTCACCAGGGGCCTGCCCCTATCTGCCTAGGCATTTGTCTGCTTCCTACCGCTATCACTAGCAAAGTAAGTCATGATTTTAAAATGTATATTTCAGTCTCTACTTAGACTTCTTAAGAAAAATCTACTCCTTATTGTTAACTTCTAGGTGAAACCACCTCAAGTACAGCACGATTCAATTCCAAGTTGTTTTCTTTAAGTTTGTATTGGTTATGATAGCATAAGCTTTGGCGTTATACTTCACCTATCTTGATAGTCACAAACCTCTTTTGGAGAAGTAATAAACAACATTATAGAACAAAACTAGAACAAAAGATACATCTTGTTTAGAAACCCAAATCAGAGTTAGTCCCAAGCATAATTTAGAATAGCCAAAGATTTTCAAACCACGATAGTAGGTATGAGTTTACTCAAGTTCAGTATTTTTAAACAATCATATCAGTACAGTTAGAGGTTAGCACTTTATTAAAGGCTTTATATACATTTTATTATTCAATTTTTCCTCATAACCAACCAAAGTGATCTTGTTATATTCCTTTTATAGATGTGGACATTGAGGATAACATCAGTTAATACTATGCTGAAGGTCACACAGCTATTAAATAGTTGAACTTGCAATGAAACCCTGGTCTTACTCACTTAAGTATCTGTACTTTGAAAGGCTGTTTCCCAAAGTGAATATTCTGTACAAACTATGCCTTTCTTCATTCAAACAGAGAAATCATTTAGGAGAACATTTAAAAATTAAAATTTTAATATATTCCTCAAATTCTTTGATTAATATACTATTCAACAAAATATTTGTTGCTGGATTTCCTATTCAGATTTTTTCCCCAAGACGTTTTAAGTATCGTCATGTTAGTAAGAACATTTTCAGTGACCTCTCATTACTAATATTAGTAACATGATGTAGGCCACGAAAAACAACCATGGTTACTGGGAATACTTGGTCATCTTAGGTCATATTGGTTTGGTCTGAAATTATACTTCAGAGGATGGTGGACATGTGGATGAGAAAAGTCAAGAATGGTAGGATCAGGGCCAAGTCTTGGTGACTAGGAATTAGGGGAGATCCTGGAGCCAAAAGTGTCAATCACATTATCTGAGAGGGTATGATGAATTTGGCCTTAATCTGGGCTCCATCTGTTTTCAAAGATATTTGATCTGGTGTATGAATGTAAGAGCAGGAATCAATAGAAAGTGATGATACTTGAAGTAGGTCAGAAAATTCTGTAGTAATCCTTAATAGTTAATTTAAGTTTCTAAGGACCCTGGCCTGTGGGATTGGGTTGTGTTGAGGCAAGAGTTGCCAAGAATTCAGTGTGGTTCAAATTTCAATAAAGCTGAGTTCTGGGGTCTCCTCCTAAGAAAGACCAGTAATATTTGCTGGAAACTAGATGGAAATAATGGTGTAAAGATTTAATCAACTTCTTAAGCATTAGGAGAAATGCTATATTCCTGTACTAAATCTCAGAGTTATGAAAGCAAACCTAATTTATTTCAAACCCTAACATTTAGTAGGATAAAGAGTTTCTTAAATACTGCCAACTGCCATCAGTAGGTATTTGTAAGTGGGAATACAAATAAAAATATTTTCCCACATGATTTTGCTGAGTATTTTTTGCCTTATCCAGCCCCCTGCCAGGCCACACATTATTTTGCAACTGATCAGCTCCCATAAGATTCCTAGCATAGTAAACTGTCATCTTTCCACAGCCATCAGACCGGTGCTTGACAAAGACCAAACTACTCAGCTTTTTTTCTTAATAGACTATTTTTAAAGAATAGTTTCGTGTTCAAGCATAACTGAGTGGAAAGTAAAGTTCCCATATATCCCCTCCTTCACACACAGCCTTCCGCACTATCAACACCATGCACAACAGTGCTACATTTGTTACAACTGATTAACCTACATCAACACATCACTATCACCCAAAGTCTATAGTTTACATGAGTGTTTACCATTGGTGTTGTACATTCTGTGGGTTTACAAAATGTGTAATGACATGTATCCAACATCACAACATCATACAGAATAGTTTTGCTGCCCTAAAAGTCCTCTGTGCTCTGCCTATTCATCTTTCCCTCCCTCATAACCACTGATCTTTTTATGGTCCCCATGGTTTTGACTTTTTCAGAATATCATAAAGTTTGAATTACATACTATGTAGCCTTTTTATATTGGCTTCTTTCACTTAGTAATATGCATGTAACTTTTCTCTGTGTCTTTTTATGGCTTGATAGCTCATTCCTTTTTTAGCATCGAACTATCCTGCTTTTAAATAAAAATTATCCGGACACTTTGTTTCCCATAACACAGCCACATGAGGTCCTATGGCTATATCATACTTTTCTGATGATTATCAGGTGAAAGGGTGTTGTAATTAAAGCAT
This sequence comes from Homo sapiens, assembly GCF_000001405.40. Lineage (NCBI taxonomy): Eukaryota > Metazoa > Chordata > Mammalia > Primates > Hominidae > Homo > Homo sapiens. Next base: position 22,164,699 of record NC_000003.12, on the reverse strand, counting down.
TATACAACAGAGGGGAAACAATTTATCCACTTGAGATGACTTTTTCCAGGAAGAAAAACTATAAGTGGTTTCACTCAAAAAAAAAAAAAAAGTCCCTTTGGGCAAATTGTAGATGATAACCTAGCCCTCTGCCCTTTTTTCTTTCTCAATTCCCTTTAAAAAGTGTTCCTTTTGGCCGGGTATGGTGGCTCATGCCTGTAATCCTAGCACTTTGGGAGATCACAGGGGCCAGATCACGAGGTCAAGAGATCGAGACCATCCTGGCAAACATGGTGAAACCCCGTCTCTACTAAAAATACAAAAATTAGCTAGACGTGGTGGCGCATGCCTGTAGTCCCAGCTACTCTGGAGGCTGAGGCAGGAGAATTACTTGAACCCGGGAGGCAGAGGTTGCAGTGAGCCGAGATAGCACCATTGTACTACAACCTGGCAACAGAGTGAGACCCCGTCTCAAAAAAAAAAAAAAAAAAAAAAAAAAAAAAAGTGCTCCTTTTGTATTACCTATAGTGTGTAAAAAGGAGTGCTCACTTATAACTATAGGTGGGCCTAGTTATATGCCATAAATTTCACAAGCGAATTAGTGCTTTACCTTAATATAGAAACATATTATTTCTTTTACCTATCCCCCATATCCCCACTATTAAAATGTGCCTTTGCAGGCTTATTGGGAATAAGAAATGAACCCAGTTACAAGCCTTACACAGTTATTAGTGGTCATTTGTTTACCTACACAGAAACCTAGCTAAAAATGTTGATTTGTACAAATAATAGATCCTGTAAATTCTTAGTAAGCACATCATCCTTTTTAGGTTATTTAGAAAAAGATATGGGAATTCTTTCATTCTTCTCCTTAAACATGCACAATTGCAAAATGATTGCTTTGAACTTTCATCTTCACAAACTTTTCACCACAATTTAGATTTCAAATGGAAAATAATTAAATATGGTATGTCAAGAAAGAAATAACAATAGAGATTTTTACCTAAATTTATCCAAACAGGTACTTTAGTATTTTCAGGATGCAAATAAAATAATGCATATGGGATTAATTTTTAGCAGTCATTTAAGGATTGCCTAACAGGTAAAATATCATTATTTGATATTTGAATATTGTGTGATTATATGCCTTGAGGCATAGTCTATTATATACTACAAAAAAAACTTGAATAAGCAAGAGCATTATCATATCTAAAATGTTTTTCACATTTCTGAGAAAAATATGTTTTACATATTTACGTGTCATCTCACTTATTAAGGAAAATGATCTTCTGAAGATCACAGTGAAAAGCTATCTGATGTATATAAATTAATTAGGGGGCTATTGTTCCTGCAGTTAAGACTAACTTCGGTTTCTGACGGCGATGTACGTTATGCAGAAATAAAGGTATATAGAATGCATGTATACCACCTGAATTCATGCTCTGCTAGAATTCATTGATTCAAGAATCTGTGTGATTCAAGAATCTCTAAAGTCCCTCCAGCTCAGTCAGGAATTTTGCCTGCTAAATTCCTCCACAAGCATTGCCTTCAGCTCATGGGAACTACCTCCTCTGAGCTCGTTCCTTCTCTTATAGCAGCCTGTGTCCAATGGCTAGTCAATGCTGAGGTACAAAGTCCCAGCTCCTTGCCTCAAAAGTGGGTAGACATCTCTGAAAGTCCATTCCAGCTTCAGATTTGCTGATGTCTCTGTTTCAATTCTATCACAGGCTAACCTCACTCTCTACTATGTCCTGCTTTTCTTACGCTTCACAGGTATAGATCTCCAGCCCACTACTTGCACACAAAATCATCTTAGACTCTGCTTCTTGGGAATCCAAATAAGACACTACCAATGATTTTTAAAGTTGTTAAGGAGAATTGTCCTCTCTCTCTGAAGGTTCATCTCTGATTCTGTTGACATCAATTGACCATAGAGAGGTCAATTAACAGATTAAAAGATATACAAATGTATTAACATGCATAAGCCTGGGAGGCATACAAAATATGAGGCTCAAAGGAGAGGCCAAATGGTTGAAGTTTATACCTTATCCTGAGGTTATAGAAAGAATGGCTGCCTACTGCGTAGTGCAAGGGGGGTGGAGTCCCAGGTAATAGGACAGTGAGGGAAGGAAAGCATGGCAGGTAGGGCTGTCTTGTTATGCCTATAAAAAATCTCTCAAGTAAACTCAGAGCTGCCCTCAGAAAGTATAGATGGTGGCCTGTGTTAAAATGTCTCTGTTAGAACTTCAAAATGGTTAGATTTTAGTCTCTTTTTTTCTTTGAGTTAATCTTAGTTTTGGGTAAGGCAGATAAGGGGGGCTTCAGAGAAAGCCTGTTTGCATCTGCTGTTTACTTTACTAATGTAGATTTTCTATACAGATGTAAACCCTCCCACAAAAAGACAGCTTTTCAAAGCTGTTCCTGTAGTCTGTAGCCCCTCTGAATAGCATCTTAAAATATGCCAAAGAAATATATTTTGGGGTAAAATATTCTGGTTTCCTTCAAAGTCTCAGTAAGAAATATGCACAATGTGTTTTATTGTGCAAATGCAACACGATTTAATACTTTCCTTAACTCTTATTTTCCATTTGATACCTGTGAGTTAAGATTTGCCATCAAAAATGCAAAAGAAATGAGAAGGGAACTAGCATCAACTGTTCCAAGTACTTCATATACATCATTTGTTGAATCCCAATCAACAGTCTTACAAAGTCTTATTACCTCTGTTTTGAAAATAACATAGCCAAGGATCAAAGAACCTAACAGACTTGCCAGTAAAGCTGTTTGTCTTCAGAACTGCCCAGGTCTACATTATTGACAACTCATTAATCTCCCTGGCAAACTTATATTCTACTGTCAACAAAATTATACCATACATTTGGGTATTTTCTTATGTTATTGAGTTTATGTCATTCTTAAATCACTTATATTATTACAGCAAAGCTGATGTTTTCCTTAAATTTTCATCAACAACTCTAACTGCTGAGAATATTTTGTGCCGAATAAAATAGTCATGTAAATAGATCATTTGATAATTTATCACTATATATTCTCTATCATGCCAGAAATGTATCTTTTTCTGTTAGCATACTTTTTTGAAGATGTGAATAAAGAAGTGGCAGAAAGGAATTCTATATTAGAAGTTGACTAAATGTGTTGACTTTTCCATATTCCAGAGATCTCATGATTCACCCTCTCATAAATATTATAGATCTAGGAAACAATACAGACTGCATGACTAAGTTCCTCTTTTAAAAAGGCCTTTGATTTTATATTTATGATGCAATTGAGCTTTACAAATAAAGATTATTTTTCTGCTGTTATAAAATGGTTTAATATATACTGCATACAAATGTATTAATGTAAATTAAAAGTCCCCAACATTCTATAAAAATATTTACTTCTAATTTTTGTCACAATTCATCAAGAATGCAAGTATGAATAAGAAATATTGTTTGTACAGTTTTACAAGCATTATAACAATGTTTGTATATCACTACATTTTATGATATATATTTTTTAATTACCATAGGAAATTAGTAGTGGAGTTGAGATTTCTAGGTAAGCATTAAGATTTTACTCATATTTGCCATTTTGTTTTCTAATTATGTGATATATTCTATAATGGAAAAGCTTTAACATTATGAGGTATAGAATGAAGTATTAAAGTATCATAAGGGATTTTGTCTAAGAACAGAAATTTGAAGATTAGATTAAGAATGGTTCTTTGATTCATAGCAGCATTTTGAAAGACATATTACAAGGGGCATAACTTTTAGGATGTTTAAACCTTCTATGGCAAATTAATTCAGTTTCATGTGCTCAACATAGTTTAAGCTGTTGTTAATGCTTGTTGAAGGATTGAGTAACAAGTTGACCTACCGTGTCAGCTTTATTTTATTCACACTATCTTTGTCATATTTGGGTTAATTTATTAAGCCTGGTTTCCTATTTTTATTGGGCTGAAACTGCTATCAAATAATTCAGCTTTATCTGCAAGTATTCTAGAGTCTTTTGGTGTTCATTGTTTTGTAGCACATAAATCCAGAGTATTGCTGCCCTTATCTTTGCTGCTAGCATTAAATTTTCTTTCATTTAACAGAAAAGCTAAATAGAATTTTAATTTCTAGTTCTCACTGATCTATTCTTTTTTCTTTCCATTGATTGCCCCAGAAGATATTTAAAGTGTCAGAAGATTTTCAATTTACAAGATTTTCTTCTCCTGCAACATTGATAGTTAATGAAAATAAAATAGCTTCATAGATTTTTATCGTACTTCAGGCCTTGATTTTATGTATATATTTATCATTTATATATAAATTTGTCTCACCTTTTGATCTCCAAGGACGATTTGTGCTTTTGTTGACTGTCAGTAGACAAATTAGAACTTGCTAGAACATTTGTGGCTTCACAGTGATCTCTTTTGGCATAATTTTATTTCATAATGGTAACTTCTTTCTTAATGATACCTTATCTATATCAGTATATGTATTAGTCCATTTTCATACTGCTATACAGAACTGGCCAAGACTGGGTGATTTATAAAAGAAAAAGATTTCACTCACAGTTCCACATGGCTGGGGAGGCCTCAGGAAGCTTACAATCATGGTGGAAAACAAAGGAGAAGCAAGGCACCTTCTTCACAAGGTGGCAGGAAGGAGAATGAACATCACAAGAACAGCATGGGGAAAACTGGCCCCATGATTCAATTACCCCCACATGGTCTCTCCTTTGACACGTGGGGATTGTAAAGATTATGGGGATTACAATTCAAGATGAGATTTTGGCTGGGGACACAACCAAACCATATCAGCATATGATATATTGAAATGTGGCGCTTTCCTCATACTTTTCTCTTACCGACCATATCCTTCAGAAGTTCAGCCGAGGGGAGGCCATGAAAAAATGCAGATATTAAATTGTTCAAAAATATATAATAAGACACTGTATTCTTGTTTGACTGAAGTAAATTCCTTTTTTATCATTGAAGGATAAAAATGTAGAAGAAAGTGAAAAATGCTAATTTCACTGTGTTCAAATTTGGATCATGTTTCTGGCTTTTGTTACCAATTTTTTTCACCCTAAAAAGAAAACATGTCAGTTATTTAAAGTTCCAGCCACTGGCTATTTGTTTTACCTGGACTTAATATGAATTCCATTGAAGGGCACTGTCTTTTGCAACACAGAGATTTCTTTGTGCAATCTCTGTCCCTGAGAAACCCTGTGTACTAGGACAATGATGAGGTTTTACAACCTGAGCCTGATAATCCAGACCGACTCCTGTCTGGAATCCATCCAATAGGTTACTCTGTCCAAGATGAAGTATACTCTAGTTTTTCATGACCATTGTTTTGAAGAGCTAGATGAAGTGAAAATTAAGTGAAGCCAAAAAAGAAAAGAGAATGAATTAAATTTATAACGTTTAGCTTGGAAATATAATCTATTTGAGATAGAGGAGATTTTCATTTGTGCTTCTCTGCATGTATGTGCGTGGGAGTGAGTGTGTTTAGGGAAGTTTGAAGAACTTGAAGGTATTGGCAGCTTACAGCACTGGTAGTATGAAATGAGAGTGCAGAATTTTTTTTAATGTGTGAACTTCAAATCTGTTTAGTACACATAGAGCTACCTTGTTTCTTCATCTTTTACCTCTTTCAGTTACTAATCACGTCCACCGACAACATCTTCCAGTCCCTGTGTTTCCTATCTATAATCTTAGGAAAGTAATCACTCCTCTGCTTTTCTAGGTTTGAAAGTATAAGCTTTTTAACTTTTGTTTTCCTTCCTTTACATTTCCCCTAGAAGTAATTTTCCCAAGGTAATGGAGCTAGTAGTAATAAAGGTGAGATTCTTGTATGCATGAATTTTTCTTTCCTGATTTACGCCCTTAACAAGTTATTTTGCATTCTGAGGCCCACCCTTTTGAAACTGGCTTCTAGTTTCTATAGATCTACACCAGGCCTGGCACTCCTTCTCTTAACCACCGTGTTTTTTGTTTGTTTCTCAGAAACACTAAGCAATGGCATGAATGTGTGTGTGTGTGTATGTGTGTGTGTGTAAGATGGTATTACAGATTCAATTCACTAAATAGTTTCCTTAAATATTAATTTTGAGTTTTTCAAGGAGAGATCAGAAAGTAATTTTCAAAAATAGCAGCCCAGATACATGTCTTCTCTTTCCTTGCTTCCAAAATTGCGATAGTATTTTGTAAGAAACTTGAAAATAAAAGCAAATAGATGTATAGCAGCACTGTGAACTTGTTAAGAATAAAATAGTGAGGGATTTCTGGAAGAGTAAAAGAAATGGGATAAAAATGAGATAAAACACTGGACCTAAACACAAGTAAGGAAACCTATAAAGTCAGGGAAAAAGCGCCCAATAACTCTGGTTTCCAATAGAACTTCAGAATATCTCTAAGATTACTCTGAAGTAGACTTAAAGGTGGTATGCATTGTTTAATGGAAATTGTGATGAATTTACTTATGCTAGTGTGCAGTTAGAAACTCAGATATAACTCACCTGCCCAGCCTAATAGTGAAAATAAAGAACCCATGAATCTGGGGGTTATAAACCGGAGATGTCAGAAAGTGAATGTCCTGATGAGATCAAGGATAGGAGAGGATAGAGGGAACAGACACATCTGCTATGAATTTGTTGGCTTTGTAATGTGCGCTGTAATTCCCTCTTTCATCTTACATCTGGAATCGCTTGTAAAGCTGACTTTGCTTACTCACTAATTTAAAAATACGTGAGATTAGAGTTATTCCCAGGGAACTTTTGTAAAGGACATCTAGACTCTATTCCAGTTAAGGTTGGCACTTTGTGTGCAGGTACAAAAATAAAAGCTGGACCATATATGTATTATCTGTTTACAACTACTTGTATCAGGTACAGTGTTGAAATCAAAGATATGAACAAGTCATATTTTCTACTCGTTTCCAATTTTCCAACCCTGAGAGGAATGAATATGTGTACATAAATTTCAATTCAATAGTTTACTTGAGAAAAAGTGTGATTTTTACTTCAAGATTTTATTTCAGTGACTCAGTAGAAGTATAAAAAGTTAGAGAATATGTGAACTAATCAATGCATAAGAGGTTAAAAAACTGTAGTTTTAAATGGAGAGTAATAAAAGCCGAATTAATGCAAGAATATTTAATTTCCTTAACAAATACTTAATAAACACTTCCTGTAAGGAATAAGAATTCTGACCTAGATCTTATTCTCACTGGTAGAATAGCTACATCTGGGGGTGTTATTAAAAAAAACAACAAAAAGAAAGAAGAAAAGGGGAAACAACCTTAAAATTTAATTCCTGTCTTATAGGAGGAAGACAACGGGTCTGCTAAGCAGATAATAAAGGTATCAAAAATATAAATGATGAGTAACATTTTTCATGCATTTACATTGTTCTAGATTTTATTCTAAAAATTCTGTGTATAATTAATGTGATTCTCTTATTTTATGATTTAGATACAGTCATTAGTATACATTATGTAGACCATAAACTAATACAAAGGAAAGTAAAGAAATTTGCCAAAGGTCATGTAACTGGAAAGAGGTAGGGCCAGTCCCTGAGCCTGGCAAGCTGGTTCCAGAGTCCACACGCATATTCATGATGTTACAATAGCTGTCAGGCCTGGAGGCTACCTTGGATTGCTCCTTGATTCAGAAGCCAAAGGAGGAGAGAGCTTCAGAAAAAGAGGAAGTGGTTGTCTACCTTGTGCTGAAGAGTTTTTTCAGAGAGGTTAAAATAGGCGAACTCTGTGGGAGATCTGGAACTTGTAAAATGATAGATTATCTTTGAGAAGCTGTTTAAATGAAGTGGGTAAAGCAAAATCAGGTGTTGAGAAGTAGAGTGTTTCTCTGACTTTTGGTCTTTAAAATCCCTGATTCAGAATCACCTTGGGTACTTCATGAAAATTCAGATTCCCTGGTATGCGTTCGGTCCTTTAAATGGGAGTCTACAGTAACATTTAGTTAGAAATAGAGAAAGTCAGTAAGGGAAAAAGGGTGAGGAAGAGGAAAGAGATGGCTGTGGCTCAGTTTACATACCTCAGTCGGCAAGGAAAAGTCTGCTATGGAGGCATTTCATGACCATCTGTTTGTATTCTAACATGTACTGGGGGAAAACTAATTGCCAGCCCAAGAGACTCATCAAAGTGATTCCTTCTTGTTATATTTTCAGCGATGTTTTAGGAACTGTCATCGATCTACCAGTCATGAAAGCAAGTAGCGTTCTCTCTCTCTCTAAACCTAGCTCTGGTGGTTGTGAATCAATCCTGAGCATTGCAGTTAATTTGAAGAGCATGTAATCCATCTGTGCAGGGGCAGGGGGGCTGTGTACACCACAGTTTGCATCTGGTCTTGCTCTTTTGCTTGGCATTCTGACCATCAAGTTTTAGGACTTCATTGTAAAAGAGTGTCCGAGTATGTATACTTTATTCCAAATTACTTCCTTTCAGCAATATTTTATGTGTTTTTCTTGTTTCTTGTTACACCTTCACTTGAGGATTGTGTCTTCATATGGTGGTAATTTTTTTCCTAGAAGTACATTTATATTTTTAACCTGATAAGTACTCATTGCACAATTATTAAGGAATGTGTTAATGCCAAGTATTCTATTATGTCTCCTTTATTCTTTTCCCATACAAGTCACATATGTGTTAGGATCCCTACTCTAGGATGTCATACATGGGAGTTACTGGGACAAGCTGTCTTTCATATTTTTCTTTTCATTTCATCCTCCATCTAAAATTCAAAGTCCTTGATAAACTGATTTTTACCCTGGGGTATCTGAATACTATTTTGAATACTCTTAACTTTCCTTATGTGTAATTTACATGTTATTAACTGTAAATGAGACCCAAATTAAAAACTTTTAACAACAAACTCTTCTATCCTTATTTTAACAAAAATTGAGAAGTGACTGCTCTCCATTGTTTTTTAATGAAGACAATATAAGGTTTTGGAGAGTCATACATAATTCTTCTACCAAAATCCAATTTTTATGGCAGAAAAATTACAATATTATAAAAGTAGGGACATGTTCTCTTTATTAACTATTTTAACAGGAGTTCTTACATTTGAGACAATCAGGAAAGTGTCAGAATAAGCTAATATGTGTTATGTGTGCTCAGTAGATAGTAATTTATGATCATAATCCTGTCAGTCTCATTTTATTTACTAGTCAAGGACCCCTTTTGCCTAATCACTAACAAAAGTGTCCCAGTGTTTGTAATTCTTGCTATTCTGTTTTTATTCCTACTGCCATAAAATATTTTCCTTCCCTTCATATAGAATTTCCTTAAGAAATCTCTTTAGTTCCAGAAAAAAATCTTAAGAGTATATAATATTCTCACTAATACAAGCATCAGGGACTATTTTAATTCATTTCATTTCTGATGGAAAAAAAATCAAAGCGGAGACCCCACATCCCATATGACTGATTCTGAAATAATTTCTTTACCACAGCAATCAATAATGTTTTTCTGTACTTCTCTCACATAGATCTTTTTATTTATTTTTATTGATACACAATAATTATAGATATTTACGGGGTACACGTGATATTTTTATATATTCATACAATGTGTAATGATCAAATCAGGGCAATTAAGAAGTTGCAATTCTGTCAATAATAATATTGTCATTGTCCTTCACATAAGATCAATTATACAATGATGTTTAAAAATCTGCCTGTTCTCCCTTACACTGTTCAATGGCTGCCTTAATTCACTTAATATAGTAGTCAACCACCAAATCTTGTATATCAATTTCTTTCAGGTTCAACTACAATCAATTTGTATAATATCATGCTCCTTTTGATATCATGGAAGATGAATGTTTCCTGTTTTCTGTGGAGAGGTGGTGTTATTAGGAATCCAATAGTTAAAAGATTTTAAAATTTAAAACAGAATAAAGTTATCTGAAGTATTCCTGCATTACTTACTCTTATGAGCAATGCCAGAGACTTGTTTATCACATGTGATTTGGGAAGATGTTAAAAATTAAAAGGAGGTGGGCAGAATAGGAGAAAACCAGAAGTAAGACATGAAGCCCCAGAGAGGCAAGGTATGTACATTAAAGAGATTCATAGAGATGCCAAGGCTTGAAGGAGCTTTATGGCTCATACCTCATTTAGGACTCCAGGACTATTCCACTTTGTATGGTGAATTTGTGCAAAGCAAAGAGATCAGACAGAGCTTAATTTGCACTCTAGAGTATTCCTCAGTTGCCTTCTGGCAGAGAGGAGGAATTCAGATTTTCTTCTGTTTTCTTACGTGGTGAAGCCCTCTGTAGCTGAGTTGAGAAATGTTGGTCCTACTCTGGATCCTGGGAAGGTAAGAGGCAAGAAAACCCCACCTTCTAGACATGGGTTTGACTTAATGATGTAGCAGAGACTCAGGGTAGTTTGCAGCATCAACATGAATCAATACAGGATGAGGTTAGCCAGGAAAATATCCTATTATCTGATAGAGCTGGAAATGAAATGAGCTTCAATTGTAGTGGCAGGCCTTCAACAATAAACAGGGCAGAATGCCCTTAGCTGGGCACCCAAACAACCACACCCCAGTGGATATCAGCCAGTATATTCCCGAGGACCAGAATTAGGAGGCCAGAGATGATCCTTACTCCCAATTCACATAAGGCTTATTCCATATACCAAAAACCCTTTGGGATACAAGAAAATGAAATGGAAAGTAAGCTAAAGGACTGGATGCTAAAACTAAAGGTGATGAGTTATCTAAATGGGAACATGTGAACTAACAGAGGGAGAGAGTGCTACCATGATTAGCATGTTTAAATGTTAATCTGCAGCTCTGCTGTCTCCCACATGGTGTGGGAGTAAAAGGTATCCAGAAGTTTCTGTTAAAATATGGCTGAGGAAGCTGACTATGAGACCAGCCACACAATTTGTAGGGCCCACTACAAAATGAAAAATGCAGAGTCCGTTGCTAAAAATCTGTTAAGAATTTCAGGATTAATGCCAGCACTTTGGGAGGCCGAGGTGGGTGGATCACTTGAGGTCAGGAGTTCAAGACCAGCCTGACCAACATGGTGAAATGCCATCTCTACTAAAAATACAAAAATCATCAGGGTATAGTGGTGGGTGCCTTTAATCCCAGCTACTCAGGAGGCTGAGACACAAGAATTGCTTGGACCCAGGAGGGGGAGTTTGCAGTGATCCGAGACCGTGCCACTGCACTCCAGCCTGGGTGACAGAGAGACTCTGTCTCAAAAAAAAAAAAAAAAAAAGAAGAATTTCATGGTGACAAACAGAATTAAAACAGGCACGGGGTCATTGTGAATGCAGGAACTTGTGCCCATGATTGCACAAACTACAGAGTTTGCCTGATGATGTTACAGCATCAGGGAGGATCTGGCTCTGTGGACAATGGCCACTGGTGAGACCACTCAGCCCAGCAGGTGATAGGAGTCCTAATTGGACCTCAGGGGAACTATAGAGTACCTAAGAGGGCAGAAGTGGGGCACCATCAGCAGACAGGAGGTTGCTCATTCTCTGTTGGACCATTCCCAAAGCAAGAAAACTGAATATGAGTTCACCAGTCACAGATTTGTACAGCAGAGGTCAGGAAGGGAGCCCAATAACCATGTAGAAAATGGTTGTATGCAGTAGTACATTGGTCAGTTTTAACCATCAGCTCTCCTGAGAATAAAAGCCATGGTTTGTAACATCTCCCTATTTTTCACCATGGCACATTTTAAGCTACCAATGTGTCATCAGGGAAGAGTGAGTAGATAAGAGGTACACACAATTGGTTGTTGAAAACCAGTGCAAGATTTCACCACGTCCCTGGTTGTAAGTGTGGCCAATGGGTTTAGAGTATAGTACAGGGACCCTTATAAGTAGAAGGATATTGTGGTAGACCAAATAATACTCCCCAAAAGATGTATACATCCTAATCCCTGAGACCTGTGAATATGTTGCCTAACTTGGCCAAAGGAACTCCACATACGTGATCAAATTCATGGTCTTGAGATGAAGAGGTTATCCTGCATTATCTGGGTAGGAAAAATGGAATCACAAGAGTCATTTTATGAGGAAGATAGGAAGGTCAGAGAGAGAAAGGAGATGTTACTGTGGAAGCAGAGGTTAGAGTGACGACGCACTTAGGAGATGGAGGAAGGGATCAAGGAATGCAGGTGGCTTCTAGAAGCTGAAAGAGGCAAGGAAACAGATTCTTCCCTTACAGCCCTCAGAAGGAACACAGACCTTCCAACACCTTGATTTCACCCCATAGAATCCATTTCAGACTTCTGACCTCAGAACTGTATGATAAATTTGTTTTGTCTTAAGCCAACAAATTTGTAGTAATTTGCTCTAGCAATGATAGGAGACTAATACAGATACCGTCATTTTCCTAAGTGGTATGAGGTCAAGCAAGTACTCACCCTCCCATGCAGTTGTTGTTGCTCTTTTAAAAGAGAGCAGAGGATAGGGAATACTAAGCATTTGTCTGAAAGTATTACCCAATGCAATTGTTTAAATTACTATGCAGCCATAAAAAAGAACGAGATCATATCATTTGCAAGAACATGGGTGGAGCTGGAGGTCATCATTCATAGCATACTAATGCAGGAACAGAAAACCAAAAACCTGTGTTCTCACTTAGAAGTGGGAGCTAAATGATGAGAACACACAGACGCAAAGAGGGGAACAACAAACCCTGAACCCTACTTGAAGGTGGAGGGTGGAAGGAGAGAGAGGAACAGAAAAAAATTACTACTGAGTACTAGGCTTAGTGCCTGAGTGATTAAATAACCTGTACAAGAAACTCCTATGTTGCCCAGTTTACCTATATAACCTGCACATGTACCCCTAAACCTAAAATAAAAGTTTAAAAAGTTACTGAGTGAGGTAAATTGAATTTTCTTCTAGCCCTTGTGGTTAAAGGGCTCACGGTGGTTAATTTTATGCCATGACACCCAGATATTTGGTCAAATATTATTCTGGATGTTTCTGTAAAGGTGTTTATTGGAAGAGATTAACATTTCCATCGCTGGACTTTGAGTAAAACACGTTTTACTCATAATTCGGGTGGGCCCCAGCCAATCAGTTGAAGTCCTTAATAGAGCAAACACTGACTTTCCTCAAGCAAGAAGGAATTCTGCCAGCTGACTTGCCTTTAGTCACACGCAGACCTTGTTGGTTTGTTTGTCTGGAGAACCCTAAATAATGCATGCATTGAAATTTAAATTGAGTGAATTTGGAACTTCAATGTACACATAATCCATCAACTGTAGGAATTGCAATCTCTATTCAAACTCTAATTATTCACCTCCTCAACCCACAATGTCTGAAAGAGGCCAAAAGCTGTCTTTCTTGTGGGTATTTAATAACATAATACTCTTGGTTTCCACCTGACATTAGACATTTTCTTTCTCTCTTTCTCTGATTCTTGATTCATTACAGGTAAGTCTTGTTTAGCTGCCAGCATAGTGCTACCACCGTCAGCCAGCATATCCAAATGTGTCTGTGATGTTCCTTCCCCAGCCCCAATGCACTCCAGGGGTGCCCCTGCCCCATGAAACTATCAGAAGTAGAAATGATGTGTGATGTCCTTTCCAGTATTCTCCATGGCATAAGGGAAGACACATCCAGAGTTGAGACAAATCATGTTCATGTTGAACACATTGCACTAGTGAATCTAAAAAAGAAGATTTTATTTTATTTCGTAATTCACAGCTTCTCTCTCTAGATAGAAGTCCATGTGGGCTGGGTCTTGGGCCAATCTGAGAATCATCCTTTCTTTTCAACACTCCCAGAATGATTTACTCTCTAGTCCGTTATGACATAAATTTTCCCAGGAAGCTCGATGTTCCCTTAAATAATCTCCTGAGGAACCCACCCTTATATGCACTCTACACATGATTATATGGGTCTGCATTTTCACATGAATATACATCAGATTAAGCTAAAGCTTCTACTAATTATATATATATGTTTAAATTTTAGTCTGGATGCTTCTCTTAGAATATTAAATATATTTTAAGACATATATGAGTTGATGACAAGCTAGATAAGATATCTTAACTACTATCCTTATTCTTCTGTAATTTAACGTTAGTGGACTAATTGAGTTAGTAGCCTGAAGGAAGAGATTAGAAATATTTATCTTCTTTTTAGTGCTCATTGCAGTGGGTATGCCTTCTATGTAAATAACTTCTATTCAAAACCTAGGGGAGAAAAAAGTAGGTATGCATTCCCACTATTAATTGTTGATCTGAAGGGTTTTTTGGCCTATTTTTATATCCATGTGGGTGTTAACCCAAGCATCTAACACTTTGTTTCTTTAGGTAAAATCTAGTATGAATACAGCTCTTTCTCACTGAAGAATGTTTATATAAATAAAGCAAAACTATTCATGTTTTATAAATACATACATATATAACCTAGGAGCCATCTGGCAGTTAATGCCTAGCTTTGAGATGTATATGAGGCCCTATTTGAACATAGAGGGAAAGTTGGAAATATGGACATTAAGAAAGGAGGATCTTCCTAAACTAAGACTTATTTTCCTGTTGCTACTTTGTGTCTAGCTTTTCTAATTATTTCTGGCATTATCTTATTTGCCTTGTTTATTTAATGAGATTCTTGGGAAAAGCAAATGCAGTAATGCAGATGAAAGTACTTCAGCAATCTCTTTTTCTTACGAATATGTGAATTTTAATTCATTATTTCATCTGAAATAACTGAGTTATTTGGACATAAAGGGCTTTAGGAATTCAATATTAAAACATGGAATTAAAGTCAAGAGAGTAAGTTCTGAGAGCTTATGAGATTTCTGGAATGTTTCTTACATACAAAAAATACTTATCACCCATTGATACTTAGCACTGATAACATCAAAGACAAAAAAAAGTCTGAGACTTAAGGATAGCAAAGAGGGAGAAAGGTGAGAAAAGCGCATTGTCTTTTGCAGGTGGTCTGGGAAAGAAGGGAGAAAATCAGCAACAACTCTGGGAAGGAGAGAAATACAAACAGAACTTCTAGGATTAACTAACCAGTAAATTGTTTTAAAAGAGTGTAAGTAACAAATAGCCTATATCTCAGATATGGACCCAAGTAGTTGAATTCACAGACACTTGTGTTTCATACCTCTATGGTCGTGGCTTTAATCAGCATCACCTGAGTACCTGGTGAAATTCAATTATTGGGGCCTACCCCAAATATATTGTATCAGAAACTCTAGGAGTAGGCCAAGCAATCTGTGTCTTAAAGAACGCTTTGGGCGATTCTGTTGCATGCTCAAGCTTAAGAATCACTGCCCTATGTAGTAAATAACATATCAGAAGCAATAATTTTAACATTAAATAGGGTAATTTAGGTAATGTATTTAGTGCAAACATAGTTAACCTTCAACAAAATAAGTGTTATCTGTAATTACTATTAGTTCTTGTTAAATGCTACAATCAGCAGGAAGAAAAATCAAGGTTGGGATACTAACATGTATATAAATATAGACTTTTAGGAAATGTAACATTCTTAGAGAAATATTTCAGGGTTCCTCTTACACTTTAACATTCATACAAATCAGCCGGGGGTCTAAAATGCAGATTCTGATACAGGTCCGGGGTTGCGTATGAGATCCTGCATTTCTAACCAGCTCTTAGTTGATGCTGCGGCTGCTGGTCCTGGGATCACAGTTTGATTAGCATCCATCCAGCCCATGGCACCCTTTACTCCCACTTAACTGGTTTTTGCAGCTCTAAAAGCAATATTAGATAGAAGTTTGAGTATTCATAGCAAAATCATAGGATAGAAGGTGGGTGGCAAGTTGAGACCCTGTGGTTCATGTCATCTCATCCCTTGAGTTGTATGTAGGTTTCGTCTATCTTTCTTTAGGAAGCAATTTAATACTTCTCAGACAGAATAGTTTGAAAAGCAGTCATAAATTCTTAAAGTTTTAAGGTCATTTTCCATTAATTACCTAACTTTGGAGATAGTCAGGTAGTACTGCTGGACCCTATAAAAGGTAGGACAGATCCAATTGATAAGCCATACTAATTACGACCATGTAGATCTTACTTTGCTAAACCATCTGAAGGAGCTCATATTCCTGCTTTGCTCAGTAAACTTGTCACGCTATTTTTCAAGAGCAGCTCCTCTTTTGAAGATAAACTGAGTTTCACTTGTTTACTCATATACACAGATTCTTGGTTTGTAGCCACATGGATGCCATCAAGTGGAATTGCTTGATAGTTATTTTTAAACTGTGGCTGGCCCATCCTTCAGTAGTTTCACAGGTTTTCCATGAATGGATTAAAAATATGGTCTACAGTTTAATAGAAGAATCTGGGTGGTGGTGAATAAGCAGTTCTGTCCTATAACCAACACAGGTAAGTGTTTACAGATGGTGGTATGACAGAGAAGAAATAACACAACTTATTTAAGTCAAATCTACTTAAGTATAAGACTTTTACTGCTTCTGGACTATGGCTCTTTTAGGTCTGGCAAATTGGTACTTAATTGGATTTGACCACTCCATCATGCATGGCTAAAGACAAATTTACAAAGCACAAATTCTAATTCTGGTTGAGTTTCCTTGAATTATATGGTTCTATATGAGGGTTGTTATATAAATTTTACACAACTGGAATTCCACTCATAAAGTTGTTAAAGTGGGATAAAATACTAAAAATAAGCCACAATCAAACTACATTTTTATAATAAGGAGTTATAAAGCAATTATCCCAGAAATGAAGTATTTACTCCATGTCAGCCTCAGAAACATCTTTGCTAAATCCTCATACTTTAGATCGACTTTTTTTCTGTATTGGAGCCATGATTGCTCATGATTCCAGGTTTCCATTTTCCCAAATTCAAGCTCAGCAAAAGAGAGTATTTCTTTCCTAGTTTCTGCAGCAAAAACTTTATCACTGGAATCTGTGGCCAATGCAAAATTAGGGACAATGAGTAGTAGGATCTAGATTCAATCCTAACTCTTTCATTGTGGAGAAAATATTTGCTGAGCTCTATAATGCACACATTACTTAATGCCCTTGGGCCTCAGTATCCTTGACTGCCTAATGTGCCTAATATTATCTTTTTCCGAGTGGTGTTGTATTAATACATATAAGGTGCCTAGAGTGAGATCCCATACATAGTAAGCATATGATATTACCATTAATATTTCATTTCCAAATCCCCTTTTCTCAGGTGGGTTTTCCTCTGTATTGACACCATCTTTACCAGGAACTCCAGGCTTCCCTTTTACCAACACCACCATCAGCAAAAGAGAATATCTCTTTCCCAGTTAATACAGCAAAAGCCTCAGGATAGCATTCGTGGAACTGATTTGGGCTATGGCCAATTCCCATGGCCCGAAAGCATATGTACTGCTCTGAAAAGCCAGGTGTGGTTCCCATGCCTACCGTTGGAACTGGCATCAATCCCCCACAAACCTCCTATAAAAGTAGGAGAGACATGGTTATTCAAGGAAAATTCATATCTTACCAGGAGAGAATGAAATGGTTTAGGAAAGCCAGAATAACAGCTATTTATTTTAAAAGTTCTTTCAACTTTGATTCTAACACCATGGCTATATCCCTAGTACTTGTTCTAAATTATTTATTTGGTCTCTTTCTAATTACAAGCATTTGTAGAATGTCAAGAGTAATATTTACTACTATACCTTTAATTGGGTAACTCTAAATACAATGTCAGATTTGCTAACAACCAGAGTGTAGCTTTTTGTTACCAAATTTTGTTTCGTTTGATTAGCTTACTGTTATTTTCTGTTTTATCTCCATTAATAGTGAACAACAAAATAGTCTCATGTAAAAACGAGACAAAACAATACACTTCCCAAATATGTTTCAGAACTTAGGAGAAATTTTAGACACATTGGCTTACAGATTCCCTTATTTTCATAAGAGTATCATCAAAGTGTATTATTTTGGTCTACTCAGCAATCTAGTGTTTTATTAATGTAATTCTATTGATTAATGAATTTTAGGTTTATAGTCTCAGGAAAACTAAAATGTCAGAATCAATATTTCTAGGTAAAATCATAAGTGTTATATAATGTGTTTATTCATTCATTGATTTTACAAATATTAGAGAAAAGTTATTATTTTTGCAGGCAAAGATCTTTGCCTTCATGGAGTTTATAATTTAGCAAGTACAGGCAGTTGATAAAAATGGACAACCATAAAAAGTAAATTATAATAATACATGGTATAATATTTAATAGGACCTAAGTAGATATTACTTCAAATGTTCAGTTTGATTTATTCTAGTCACAATCTTTAAGACAAAGGGGAAAGCAAACAAAAACATACAAAAAAATTCATTCTATACAACCCACTGTTGTAGTCTGTCAGTTTATTGCAGTTAATGATGGTAATGGGAAATACCTGTGGAATGCTTTTAATTTTAGCGTGCTTAATTAACAGGAAATAAAATTATTCTAACTATAGCTATTAAACGAATATTACTGAATATTTCTGTTTGGTGAAACAATGTAGAACTGTGAGGTGAAATCCTATAAGTACAAATGAAACTTTGCTACTTTTTTAGTAGACCAGATGGTTCCCTCTTAGACTAATTAATCCTTTCTTCGAATGTTTGCATGACTCCTGAAGTACTTGTACCTTTATTGTGTTTGATGCAGTTCACAGCTTGCTTCATTTCAGGGCCCTGCGGATGTGTTGTGGTCATCAGTCCAGCAGATACTGTTTCACTCATCTTTCACTGACCACCTAGACTCTATGCATTGGCTTGAATCCTGTTGCTGTTAATAATCACAGCAAATGTTTCCATTGCTGTTTTATTGGGAAAATGATTCATTTCTCTCTTATTTCCAACTACTTGGAGGTTTGGGAACCCTCATGTTGATTTGGATTAGTGGCCAGAGTGATCAGTGGCTAAGACACAGAGCTCTTTGATGGGGAAACCACTGGCCTCCACTCTTAGGCTCTCTACTCTCTGAAGCATCATTTCCTGGTATAAATACAGAATAGTTAAATCTTTATTTATTCTTATCAATGTACTGATTAGGTCTGATTTCTTCCTGCTAACTCCTCATCCCCATCCCAGTTAAGCTAGTTTTTGTAACTCAAAACCCCAAAATCGCATATATTTGTTATTTCTGTCCTGTAGAGTCATTCATTCCTTTAGACATAAATTTGGAAATGCCACATGGTCAGGGATGGGAAAAAATAGTATTCTTCCATGTGTCATTAGTCTTACTAGAGACTAAATTGCCTTCATAGGCAAAGAGTCTGTCTAGTGTGTAAAGAGCATTGGTAGTTCAAAGAGCAAGGTGTATGAAGAGAGGAGACTTCTTCAAAGAGAAGAAACTTGCATTCAAATAAAGGCCTGCTTGCAGGCTGTATAAGCTTAGGCATTTTAGTTTCTTAACCTCTGTATCTTCAACATCAGATTCACAAATTGTATTAAGTTGATGCAAAAGTAATTGTGGTTTTTGCCATTAATGCACCAACCTAATAACTTTATTTATGGTGGTTGCAAGGCATAGAGAGAACATATCCATAAAGAAGGTAAAATTAAAAAGTATGTTATAGTTGCTAAAGCTCAAAGAAAGTCTCTAGTAATAGCTCACCTTTTATATATACAAATGTATGTGTGTATGTACATAGGACATTTTGAGTACTGCTGATAAGTATGTAGTATCACTGATAACTAATTGTGACTACACACACACACACACACACACACACACATATGTATCTTCAACACTGTATTTCTAGTTAGCTCTGTCTTGATTATGATTACCTATTAAATAAGGAAGTGTTACATGTCTAAATATTTTATATGTTTTTCATCAAGCAAACTTATTTAACCATAATTTCATGAACCAAAGTTGTGATAAAGCTGTAAATGATCTTTAAGCCTTTGATTTTGAATCTTTAGGAGTTTGATTTTGAAAATACAGCTAAGAGAATAAATGTATTTTATTTTATAATTGTTGTGAATATGAACTTGCTTATTTACTTGAATAATTGTACACATAATAATAAATAAAAATTTTGAATACTGCTGATCACTATGTACTATTGGTGATATCTACTAATGATGACTAACTTAAATTTGCTATTCACTAAAAATAAAAGTAAGTGTTTGAAAGGCGTTCTTTTTTTTTTTTTTTTTTTTTTTTTTTTGAAATGGAGTCTCACCCTGTTGCCTAGGCTGGAGTGCAGTGGCATGATCTTGGCTCATTGCTGCCTCTGCCTCCTGTCTTCAAGCAATTTCCTGCCTTAGCCTCCGCAGTAGCTCGAAGGCATGCACCACCACACCTGGGTAATTTATTTTTTGTATTTTTAATAGAGAGGGGGTTTCACCCTATTGGCCAGGCTAGTCTCAAACTCCTGACCTCAAGTGATCTGCCACCCTTGGCCTCCAGTAGTGCTGAGATTACAGGTGTGAGCTCCCATGCCTGACCACATTCTTTAAATGTATAAAATCTCTTCAAGTTTAAAATAATTTAAACCTATATTTGTCCTGTAAATGTTGTCTCTATTTTTGAACTCCTGGTTCTGTAGTTATTTTTTGTAAAATTATAACTACTTAAATTTAGCTAAAAATTGAATTCTTTTGTAGTTGTCAAAGCTCATGCAAATTTTTTATCAAATATTTTTCCCACATTCTTTTATAAAACATTATACAAATATCCCCAGCAACATTTCACTCTTCAGTCAGTCTTTCTATAAAATGCTCATGTTCAAAATCAAAGATAACATGAAATGTAGCTGACAATACTTACTTTGAACCCCTATTATACATTTTTAAGCCTTTAAAAATTCTTCTGGAAAGCTGTTAATATTAAAAATGAATAAGATATTAGTGTGTATGATGTTAATGACAAAGAAATAATACATTGTGTAGTTACAATAGTACATGAATTTAAGATCAGAAAGTTTTACTGGGCTGGAAGATGAATTCAAACTCCAAATGAAATTTAATCACTAGATCAGACATTTAATAAAATTGTTTAAATTAAGAACATAATCTTAAGTAAAAATTTTGGAGGAATTTGTTAATATGTTGATGTTCATTACATTACTGTTGGTAACAGTGTGAAAGTTTAATAAATCTAAAAGGCCATCAATATAGGAATATTTAAAGGCAAATCACAGAAAAATATATATCGTGTTATCTCAGTATGCCAAAGAGAACAATTATCTGCAAGTGTGTGTATGAATCAATAGAAATAGGTCTAGTGCATACATGGGAAATGGTAAATAGTGGGTACTTCTGGAGAGCACAGAGGTGTGGGAGTGTGAAAAAGGTCTTCCCCTGTTTACTTTGCATTTAGTTGTCTTTATTTTAACTTAAATGCGTAAAACACATGCCCGATTTTGGTGGCTCATGCCTGTAATCCTAGCGCTTTGGGAGGCCGAGGCGGGCAGATCAGGAGGTCAGGCGATCAAGACCATCCTGGCTAACACGGTGAAACCCCGTCTCTACTAAAACAAACAAAAAAATTAGCCAGGCGTGGTGGTGGGCGCCTGTAGTCGCTGCTACTCCGGAGGCTGAGGCAGGAGAATGGAGTGAACTTGGGAGGCGGAGCTTAGAGTGAGCGGAGATCGTGCCACTGCACTCCAGCCTGGGCGACAGAGTGAGACTCCGTCACACACACACACACACACACACACACACACACACACACACACAACCGATTTAATAGAATATATCAAATGAATCTCTTTTTTTTTTATTATTATTGTCATTCATGACCCCAGAGGAAACAAATGACTCATTCAAACTTACGGGCAGTGAAAAAGGAAACTACAAGTAATAGTGCAGTATCCTGGGACTGTTAATAGTGAGGGTTACTATTGCTATTCTTTATGGGGTAAGAGGAGAGAACTTTTTGGAACCCGGGGAGGATAATATCCTGTGGAGATGGCTGTTTTGAGAGAAGCTGTGTCCTTAGGCTTGGGAAAACAGGCAGACCCATGTGACCTACAAGGAGGAAGCTGGGAAATAAACTCCACAAGGTTAGTAACCTCATTGATCTCATTCGTCTTTCCTGCACTCATCACCTGCTGAGGCTGTTTGGCTGATGGCTTCCAGAGAGCAATGACTTGGATTGATCTAGTCTATACCATTAACACAATCTGTGCGGATATGTTTCTCGGGTTGGAGACCACCGTAGAGGAGGAAGGAGAGAGCAGCTACAGGTTAAACAAATTAAAATGTTAATAAAGCAATAAATATGTATACAAACAAATTGATTTTATAGCTGCTTTTGTTCATAACTTCAGCAGAATTAAACCATCTGGTTTGATTCGTTCTCTACATTGGACTTTTATTATACGTCACCAATTTAAATTTGGCTTTGTTTTCAAACCATAAGGAAAAGAGCTATGGAGATAATATCGAATAAACCAAAGAAATAACAATTGTTGAATTTGAAATGAATCTCCCAAAATCTAATTTATTATACATATAAACTCCTAGTAAAAAGCTGGTAAAGAAATTTTTTTTAGTTAAAAACACATAGTAAAAACACTAGTAAAGAACATACTGAAGAAAATATAACATGGTACAGTGAAACAACAACACCCAATAATACTGTGGACTAAACATTTCATCCTGGGTTAGGTGTGGGTGTTTTCCAAGGTTCTTTCAAGCTCTTTGTGCCTGAGAATTACAGTCTTCTTCTCATGTTTCAGTTACTCACAATAAACTGTCAACCTGATGATGCTTTCTAACTGTCTGTAAAATTGGCTATCATTTAACCATAAGTCATGTGGTTAAATGTTGAAATGCAATGTCAGTCATTGTCTTCCAATACGTACATGCTTAAGAGGCAATAAAATGCCACAAGGCAAACAGTACTGTCTTTGGGATAAAGATCACTGAACTTTGCTAATTGTCCTTGGTCAAGGTATTTACTGTTTCTAGGCCTTAGCTTCCTCAGTTATAAAATTGAAAACTGAATAACGACTTCATTAGATCACTGTAAATTCAGAGATAACAGGTAGTAAGTATTGACACAAGGTATTTGTTCACCAGAGCTAATTTCTGATTCTTGATGTGCTACCCTCCTCCTCCTCCTCCCCCAGGGGCGGTGCTTTTGGTTCTTAACCTAATTCTTGCCACCACAAGGTGAACAGCAGGCCAGTGAACTACCGCGGGTCCCACCACAGAGACCCTTAAGGCTGAAGTCCATGATGGTCTTTTCCTCCATTGGTGCAAATAATTGAGGATTGGCCTTCTTAATCTTGGAAATTTCAGCAAAGTTTAGCTAGGATTCCTTCTTTGTCTTTCTCAAGATGTAAACAAAATCAAGATTTATAACAGTGTAAGTGTGAAAACAATTCATATTCTTTCAAAGTGTACATTTCAAATGAAGTTATGTATTTTTGTGTCATTTTGCTCTATTTATAAGATGATTTCAGGAGAAAGAGAATATGTTCTTTGAAAACTAGTCTTGCCAGCTAATTTTTTTTAATGAAATATTGCATTGGGAACAATGCTGTGCCACCCTCTGAAGAATTGGTAAATCTTTATTGTTGTACATTCGGCATCCAAGAGAATGATTTGTTATTATTTTGTGTTCTCTTATTATTTTAGGAACAGTATAAACCTCTCTTATGTTTTTAAGTAATGAAATATGTTGCCTTTTAAATAGTTGGCTTTCAAATGGGCTACAGTAAATCTCTTAATCTCTGAGAATTTGTTGTACTATAAATTGCTCAGGACATGAATCCTGGTGATATTGATATACAATTTGTGTTTAAGTTCAACAATTGTTTGAGCTTCAGTGTACCTTATTCTTTGTAAACCTAAGGGTCAGCAACCCCAAAACCTGGATGACTAAAAAAGTAGGGTATTGTATTGTCTCATTTGTCTTCTGATAATAATGGAACTAATTAACTCTAGGACAACCTTGCCCTGCCCCTTGGCCTTCAAGGAAGTAATTTTAGAAATGGCCATACCTTGAGAATTTATATTGATTCAAATTTTCCCACAAAATGTATGTTATTTTTCCAATGCATTTTAGCTTTTTATTGAAATAATTTCAGATGTTTCAAAAAATAATACAGGGAGTTTTCATGTACCCTTCACTCAGCTTTCCCCAAAGGTAATGTTAACCTTATAAAACCATAGTACTTTATCACATGAGGAAACTGGCTTTGGTATACTATTAAACTACAAATTTATTTGGATTGTACTAGCTTTTACATGTTTTTGGGGGGGTATAGTTCTATGAAATTTTATCACATAGATACATTTTCATAACCATGCCCACAACCGGGATACACAATTGCTCTACTCCTAACATCTTCATAACACTAATCTCTAACTCCCTTTCCCCAACCTCGGCCTGTTCCCCATTGCTATAATTTTGTCATTTTGAAAATGTTGTATAAATAGAACCACACAGCATATAATGTTATTCTTCCAGAATGGTTTCTTTTAGGCAGCATTATGAATTTAAGATCTATGTTGTGTTATCAATAATCTGTTCCTTTTTATTGCTGAGTATTATTTCATTGTATAGATGATGTACTACAGTTTGTTTATTCATTCACTAGTTGAAAGACTTTTGAATATTACAAAGCTCCTATAAACATTTATGTACAGAGTTCTGTGAGGAAATAAATTTTCGTTTCTCTAGGATATTTAGGAATGAAATTGATGGGTTGGGTGGTAATATATGTTTAGCTTTATAAGAAACTGCCACAATGAATCCAAAGTGGCTGTACCATTGTATATTTCCAGTAACAATATGTGAGAGATTCTCTATATCCTCATCAGTTCTTGATGTAACCTGTCAGTATATTCTTTTCATTTTAGCCATTTTAATGGGAGTGTAGATATATTTCACTATCTTTTATTTCACGCTTTTATTTACATTTTCCAAATAACGAATGATGTCCCTTATCTTCTCATGTGTTTTGTTGTTTGCTTGACAACTTATATCTCTACTTAATGAACTATTCTTTTTTTTGTTTTATTATACTTTAAGTTTTAGGGTACATGTGCATAACGTGCAGGTTTGTTACATATGTATACATGTGCCATGTCGGTGTACTGCACCAAGTAACTCGTCATTTAACATTAGGTATATCACCTAATGCTATCCCTCCCTCCTCCCCCCACCCCACAACAGGCCCCAGTGTGTGATGTTCCCCTTCCTGTGTCCATGTGTTCTCATTGTTCAATTCCCACCTATGAGTGAGAACATGAGGTGTTTGGTTTGTTGTCCTTGCAATAGTTTGCTGAGAATGATGGTTTCCAGCTTCATCCATGTCCCTACAAAGGACATGAACTCATCGTTTTTTATGGCTGCATAGTATTCCATGGTGTATATGTGCCACATTTTCTTAATCCAGTCTATCATTGTTGGACATTTGGGTTGGTTCCAAGTCTTTGCTATTGTGAATACTGCCGCATTAAACATATGTGTACATGTGTCTTTATAGCAGCATGATATATAATTCTTTGGGTATATACCCAGTAATGGGATGGCTGGGTCAAATGGTATTTCTAGTTCTAGATCCCTGAGGAATCGCCACACCGACTTCCACAATGGTTGAACTAGTTTACAGTCCCACCAACAGTGTAAAAGTGTTCCTATTTCTCCACATCCTCTCCAGTACCTGTTGTTTCCTGACTTTTTAATGATGGCCATTCTAACTGGTGTGAGATGGTATCTCATTGTGTCTGTTGGCCGCATAAATGTCTTCTTTTGAGAAGTGTCTGTTCATATCCTTTGCCCACTTTTTGATGGGGTTGTTTGTTTTTTTCTTGTAAATTTGTTGGAGTTCATTGTAGATTCTGGATATTAGCCCTTTGTCAGATGAGTAGGTTGCAAAAATTTTCTCCCATTGTGTAGGTTGCCTGTTCACTCTGATGGTAGTTTCTTTTGCTGTGCAGAAGCTCTTTAGTTTAATTAGATCCCATTTGTCAATTTTGGCTTTTGTTGCCATTGCTTTTGGTGTCTTAGACATGAAGTCCTTGCCCATGCCTATGTCCTGAATGGTATTGCCTAGGTTTTCTTCTAGGGTTTTTATGGTTTTAGGTCTAACATGTAAGTCTTTTATCCATCTTGAATTAATTTTTGTCTAAGGTGTAAGGAAGGGATCCAGTTTCAGCTTTCTACATATAGCTAGCCAGTTTTCCCAGCACCATTTATTAAATAAGG
This sequence comes from Homo sapiens, assembly GCF_000001405.40. Taxonomy (NCBI): domain Eukaryota; kingdom Metazoa; phylum Chordata; class Mammalia; order Primates; family Hominidae; genus Homo; species Homo sapiens. Next base: position 22,138,573 of record NC_000003.12, on the reverse strand, counting down.
AATCCTTTCCCCATTTCTTGTTTTTGTCAGGTTTGTCAAAGATCAGATAGTTGTAGATATGTGGCATTATTTCTGAGGGCTCTGTTCTGTTCCGTTGGTCTATATCTCTGTTTTGGTACCAGTACCATGCTGTTTTGGTTACTGTAGCCTTGTAGTATAGTTTGAAGTCAGGTAGTGTGATGCCTCCAGCTTTGTTCTTTTGGCTTAGGACTCACTTGGCAATGCGGGTTCTATTTTGATTCCATATGAACTGTAAAGTAGTTTTTTCCAATTCTGTGAAGAAAGTCATTGGTAGCTTGATGGGGATGGCATTGAATCTATAAATTGCCTTGGGCAGTATGGCCATTTTCATGATATTGATTCTTCCTACCCATGAGCATGGAATGTTCTTCCATTTGTTTGTATCCTCTTTTATTTCATTGAGCAGTGGTTTGTAGTTCTCCTCGAAGATGTCCTTCACGTCCCTTGTAAGGTGGATTCCTAGGTATTTTCTTCTCTTTGAAGCAACTGTGAATGGGAGTTCACTCATGATTTGGCTCTCTGTCTGTTATTGGTGTATACGATTGCTTATGATTTTTGCACATTGATTTTGTATCCTGAGAGTTTGCTGAAGTTGCTTATCAGCTTAAGGAGATTTTGGGCTGAGACGATGGGGTTTTCTAGATATACAATCATGTCATCTGCAAACAGGGACAATTTGACTTCCTCTTTTCCTAATTGAATACCCTTTATTTCCTTCTCCTGCCTGATTGCCCTGGCCAGAGCTTCCAACACTATATTGAATAGGAGTGGTGAGAGAGGGCATCCCTGTCTTGTGCCAGTTTTCAAAGGGAATGCTTCCAGTTTTTGTCCATTCAGTATGATATTGGCCGTGGGTTTGTCATAGATAGCTCTTATTATTTTGAGATACGTCCCATCAATACCTAATTTATTGAGAGCTTTTAGCATGAAGGGCTGTTGAATTTTGTCAAAGGCCTTTTCTGCATCTGTTGAGATAATCGTGATTTTTGTCTTTGGTTCTGTTTATATGCTGGATTACGTTTATTGATTTTCACATGTTGAACCAGCCTTGCATCCCAGGGATGAAGCCCATTTGATCATGGTGGATAAGCTTTTTGATGTGCTGTTGGATTCGATTTGCCAGTATTTTATTGAGGATTTTTGCATCAATGTTCATCAAGGATATTGGTCTAAAATTCTCTTTTTTTGTTGTGTCTCTGCCATGTTTTGGTATCAGGATGATGCTGGCCTCGTAAAATGAGTTAGGGAGGATTCCCTCGTTTTCTATTGATTGGAATGGTTTCAGAATGAATGGTACCAGCTCCTCCTTGTACCTCTGGTAGAATTCGGCTGTGAATCCGTCTGGTCCTGGACTTTTAATGAACTATTCTTAAGTAGTTGAGGTTTACAGAAAAATTAGTAAAAAACACAGAAAGATCTTATATACCGCAGCTCCCCAAATATTAGTTTAGGTAATAGTACATTATTAACTAATGTCCGTAGTTGGCACTGGGGCTCAATCCTTGTGTTATACATTCTATGGGCTTTGACAAATGCTAAATGATATATATCCACCACTACATGATCATATAGAATAGTTTTACTGCCCTAAAAATCCACTGTGCTCTATCTAATCATCCCTCTATTCCTTCTCTAGAATCCTTCATCTTTTTACCGATTTCATAGTTTTGCCTTTTCCGTAATGTCACATAGTTGGAATTCTACAGTGTATGCCTTTTCAGATTGATTTTTCCAGTTAGAAAATGCACTTAAGTTTCCTCCATGTCTTTTAGTGGCTTGACAGTTCTCTTCTTTTTATCACTGAATAATATTTCATTTTTTGAATGTACCACAATTTGCTTATCCATACTCCTATTGAAGGACATAATGGTTGCTCCCACGTTTTGGCAATGATTAATAAAGCGATATGCTTGTTTGTTATCTACATATCTTTTTTGATCAAATGTCTGTTTAACTCTTTTTCTGGTTTGTAAATTGGATTTTTCCTACCCTTATTATTGATTTTATAGCATTCTTTATATATTCTGAAAATGGATCATTTGCTTCTAATGTGGGTTTGAAATATTTTCTCTCAATCTATAACTTGTCATTTTTTAGCAATGTGTTTAACTGAGAAAGGGTTTTAATTTTGATGATATGTAGATTGTTGATACTTTTTTTTTTTTTAGACAAAGTCTCACTTTGTCGCCCAGGCGGAAATAAAGTGGTGTGATCTTGGCTCAGTGCAACCTCTGCCTCCCAGGTTCAAGCGATTCTCGTACCTCAGCCTCCCGAGTAGCTGGGACTACAGGCCTATGCCATGATGCCCAGCTAATTTTGTTTTTAATTTTTAGTAGAGATGAGGTTTCACCATGTTTCCCAGGCTGGTCTCAAACTCCTGAGCTCAGGCGATCCATCCGCCTTGGCCTCCCAAAGTGCTAGGATTATAGGCATGAGCCACCACGCCTGGCCTCTTATACGGATTATCCTTTTGTTGTCATGTCTTAGATCCCTTCACTAACGCTAGGTCACAAGACTTTCTCTTCTTTTTTCTCTTACTAATTTTGTAGCATATTTATGTCAAGGGTGTGACCCATTTTCAGTTGATTTTTATATAAAGTGTGAGGTTAAAGTTATTATTTTTGCCTGTGGATGTGCAATTGTCTTAGTATCATTTATTAAAAGATTAACCTTTCTTTATTTAATTGTTTTTGCAACTTTGACAAGTATCAGTTGGCTGTACTTGTGTGGGTCAATTTCTGGACTCTCTCTTCTGTTATATTGGTCTGTGTCTATACTTTTTTACCAAAACTACAATGGCCAATTACTGTAGTTCTATAGTAAGTCTTAACAGTGGGTAATTTGGTGACTTAAATTTTATTCTTTTTTCAAAATAATTTTAGCTGTTGTAGCTACTTAATTTCTTTTTCTTCCCTTAAGTTGTAGAGTCAGCTTATTAAATCTACAAAGATTTTACTGGGATTTGGATAAGAATGCATTAAACCCATTGATCAATTTAAGAAGAGTTGACATTTTTACTATGTTGAGTCTTTCATTCTATGAATGTTGTATGTTTCTCCATTTATTTAAGGCTTTGTAGATGTAACATACAGTGCCTGGAGTGTTAGATTTATACTGAGGTGTTACAGTGTTTGAAACTATTATAAATTGTATTTTAAATGTCTGTTTTCAATTATTATTGCTTGTATACAAAAATAAGTTATGTGTGTATGTTGGGGTATGTGTGTATGTTGGGGTATGTGTGTGTGTGTGTGTTGACCTTATATCTGCTGAACTTGCTGAGCTCTCTTACTAGTTATAGGAGCTTTCTTGTACATTCTTTGCAAATTTTGAAGTTGCCAATATGTCTATAAATAAGGATGATTTTGTTTCTTTTCAATTTGTAAGTCTTTTCTTTTCTTGCTTCTTTATACTGACTAGGATTTGCAGTATGCTGTTGAATAGGACTGGGAAAAGTGGCTAATCAGGTGTTTGGAGATTTTCCTGTTTTCTTTCTGGTTAAGAGTTCTACTATGATTCTCTTATGATCAAAGGATATACTTTGTATGATTGTTAATTATTTTTAATTTGTAGAATGCAGTCATTTTCATAATTCATGCACTGGAAACATAATCTTCTACGTACTAGTGTTGGAAGGTTGGACCTAATGAGAGGTGACTAGGCTATGAGGGTTCTGTCATAATGCGATTATGGCCAAGAGTGGGTACCTTATAAAAGTATGAGTTAGACCCCTCTTTTATCACTATCTCTCTCTCTTGTCCTTCTACCTTCTGCCATGGTATGAAGCAACAGGGAGGCCCTTGCCAGCTATGGACCCTCAATCTTGGACTTCTCAGCCTCTAGTGCTGTGAGCCAAATAATCTTCTGTTCATTGTAAATTATACAGTCTTAGGGATTCTGTTGTAGTAGCACAAAATGAACTAAAACAGGGAGAGTTGTTTTATATGTTAGGTATGGCCTCTTTTAGTAAATGTCCCATGTATGCTTGAAAAAATATGTATTCTGCCACTGTTTGGTGGAGTGTTCTGTAATTGTCAGTTAGATTTTGTTGGTTGACGATGTTGTTTAGATCTTCCATATTCTTCCAGATTTTCTGTCTAGTAGTTTTAATGATTGCTAAGAGAGAGGTTTGGAAGTCCCTAATAATTTTTTTTCTTTCAGTTTTGCCATTTTTGCTTCAAGCATTTGGAAGTTCCATGGTAGGGACATATCCATTTAGCATTATATCTTCTTGGTAAGTTGAGCCTTTGTAATTTTTTTGTTCTGAATTACATTTTGTTTAATATTAATATAACACTCCAGTATTCTTTGACTAGTGTTTATTTTCCTGTCCTTTTCCTTTTAACTAACCTATATAATATTTACAGTTCATTTCTCATTGATAATATATAGTTGTTAGGTTTTAGTCATTCTGATGATCTGTTTTTGTTGGTGTATTTAGGCAATTTATATTGTATGAAATTATTGATACTTTAGTATTTAAGTCTATAAATTGATCATTTGTTTTCTGTTTGTTCTCCCTGATTTTCTGTCTGTTTCCCCTTTTCTGCCTTTCTATAGTTTACAGAACATTCTATGCAGTTTCTTATATGGACCACTCATGGAGCTGTTCAGATTTTCATACAAAAAGAGGTTGTTTTTTTTTCTGGCAATATTATCTGTCACAATTATCCCTTCACTTAGTAGTTAGAAGTCGGGGGGTGCTAAGAGCAATTTCCACAGATGCTTTGTTTGTGGAGAAAAGTAGGATGGCCCCTCTGCTTGTCTTAGTGCAGAGCAAGGAATGGCTTCGAAGCCATTCCTTGAGTACTGAGGTCTCTGTGTAGTCTTACTTCTTTTCTGAATTTTTCAGAGTCTTCTGATAGTTGCTTGATATATTTTGTCTATGGTTTTCAGTTCTATGTAGTAGAAAGAATAGAGTATCTCCCCCCAGTCCTCTAAGTAGAAATAAAAATTAATATAAAAAATTAAGTAATGTGCTTATTACTTGATCTTGCCTCAAACCAGATATGCAGTCTGTATGAAATTTAATCATTCTTATTTTAATGTGATTATAATGCTGTATTCTAGCATACAATTATAGCAGTTTTTTTGATATGTCTGTTATATAACCTTTCTCTCTCCCTCCTCTTCTCTTTTCCTGCCTCTCCTTCCCTCCCTGTCTTTCACACACAGGCACACCCCATATAGAGATATAGAGAGTTTATGTTCAGTATTCTACTGCATAATCTGAGGAGACTGCTTTTTTAAACTTCAGATTTTCATGTTATTAAGAAGGATATTAAGGAAATTTTCTTGTGAAATTAAAAAAGAAGGATGTTGAAGATACGAAGTATTTCCCAAAGCTGGAGATATTTAAGAATCCAAATCCTTTGTTTATATCTCCAGGAAGGGTATTTGAGGGTATTTTTTAAAGATTATTCTTGTAAAACTAGCTTTATTTTTATTAAAAGAGATAAATTAGCTGCACTTTCATTTAATAAGTCAATTAGCTTTCATAAATACCTATAATTTTAGTCCTTGGGGAAACTATAGAAATTTTCTAGTCTAACCCTTTCATTTTAAAACAGAACAATTTACAGTAACTTTATAGTGTTTACACAGTCTGAATCTTTTGAGTTACATTTTCATAAGTTAACCGAATACTCAGTGAATAACTTGGTTGGGTTAATCTCTTCCTTAAATTTTAAAATATCTTTAGCGCTTTACATAAGATATATTTTTTAGAATTTCAGAATAGAAAGAAATCACAATTAAGTATAAATATACTTTTAGTGCCTTTTAGATAAAGACATGGGTAAATTATTAAGTATTTATAATATTACTATCTCTTATGCACTAGATCTTTAAACAATCTGAAATATTAATAAAGACCATTAATTGTTATTACTATTAAGTAACGTTTCTACAGTTCATCTAGAGGAATTTTTTTCAGAAAATGAATTCAGTGAAACATTGGTCTTATAGTATATTGAGGCATATGTTGAAATAAATTTGGGCTAATTTTTTGCATTGATTCTGCCAACTATCCTCTGAAACTTACCTATATCTTATTCTTAGTTCCCTCCTTATTCAGCTTAAATTGTGTATTTTATCATTTGTCTTAGTGTGTTTGAACTGCTATTACAAAATATCATAAACTGGGTAGATTTTAAATAGCAGAAATGTATTTATCTCAGTTCTGAAGGCTGGGAAGTCCAAAATTAGAACACCAGCAGATTTGGTATCTGATGAATGTCCGTTTCTTAGTTCATAGATGGCACTGTTTCATGTGTTCTCATATGTTAGAAGGTGCAAAAGGTCTGTTTCCTTTTTTTATAGGGGCTCTATTGCCATTCATTAGGGTTCTACCCTTGTGACCCAAGATCCTGCCTCCAAATACCATCACCACAGGGGTTAAGATTTCAACAAATGAATATGACATGGACACTAATATTCAGACCATAGCACCACTATAATCACTTCTTTGCATATACCCTAAACGTTTTTTCCTCTTTATCAATTGATGAACAAAATGTCAACTCTAGTTATATAATGCAATTCTCCTACTTCAGGCCTGCACCCCTACAGGTGAACATACTTAATATGTTTGTTCAGACTTCCATACTGGCTTGTTTTATTTTAAATTCATTAGCATCAGCCTCCAGTGAGTTCTTAATGCTACAAAATAATCATATTATGTTTCCCTGACTTATACCTTCTCTCAACCCACTGGATGATTCTTTCATACTTTCCCTTAAGGTTTAATAGCTTTCTCTCATCTGTATTCTCAGGAGATAACTCTGACTATAAAAGTAGAAGCGATCAACATGAACTTTCAAAAACTCCCTCTGTGATATCTCCCTAGCTGCCTGGATCTGTAGTCATATGCTCTGCCATCACTCCTTTACCTCTGGATAAACATCTGTTCTCTTTGCAGTGGCCTTCCCTTCCACTTATACCTTTGCTCTGTCCTCTTTTTAGTCCCATTCCATCCTGTAACAGTTCCTTCCATTCTCTCCTGATACATCATTTTTCATTCTCTACTGGGTATTTCTCATCAATATGAAAATACACTATTCTTTTATCTTAAAAATATTCTCTTCACTTCATTTTTCTCTCTACTTCAACCCCACCTATTCCTTTTCCCCTTATAGAAAAACACTTTGAAAGAGCTTTCTTTCTTTCTTCTAAACTTTTTTTTTAATCTACTCCAAATAGGCATTGCTTCCTTTACCTGTTCACTGAAACTCTTCTTTTTAAGGTCACCAATGACTTCATGCTGCTAAATCCAAAGGTCAGCTCAGTCCTCATCTTACCGGACTGTTTTGCCAGTCTTCCTGACCACATCGTCTCTGTCTTATTTGCTAGTTCCTCATTGCCCACCCTGACTTCTAAATGTTGGAGTGCTGCAGGGCTTAGTTCTTGGAATTCTTCTTTGTTTTTTCCATTATCTTATACATTTTATCCAAACATCATGAATTTAACTGTTATTTTGTTTTATTGTGTTATCTTATAGATTTTCTCCGAATGTCATAAATTTAACTGTTCTCTAAGCATGCATGATTCTCAATATTTTTTTTTAGCCTGGATCTGTCTTCCAAGCTCCAGAAACAGATAGTCTATAGCTAATTAATGCCTACACTAGTATGTGATAAATAAAAATAAATAAATAGAGGTGATGCAAGATGGCCAAACAGAACCCACTAATGATTGTTCCCCCAAAGGAACATCAAATTGAACAACTATCCACAGAAGAAGGTACCTTCATAAGAACCAAAAATCTGGTGAGCAATCATGGTACCCAGTTCTAACATCATATCAAGGAAAGAAGCAGGAAAGATGGTAGAAAAGGCAGTCTTGAATTGTCTACACCGCCCCTCTCCTATCTCCCAGCAGTGTCAAATGGTGTGGGAAGAGAGAATCTGTGCTCTTGGGGGAAGGAAAATGTAGTGAAGTTTTCACTGGGAAATTGGAAGTTTGCATTGGAACTCAGTGCTGCCCTGTCACAGCAGAAAGCAACACGGAGCAGATTTGGCCAGCTTGGAGGAAGCATTTAGACCAGCGCTACCCAAGGGGAAATCATCCGTCCCAGTTATCAGAACTGGAGTTCTAGCTGTACCCATCACAGTGGGCTAAAGCACAATGGGTTTCTAAATAAACTTGAAAGGCAGTCTAGGCCACAAGGATTGTAATTAATTCCTGGGGAAGGTCTGGTGCTGTGCTGGGTTTGAAGCCATTGGACGTTGGGTACATATGACCTAGTGAGATACCAGCTGGGTTGGCTAAGGGGATACTTGCATCACCCTTCTCCCAACTTTAGGCAGTGCAGCTTGCAACTGTGGGAGAAGACGGAAGAGTAAAGAGGACTTTGTCTTGCAACTTGGATTCCAGCTTAGCCACAGTAAAAATGAAGCAGCAAGCAGAGTCCTGAAGTCCCCATTCCAGGCCATAGCTCCCAGATGATGTTTTTAGACCCACCCAGGGCCACAAAGGATTCCAATGGCCTGAAGAGAAGGACCCAGTTCTGGCAGAATTTACAACCTGCTGGCTTAAGAATCCTTGAGCCTTGAATAAACATCAGCAGTAGCCAGGCAGCAGTCGCCATGGGCCTTGGGAAAGACCCAATATTATGCTGGCTTCAGGTGTGACCCAGGACACTCCCAGCTGTGGTGACCATAAGAAGAGACTCCTTCTGTTTGAGGAAAAGAGAGGGAAGGGTCTTACAACTTTGGCACATGGTCAGCCACAGTAAAATAAAGCACCACTCAGACTCCTAAATGCCCTACTTCCAGGCTTTAGCTCCTGGAGAGTGTTTTTAGGCCCACCTTGGGCCAGAAGGAAGCCTGTTACCCTGAAAAAACAGACTGAGTCCTGGAAGAAGTCACCACTTTATGACTAAAGAGCCCTTGGGTCTTGAATAAACACCAGTGATATCCAGGCTACAGTCACCACAAATCTGGGTCAGTTATGGCCGTGGGCAGAGATTCTGCTTCAGGAAAGGACAGGGATAAGTAAAGAGGATTCTGTCTTGCAACCTGAGTATTAGCTCAACCCCAGTAAAAGAAAGCACCAAGCCAATTCCTAAAGTCCCTGATACCAGTCCCTAGCTCATGGAGGGCATTTTTAGACCCACCTTGGGCCAGAAGGGAACCTGCTGCACTGAAGGAAAAGACTTAGTCCTGGCAGGATTCATCACCCGCTGACAGAGGCCTTGGGCCTTGAACAAACTCAGCAGTATCCAAGGAATAGTCACAACAGGCCTTAGGCAAGAACCAGCTTGTTTCAGGTATGACGAGGCACAGTCCCAGCTGTGGTGGCCATGGGAATGCTTGTGTCACCACTCCTCCAGCTCTAGGTAGCTCAGCAGAGAGAGAGAGAGACTCTGTTTGTTTGGGGAAAAGTAAGGAAAGAAAACAAGAGACTCTCCCATGTAATCCATGGAATTCTCCTGGATCTTACCCAAGACCACCAAGGTGGTACATATACAAGTCTGCAAGAGTCTTAGAGTTGCTGGGCATAGGGTGCTGCCTAATGCCCATATGGCTGCAGTGACCAAAGACTTAGAACACAACACTCAATTCCCTTTCAATACATGGAAAACCTTCTCAAGTAGGACAGGTATAGACAAGCCTAGACTGCAAATATTAGAATAAATACCTAGTTCTTCTAAAAGAGACAACAGTGACCAATTTCAGAGTGACAAGAAATGTGACCTTTCAGCATTCAAAATAGCTGTTTTGAGGAAGCTCAGTGATATCCAAGAAAACACAGGAGAAGGAATTCAAAATCTTATATAAATTTAACAAAGCCATTGAAATAACTAAAAAGAATCAAGCAGAAATTCTGGAGCTGCTCTTCAAAATTCTGCTGCTCTGTAAAAATTCAATTGACAAATTGAAGAATGCAACAGAGTCTCTCAACAGCATAATTTATCAAACAGAAGAAAGAATGAGTGAGTTTGAAGATAGACTATTTGAAAATTCACAGAGGAGACAAAAAGAATAAAAAATAATAAGACACACATACAAGATCTAGAAAATAGCCTAAAAAGTGCAAACATAAGAGTTATTGATCTTAAAGAGGAGCTATTGGTGAGAAAGTTAATTCAGAGAGACAACAGAGAACTTTCTAAACCTAGAGAAAGATATTAAATATTCAGCTACAAGAAGGTTATAAAACACCAAGAAGATTTAACCCAAATAAGAGTACCTCACGAAATTTAATAATCAGACTCCCAAAAGTCAAGAATAAGGGAAAGATTCTAAGAATAGCAAGAGAAAAGAAATAAATAAATAACACATAAAAGAGCTCCAATGCATCTGGCAGCAGATTTCTCAATGCAAACCTTACAGGTTAGGAGGGAGTGGCATGATATACTTAAAGTGCTGATGGAAAAAAACTTTTAACTTAGAATAGTATATCCATCAAAAATATATTTCAAAGATTAAGGAGATACAAAGAGCTTCCCAGACAAACAAAAGCTGAGAGATTTTATCAACACTGTACATAACCTACAAGAATGGCTAAAGAGAGTTTTTCAATCTAAAAGAAAAGGATGTAATGAGCAATGAGAAATCACCTGAAGGTACAAAACTCACTGGTAATATTAAGTACACAGACAGATACACTGCAGTTCTGGTATGTAAACTACTCATATCTTTAGTAGGAAGACTAAAAGATGAAACTACCAAAATAATAACTACAACTTTTAAAGACATAGATAGTATAGTATGATATAAACAGAAACAACAAAAAGTTAAAGAGTGGGAGAGGTGAAGTTAAAGTGTAGAATGTCTTTAGTTTTTCCTTTGCTTGTTTAGTTTCTTTGGTTGTTTTTGCAATCAGAGTTAACTTGTCATCAATTTAAAATAATAGATTATAAGATAATATTTGTGAGCCTCATGGGAATTTCAAATCAAGAAAACATTTAGGGCCAGGCACGGTGGCTCACGCCTGTAATCCTAGCACTTTGGGAGGCCAAGGTGGGCAGATCACTTGAGGTCATAAGTTCAAAACCAGCCTGGACAACATGGTGAAACCCCATCTCTACTAAAAGTACAAAAATTAACTGGGTGTGGTGGCAGGTGCTTGTAATCCCAGCTACTAGGGAGGCTGAGGCAGGAGAATCGCTTGAAGCCAGGAAGCAGAGGTTTCATTGAACCAAGATTGCACCACTGCATTCCAGCCTGGGTGACAGAGTGAGACTCTGTCTCAAAAAAAAAAAAAAAAAAAAAAAAAAAAAAAAAAAAAAAAGCAGGAAATGAAAACATACTACCAGAGAAGATCACTTTCACAAAAAGAATATAGGACAGAAGGAAGGAAGAAAGTGAAAACCACAAAACAACCAGAAAAGAAATAACAAAATGTCAGGAGTAAGTCCTTAGTTATCAATAATAACATTGAATGTCAATGTCCTAAACTCTTTGATCAAAAACAGTGACTGAATGGATAAAAAGTAAGACCTAATGATCTATTGCTTATAAGAAACACATTTCACCTGTAAAGACACACAATAGACTGAAAATAATGAGATGGAAAAAGATATTCCATACTAATGAAAGCCAAAAAAGAACAGGAATAACTATACTTGCATCAGATAGAAGAAATTGTTAAGACAAAAATCACAAAAAAGGGACAAAGAACTTTATTATGTAATTTTACAGGAATGAATTCATCAAGATGATATACCAATTATAACTGTATATGCACCCAATGCTGGAAAACCCAGATATAGAAAACAAATACTATTAGAGCTAAAGAGAGAGATACAATAATAGTTGGAAACTTCAACATTCCACTTTCAGCATTGGGCAGATAATGCACACAGAAAATCAACAAAGAGATATTATAACTAATCTGCTCCATAGACCAAATGGACCTAATATATATCTACAGAACATTTCATCCAATGGCTGCAGAATACACATTTTTTCTCCTCAGAATACGGATCATTCTCAAGGATGGAGCATACATTAGGTCACAAAACAAGTCTTAAAACGTTCAGAAAAATTGAAATAATATCAAATATCTTCTCGACCACAATGGAATAAAACTAGAAACCAATAACAAGAGGAAGTTTGAAAAGTGTACACATGGAAAGTAAACAATATGCTCCTGAATGACCAGAAATTAAAAAGGAAATTTTAAAATTCCTTGAGGTAAATGAAAATGGAAACACAACATACCCAAACCTTAGTAAGAGGAAGGTTAATAGCAACAAGTGCCTACACCAAAAAAGTGAAAAAAAAAAAAAAAAAAAACAACTTTCAAATACATAACCTAATGATGCATCTTAAATCCCACAATGTGGGATTTATTGCATGGATCAAGGATGGCTCAATATATGCAAATCAGTCAATATGATACATTATATTAGCAGAATGAGGGACAAAAATCATATAATCATTTCGATTGATGCTGGAAAAGCATTTGATAAAATTCACCATTTCTTCATGATACAATCCCTCAAAAACCTGGGTATACAAGGAACATACCTCAACAAAATAAAGGCATATATTACATACTCATAGAGACTATCATGCTGAATGGAAAAAAATTAAAAGCTTTTTCTCTAATGTCTGGAACACAACAAGGATGCCCACTGTCACCACTGTTATTCAACACAGTACTGAAAGTATCAGCTAGATGAATCAGGGAAGAGAAAGAAATGAGACATCCAGGTTGTAAACGAAGAAGTCAAATTATCCTTCTTTGCAGATGATATGATCTTGTATTTGGAAATACCTAAAGACTTCACCAAAAAATGATGAGAATTGATAAATTCAGTTAAGTTGCAGGATACAAAATCAACATACAAAAATCATTAGCATTTCTATATGCCAACAGTGAACAATTTGATAAATCAAGAATATAATTTCATTTATAATGGCTACCAATAAAATACCTGATAATAAACTTAACCAAAAATGTGAAAGACCTTTACAAGAAAACTATAAAACGTTGATGCCAGAAATTGAGGATGACACATAAAAATGGAAAGATAATCTATGTTTATGGATTAGAATGTTCATGAATTGGAAAAATAATATTGTTAAAATGTTCATACTATTCAAAGCAATCCACAAGTTCAATGCAATCCTTGTCAGAATAGCATTGACAATCTTCACAAAGATAGAAAAAAAATCCTAAAAATTATATGGAACCATAAAAGTCCCAGGACAGCCAAAGTTATTCTTAGCAAAAAGAGCAAAACTGAAGGAATCACATACCTGACTTCAAGTTATGCTACAGAGCTATAGTAACCCAAACAGCATGCCACTGACTTAAAAACAGATGCATACACTAGTGAAAGAGAATAGAGAAACAAGAAATAAATTTATACACCTACAATGAAGTCATTTTTAACAAAGGTGCCAAGAACATACATTGGGAAAAGGATAGTCTCTTCAATAATGATGCTGGGTAAACTGAACATATGTATGCAAAAGAATGGGACTAGCTGCTATCTTTTTTCCCATACAGAATAAAATTAAAGTCGATTATAGGCTTAAATCTAAGATCTCAAACTATGAAACTGCTAAAATAAAACCTTGGGGAAACTTTCCAGGATGTTGGTCTGGGAAAATATTTCTTGAATAATACCCCACAAGCACAGGCAACCAAACCAAAATTGGACAAATGGGGTCACATCAAATTAAAAAGCTTCTATGCAGCCAAGGAAACAGTCAACAAAGTGAAGAAACAACGCACAGTATGGGAAACAATTATTTGCAAACTATCCATCTGACAAGAAACTAATAACCAGATATATAAGGAGCTCAAACAACTCTATAGGATAAAATATATTTATCCAATTAAAAGTGGACAGAAGATCTGAATAGACAATTCGCAAAAAAGACATACAAATAGCAAACAAATATATGAAAATATGATCAGCATCATTGATCAGAGAAATGCAAATCCAAACTACAGCGATATATTACCTCACCCTATTTAAAATGCTTTTATCCAAAAGATGAGCAATAATGAATTCTGGCGAGAATGTGGAGACAGGAATCCTCATACACTGTGGGAATATAAATTAGTACAGCCACTATGGAGAAAAGTATAGAGGTCCACAAAAAACTAAAAATAGAACTACTGTGTGATCCAGCAATACCACTGCTAAGTATGTATACCCTAAAAAGGAAATCAGTATATCAAAGAGATATCTGCACTCCCATGATTTTTGCAGCAGTATTTATAATAGCTATGAATTGGAATCAACCTAAGTGTCCATCAACAGATGAATGGATAATGAAAATGCGGTACTTATACACAATGAAGTACTATTCAGCCATTACAAAGAATGAGATCATGTCATTTGCAACAGCATGGATGAAGCTGAAGGACATAATAAATGAAATAATCCAGACACAGAAAAACATGACATATTCTCACTTGTGGGAGCTAAAAATTAATACAGTTGAACTCGGGGAGATAGAGAGTAGAATAACGGTTACCAGAAGCTGAGAATTGTAGGGGTGAGGGAGAATGGGAATGGTTAATGCACACAAAAATAGTTAGATAGAATGAATAAGACCTAGCAGTTGCTTGCACAACAGGATGAGTTCAGTCAGCAATATATATATATATATATATATATATAGAGAGAGAGAGAGAGAGAGAGAGAGAGAGAGAGAGAGAGATGGAGTCTAGCTCTAGTTTTTGTTTTGTTTTTGTTTGGTTTGGTTTGGTTTGGTTTTTCTGAGACAGAATTTTGCTCTTGTTGCCCAGGCTGGAGTGCAGTGGTGCAATCTCAGTTCCCTGCAACCTCCGCCTCTTGGGTTCAAGCAATTCTCCCTGCCTCGGCCTCCCGAGTAGCTGAGATTACAGGTGCCCACCACCACACCCAGCTAATTTTTGTACTTTTTAGTAGAGATGGGGTTTCACTATGTTGGCCAGGCTGGTCTTGAATGCCTGACCTCAGGTAATCCACCTACTTTGGCCTCCCATAGTGTTGGGATTAAAGGCGTCAGCCACCGCGCCCGGCCCAGTCAGCAATAATTTTTTGTTGTACATTTTATATACATTTTAGAATAGCTGAGGGAGTACAATTGGAAAGTTTGTAACAAAGAAATGATAAATGCTTGAGGTAATGCATACCCCATTTACCGTGGTGTGATTACACATTTTATGCTTGTATCAAAATATTTTATAAATATATACACTTACCTCATCAATATATACACCAAAATATCCCGTAAATATATACATCTACCATGTACCCATAAAGATTTTAAAAACTAATTATATAAATAAATATCTCAAATATAACTTGTGTAAAACTGTACTCTTGAACTTCTCACTTTAAGATCTACTCCTCCTACCTTCTTGGTAATTCAGTCTCCCCCGCTTCTCCCCTCCACTTTTTCTCTTTTCTCTTCTCTTCTCTTCCATCCTGTCTCATCCCATTGCATCTCATCTTATGCTATTCTAATCACTCCCAACAATCTATCAACTCATCATCCAGAGTGTTTCTATCAGAACAGATGTCAGATGCTATTCTTCTTTTGCTCAAAGGAAAGAATGTCATGGTTGTCCTCCATGACAACCCATTGCATTTGGAATAAAAGTAGTCTTTAAAGTTGCCTCCAAAGCCCTATATGATCTTATCTCCTAATACTTTTCTTAAATCATTTCTTGCTCCTTTTCCAGTCACTTATGGCGTTCACCCATACTGCTTTACTTCATCTTTTGCCAATGCAAAGGAAGCTTGATTTCTACATCAGGGCCTTTGCATTTGATGTTGCCTCTGTTTAAAGTATTTTCAGAAAACTGCATGCATGACTCATTTCTTCACCCCCTTTAGCATGTGACTCGAATGTCACCGTCTCAGTAGGCCTTTCTTGGTACTTTCCATATCCAAATTGTTACCTCCCCCATATATATACTCTCTGTTCTTCTTTCTTCCATAGAACTTATTATTCAAGAAACCCTATATGACACTTATTATCTTATTTTTTTCTCTTTCTGTTTTTGAAATTAAGCTCTACAAATGCAGAGAGCTTTGTCACTTTTCTTTATGGCTGTGTCATCAGCACCTAGAAAAGATTCTGACATATATTTAGTGCTCAATATTTTTAGTATGATTAGAGTCAATACATACATTTTTCATAGTAGACAATATTTCATTTGATATACTTACTATAATTTTATGTTTGAGAAAATACTATTATTGGGAAATGAGATCCACAACTAGTTACTTCTATAAAATCCAGAATCAATTACAGTGGAAAAAAAACAATTTTTTAGGGTAAAAATGGAAACCCTTTGATGACTTCAGCCGAATGCAGGTCCTGATGCTTGTCACTTGCAAGCTTCAATTAGTAAGAGCAAGTTCTGGTAGAAAGAAGGTAAACTTATTAACTAAAACTAGTAAAGGGGAAGCAGTCAGATTTTTACCCAAGGTAACAGCTTTGATTTTGAGGGGGAAGGAAGGGGTTTAAAAAAAGAAAACTTGATAAAGAAGTCAGGCAAAAATTGGGCTGAGACGATATTTGTGCATGTTGCTCTAGTGGCTATCAGTCCACCTGACCTTGGGCTGGTGTCATCTCAGTAATGATCAGGTTGTTAGCTAGCCAGTTTGAATTAATCTCTGGAATTCTGTAGCTGGGTCTCCAGACTTGATCTGTCTGTCTTAAGATTAGCCCCTTGAACTTCTAAGACACATAGATACTAACATACAGTTAGATAAATGTAAAGGGAATATATACAGTGAGAAAGTGAGGGATGTAGAGTCTATTTTAAGGCTAAAGGAAAAAGCTGTTGCAGTTTGCTTCAAGGTTATATAATGAAACCCAAGAGAAAGGGAAAGAAAACTTTTAAAATGCCCAGGTACAGGGGATTGTGTTTACCCAGCAATTCTCACTTGTCATTATTTAAAAAAAAAAAAAAAAATCACATCATTCAACAACTTCCCCTAAGTTTTGCAAGCCCAGGAACATGAGGACCAGTAGGTATGATTACTGTTTGTTTTGCATTTGTGCTTTGGAGATCCTTTGTGCATTGTGCACGCTAGTCATCCTTCTGTACAGGCTCACCAACTCAAAGCGTTTGTCCTTTCTCATTTTAACAGGTTACCATTTTAAGGTTCTTTAATCAATACCTTTTTCCATTTACATCATATTAAGAGGCAATTTAAAAGTTTAATCAAAGACTTCAGCAGTTGTTGCTGATTATGCATGCTGAGTTAAATCTGGGGGCTGCAGACTGCAGATTGATTCATGCATGAGGTCCTGTGTGATAGGAAATGAAGGGAAACGGTTTCTCTCCCTGCTGTAAGCGCTTGCAGGAGGACTATTGATCTATTTGTCTTTGTGCTTCAGTGCTTGGCTGGTCAATTATTTACAGATCGCTAAGACAGTGAGTGTTTAGAAGTAAGTGAAAGAGGAAGGTTGAAATTATGCTTCTTCAGATTTTGGCTTTACTGATGAAGTTGATAAAATGAAAACACATTGTTTTAGAGAAACATAATTCACAGTAGGCAACAACCAGGCAGCTTTATCAGGCTGTCTTTAAATAAAAATAATTTAGATATAAAGCAACTTTGCATTTCTATGTGTTATTTTCAGTAGTCTTTCAGATGTTGAATATGGTCTAGTCAGAAGAAAAATACAACTTGGTGATTCATTTTGGTTTATGGGTGTAAAGAAGATGGTCTCAAAGTTCTCTTCTGCCATTAAAAGTCATTGTTTTTAATATTGTACTCATTTAAAAATACTTTTCAAGGGCTTGTTTCGGTTCCTATGAAATGTCTTATGGTTATAAACGGTAATTAGGAAAACATATTTAAAGCTTGTTCTCAAGAACTGCCTCATAGAGGTTTTTGTTTTAGTATTAATTGAAATAAGTGATAGCACTATAAGCTAGATTGTATTATTACTCACTAAATTTAGGTGAATACGTTCAGACAGCTTAGTTTTCTTTTAAATGATTTGTGTGGTATCGTGCAGCTAGTAAAGAGTAGAGATGGAATTCAGACTATGGTGGTCTGAACTCAAAGCTGAAATATTTAAGTGTTGTGCTGTGTATTAAGAGTTGAATTGTGTCTCTTCCAAGTAGATATGTTGAAGCCCTAATCCCCAGTGTGACACTATTTGAGGATAGAACTCTTAAAAAAGTAATTAAGCTTATACGAGGTCATAAGGGTATAGTCCTTAATCCAACATGACTGGTGTCCTCATAAGAAGAGGAAGGGATGCAGCACACAAAGAAAATGTCCTGTGAGGACCCAGTGGGAAGGTGTCATCTGCAAGCTGAGGAAAGAGGCCAAAGGAGAAACCAAACTTCCAACACCTGAAGTTTAGACTTCTATCCTCCACAACTGTGAGGGATAAATGTCTGTTATTTAAGCCACTAGTCTGTGGTATTTTGTTGTGGCAGCCCTAGTAAACTAAGGCACTCTACCTTCATTAAGTCCCCCACATTAAAAAAAAATGCAGCAGGACATGGTGAATCACACCTGTAATCCTAGTACTTTGGGAGGTTGAATGAATTGAGTGCTTTGAGACTAGGACTTCAAGACTAATCTGGTCAAGATAGTGAGATCCTGTTTCTACCAAAAAAAAAAAAAAGAAAAAAGAAAAAAAATTGAGTATGTTGGAGCATGCCTGTGGTCCCAGCTACTTGGGAGGCTGAGGCAGGAGGATCACCAAAGTCATACCACTGCACTCCAGCCTGGGTTACAATGTGAGATCCTGTCTCAAAAAATGAAAAAATTAAAAAGCCGCAATACCTAATATGCAGTAGATGCTGAATAAATACTCACTAGTAAAAGCTCATCAGATATCTCCTAAAACAGTTCAGCAGAGAAATCCCAGGGAATCCTGTGACACAAAATCTACTGGAGAGATAGTAAAACAGCATATCTTCCAATCTACCACTGCCTAAGAGGCTCCAGCAACCTGTCCTGCACAGTGGCTGAAGTAACCATAAGCTAGCTATAAAAGCAGAGCAAATGATCAAAACCTATTTTGGGAGAGACAGTGACTCAAAACAGAGCAACTCTAAGAAGCTAGAGGAGAAGGCCATTATGGAATCAAAACCAGTTGAAAAAGTAGAGGATAGAGCAATAAAAGGTGATAAGAATTATTAATAAATCATTTAAGCATTCACAAACAAAAGCATATTCCCCCCAACAAATTATGTCTAAATATAACATTTTAAGATTAAAATAGTAGTAAATTAGTCTAGACTGCATTTCAGTTTATATGACAAGAAGATATGATTTTACAGATTTGGCCTCGGACATAAGTCAATGCCTTGTATTTTTATTTAACATTTCTTTTGACTAATTTTATAGTAATGAAGATGTTGATTTATATTCTTAATCCATGTTAAGTAGCTGACAAGGTATTTTTTCTATATTAAGTTCCAAGCAGATTCCTTCTGAAGCCAGTGCCAATGGCAAAGTTCATCAGGCGGGTGGTATTCTTGGCAGCACCACAGGACGTCCTATCCCTGGGCTTTGTAGCCCCTGTAGAACAGTTAATCTGGACTTGATTCCTTTATATTTAAGATAATTAATATTCAATTTTTTAGAATTAGGTAATCCCTGAAAAAACAGTACAATAGCAGGTGATAGTTTCTTATGTCTCTGATCATATTCCATGTTAAAAACTAAAAATTTTTCAGTCTGGTCGATAATGTTATAAGACTTGCAAATGTTTCTAAAAACTTTTATCTACAAAGCAGTAATGGAAAGTACATGTGAAATGCTCAAATTTGTATGTATGAAATGAATTAAGAAACAGTGTTAAAATAGTGCTTACATCATGTTCCTAAGGCCTGTGAAATTCTAAACCCAGAACTATGACTGTTAACAGAAGAGGTGCTAGGTCAGATCAAGGATATCAGGCTTCAGAGACAAAACAGCTATCTGCTCTTTGTTTGTCTTAACCATCGAGAGGCTGTTCTTCCACACCAACATGAATGAATTTCCCTAACCTCTTACCGATATCATTGGGAAAAAAAAGTTGAATTGCTTAATTCAAAATACTAGAAGTATACCTAATGGTGTAATTTACATGTGGGCAATCATTTTAAAATGTCTTATCTAGGCAACACCCTTTGGAGATGTACAGTCTACAACCTGTAAAACTATATGCAGCAACCATGTTTTCACTCCCTCCCTCACCTCACAAATGCAATCTCAGATGTTAAGCATCATGCTTGGATTTCTACTTATATTTATATTTACAGTTTTCTAAGATTTCTTACTTTTTGTTCCATGAAGAAATTTATCAATCATGGCAAAACAATTTATGGTTTGGAGGGATTACCAAACTAAAGTTATTTTCTCTATGGCAGTCACCTGAGACTACTAAACTCAGGGAAATAATGGCATACTTTAGAACAATGGGATTTTGGAATAAGAGAGACATTAGCAATTCCATAGTTCACAATTCTATAAGTAAAGTACGCTTCATTTATTTTACTTCATAATTATTTAAAGTACCTGTGTCTAAACATTTTATGACATTTCATAAAAGCGATATTCTGCATAAAAATACTTATTTAATTGTGCGTCTGTTACAAATCACAGGTTTTATTTAAACAAAGTTCATTTTGTTGACCCTTTTTAAGTTGACTTTATTCTTCTTGTTACTTCTGTAATATCCATGAGAGGGCAGTAGAGTACCATGTTCAGATGTTAAGAAATTGTGCCACATGAAATTACGTTTTTAAAATCCACAAATCCTTTAAATGATTGTTACGATTATATTAGATAAAAAGATTTCTACCTTTGTCATCTAAATGCTGTAATATAGAAAAGTGAATATTTTTCTTAATTTCTTCTTTTATTGGGAATAATGGACATCCTTTCATGTAAATACTTTTTAATCATTATTAATAATCAATGGTAATATTACCAGTAATGTTGATCAAGTTAGAAATTTGTAACCATTAAGTTTATTTAAAAGTAAATATCTAAAATATTCAATTTAAGTCTAATTTAAAGTTAAAAGAATATCATTTTTTTTGTAAAAAAAAAATAGTGGAATAAATCAGTGTGAATTCAGATACCTTTCCTATTTAACCTGTTATTTAATCATTTCATGCCAATTTTGGTTGAACAAGATGCCTATTCCCTGTCTTTTCCTCCTCAAGCCAGAGAGATAAGCCTGTTCTTAATTTCAAAATCATAAGTCGTGTAACCATTCCCCATAATTTAGTTAGCTCACAACTAACACTCATACGAAACAGGTTTACTCATTCAGTTTCAGAGAACCCATTTTGCAACCTGCTTATCTTGGAAGGAACATTAAGAAGTTATATTGCTCAAAGTATATTGCTCTGAGTTCCTATTTAATCCCCTAGGGAGCCCAAATCCTATGAGAGCCAAAGCACACTTCTACTTGTAATAATTTAAAATATTTACATAAGCTCCATATTGCTGGATTTTTCTGTTTGTTAACATAAGTATGTTTTAGATACCATGACATAAAGCCTCACCAGTGGGAACTCCTAAAGCCTGGCATCTCAAAGCCTGAATTTGGGGTCAGTTTGAATTCTTTCCATGCCTCTAACAGATATACCATCCTGGACAATTTATTTAACTTTCCTAAGCTATTTTCCTAATTTGTTGAAAGAGGGTAACAAATTTTAACCATTGTATAGGGTGGTTATGATGGCCAAATGACCTAAACACTTAGTAAAGTGACTAGCACATGGTGACAACTCAGTGTTTTCATTATAAGTTTTAGTGTTACAGACAATTTCTATAAAGAGCTTATCAGAAATAGCCTTATAAACCTTTCATCATATTTATAAAAACTGTAATTTTGAGGATATTGTCACTATATATGCTAGGCTTTGTGGAATAAATGTGTCTCTAAATTTTGCATTACATTTAAGGTTAGACTGACAAATTTTGGTTTTATCTGATAATCTCTTCAAATCAACTATGTGTGATGGTTCTGTCTTTGCATTAGTTGTTAGAAAGCTTACATTCAAATGTTGCCTCAGTTCTAAGAAATTTTGTGTAATTTCGTCTCTCACATTTCTTTATATCTTCTCCTTTCTATACATTTTCTCTTTTTTCTGTTTTCTTCACCCACTTTTACTACATTTTATTGTGTACATTTTTGCAGGATGCCTTAAATTCCTTCTTTCCTTTAGAGAATGTTACAGAATGCATTCATTCATGCAGGTAATGAACAAAATAATCTGAGTAGTTCTTGAATTGGAGCAATCTTCTTAATTTAATGGAAAAAAGGAGTATGTTGACTGCTGAATGTGTTACTCCATGGGTTTCAGTAAATGTGACTTCAATAAAAAGTGTTATTTGGTGTTAAGTGTCAAATGTAGACATCCGGGAAATCTATATAAAATAGATTCAGGAGAGAATACAAAGAAAAATTTATAACTTGAGAGCTTTTTTCTAAAAGCTCTCTAATTTTAAATACATATTATTATAAAAATTCACTGATTTATAAAGATTATTATCCTACCGTAGCATGGTTAAAATCATACTTATGTGTAAATATTGATAGTTTCCAAAGCTTGAACTTTTTATATGAACACAGGAAAATACAGGAGTTAATTCTGCTTCTGAGATGTAAAAGTTTATCCCCAGTAGGTCATTATTTAGCTTCCAGCTTCAGTTTGGAAGTGGTCGTGGCTGCAACCTCGGACAGCTTTTGGTATAGGCATCAGCTCGCTTTAAAGTATTGACAAGATCAAAAATTGCAAAGATAGTTTTATTTTAAGGAAACAAAAACCTGTTTTCTTAGTAGGTTAAACCTTCCTGCTAGCGGTTTTTCCTGATGATGATTAAATCACCAAAGTGCTTCAGAGGTCATATGACTAAAGCTGTACATATTTTTCTTTGCATTAGGAAATCTACTACTACATTACATTTTACACTTTGCAGAAAAGCTAACCAAGCTACTAAACTTCTCAATATGGTTTACTGGAATCTTATGAGATTCAACTCCAGTAAAATGTCTTTAACTTTCTCTGATGTAACTGACAACATATAATCAATTATCTTTGCCATTATTAATTATAGCTGCCATACAGCATTTTGTCTCATCACTTGAAAATCTTGAAAATGACCATTTTCTTTCATTCTCTATAAAATTAAAGGTGAGAGGCAGCAACTGTATGACATAAAATAATTTGGGCTCAAATATTGAAGTAATTTTTAAATAAAATCCAAAGGACACCTATGTTCTCTTTCTACTTGTGCACAAACTTCATTTTGGTCATTCCCTATTGTATTATAATCATTGATTTCCAAAGTTTACCCATTTTACTGGAAACTTCACAAAGGCAAAGTCTCTGTTTCAATTTTCTCTATGTAATGTCTAACATTCTCCCTGGTTCTTGTAAATTTTGCTCATGGCCTGACCAAATCTGCTCGGTGATCAGTTTCTACCAATGACTTCTTGTCTGTCAGGCCCTGTAATGGTCTGCTTGAAAGACTTCTCTGGCCATGGGAGAATACACAGTGGGCAAGTTTAGAAGTGCCAGTGAGTTGACACCCTGTCTTAGTTTGTTCGTGTCACTGTATTGAAATACTTGAAACTGGCTAATTTATACAGAAAAGAGAAGAGATTGATTTCTTGCAGTTCTGGAGGCTGCCAAGTCAAAGATCAAGAAGCTAGCATTTAGTGTCTGTTGAGGCCCTTCTTGCTGTGCTTTCACATGGTGGAAGGCTGAAGGGCAAAGGGCTGCCAGATGCCCTGTAAAGGCTCTTTTATGAATGTCTTAATCCCATTCACAAAAGTCCTCATGATCTAGTCACCTCCTAAAGGCCCAACCTCTTAATATTACTGAATTGGAGATTAAGTTTCAACATGAATTTTGGAGGAACACAAACATTCACACTTTAGCAATTTACTAATAACTATTCAAAGTTAGTAGAAAAATACCCCAGCATCTTCACCCCTGACCTGGGAGAACTCTGAGATATAATCCACACAAATTGTCTTCTAATGGCCACCAGTGGGATTGAGCCCCATTTGCTCACAACAGTGATCTGCTCATTAATGTACCTTCCACTGGCTTCTTTTCATTTCCTGTCTCTCTTCCCTAATACCTAATGCTTCCTGAGATCACTTCCCAAATAAACTACTTGCACTACTCTAGTCATTATCTTTTTATTATTTCTGGGAAAACACAATGTAAAACATGATATGTACCAAGATACATATTGGTTAAATGATGAACAAATGGATAGGTAGATGGGAGTAAATCATGCCTTTATTTAGGTTACCAAATACAGACTGTTTATCAGTTTTCTACGTATCACATTTTATATATGCAAATGTTATGTGAATTAAGAATCATTTATATTTCACCAATATAAATATTTAATGTTATGTAAATCCTTATCCATAATGTTTAACAGCGAGAAGTAAGCATACAAACAATAATAATTTTCACTTAGTCTTTAACAGATATTTGACATTTAGATGAAGTTTTGTGTTTTCATCCAGTTACTGTAAATTTTCATTTTAAATGGTCGTAGTGCATATGATTTATGTTTTCTCACTTAAACGTTGTTAAATGTTAATGATTTTTAATACTGT
Source organism: Homo sapiens (assembly GCF_000001405.40). NCBI lineage: Eukaryota > Metazoa > Chordata > Mammalia > Primates > Hominidae > Homo > Homo sapiens. Next base: position 22,114,031 of record NC_000003.12, on the reverse strand, counting down.
TAATATTTAAAACATTTATAGAATCAAATATATTACTTTTCTCAATTTAATTATGTTAAAGGTAAACTGATGTGGTTGGTGATTCTAGTTCCAATGAATGTACCCTATTATTTTTATTTAGACCTTTCTATCTAGATTTAGCAAGGTAGAAAAATGAGCTGTAATTCTGGGTAATAGGAATGATCTCTATTGATGTATTCAATCTTGAAAAAGCACCAAATTGTCTCAACTTCCTTTAGCAGAAGAGACTTTATCTCCTGACTCGTGATTCACCCGCCTTGGCCTCCCAAAGTGAGCTTTCTTTTATATTTGTATCTGTGTATCTTTTTTGTATTTGGTCAATACCTCATCCCTGGCTTCTAAGACACTCCTAGTATTTGGCAACAAGACCAGTCCTGTGGTTTCCCGGTTGCTGTGCTGCTCATTGTCTCAGTCAGCACTACCTTTATTGACAGTAATGTCCCAAAAGTTCTTTATGAAACTTTTCTTCTTTTTACTTACACAAATATGTTTATTATAGATCTAATTTCTCCCCAGGCCTTCTATCATCTTAGGTTAGCTAAGTTCATCAATTCATTTGAACCAAGGTATAGTTCTGATAATTCATTGCCTTAAATAAGAAAAAATGAACGATTAGAGAAATTTAAACACTATATAAGGTAGTATAGTTGAAAGTGATATTTTTAGGTACTGGAACCTTTCCTAAAGCCTGCTTTCCTTGGTGTTTCAGCATTACCTATTATCTTCATGTTAAATCATAGAGTCAGAAAGATTTAGAATGAGAAATTACTCAGAAATAAACCAATTCAGGAGTAGCAAATAGCAGCACTTGAACTGCAAAGGCCCATAGCCCACCCCCATTCTTACTTGTTGAGCCGTGACACAAGTACACATTCTATTTCAACACATAGCACCAAGCAGCTTCTTACAGCTCATTGTTGGCACTTGATGTGTAAATGATTTGTCACTTTGGGTCCAATCTACTTCATTTCCACAAATGCGACCGAGAGATTGTTGGGGTTGACCAAGGCCACACAGCTAGTTAGTTGAAGAAGAGACTAAAGTTCTATACTTGTGAGGCATGTTCACATTTTCTACCAATGTATAACATATAACTGTCATTTGTTCATCTCTGGATTTACTGAAGTGGACCTGAACTGGGTAGAAAATTGCTTCTGTTTTTTTTCCCCCCCATAGGAAGGGTGACAGTTCATTCCCTGAGTAAAACAGGCTTAACAAACAATGAAGTTTGTATTTCTTGACATTCCATTCAAAGATTTTAGCCTTTCCTGAGAATGGAACTCATGACTCTTCATCTTCTATGTGTAGCTTTCTCCCTATATCACCCTTGTTCATTGTTCCAGATTGCATCTGCATATATCAAACCCTTATTTATCTATAAAGAATTAGAATAAAGCTAAGTATCAAAATATTTATACTAAGTCATAACACTTACATAGCTGATGTGGATAATTACAAAACTGCAATATTAATAGATTTACATACATTGATAAATTGATAAATATAATTTTGCTTATCAACAAGAAATTAAGAATTACTGGTACGATTTGGTAATGCTGTCACCCACCGCTGTCATTCTTTTTACGTCCTCTAAAAAGTATATGCTGTATAATATTTTTGTGCATTATTTCCTCTGATTTCTGATGGTTGGAGGACTATGACTGGTCTAAAATTGTTAGGCAATGCAGAGATTTCTTGTGGTTATTCATTATTTTAATTTTTCAGACTATGAGATTCAGAAATTATTCTCATTATAATCCATGCAAAAAGGAGAGGTTTAAATACGCAGCTAAAGCTAATCAGGTATAGGAACAATAAATAATACTCTGCTAAACAATAGTCTTAACAGTTCCTAAGTTTTAAAAAACTGACACTTTGCTTGCATTTACATGTTAATTTATTTGCTTTTGCTGCAGCAGCTTGACTGCTCTTTATCAGTGCTCAAGTAAAGTAAATTTTGTTGTGGTCCTTTAAGATTAGAGTAGAGCAGGGTAAAATGTCTGATTAATTTATGCATATTAGCACAGCCGACTTTTCTATTTTTTAACGACTTGGCTGCATTTGATGGAAGTAGACAAGCCAGCACTGGAACTGAATGTATTTTCTTCTGTGCTTTTCACTTCTCAGTAGTTTGTTCTCTGTCCTGTAAACCCAGCTCTCTGTGCTTTATAAAACCAATAGAACAGTGAGTTAGCTCTATGTTTCACTGTTCAGGGTTTCACAAGAGTCCTAAGCAAAAGCATTTGGAAAATAGTCAGAAGGGATAAAAGAGAAAATAAATAAAAGTTTGATCCGATGTCTTCTACTTTTTTATGATTTAAGCCTGCCATCTACGAAGACAGCGTAAGTCTAACAACAAAACCATGTGTTCAATTCACTAAGTCAGTGAAAGGAAATATATAGGGAATCAGCAATGGTTGAACAAAATGCCAAGATGGTAAATTAGGAAAAGCACTGAACAGCGCCTCATCCAACAGTTTTCTATCACTTCCATGTGGCTTTTTCTGAGTGTGAACAGAATGACATTTGATGATCGCGTCACCATGTGCGTACCCCAGTAGTTTGCCAATCCCTGTGGTAGGGCTCACTTTCTGCTTTGTCCAATCCATGTGTCCTCATCCTGATTACTGCTCTGCTAGCATCTGCTTGAACTTACTAAATTGAAGCTCTCATACATATTTAGTAAACTTACATTTACCAAGTTCACAGGGCAGATTTCTGCCTTCTAGAAGTTTCTAATCTTTTCTTGAATACTCGTAAGTAAATATAGCAGTTTATAGATGCTTTCCAAATTTGGAAAGCACAAAACAGTCTCCTGAGAGTACAAAAAAAACAAAAAAAAAAAAAAAAAAAAAAAATCCAACATGGAGCCTCAATATGTTACTGCTTTACTGTAGATTTTCATCCATTTTAGGCTGAATCTTTGTGATAGTCTCAGTTACAACGTCTGAATTAATAGCATTTTAATTTGCCTTTAACAATGACACTAGAGTGACCTTTCTCAGTTTGATAAAACTAAATACCACAGCACAAAAGTCTTCAGACATCACTTTTCAAAATCATCTGTAAAATCCATTTTACATTTCTTGTCTTTATATTCAAGACTCTCAGCTAAATTATACCTCTCTTGACAGCCTTATATCCTACCATATTCCCCTCAGTAGCACCTCACACATCACACTGTACTTATAGTTTCCTTGACATTTTTTTCTTTTTTTTTTTATTATACTTTAAGTTTTAGGGTACATGTTCACAACGGGCAGGTTAGTTACATATGTATACATGTGCCATGTTGGTGTGCTGCACCCATTAACTTGTCATTTAACATTAGGTGTATCTCCAAATGCTGTCCCTCCCCACTCCCCCCACCCCACAACAGGCCCTGGAGTGTGATGTTCCCCTTCCTGTGTCCATGTGTTCTCATTGTTCAATTCCCATCTATGAGTGAGAACATGCGGTGTTTGGTTTTTTGTCCTTGTGATAGTTTGCTGAGAATGATGGTTTCCAGCTTCGTCCGTGTCCCTACAAAGGACATGAACTCATCATTTTTTATGGCTGCATAGTATTCCATGGTGTATATGTGCCACATTTTCTTAATCCAGTCTATCATTGTTGGACATTTGGGTTGGTTCCAAGTCTTTGCTATTGTGAATAGTGCCGCAATAAACATATGTGTGCATGTGTCTTTACAGCAGCATGATTTATAATCCTTTGGGTATATACCCAGTAATGGGATGGCTGGGTCAAATGGTATTTCTAGTTCTAGATCCCTGAGGAATCGCCACACTGACTTCCACAATGGTTGAACTAGTTTACAGTCCCACCAACAGTATGAAAGTGTTCCTATTTCTCCACATCCTCTCCAGCACCTGTTGTTTCCTGACTTTTTAATGATTGCCATTCTAACTGGTGTGAGATGATATCTCATTGTGGTTTTGATTTGCATTTCTCTGATGGTCAGTGATGATGAGCATTTTTTCATGTGTCTTTTGGCTGCATAAATGTCTTCTTTTGAGAGGTGTCTGTTCATATCCTTCGCCCACTTGTTGATGGGTTTGTTTTTTTCTTGTAAATTTGTTTGAGTTCATTGTAGATTCTGGATATTTGTCAGATGAGTAGCCCTTTGTCAGATGAGTAGATTGCAAAAATTTTTCTCCCATTCTGTACGCTGCCTGTTCACTCTGATGGCAGTTTCTTTTGCTGTGCAGAAGCTCTTTAGTTTAATTAGATCCCATTTGTCAATTTTGGCTTTCTTTGCCATTGCTTTTGGTGTTTTAGGCATGAAGTCCTTGCCCAGAGTTGAACTATCCTAAATATATATGCCCCCAATACAGGAGCACCCAGATTCATAAAGCAAGTCCTTAGAGACCTAGAAAGAGACTTAGACTCCCACACAATAATAATAGGAGACATTTGTTTCAAATCCTCTTCACCTTCACTTCTTCATCTGAGAAAAACCCTATTTGCCTCAGCCCCATCTATCTGGCAAATACTTATTCATTTCCAAACATCAGTAGCTCTAAGATGCTTTCTGTCCACTACCCAGCAAGAAGATGTAATGTTGTCCTCAGATAGCTCAAGCTTTACTGTATACATGCTTCTGTAGTGGTAGCTATAAGCTGTGATACATTAGGGACTTACATTAAATGTCCATGTACAAGGTGACATCTTGTATGTATCCTTATATGTTCATATTTTTGTAATGCCTAGCAAACATACTGAAGATTAATAAATTATTATTGAGTTGATAAGTGAATGAATGAAATGTGTAGGACTGGACCTCTGACTGAGTCATTCACCTTCCAAAAATGGCCTGCCATCAGCAAGAGTTGATTTTAGTTATCTGCAGCTTGAAGGAGCAGAAGTCAAATATGGTTTCCTTCCCTAATAGGCACACCTCAGTGAAGAGGGGTTATTATAGATGGAGACAAATAATTACTATGTATTGCGTCGTTCGTCTGTACAAGCATTATTGCTACATGGTTTTGTTTTGTTTTTTGAGACAGAATCTTGCTCTGTCACCCAGGCTGGAGTGCAGTGGTGTAATCTTGGCTCATTGCAACCTCCGCTTCTCAGGTTCAAGCGATTCTCCTGCCTCAGCCTTCCAAGTAGCAGGGACTACAAGCACCTACCACCGCACACAGCTAATTTTGTATTTTTAGTAGAGACAGGGTTTCACCATGTTGGCCAGGCTGGTCTCGAACTCATGACCTCAAGTGATCCACCCATCTCAGCCTCCCAGAGTGCTGGGATTGCAGGCATGAGCCACTGCACCTAGCCTGCTACATGTTTTTTATATTCATCTTATTTAGACTTTATAACTTGGTGAAGTAATTATAAACTACGTTCACTTCACAGATGAGAGAATTGGCCTTAGAGAGGTTAAGTAACTTTTCTAAGGCCCCTCTCTTAGTCAGTGGCAAAGTTTGAATTTGAACTGATTTATCCAGATGTAAAATCCTTAGTTCCACATGCATTGCACTCATTTGCCAGTCATTTCATGAAATGGCCAAGATTAATAATGTGTGCACTCATTCAAATCTTTTAATCCCTGTCATCAGGAAGCTATAGTTGCATTTCATACCCTTACTTCTTTCCTCTTAAGGAAGTTTTGTGTTTTGACAGATCATGCAAAAAAAAAACAAAAAAAACCTTTCATTATATGTATAGTTTCTGTGTTAATAAACACATCTTCCAAGAAAATCGAACACTCGACAGATGTTCTGACCAAAATTGTGGATTAAAATGAGTAAGAAGTTGCTACTGTAAATAAAGCAAAGTAAAACATTGTGTCCTCTATATATGTGTGTATGTATGCAGACATACAAATATTTCAGTTTATTCTGTGTCTTAGTTCACTTTATGCTGCTGTAACAGAATGCCTGACACTGTGTAATTTGTAAAGAATAGACATTTATTTCTCACAGTTCTGGAGGTTTGGGGGTGTAAGATCAATACACTGACATCTAGTAAGGGCGTTCTTTCTGCATCGTCACATGGTATAAGGCAGAAGGGCAGGAGATAGCCAAAAGCTGCTTGAAGCCTCTTTATTAGGGCCTTAATCACTTTCATGAGGGAGGAGTCCTCACGGCCTAATCACCTATTATGGGCACCCCATTATAATACCATCACATTGACAACACCTGAATTTTGAAGCAGACACATTCAAACCATGCCATTCCATATATAAATATAGACATAAACAAGCACTATTAATACCACACTACATATGGATGTAAAATTTACCTGTAGAGAAATATATACATACAGTTGACATCATACAGCGCATGCACAGAAAAAAGACTAGAAGGAAATATATCAACAATTGGCAAACAGCTTTTGATAGGATTATTTAATATTTTAATGCATATTTTTGTATATTTTCCTGCAGTAAGCATATATTGTTTCTATACTTTAAATAAAATTATGTAATTTGTAGTCACTAAAGAAGTCATCTCAGGTTAGGTTCCTACTTGCATATAAAGTCTTCAGTTATTACCCTATTTTATATCAGAAAATCTAGAGTTTTTTAAGATTAGTAGTTTTTAAAATATATTTCCATGTATAAACTTTGCTTTTTTCCCCATGTATCAATGATTTTACAGTCCTGACTCTCAGAAAAAAATCTAGAAAATTTAACATAATTTTCTGACAAGAGGAAAATAGCCTTTTAAAAACTAATATTCCAGGCTTGGTGCGGTGGCTCGTGCCTGTAATCCCAGCACTTTGGGAGGCCAAGGCAGGCAAATCACCTGAGGTCGGGAGTTCGAGACCAGCCTGAACAACATGGAGAAACCCTGTCTCTATTAAGAATAAAAAATTAGCTAGGTGTGGTGGCACATGCCTGTAATCCCAGCTACTCCGGGGCTGAGGCAGGAGAATCGCTTGAATCCAAGAGGTGGAGGTTGTGGTGAACCAAGATCACTCCATTGCACTCCAGCCTGGGCAACAAGAGCAAAACTCTGTCTAAAAAAAAAAAAAAAACTCTCATTCCAAAGTTTTTGCATAAATAGATAAGTTGGCTAAATCAGTTATGCCTGCCAGGAGCTCATGTCAGAGAGATGTTTCAGAGAGAGCAGCAACTAACCATAACTAGCAAGAGTAGAGGAAGAGTTAGGTGACCACTCTTATGAAGAATGAGTGCCCAAATCACAAGTTAAGGGATCGTGGTGGTTGATAGTCTAACCTATGCTGATACTGATCCAAGATTGTCAGGCTTCTCCGCATTAGGTAGAAGATCAAGTTACAGATCCAGTTGCGTCACATGAGGCAATTTGTAGGGATTCTGGAAGACAGGTTCAACTCCAAGGGTTACAACCAACAAGTAGTAGGTAAGAGGTCAGGCCTTCAGCCAACTGGCCTCAGGTTGACGGCTTGGCTTTCTGGAGCTGGTATTAAACCAAGGGGGCAGGGACTGGTGAGAGAGAGACTCAAGCTGACTAATAAGGGCATCAAATCAGATGCCCAGGAGCTAAAGTCATATCTGGAAAGAAGACAGCAAACCTTTTCCAGTAACTCACTGAAATTTAAGGAAAAAGGTCCTAAAAGGCTGCCCAGTCAGGTACTCTGTATTGTATGAGACAGAGATTGGAAAATGTAAGATTTTTTTGTCCTTTCAGCTGGACCTAGGAGAACAGTGACCAAAGGGCAGATGGTATCTCAGTTTCATCATCTTTCAAATGTAAGCAGTAATTGTCCTTACTTCATCCAAGTGTTGTGTAGAATAGATACTATGTGTTAAGGGCATAGGTTTGTTACTGGGAAAAACCTGATTATGTCGATGACCAGTTTCCTTACAACCTAATATTTATGGCAGTGATTTTCAACTCAGGTAGCAAGTGAGAACATCCCATGGAGATTTTTGGAGCCACAAATACCTGGGCTCTGCTTTAGTCCTATCAAATCAGAATTTCTCTTGCTGAAGTCAGAGTTTCAGAGTCCTAGGGGTGATTTATCCTATCAATAATGACTAAGCATATGCTAGGGATACTACTGTATTTACTAAAACTTATTTATGATTAAAGTAATATGAAAGTTATTTATGATTACTCAAAATACAATAGTAACAGATGTGTACTATTAAATTAGATAAATTCACAGATTTAAAAATAACTACTATATTAATTGGTGATTAATTTTATATGTCAAAATGCCTAGGTCCCAGGATGCCCAGCCAGTTAAACATTATTTTGTCTGTGAGAGTGTTTCTCAAAAACAGCACCTTTGGAATTGGACTGAGTAAAGCAGATGGCCCTCCCCAATGTTGGTAGGCATCACCCAATCATTGAGGACCTTAATAGAACAAAAAGGTGGAGGAAGGTTGAATTGATTCTCTGCCTTACTGGTTGGGCCAGGACATCTGTCATCTCTTGCCCTTGGTGGTCCTGGTTCTCAGTCCCTCAGACCTGAACTGTGATCTACACCATCAGCTCTCTGGCTTTCAGGTCTTCAAACTACACCACCTGCTTTCCTGGGTCTCCAGCTTGCAGACAGCAGACTGTGGGACTTCTCAGCCTCCGTAATTGTGTGAGCCAATATTTTATATTAAGTCTCTCTTTCTCTCTCTGTATATAAGTATGTATGTATATGTACATGTATATATGTATTTATATATGTATACACACACATATAGAGAGAGATATAGATATATATGTGTTTATCTAGTGAGTCCTGACTAATACAACTGATCTCTGAAAAAAAAAAGGCAATATGCAGTAATTACTGAGTTTAATTAAGTGTGTTAAATGTACACTATTTGGCACTTAATATTTTCAGTAGAGAAAAGTATCATTTTAATGATACTATTTTATGGTTCTGATATACAGAAGATTATATCCCTTCTGCCTACTTCCCATAGCCTTGCCACATGTATGTAAATAGATAAGTACATTAGACTGTAAAAGTGAATACTTATCTTGGCCCCTAAATCTCCTTATAAAAAATACTACATTTTAAAATTATTCAAACAGTGTTTAATTTTAAACATGTTAGCAGTTTTAATCTTCTAAACTCCTTTCATTCTCTAATAATACTGGGTCAATGTAAAGACGTTGTGGCAAGTTGCAACAAGCTTCAGTAAAACATTGACCGTTCTTCAGCATTCTCTTCAGTTACAGCAGCAGTCACTGTATTCCCTGGAGAAAATCTGCTTTTAGTTAATTCACTCAAGTTCAGAGACTCTTTTGATTTCAGACAATGGACTTTCAGGTAGTATACTTCGTGGCACAGAATATGATTCATATTTACTAGGTGGTACAATTTATCTCCCATAACAATTCTTTATTTGCTAGTGCTTTTGATTGGAACCATTTTTCTTTCTAGTTATGGGTAGGGAAAGAGTCACAACTTCTGACTCATTTTCGTGCCACTGTTGCCTGTTGTCGTTTTTATGTTGAATGTAATAGAAATTCATGATTCTAAAAAATGAAGAATTGAAAAATCACTAAGAAGTACACAACGCGGCAAAAAAAAATGTCTGCCAAAATCATGTGGTTGTAAAATACTGAATGAAACATTTACAGTTAGTGAAATAGAAGAAATAGCTGGATTTAAAAAATGGAGCTTAAACATCAAAATACTACCTGCAGAAGAATGTCATTAGTCTTCCTCTAAAGCAGAGCAATGTGACAAGAATCAACAAAGTAGATTATAGTGAACGAGTAATAAAACGTCATCCTTTTTTTCAAGGAGCCTTTGGTAGCAGGAGACACACTCAGTGAATTTTAGTGAATGTGAAAGGAGAGAGTGATGGCACTCTACAGAGGATGCCATATGTAGGAGGAGAGAAGGTTTTCACAGATGCACCTGCTGGAATCCATCATGGAGGTAATGGCAACTGCAGGGGCATAAATGCATTTTCCCTCAGAGCTGGACCAATTTGTCTCCAACTTGAATAATACATGGACACCTTTCAAAGGAAAAGATAACAAGTTCTCACATACGTCCCTCACTCCCCAAGGCTGGCAAATTATTTTTATAATGTGATTTTTATATATTGTATATTGTACATGTAATATATAAGTGAATAAATTTCTCATGCTGCTGGCTTTTATACAACTCAAGACTGATTTTCCTATTAAATTTAAATAAAAATTTAAAGCCATATAATTCAATTAGTCATGTTAATAGGATGGATATTAGTATTTTCTCAAGATGAGATTTTCCCTTTCCGTGTAAAGTCACCCCCCTCAACTATGGTAAGGCATAGTTTGCCATTCTGATACTGGGCCATTAGAGGACTGGGTTTTCCTGCCACAACCAGGAGGTTGTGCTACCATAAGATTTTTATTTCACCATTGTTTTTGCCTGACTTTGACACAGTACTAACGTGTCCACAAGCACTAACCCAAATGTGGGTCATTGAGTTGCAAAATAGGACTCAGTTGTCATTTTGTTGGTCACTCAGATGATTCATAACATTATGTTGGTTCTCCAGACCATCAAAATTCAGACAAGCCACTTAAAAGTTAATGATTGAAGATAATTTCCCACATCCATTTGGAGAAAAACAGAGGTAGCTTGAGAACACAAGTTTATGAAAATTGTAAAATAGTATCATCTCTAGGGCATCCTGGGGTAGCATGGAGGACTTGAGTAGCATGTGGAGCAGATGTTTACTTTGTAGGTCTATAATTTTATTCTTGGGGTGTTTTTGTTATCAAAAATTGACTGAAAAATTACTGTGTTTCAGGCAAAATCGTAAGCACTTGTGAGCCCACAGTGATTAGATATGGCCCTTGCCCTCAAGAAACTCACAGTTTATCAGGGAAGACAGACATGTATTTAAAAAAAAAAAATGGCCCCAGGGCTAGTAATGAGTCCTTTCGCAGTGATCAGAGAGGTTTGTACAACCGCAGTATCTTGAGAAAATACTAATATCCATCTTATTAAATTAACATGATTAATTGAATTATATGGTTTTAAAGTTTTATTTAAATTTAATAGGAAAATCAGTCTTGACTTTAGTTGCATAAAAGCCAGCAGCATGAGAAATTTATTCACTTATATATATACAGTATATAATATATAAAATATATAAAAAGCACATTGTAAAAATAATTTGCCAGCTTTGGGGAGTGAGGGACATACGTGAGAACTTGTTGGTTTTTTTTTTTCCCTGATAAATTCACAGTTTATTAGGGAAGACAAACATGTATCAAAATAAAAAAAGGCCCCAATGCTAGTAATGAGTCCTTTCGCAGTGATCAGAGAAGTTTGTACAACTGCTTGGGAAAACACAGAAAGGAATATGAGTTTTCTTTAATCTTGTAGCTAGTGGGGATATTGAAGATCAGTTAAAACCCCTTCTAAGTTTAAATATAGGTTAAGGCCTTTATTCTTTTTCTTTATTCTCTACCCCAGTCATCAATATGTCCTATTGTCGATGTATATTTTTCTCATCTCTGCCTATGCCTCATTTGGCCAGTGACAGCAAAGAAGTTGCTAATCTTCCTGGGGGATTCTCAGAACTCAAGGGATAGCCTTCCCTGGTTTTAGATTAAATCTTGAGTTAAAATATTGTACAATGAAACTCAGTACTGCGGGAAGGAGGGAATTGGTTTAGCATAGCCATGAGGTGCAAGGACTCTTGTCTCAAACTGCAGGGATTCATATTTTAACTCTTACTATCTAAGCAATCTTGGACTAATTGCTTCTCTCTGTTTTTGGTTCTTCACATTTCAAATGGGAATAAAAATAATTGTAGATATGATAACTAGAGGAATGAAGTGAAATCATGAGTGTAAAATACTTAGCAGTGTCTGGCAAATAGCAAGTGCTCAAAAAAACATTGACTAATGTTAGAAGTACTCCAAGCCCTCCATCACACAGGGATGAAAGAAATCATCCTGGGAAAAGAACACATTCATCTCTGTCTTCATTGTCAATCCAAGGGCATTTTGAGTTCCAAAGGGAAACTTGTCATGTTTGGTGCTTTTCTTTTATATTAGGGCTACACTTTACCACAGAAACCACATTTTAACTTTCATCCTGTCATGAAAAAAACCTGATGTGGCGCAATGGAAAGGGAGTAGGATACTAGATCCTATGAAACTTGGACTCTGTAGAAGCCCAATTTGTCCACTAACTTACTCTGTTACTTGAGTAAATCACTTTGCCTCCCTGGGCTGTAGCTTACTCATTGGTACCAGAAAATATATAGTCACCAGATGATTTAAAATATTACCTTGTATTCATTCTAAGATTTCCAAGAAGTATACCATTCTTGATATTTGATTTCATCTTCTTTTGGGTCTTCAATTTATGGGCACAAGAACTCTGCTGACTTGGTTTTATTTTTGCCAGAGAATCCTTTCCGAGGTTTGTAGCTGAACTGTTGCAAAACGTACATGCCCCTATTGTTCTATTAGTAGCTATAGTTGGCGAAATTAAATGTGTCAGTTCCTATTTTGCTGTCCCAAGTCTTAGCACAGTATAAATAGAACTTATAGAGAAATGGTTCAGTGTGGGTGTAATAATATGCTATTTTGCAATCATTTAGATTAACGTTTAAACCTTACATCTGCTGATTACTAGCAATATGACAAATACGTGTTATTTCATCTCTCTGAGAACATCCAGCACACAGATTGGCACGTGGAACCTGGTCAGTGAACTTGCATCCTTTGCTTTGGTTTTTTGCCAGCACCTTATATGCTCATGGAAGGTTATGTATGTGTATCTATACCTACTTCTATCTCTCTATCTACATAAATATATTTACTTATAGCCCTTTATATATCATTATTTTGTACTTTCCCACAAGGTAAGCATTTTCATTCATGACTTTGTGAGAAATTTTGGTGCTTTTTATCTCTTAAATCTGTCTTGAATACTACTAGAAAAGACAGTAACTTATTTATTTTTGTAAAAATTTTAATCCAAGTAGAACCTTATTATGAACATTAGAATTCGACAAAATCTCATTTTCTCTAAGTTTTCATTAACTTCTTGCTCAGGTACCTCAGAAGCCATATTATTGAAACTGTTTGGGTAGCCCATTTATAACAGGCGCATGTATTGCACTGTGGGTCCAAGTATTTATATTCAATAAAATGTTGCCTGACTTCACATTTACTATTTTATATATTTCTAAAATCTCTAGCACAACCCTGGAAGTCTTATTTTTATTTATTTTATTTTATTTTTTATGTGATTTTCTTTTTTTTATTTTAATATTATTATACTTTAAGTTTTAGGGTACATGTGCACAATGTGCAGGTTAGTTACATATGTATACATGTGCCATGCTGGTGCGCTACACCCACTAACTCGTCATCTAGCATTAGGTATATCTCCCATTGCTATCCTTTCCCCCTCCCCCCACCCCACAACATTCCCAGAGTGTGATGTTCCCCTTCCTGTGTCCATGTGTTCTCATTGTTCAATTCCCACCTATGAGTGAGAATATGTGATGTTTGGTTTTTTGTCCTTGTGATAGTTTACTGAGAAGGATGATTTCCAATTTCATCCATGTCCCTACAAAGGTCATGAACTCATCCTTTTTTATGGCTGCATAGTATATCCATGGTGTATATGTGCCACATTTTCTTAATCCAGTCTATCATTGTTGGACATTTGGGTTGGTTCCAAGTCTTTGCTATTGTGAATACTGCCGCAATAAACATACGTGTGCATGTGTCTTTATAGCAGCATGATTTATAGTCCTTTGGGTATATACCCAGTAATGGGATGGCTGGGTCAAATGGTATTTCTAGTTCTAGATCCCTGAGGAATCGCCACACTGACTTCCACAATGGTTGAACTAGTTTACAGTCCCACCAACAGTGTAAAAGTGTTCCTATTTCTCCACATCCTCTCCAGCACCTGTTGTTTCCTGACTTTTTAATGATTGCCATTCTAACTGGTGTGAGATGATATCTCATTGTGGTTTTGATTTACATTTCTCTGATGGCCAGTGATGGTGAGCATTTTTTCATGTGTTTTTTGGCTGCATAAATGCCTTCTTTTGAGAAGTGTCTGTTCATATCCTTTGCCCACTTTTTGATGGGGTTGTTTGTTTTTTTCTTGTAAATTTGTTTGAGTTCATTTTATTTTTTAAAATATCTCAAGAACTGACACTTAATCCTGACATTTTTGATAAAGGTTTTACCAGGATCTCAGTTCTTTGGCCTAATATTCTATACATTCTACAACCAGGCTCCAATCTGTTCATTCTTACAGTAGTAGCCCCCACTCCCTGCTAGTGTGAATGCTTGGCTTCTGACCTTTACAAAGACCCCAATCAGGATGTACCCACCCTTGCTGGCTTCAGCTCTCCTTACGCTCCATCCTTCTATTGGTATCCCCGCCATGCTTCAGGGTCTGCTGCAAGTCCAGGATGACTACCTATCTCTAAGTTAGCATTTATTCTCTGTGGGCACACAAGGGATTATTTCCATTTCCACTAAATCAGGTTTACCCTCAAATTAACTCGTTAGCCTATGTGAGCACTTGTGTCTCAGCCACACATTTCCTACAAATCCCATTCTCTCTGGATAAATCTAGTTATCCTTGTTTCTCAGTCTTTATAGCAAGACTTTGAGACAAGCTGGAGAACATTGCTTAATGCAATTGACCGCTGTCACTACAATGTTCTAATAATTACAACTCATACTTTAAGAAATTATTTACAGTATCCATACCTGGTCTGCTCCCTTTCTTATGGACTACATGACTATTCCAAACCTTCAGCCCTTTCCTCAAGTTATCTACTCAACTTTCACAGTGTATGTACATATAGATGTATTTATATATGTGGGTATATGCCATAACAGTAGCTTAATACTGTGCATACTATCTTGTGGTTTGATGCTTCACTTAAAACTTCATTATGAGCATTTTTCCATGTCAACTGACATAGTCACATTGATGTTTTCATTGGCTGCTTAGTGTTCTGTTAAGAATACCATATTTTATTTAAGTAGTACCCTAACTTTGAACAAGTAGATTGGATTTTTTTTGCTTCCTATTTTTCCTCATTACAGAAATCCCTATGATAAATATCCATGAAGAAGTTGTGCATAACTCTAATTATGTCCTTAGTATAGAGTATTAGAATAAAAATTATTTCTGGCTTAAATAGTAGGCAAGTGTTAAAACTTTTGATAAATAATGCCATTTTTTTTCCAGGGAGCTTTTGCCTAATTGTATTTTCTATATTCGCCTGTTTTTCTACTCTATCAGTATCACTGTATGTGATACTTTTATTTTCATCTTTATTTATTTGCTACTTTAAAAATATAGTTTTCTTTATTTGGGGTGTATTTCTTTGATCATTAAGGAGGTTGAGAATTTTTCATGTGCTTACTTATCATGTGACATTTCTTCTCTTGTGAATAAATTGTTCATGTCATTTGCACCCATGCCTACATGGCAAGCCTCTCCTTCCCAGATGGGAACTTCAAATGTGGACTATTCAAATAAAAATAGAAACTTTAAAATCCTCTACTTGCTGTTGTTAAAATGACCATTCTTAGAATGACAGCTAGAGAGTAGTTAAGCACCCAATAATTAAATCAATTTCTAATTATCCACATAAATTTAATGTGTTTTCTTCCAATGAATTGAAGGAAAATCTTCCCCTCTCCCAAATGCTCCCTTTTCCTAAACACTAAATTGATAAAATATTTGAAAAAAATTGTGTTCATTAAATGATGACTCATACACTTAAAGTTCTTGAATTTTCTTAAAGTATTTGACTTGGTCTGATTCTTCCCAGAGCAATAAAGTCAACTTGAATGGTCACTTCCTCTGTTTTCTGGGAGTTGCTATGGATACATATTTTTGTCCATGATGCAAGGTTGAAAATCACGTGATATTTTATTGGTCGTAATAGATTAAATCTATCTTGAACTCAACTTCCTGAAAAGCTAGGAGAAAATTCTATTTCAGTCATGTTTTGTGGACAGTCTTTTCCCAACATATACCACCACTACCACCACCTCTTCTGCCAACACACTCTAGGTATTTCCCTAGCCTGTGAGTTCCTAGTAGCTTCAAACTTTGTGGGGAAAATGTTACAGTTTTTAATCGTCATTGGTTAACATTAGTATGATCCTTGTTCAAGCTCACATGAGTTGTAAATGACAATGCCACTGTCTCTAGGTTCTTATGGGCTAGGGGTATTATTACTCTTCCTGTCAAGGCCGTAAAGACTCCAAGCCACTTTATCAAAGTCCTGACATTTAAGGGGTATCTAGACAGAAATGTGGTTCCTAGTGCCCATAGTTTTTATTTCCCTGTCACAGGGGACACTTTCTGTCAAGTCTGCCTGCTGCTGCTGCTTCTCCAAGCACACAGCTTCATCCTCTCAGGAATGATTCTGCATGATTTCCCATGTATGGACCTATGAAAATCACATACTGGCCTTTCTTCCCTGGGGTAGATCCTTGTTCTCTCATTTCTCATTTTATCATAGACAGTGAGAAGAAGTCATTTTGCTCTTTCAATGTTCTTGGAAAACTCTTTAGCAAGATCTTGCATTCATTAGGAATATTTCCTACTTATACCTTACTGTCAGTGATAACTTTTCTCTCAATTTCTTCCAGTTTCCAATAACAACTTCTTTATCATTATTTATGACCTAGCCAATAACCTCTTTCTCCATCTAAGAATCTTAGACTCCCACTAATACTCCCCTCAAAGCCCTTTGAACTTCAGCCTGCCATCTAGTTCCAAACCCAACACCATATATTTTAGGTTTTTATTATGGAAGCATCAAACCTCCAGGTATCAAATTCCAGTTCAGTTATCTATTGCTCTGTAACAAACCACCTCAAAATGTATTGATATAAAATAAAAATAATCATATTTGCCAATAAATCTACAATTCAGAAAGGATTCTGCAAGCGCAGCTCATGCAGAATGGCTCTGTTCATTCAGAGTCACTGGTGTTGCTTAGCTGAAGATGGACAATTCATTTCTCATGACTCACATAGCTGACAAGATAATGCAGTCACTTTCTCCTAGAGATCCTCTCCTTGTGGATGCTTGAGCTTGCTTACAGCATGGTAACTGAGTTCCAAGGGTGAATATCCTAAGAGATAGGAAGTGGAAGTTCCTAATGTATGAAGATTTGGGCTTGGAGAGTGACATTAGGTCATTTCAGCTGTGTCTTTTTGGTCAATCAGTCACAAATCACAGATTGAAAGGAGGAAAGGCACAGTTTCTCTCAATGAGAGGAGCATCAGAGAATTGTGAGGCCATATTTTTAAAACTCCGCAGATATCAATACTAGTCATTTTCTAGTTAACCCATCCTGTTTCATGTGCCATGACACATAGAACAGCGTGGGGAATGATAGAAATGACACTTTATTTTGACTGCATCACAAAGAGATTGTGCAGTACAGGGGTGTCTTTTTGATTTTATTGCAGGCAAACTATAGGTGCCTTTAACCCTAAGGGGTCAGAAAATAGAGGAGGAATAAAATTTCTCCTCAACACTTTTTGAGCAAGAAAGTCTCAAGTATTCGTAAAGCATTTGTCAGCATTACTCTCTGATGAGGAGAGTTCTTATTAGAGTTATATGTCTCTATATTTTTAAATCAAATTTTGACTATAGCCAATTAGTATTTTTTCTGTTTTTGTAAGAAATTTTATAATTCAAGAAGCCCTATTTAAACAATAAGCCATAAACAGTTTTTTTCTTTTAAAAAAATTTGTATTTATTTATTTAAAAAAATAGTTTCAACTTTTAGATTCAGGGTTTACATGTGCAGGTTTGATACCTGGGTATATTGTGCAATGCTGAGGTTTGGGGTACAAATGATCTTGCCACCCAGGTAGTGAGCATGCTACTCAACAGTCGGTTTTTCAACCCTTGTCTCCTTCTCTCCCTGCCCTCCCTTCCCCCTCTAAACAATTATTAAACATGTATATATATTTTTTTTACCTTATATGAACATTCCGTTCTCAATTTAGTCTTCATCTCATGGCTAAGTTTCTGCTTCACATTTCTACATTCTCTCCTTCAAATTCTTTATTTTCAAAAGTAACCTCCAATCTCCAGCTTTTATTACCAAAGACTTTAGTCATTTACAGAATCATTTTAAAAAATGTATCTCTCAAAAAAGTTCATTGTGTCATTAGTAGATATAATATGGTGAATATCACCTCCATGATACAAGAATTTTTAAGCATAGTATATATATATATGTTGAATTAAAAAATGCTTAATATTTTTATAATTAATTTTAAAAAATTGATTTATAGTGAATTAAATTTTATTGAACAGTAGAAATGCTAACTGATGCCACATAATGAAATTATCTCAGAAGGAAAGAAAATAAAGAATACTTTTATTTTAAAAGCAATTATTCACAAATAGCATCAAAATTAAAATAAAGAAATCAATTTCCTGCAATAGATTTTTATACACTGCACTCAGGAAAAGTCATAGAAAAACTAGTTACAGTAGGAGATTGTATCCATGTATGCAGCATTTTTATACAGGAATTTCATTCACAGATCACATCATCTAGAGTATCATATTGAATCAGAAGATAGATCAATAGCTTGAGAGCATTGTCCCATAGAAATGGGATATGCTTCCCAGAATAAAACTAGGTAGATAATATTTGAGAAGATTCTCAGAGGAAAGTTAGTGCCTAAGTTACCATATGAAAAAAGAGAAAAAATCATGATGGAATACCAAAAAGATATCCTGTGATAAAGAAATAGATGTGCAGAATTTAAAAAAGATAGAGTGGTCCATAAAGAAATAAAATAATAATATAAAACGATTTATACTGAGATTGTTTAATTTCAAGGATAAAGAATTTGGGGACCAGGTGCTATCGTTCACACCTGTAATCACAGTGCTTTGGGAGACCAAGACTACTTGAGGCCAGGAGTTTTAGAGTTTGAGACCAGCATGGACAACATACTGAGACCCCCCATCTCTACAAAAAAAAAAAAAAAAAGAAAGAATGAAAAAATAACTGGGCATGGTGATGCATGTCTGTAGTCCTAACTGTTGGGGAGTCTGAGGTGGGAGGATTGCTTGAACCCAGGAGTTTAAGGTAACAGTGAGCTATGATCATGAGCCACTATACTCCACCTTGGGTAACAGAGTGAGACCATGAAAAAAGAGATAGAGAAAGAATTTCCAGGAACATAGAAAGGAAAAAGGATAATATCTGGCAACCATGAGGCTGTGCCTTCAAGAAAACATTTTCCACTCAGCTGTGAGGAATGAAGTTAACTGACAACCTACAGCTGTACTCTTTTAAAGATCTGTGACAGCATTTGACACAAAATCACACATTTCCCAGTGTGGCCACCTCAGTAACCTACTGAGCATGTCTGGTATTCTCATGACTAGCCATCTTCTCCCAGCCCAGGGCTCCTCTCTGGGCAGTCTTTGAACCAAAGCTTCTCACTGGGATGGCTGAGATGTCCTCAAAACCACACCTTAGTTCCAGGCCCTTCATATTCACTTCTTCCTTCCACCTCTGCTTTCATGTGTGTCTGGCCTATGTCTTACTCTGATTGCCACCTTTCTTTTCTATTTCATGGGAGTTACCCTCAATCAATGTCTGGCATTTCTAAGTCTGTCTGTGTGTCTTTTTCTTGGAGGACTCATATGACACAAATGCCTTTATATATATATATATATATATATATCAACAATAAATGACAGAAGACAATGGTAAAATGCCTGCACATTTCTGAAAGAAAAAAAAGGGTACAACTTAAGAATAAAATACCTAGCCAAGTGTGCATTCAAGGATAAATACATGTATTGAGGAACTCACATAGCCATGAGAATTTTTGAAAAAAAAATGCTACTTGACAATGCAATATGAACAACCAAAAGATGAATAATATAATTGGTAGAAAGGAAAATTAGAATATTTGATGCCGGAAGACATTAAAGCAATGACACGTATTTTTAAACATGAAATAACTTAGAGAATTCAACAGCAATAGCCTTTTATTAAAAATATTGACAATAAAATCCAGTCAACCCACTTATTAAAATTTGTAAAGCGTTAAATTGGTATTATTTTAGAAATCAAGGTGCTAGTTTCCCTGGAATACGGATGGAACCAAGTGGGTGGGGAGCTGTTTGGAGTGCTAGTAATGTTCTGTGTGGATATATTGATGTCTTCATTTATAAAGTGTTAGCGAGCTTAACGTTTACTGTATGTGTACTTTTCTGCACATATAGTAAATCTTAGTACAAAACTTGCTTGGAATCCCTATTAATATGGAACTAATGCTAAACAACTGTGGGAATTATAGACCATAATAATTATATGATTGTAAATGTTATTAATCCCTGAAAAAATAAAAATAATAAAAGTAGTAACATGAGTAGCAGAAATAAAAATTAGGAAAAAGGGTGAGTGGGAAGACAGAGGTGAGTGATCACAATCTTTCTTATTTTTTATAGTAGGTTGTCAACTCGTATAATGAATGAGGATAAAATGTGTAATTTAAACCACATAATCCTCGAACCTCTAGTAGTTTTCAAACTGTTTTTTGCTTATAAATAAATAGACCTTTAATATTATCCTTTGTGAAAGATAAATTTTGTTCAGCCATTCTGTTTACTTTGATTTCCTTTAACTTTTTTAAATTAAGTAAAATAAATTTAATGTTTTACTTAAATTGCACTTTTATTAAATTATAACTATATTTTATATGTATTTAATAATATTTTATTTGTATCCATATGTAGTTAAATGTCTAGGTCAATGCGCATATATTAAAAGCCTATACCTTCTAAAAGTTTTAGATGTTGGGTTTACTTTTTTCTAAAAAATGTTTTATTTCTATAAAAATAGTAAAGTCAGTAGTCTTAAAACTAAGTGATTTAGACACAATTAACAACTTTTTTTTTCCTCAGGGTGTTTTTCTAACTCTTTATTAAATGCAATAAATTGTTTCATTTGGCACCAACACTTCACTTCTCCCACTATCCACACTCTTTGTCTTATGACTCTACGTTGTCCCACTTTAGGGTGTGGGAGCTATGACCTTCCTGCTCCTGGATGCTGGGCTCAGCTAAGTTTTGATAAGTTTATTTGCGTTAATTTTATTTAAATAACATTCAAAATATTATATCTAATTTGCTTTAGTAATTTCAAGAATAGATGAGTTATAAATAATAGAGAACTAAAAAATTAATAATTCCTGGAAGACTAACAATCAGACCTTAATGTTAGTACTTTCTTTTTTTCTCAAACTAAAAATATCAAAACTGTAAGAGGTATATCAGTCAGGATCCAGAAGATAAACATCAGGTTAAGGTTACCAGACAGTAATCTTAATATCAAAAATTATTAACTGTAAGAGGGGATTTGCTAGCAAAGAATAAACAGAACTGTTAATAATAGAGTAATAGCAAATTATAGGGGCCACTACCCATAAGGCTGAATTGATACATAATAGAAGCAAGAGGGTCTGGAACCAGCTTCCACACACCATACCGATCCAGATTCATTGGAGAGGGCATAGCCATGAACATCTGCATGGCAGGGTTTGCTGAGGCTGCAAAGTACTCAGGAAGATATCAGTAGAAGCCATCCACAGATAGGTGTCATACAAGCAGCACTCTGTCATGAAGGCAACTGATGGGGTTTCAGAGTCAGCACTGTCTGGATACCTGGAGCTGGCCCTGCAAAAGCTGTGGATGTGGCTGGACAGGCTTTGTAGAAACAAGCTGTGTTGTAGGAGCCAACGTCAAGAAGCATAAAAGAACCTGGGAGAGAAACCCATTCATCCTTCAATTTCCCCCTTAGTAGCTTCTACTAACAAAGCTTAACATTATCCTGACTGGCAAAGAAGGAATGTTTACAGGTTCCAGCCCCACTGTCAGAAATAAAGCAGTAAATTGTGAACTTTCAACCAAGAGACAATAAAGTGATGACTAGGACAGTGCATGCCTTTGGTTACTCAGTTTCCATATTCACTCTTCTATTCAATCTTGAACTTTTATTCAAAAGTGAAACAACTCTGTATTTCCACCTAATAAGTTATAAATGTTCTTCCTGAAAGTGAAGGTATTTTTCATCCTTTTCCAAAATGAGGTGACACAGTCCCAACAGTCATTGTATCCATTACTAGCTATATTAATTACTCCTCAAATTCCACCACAGTTCCACTAAATACTCTATGAAATAAAGACCAAGTTGTAAAGTTAACCACCTACCACTTGTATATAAAATAAAAACAGGAAGAAGGAGACATACAAATGTTTAGGTATACAAATAAAAACATGCATATAACAGGCAAAGAGAAAATAGACTTCTTAGTCTTGAAAGATTTACCATATGGTGCAGCCTTCCACAAATGGACCCAGTTTCTCCTTCAGTCGGGGGGCTCTGTGTCTGTGGACTGACTTAGGAAATAGGTGAGAAGCTGTTTCCATTTATGTCAGGGTTTCAGCTACATACCTAGAGGGCTTTTTTTTTCCTACTGGGTAGATAAAACAATAACTCTGGCAGGCTACTCATGTATTTCATTCCTAGGAACACAGTGTTCAGTGGACACTGCCGAAGATCTCTACAGACCAGGGTGTTCTGATTACTAGTCATCCCTGCCAGTTAGATATGCTCACTTTGTTCTTGATGATTATGTGCTATCTTTTGATTTCTGTTACCCCAGAGCCTGTTATCCCTGTTGAAATCAGGGAATCCATCCCAATGGCAGAATCCCCTACAGTATCTGGTCTGCAAAGCTGCTCAAGTTTCTTCACTAATGAATTTCTCAGTGCTATGGTTTATCATGCTGGACTGGTTTATCTTCACCAGTAGGCTCTGGTATCTCCATCTAGTTAAATGTCTGGAATCTTGGTGTCCAAGTTTCAGTCAATCAACCAAGTTAAGTTAGTTGTTAGAGCCACCTGCAGCTTTACAAGCTAACAAATCTGAAATCTCTAGTTAGTTTCCTATATCAAGGAATTCAGCCTTATCTAGTGTTATATTCTCTGCTTCTTGGCCTAACACCTGTTGAATCCACTCCCACACATGTCCCACCCCACCATGTTTCTATTGGTATATATTAGCATGGTCTTGCAATTCTTTTGCCATGTAGTCTTTTTGTATGGTGTATACCTGTTCCTCCTGAGCATGCTGTAACTTCACACTAGTTAGTTTGGGTCATAAGACCCTAACAAGGCATCTCCAACAGGTGAGGTTATTACAAGATTTGCAGGCCAAGGAAGGCTAGTCTCCTCAGGCATGGGAGAGCAAGCTACTTCTACTGGTACAGAGGCCTCAGAGTGGTTCGTACATTCAGTGTTGTCAATTTCATTTGGTTCAAACGTATGTCCCCCTTCCAAGTATCAAGATCTCATTCTTTTTCAATTGGTACCCTAAATTTCACATGAGAAATGGTGAATTTCACTGTTGTTGTAATTTACTCAACCCACAAAGTAAATATTGTGCAAATTTAGCAATATCGGTCCTGTGACTACACTAAATATTCTTTTATGGTTCTCATGGTGGCTCTCTGACCCTTAGGCTGTGAATTGAACTGAGAGCTTATTTTTTTTTTCTCTGTAAGAGCTCAGGGTCACTCAGAAAAATCTATCCCACACCATGCTCCTTATAATAATCATTATTACCATAAGGTCAAGGGCAGCAGTCACTTGGGCTCTTAAGTCACTGGCTTCAGTTGGCACTTTATCACAATATACCACAGGCAATAGTTTGATTAATTAATTGTGATGTCACACATGCCCTGGATTCCTAGTATCCCATTTCCCAGTAGTAAGAAGCTCAGCACTGCAATGAAGCATAGGAATAAATCAAAATATTCCCCAAATGTCATCATTGGAGGTCTATCTCCTGGGACCATTCCCAGAGCAGAAATTTTGTAGCAATTTGAACTGGAAAAGTTTACCATAAATAATTATTAATTACAAGCTGGGTGCTGTGGCTCACGCCTGCAATATCAGCACTTTGGGAGGCCGAGGAAAGTAGATCACAAGGTCAGGAGATCAAGACCATCCTGGCCAACATGGTGAAACCCTGTCTCTACTAAAATGCAAAAAAATTAGACTGGCATGGTGGCACGCGCCTGTAGTCCCAGCTACTCGAGAGGCTGAGGCAGGGGAATCGCTTGAACCCAGGAGGCAGAGGTTTCAGTGAGCCAAGATCATGCCACTGCAGCACTCCAGCCTGACCACAGAGCAAGACTCCATCTCAAATAAAATAAAATAAAAAATTGTTAATTACAAAATATGGGGTTGAAGTCATGGAGGATTTGTTAGTCATAATAAAGACTCTAAAAATATAAGAACAGCATATACAGGAAACAACTATTACCCTTTGGGCTGAGATAGCATGCTCAAAGAATAATGTTCAAGGAAAAATCATGAACTGGAAATCCCCCCCTTACTCAGGGCAGAGATCCAAACCTCACTGAGGAAGGTGCATCCATGGCTCACTGAATAGCAAAAAGGCCACGGAGGTCATGAGCTCTCCTGGGAGTTACTGTGTGCTGCTGGTCACCAGCCACTGTTAAAAGCACACTTACAGAAGCCATGCACACTGCTGGAGCCAGGTGTTGCAGAAATTGCGTGTACCGCAGGAGCCTGTCTTTGGGAACTCACAGGTACCAGGAAATAAAACCCTTTCTTCCTCCAGCGTCCTTTTAGTGCCCTCTACTGACAAAGCTTAATATCTACCAACATTATTACTGAATAATGAAGTGTATATTTGGACTAGAGAGTCAATTAATTTATGGCTCTCACAAAATGCTATATTAGGATTATATTTACAGATAATTTTTCCAAGCAAGTATAGACATGTACTGTAATATAATGTGAAGAAAGTAGGAGAGTATTTTTGCTAATGGTAAACAGTTTACAGACAGTTTTTTAAAAGCATATCTGCCATGCCTTCTCTTTGAACATTGTAAATATAGGGATCTAGCCAATTTACTCATGCCACACTTAGATGTGTGAAGAAAATGTATCTTTTTCTTGGTTATTTTTGCTTATTTGATTTTTCTTATGATCCCTACCTCCTGGGTAAGGGAAAAATAATACGATGTAAATGTTACAATTTACAATCTTCAATTAAATCTTTTAAGAGTGTTCTTTAAAAAAAGTCATTTTAAATAGATTGCTCAGTTTTTTTTCATCTCTGCTTCCTTACGGTCTTCTCTTGATGCTATTTAGGTATATGAGCAACACAACTTAGCTGCACTGGAGAAGGATTAATCTCAATTCTCATTGGTCACTGTTTTCTGGATTCTTATTGAATCTTACTGCAGTGTTGTCTGGTTTTCTTCTTTTACTACTAAGGTCTTATCTTGGGAATCTTTTGCTTTGTTAGTTTGTTGTTGTTTGTATTTTAATGGCACAGTAGCTTCTACCACTGCAGCTTATGTATGGTCCCACACAGCTCCATCCAAGGTTCTGGCACATCTACAAGTTATTGCTCTGTTCTCCCGGTGCCACTCCACTAGATCTCTTCTGGTTGGTGTCCATACTCAGGAGTACAAGAGCATTTTTAAGTCTCATGCAACAATTTCAGATGATTGCAAACTGGGAGTCTGGCCTCAGATTCATCCATACACATCTTTGCTCTCACACCACGTTGAATGGTGCCAGACTGAAGCCAGATCTCAAAGTGTCCTAGGATACAACAAAACAAGTGGCTCACCAGACTGAGTGTTACCAGGCCCCTGCACATACACTGGAATGTTTCTGAAGCTATCTATGAAGAGCAAGATGGGAAGGAGATTATTTAGAGCCCTCTCATGTTTTATCACATATTTTGTTTTTATTCTTCCAGATTTTGGATTTTCACTTTCTCCTTCAGCATTTGCTCATCGTGCCCATGTTAACATGCCTTGCAGCCTAATATCATGGGCAGAAGGGTATTCTCTCCTGCTTCAGAGAAAATCTGTATTTTCTGTCCTGCCTTCCATGCTTTGCGTTGATTTATTAAATTACTTAAATTTGTAAAATCCTCTTGTTTTAGACAAAGCTCTCCTTCAATACTAGCTGCTGAATCCGATTTTGAGTGTCAACAGCTGATCACTAACATTCTTTCTCTGTACATTTCTGTAACAACCCTAAACCTTTCCCAGTCAAATAAATGACACTGGCAGAAAATTAGAATGTTGATAAAAGGAAACATGAGAAAGAAAAGTCATTAATATAGTTCAAAACTATTATCCCTTTAATACAGGCTTTTGGATAATCATTCCTATACTCTGCTTTTTTTAAACTTTGATTATTCTCACTGTTACATCTTCTTTTTCCCATTATTAATAAATCACTAATTTCTAACTCACCTATCTGTTCCATAAGAAAAGCTTGACTTCAAGTAACAAAACCCAAAATAAAAATAATTAACAAAGTTGAAGTTTATTCTTGTTTCAAGTAAAAGTAGGTAGTCTTGAGATGGTGTGATAGCTCAAAAATCCCCAGGGATTCAGGTTCCTATCCTGTTGAAGAATCGTTACTAATAACTAATTTCCACCTCACAGTCCAAGAAAAATCTCCCTGGTTCCAGTCATCATGTTACATTTCAGCAAACAGGACCTAGGCAAAGGAAGGAGAAAGCATCATCCTTTCATTAAGTGACACTTCTTAGAATTTGAATACCTCATTTTCATATACTCCCTTTGGGGAGAACATAGTTCCATAACATATATGTTTTTAAGGGAGACTGAGTAATATCATCTTTTTATTTCTCTGAGTGTTCATGTGTTCAGAAAAAAATATAAATAAAAGGCTTAGAGGAAATGGATATGGGTAGACAATTAACATTCTGTCAAATGCCTATTTTATAGATGTGGCCACAGTGAAAAAAAAAGAGTTTATTGCTTAATTTTACTGTTTTGCTTGGAATATGACATACTTTTCAGTAATTTGTGACATCAAATAATGCTGTTTCAAAAAAGATCTCATAATTACACACTTTTCTAATTAACATGCTCCGATCAGAAAATTCTTTTTTTCTTTTTATTGTACTTTAAGTTCTAGGGTACATGTGCGTGCAGGTTTGTTACATATGTATGCGTGTGCCATGTTGGCGTCCTGCACCCATTAACTTGTCATTTACATTAGGTAATTCTCCTAATGCTATCCCTCCCCTCTCCCCCCACCCCACGACAGGACCTGGTGTGTGATGTACCCCACCCTGTGTCCAAGTGTTCTCATTGTTCAATTCCCACCTATGAGTGACAACATGCAGTGTTTGGTTTTCTGTCCTTGCAATAGTTTGCTCAGAATGATGGTTTCCAGCTTCATCCATGTCCCTACAAAGGACATGAACTCATCCATTTTTATGGCTGCATAGTATTCCATGGTGTATATGTGCCATATTTTCTTAATCCAGTCTATCATTGATGGACATTTGGGTTGGTTCCAAGTCTTTGCTATTGTGAATAGTGCCACAACAAACACAAATTACCTTGGGTATTATGACCATTTTCATGATATTGATTCTTCCTATCTATGAGCATGGAATGTTCTTCCATTTCTTTGTGTCCTCTTTTATTTCGTTGAGCAGTGGTTTGTAGTTCTCCTTGAAGAGGTCCTTCACATCCCTTATAAGTTGGATTCCTAGGTATTTTATTCTCTTTGAAGCAATTGTGAATGGGAGTTCACTCATGATTTGGCTCTCTGTCTGTTATTGGTGTATAGGAATGCTTGTGATTTTTGCACATTGATTTTGTATCCTGAGACTTTGCTGAAGTTGCTTATCAGCTTAAGGAGAATTTGGGCTGAGACTATGAGGTTTTCTAAATATACAATCATGTCATCTGCAAACAGAGACAATTTGACTTCCTCTTTTCCTAATTGAATACCCTTTATTTCTTTCTCTTGCCTGATTGCCCTGGCCAGAACTTCCAACACTATGTTGAATAGGAGTGGTGAGAGACAGCATCCCTGTCTTGTGCCAGTTTTCAAAGGGAATGCTTCCAGGTTTCGCCCATGCAGTATGATATGGGCTATGGATTTGTCATAAATAGCTCTTATTATTTTGAGATATGTGCCATCAACACCTAATTTATTGAGAGTTTTTAGCATGAAGTGTTGTTGAATTTTGTCGAAGGCCTTTTCTGCATCTATTGAGATAATCGTGGTTTCTATCATTGGTTGTGTTTATGTGATGGATTTCATTTATTGATTTGCATATGTTAAACCATCCTTGCAACTCAGGGATGAAGCTGACTTGATCATGGTGGATAATCTTTTTGATGTGCTACTGGATTCGGTTTGCCAGTATTTTATTGAGGATTTTTGCATTGATGTTCATCAGGAATATTGGCCTGAAAGTTTCTTTTTTTATTGTGTCTCTGCCATGTTTTGGTATCAGGATGATTCTGGCCTCATAAAATGAGTTAGGGTTTGGAATACTTTCAGAAGAAATGGTACCAGCTCCTCTTTGTACCTCTGGTAGAATTCGGCTGTGAATCCGTCTGGTCCTGGACTTTTTTTGGTTGGTAGGCTGTTAATTATTGCCTCAATTTCAGAGCCTGTTATTGGTCTATTCAGGGATTCAACTTCTTCCTGGTTTAGTCTTGGGAGGGTGTATGTGTCGAGGAATTTATCCATTTCTTCTAGATTTTCTAGTTTATTTGCATGGAGGTGTTTATAGTATTCTCTGATGATAGTTTGTATTTCCGTGGGATCGGTGGTGATATCGCCTTTATCAGTTTTTATTGCATCTATTTGATTCTTCTCTCTTTTCTTCTTTATTAGTCTTGTTAGAGGTCTATTTCATTAATCTTTTCAAAAAACCAGCTTCTGGATTCATTGATTTTTTGAAGGGTTTTTTATGATTCTATCTCCTTCAGTTCTGCTCTGATCTTAATTCTATTTATTGTCTTCTGCTAGCTTTTGAATTTGTTCGCTCTTGCTTCTCTAGTTTATTCTTAATTGTGATGTTAGGGTGTCGATTTTAGATCTTTCCTGCTTTCTCTTGTGAGCATTTAGTGCTATAAATTTCCCTCTACACACTGCTTTAAATGTGTCGCAGAGATTCTGATATGTTGTGTCTTTGTTCTCATTGGTTTCAAAGAACATCTTTATTTCTGCCTTCATTTCATTATTTACCCGGTAGTCATTCAGGAGCAGGTTGTTCAGTTTCCATGTAGTTGTGAGGTTTTGAATGAGTTTCTTAATCCTGAGTTCTAATTTGATTGCACTGTGGTCTGAGAGACAGTTTGTTGTGATTTCTGTTCTTTTACATTGCTGAGGAGTGCTTTACTTCCAACTATGTGGTCAATTTTGGAATAACTGTGATGTGGTGCTGAGAAGAATGTATATTCTGTTGATTTGGGGTGGAGAGTTCTGTAGATGTCTATTAGGTCTGCTTGGTGCAGAGCCGAGTTCAAGTGCTGGATATCCTTAACCTTCTGTCTCATTGATCTGTCTAATTTTGACAGTGGGTTGTTAAAGTCTCCCATTATTATTTTGTGGGAGTCTAAGTCTCTTTGTAGGTTGCTAGGGACTTGCTTTTATGAATCTGGGTGCTCCTGTATTGGGTGCATATATATTTAGGATAGTTAGCTCTTCTTGTTGAATTGATCCCTTTACCATTATGTAATGGCCTTCTTTGTCTCTTTTGATCTTTGTTGGTTTAAAGTCTGTTTAATCAGAGACTAGGATTGCAACCCCTGCTTTTTTTGTTTTCCATTTGCTTGGTAGATCTTCCTCCATCCCTTTATTTTGAGTGTGTATGTGTCTCTGCACATGAGTGGGTCTCCTGAATACAGTACACTGATGAGTCTTGACTCTATCCAATTTGCCAGTCTGTGTCTTTTAATTGAGCATATAGCCCATTTACATTTAAGGTTAATATTGTTATGTGTGAATTTGATCCTGTCATTATGATGTTAGCTGGTTATTTTGCCCGTTAGTTGATGCAATTTCTTCCTAGCAACGATGGTCGTTACAATTTGGCATGTTTTTGCAGTGGCTGGTACTGGTTGTTCCTTTCCATGTTTAGTGCTTCCTTCAGGAGCTCTTGTAAGACAGGCCTGGTGGTGACAAAATCTCTCAGCATTTCCTTGTCTGTAAAGTATTTTATTTCTCCTTCACGTATGAAGCTTAGTTTGGCTGGATATGAAATTATGGGTTGAAAATTCTTTTCTTTAAGAATGTTGAATATTGGCCCCCACTCTCTTCTGGCTTGTAGAGTTTCTGCTGAGAGATCAGCTGTTAGTCTGATGGGCTTCCCTTTGTGGATAACCTGACCTTTCTCTCTGGCTGCCCTTAACATTTTTTCCTTCATTTCAACCCTGGTGAATCTGACAATTATGTGTCTTAGGGATGCTCTTCTTGAGGAGTATCTTTGTGGTGTTCTCTGTATTTCTTGAATTTGAATGTTGGCCTGCCTTGCTAGGTTGGGGAATTTCTCTTGGATAATATCCTACAGAGTGTTTTCCAACTTGGTTCCATTCTCCCCATCACTTTCAGGTACACCAATCAGACATAGATTTGGTCTTTTCACATAGTCCCATATTTCTTGGAGGCTTTGTTCATTTATTTTTACTCTTTTTTCTCTAAACTTCTCTTCTCACTTCATTTATTAATTTGATCTTCCATCACTGATACCCTTTCTTCCAGTTGATCGAATCAGCTACTGAAGCTTGTGCATGCTTCACGTAGTTCTTGTGCCATGGTTTTCAGCTCCATCAGGTCATTTAAGGTCTTCTCTATGCTGTTTATTCTAGCTAGCCATTGGTCTACTATTTTTTCAGGTTTTTACCTTCCTTGCGATGGGTTCGAACATCCTCCTTTAGCTCGGAGAAGTTTGTTATTACCGACCTTCTGAAGCCTACTTCTGTCAACTCATCAAAGTCATTCTCCGTCCAGCTTTGTTCCATTGCTGGCGAGGAGCTGCGATCCTTTGGAGTAGAAGAAGAGGCGCTTTGGTTTTTAGAATTTTCAGATTTTCTGCTCTGGTTTCTCCCCATCTTCGTGGTTTTATCTACCTTTGGTCTTTGATGATGGTGACCTACAGATGAGGATTTGGTGTGAATGTCCTTTTTGTTGATGTTGATGCTATTCCTTTCTGTTTGTTAAGTTTTTCTTCTAACAGTCAGCATCCTCAGCTGCAGGTCTGTTGGAGTTTGCTGGAGGTCCACCCCAGACCCTGTTTGCCTGGGTATCACCAGCAGAGGCTGCAGAACAGCAAATATTGTAGAACAGCAAATATTGCTGCCTGATCCTTCTTCTGGAAGCTTCGTCTCAGAGGGGCATCTTGCTGTATGAGGTGTCAGTCGGCCCCTACTGGGAGGTGTCTCCCAGTTAGGCTACACGGGGGTTAGGGACCCACTTGTGGAGGCAGTCTGTTTGTTCTCCGAGCTCAAACACCATGCTGGGAGAACCACTGCTCTCTTCAGAGCTGTCAGACAGGGATGTTTAAGTCTGCAGACGTTTCTGCTGCCTTTTGTTCAGCTATGCCCTGCCCCTAGAGGTGGAGTCTGCAGAGGCAGGCAGGCCTCCTTGAGTTGTGGTGGGCTCTATCCAGTTAGAGCTTCCCAACCACTTTGTTTACCTACTCAAGCCTCAGCAATGGTGGACATCCCTCCCCCAGATAGGCTGCCGCCTTGCAGTTTGATCTCGGACTGCTGCACTAGCAGTGAGCAAGTCTCCCTGGGCATGGGACCCACAGAGCCAGGCACGGAATATAATCCCCTGGTGTGCCATTTGCTAAGACCATTGGAAAAGTGCAGTATTAGGGCAGAAGTGTCCCAATTTTCCAGGTACTGTCTGTCATGGCTTCCCTTGGCTAGGAAAGGGAATTCCCTGACCCCTTGCACTTACTGGGTGAGGCGATGCCCTGCCCTGCTTCAGCTCACCCTCCGTGGGCTGCATCCACTGTCCAACCTGTCCCAGTGAGATAAACCAGGTGCCTCAATTGGAAATGCAGAAATCACCCATCTGCTGCGTCAATCACTCTGGGAGCTGCAGACCAGAGCTGTTCGTATTCAGACAGTTTGGAACAGAAGAAAATTCTTAACACTGCAGTTCGAAGTCATTTCTATTGGTTATTTAATTAAAAATATTAAACAAGCAAAAAAAAAAAAAAAAAAATAGAAAACCCCAACCACAAAATAAGTAACTGCCTTTAGAACTACTAGGGGAGAGGGAAGCAATAGCTTTAAGAGGTGATAAGATCACTGTGTTAGCTAAGATCATTTATATACTATAACAAGCAAATTGAGGAATTTCAGTGAATTCATACACAATTGTATTTTTGTTTTTGCTGAAGTAGAGGTAAGCAACCTTTTTTAAAAAAATGACCAGAGAATCAATATTTTAGCGTTTTGGGGCAATAGAGTCTTTGTCATAACTACTCTGCCATTTTAACTCAAAGGCTGCCGTGGAAAGGTTTGTATGTTCCATCAAATTTTGACTTGTAAAAAACAGGGTAGATGACAGGCTTTGGTCCCAGCTTACTGTGACAACAGTTGGCTGCCAACACTTAATCATCTAAAACACCAGTCTATCTATTGGAAGTGTGTAGGCTGCCTGTGTGCTCATGAGGAAGAGGAAACTGTTTTGGTGAATGGCTAGCTCAACTCGCTTCAGCCATTATCATAACAACATCTTAATTTTTACATTATTTCATAGTTCTAAAAACTTGCTTACAGTATATGTGTGTTTCACTATAAACTTACAAATTAGATAATTTGGATCTTTTTTAGGACATGGAGGCTGAGCAGCTTGCTTAAAAGAATGGAGCTACTAAATGGAGAATAAGAATTTAAGCTCGCATCCCCAGTTCTATACTATATAGCTCCCAGTATTTGAAATTAAGACCCACAGATGGATGAAATACAAAATAAGATAGGATGAATTTGGGGCAAAATTTTAATAAGTTGCTTTAATTTAACAAATATCTAATAAAAATCATAGATTGAACATTTATTACATTTTGTAGAGAAATGTAGTGGATATAGGAGACATTAAGAGGTGTAAGATATGGTTGTTGACCTTTAAAAATTTATAATTTAGTTGGAGATATCTGGAAAAGAAATTTATGTGTGTGCATGTGTGTATAGACATATATACACATACATATGTATCATAAGCCACTGGGTGGCTTATGAACAACAAACATGTGTTCCTCACAGTTCTGCATGTTGGGAAGTCTATGATTGAGGAAGCAGCAGGGTCAG
Organism: Homo sapiens; assembly: GCF_000001405.40. Lineage (NCBI taxonomy): Eukaryota > Metazoa > Chordata > Mammalia > Primates > Hominidae > Homo > Homo sapiens. The sequence continues at coordinate 22,080,903 of NC_000003.12, read as the reverse complement.
TGTCTGGTGAGTGTCTGTTTCGTGGTTCATAGATGGTGCCTTCTTACTGTGTCCTCACGTGGAGCAAGGGCCTAGCTAGTTCTCTGGGGTCCCATTTATAAAACCCACTAATCCCAAACAAAATGACACCACCCTCATAATCTAATTGCCCCCCAAAGGCCCTACCTTTTAATACTATCATCTTGGGGATTAGGAACTCAACATATGAATTTTAGGGGGACAAAAAACATTCAGAATATAGCGATATTTATCGAAGTATTTCATATATAAAATGGATACGGAAATGTATATTTTGTATATAAAATATAAAATTTTTTATATATAAAATCTGTAGCTATTACAACCATATATGTATAAGAGTTTATAAAGTTAATAACTGTTATATACTGAGTGGCCGCTTATTGGTAAAGCTTTTATTTATATGATTTTAGTTTCCTTCAAAGCTTATGAGTTTCCATCAAAATATGGGGTGAAAACAGATTATTTATTTATTGATCATGAACATTGCTTTCTCTAAAAACAAAAGTAGAATGAGTGTTCTCAGCATGTGAGTTTAAAGCAAGTGTCTCAGCTGCATAGATGACTGTCATTTATGCATTAAAGTCTCCTGGGTGACTGACACAAGATCATTAGAACTTTGGTGCTTTTAGACTCTACTGTGTCAGTAACACTCTAAATTTGTGAGATAAAACACAATGATTTTTCCAGGATCCATTATCTTTCAGGACCCATATTATTAAAGACATAGACAGGCACATTTCAGAACTTCCTAAGTAATTATATGACAAACTGTAATGGCAAAAACATCTTATAAAACGATCCCTGAACATTTTGTGTCTTCATTAACATAGGTGTAGGTTGGCAGTCTACCAGGAAAGTGTAACAACTTTGATATTCTTTCTCTGAACATATATTTAAAATAACTGCTCTGGTGCTTTTAGAATACCTATCTATCTATCTATATACATATGTATATATGTACACACATATACATACATACACACACACACATATTTGAATCTCTAAGGACCTAAATTAAAACATACACAAAGATCAGAGTCATCAGTATGCATTTCATACGTATGTCTTTTAATACCCGTATGTCCAAGGTCTTTATTTTCTCATTAGATATACTATTTGCTATAATTTTAAAAACCAAAGGAAAAAACCATCCTTCAAAGAGAAAATGATACAAATAAAGACATATTTAATCTGGTTTTGGATACCTTATGCTATCAATGAAACCAAAATAATCTTCTTTAGTGCAGTATCTCCCTGTTATATAGAGTAGGATGCTGTCATTTCCCAATAATAAAAAAGCTCTGACCTGCTTTGCGAAATGGTGAGGGAACTTTTTTGTTTTGTCCTAATCATCTACTAATTGGTAATTACCATTAATTCACTTCAGAAATCTCTCCCCATTCCAGTTTCCAAGCTAAACTTTTGTTGAACCCCTCCATTTAGAATTATAGAAAAGATCTTCAACAGAATGTCAATTTTTACTTCATATTTTTATATTAATTATATAATTAATGTTGTAATCATGTAATTTATTTATTGGATTCTTAAATTATATTTTTCAGTAACACCTTGTACTTTGAAGGCTTATTTACAAAGCAGATATATCATTTGATCAATTTGTTTGGTTTGTTGCAATTATATTTCTTTTATCAGCTAATTGCATTTTAATGATGGGGAAAATGTTACAATTATTTATGTACTGTGGCACTCAAGTTTAGCATTGGCTAATGTAGGTTACCAGTAATCCATGACACTTATACTCATTCTGTTTATTCCTATTTAATCCACACTTCTGTTCACATTTTTTGACTAACTTTGATTCCACTTCTGTCTTCTACATCTTTCATGTAAGCTCTGGTTATTCTAAAACTAAGAGTTTTTGACCTTCCAAAATTAAGGTAAGCATACATAATCTTAACACACTTGAAATAAAGAAAAATAGGTCAATTTCCACACATTTTTTGACAAAGCATACTTTGTTAGAAATAACATTATTGTATTTAAAATTTTATGTGTAAGAGTCTGTATGCACAGTATTATAGAACTTATCTTTGCTTATATATCCATATTATTTTGAAACCATATCCTATATTAAAAAAAGTTATTTTCAAAGTCCTTTTTCAAATTTATGACATTTACTTCTGCAACTTGCCAATACTTATGATACAGATTCCTGATAGCCATGCCTGAGAAGTATCTTGAAAACACACTGATTGCCATCACCTGTCACTATTAGAGATTTCTGTTTTGAAGATAATGTCAACAAGGTGACCAGGCATTACTGCTTTTGTTGTTGAACTTCCTTGCCTTGATAAGCACTGTGCCTTGCTTGATTTTCTTCATACAGTGTTGCAAAATCCTCTCATCTGTGAACTTTGAGACTTAATGTCTCAATACCATATCCTTATCCACTCATCTTTTGACAGGAGCAAAAGTAATAAATAATTGAGAAGGACACATTCACACTTGATGGTAGCACTGCATGGTTGGATCATTTTCTCTGTGAGCCTGGTCAACATTATCTGTTATGATCACCAAATGATGAGCATACTTGGTTATATTGCAATGCGATGCAGTCATTCAAGCGTTTAATTTGTCAACATATTTTTTTCTCAAAATATAGACACCAAACAACCAAATCATTTATATCTTTTGAAAAGGGTCTATGCTGTGATTATTTTTTAAAAAGGTGTTTGTTAAACATTTTGAACATTGCATATCCAGTTTGACGTTTCCGATAATGAGCCTAGGAAATTCTCCCATGCTTTTAGCATTCATGAGAAGGAATCCGGGGAAACTAAAATGGTACTCACAAATTTCAGGCATATTTAAGATAGATTGTCTTCAGTTTTGAAATCCAATAAAAATACATGATCTTTATTTGGCCAACCCAATTTTTGTCTTTTGTCTAGGACTTTTCAGGTTGTCAGCCATCAGTGCAGATACTCCACAGTCAGGTTTCAGGTATCAGACATGGAGTGATTGAGCATTTTCTACAAGTGGAGTGGGGGGTGTCTCACATGGAAAATGAATAAATAGTAACCTATCACTAACACACCTATTACTTAAAATGATGCTTTAGACTGACATTCTGTTTCTCCCATTTCTTTTGTTGTTGTTAGAAACAGCTTCTAAGGTAGAAATTATGTAGGCAGCTACAACTGCACTCTAAAACATCTGCCGAGAAGCATCTCTGTATGAGGGAAATCATTACATGTGAACCAAAACAATAGCAAATATGTGCCAAAAACATCAAATATTTATTTGATTCTTTCATCAAGGAAAGTGTTAAATAGGAAGTCTGCTTTGCATTTAGATACAGAACCTCACCCTTAGTGGGCCTTTGCTAAGACAAAAGAAGACCAATTTCTGGAATAATCTATTGATAAGAAATCTTGCCTATTTTAGTTGTGCCTGAACTGGACCAAATTACATCAGCATAGATGATGTATTTAGGTAATGACCAATGTTGGACAATTTTAATTTCATTTTCTCTTTTGTGTCTAGGCTTATTTTTCAATTATTCTACCTTTACCACCAAAAGATGCTCTTTTGACAGTGGTAAAACTAGGCATGGAAGAAGTAGAATTTAACCAAAATTCTGTATGGGAACATAATCTAGTCCAGGAAAATTTATGCTTAGTGCAATTATACAGTAAAAGAGTAAAGAAATGAAACATTCATATAGTCTGAACAAAAAGTAGACATCAATACTGAACTATAGCAATACCTCTGCTACATAATCATTTACTAACACTGTTAATGCTTTTTATTATATATATTTTTAATTTTCCTTAAATATGGTTATTATGGGTATTAAGGTCTTGTGCTATTTCTGAAAATAACTCACACTTATTTTTAAAGCATGGCCTCTAACCAAAGAGTCCTTATAAATTGGAAGGTGGCTTTTACATATTAATATGATTAAAAACGTGTTACTCAGAGGTAGATGAGTGTTTTTTTCACATGTTCATTGTTCTATTCATCTGTTTTTCTGTAATTACTTACAGTCATACAGAATTTTAAAATGGATAATTTCCTAATCAGATCTATGGAGAATATGATCTTGAACTTCAAATATTTTGTCCAAGAATAAGTCACTATATTTTTCAATTTGTTATTAGAGACAGAAGAGTAATTGGTGCACAATCCTAACCCGAATATAAAATGCAGACATTAAAAAACAAGTATTGATCACTTACTCTGGACTATGTTCTTTGACAGATACTAGGGATAAAACTATGAACCACAGACGTGTCCTTGTGCTTATAGTCCAATTGGGCTAGGAAACATAAACAATTACAAATAGATACGTAATTGTAGTTTGTGATTATATAGTAATAGAGACTGTGTTATAGCATAACACTGGAGGACCAACTTTAAGTGGTTTGGTTATGGGAAGCCTCACTTTTGGGAGATGAATCTTAAGCTGAGATCCAAATGATTAAAAAATAGGATGTGGGGGAATATTCATTAAAAAATAAGCCAGCTAATGGGCCATGGGAAATATTCATATGGATAACTGAAAGAAAACCAGAGAGACTGGACCGAAGTGACCAAGGTTGGGGAATAGTGGGTAGGACATGAGAAGTCGGACAGATAGAGACCAGGCCACAATAATGGAGGATAAAGAATGTATCTTTATTGTGAATGAAGTGAGAAACTAATGAGGACTTTTGAATTGGTGAGTTACAAGATCTGATGTAGATTTGCAAATGATTCTTCTGGAAGTTCAGTGGAAAATGGAATGAAAAGGAGGCAAATTAGAAGTGAGAAGTGAAACTAAAAGGTGATAGTCTACGTAAAAAAAATTACAGTAGTTTAGACTCAGTTGGTAATGGGGGAGACAAAGCTGGATGAATTTCATATATATTTTGCAGTTTGCATTTGTAGGACTTGCTGTCTTTTGGGCATGGGGAATTAAAGAAGCGAAGAATATCCTCACCACATTCGGAGATTGACATCCAACTCAAGGAACTGGATGGATTATGATGGTATTTACGAAGTTTGGGAAGACAAGAAGAGTTATAGTTGAACTCATTTATGCATTTGAAGATAGAAATGTTCCTGCGGTTTGCAAAGGAGAATAGGAAATGCAGTTAAATATTTGAAGCTAAAGCTCAGAGAAAAATCTGGGATAGATGTGAGAGGGTTTTTGTAGATAATATTTAAAGCCAAGAGAATGTATCAAAACTTCTTTGGAAAGAAAGTACAAGAAAGAAAAGAGAACTCAAGCATAAGCCTTCAAGATCTTTAAACTTTAGTAGTTTAACAGAGAAGGACAATCTTACAAAAGATGGTAGAAAAGAGTGGTCATTCTGGAAGAGAAAACCAGGGGCATGAGTTACATGAAATCCAAGAAAGAAGATTTGTTAAGGAGAGAGTGGGAAAGTGAAGAGGGATGATGAGGGCAGAGAATCATCATTTGGCTCTGGCAATATGAAGTTCATTGACAACTTTTGCAGGAGCATTTTCAATGGAGTGTTGAGAATAGGAATCAGATTAGAGTGAAATTGAAGAATGAATTGGGATGAGGGAGGAGAGGTGATTGCACATTAGGCCTCTGGAGAGGAATCTTTAGGGAAACTGGAAAGGAAAATTTTTTAAGTTAAGTGATTAGAGTGTGCATCTAAACTGAAGGGAATAATCTACTGGTGGGAATGAGATCAAAAACATAGGAGAAAGGCTATTACCCATAAGTGGTCTCAACTCTGGTATCACGTTGAATTCTTTTGGAAAGATTTAGAAAGTATCAATGCTTGGGCCAATCCCATACCAGCTAATCAAAATCTCTGGAGTGGGGCCTTGTAATTAGTATTTTTAAAAAATTACTCTGCAAGTTTCAAATATGTAGTTAATATTGAGGGCTATTGAACTAACTTAAATATGATTCTCAAACTTTAGAATACCTCAGAAGCACCCCCCTTTTCTCACCATCATTTCTGATTCAGGTTTCTTGGTGATGGTGACGTTGCTCATGTTGAGAACCACTGAATTAATAGAATGAAGAAAGTCCACATGAAGATGTGAAAGGGAAGGGTTCCAGAGTTCAGTGAAAGGATGTACTTTTGACAGAGACCCACTTCATCTATTATCATGAGAAGGGAAAGTGATGATGGAACAAGTAAGATTGAACAGTGTCGGGAAGACCAGGGTATGAGTATTTCAATGATGTATATGTGAGGTTATCAAATGACCCCTCATTGGAGAATGGGAGCATAAAAATTTGAAGAATGGAGGTTTTTTCTTATATTGTGGAATTAAACAAACTATGGAAATATCATAGAAATACCAGGCAGTATCAATATGAGGTTTGAATCAGGAATTTTAAAAAGGGAAACATTCAGGCTGCTTATATAATTTTCTCTTATGATAATCAGAAGTAACCAATATGCAAGATTCATGTTCAACTATCATTTATTAGTAATTTTCTAGTATTAGGCATTGGGCTCAATGTTTTTTGCTTAGCTCCACCCATAGAAAAATTAAGAGTTGGCTTCTCTGCCAAGGGCTGGATGATAGCAAAGGATAGAATTACAGCTATTGAAACACATCAAAGGCTGTTTATGGTAACTATGTATCTAATTATTTCTGCATCGACATAATCAATGTCTTCACTCCAGCTGATCATTGTGGATCAGCTTGTCTTTGCCTTTTCTCTTCAGAGCAAATGAGCTGGCACAGACAAATTGCACAGCTGTTGACACTTGTTTCTGTAAAACCCTTTGGGAAGTTCCCTCTAGATGTCTTCATCTTACAGGTACACAGAAAAAGAAAAAAAGTATCCTGGGAAAATATTAATGCTTCCAAAGTGTTACTTAGGGTACAGAATAATCAGAAGCCAAATTTTAAGATCCCTGGACATATGAAGAGAACATTAAGACAATGTACTTTAGTATAAGCAGAAACAAGGAATAGATTTTTAATAATGATGTTCCTTTTAATACATGAAGATAAACTGCCCTTTTAAAGGATGCGAAACTATTCATGAATGGCATAAAACAATCGTAAAGGCTGTTTTATAAAAGAGAAAATGCTTCTCAGTATAAATAAATAACCTCTTTCTGTATTTTTTAAAATTCTAAAAATAGTATGCTTTTACCTATTCAGAAAGCATCCAAATGTATTCTTCAATTCAGCAAACAGTTCTTAATACAAACTGTCCAACCCCCCATTTCTTTAATTCCCCCTACAATCTTGTAAGATAGGATAGCTGGTACTATGCTCCTGTTACAGACAAATATAAATAAAAATAAAAAGCCTAAATTATTTGCATAATCTCATAATTCATGGCATAAATGAGGCTAGAACCCTTGCTTTTTTATTCCTTGCCAATAATTTTTACCCTAGAAAGGTTGTTGTGTATGGCTTTTTACACTTTTTAAAAATAAAGCAATTATTAAATTTCAGGAAAGATTAAATTTCTGGAAGTTTAAAGTTCTTTTCCCCTAAGGAATAAAGCAATAAATATGGAGAAATGATGACATTTTACCCTCTCACCCACCCCACCCTGCTTCAGAGGAAATTACACGAATTTCCTTTTTTTTTTTTTCACTGTCTGTTTCTTTTTCATATAAAACTAATTTTAACCTAAAGTAATTTAGAAAATAAAAAGCAGGAATCCAAAAGGGAAATCTTATTAGATTTGTCTGCAAATGATGATTTTAATTAATTATTTGGGACTTAAACACAGCAAAGGTCTAGATTTTGACCAGAACTTAGCTTTGTTTCAAGCAGGTAAATTCTGAGGGCACCTTCAGCCTTTCCAGGACTGCTTGTCTCTGCCCTTATGGATTGCTACATTTTTCCTTCTGAAGAGCTTTCTAGTTTAATGGTGACTTGAGGTGTTTGGAGCTAGAAGTCTGAACTTCTGAAAAGATTGAAAGTGCCTGGAAACCATCTGAGAGGCAATCCAGTCAAGGTGGCCTCCCTTCTCTATGTGCTCAGGACAAATGCTTTTCTCTTGGCCCTGAATCTTCCCGGGAATCTCAATTTCAAATCAAACAGCACAAGCTCAGGGAAGAATATGTATTCTAGGACACTAAGAATCCAGTCCTTACCTTTCCTTTTGTTCTGTTTCCTTATTTCTTCTGCATTCCCTTTTTCCTTCCTTCTCCCAACCTTCAATATTTCTTCTTTTTTCTTCCTTGTCTGACTTTACTCGTGTCCTTCCCTCTTTCTCCCTTTCTCCCTCTTTCTCCTTTTCTCCATTTCTCCATTCCTTCTTGCCTTCCTATCTAGCATTCTTTCCTTTGATTCTTTTTAGTTTTGATTAGGTAATATAACAATATACCTTAAATTTGAAAATCATTTTCCTTCCTAAAAATTGCAACTCTATAACCAATCTCCATAGAAGAAAAGTTAGTAAGTATAATACTTCTTTCAGTACCAGCTCTTCAGCAAGCAGCTGACGAGTTCTAGTTCTAGTGATTCTTGATGAGATTGTTTAGAGAGTGCTTCATTCTGCTTGAAGGACAGATGAAGCCTCTTATATAACCAAAACATTGAGTAGTTTAATAATATGGTTACATTTTTTTTTATTTTTCCGTTCACAAATAACTTCCAAGAAGTATATAATGCCAAAGTAAGGTCACAGCATCTGTTGTACATGGCTTTCGCCCATGTCTAGTTCAGGAATTTTCCATGCCCAATTAAGAAATTCTATCCTTTTTCAGATTCTGCTTGCCACAGGATGGCTTTAGTCACTTTCTATAAAACTAACTTAGAATAGAGGTGTCTAATTTATAATCTCATGATTCTGTTTCTTCAATGCCTAATTTCATCATAGTTACTAATATGGATAAATGAAAGTAATGCTACAATAAACATACATGGTGGGTATTACAGGTATAAATTATTGCTCATCTCAAGAAAAGAATTATGTATCTTTTTTTCTGAATTTGACAGTTTACTTCAGGTTTCTTGGTAAATAGAATGAGTTACCAGACCTTGCAAGACCATTGTATTAATAATCTTTGATTTACGTCAAGACAGTTTATGATGGGGCCATCATCAAATGCCCCAGCCACAGATGGCAGAGCAAAAAGAGTATGATTGCTTGTCTTAGGCACTTAACTGCATGGCCAGGAGGAGAAAACTAGATTTAGGCCTTTTACTAATCTTGTTGGTGTCCATAGAGAAAAGATAGTTTTGGTAATTCATTCTTCTTCGTCTTCTTCACATTCATCTGCCACCCCAAGAAAATGTGAGCTTACTCAAATAATCAGGGATATTTTCTAAGTATGTTGAAATGTTGAGCTTACCCATCATATAATTTTTATTCTCTGCAATATTACAGGGAAAGTGAGGAGCATGTATGGAGGAATGCATAAAATTAACTTCAAAGGTGGCTCCTTAGAGCAAAGGCCAATGAAGGCAGGTTTGTAGTTGATTTAATCATCAGAAGTGCAGTTGAGAGATAAATGTCAGCAATTTCTTTTCAATCACCTAGTGACCTCTAGTATGAAGCTGGATAATATTTTCTTCCTCAGGTTTCTGGAAAAATCTCTTTCTTGCTTTGGGAAAAATATTAGGCTCTTCACTGTTTAGATAGGTTGCTGTATACCTTGAATGTTGCCAAGATTTCAACTTTGGGACAGAAGCTTGATAAAGATGATATAGAGATACTGAAGAATGAGTTGGAACCTTTGGGATATTATTTGTATGTCAAATATTATGAATTTAGCTTTTAAAGAGAATAAGAGAAAGCTAAGTTGTAATGCAAACATATGCATTCTTTATTGCTGTGCAAAGCCAGGCACAGGAGCATTCTGTATCCAGGACTGAGCTATGTCATAAATATCATGTTACCTTTCTATTTCAAAGTGTTCAGTGCATCAATATTTTTATTCTTTTCATAGATTTGGCAACTGAACAGGTAAAAATCTTTCAATTTTGGCAGACTGGAGAATGCCGTATTCTTCCTAATATTGGTTAACACCTATACTGTTAATAAGACTATTTCTTAAATATTTCAATGTAGTAAGTGCTTTCTGAAGACAGAAGAAAACTTAACAAAAGTGATTAAATTGAAGCCAGTTGAAATTGTAAGCTGTTTATAAATTATATCATTGGAAATAAACTTGTTCATTAATTTTAATGCTTTCTGAGATTTCATGACTTACTTTCACAACTCAGGATATAGATTCCCCTTACCCTTAATAAAGCTTCAACATTATAAAATTTGAAACTTTGTTTTTTTCTTCAACATTTTTATTTACTATTTTCTCATGTCCTCTACCCTGGACTTACTATAGTACTTTCTATGACTAGAACAGATGTTTGTCCATTTGAAAATAGTTTCATCCTTTTATAATCTTTCATCACAGTGTGTCCTAGGATGGGAAGAACTTTCATAGAAACCTATTTCACTTTCCTAAGTGAAATTTGAGATAATGAAGCAAGTACTCAACTCTCTCTTATAAAATACAACAGAAACAATTAGCAATGTCTACCATATAATGACATATTAAATATAAAGCTTTACAACTTAGGAATGTTTTTCTTGAAAGCGGGTTACTTCATAGGCATCCGTTTCTCTGTAGTATATATTGCTTTCCTTTCATGTATATATAAAAGGAAATATATGCATATAATTATAGGTGATGCCACTTAAAAATAAGTGGACCTATTTCTTTATCCAGGACTTAAATTGTGCTTTAAGGGGATGGGGCCACTGATTTAAATTACAACATGTGAGTAGATAATGCTTGTTGTTAGAAAATAAGATGCTTATCTTTAAAGTTCTAAGTGAACATTTGTGGGAAATTATTAAAATAGGAAATTAATGTGTTTTTAATTCTAGGAAAGGGCCATTTTCAATGTCAGCATACAATTCAGAATTTAGACAGTTAGTGACACTAAAAATAAAGTACCAAGAATAGTAAAGTAACAAACAGCTTTATCTTATTTGCCTTAGCTTGCTTTCTTTCTGAAGGTGCTGCTGAGAGCTTGGCACTCTGAAACCCATTCTGTAGCAGACAGAACCAGCAGTAAAGCAAAAGGAGACATAGAGCAAAGGAAGGTACCTGCCTACAGTGGGGTTTTCCTACGTGGCTGGCTTGGGTCTGACTATTTCATGGGACAGAAGAAGAAAAGCAATAGGGCCATGTGGAGGAGTCCCAGTTGACTTATCACTGATGTGCACTTATTACCTTCACATCTAAAAAAGGGCCCAGAATCCTTGAGTTTCATCTTCACTGATCCTTTTCAGGGAAAATGATAGAATGAAGAGGTCATTGTGGAGAGAATGTATTTATTCTTAGAGGCCAAAAAATTCCACTAGATACCATTCTAAAACACAGATATACTTATGCCATCCTTTTGCTTCTAATAGCTTCAGTTTTTCAAAGAGTCAAGTCCAAAATGTTAGCATGCCATTATTATTGTTTATGTTACCTTTATATTGCCTATGCACTATACATTCACACCCCTCGGGGTTCTTGTTTAATATATCATTTCCTCTCTCCCCACCCCGAGGCCAACACTAGTTGTAGTGCCTACCCAAAAAGCATTCTGCATCCTTCTCATATTCGTTTTATTCTACCAGGAGCTTGATTTGTTTGGTCATTGGTGAGAGATCTCTTGTGGTGAGGGTATGTAGAACCATTTGCCAGTTCCAAGAGATTATCCATCATCACCCTGAGCCAGTCACTGTGATCTCATTTTCTCAGACCCTGTTGGAGCTGGGAGTAGCCAGTACTAACCAATGAGATATAAGGAGAAGTTAGTTGGGAGAGAATCTATTAAAATGTTAATTTTTATAACACAACAAACACCTGTAGCTAGCCCAGATCTTTATATCCTTTTACTAGTTGAACACATATAATTTTAGAGATGTGGCAGCCATCTTGTGACAGTAAAACACTGAGCATGAAAACAAGGTTAAAGCTGAGGGTAAGGGAGAGTAAAGATAGCACCTGGATATGTAATGTCATCTGGAAGTGTCTGTACCAATCCTGAGACACCTTCCTCCATATTTATTGTTAAATTGACTTTAAGTGTCACTGTGATCTGTGCTACTGTTATTTGGGCGGGCCCCATGTTACTTGTTGCTAGAAGCATTTTCTTCACAGTTGTGCATATGCCAATATTAATGTAATGTTTTTCTTCACGTGTCAGCTGTAGAAAGTTATCAGTCAGAGTTCAATCAGGGTTTAACTAGGAGTATGTAGAAAAAGAAATTTATTATGAGAATTAGGCCTTTCACATATGTGAGAGGAAATGTGGAAAAGAAGAGCCAAAGAAAGATCAAAGAAATGTCACTAAATAGACAGAGTGTGGATGGATCATGTTGAACCTGTAGGAAGCCAGGCAGATCCAACTGCTAGGAGAAATCCTCAAAAGAATATAATAAAAAGTTTTAAATTGGTAAAGTGAATTAGTAGAGCTTAAGAGGGAAAGAGAAATGGGGTGTGGGGGAGTAGACAGAAAAAGAAAAGGAAAAAGAGACATTCAGATGTCTGTTTACTACACTTGGATATAGGACTTAAGGACAGTATCTCGGGTTTTAATGCTCATGAAGGGACAGGCGGTAAAGTGTAGCTCAGAGTGTTAAGCTGGAACTAAAACTGATGCAAAGTATCAATTCGTTTGAAGAGACACAGTATTACTAGGTGAAAAAAAGAATAGAATTAGCATCACAGTGTCTAGTGATAGTACAACTGTCTGAAAGAGCATCTAAGAGAACAATGTTACAACTAATAAAGAAGATAAAGTAAGGCAGATGAACCGTAATAAATGACTAAGACCTTCTCAAAGTTACTGAATTTTAAATTTTACTTAAATTCAGTTAATTTCTATTTCAATTTCAAAAGCCACAGGTAACCAGTGGCTACTGTATTGATCAGAGAAGTCTTAGATTTTTTTTTTTCCAGTGGAGTCTTGCTCTTTCACCAGGCTGGTGTGCAGTGGCGTGATCTCGGCTCACTGCAACCTCTGCCTCCCGGGTTCAAGCAATTCTCCCGCCTCAGCCTCCCAAGTGCTACAGGTGTGCCACCAAGCCCAGCTAATTTTTGTATTTTTAGTAGAGACAGGGTTTCACCATGTTGGGCAGGATGGTCTCGATCTCTTGACCTCATGATCCGCCCACCTCAGTTTCCCAAAGTACTGGAATTACAGGCGTGAGCCACCATGCCCAGCCAGATATTTTTGTATTTCTAAATAGTTGTAGAATAATTGCTTCTTTCCCTTATATAATTTGAAGTTCTGGGAGAAAGATATCCTTTCCCATTAAAAAGTTGATTTGTTTGTATAATAACATACATCAGCTGTGAACATTGAAGTGTACCACCTCTGAGTTAACTTTAGTGTTATGAATCATTAGAAAGAGAGGAAATGGGATATACACTTCTGTTTTGTCATAGCTTAAAAGATGATTTCTAAGCCTTTTCTGAAGCTGTTGCCAACTCAGAAACTATATTATACAAATCTATAGTGACTTCATTATCTGTTACCTGTTATTGCCCTGCTGAGCTAAAATAAACTGTTGCATTATGTGACCTATAAAATGATATTAGGCATTTTATTACTTGCTTGCTGTCAACTTGAACATAAGACAGTTATTAAAGATTACACTGAGAAGATTGAGAGTACTACAAATGTTATTTTACAGAGATGACAGGTTGCCCTTAATGTCTCCAGTCATAAAAGAAAAGAAACTGGATAAATTTGAAGCCAGTGATATAAACTCAACAGGCAGTGTGATGAATAAAACAGAGACACAAGCAATCTTTCTTTCCATATTCTCTTTATTTTTCTAATGCCTGTACCATTACTTTAACAGCTTCTAACTAATGTAAATTGGAAAGGAAGAACATTAAAAGAGTAATTCCACTGAGGAGAGAAGATCGCTTCTTTATAGTCACATTAGGTGCCTGAGCGTGATCTAGACTTTCATAATCCATTGCTGACTTGATGGATGTTAGAAAGTAGGGAAACTAAACAAGAATGGGGTACTTCTGATTATAGGCATCATTGATTTTGATGAAGCATTCAGCGTAGGTAAAAGTTATTTAGCAACCTGGATTATGTTTTCAAGGAAATATATTTTCAATTTCTTTTTCATGTGGCTTACTCTCTTCCAGAAATAGACACATCTCAGGTCATGAACAACCAACTAGGAAACATCCAGTAAATGTGAATATCTAAGTGCACATCACTTATCTTCTTAGCAGTAACTTCCTAACTAGATTTTCCTCTTCTAACCTTGTTACTGCCTCCTACAACACCAAAGCTGCCCTGATCTTATAATTCTCACTGGTGCACAGATAGGGAACCATCTCACCCAGTATCTTTTTACTTACACACACACACACACACACACACACACACACACACACACACACACACAGGGAACCATCTCACCCAGTATCTTTTTACTTACAGACATACACACACACACACACACACACACACACACACGGGGAACCATCTCACCCAGTATCTTTTTACTTATACACGCAGACACACACACAGGGAACCATCTCACCCAGTATCTTTTTACATACACACACACACACAGGGAACCATCTCGCCCAGTATCTTTTTACTAATACACACACATACACACACACACACTCCTTAGCTACAAAGAAGCATTGTTTTCCCCTTTCCTTCATTTTTTGGTCTTTCCAAACTACACTTGTTTCATAAGCAGTCTCTCTTTTCTTTTCTGAGCATAACTTTTGACTCTAATTTATTGAATGAACTGAACACAAAATATGCATCAGAAAAAAAATGGTATTTTTTTCCTCCTATCACATCTTTCAACTCTTCTCGGTTGGCTCCCCTTTCCCTGCTCATTGACAACATCTCTGGAAGATACAACAGCTCTTTTGTCACTTTCAGTTGTAAGAACGGTCTTATTTTTTGATAATTTTCACTTTCAGGAATAAATAATCCTTAGGTGGTCCAGTGTCAAAACTGAGCCTCAGATACTGTTCTCCTCACTCCACCTGGCCAATTTTAGTTGGGCTGTGATCCGTGATGTCTTTATCTTTATCTCTTTTCCCTTCTGGATCTTCCAGAATCAAAATGAGGAGATAAGAGATTAAAAGAAAAAGACAAAACATATTTTATGACTTACACAATTTGTGGCCACTGGTGCCCTTAAGTCATGATAGACATTTATGTGCTGGTTTTTTTATGCAGTGTGTGTTATGTTCTTTGAGAATACCATTCCCCCACAGCACACACATACACTTTTAGATTATGGTCCTGTGTATTTGCCTAACTGAACTCACCACTTGCGAGCTCCACACACTCAGTCCTTTCCTCAACAAATTGATCTTTTCACCATGCCCAATTTCCTCTTGTGTAAGGATCCCATCAAGTGAGCTCACATCTGGATGCTATTGTACACTCACCTGGCAACTCTGCCCCACTCTAACATGAAAGTGTAGGGTGCAACCTCTTGTTGCCCCTACCCTGCCATTGTAGAGAGTTCCAGCTGCCTTCCATCTTGTGTGTTTTTTAGAAAAGCAGGCATCATTCTTTGCAGTCAAGTCCCCAGCACTGTGTTGGCATAGATTGGACTATTTTTGCAGCTTTGCAGACATCTGTCTAGCTAGGACAGCGAGCTAGATGAGAGAGAGATGTCCATCTTGCTTTCTTAAAAGTCCTCATTCTCTATCAGTGCTTCTTTTGGCAAATCTGCCCAGTCCTACGAGGAGAGCAAGAGAATAGCCACACAACACTCTCTTTGAGTCTAAGACTTACTAACTCCACACTCTCTCAATAAGTTCATCTTCTGTATTAAGTTATTGTTTATGTTTCTATTTAAAATCAAAGCCAGGAAAGGCTAACTAATTTGTTTAAGGACTTATAGCTAGTGGGTGGCATAACTAGGATTTGAACTTGTATTTCTAAAGTTCTAAAGTCTATCTTAATTACAACATTATACCGTCATAATATAATTTGTGCATGGCTAAGTCAACCATGCTACTGATACATTAGCTTTAAGAAAACATTTTTTTAAATATACAATGCATTGTTACTTACTGTAATCACCATGCTGTGCAATAGATCACTAAAGATTCTTCCTCCTCTCTAACTGAACTTTATACCCTTTGATCATCATCTCCCTTTTCCCACCCAGGACTCTGCCCAAGACTCTGGCAGCCACCATTATACTACTAATGACTTCCACTTTTTCAGGTTCCATGTATACGTGAGATCATGTCATATGTGTCTTTCTGTGTCTCGCTTATTTCACTTAGCGTAAGGTCCTCCAGGTTCATCTGTGGTGTTGTGGATGCCAGGATTTCCTCCTTTTATAAGGTTGAATAGCAATCCATTGTGGATATGTACCCCATTTTCTTTATCTGTTCATCTGATGACAGACACCTGGATTGCTTTCCTATCTTAGTTATTGTGAATAGTGCTGCAAGGAACATAGGAATACAGATATCACTTTGGCCTACTAATTTTAATTTTTTGGGGTATATATCCAGAAGTGGGATAAAATTTTTTAAAGAAATACATATAAGCAACAAATGCTCTGCTTTCTAACAGTTTTTGAAGTTGTCCCAAAATCACCATGCAAATTATCACAAAAATCTCTGCTCCTCTGTGCTCTTCTAATTAAATTTCCTACTCCTTAAACAACACCATTTGTGTTAGAGAATCTCTTTTGACCCCTTCGGAGAGGATTACCCCTGTATTGCCTGAGCAAACTGTCATGGCTTCTCCTGAGCTAATCACCATGAAAGACAAGACTGAGTCTTCTGAGGACCAACAATTCCACTTCTCTTGATTTCTAGCCCTATAACTAGACTGAAGTCCTAGCAGTCCCCTAAAGGTGAGGTACAAAGTGTGAAGCATGAGGTGCACTACAATAAAAAATGTCACAATTTGGATTCCTTGGGAAGCAAATTCTGAGATGGATATTTGCTTACAGCAACTGTATTGGGGCATGCTCTCAGGATTAATAACTGTGGGTTATAGGGAAGGAGGAAAGACTGGGCAGATGGAAAATCAAGGTGTCCTGCTGTCAAAACAAAGGCCTCAGCCAGCCCGTAAGGAGCTCTGGAGCTTGGATAACTCTTTAGAGTTGTACTTAGTTGGAGCAAGGAATCTGGACACATAGCTCCACATGAACCAGTGAAGGTATACAGGCTGCCCAGGGGAAGAGGGTGTGACTTTGGGTGAGACGCCTATTTTCAGCTAAGTATAATTCTTGGAGAGGACAGAGAGCTGAGGGCTATCAGCACGCAGCATGCCTAGCAGCTGGGGCATGAATCCTTCAAAGAGGACCTGAGCACAGCATCCTCTACAAATATATTACCATATCATTAGGGTTATTTTTGATTTATTTGTAATGTAACTATTGTTAGGGACTTTAGAGAATTTAATAGGCTTTAGTGGGCTTCTCAAGTGTTATACTCATTTTACATGGAAGTTTTATGTAAAAATCTATTGAATATTCTAAATAAATTGCTTGCAGATGAAATTTTGTATCATGATACTTTTAGAAACTAGGCTCTCTGTAACTCTGAGGCTTTATTCAATTTTTATTAATATTTTAAGAGAAGATTAATCAAAATGATGTATGTTTGTTGGTTTCTCATTGATGAAAAAGGAAGTAAACCAAAATTAATCAGACAATGTTCTAGGAATTTTTCACTACAATAAATTGTTTAATTTTTTCAGTAAACCAGTGAAATAGATAATATTCCCATTATTCAGATAGAGAAACTGAAGTTCAGAAAGGTTAAAAAAATTAACCAAAATGGCATATTGGCTGATTCAGGAATGTCTTCTTTTAGTGAGAAAAGTACCTTATATCTCTGTATTAGTTACACATTGCTGCATAACAAATTACCCCCAGATTAATGGATTAAATAAAAAAAAATTATCCCGTGTAATTTCTGTGAGTCATGAGGCTGAGAGTGTCTTGTTTGGGTGGTTCTGGCTTAGAATTTCTCCCTCTGTTGTAGTGGAGACATCACCCAGGCTGCAGTCATTTGAAGGCCTAACTAGGGCTGAAGGATACATTTTCATGAAGACTCACTCATATGGCTGTTTGTAGGAGACCTCTGTTACTTAGCACATGGTATTTCCATATGGCTGTGTGTATGTCCTCACTGCATGGCAGCTGGCATCTTCCAGAGATACAGCAAGGAGAAAGCTGCAATGTCTTTTATGACCAACTCCCACAAAC
Source organism: Homo sapiens (assembly GCF_000001405.40). NCBI lineage: Eukaryota > Metazoa > Chordata > Mammalia > Primates > Hominidae > Homo > Homo sapiens. The sequence goes on along the minus strand of NC_000003.12, from coordinate 22,062,722 downwards.
CATACATTGTTAATTCTACTACACTCTACTCCTGAAAAGCAGGTCACTAAGCCTGGGCCACACTTACGTGGAAGGAAGATAGAGTGCATCTTTGGGGGCGAGGGGGTCAGAATTTGTGGGTATGTTTTAAAACCACCACAATGTTAAATATTTTAAAGTAGCATGTATGGTTACTTTTCAAATTTTGATCACAAGTTAGGCTCACTACTAATTGAAACAACTTTCATGATTGCTGCAAGAAGCAAGTCCTTTATATGGCAGTATTTCCTTAGTTATGAACTTAGACTTGCTCATTTAAAGTGTTATAAAGTAAAATGAATGTTAATTCTTCCACTTAGAAGAAAGATTATTTTAAAATGTACCAACAGGCTGGGCGCAAGTGACTCACGGCTGTAATTCCAGCCCTTTGGGAGGCTGAGGCGGGTGGATTGCTTGATCCCGAGAGTTTAAGTCCGCCTGGGTAACATGGCAAAATCCTGTCTCTACAAAATAAAAATAAAAATAAAAATAAATTAGGCATGGTGGCACTTGCCTGTAGTCCCGGGTAGTCCCAGCTATTTGGGAGGTTGAGGTGGGAGAATTGCTTGAGCTTAGGAGGTCGAGGCTGCAGGGAGGCATGATTATGCCACTGCACTCCAGCCTGGGCAACAGAACAAGACCTTGCCTCAAAAATAAATTAAAATTAAATGCAACAATAAGCATTTCCATGTTTAAAATTATTTTATTTACTAATGTATTCAGTGAATACTTATTGAATGCATGGTATTCACCAATACTGTTTTAGGTGCTGGGGATGAAGCAACCAACAAGACAGCTCAAAATATGCCTTCATACATCTTACACTTTAGTGGCAGAGACAATCAATAAACAAATAACTAGATGTGTAAAGAAAGGTAATCCAGATTGTGATGAGCGCTATGAATCAGGAAAAGGTAATAGCAGGTGGAGTGTGTGTGTACAGAGGCAGTGGTAGAGGGCAAAGGGAGAGGAAGGAAAGACATATTTTTGATGTGATGGTCATAGAAGGCCTCTTTGACAAGATAACACTTAATATATTCTAGAATCGACACTCATTGTATGGATGAACTGTTGAAAGAGAGTGACAAGAAATGGGGCTGGACATGTAATTGAGGATCAGATCCTGAGTCTTGGAGACCATAGGAATTGAAGACTTTGGAGTTATTGTGGGAGGCTTGAGAAGAAAAGAGTGACATAATCTGGTATACTTTTAAGAGTGAGATTCTAGCTGCTCTTGAGAGAATAAACTCTGTGGGGTAAACGTTTAAGCAGGACTTCCAGCAGGGATGTGGGTACAGTAATCTAGGGGTAACAATGTCTTAGAATAGGTGGAAGCAGGAAAAGTAGAAAGAAATGGGGGGACTAAAATACATTTGGACAGAAGAAAAGTAAATGAATAAGGAATAAACCCAAAGGATTTTGGCCTTATGATATTATTCAGTTAATATTTAAATGACTACTTTTCTTCATACTTTATGCTCACTGCTGAGATGTTTTCAGACTGTTTTGCCACAGAAGGAATTTCAGAAAACCAACTTACTTTGAGAGAATAATTCTTTGCAACTATTTAATTTAATTTAATTTAATTAATCAGGTGATTAAATTAACATTCTCCCTGTTACCCGAGCTCTAGTAATATTAATACTGCCCTCAGAGAATGAGAAATCAACAAACCTTTTAAATATCCATGATTATCAAGTTATTATACATTTATTTAACAGTTATTTAGTAAAAATGTCATTACTTAATTTTAATTTGATATGAAATTAACTTTATTATCAATTTAAAATTTTTTATAGATTTTTCTACTTAAGAGCCAAAATTGTCTGGTAATTGAATAATGAAGCAATTAGAACTAAACTGCAAAACTTTCTTTTTTAAATTAAAATTCACTGTTTATATTCAGAAACCCTTGCGTGGATGGCTTCTCTTATTAGACTTTCTTATTTTCTAGTTGAACAGTGCTAACCCAATAATAATCTATATTATATATCTTTAATTTTAATCATCTAAAACTTCATTTCCTCATGCTCTAAGATCACTAGTTTCCATGGCTGTTAACGTATTTTAAGTGAGATCTAAAATGAATTCATTGTTGAAATAAGTTTTGGAAATGTGAACAGAATTTCCCAGAACATTTAGTGCATTTTCAATTTCTAAAAAGGAAACATGCTTTACAAAATGAAAACTTATTGACAAAGTAATGGTTTAATTTCATCTTTGGAAAAAGTCCTCACTATGCTATTCCTGTCCCTTCATTATTACTTTATTCATTTAATTATGGAAAATAGAATATGTGTGGATGGTTGATTGAAATTCACTTTGAATTTAGTGTTAAACATTAATTTTTCAACAAATACTTATTGAGCACTGTGTTAGTCAGAGTTCTTTAGAGAAACAGAACCAATAGGGTATACAGAGATACACAGTATAAGAGGAGGATTTATTATGGGAATTGGCTCACATAATTATGAAGGCTGACAAGATCCAAAATCTGTCATCTGCAAGCTAGAGACTCAAGAAAGCCAGTCTTGTAATTTAGTCCAAATTTAAAAGGCTGGGAATTAGGGGAGTTAAGGGTGTAACTCCTAGTCTGAGGTCAAAGTTCTGAGAACTGGGCAAGGAAGGCTGTATAAATCCTGGAATTTGAAGGTCTGAGAACCAGTAGCTCCCAATGTTCAAAGGCAAGAAAGAGTAGATGTCTCAGCTCCAGTGGAGAAAGAGAAAAGTCACCCTCCCTTCACTTTTATCCAGGTCTATCTGGATCTTCAATGATTAGATGATGCCTGCCCACATTGGTGAAGGTGGATCTTCTTTATTCAGTCTACTGAGTCAAATGCTAATCTTCCAGAAACACCCACACAGTCACACCCAGAAATAATGTTTTACCAACTACCAGAGCATCCCTTAGCCCAGTCAACACAGAAAATTAACCCTCACAAGCATCTATTATGGGTGGTTAGGCCCTGGGGATACAGCAGCAAACAAAATCGAAAAATCTCTGCTCTTTGAAACTTATATGGGGTCTTCAAAGTAATGTGCTCCACATACCCATTGGAGAACTCAAAGGCATTCCAAGAAGCTGATGAAGGGTCTTAAGGGAATGTTTCCAGATTCACAACTTTGTATACATTCCACTCACCACCACCACCACCAACCCTATCACAAAGGACATTCTCTGGCTTTGCAAAAGAAAGATACGTCTGTCACTCATCGCTTATCTTATTTTGGGACAGTGTTTCCTAGAAGAAAATATTCTTAAAACCAACCACAAGGTTGGTGTTGATGTTAAGAAAGTGAATGACCCCAATTCTCTGGTTCTTGCTGCTGGCTGCAACATAGACTCACCTGGGAAGCTTTAGAAATGCCAACACCCAGACTACACACTTCTCCCTTTCATGCACACACAGTCCCTGTGGCCCTGTCTTCTTCTTCTTTTCCCTTTCTCTCTTTCCTCCCTTACCCACACACCTGTCACTGAATGAGAAGTCTTTAAATTAATGCTCAGTCCTGACCAGAGGGCAGTCACCTCCAATGATTACACAGGGTCCTTTTTAAAGAAATAACTCCTGATAGGTTAATTCTTGAGCCAAGTCAGCTCCACCTCCAGGAGTCCAGTGATTGCCCAGCTGCTTGGCCGCCCCAAACAATGTGTCCTACCAATGTCCTTTTCCTTTTCCTCAAATCAGACCTAGTAGGAGGTTTAGGGGTGATTGAAATTAATCTCCCTGAATTCGATTATATTCTTAGCTAGTAAATATTCCTGAAGATCATGTAAAGAGGAAAAGATTTGGATTAAGAGAAGACACCAAACTTCTTGCTATGGAGGTGGATAGTGGTCCCCACTAACCACCAGCCATTTCTAATCTGGGCAGCCCACAGGGCTTTAACCAAATATACAAAGCAAATTACAAATTATGGTTAAAATTTCAGACTGGCTTCCAAAAGTTAACATATAAATTTGAAATGGTATAGATTTGCAATAAAAAATGTTTTAGAGTACTTAAAATATTTTAAAATATAAACAAAACAAATGGTAATGTCCCATTTTTTCATTTAGGCATCAATAAATTATTTAAATATTAAAACTCTCAAGTTAGTTTATAATCCTGAAATTATTTGACAGCCCTCATTTTCCTGACTCTACCAAGATCTCATCTGCCTCTCATGTCCTTTGACCAGTTAGGAGTTGGAAACATTGCCTCACTTTGTGTGATAGCCATTATCCAGTTCTCTAAAGAGGCTATGAGTAAGTATAAAATGGGGAGAGCTGGAATGAGCAAACCCATATTCTCCAGTCCTTTTAAACAATAGGGTTCTATCCTGGCTTGAATCCTGGAGGCTTGGGTGTGAGGCAACTGTTGACAATAGGGGCGGCTTGTTGAATTAGCTAATATCAAATTCCCTTCTGTATATTTTTATTCTTCAATTAAGCAACATTGAGTTGACTCTATCATTTGAAGCAAAAAGTATTCTAATACAGTTTGCTTTTTTCAACAAGAAATCAAATTAGATGGTGCCATAAAGTTGAATTATCAACTTATGAGTTACCAATACTTTAAGGAACCACATATCTTTGGACCAGCATGAAATTCCTTTCTGCTGTCTGTCAGCTTGTGTAGCACAGCCTAGAAGGGTGTGTATAGCCAACAAGAATTGTTTTAGTTTGGTTGTGATGTATTCATTCATTCATTTATTCATTCACTTATTTTCCATTACTTTATTTGATTGAGATAAACAAGAATATGGCCTAAATGGCATGTTTGTCATAGTGAAACCATGAACTGTAATGATTTTCTCCATCAGTCTTTATTTCAATTTACCTATTTGTCCATTTACTGCTTCCAGGGTATGGAGGTCAGGAAAAGTAAATTGGGTTTTAAAAACGTGAGGCCGGGCACAGTGGCTCAAGCCTGTAATCCCAGCACTTTGGGAGGCCGAGGCAGGTGGATCACCTGAGGTCAGGAGTTCGAGACCAGCCTGACCAACATGGTGAAACCCCATCTCTAGGAAAAATAAGAAAATTAGCCGGATGTGGTGGTGTGCGCCTGCCTGTCGTTCCAGCTACTCGGGAGGTTGAGACAAGAGAATTGCTTCAACACAGGAGATGGAGGCTGCAGTGAGTTGAGATCACACCACAGCACTCCAGCCTGGGCAACAAAGTGAGACTCTGTCTCAAAAAAAAAAAAAATACTTTAAAAGAAAATAAATAAATAATGTTTTGGAGTAATTTGCATCTGCTTTTATCCAATTTAATTGCAGTATCAGTTGATATAGTAAAAGCATAATACCAATTTTCCTACTTCAAGTCCTTTCTAACACAGTTAATGTTAGCTAATGTTAATTTTTAATGTTAACTGCGTTCCAGGAACAGTGCTAGTCACTTTAAAATGATTATGTGATTTAATGCTTATAACCTATGAGGTATGGGTATTATTATTCTTGTAATTTCTATTTCATAAACAGATAAACTGAGGCTGAGAAAATTTAATTAACTTGCCCAAGGTTGTACAATAGTGAGTAGATTAGCTAGACTTTAAATCAGGTGTATGGGTTTCTAAAGCCTGAGTTTTAAACACAAATATCTTACACAGGGTCACGTAGCAACTGATCAGATGTGGTAGGTTAAATTATTAGTTTCAATATTTTGTTTATCTGTTTTACTTCTCACTTCTGACACAAATTCATGGAAAACGGAGTATATATTCCAACCTCTTCCCTTCAGACTTAGCCATGAGGCTGGCTGTGGCCAATGCAATTTTGGTGAAAATGATGTGATTAGAGACTTTATGATTGCATAATTACTTTCTTGTTCTGAGTGGTTACTAATCATTCAGCCTGGGCTCCACAATGAGACACATGGAGCTAATTTGAATTGAACCTGCAGCCTGTAGCCAAGGCCAGCCAAACAATCTGAGATCAACTGATTCCAATCTACCCTCAGACCTGTAAGCATGAGAATAAATGGCAATTGTTTTAATCCACTGAGTTTTTCTGTGGATTGTTACACAGCATTATTATGGCAATAGCTGATGTACACTGAACAATAGTTTTGAATTAAAACTGTCAAACTGCACCAGCTGAATTTGATTTGTAGAGTTCTTTTTGTTTTATTGTTTTGTTTTTTGGTCAGAACCATTTTTAAACTTTCTTTTCTGTTTAATTGGAATGGCTTTAGGAAGATGTACACCCTATAACGGGTCATGGATCCTAATACTCACTACAGTTTTATCTTGGGTATCTTTCACCTGGTGACATTCCCACCTAAATGATCCTTGATGGAATTTTAGCTTATCATCTTTGCCATGGTCTGTAATAGACAGCCCCTAAACTAACACACGGTTTATATTTTATCCCATTCTTACTGTACTCTCTAGGTATCTGTATCACATTGAATTTTTTTTTTTTTTTTTTTTTTTTTTTTTTTTTTATTATACTCTAAGTTTTAGGGTACATGTGCACATTGTGCAGGTTAGTTACATATGTATACATGTGCCATGCTGGTGCGCTGCACCCACTAATGTGTCATCTAGCATTAGGTATATCTCCCAATGCTATCCCTCCCCCCTCCCCCGACCCCACCACAGTCCCCAGAGTGTGATATTCCCCTTCCTGTGTCCATGTGATCTCATTGTTCAATTCCCACCTATGAGTGAGAATATGCGGTGTTTGGTTTTTTGTTCTTGCGATAGTTTACTGAGAATGATGGTTTCCAATTTCATCCATGTCCCTACAAAGGATATGAACTCATCATTTTTTATGGCTGCATAGTATTCCATGGTGTATATGTGCCACATTTTCTTAATCCAGTCTATCATTGTTGGACATTTGGGTTGGTTCCAAGTCTTTGCTATTGTGAATAGTGCCGCAATAAACATACGTGTGCATGTGTCTTTATAGCAGCATGATTTATACTCATTTGGGTATATACCCAGTAATGGGATGGCTGGGTCAAATGGTATTTCTAGTTCTAGATCCCTGAGGAATCGCCACACTGACTTCCACAATGGTTGAACTAGTTTACAGTCCCACCAACAGTGTAAAAGTGTTCCTATTTCTCCGCATCCTCTCCAGCACCTGTTGTTTCCTGACTTTTTAATGATTGCCATTCTAACTGGTGTGAGATGATATCTCATAGTGGTTTTGATTTGCATTTCTCTGATGGCCAGTGATGATGAGCATTTCTTCATGTGTTTTTTGGCTGCATAAATGTCTTCTTTTGAGAAGTGTCTGTTCATGTCCTTCGCCCACTTTTTGATGGGGTTGTTTGTTTTTTTCTTGTAAATTTGTTTGAGTTCATTGTAGATTCTGGATATTAGCCCTTTGTCAGATGAGTAGGTTGCAAAAATTTTCTCCCATGTTGTAGGTTGCCTGTTCACTCTGATGGTAGTTTCTTTTGCTGTGCAGAAGCTCTTTAGTTTAATTAGATCCCATTTGTCAATTTTGTCTTTTGTTGCCATTGCTTTTGGTGTTTTGGACATGAAGTCCTTGCCCACGCCTATGTCCTGAATGGTAATGCCTAGGTTTTCTTCTAGGGTTTTTATGGTTTTAGGTTTAACGTTTAAATCTTTAATCCATCTTGAATTGATTTTTGTATAAGGTGTAAGGAAGGGATCCAGTTTCAGCTTTCTACATATGGCTAGCCAGTTTTCCCAGCACCATTTATTAAATAGGGAATCCTTTCCCCATTGCTTGTTTTTCTCAGGTTTGTCAAAGATCAGATAGTTGTAGATATGCGGCATTATTTCTGAGGGCTCTGTTCTGTTCCATTGATCTATATCTCTGTTTTGGTACCAGTACCATGCTGTTTTGGTTACTGTAGCCTTGTAGTATAGTTTGAAGTCAGGTAGTGTGATGCCTCCAGCTTTGTTCTTTTGGCTTAGGATTGACTTGGCAATGCGGGCTCTTTTTTGGTTCCATATGAACTTTAAAGTAGTTTTTTCCAATTCTGTGAAGAAAGTCATTGGTAGCTTGATGGGGATGGCATTGAATCTGTAAATTACCTTGGGCAGTATGGCCATTTTCACGATATTGATTCTTCCTACCCATGAGCATGGAATGTTCTTCCATTTGTTTGTCTCCTCTTTTATTTCCTTGAGCAGTGGTTTGTAGTTCTCCTTGAAGAGGTCCTTCACATCCCTTGTAAGTTGGATTCCTAGGTATTTTATTCTCTTTGAAGCAATTGTGAATGGGAGTTCACCCATGATTTGGCTCTCTGTTTGTCTGTTGTTGGTGTATAAGAATGCTTGTGATTTTTGTACATTGATTTTGTATCCTGAGACTTTGCTGAAGTTGCTTATCAGCTTAAGGAGATTTTGGGCTGAGACGATGGGGTTTTCTAGATAAACAATCATGTCGTCTGCAAACAGGGACAATTTGACTTCCTCTTTTCCTAATTGAATACCCTTTATTTCCTTCTCCTGCCTGATTGCCCTGGCCAGAACTTCCAACACTATGTTGAATAGGAGCGGTGAGAGAGGGCATCCCTGTCTTGTGCCGGTTTTCAAAGGGAATGCTTCCAGTTTTTGCCCATTCAGTATGATATTGGCTGTGGGTTTGTCATAGATAGCTCTTATTATTTTGAAATACGTCCCATCAATACCTAATTTATTGAGAGTTTTTAGCATGAAGGGTTGTTGAATTTTGTCAAAGGCTTTTTCTGCATCTATTGAGATAATCATGTGGTTTTTGTCTTTGGCTCTGTTTATATGCTGGATTACATTTATTGATTTGCGTATATTGAACCAGCCTTGCATCCCAGGGATGAAGCCCACTTGATCATGGTGGATAAGCTTTTTGATGTGCTGCTGGATTCGGTTTGCCAGTATTTTATTGAGGATTTTTGCATCAATGTTCATCAAGGATATTGGTCTAAAATTCTCTTTTTTGGTTGTGTCTCTGCCTGGCTTTGGTATCAGAATGATGCTGGCCTCATAAAATGAGTTAGGGAGGATTCCCTCTTTTTCTATTGATTGGAATAGTTTCAGAAGGAATGGTACCAGTTCCTCCTTGTACCTCTGGTAGAATTCGGCTGTGAATCCATCTGGTCCTGGACTCTTTTTGGTTGGTAAACTATTGATTATTGCCACAATTTCAGAGCCTGTTATTGGTCGATTCAGAGATTCAACTTCTTCCTGGTTTAGTCTTGGGAGAGTGTATGTGTCGAGGAATGTATCCATTTCTTCTAGATTTTCTAGTTTATTTGCGTAGAGGTGTTTGTAGTATTCTCTGATGGTAGTTTGTATTTCTGTGGGATCGGTGGTGATATCCCCTTTATCATTTTTTATTGTGTCTATTTGATTCTTCTCTCTTTTTTTCTTTATTAGTCTTGCTAGCGGTCTATCAATTTTGTTGATCCTTTCAAAAAACCAGCTCCTGGATTCATTGATTTTTTGAAGGGTTTTTTGTGTCTCTATTTCCTTCAGTTCTGCTCTGATTTTAGTTATTTCTTGCCTTCTGCTAGCTTTTGAATGTGTTTGCTCTTGCTTTTCTAGTTCTTTTAATTGTGAGACTATATCCCACACCTGGCTCGGAGGGTCCTACGCCCACGGAATCTCGCTGATTGCTAGCACAGCAGTCTGAGATCAAACTGCAAGGCGGCAACGAGGCTGGGGGAGGGGCGCCCGCCATTGCCCAGGCTTGCTTAGGTAAACAAAGCAGCCGGGAAGCTCGAACTGGGTGGAGCCCACCACAGCTCAAGGAGGCCTGACTGCCTCTGTAGGCTCCACCTCTGGGGGCAGGGCACAGACAAACAAAAAGACAGCAGTAACCTCTGCAGACTTAAGTGTCCCTGTCTGACAGCTTTGAAGAGAGCAGTGGTTCTCCCAGCACGCAGCTGGAGATCTGAGAACGGGCAGACTGCCTCCTCAAGTGGGTCCCTGACTCCTGACCCCCGAGCAGCCTAACTGGGAGGCACCCCCCAGCAGGGGCACACTGACACCTCACACGGCAGGGTATTCCAACAGACCTGCAGCTGAGGGTCCTGTCTGTTAGAAGGAAAACTAACAACCAGAAAGGACATCTACACCGAAAACCCATCTGTACATCACCATCATCAAAGACCAAAAGTAGATAAAACCACAAAGATGGGGAAAAAACAGAACAGAAAAACTGGAAACTCTAAAACGCAGAGTGCCTCTCCTCCTCCAAAGGAACGCAGTTCCTCACCAGCAACAGAACAAAGCTGGATGGAGAATGATTTTGATGAGCTGAGAGAAGAAGGCTTCAGACGATCAAATTACTCTGAGCTACGGGAGGACATTCAAACCAAAGGCAAAGAAGTTGAAAACTTTGAAAAAAATTTAGAAGAATGTATAACTAGAATAACCAATACAGAGAAGTGCTTAAAGGAGCTGATGGAGCTGAAAACCAAGGCTCGAGAACTACGTGAAGAATGCAGAAGCCTCAGGAGCCGATGCGATCAACTGGAAGAAAGGGTATCAGCAATGGAAGATGAAATGAATGAAATGAAGCGAGAAGGGAAGTTTAGAGAAAAAAGAATAAAAAGAAATGAGCAAAGCCTCCAAGAAATATGGGACTATGTGAAAAGACCAAATCTACGTCTGATTGGTGTACCTGAAAGTGATGTGGAGAATGGAACCAAGTTGGAAAACACTCTGCAGGAGATTATCCAGGAGAACTTCCCCAATCTAGCAAGGCAGGCCAACGTTCAGATTCAGGAAATACAGAGAACGCCACAAAGATACTCCTCGAGAAGAGCAACTCCAAGACACATAATTGTCAGATTCACCAAAGTTGAAATGAAGGAAAAAATGTTAAGGGCAGCCAGAGAGAAAGGTCGGGTTACCCTCAAAGGAAAGCCCATCAGACTAACAGCGGATCTCTCGGCAGAAACCCTACAAGCCAGAAGAGAGTGGGGGCCAATATTCAACATTCTTAAAGAAAAGAATTTTCAACCCAGAATTTCATATCCAGCCAAACTAAGCTTCATAAGTGAAGGAGAAATAAAATACTTTATAGACAAGCAAATGTTGAGAGATTTTGTCACCACCAGGCCTGCCCTAAAAGAGCTCCTGAAGGAAGCGCTAAACATGGAAAGGAACAACCGGTACCAGCCGCTGCAAAATCATGCCAAAATGTAAAGACCATCGAGACTAGGAAGAAACTGCATCAACTAATGAGCAAAATCACCAGCTAACATCATAATGACAGGATCAAATTCACACATAACAATATTAACTTTAAATATAAATGGACTAAATTCTGCAATTAAAAGACACAGACTGGCAAGTTGGATAAAGAGTCAAGACCCATCAGTGTGCTGTATTCAGGAAACCCATCTCACGTGCAGAGACACACATAGGCTCAAAATAAAAGGATGGAGGAAGATCTACCAAGCCAATGGAAAACAAAAAAAGGCAGGGGTTGCAATCCTAGTCTCTGATAAAACAGACTTTAAACCAACAAAGATCAAAAGAGACAAAGAAGGCCATTACATAATGGTAAAGGGATCAATTCAACAAGAGGAGCTAACTATCCTAAATATTTATGCACCCAATACAGGAGCACCCAGATTCATAAAGCAAGTCCTCAGTGACCTACAAAGAGACTTAGACTCCCACACATTAATAATGGGAGACTTTAACACCCCACTGTCAACATTAGACAGATCAACGAGACAGAAAGTCAACAAGGATACCCAGGAATTGAACTCAGCTCTGCACCAAGCAGACCTAATAGACATCTACAGAACTCTCCACCCCAAATCAACAGAATATACATTTTTTTCAGCACCACACCACACCTATTCCAAAATTGACCACATAGTTGGAAGTAAAGCTCTCCTCAGCAAATGTAAAAGAACAGAAATTATAACACATTGAATTTTTAAGGGTCAGAAAAGTGAAGAGATTGTGAAAGTCAGGAACAGATATTCGTTATTTTTGATTGTTTAGTTTATTTAATATAAATATACAATTTTTAAACAAATACATAATACACAATGAATTAATATAATTTCAGAATCAGATAAAATCGGAGAAATTAACTCATTAAAAACTGCTGAGTTCATCTGGTAAAACATATGTGGCCTTTGGTCAATTCAATGATTTCATCAAAAGTTACATTTAGTCAGAAATTAAAACCTAGAAAACAATGTTCAATACATACAATCTACCAAAATTGAATCATGAAGAAATAGAAAATCTTAACAGACCAATAAAGAACAACCAAATTAAATCAATAATGAAACATTTCCTGTCAAAGGAAAGCCCAGGATCTGATGATTTTACAGCTTAATTCTACCAAACATTTTTTAAAATTTATGTGTGTGTGTTTTCTTGTTGTGGTGGTGGTTTTTTTGTTTGTTTGTTTGTTTGTTTTTTTGACAGAGTCTTGCTCTGTCACTCAGGCTGGAGTGCAATGGCACAATCATGCTTCACTGGAGCGTCAACCTCTGGGGCTCAAGCAGTCTTCCCACCCCAGCCTCCTGAGTAGCTGGGGCTATAAGCGTGTACCACCACAGAGAGCTGCTTTTTTTTTTTTTTAAACCCAATCTTCCTTTTTTGCCCAGGCTGGTCTCAAACTCCTGGGCTCAAACAATCCTCATGCGTTGGTCTCCCAAATTGTTGGGATCACAGGCATGAGCCACTGCACCCAGCCCCAAAACATTTTAACTAAACTAATACCAATCCTTCTCAAACTGCTCCAAAAAATTAAAGAGGAAACATTACGATGATACTAGCATTATCCTGATACCAAAGCCAGACAAGCATTTTACAAGGAAAGAAAACTATGGCCATTATTCCTGATAAACATAGATGCAAAATTCCTCAACAAAATATTAACAACCAAAATTCAGTAGCCTATTAAGAGAATAACTCACCATGATCAAGTGAGATTTATTACTAGGATGCAAAGATGGCTCAACATACACAAATCAGCAAATGCAATATACCACATTAACAGAATGAGGAACAAAAAATATATCATTTCAATGGATGCTGAAAATTGAGCATCTTGTCATGATAACAAATCTCAATAAATAAGGTATAGAAAGAATCTATTTCGACACAATAAAGGCCATATATGATAAGTCCACGGGTATTAATAACATCAAACTAAATTTTGAAAGCTTTTCCTCTAAGATTAGGAAGCAGGCAAAGATGTCCACTATTGGCACTTTTAATAAACATAGTACTAGAAGTTGTAGCTAGAGCCATTAGGCAAGATAAAGAAATAAAAGGCATCCGATGGGAAGGAAGGTGGAGGACATGGGTACACTTGTTTCTATTCATTTTTATTTGCACACAAAGAATCCGCCAAAAAAAAAGAACACCCTATTAGAACTAATAAACAACTACAGTAAAGTTGCAGGATAAATATCAACAAAAATTAACCGCATTTTTTATTTATTTTATTTTATTTTATTTTATTTTATTTTATTTTTGAGATTGAGTTTCGCTCTTGTTTCCCAGGCTGGAGTGCAGTGGCACAGTCTCGGCTCACTGCAACCTCTGCCTCCCAGGTTCAAGCGAATCTCCCATCTCAGCCTTCTGAGTAGCTGGATTACAGGTGCCCACCACCATGCCCAGCTAATTTTTGTATTTTTAGTAGAGATGGGGTTTCACCATGTTGGTCAGGGTGGTCTCAAACTCCTGACCTGAAATTATCCACCCACATAGGCCTCGCACAGTGCTGGGATTACAGGCCTGAGCCACTACGCCCGGCCAATTAACAGCATTTCTATACACTAACAATGAACTATCCAACAAAGAAAAAGTCAAGAAAATAGTCTGTAGACTAAAAATTATAAAACATGAATGAAAGAAATACAACAAGATACAGACAAATGAAAAGATATTCCATGTTCATGAATTGAAAGAATTAATAATTATTATTGTCCGTACTATCCAAAGTGATCTACTAATTCCATGCAATCACTATCAAAATTCCAATGACATTTTCCACTTAAATGGAAAAAACAATCCTAAAATTCACTTGGAATCACAAAAGACCCAGAATAGTTAAAGCAATCTTGAGCAAAAAGAACAAAGCCAAAGGCATCACATTACCTGATTTCAAAATTGACTGCAAAACTATAATAATCAAAACAACATGGTACTGTTACAAAAACAGACACATAGGCCAATAGAACACAATAAAGAGTCCAGAAATAAATTCATGTATTTGTTGTCAATTGATTTTCAACAAAGATGTCCAGAACACACAACAGGGAAGGGACAGTCCCTTCAACAAATCGGGCTGGGAAAACTTGACATTCACATGCAAAATAATAAAATTTAATCCTTATCTTGCACCCCATTGAAAAATCAACTCAAATGGATCAAAGACTTAAATATAAGACCTGGATCTATAAAACTGCTAGAGGAAAGCCCCATGATACTGGTTTGGGCATTGATTTTTTTGAATATGGCCCCAAAAGGCACAGGGAACAAAAGGAAAAATAGGCTTTTTTTCCAAAAGCAAATGGGATTACAGCAAACTAAAAAAAATTCTGCATAGGAAAGGAAACAACAAATAGAGTAAAGAGACAGCCTACAGAAAAGGAAAAAAATGTTTGCAAACCACCCATCTGGTAAGGCACTATTATCCAAAAAATATATATGGAACTCAATTCAATAGTAAGTAAACAAATAACCTGATTAAGAAATGAAAAAAATGAATGGATGTTTCTCAAAAGAAGACATAGAAATGACCACAAGTAAATGAAAACTGTTCAGCATCACTAATCATCAGGGAAATGCAAATTAAATCCACAATGAGCTATTACCTCATATCTGTTAGAATAATATTAGCAAAAAAACCAATGTAGGTGTTGGTGAAGATGTGAAGTGTTAAAAGGGAAGCCTTGTATCTGAATGGTGGGAAAGTAAATTAGTACAGCCATTATGGAAAACAGTATGAAAATTCCTCAAAAAATTAAAAATAGAATTATCATATGATTTGGCAATCCCACTTCTGGGTATACATCTAAAGAGTATAAAATCAGTATGTCAAATAGATAACTGCACTCCCATGTTCATTGAAGAAACATTCACAATAGCTAAGATACGAAATCAACCTACATATCCACCAATGATGAATGAATAAAGAAAATGTGTATATTTATGCACACAATGAACTATTCAGCATTAAACAGGAAGGAAATCCTGTCATTTATAACAACATGGATGAGCTTGGAGCACATTATGTTAAGTGAAATAAGACAGGCACAGAAAGACAAATACCACATGATCTTACGTACATGTTGAATCTCAAAAAATTTAACTCACAGAAGCAGAAAGTACAATAGTGGTTACTAGAGGCTGAGGAGTGGGGTAATAAAGGATATTGGTGAAAGAATGCATAATTTCAATTAAAAGGAGTAAGTACAAGAGATCTATTGTACATCATGGTCACTTTCGTTAGTATATTATATACTTGAAAATTGCTGAGAGTAGATTGTTGCAGTAGATTTTAAGTGTTCTTACCACCACAAAAAAAAAGTATGTGAGCTGATGCATGATCAAACTAATGCATAAATTAGCTTGATTTAGCCATTCTACAATGTATACATTTCAGAACATCATGTTGTGCACCATACATGTGTATAATTTTTATTTGTCAATCAACAAGAATGTCAGAAGCCTTCATCGTTGACAGAGAAATCAGGTGAACTGTTATTTGTAGTCCAGTTACTGGTATAATTTATCTTAATTCATTATTGGCCACCTGAAAATTAATCAAAAATATGTGTTGTTTGTTTATTCAAATTAGATATAATCTAATCTGGACATATATTTCCCACTTATCTAATGAATCTTATATAGTATAGTATAAAGTGTTTCTGATTTCATATTTTCCTTTGTTTCACAGTTGATGAAATGAATTCCACATTTACTTTACAAATATAAAATAAATTGTTTCTCCAAATACAATTCGACTTAGAAAAGTGCCTTTTGTTGACCAGTATATAATATCTGCTCCAAATGAAATAATGATCAAGATGACACTCAACTCTACCTAGTTTAGTGAGAATCTAACTTTTCTTGAGCGAATTAATGAACAGGTGTTAAATTTCATAGGGGTTAAATGTAATTCAATAAATCTCAATATATTTGCAATTGCTTATATGAATGAAGATGAAAGGAAAAAAATGATGCTTCATTAATATTAGTGGAAGAAGACAAGAAAATTACTTTTCTTCAGTGGTAGCTCTTAAAACATTCCACTTAGCACACATGGGAAAAAAATGTCTAGTAGATTTTTTGGTCGGATTAAATATCAGCAAAACAATTTAAAGGGAATTTTAGCCAATCTACAATGTCTTTTTTATATAAACATAAAATATAGTGGGCTGTCAGGGCATTCTTTTTCAGAGAATGTCTCTATTGAGTATTACGGAACAGTGATAGCGATAGTGAGGAATAAGAGGACTGGTAACATATGGTTAATGAAGCTGCAGCAAAAATGAGCAGTTTTAGAAAATAGAAGTTTATCTAATCTACAAAAATGTGTGTTGGTGCTTTGAATTGAAACCCCGTATGAATATTTTCCTTTGACTTTTTCCTCTTAGTGGCCATTTGTTTATTCCACTTAGCAGATCTCCTGCTGCCCACAGCACTGTCATTTTGGTTGAAACAGTTGTGCTAAGCCACTATCATCAATTTTCCTCCCAGCTGAATCTGCCAGGGTTGACAATTATTATACTAACAAGTGCTTGTTCAGTAATGTTCAGTCATTCAGATTCCCTCCCTCATTATTTTTCTTCCCTGGAGGCAATTGATATGAATAGTCCCTAGCTCTACACCTGGGGCTTGGAGATAGAGAAATTTGTTTAGATCTCCATTATAATTCTACCTCTGATGAGTGGCAAAGAGCTCGAGTTTTGAGTTTTACTTCTCAAGGGCAGCTGGGGCCCCAGGTAGCCTTATAGAAATCGCCAGGTCATGATCTTAGTGTCGCCAGGCTCCATTGGTTTGAGAGAATGGTCAGAAATCTGAAATACAAAAAAAAATAGAAGTGAGATATTTTGAATAATACTCGAAAGTGATTACAGCATATTAGACATAAAATTATTTTTAAAATACCACCTTTACTCAGCACTAGAAATGAGAGTAAAACCCACAGAAAACTGTCTACACTATGCGGGTGCTGTTAAGGGTGAAAAGTAGCACATGAAGAACTCACACCTGAATTTCTAAATACCTTGCTAGGAACTGGAAATGGGGTAGAAATTAAAAGAGAAGTGGGAGCTTATAGGACTCTCTTCCTGGCTTCACAGTGGAGGGGGTTCCCAATTCTGTGGAAGACCAGCCTCTCTTCTTCAGTTCTGGATATCATCTCCCATTCGTATTTCTCAAGAGCCCCTCTCCTTTAGCTCTTTACTGGAATATTTCCATGCTTTTATTATGTTATATTTATTATATGATCACACCAAGCAATAATAACATTTAATCCCTATATTGCACCCCATTGAAAAATCAACTCAAATGGATCAAAGACTTAAATATAAGACCTGGATCTATAAAACTACTAGAGGAAAGCCCCATGATATTGGTTTGGGCAATTATTTTTTTTTTAATATGACCCAAAAGGCACAGGGAACAAAAGGAAAAATAGGCTTTTTTTCCAAAAGCAATAGGGATCCGATGGGAGCTAATAAACAAGTACAGTAAAGTTGCAGGATAAATATCAACAAACAAAAATTAACAGCATTTTTGTTTTTTCGAGATTGAGTTTTGCTCTTGTTGCCCAGGCTGGAGGGCAGTGGCACAATCTCAGCTCAGTCTTTTTTTATGTACCTCTCCGTATTCTGCACCATACTTCCAATTACAGCAAATCACTGTAAGGAAAGTTTCACATTCATCATCTCTTTTTCTCACAAAGAGGATGAGTTCATTTTCTCTCCTCCTCCCATTTCTCACATTTAGCTTAAGTTCTTGTCTTTTGTTTCATGAGAAACTTGAAGATCTTGGAAGAAAAGACTCCCACCACTAGCCTGCCTGCAAGTGTATCCATTCTCTCCACCTTCCTTCCCAATAGAGCAGGTTAACCAAATGGCTCTTAGCAAAGGATAAATCTGTGCCCTGTATCCCATTTCATAACTTTCTAAAAACCTTTACTCCAAAATTCATCACCACCTTCCCTACATAATAAAATTCTCCCTTCTCCAAAACATAAGGATACATTATAATATCTCCTGCTTTTTATTTAAAAATTGCTCTTCTCAGTATTAAAATACTTAAAGTGCTTCAGCCTGTGTCTTTTTAAAAATTTTTATGTTTGTTTTTGTTTTTGTTTGCCTTGCTCTAGGAACTCTATCCCCCAAACACAGTGGGCCAAAGGGTGCTCAGATCTAGGCCAGTTTGGGATGTGATTCGATCAAGCAGCCATTTTAGGACATGTACTAAACATTAGAGAAATCGTTTTAAAATACTGCCAATTAATTCAGATTTCCAAAGACGACTGGTCCCATTCCTAACAAAGTTATCACCTTTGAGTAAACAAACAAATAAGTGAACCATCACCCCTCACTGGTGCCAATTCATCTTTAAGGAGTACTTTTGTGACTATCCATGCAGGCTGTTCTGTACAATCACAGCATACCCACCAAATCCTGAGGCCATTACATTAAAAAAAAAAAAAAAGTTTTTCCCAGGTTTCGTGTTTCATCTCATCACCATGTTTCTTTGTTCCTCTTTAAAGCAAAACTTCCTTTAAAGATCTGAGAATATTTGCTGTCACTTCTACCTAATGTTCCTTTTTTTATTCTCAACCCACTCCAGCCTGGACTGTGGACTTCAAGTCCTTGCTAGCTGTTGGTTGGAGGCCTCCCTCACTTCTTTGCTTACATGATCATCTTCTTAGGGAAGCCAGCCTTATCAAAGCAAGCATGCAAGTAGAGTCAGAGAGAGAGCAAGCAAGATTTTCATCAGATTTTTATAGCCTAATGTTGGAAATGACAACCTGTCATTTTTACCGTATTGTATTAGTTAGAAGCAAATCTCTAGGTCCAGCCACAGTCAATGAGGTGAGGCTGCAACAAGGTCTTGAAGACCCTTAGGCAAGGGTCACTGGTGGGGCATCTCGGAAGTTACCTACCCTCTCTCCTCTGCTAGAAGAGAAGGCAGGGACTATAATGTCTTGTTCACTATACTGTACATCCTCAGCCTTTAGAACAATGTATAGGACATAATAGTTACTCAATATTTACTTGCTCTTGCTGTTTTTGACCAATATACAAGTAAATATGTTTACATAAATAAATTTGATAATTATACTTTCCTTTGTTTTAAAATAGAATCATGTTTAAAATGCAACTCAGTTTGTATCTATGCCTATGTTTGTAGCATGCATGGTTTCAGTACGTTAAAAAATAATTAACAGTTTAGAATCTGGGCCACAGACCTAAACTGTAAGAAACATAATAATTCACTCTCTAATCTTTGACGGTGTTTGAACCATACATTGTTTTCAATGCTTCCAATTAGCAAGATTTCTTTTATAAGGCTTGAAAACTCTAGCCATGATTACATCATTGATAAATTTAGTGCTATTGTTTTGTTTTCTTAACATTAGGGATAAATAACCCAAAGGACTTTCTGCCTTGTTGTTTGTAAACCAAATGACTGCAGCTTTATTCTCTGAGTGGAAAAAATGTCAAGGAATGATCGTGTGGCACAGTCAGCCACAATGGACTTCTCAGTTTGGAGCCTTGTTAAGCTCTGAAACATTTCAGTCTGTGACTGGGTTAATAAGATTCAAAAATGAGAGGATTACAACTGATCCTAGTTGAGAAAATTAGAATTTTAGGTTAGTCCCTTGATTTGGTGATGGCAAAGTTCACACTTCCTGTGTAATATAGAATTTACTTTGACATATGTCTGTGATCTTCCAAAGACAACCAAACACGTCGAGATCAGGCATGAGAGTTTGTTTTGATTCTGAGCTATAAGCAAAATCTGGATGTTCTTGTTTAAATTAGACCTTTACAATAATTTCTGAGTGTTTACTTAGTTCTGGCCAATACCTTTTCTTAGTGAGAAGACTCAGACTTTTGATCCTTTAGAGGAGTGCAACTTGGAAGAGAAGCAATGGGTGTTTTATGGGCTTTCCCAGCAGAGAAGTACATCACCAGAGCTTGATAGCTTTGCCAAAAATTGGACCTGGATGATTATTGAGCTCTTGGAAATAGCTTGTTGTAAAAGAATTATGTGAATACCTTATAGTCTGTTCTACTGCAGAACGATACCTTAAGATGCTCAACCTACCATATGTTTTGTAACACAAAGGAAAAACTTTTTTTTTTAGCCCTATCACAACTAAGTATAGAAATCTACATGCATGGCAAAGAAAGTTAAGTATTCATCGTCAACTGTATAGTAATAATAATGGCTAAAATTGGGCACTTAATATGGGCCATACACTAATCTAAGTTCCTTGTGGGTATTAATAATGTAATACCACAACTCTAGAAGGAAGAGACTGTTATCTTCATTTTGCAGATTAAGAAATGAGGTTTGTAGAGGATTCCCAGTTTCATAACTAGTGAGCCGTGACAAAAGAGTTTGGATCCAGGTAGTAGGATTCCTTGAATTCCAAGCTGGAAATACATAAGGCCAATTCTAGTCCCATGTTTGACCCAATCTGATAAACCTTCAGTAACATATTTAGGAAGTAGTTACCTACCCGCTAATTAACACCACTATGTTTCTCCTATTAAAACACATTTCCAACTTTTGTAAGGCAATAAAATACTGCTAAAAGTTTATACTGGTCTTAATTCAGCCACCAATAATTGCTTTGTATAAATCTACTTTTCTTTCCCTATGAAATTCTTTCTTCAATATTAGAACACAGATATTATAACCTGATTGAACTGTCCATTTCCCTACCTGAACATTCCTTCCTGTTTTTTTCAACCATTCCTTAAGTTTTATGTCCTCCAAGCACATTTATAAATCTCAATTGAATAGACACCAGCTCTTCAGTATCTCTCTTATAATGTAGTTTCTAGCACCTAAAACAATATTTCAGGTGTAATCAGTTAAGTGCAGATCAATATAAATATTGCCACTATTGCTGTAAACAATATACATTGATCAATTCAGTCTGAGCCTATTTTAGTGTTCAGATCACCCAGTTGGTTTATACTGAGTTTAATGGCATCAAAAACCCCAAGAGATTTTTAATAGTAATGATATTGTAGTGAAGCTATGCCTTCCACATTCTGTATTTTAAAAATTGTTTTGAATTTTGTAGTCGATAAGCATTTTAATTGTGGTTTTGCTTAATATAACTTTAACACTTTGCTTAATGATTTCTGACTGATTTTCTTTGTATTACCCCAGTTCTCCAACTTGCAATTCCTGTGGTTGTGTGGAGCTAGGTTTCTCTCTGGGGTGGGCATGGGATCCTTGCCTTGCCAATCAGAGTACTATAGATGCCTGGCTATAGTTCAATGTGAACACATGGCCTATTTCAGAGCTAATGATATGCAACCATGTGTCATTTCTAGAGATTTTTCAGAGAGTTTTTCTCTTCAACTAGACTTGAACCAGAGAGGGGTAAAATATCAACCCTTTTGGTGATAGGAACTTGCTCAGGAGCCAACATAGAGGAAAACAGAGAAGAGAGTGACAGAGCGGGAGAACTGACCTAATGACATCTTTTGAAACCCCTTCATGTGTTTACCTTTAATGTTGTCCTTTAGGTTATATAGTTACTTGAGCCAGTAAATGCGATTCTCTGCTTCTATACTAAGAACCACTGAATTGTACACTGAGAAAAAAGAGAAAATTGTATGGTATATAAATTATATCTCAATTAAAATAAAACTTCCCCCACAAAAAAAGACTCTAGCAAGCAAGACACTTGACCATTGCAAACATAGCATGATATTTATTGCCTTTGTATTTCATTCCATTTACTCTATTTTTTCTAGTCTGTCAATGTATTTGAAATTCTGATTCTATCAGCCTTCTATCCTAGCTTTGCAGCATCAGCAAATTGAATAAGATAGTCTTTTCTGTGTTTCCCTAAACTGTAGACCAAAAATTGCCAAGTCTCCTGAAGTCTAAGACCTTGTTCCCATAATTCTTTACCATGTCCAAAAAGCATACCATCATACCATCTGAGACTACACATTTAATAACCTGTTCAGAAAATGTGTGATTATCATTATTTCTTTTTATCAATGTGTAGTTTCTGAAATTTATTTTTCCCCATTTTAGAAAATCAAAATTACAATTTCCTATCACCCATCAGGACTGTAGCCTTTGGAGTCACATTGCTGGGCTTGCAACCCTTGATCTGTAACACATTTTTTTGTTTGATGTTGGACATATTAATTAGTCTCTGTGCACTTAAGTTCCCTTATCTATAAAATGACGTAATAACCAAACCTTCCTTAAAGTGTAGTAAGAATTAAATGTGAATAATATGAAGAATTTAGTCTTGTGTCAATTAGAATTACAGCAGACAACAGATGATGTACTCAAATTAGGATAATTTGTAAAAGGTTTAATAAAGGAAGCATTTACAAAGATGTGGGCTATGTGTAAGGAAAATCATGAGGGTAATGGTGAAGTTGATCTCACCCTAGACCTACACAATGAGAGGAGGGAGCAGTTGCAGAAACTCAAGAAGAGGAGAGTTAGGTACACACTGAAATCTTGAGACTTGGCCGTTAGTACGAATGCATGGCCAGGTTGAGGCAACGGTGCATGGCGGGAGCAGGAGGCCAAATATTCAGCCTCATGATCCTCCTTGTTTCTGATCTCCTGCTAGGTATCGTAATGGCTACATCCAATTCAAAGTCAGAGGACAAGGGAGCCAGTGGCAGCAGTCTAGCAGTCAATGTAGATCAGCCTTTCAGTCATAGAAAAGGGTGGAAAAGGATGAAGAGTGGTACTGAAGAAGAAAAGAGAAGAAAGACATCCAGGAAAAACTCAACTCCTAAAACGATGTACCCTAATAAGAACTCTTTTTTAAGCAATAGTTATTTAGTTATAATATTCGGGCTCTCCAAGAATCCTGGGGTGTAATTTGCCTGGATTTGCAATGAATTTAACATGAAGCTACGGTTTCTCCTTTTTTATATTATGTATTAGGTTGAATGAAATTGTCATTTTGTAGGTCAAAAATAGCTTAATGCCTAGATTTTTATACAGTTCAAAGTAATATACTAGACTTGACTCCTCTCTAGTCTGATGCAACTAGGATTTAGGTTACATTTTGAGTAAAGAGAGAATGATGAAAAATTTGGCTGGAATGGTAGACTGGAGACAGGAAGATAAGGGCACTGGATGCCATGCTAAGTTCTAAATTTACCATGTACTAGTTGAGAAGCCACTGAAAATGTTAAAACTGGGGTGTGATGCTATCAGGCCTGATTTTAGGAAGTTGACATTTTCTGGGAATAGCATGCCATCTGCCCCTAACAATGAGCCTGCTTATACATAGACTCTTTTTTTTTTTTTTTTTTGGCTTGGATTATAGCCAAATCAACAGTGTTTATTGTTACTAGTATTTTTAGAAGCTTCCATTCATCATTCACATCAGTCAAATGGACATCCTTAGAGGTTTTTTGCTACTTTTTACATAGTTTTGCTATATGCTTCCACTTCTGGCTCGTTCACATGGTCTGCATAGGGATCGTTTGTAATTATTTTGCTAACATTACATAGTGAGAGCCCATAGCTTCTTCAGATCACTACATAAATTACAAGGTATTGTTAAAATGAAAGATAAAATTATGTGATTATAATTTAGATACTCTTCATTGAGTCATGCCTGATCATATTTATTATAACTTTGTTATAATAAAAAATATATATGTTTATATATAATAAAAATAAAATATAACCTTATTATATCTTTGTTATGATAGACACAATAATGACCATGTTCATCACTTCAGTGCACATTTTAAAAATGTGCTTAACTACAGGAGCTAGGGTATATATTTTTTCCTTAGTGTGTATGAAATCTATAATCTTAACATCCATTATCAAGATCTAAAATTCTTGATGCTAACATATTTAACTTTTTGTTTATTAGATCCAAAAGAATTAGAATTAAATTTCCAAATTACACTAGTTTTTTCAAACTTTTGATTAAACTGTTAAAAAAGCAAATGAGGACTGTGTTTCAAACTGTGCTTTTAGTAGAATAAATTTTATTTCAGCCTGTAGATTATAATGATAATGATGACAACAACAGTACAAATAACATTTGCCAATGCTACCTCTGCTCCAGTCTCCATTTTAACTATTGCATATATCATTTAATTGCTTTCCCCAACTCTGTGAAACAGGTGCTACTGAAGTAACTGAGGCCAAGAAAAATTAGGTAACAAGTCCAAGGACATGCTGATAATAAGTGAGAAAGCCAGTATTCTAAGCTAGGCAATTCGACTCCAGGGATTATGAAAGTAGTCCCAATTTATAGTTTCCTCAGTTAATTTAAGAGCCCATCTCTACCACATTTTTATCTTTCTTGAATGTTTTATAATTTCAATCAAGAAAACTCCTTCATGTGTCATTATTCATCTTGTTATCTCCTACACTTCGTAGTTCAGCAATTTGCTCTAGGTTGGTGCCAAATAAACCCAGATGGAGTTCAATTTCATGTGCCTAACATTTAAGTCTTTAATCCATCTTGAATTAATTTTTGTATAAGGTGTAAGGAAGGGATCCAGTTTCAGCTTTCTACATATGGCTAGCCAGTTTTCCCAGCACCATTTATTAAATAGGGAATCCTTTCCCCATTTCTTGTTTTTGTCAGGTTTGTCAAAGATCAGATAGTTGTAGATATGTGGCATTATTTGTGAGGGCTCTGTTCTGTTCCATTGGTCTATATCTCTGTTTTGGTACCAGTACCATGCTGTTTTGTTAGACCTAAAACCATAAAAACCCTAGAAGAAAACCTAGGCAATACCATTCAGGACATAGGCATGGGCAAGGACTTCATGTCTAAAACACCAAAAGCAATGACAACAAAAGCCAAAATTGACAAATGGGATCTAATTAAACTAAAGAGCTTCTGCACAGCAAAAGAAACTACCATCAGAGTGAACAGTCAACCTACAGAATGGGAGAAAATTTTTGCAATCTACTCATCTGACAAAGGGCTAATATCCAGAATCTACAATGAACTCCAACAAATTTACAAGAAAAAAACAACCCCATCAAAAAGTGGGTGAAGGATATGAACAGACACTTCTCAAAAGAAGACATTTATGCAGCCAACAGACACGTGAAAAAATGCTCATCATCACTGGCCATCAGAGAAATGCAAATCAAAACCACAATGAGATACCATCTCACACCAGTTAGAATAGCAATCATTAAAAAGTCAGGAAACAACAGGTGCTGGAGAGGATGTGGAGAAATAGGAACACTTTTACACTGTTGGTGGGACTGTAAACTAGTTCAACCATTGTGGAAGACAGTGTGGTGATTCCTCAGGGATCTAGAACTAGAAATACCATTTGACCCAGCCATCCCATTCCTGGGTATATACCCAAAGGATTATAAAACATGCTGCTATAAAGACACATGCACACGTATGTTTATTGCGGCACTATTCACAATAGCAAAGACTTGGAACCAACCCAAATACCCAACAACGATAGACTGGATTAAGAAAATGTGGCACATATACACCATAAAATACTATGCAGCCATAAAAAATGATGACTTCATGTTCTTTTTGGGATATGGATGAAGCTGGAAACCATCATTCTCAGCAAACTATCACAGGGACAAAAAACCAAACACCACATGTTCTCACTCATAGGTGGGAATTGAACAATGAGAACACATGGACACGGGAAGGGGAACATCACACACTGGGGCCTGTTGTGGGGTGGGGGGAGGGGGGAGGGATAGCATTAGGAGATATACCTAATGTTAAATGACGAGTTAATGGGTACAGCACACCAACATGGCACATGTATACATATGTAGCAAACTTGCACGTTGTGCACATGTACCCTAAAACTTAGAGTATAAAAAAAAAAAAAAAAAACCTAGTAGGGCTACTCTTCTTTCTCGTATTGTATTCTAAAAGAAGGGTTTTATGGTAGAAGGTGCTCTTTGCTTGTTTTTGCAATTTGTAAGCAACCAAACTGTTTTATGATTATAAAAATGAAATAATTTGTTTTTTTCCTAAAAAAAAATTCATTTGCCATATACTCATATCACTACTATTTCTTTCCATTTTTCCTTTCTCAGTTAAGTATTTTCCACTATTTCCTTTCCCCTTGGTTTGTGAATTTCTCGATAGGTCAGTTTTCTTGTCAATTGATATTACTCACATGCTTTTCCTACTGAATTCATTTTATGTTTAGAAGACATATTCCAATCATTTGTCTCATTGGGCCAAAACTTGGTTATATCTTTCTGGTCACAGCTACCAGTCTGCATTAAAATATATATTTGGTTGATTAACTGTGATCTGCTTTGGGGAAAAGTGATTATGTTCTGTATTCTTCCCTGTTGTTTACCTCTGAGAAGAATTGAGTACCTTCACCCCCATGAATCCTTTCCCTTTCACCTGAGATTCTCAATTGATATAACTTCTACTGTTATAACCACATTTTTTCTCTAACTACTGTACATCGTTGAATTTCATGCATGTTATTTTAAATACTCATGGTGGAGTTAGGATTCCTCCCAGGATACCCTTGTCTTCTTTTTATCCAAGGTGTCAAGGCTCAGAAAAACACATAAGTCTTATTTTGACTCTTCATTTTCCATTTCTGCTTTTCTCTTTTTAACTATGTCTTTTATCTTGGAAAAAAAAACTGTGAAAGTACCACCTGTGTCCCTAATCATTTATCAGCAAGCCACTGGCAAACTACGTGTTTCCACTGCCTGGAACTCATAACAAGATCCACAATATTTTTAGATCCTAGAATCCTCTTCATTTTTCTGCAGAGTGGTCATAATTTTGGAGTCTACATTCTGCATCTTAGAATGAACCACAGCCCCTTATTTCTTTCAGAAACTCCCCTTAGAAACACTCATGGCCCATTGCTTGTTTTCTAGGGGTCTTGCTGATTAGGTGGGGGTTTCAGAGATTACTGCTGTTAGGCTGATCTGGCTACTTAACTTTCTCTGCCTCTGCTACATTTCTACCATTATGACAATTCATCAAAGACAATTACTTAAGCAAGCACTCAGAACTTAGGTCACAGTATTGAAAAACAAACCAATTTTAAAACTAATTTTAAAATGTTGTTTTTCAGAAGCTATCTTTTATGGTTTGTGTTCTGTTATGCTCTGGGCTTAACTGATAAGTATTGGATTTCTGTTTTTAATGAAAAGGGAATTATACTTGGATTTAGTGCAACATTTTGCTTAACATTCAAAATATCTTTTAAAAGACAGGAGAAGATATTGCTAGATGGGCACTGGGAACAAGACTGTCCAGCCCTGTTTCTCATAATTTAAATGCCATTATTTTGACCTATGAGGACAAGGTTGCAAAGTTTTACCTTTCCTTCTTAGCATACCAGTTGTATTGAACCCAGTTATTTTTAATTGCGATCAAACTAAATGATACAAGTGATTTAACACAGTTCATCCAGAACATTTTATGTTCACTTTCTAGTTCATTGATACCCAAATGTAGGATAATGTTACTTTATTCAATGTTCAGTGATTTTCTTGCATGAACAACAGTATATAAATCGACAATGTTGACTTTATGTACAAATTTTATGTACAAAACAATATAAAAATTGTACCATTTTATAAATTTTTCCTATTGATATGTTTTAAAGTATTTGACATGTAAATCATGAAATACTATTATTCTGTAAGATAAATTCAACATATCTCCGGGCTGACTTTTAGATATTTTTTATTAAATTATCATATACATTTCTTTCACCTAGAATATCAAGGACAGTTTTAAAATGTAAAATATTTTCTCTCATTATTGCTGTTCTACCATGCCTAATGATACTTACTTTTTAAATATTTATTGAGTTATTCTTGAATTAAAACATTTGTGAAATTATAATATTCTTTAAAATAGGTCTGTAAGAAAACTGGATTGTATTAACATTTTATTATACCAATTATGAGGTTATCTGATAGCTCCAACATCTATTTCTTTTGTTGTACAATGTCTTAAATATATGATATTAATACATATTTTTACAATTCAAATTGATTTCTTTTTTCCTCATTTTAAATTGCTTTCTGTAAAGAATTTTACCATGTAAATTCTGCTTTTTGAGATCAAATTTACAATAATTATGGTGGAGTGTATCTTAGTTGGGCCGCTAAGACTAAGACTTGGTGGCATATAAATAACAGAAATAAATTTCTCACAGTTTTGGAGGCTGGAAGTTGAAATCAGGGTGCTGGCATGGTCAGGTTCTCATGAGGGCCATTTTCCAGGTTACAAACTGCCAGCTTCTTGTTTTGTCTTCATATGACTGGGAGCAGAGAGAGGAGGACAGCTCTCTTTTGACTCCTGTAAGATCACTAATTTCATTCACGAGAACTTCGCCCTGAAGACTTCATCTAATTCTAATCTCCCAAAGTCCTCATCTTATAATGCAATCACATTGGGGAATAAAGTTTCAAGGTATGAATTTGGGGGGAACACAAACATTCAGTCCACAGCAGGGTGTTAATATAATGTACTATCCTGATAAGATGGTTAACCATCTCGGTTTGCTCAGGACTTACAGGGTTCTCTGAAAGCAGGACTTTACGTTTTAAAAAAGGGACTGTCCTAAGCAAACCGTCTCAGGTTTCCTGGAGAAAGTAGTTGCTCAGCACACAGGATTTTCAGTATTAAAACAAGGAAAGTACTGGGTGAAGTAGGATGAATTGGTAACCTTACATCCTGATTATAGATTTTAATTTAGAGAATTTTTAGTCATAGTGCTTGGTAACTGAAGTGAACAGTAAAGATAATCCAGTGTAACCTACTACAGTCAGACTGCTCAAATAAGGGGTTCTATGGAAAATTGCTTTTTATGTCTTTAATTTATTCTCAATCACAGATTGTTCAAGGAATATAGTAGACATTGTTCTTGTTATAATCACCTTAATTTCTTTGGTGATAGTTCATCGAGTGATTTTAGTTTGCATTTTGCTCTCAGAATGCATTTCTCTGGGTGGTTACACTGAACACTGATAGATACTACCTCCTTCTGTGACATACTCATAATTTCGGTGAAATTTAAGGTCTTTTAAAATATATTCTATTCCTTTTCCTTCAAAAAGATTTCCCTGGTTCCATTAGCTTATGTCTTTAACTCATATCACTGTGCATTATTATTATTATTATTATTATTATTATTATTATTATTTTGGAGCCAGCCTTGCTCTGTCACCCAGGTTGGAGTGCAGTGGCATGATCTTGGCTCACTGCAACCTCTGTCTCCTGGGTTCAAGTTATTCTCATGCCTCAGCCTCCAGAGTAGCTGGGATGACAGGCACGCGCCACCATGCCAGGCTGATTTTTGTATTTTTAGTAGAGACAGGGTTCCACCATGTTGTCCCGTTTGGTCTCGAATGCCTGAGCTCAAGCTATCGACCTGCCTCAGCCTCCTAAAGTGCTAGGGTTACAAGAGTGCGCCACTGTGCCCGGCCTCACTGTTCATTCTATACTCTTTGACCTCGCAGCATGGAATCAAAATGTCTTGGGCAGAAATTCAATCTCGGAATCTTGATTCTGTCTTCTTCTTCTCAGTCTGCAGTATAGCACAGGGTCTAAGAGCAAGAGTTTTATAACGGAATGATGCAGATCAAACTTTCATGCTACTATTTGCTAGCTGTGGGACTTTGGGCAAGTTACTTTACCTCTCTGTGCCTCAGTACTCTCAAATGCTTAATTAGGATGATAATGGGAACGCTAGCTCAGGGGTAATTGTGGAGGTTAAAATTAATACATCTAAAGCATGCAAATCAGTCCAAAGCATATAGTAAGTACTCAGTAAGCATTAGTATTATTAATCGTGATTGTTTTTCAGCCGACCCCATAAGTTACCATTTACCTAAATGCCCTTTCCCTAACTGCCTGCTTTTATTTAATTGTTTAGTACTTGTCAGTGTGTAGTTTAATTTGCCAGATCTATGTTAACCTTAGCGCTAAGAAAGTCACCTCTGTTACTAGTTCTATACACTGCTTAGGACCATATATATAGGGAGTGATATGGTTTGGCCCTGTGTCCCTACCCAAATCTCATCTCAAATTGTAATCCCCATGTGTCAAGGGAAGAACCTGGTGGGTGGTGATTAGATCATGGGCATAGTTTCCTCCATGCTGTTCTAGTGATAGTGAGGGGGTTCTCATGAGATCCGATAGTTTGTAAAATGACAGTTTCCTCTACATGTGCTCTCTTGCTCTTCTCTCTCCTGCTGCCTTGTCAAGAAGTACTTGCTTTTCCTTTGCCTTCCACCACAATTGCAAGTTTCCTGAGTCCTCCCCAGCCTGGTATAAAGATAATGTGAAAATGTGGGAGCCACTTTGGATCTGGGTAACTGGCAGAGGTTGAAACAGTTTGGAAGGCTCAGAAGAAGACAGGAAGATGTGGGAAACTTCGGAAGTTCCTAGAGACTTGTTGAATGGTTTTGACAAAATGCTTATAGTAATAGGGACAATGAAGTCCCAGCTGGGGTGGTCTCAGATGGAGATGAGGAACTTATTGGGAACTGGAGCAAAGGTCACTCTTGCTATGCTTTAGCAGAAAGACTGGTGGCATTTTGCCCCTGCCCTAGAGATCTGTGGAACTTTGAACTTGAGAGAAATGACTTAGGGTATCTGGTAAAAGAAATTTCTAAGCAGCAAAGCATTCAAGATATGGCCTAGCTGATTCTGAAAGTGTTTATTTATATGTGTTCACAAAGAGATAGTTTGAAATTGGAACTTATGTTTAAAGGGGAAGCAGAACATAAAAGTTTGGAAATTGGCAGCGTGACCATGCGGTAGAAAAGAGAAACCCATTTTCTGGGTTGAAATTGAAGCCTGCTGCAGATATTTGCATAAGTAACAAGAAGGCAAATGTTAATAACCAGCACAATGGGGAAAATGTCTCCAGGGCATGTCAGAGATCTTCTCAGCAGCCCCTCCAATCATAGGCCCATCATAGGAGGGAAAAAATGGTTTTGTAGGCCCAGTCCAGGGACACGCTGCTCTGTGCAGACTCAGGACTTGGTGCCCTGCATCTCAGCCGCTCCAACTCCAGCCGTGGCTAAAAGGGGCAAGGTGCAGCTCAGGCCATGGCTTCAAAGGGTGCAAGACCCAAGCCTTGGAGGCTTCCACATGGTGTTGGGTCTACGGGTGTGCAGAATACAAGAGCTGAGGTTTTGGGAACCTCTGCCTAGATTTTAAAGAATGTAGACAAATACCTGGATGTCCAGACAGAAGCCTGCTGCAGGGGCAGAGCCCCTCATGAAGAACCTCTACTAGGGCAATATGCAAGGGAAATGTGGGCTTGGAGCCCCCACAGAATCCCTACTGGGGCACTGCCTAGAAGAGCCGTGAGAAAAGGGCTACCATTCTTCAGACCCTAGAAATTTAGATCCACTGACAGCTTTCACCTTGCACTTGGAAAAGCTGCAGGCACTCAACACCAGCCTAAGAAAGCAGCCACGTGGCTGAATCCTGCAAAGCCACAGGGGCAGAGCTGCTAAAGCATTGAGAGCCCACCCCTTGTATCAGGATGTCCTGGATATGAGACATAGAATCAAAGGAGACTTTGAAATCTTAAGGTTTAATGACTGCCCAGCCGGGTTTCAGAATTGCATGGGGCCTGTGGCACCTTTGTTTTGACCAATCTCTTTCATTTGGAATGGGAACTTTTACTTAATGCCTGTACCTCCACTGTGTCTTGGAAATAACTAACTTGTTTTTGATTTTACAGGTTCATAGGTAGAAGGGACTTGTCTCAGATGACACTTTGGACTTGGACTTTTCAGTTAATGCTGGAATGAGTTAAGACTTTAGAGGAATGTTGGGAAGGCATAACTGGTTTTGAAATGTGAAAAAGACATGAGATTTAGGAGGGGCCAGGGCAGAATGATATGGTTTGGCTTTGTGTCACCACCTGAATCTCATCTCAAATTGTAATCTTCATGTGTCAAGGGAGAAACCTGGTGGGAGGTGATTTGAACACAGAAATGGTTTCCTCCATGCTGTTCTCATGATACTGAGGGAGGTTTCCCAAGATCTGATGTTTTTTAAAATGACAGTTTCCTCTGTGCACTCTCTCACTCTCTTTCTCTCTCTGTGTCTCTCTCTCTCCCTCCCTCTCTCTCTCCCTCCTGCCACTTTGTAAAAAAGTTACTTGCTTATCCCTTGACTTTCACCATGATTGTAAGTTTCCTGAGGCCTCTTAAACCATGTGAAATTATGAGTCAATTAAACCATATTAGTCAGAGTTCTCTTCGAGGGATGGACCAAATAGGATATATATATATATATATATATATATATATATATATATATATATATGAATGAGTTTATTAAGTATTAACTTGCATGATCGCAAGATCCCACAATAGGCTGTCTTCAAGCTGAGGAGCAAGTAGAGCCAGTCCAAGTCCCAAAACTGAAGAACTTGGAGTCTGATGTTCAAGAGCAGGAAGCATTGAGCATGGGAGAAAGATATAGACTGGGAGGCTAGGCTCATCTCACTCTTGCATGTTTTTTTCTGCATGCTTTATATTTGCTGGCAGCTGATTAGGCTGTGCCCACCAGATTAAGGGTGGGTCTGCCTTCCCCAGCCCACTGACTCAAATGTTAATCTCCTTCAGCAACACCCTCACAGACACATCCAGGGGATCAATACTTTGTATATCGTTCAATCCAATCAAGTTGATACTCAGTATTAACCATCACAAGTCCACCCCTTGTCAACTTGAACCCATACACATCTCCCGAGATCATACATAATCTTCAAATAAAGACAATGTCATAATTACGCCTAACATAATACAACTACCCTTCATACAACTAGAAATGCACCAATCCCCAACCCAAATACTATTACAGAAAGTTAACAACACTTAAATGTGATATGAAGTCAAAAAATCTCATGTCACGTGATAAAGAAAAAGGAAATAAAAGGAAGACATTTTCTTAGTACAAGTGTATATATGCACAAACATGTTTTTAACAAAAGAAGAAGGAAATACTCATGATAACAGTCCTCGTTTCCATAGCTGGTCATGTGGTTATAGCTGGTATTGATGATTACCTTTTATCTACTATTTATTCTGTGTTTTCCTTGCCTTCAGCAAGCACCTCAGCAGGTCGCGGGTTTTTTCCTGCTGGAGTAAACCAAACCTTCATTCCTGAGGGGTCTGGACCATTTGTAGTCCTGCCTGAATTGGGCTGTTGTAGTTTCCCATTGACCTTAATCACAGGGCATGGTCATACTATGAGAAGCCCTAATGGATCTCCTATATTCCATGCATACTCTTCCTTACTTCCATGCTGGAGTAATAGATTAATTTCATCTTGATAGTGCAAGTAAGTCACCCAAACCAACACTGTAACTCCCTTCTTAGCCTGTTGTCTTAAAGGTAGGAGGAGCACAAAGTGTCCAGGTGGCGATCATAACTTCCAGTTTAATGGAATTGTTGTGTCTCCTGGTGGCAGCGTTCCTCCCTCTGGAACTAAGACCTCTAGGCCAGCAGAATGTAATGTCACGGGAACAGGAAGCAAAAACTGTGCTAGTGGATCACTAGGGATGATGGTGAGTGGTGCCACTTCCACTTCCACCCCTTGATTCCTGGACCCATGAATCATGGCTATGGGAGAAACAGTACCATATATTGTATGCTGATTCAGAGCACACATGGTCTTCTAGAGAACTTTGCCCCAGCCCTGCAAAGTATAGTCCCCTAGTTGACATTGTATTTGTGACTTCCAAAGGCCATTCCAATGTTTTATAAATCCAGCTGCTTCAAGATGATGGGGAACATGGGAAGACCAGTGAATTCCATGAATCTGAGCCCACTGCCACACTTCTTTAGCCATAAAGTGAATGCCTTGGTCTGAGGCAATGCTGTGTGGAATACCATGATCATGGATAAGGCATCCCATAAGTCCACAGATGGTAGTCTTGGCAGAAGCATTGTGTGCAGGATAGGCAAACCCATATCCAGAGTAAATGTCCACTCCAGTGAGGACAAACCTCTACCCTTTCCGTGATGGAAGAGGTCCGAAATAATCAACCTGCCACCAGGTAGCTGGCTGATCACCCCGAGGAATGGTGCCATATTGAGGGCTCAGTGTTGGTCTCTGCTGCTGGCAAATCGGGCATCCAGCAGTGGCCATAACCAGGTCAGCCTTGGTGAGTGGAAGTACATGTTGCTGAGCCCATGCGTAACCTCCATCCCTGCCACCATGGCCACTTTTTTCATGGGCCCACTGGGCGATGACAGAGGTGGCTGGTGAAAGAGGCTGAGTTGTGTTGACAGAACAGGTCATTCTATCTACTTGATTATTAAAATTCTCTTCTGCTGAGGTCACATGTTGGTTAATATCACATGGAATACAAGCATCTTCACAGTTTTTGACCACTTAGAGGTGACCATCCACATACCTCTTCCCCAAATTTGTTACCAGTTTTCCAAGCATGCTTCTTCCAAGTCCCTGACCATCCAGCCAAACCATTGACTACAGCCCATGAATCGGTGTATAATCGTACATCTGACCATTTCTCCTTACATGCAGAGTGAGCAACCAGGTGCACTGCTCGAAGTTCTGCCCACTGGGAAGATTTCACTTCACTGCTATCCTTCAGGGATGTCCTAGAAAGGGGCTGTAGTGCTGCAGCTCTCCACTTTTGGTAGTGCCTGCATATAGTGCAGAACCATCTGTGAACCAGGCCCTAGTCTTCTCTTCCTCTGTCAACTGATCATAGAGAACCCCCCATGAGGCCATTGTTGCAGGCTGGGGTAGAGAAGGCAGGAGTGGAGACCATGGGCATTTGAGCCACTTTCTCATGTAACTTGTGCCTTCAGGACCTGCTTGAGCCCAATTATGTATATACCACTTCTATTTGATGATGGAATGCAGCTGTGCGTGACCCACTTTATGGCTAGACAGGTCAGAAAGCACCCAGTTCATGATAGGCAGTTCAGGTGGCATGGTGATTTGATGAGCCATAGTCAAATGTCCAGTTTCCACCAAAGCCCAGTAACAGGCCAAGAGCTGTCTCTCAAAAGGAGAGTAGTTATCTGCAGAAGATGGCAGGACCTTGCTCCAAAATCCTAGAGGCCTCCACTGTGATTCATCAATGGGGACCTGCCAAAGGCTTGAAACAGCATCCCTATCTGTCACTGACTCCTCAAGCACTATTGGATCTGCTGGATCATATGGCCCAAGTGGCAGAGCAGCTTGCACAGCAGCCTGGAGCTGTTGCAGAACCTTCCCCTGTTCGGGACCCCATTCAAAACTAACAGTCTTTCAGGTCACTCAGTAAATGGGCCAGAGTAGCACACCCAAATGAGGAATGTGTTGCCTCCAAAATCCAAATAAGTGGACTAGGCATTGTACCTCTTTCTTGGTTGTAGGAGGGGCCAAATGCAGCAACTTATCCTTCACCTTAGAAGGAGTATCTGAGCTAATACACCCCTGAGGTAGGACAGTAAAGGTATATTGCTGCACTTGCCAGCTGAAGGCAAATTGCTTTGGGTGGGCCTTATGGACAGGAATGGAGAAAAAGAAATTTGCCAAGTCAATGGCTGCATACCAGGTACCAGGATATGTGTTAATTTGCTCAAGCAATGAAACCACATGTGGTGCAACAGCTGAAATTGGAGTCACTGTTTGGTTAATCTTACAATAATCCACCACCATTCTCCAAGATCCCTCTGTCTTCTGCACAGGCCAAATGAAATAGTTGAATGGGGACGTGGTGGGAATCACCACCCTTGCATCTTTCAAGTCCTTGATGGTGGCACTAATGTTCTCAATCCCTCCAGGGATGCAATATTGTTTTTGATTTACTATTTTTCTAGGTAGAGGCAGCTCTAATGGCTTCCATTTGGCCTTTCCCACCATAATAACCCTCACTCTACCGCTCAGGAAGTCAATGTGAGGACTCTGCCAGCTGCTAAATATGTCTATGCCAATTACGCATTCTGGCATTGGGGAAATGACCACAGGATGAGTCCGAGGACCCACTGGATCTGCTGTAAGTAGGACCTGAGCTAAAACTCCATTAATTGTCTGACTTCCATAAGTCCCTACTTTAACTGGAGGACCACAGTGACATTCTGGATCCCCTAAAATCAACAGCTCAGAGCCAGCGTCCAGTAGTCCCTGAAATGTCTCATCATTTCCCTTTCCCCAATGCAGTTACCTGGTAAAAGGCTA
The DNA here is from genome assembly GCF_000001405.40 of Homo sapiens. Lineage (NCBI taxonomy): Eukaryota > Metazoa > Chordata > Mammalia > Primates > Hominidae > Homo > Homo sapiens. Next base: position 22,026,380 of record NC_000003.12, on the reverse strand, counting down.
GAGGTTTCCTTGGGGAAGGATGGGAGAAAGATTCACCACATAAATTGTCGGTAATGTAGGGGGGTCCTTTCTCAAGGGGTTCTGGCCTCCCCTTCATTCAAGGGGTTTAGGATCTGTAAACTGGGTCAAGTCTTGAAATTGAGGGGCCATGATTCTCTGTTTTTATAATTAAAATTAGTCTTCTGTCCATTTGACCTAGAATTTTTTTCTGTTTGTATAATGTAGGTAGGAATGCAGTAGGCTTCCTATCAATTTCACTTCTAACAATTTCACTTCCTATCAATGTCAACCTCTAGCAACACTATGATTAATTAGACAATGCCAGAGCTCTACTCGAGTCAGCCTATTCTGATTGCTGCTTTGCCTCTGCTGTCCATTATGGTAGCTATGCCCACCTTGCCTTTGATGGTTGGGTGCTGCCACTTGGCCCCTGCCACCTTGAGATCCAATTATTCATATAGTATTTACATTTTGTAGTTGAATGACTGCCGTTGCCACGGTTATATCTGACATACAGAGAAGAGCAATTACAGGGCTCTTCGAAGATGCAGGTGCTGCCCTCACAAGGCATTGGTCCAGGGTATATCTTGTGGACCCTCCCAGCTGGGATGAATAGGTCTAAAGCGATTAACCCACTCCACCATCCCAATCTCCCTAAGCCTTTGGATCCCTTCCTCTACATTAAACCAAGGGAGATCAGGCATTTCCAGCTCGCTCACAGTGGGCCATCTTTTAATCCATATTTCAGCTAACCAAGCAAATAAACTGTTAGAACCTTTTTAAACTCCCTGAGCTGCAACATTAAATGCAGAGTTCCTACTTACAGGGCCCAAATCGATAAATTCACCCTGATCCAACTCTATGTTTCTTCCACCATTATTCCATACCCTTAAAATCCATTCCCATGCCTGTTCTCCAGATTGCTGTTTATATAGATTAGAGAACTCAAAGTTCTTTTCGAGTGTAGCACACCTCCTCATGGGTCACACTCTCAACGTCACCTCTAGGGACCCTCTAGGACTTTAGTTATAGGTCCACAAGCAAACAGAGGTTTTGGGGGTGGCTTCTAAGGAGAATCAACATTATCTTTCCTGGCAACTGCCTCAGGGGAGGCCATCACTGTTGCCTCAGGCAGTGCATAGTTTATGTCCTTAGACAGAAGTGGAAAGGCTGATGGCAGCATGGGTGAGGAGGGTATGTTGCCACTACTGGGGATGGGGAAGCTGTTCCTTCTGGCAAAAAGTGTTCATCAGAATTTACAAACTCAGTGTCCCCAGCTTCATCAGGGTCCTCCCACATGTCCCCATTCCAAGTTGCAGGGTCCCATTCTTTTTAATCAATGCCCTCACTTTAACAGTAGACCCCTGGTGAGGCTGCGCACGCATCTTTTGTTTCAGGTCAGCCACTTGCATGATAAGAGCTTGTGTCTATTTTTCCACAATTTCAGCTCTTTCTCTACAGGAGATAAAACTCTCACTCAGGGAATCTTACCAGATTTGAGGCTCAGTATCTGCTTCTGAAGCTGGGAGACAGAATCCCTGAGGTCATCATTTTCTTTCATCACTTTGTTCACTGAACTTAGGAGCAACCATCCAGCTTCGTTACGTTCCTTGGTTCTCCACAGATGGTCAAAAATATTATGTATAGAGTCACTAAACTCCTTGCCTCTCACAAGCGGTGAATCAGGAGTGTCAAATGCATTTATTTTGCATAACTCTCTAAACAGTTCATGCCAAGCACTATCAGTGCTCTCCATACAATTAGAAGTTAATGATACTATTATGAAGAATATAATAGTATGTTCTCCATACTATTAACAGTTCTCCATACTATTAATATTATAACTATTATACTATTAGTTCTCCATACTATTAGAAGTAGAGTCCTTAGCATTTTTGAGTCTAATCATATCAAGCAGCCAACTCCAGAAACCCCAAAACCAAGGAAATAACTCCATCCTTAATATTCTAGAACCACTCCTGGGACCAAAATCTGTATTAGGGTTCTCTCAGAGGGACAGAACGAATAGGATATATAGGTATCCTATCATACACACACACGCACACATATATAGGGGAGTTTATTAAGTATTAACTTACACGATCTCAAGATCCCACAATGGGCTATCTGCAAGTTGAGGAGCAAGGAGAGCCAGTCCAAGTGCCCAAACTGAAGAACTTAGAGTCTGATGTTCTAGGGCAGGAAGCATCCAGAATGGGAGAAAGATATAGACTGGGAGACTAGGCCCGTCTGGCTCCTTCATGTTTTTTTCTGCCTGCTTTATATTCACTGGCAGCTGATTAGGTTGTGCCCACCAGATTAAGGGTGGGTCTGCCTTTCCCAGTCCACTTACTCAAATGTTAATCTCCTTTGGCAACATCCTCACAGACATACCCAGGGGATCAATACTTTGTATCCTTCAATCCAATCAAGTTGACACTCAGTGTTAACCCCAGTCTCAGGTATTCTTTAGAGCAGTATGAAAACGAACTAATACAGGGAGTCCTTTAATGAACCTAACATCATTGCCTCATCCTACAGCCCTGTACCAGGTACAGGGCACTCTTCCAAGTTCTTGCTTTTGGCCTTTGACTATAATAAAGTGCACCTTTTAGCAATATAGGATCTACATGACTTGACCTGCTGTATATTAGAATCCATAATAGAATAAAATAATTTCTATTGAGATTTAGTGAATCATCAGTTTGATAAAAAAAAAAGCATTGCTTTGCTGCTAACTCATATTTAAAATATCTTTTTGTTTGTTTTGATTAAATTCTCTCCATTTGATCTCAGCCAGAAGCAGCTTTGTAATTTATCTAAATGTGCAGAGGGAAGAAGCATTGTAACAATGACTCCATTTTATTCTCAGCAAAGATGGGTTTTGATGTAAAACTTTAATTTGAAAGAAGAAATCAGATTTAGTTTCTCAGTGTGATCCTTTTTAGTGGTCTATGCCGCTGGGTTTTCAAATGTTAATATAAACATGATATGTGCATGATAATAATATTATGAGCATGTTTACTCAGTCCTGATCTTTGAGTTTAAAGCATATGGACTCTAAATAGACTGAGCTAATTGGTGGCACCAAGCATAAATGTGAGTTGAGGTGATTCCTGCCCAGACTCAGTTGCCACTCTGCTTCCTCTCATTCTCACTTTTGTTTTAATCCCTTGCAATCTCATTTGACTGCTCCTTCTACCATCATTACTTCAATTCAGCCATATCATTTGGAAGGCTTGTGATTCTGTGCCCTCCATAAGACATGGGTAAGGGGGATAAAAATAAGAAAAGACCTCAGGGAGGGAGGAAACACTTGCGAAGAGCAGCCTGGAATACACATTATTTTTAAGGAACAGAGAACTGTGTACTTTTATTTTGTGTTCTGTTTATTTGCCTTCTTTAGACTCCCAATTTTTATTTTCAGGACTTTGCCTCTTCCCTGATCCCCACAGGGCCAACCATATTTGCCTTCCGTGCTAAATAAGTATACAAAGAAACAAGCCAAAGTGGACTTAATTCTTTTAAAAATATTCGTTTTGCCTTCCTGGTAACTATTTTGCATATGTTATTTGAAAGAACAGTACTATTTCTCCATATATTTTTAAATGTTATATGTTCTTGAATTTTTTTCCATCTCAATTTCTGGTCTCTATTCCTTGTTCGTTCTTTGAAGAAAAAAGTAATACATAATATACAATGTTGAGTTTGCTTAAGACATATATGACTCTTTTCTGGGACGATAGATTTCTGGTAGGATCCGGAATATGCTATCACAGTGGACATGCTGTTCATTTGCCAAACAGGAATTTATGATAAATCATTTCTTTTTTCTTGATTTCCTTTGGGGTATATTTGCTATAAGTACAAACAGTTGAACTAGGATCATAGAGTGGTATGTTATTTCTTGATGCTGTTCATTTTCTCTGAAATTTTGAGGAGCTGAGAGTAGAAATTTCATAGAATAACTCCAAGTTGAAAGATTAGAGCTGATCTTTTCAGCATTCAAAATCATGTTGAAATTAAGAAATTGATGTGGAAATTTAAGTACAATACATTAATTCAGTAATTAATGTACGATAAACTTATGAATTAAAACTGTTAACATGATAATAGCTAACATTCCTTTGAAGCTTAACCATGTGCCAGTTAACTTAATTTTATATACTTTGTATAAGTTGTCTCATTTAGTTTTTACAGTAACCTTCTGAGATTTATAATTCTAGGTGATGTATTTATGGTTAAGAAAACTGAAATACAGAGAAATTAAGTTTCCTAACAATCTGAACTCATCAGTTACTACAATTTTACTCACACTCAATTAGTTCTGGCTTCAAATTCAGTGCTGTTAACCACGTAGCCTTTATTCTGTAATCCTCTGTGCCCTGGCATGGATGGGGAAATGGAAGTTGAGTGAGTTAGTTTTCCAGAACAAGTGAGAACAGAGGCCGTCAAACTTGTCTGCACATTAGAATCACCTGGGAATTATTCTAAACATTCCAAGTGCAGGCCGCATCCTAGACTAATTAAATCATAATCCCAGGGAGTGGGACAAAGCATCAGTAATTCCTGAAGCTCCCCAAAACATTCCAAGATATAGACAAGTTTTCAAAACACTAAGTTAGTGGAAATGCTTGGAAAGAACCAGGCTTTCCTCATTCCTAAGCCAGTTTTCATCATTTTAAGTACCCCTAGTTGATTTGAGCTTCTCAAAAAAATTTTTTCTGCTTCAACTTGTATTGAGTATTTGTTATAGACTTGGCATGGAGCTAAACACTACCTGTGTTATCTCACTCAGTCCTCACAAAAGTATATAAGAAAACTGAGGCTGAGCGAATTAAAGCAACTTACTCAAAGGCATAAATATAGTTAGCGGTGGAGTCAGGATTCAAAACCTAGGTCAGTTTGACTCTGAACCTAAGATATTGTGACTCTAGTAATAATATTGTTTCTATTTTAGGGTCACTATTCTTTGTTTCTATCCTTCTAATGCCTGAAAGCCTATTTGTGTTGTGGATTTCTAACATTTCTTTTTGCTGACACTGACTCCCCCACAAGCTTTGAGGTTTGAAGTATCAACATTTAGTATGACACTGGATGCTTCACATGTTGAGTCTTTTTTTTTCTTTGCATAAAGTTTTCAGGTACAAGTACTATTTTGTTTCATGTATCGATTGTGTAGTGGCAAGTCAGGGCTTTTAGAGTATCTATCACCTAAATAATATACTTGTACCCATTAAGTAGTTTCTCATCTAACCCCATCCCCCTCACTCTTGCGTCTCTGCCTATCATTTCACTCTCTATGTCCATGGGTATACATTTTTAGCTCCCACTTATGAATGAGAACTTGAAATATTTGTCTGACTTATTTCACCTAAGATAATGGCCTCCTGTTCCATCCATATTGCTGCAAAAGACATAATTTCATCTTTTTTATGGATTAATAGTATTCCCTTGTGTATATATGCCATATTTTCCTTATCTAATGACCTGTTCATGGACACTTAGATTGATTCCATATCTTTGCTGTTGTGACTAGTGCTGTGATAAACATATGAGTGCATGTATCTTTTTGATATAATGATTATTTTCCTTTCAGTAGATACCCAGTAGTGGGATTGCTGGATTAAATGGTAGTTCTATATTAAGTTCTTGGAGAAATCTCCATACTGCTTTTCATAGAGGCTATACTAATTTGCATTCTAACCAACAGTCTATAAGAGTTCTCTTTTCTTGGCATCCTCACCAATATCTGTTATTTCTTGACTTTTTAATAATAGCCTTACTGATGGGCATAATATGGTATCTCATTGTGGTTTAATTTGCATTTATCTGGTGATTGGTGATGTACATTTTTTTCATATACCTGTTGGCCGTTTTTATGTCTTCTTTTGAAAATGCTAACTGCTGTGTTTAGAGCCTTATCTATGTTTAGGTCCCAGCTCTTCTTACTGATGAAACTGCTGGAGCACAGAACTTATCTTGTCTTATGTTCCCCATGTGGTTCAACTAAAGAAAAAATTTAAAAATAATAGGAAAAGAAAAAAAAGCTTTCACCAACATACTTGAAATCTATACATGCAGCATTTCCACTCCTGCCTGGGTGTCCTTTCTGTAGAGACCTTGCTGGCTCCTATTCTTGTTATGTTTATAACTCCCAGTCATTATTCTGTACCCCACACCACTTTAAGAATTCCTTGTCATGTATTGCATGACAAGTCATAGAATTGTTACAATAGTATCCAGAATTTTCTGAGCGTCCATATACTAATGAAGGATTCTTTTTAACCAAAATATTTGTTTTACATTTTTTAATTGTATGAATTTTGTTTAAAAATAAAGTTAATAATATTAATTTAATTATTAAAACAAAGCATTTATGCAGTCATTTTATTACACGAAGTTATCTTGTTTTTTTCATTATCTACCACAGCATTTGGGACATAGAAAATTCATAAAAAGACTTTAAATAAATAAGTGAACTAGGTATACTGAATCTTAGAGACTTTATACATAGAGGACCCTGTGCTTGGTTTAATGCTCTATCACTCTCTCAAGGTTCTCAATAATTTTCAAATAAGGGCCCCACATTTTTATTTTTCCCCAGTTCCCGCAGCATAGATTAATGTAGCTGTTCCTGCATAGAGGGCATACATCTAAGCATAAATGTAGAGTCTCCAAAATGGTTAACCAGAACTTTGGGGGATATTTGGAATCCTGGTATTCAACATGTTGGTATTAGACACCTAAGAAATCTTTGATTATTGCAATGAAAATAGGAATTCAGACACAAATAAAAGGATTTTTTAAATTAGTCTGATCATCATTTGTGTATATATATGTGCTTATATTTTTCATGCATATAGAGGTTATGATTAATAAACCACAAATTCAATTAGTATCTTTACTGAATTCATAAATTTTAGAAATTTAACAATTACTATATGAGATGGGTTAGACATATCTTGACATTAAAAGTAACCTTGACATAACTGATGGTCTGTCCTGAAATCTATGTGAATGAATTACAGTGAAATTTCCCACATCTGCTTATAGAGATAAAAATACATGAAAGTATAACAATAATTTTAAAAGAATACATATTTGAGCTTAAAGAAATTCTCACATTCTAGAAATAAGGTGAGAATGCCTTTCTCTGCAGGATCTCAGGTCATATATTGGCCCTATGCTAATATTACAGATTGGCACAGATTACAGATCTGGGTTTATTATAGATCCCTGTATAGGAGACAGGATATAGGAATAAAGGCTCTTGAAGCAAGCCAGAACCCTACAGGGATAGCCTCCTTCATAAAAAAAAAAAAAAAAAAAAAAAAAAAAAAAAAGGTAAATAACTCTATCCATGAAACTGGGAAGTGGTAAAGAAGTAATATAGCAATGCTTTAGGTGTTTGTGGGTAGAGACGGAAAGGAGTAGGAATTGCACGTTCAATCCTGTACTCCGTAGGCCTAGAGGCCAAACTTACACAGCCTATGCATTGGGAATCTAAACTCAAAAATTAGCAATTAAACTCCACCCATTTCTGTGAAATAGCTGGATCAATCTGCTAAAGCACAGGTGAAATGACTTTGTAGGGTTACTTTCACAACCCAATGTACATAGGAATCTTTGGTAAAATATAACCCAAGCTAAAAACAATCCACAAGTGTAAATAGGCCATTATGAGAAAGAGAAGGTCAACATAACAAAGAGGAGGATTTATACTTGAACCTGGGTGTAATAAAATACTCTCAAACCCTAAGTAATAATTTTAAAAAATTAATTAAAGTCATAGAGAAGAAGCAGAGCATATAATGGAAGATGTAATGAAACAAAATCAGAGAATTAGGAACTAACAAAAAGTTATTTGTATAAAAAATTGGTTAAAAGTCAGGTAAGCTGAACTGTGTATTTGAAAGCTTTGAAGACAATATTAATATCTTTGAAGGTACATGTGAAAAAATTACCAGGAAAAGTTACAAAGATGTAAAGCAAGATAAATATAAAAGGCAAGTTAATAGAAATGGAGTTGAGAATGATAATGTACAATCTATATGTTAACAGAGTATCCACAGTGAAATAGAATAAAGAATATAATTTTTTAAATGACAAGTTATTTTCGAAAAATTCTTAAAAAAAAACACATATCCCTCTTAGACAGTCATATTTATTTCTAACTAGAGAAATTGATACTGCGCATCTTTAAAAATTAAAACACAGAGAATATTTTTTAAACAATAAAAATGGTTTACTTATGAATAGAAATTAACTTGACTGACAGTCCAATTCTTATCAAGCCAGAAAATAATTAATTATTATTTTCAAAGTGCTATTGGGAAAAAAATAGTAGAGTTCTATATCCAGTTAAATATCATTCAATATTAAGTGAATATGAAGATATTTTAAGATTAACTTTTCTATACATAGAACTTCACTGTAAGAAATATCAAAGTTATATTTCAGTGAAAAATAAATTGAATAGGCAAAAAACAAGTTGAATACAAGGAGTAATTCAGATGAAATACGTATGTAAACATATTAATAGATCCAAATATGTATAGACAGCTTAAAATATAAAATAATTTGGGCAGATTGTTAGAAACAAGGTGTGCTAGAATTTCTAGAAAACCATAAAAATGAAAATGGTAGGAGAAATATGTTATAAATTTAGGACATTGCTGCCAAGTGAACCACTTTACAATTCAATTTAATTGTTAAAGCATTATAAAATGATGAATACATTTATTTATTGAAACCCAGTAAGGAAAAAATGGATAATAAAAATTGATAAAAGAGAATAAGGAAGGAAGCAATGAAGACACAAAACAATATGGTAGACATAAATCTAACTCAGAATAAATATAAAAGCTAATTTTCTAGTTATAATACAGAGATTATTGACAGAATAAGAAACAAAAAATAATAGAGCTTTGATTTCTTTACAAGAGATACAGCTGAAAGACAACACACAAAAATTTGACAGAGCTGAAAAGAGATATGCCAGAGATCTACGAACCGAAAGAACAGTGGTATAGCATTGCTAATATAAAATAAAATCTTATTTGAGAAATATTACTCAGAATGGAGTTATTTTATATGAAAAATTCACTATGTCTGTATGTGATGTTAACCAGATGTACACTTCACAACATAGCCTAAAAATATCTAAAGCAAAAATTGAGAGAAGAGAAATGGGTTTTAATTTTAATATATTATTTAAGGCTCTCATAACCATAAAAATATATAACAAAATGTTAACCTATATAAAATCTGACTGGCAGATACACTGGTGTCTAATACTCTTTTTATGTTTATAACATAACATTTGAAAAATTTAAAGAGTGACTACTGCACATTAAAAAATTAGAAACTATTATTCCAATTAAGCCATTTTAAATTAAATGAGAAAGTGTGTGTGTGTGTTTGTGTGTGTGTGTGTGTGTGTCCGATGGATGGATGGACAGGATAGATAGATAGATTGATAGATAAATTCAATAAACTTTTATTAGATCTTAGCGTTTTACAATTTGCCACTTATAGAGGCAGGCTAGGAGCTTGAACTGTAAGGATGGATGTCAGGATAGACTAGGTTATGCTGCAGAAACAACCCCCAAAACTTCAGTGCTTTAACACAGCAGAGGACTATTGCTGACTTCTGCAAAGTAAATTGGAAGTCCAGATGACTCTCCGGGGCTACTCTCCTCAGGCCACTGTGAGCTAAGAAAGCCCCTAAAATTTTTGAAACACAAACTTTTGTTCTAGGCAGGAAGGAAAATGAGAAGATGTGATTCAGAGAATCACATGCCCGTTCTGAAATACTCTCCCCTTTGAATTTTCTCACTCTTTTGTATTCAGTGACAAAAGAAAATCAGATAGTCATACCTAATCTCAAAGAGACAGTGAAGTGACAGCAAGGAAAGGATAAATAGAAATAGTTGTTTACCTTGGTCTGCACAATTTGCCTGTCATCGTGGGATACTAAGTACATAGAATGCTAAGTATAGCATCTGGGTCAAGGTTTCGCAGCCTCAGCACTAATGCCATTGTGAGCTAGGTAAATCTTTGCTGAGGGTAGAGGAGCTGTCCTATGTGTTATAGAAAGTTTGGACGCATACCTACCCTCTACCCACCAAATGCTAGTGGCATCTCCTTGCTGTGACAGCAAAAACATCTCCAGACATTGTGAAATGTCCCCTAGAAGAAAAATCACTGCTGGTTGGGAAACTCTGATCTAGAAAAATTAGAAGAACTGTTTTATAGACTAAATTGAAAATCTATGAGCACTCTAACAAGTAGCAAGTGCTGCAAATATGAATAAGTAAACTCTCAAATTTATGTTGATTCACTGATGACCTGCACAAAAATGCTTCTTAACAATAGGAGAAACTCTCCCTTACTCTTTTGGTTTGTACCCAAAAGGATAAAAATCATATGCTCCCACAGAATGCTCCACAGAAAAAAGATGTCTTTTTTTCAGGAACGTGGGCACAACAGTCCAAGGTGCCATCTTGCAGATGCAGCCCTGGGCTGCTCCTCTAGAACTTTGGCATAGTGGTTCAAACATCAAAAGCATAAGCATGAATCCAAGCCAGTCTTCCTAGGAAAGCCAGGAGATGGAGAGCAATTAGAAGAGGTAATGCTGAAAGAACATACTATGGTAGTAAAAACAAGAGAAAAACCAAAGACCAGGAGCCAGATGGCTTCCGTAATAAAGCCATTGTTGTTAGAAACAAACAAGAAATGATGATGTTTGTGTTCACTCACACATGAGAATTCACAGCTGAAATTTCCAAACTGAGAGATGTGGGTACAAGGGTGCCAGACTAGATGAATGGACAGAAATGGGATTGAGAGTCACCAGGTGCTAAACTGATGAAGCAGAATGTTGGAAATGAATGACAGTGAGCTGTGGGGCTGCCCAAGGATGGTGGCAAGGAAGGAGATAATCTGCTGAAAGGTGTGAAAAGCGTAGATATTTTCTTTCAAGTTGACTTAGGTGTTCATGATATGAGAGGGTTTATATCTCTGTATGATGCATTATGGTGCATAGACAACTGAAAATCATAGTGCAATGCGCATGTTTGCAATCTATTTAGCTGTTATCAGTATTTATATGCTAATTAAGGCATTATAAATTGATAAAGTGCTGCTATAAAACGCATCAGCTGACATCATGTTTAATGCTTGACAGTAAGCTGGTTTGCTTTAAACTGAATTCTGTAATTGGCAGGGAAATAATTCTTTAGTATCTTATTCTATTAATTATTTGCTTAGGTAAATAATAAATGTGGGAGTCCCATCCTATGGCCACAGCTGTGTATAATTTAAAAAAAAAGAAATTACACAGTGATATATGCTTGTTGTGAACATTCAAACAACAAAGACATGTATGATGAATGAAATTTCTTTCTTCTGCCTCTAATTCACTCCTCAAATATTTGTAAGAGCTGCCTTAAACTGTAATCAGTTTCCACGTTAATTTGTAAATGATCTTTACTTTCAGAATTTTTAAATATTTTGTACAAAATTAGTTTACAAAGAATTACTTTTGGTCAGCCATTTTTAGTATTTATTGTATTGTGCATTTTGATTTTGTCAATATTTACATAGAAATTTCATTATTAATATATTTAATCACAATTCTTAGCGGTTTGCACTTTCTTATTTCTTGTATATCAAGTCTTTATTTTTCTTTCAATTCATTATTCAATTTGCTTGCACATATTATCATATTTTGTTTTAAAATTTTCATGGTGGTAATTTTTCTGAGTATATATTTCTGAGACTTTTATGTATAAAAATGTCTGCATTTTGGGGGTAGGTGGATGTGGGTTTGGGGTTCAAACTTTCTTAACATAGCCCATTTTACATACTGTTGCATTGGTAGTTTGTGTTTTGTTTGATGAGCATTCCATGTTACAAATGAGATTGGTTTCTGCTCTTCAGAGTTATCTTCTTTCTTTTCTCTGGCATCTTGTAGGATTGTTATCTTTCGAGATTTCACTGTCTAGGCAGGTGAGGGAGCATGGATGTATTAATACTCTGCATCCTGTGATCTGGAGGAATGCCTTCCTTTGCCTTAAACTTCCCATACAGTGATTCAGTCTTTTGCCATTGGGCAATTTCTTACTTCTACTGCATTTCCTTTTCTTCCTTCCCCCTTTAAAAAAAAAGGTAGCAGCCATGCTTTTAATTTCCAAGAACTATGGGACTTTTTGGTTTTTTGTTGTAAATATTAAAACCTTCTATATTTAGTCATATGATAGCATCTTGAAACTCTTTGAATATATAAATTATACATTTATTTTCCTCAAAGATTTCTTCCCATTCCTGACGTATCTGTATTTCTTGGGGTTGCTTCTTGTTTTTGCAATCTGTCCTGCCAATGATTTTCCTCAAACATTTGGTCAGTTTGTTAATATATGCTTTGACCAAAGCAGTTGATGAAGGGTCTTAACTCAGCATTCTTGAAGAGCTTTGTACTTAATTAGATAAGGTTGCAGTGAACCTTCAGCCCAGTTGGCTTATTTTGGGAGGGGGAGGGGGTTGCTGTGGAACACTTGTGCTCTGAGAATGAGTCTCCTCTGTAAACATGGATCCAGATGCTCCCTGATGAGCTTCACCAAGCTTCATCCTTCAGCCCTCTCACCTGCTTTGTCAGTCTCTTAGGGGACTCACACTTTGATTAACAGGCTGTACGTAAATTTTTAGTCTGGCTGGACATTCTCAGCTAATCACCTTCTTAATTAAGTTTCTACCTAATCCTAGTGGTCGACTTGATTTCTAATCCTGCTGCCTGCACCAGTGGTGTTATCTTGAAGTTCCATTGAGAAATTTTACTATTTTCAAATCTTTATTTGGAGACACCAACCGAAATATCAAACATCAAAAGGTCCCTAAATCAGCAATAAATATAAATATTTTACAGTACAAAACATAAAAGCATTAATAAAAAATTATTTGGCCTATTCTAACTGCCATAATATGGTTGGCTTTGGTTTCTCAGTGATCATCATCATGTTTAGGGATTCTTGCCAAGTGAAAATATCTAACTTCATTAGCAAATGTAATAGAATTTATATATATACTATGTATAATAACCTGGACTATTATTACATTTTTAAATCTAGAGGATATTTAAGCAAGTATTATTTTCATTAGAGGTTTGCACTTTATGTATCTTGAAGCCAACAGATATATATTTTCAGTTTTAACACATTTTTATAGATCTTAAGCACTGACTTTCTCCTTAACCTCTGCAGATTGCCAATTTCTTAGCTCTTTGGGGTTTTACATTCTGTTTGAGCTTATCTACTTTAAATCTTCCATACATTTCTTAAATTTTTGTTCTGCTAATGGTCTTCCAGTTTCTAAAGCTAATATTTATTTTTAATTTTACATTTTTTTCTATCATATTAATGGGATTTGGGAAGATGGAAACACTAAATGCGGTCGTTGAGTCAGTTATCTTTGACCTGGAGCCTATGATTACTTAATTGAGAAACTCAAGGTTTTACCTTAACATTTTAAATAAATGTAATCTATTGCCAGTACTTAAATTTAGACAGGAGCTGATTACCAGTTCCTAAGAATTATGTGCTAAGCAGCTTATGGAGAATGTTCTTAATCCTATGCTGTAACACAGTGGGGTAGGCACCATTGGGAACTCATGAAGTTTCCCAAGACTAGAAATAGTCATTATACTTCCCTGTTGAGTGAGAGTTCAAGTGAAGCCAGCTCTGGAAAGTATCATATCCACATTCCTATCTCATTAGTTAATCATTTTGAATGCTTGTTTTATTATCAGTCTGGTCTCTTCATTAGACTACAATCTAGGGGTAATATTTATTCATCTTTAAAATTCCTCAATATAGGAAATATTCTGAAGCACACACATTTTCTCAGAGGGGAGTTACAGAGGGAGGGAGAGAGAAATGTTTTGAGCAATATTTTACAATGACAAATGTAAATAATGTAATTTATTTTTTAGCACTAAAACACATTTGTGGTATATAGTTAGCATGTTATGTCCTTAGGATCGACCAAACATTTTATCTTAGTTGTTAGTAGACTCCATACTTGAATAAAGTTCAAAAAGAGCTACGTATTTCAATTTTAGCTTGTAAATATAAGACATTATGCAATAATTCTTAAAATGTCAATGAAGAGGTGTGTCATATATCCTCTCAAGAATCTGGTGTTGAAGTAATGGACTTCTTTGCCCCAGGAAAAAAGTGAAAACTCTAATTACTAATTGATCCAGAAAGGTGGTGGGCTCCCTGGAGCCTACCTATGGTTCCCAAATTAGGAACCCTTGCACAAAGTTGATATAATTCCCTATCTGATAATATCATGCACATGTACTGATTATGTTATGTGGATCTAGAAACACAATACTTGAAAGAAGTCAAAGAAGAAAAGAAGGGAGGGAAGAAGAAAACCTGTTGCCTGCTTAGGCCCTTTTATTGAAATGTTTTATTTGTTGGTGCTACTATATGCAGTATGTAGAATAGTAGCATGATTACAGTCTTTACAGTTAGATAGATATCCATTGGAATTTCAGCCCTGCAGCTTACCAAAAATGTGATCTTCGGTAAGATACAATTTCACTATGTATCTCAGTAACTTAAATGGGATAATAATAATTTCCCACCTTCCTCAAAGTATTGTAAATATTAAATGATTGTTACATAAATTATAGCTTTTATTATATCATTAGATATTTATAACCATACTTATTAATACAACTTTCCTAATTTACTATTATTTAGATTACAAAATTTTCTTCAGATAATCCACAACCTTATTTTATGCATCAAAATGAAAAATTTCTAAGGAATATCAAACTGTATTACTATGTTTCTCTTTTCCATGTGTCCATTAAATATCATGATAGTAAGAGTTGTTCTCTTCTTGCCTTGAGCTTAATCTGCCAAACTCATCAGTGTGAAGAAATGAATAATAACCCAGTATTGGGTTCACTCTTGGGACAGTTTACCACTATTTTAATGATAGATATATTTTGAAGCAGAGATAAAGCTCTGATGGAAAATAAGCATGATCTTTTTTTTCTAAAATAAGAATACTGCTCTTCAATATTTTAGATATTTTAAAATAACCATCTATCCATAGTTTGTATTTATTTCCATAAATTTCTCTCATTGGTGGCTTTTTTGCTTACGTATACATATTTTAGAAACAATAAACAGTGGAATTTTCTCATAAATTACTGTAGTTATATACAAAAATAAATCAAACTCTAAGAAATTATTATGCTTCTGGAAACAATTTGGGGATGATTCATTAACGAATTTTGTAGAAATCCATGTATCATGTCTTTAATGAGTTATATTGGCAATAAAACCTTTTCAATTATGATCCATTGAAATAGTCTATCCAGGATTTTATTTCATGTATTCATGTATCTTTGGTTCTGAGTAGATGATATTTTCAATGAGGGTGAGTGGTGGGAGGATGGGAGGAAAAAGGGAAAGAAAAAATTGCAGACATAATTTATTGAAATAGCTGTCCTTACATTAATTTCCCTGTTCAAAATATAAACAACCCAAAGCACCATCTGTCAAAATAATTATTCATACAGAAGCTCAGAAATTGTTAAATTCTTATGAGGAGATAGTGATACATCTGGAAAAAGTTCACCTGGTTCTCTTCTGGCTCTGAGCGAGGTGAGTCTGGGATCCATTTTGGCCCTAGACTGTTTTTGTAGTATTAGGTCCATTGGAACCTCATGTCCATTCAGAGACAATCAGAAGAGTCTTAGACTGGATTTCTAGGCTTTAAATGTAGTTATCTCAACTGTGTCATATTGGACTTGCAGTCTCTAGACTGAAAACGTTGCAAGTCTGAGCCTAGATAGAGGAAACTCAATAGGTGTCTCTTGATTTATCTTTTTGTCCTGAATAAACTCCAACATTTAGAGGCGAACTGGTATTGGGAGTAAATAATTCATCCTGGAGATAATATTTGTTTCTTGATAAGGCAGAAATGATTCTGTTAATGAATTATGTGTATAGAACACTTGTGAATTTTGATTTGCCCCACTTCAGTAAATTTCCGAAGTATTCCAAGTCTTGTGACATCGGTGTTTATAGCAACAAGTACTAAAATGGCTCCTGATCATTCCACGTTTTATGCTTCTGCCTTTCATGCTCATCCTGTTTCGTCATCCAAGCTGCTTTTTAAAACATATACTTTTTTCATATTTTTATTAAATGAAATCTTCTCATCTTGGAATCTTGTAGATTTTTTTTTCTTCCTTTAATAGGCTACTTAGGTCAAATACTGTCAGGCAGATGATTAGCTTAATTGTGGGATTTTGATAACAGTTCAGAAGTGACTGTGTTTACCTGTTTTCCTCAATTTCCTTTATGCCCTTTTTATGTCCTTCCTACTGTTTCTATTCTTATCATTTTTTTCATATTTTTCATTTCTTTTATTTTGTTTTGTAATTTTAAAAATTTTGTATTTTTATGAACTATAGGCTTATAACACAAATCTATATATTTATAACTACTCTTAAGAAATAAAACATTACAAATGCTGCTGATGACCCTTGACTATCAATTTAAAATTCTCTCTTTATCAACCAGAAGTGACTACTATCCAGATTTTGGTATTTATAAATTTCATAATTTAATATTCAACTTGCATATTTTAAATTTTCTAAATGTCATATTTGACACATCCTTCTGCACCTTGATTTCTCATTGAATCTTTTTTTTTTTTATTTTTTTTTTTGAGACAGAGTCTCACTCTGTTGCCCAGGCTAGAGTGCAGTTGTGCAATTTCGCCTCACTGCAAGCTCTGCCTCCTGGGTTCGTGCCATTCTCCTGACTCAGCCTCCCGAGTAGCTGGGACTATAGGCACCCGACACCACGCCCGGCTAATTTTTGGTATTTTTAGTAGAGACGGGGTTTCACCGTGTTAGCCAGGATGGTCTCGATCTCCTCGCCTCTTGATCTGCCTGACTTGGCCTCCCAAAATGCTGGGATTGCAGGAGTGAGCCACCTCGCCTAGCCAAATCTATTTTTTAAAAAATATTTATAATATATAATATTCCATAGTATAACTATACCACAATTTATTCTCCTGTTGATGGATATGGATATTCATTACAATTTTTCTCTGTTTCAAACATTACTGGAATCACATTTTTTACACAAAATTTTAATAGGCTGTATACCTAAAAATAGGATTACTGGATATTGCTAGGTTTGAGGATATGTGTGTTTTTAAATAAATTAGATATTACAATGTGCTCTCTAAAGTGGTTTGACCAAGCTGGCCCTTATCCTGTGTATAGTTCCTCCCTTGTTACCCAACACTAGGACTTGTATGACTTTGTAATGTTTCTGGTTCTTTGATTCCTGTTGTTTTGTTTTATAATTTTCTTCCTTCCATATTCTTTTGATTTATTCTGTGGTTTTAATCTGCCTTCCTATGTTAGACATGCCTCTCATTAATTTTCAGATATTCTACTTTCCTAAAAGCAACATTTACAATTCTTCATATGCTTTGATTTAGCTAATTACCATTTGTCTTGACTTGCAGTATTTTTATAATTGTTTGGTTCTATACATTTCTCTATTTTAATCCTTGTTACTCACAGTGTGTGTAAAAATATTCACACGGTTTTTCAGTTTTCAGTTGTGTTTTGTTATGGCTTCCCAACTTGATTGCATTGTGGTTAGAAAAGCATGGCCCGGGCTGGGCGCGGTGGCTCACGCCTGTAATCCCAGCACTTTGGGAGGCCGTGGTGGGCGGATCACGAGGTCAGGAGATCGAGACCATGCTGGCTAACACGGTGAAACCCCGTCTCTACTAAAAATACAAAAAATTAGCAGGGAGAGGTGGCGGGCGCCTGTAGTCCCAGCTACTACTCGGGAGGCTGAGGCAGGAGAATGTTGTGAACTCCGGGGGGCGGAGCCTGCAGTGAGCCGAGATCGGGCCACTGCACTCCAACCTGGGCAACAGCGAGACTCCGCCTCAAAAAAAAAAAAGAAAATCATGGCCTGTATGAAAGTGATTCTTTAAATCTGTTGAACTTTGCCTTTTGTTCTATTAAGTATTTTTCACAAAACCCTAGCCAGTAAAAGCATATTTCCTTGTCATCTCCCTTTGATGACAAGTGTGTATTTTCCTAGTCTACCTTATTTTGAAAGTGTAGCACTTAGAAGTTCTGAATTTTATGAGGAGCTTCGGTTCCAACACCCATCTAAATAAAGATGGTTTAAAAAATAATAATAAAGGGTCAACTAAATCATCATGTAAAAAGTAAAATTGGATTCTACTTCTCATCAAACTCTGGAAAAATAAAGTTCACATGCATCAGAGATCCAAATATAAAGAAAGAAACTATACAAGTTCTAGAATAAAAGATGGCTCAACTCATTTGTACATAGGTATGAGAAAGCATGAACAAAATTCAAAATTCAGAGGTGATAAAGAAAAGATTGATAAATTTTACTACATACGAATTATAAAAAGAAAGCTTTTGTATTAACAAAAAGAAAACTATATAAATTATATAAAAATTAAAAACTAGGAAAAAATAATATATATATCATATCAAAAGGCAGTTGAGATAAAACACAAAAATGGCTCTTATACAAGTGATGATTATTAACATAATTTTTAAAAATGTAAACTAAAACTATACTGAATTATCATTTCTCACTTATCAGATTAGCAAGGATTGAAAAGATAGGCAGCACACTCTACCGACAAAACTGTGACGAAATACCTACTTTCATACATGGCTCATAGGCCTGCAGAACCCCTCTCAGGAGGAATTTGGCAATATTTTTCAAAATTACATAACCATTTCCCATGAAGCCAGCAATGAATGCCATTTATAGCCACATGCCCTGAGGATATACCTCCACACATACTAAACAACTTATACACAAGGTTATTCATCCAAAGTTATTAGAAATTGCAAATTTGGAAAACAAACTAAATAAATATCCATAAAAGTCTGATTTGAATGGTATGGTAGACTTACGCAAGACTGTTATTCCAATGTTAAAAAGAATGTATGAGATCTTTATGAACACTTATGAATTGATTTCCAGGATATAATGTTGATTTAAAAAAATTAAGATTTAGTAGAGCATTGCTTATTTTTACAAAAGAAAATACAGGGGAGATGAAACAAACACTAAGGACAATGGTTATTAATAGGTATGGATGAAAATGGAGTAGAAGGTGTATGGATGAGATTGAAACTTCTCTGAGAATACTTTTTGGTGTAGATTTTTTTGAAACATATGAACAGTTTGCCTTTTCAAAAATATTAATAAGTGAGAGTTTTGAAAAACTGATATTGAGTCTAATGCTATATCAAATTGACAACATCACCAGTTTCATACCTTCCCTAGGTCTAAGGCCTTGATGTCTATATTAAATGACTTTTTTTTTCCTCACAAACTCAGGACTTCTTACCAAACCTTAAATGACTTATAAAACACAGTTCTCTTGGTTTCTGATGTCTCTCTGTTGGTTTTGTATCAGTTTCTACTTATCACTCTTTTTTGGTCCCTGTGTTCCCTTTTAGTTTTTGGTTTTATTCTTTATAAGCTCATTTATATATTTCAAGAGATGTTTATTATATTTTATCCAATTTTTATTGTTTTCACAAAAAAAAGCTTCTCAGCAAATGTAATATGCTGTATTGCCAAAAATAAAGGCATTATTTCTTAATGTCTCTTCTATTTTCTTTTCCAATTTATTCCTACTTAACTCTCTTCTTTCTGTAATGAACTTTTTGATACTTTATTGTCCATTTTCCATCTGTGATCCGACTTTTTATCTTTCCTATCTTTTCCTGTTCTTCATTTATTACTGTAATCAAAAAGAGATAATTATTCCAAATCATTTGTATATAATCATAAAAGATCACTTCAAAATCATTTCTGGGAACACCTGTATTTTCCCAGAGTTATAAATTTGAAATAGTGTGTCATGAACATTTCTAATTTTACAAGCTTTTTATTACTTGAAAAACATGTAGAAACACAGACCCAGATTTTTGTACAACTAGGAAATACAAAACCATTTGCAATTGACTTTTTTGTAATGGAGATCAACAAGGATGACAGTTTGTCTTACCACAGATACACTAAGTAGTTAAGTTCCTTTCCCTCCTCTTCTCAAAAATTAAAACTCTGCATAGGTTTATCTAAAATGTGTTCATTTTGCCTCTGTTTTTAAAAACTTATCTAAAGGTTGAAGAGTGATCTAAGCCCAGATCATCATATGAAATTAGAACCAGGAGGTGACTGACTACCCTGGACTGTATTTAAATACACAAAAGCTGCTATTCTTTCTTTTTACATTTATAGTCAAAGCTCAAAAAGACACATTCAAGAGTGAGAGAGAGAGAGAAAGAGGGAAGAAGAAAGCTTTCAGAACTTTAAATATCTGTGAATAGTGCTTAGAGATGAAGACAGACTCAAAAATAATGACCTTTAGTACCTATATTTTCCTGTTCCTTTTAAGTACTCTAAAGCTCATTCACATTTCTACAAATGCCTATTAGAACAAAGACATGAGGATTTTCAGTAAAATAATATCACTTAGTATTTCACACTTAGGGTTCTAAAGGTTGTGTAATGGATCCTTCCTTTACTATGTTTTATTTTCAAAGGGAAGCTTAAAGAGGACAGTTCCTCAAGTGGGTATAATGAGGTGTGAGAATATAATGAGGTGTGAATATTTCATTTTAATTCTTATTGATATATAATAATTATACATACTTATGGGATACATGTGCTATTTTGATACGTGTGTAATTGTGCAATGGTCAAATCAGGGTATTTAGGATATCTATCACCTCTAACATTTATTTGTGTTGAAAATATTTCGAATCTTTTCTTATAGCTATTTAAAAATATATAATATATTGTTGTTAAAAATAGTTACCCTGCGACACTACTGAACAATAGATCTCCCTTATTCTATTTTTAGTTTTTTGAGAAAACTCCACACTGTTTTCCATAATGACTGTGTTAATTTATATTTCCACTGACAGTGTATAGGAGTCCCCTTTAATCTACATCCTTTTCAGAATTTCTTATTTTTTTCATCTTTTTAATAATAGCCATTCTAACTAGGATAAGATGCTATCTCATTGTGGTTTTAATTTGTATTTCTGTGGTGTATAGTGATGTTGAACATTTTTTCATGTACCTGTGGGCCATTTGTATGTCTTCTTTTGAGAAATGTCTATTCATATTCTTTGCCCACTTTTTAATGGGATTATCTGCTTTTCTGCCTTTTTTTTTTTTTTTTTTTTTTTTTTTTGCTGCTGAGTGGTTTGAGTTCCTTGTATTAACCCCAAATATCTAAGGCAGGTCTCAGTCAATTTAGGAAGTTTATTTTGCCAAAGCTAAGGACACCCATCTGTGAAAAGTCTCAGGAAGTCCTGATGACGTGTGCCCAAAGTGGTCAGGGCACAGCTTGGTTTTACACATTTTAGGGAGACATGAGACATCAATCAATATATGTGAGATGTACATTTGTTCAGTCCTGAAAGGTGGGACAATTTAAAGCAGTGAAGGGACTTCCAGGTAATAGGTAGATAAGGACAAAAGGTTGCATTCTTTTGAGTTTCTGATAAGCCTTTCCAAAGGAGGAGATATGCATTTATCTCAGTGAGCAGAAGGATGACTTTGAGTTCTGTCTGTCCTTTGTCCACAAGGAAATTCCTTGTGAGGGAGGTATGTAACATTTTTATCTTTACAGCTATCATTTCTAGGAATAGAATGGGAGGCAGGTTTGCCCTAAGGAGCTCCCAGCTTGTATTCTGAATATTAGCCTTTTGTCAGATGAATAATTTGCAAACACTTTCTCCTATTCCACAGGTTGTCTCTTTACTCCGTTGATTGTTTCTCTTGCTGTGCAAAAGCTTTTTAGTTTAATATAATCTCATTTGTCTATTTTTGTTTTTGTTGCTTGTGCTTTTGAAGTCTAGGCCATAATACTTTTGTTTAGACCAATGTCCTGCAGCATTTCCCCTATGTTTTCTTTCTAATTTTATAGTATTGAGTCTTATATTTAAGTATTTAAATTTGAGTCATTTTTTGAATATGCTGAGAGATAGGGGTCTTCTGCCTATGGATGTCCAGCTTTCCCAGTACCATTTATTGAAGACGGTATCCTATCCCCAACATGTATTCTTAGTGCCTTTGTCAAAAGTCAGTTGGCTATAAATATGTGGATTTATTTCTGGGTTCTCTTCTGTTCCATTGGTTTATGTGTCATTGGTTCTGTTCCTTTGGTTATATATTCTGTTCCATTGGTTATATGGTTTTTATATCAACACCATACTGTACTGTTTTAGTTACTATAACTTTATAGTATATTTTAAAGTCAGATAGTATGATGCCTCCAGCTTTGTTTTTTTTTACTCAGGATTGCTTTGACTATTTGGGGTCTTTTGTGGTTCTATTTGAATTTTAGGATTTTTTTTTCTTTCTTTTTTTTTTGGTGGGGGGATGGAGTCTTGCTTTGTTGCCCAGGCTGGAGTGCAGTGGTGCAATCTTGGCTCACTGCAGCCTCTGCCCCCTAGGTTCAAGCAATTCTCCCGCCTCAGCCACCTGAGTAGCTGAGATTACAGGTGCCTGCCACCATACCTGGCTAATTTTTGTATTTTTAGTAGAGACATGGTTTCATCATGTTGGCCCAGCTGGTCTCGAACACCTGGCCTCAAGTGATCCACTCACCTTGGCCTCCAAAAGTGCTGACATTACAGGGGTGAGCTACTGTACCTGGCCAAATTTTAGGTATTTTTTTCATTTCTGTAAAAAACATTATTGATATTTTGAAAAAGATTGCATTGAGTATAGAGAATACCTTTGGTACTATGGTCTTTCTTAAAAATAATAATTCTACCAATCCATGAGCATAAGATGTCTTTCCATCTGTTAGTGTCCTCTTTAATTTCTTTCATGAGTGTTTTGCTGCTTTCCTTGTAGAGGTCTTTTACCTCCTGATTAAATTTATTCACAGGAATTATGCTTTTTTTGCAGCTATTGTAAATGAAATTGTGGTCTTGATATCTGTTTTGGCTAGTTCATTATTGATACATAGAAAAGCTATTGATTTCTGTATGTTGATTTTTGTATCCTGCAAGTTAGCTGAATTCTTTTGTCAGTTCTAAGAGATTGGGGTGGAATATTTAGGTTTTGTTTTTAATATGTAATATTATGTCATCTGCGAAGAAGGACAATTTGACTTCTTTTCCAATCTGAATGCCTTTTATTTCTTTATCTTGACTGATTGCTCTGGCTAGGACTTCCAGTACCATGCTGAGTAAGAGTGGTAAGAGTGGGCATCCTTTTCTTATTCTAGTTCTTAGAGAAAAGGCTTCCAGCTTTTCCCCATTCAGCATGATATTAGCTGTTAGTTAGTCATATATGACCTTTATTATTTTGAGATATGTTTCTTGTGTGCCTAATTTGTTGAGATGTTTTATCATGAAGGGATGTTGAATTTTTCTACATCTATTGAGATAATCATTGGCTTTGTTCTTCATTTTGTTAATGTAATGTATCATGTTTCTTTATTTGTGTATGTTGAACAAATCTTGCAACCCTAGGATAAATACCACTTGATCCTGGTGTATTATCTTTTGAAGTGTTGTTGAATTCAGTTTGCTAGTATTTTCCTGAAGATTTTTGTGTCTGTGTTCATTAAGGATATTGATGTGCAGAATTTGAGGGTTGTAGTAGTTGTTGTTGTGCCCTTGTCTGGTTTTGGTGTCAGAATACTGCTGGCCTCATAAAATGAGTTAGAAAGAATTCCCTTCTCTTCAATTTTTGGAATAGATAGAGAAGAGTTTTTGTTAGTTCTTATTTAACAGTTTGGTAGAGTTCAGTGGTAAAGCTGTTAAGTCCTAGGATTTTCTTTTCTGGAAGACTTTTTACTACCAATTCAATCTTGCTTCTTGTTATTAGTTTGTTCATTCCTGCTTCAGTTGTGGTAGGTTGTGTGAGTCTGGGAATTTATCTGTTTGCTCTAGGTTTTCCAATTTGTTAGCATATACTTGTTCATCATATCCTCTAATGTTTCTTCGTATTTCTGTGATATCAGTTGTAATGACTCTTTTTTTTAATTTTGATTTTATTGATTTGGGTCTTTTTTGGTATTGGTTAGTTGAGCTAATAGTGCATTAATTTTATTTATCTTTTCTGAAAATCAACTTTTCATTTCACTAATCTTTGTGTGTGTTTTTTTTTAAGTCTTTATTTTGTTTAGTTCTGCTCTAATTTGTATTATTTATTTCCTTTTCCTAATTTTGAGTTTGGTTTGCTCTTGTTTTTCTAGTACCTTGAGCTATATTGTTACAAGTTTGTTTATTTGAAATCTACTTCTTTGATATAGCCATTTATTGTGATAAACTTCCCTCTTACTGCTTTTGTTGTATTGCATAGGATTTAGTATGTTATATTTCCATTTTAATTTGTTTCAATAATTTTTTCAATTTTTAAAAATTTCTTTTTTGATACAGTAGTCATTCAGGAATATGTTTAATTTTCATTTATATAGTTTTCAGGTGGCCTTTGTTTTCTAATGTGGTCTGAAAAAATACTTTATAGGATTTAGATTTTTTTTTAATTGAGACTTATTTTGTGGCCTAACATATGGTTTATCCTAAAGAATGTTTCCTATGCTAATGAGAAGAATGTGTATTCTGCAGCTGCTGGATGAAATGTTCTGTAAATGTCTGTTAGATCCATTTGGTGTAATGTGCAGTTTAAATCCAGTGTTTCTTTGTTGATTTTCTGTCTAGTGCTGAGAGTGGAGTATTGAAGTACCCAACTAAAATTGAAATTGGACTCTATTTCTCTCTTTATATCCAGTAATATTTGTTTTATATATCTGGCTGCTTTGGTATTGAGTACACACATATTTACAATTGTTATATCTTCTTGATGAATTGATCTCTTTATTATTATATAATGACTTTCTTTGTCTCTTTTTACTGTTTTTGACTTAAAGTTTGTTTTATCTGATACTAGTATCTCCTGCTTGTTTTTGGTTTCCATTTGCATGGAATATCTTTTTCCATCTCTTCACTTTCAGTCCATATGTGTCTACCAGTGAAGTGAGTTTCTTGTAGGCAGCATATTATTGCTTAAAAAAAATCCTTTCAGCTAATCTATATCTTTTAAGTAGGGAATTTAGTCTGTTTATATTCAAGACGATTATTGGTAGGTGAGGACTTATTCCTATCCTTTTGTTAATTGCTTTCTGGTTATTTTGTATGTCTTTTGTTCCTTTTTTCCTCTCTTACTGTTTCTCATTGCAGTTCATTGATTTTATATAACATTCAGTAACCTTTGATTCCTTAATCTTACTAGTTTATTTGCTCTACAAATGAATTTTATTTTATTTTATATTTTTATGATGGCAGATAATTTTCCTTACACTTCCTGATGTAGAAAAAAAAAAACTCCCTTAAATATTTCTTGTAGGACTGGTCTAATTGTAATGAATTCCCTCAGTTTTTGCTTGTCTGGGAAAGACTCATTTTTAATTTTTCAAGGTTAGATTTCCTAGGTATATTATTCTTCATTAACGGGTTTTTTTTTCCTCTTTCAGAACTTTGAATTTATTATCCCATTCTCTCCTGGCCTGTAAGGTTTCTGCTATTAATCTGCTATTAGTCTGTTGGAGGTTCTTTCATATTTGACTTGATGCTTTTCCCTTGCTGTTTCTAGAATTCTCTCTTTGTCTTTGATTTTTTTTTCAAAGTGAAAGGAAGTTTATTAAGAAAGTAAAGGAATAAAATAATGGGTATTCCATAGACAGAGCAACCCCCAAGGGCTGTTGGTTGCCCATTTTTATGGGCATATTATTTCTTGATGATACACTAAACAAGGGGCGGATTATTCATGCCTCCCCTTTTTAGACCATATAGGGTAACTTCCTGACATTGCCATGGCATTTGTAAACTGTCATGGCACTGGTAGGAGTGTAGCAGTGAGGATGACCAGAGGTCACTTTGACGGTTTAACTACAATGTGCCTCAGATAAGGCCTTTTTTTTTTTGAGATGGAGTCTCGCTCTGTCACCCAGGCTGGAGTGCCGTGGCATGATCTCCACTCACTGCAAGCTCCACCTCCTGGGTTCAAGCCATTCTCCTGCCTCAGCCTCCTTAGTAGCTGGGACTACAGGCAGCCACCACCACGCCAGGCTAATTTTTTGTATTTTGAGTAGAGACGGGGTTTCACTGTGTTAGCCAGGATGGTCTTGATCTCCTGAGCTCATGATCTGCCCGCCTCGGCCTCCCAAAGTGCTGGAATTACAGGCGTGAGCCACCATGCCCGGCCTAGATAAAACCTTTTTGGATTGAATCTATTTGGGGATTTTTGAGCTTCTTGTGTCTGGATGTGTGTATCTCTTCCAAACTTGAGAACTTGTTAGCTATTATTTTTTAAAATAGTTTCTCTTTGCCTTCACCCATCTCTTCTCCTTCTGTGATGCCCAGAATTAGAATATGTGGTCATTTTATGGTGTCCCATATATCACACAGTTTTTCTTCATCACTTTTTGTTTTTCATTATTATTATTTTTTTTTTTTTTGCCTGACTGGGGTATTTTACAAGAACTACTTTCAAGTTTAGAAATTCTTCTGCTTAATCTAGTCTATTTTTGAAGCTATCTGTTGGACTGCTATAAGTCTTACTAGTATAAATCTCATTTAATGTGTAAGAACACTGAGTGTCAGAGGTGGTAGCTAAAGTCCCAAGTTCAAAAATGAGAAGTAGAACCATATTTGAAAACTAGTCTGACCATAGATTCTTCTCAAGAGAATAATACAGTGAAGTTAAAGAATTTGATGAGAATATTGACAAAGACAAAGCCCCAAAATGTTGGTGTTGGCTGATTTTTTTCTCTTAATTTTGAAGAATTTTACTCGCAAATCATTTAAATCAAACAAGCAATATTAAATATTGTCATCCCATACACTAAGATTGCATTCAAAGTTGTCTATAACATCAGATGTGACAGGCAAAAAAAAAAAATTTTTGTTTTGTCTCAAGTATCCTTTCAGATAGGTGCAACAGTTAAGACATCAAACTAACTTTATAGAATATGTTTGTCAGTGAAAACCTGAGGAAATATCCTTGCTATTTGACATTTTAATGCAGTGTAATGCCCTTAGCTTTTTATTGATAAAAACAACAGAACCTCAGAGGAAATGCTGCAGTTCTGTGAACCTGACTGATGTGCATAGCTGTATGTCTACATGGCTAAAATCAAATATGGAATGAGTACGTCTGGTAAAAGCAGACAGGACTTAGGAGGTGTAGTAAAGCCTTTTAAAAAGGCTAAACCGAGAAAACCAAGTAAACTATCTCAATTGGATGCCAGTAATTGATAACCTCTTTATCACTTTTTAAGGGGTGTGCACCACAAAAGAAAATTTCTGCTTTAATATAATTTTCCTAGTTAATCCAAGAACTCTTCAGTATGTGCATGTGAGCATGTGTGTGTCTGTGTCTATGTGTGTGCGTATGTTACAACAAACTCCCTTGACAGTCTATTTAAGCCTATGCACTTCTAAGAATGATAATTTTAAATAACTGAAGTATTGAAATACAAATAATTAAAAAGAAAACTGATTACATTAAAATACCATTCTCAAAATATTTTTAAAAGGTGATGTTCTTGTTTATTAACATAGGTTCAAAATATGTTCTTGTTATTAACACACTAATAACAAATCTCTTGGCTGGGCTAGTAACAACTGATACTTCAAGGTGCTGATAAGTATAAACAATAGTTAAAGATATCTGCAACAAGAAATTCCTATGATGTTTATTGATGAGAAAGTCATAGGAATTGCCAACAGCCCTGTGGCTGATGTCTACATTTATAATTGAAAGATATGCTGAATTTCTCATAGTGACACTAAAAGTAAAGATGGAATTTTGATGGAGGTGTACCCCAAAATTAGGGCTCAGCTTGGGAGGGTTCTTGGCTTTGGTCAGGAAAGAATTCAAGAGCAAGCCAACAGTAAAAGAAACCAAATGTATTAGAGCACCGGTGCACAGCAAAATGGCTAGTCCATAGACAGGGCAGAGTTATCACATAGGCAGAGTAGCACTCATGGATTGCTGCCTGGCTACATTTATACCTACCCATAATTATATGCTAAATAAGGGGTAGGTTATTCACTAACTTTCTGGGAAAGGAGTAGGAAGTTCCTGGAACCATATAAGGTAACTTCCAGGCACCGTCATGGCATTTGTATATTGGCATGGCACTGGTGGGAGTGGCATATAGCATGCAAATATATTATTAATAAAATTCATAGTCCTGGCTGGTTTTGGCTGGCTGGTTTCTTTGCTACATCCTGTTTTGATCTGCAGGGTTATCAAAACAAGTCTTACTGATCTTCTATCTCAATTTCTCCCCTAATTTCTCTCTCTCTCTTTCTGTCACACACACACACACACACACACACACACACACACGCGCGCGCGCGCGCGCCAAATAGCAACATCAACAAAAAACCCCACCAGATTCAGATTCTATCCAGAGACTTTGAGTTAAGAATTCCTGTATTAACACATTCCTACTTTATAATATTATCTGCCATTTCCTTGAAAAAGTAGAACAAGTTAAATGGTCCTTTTGGTATCTAAAGTTAACAAAATCTGATAACTTGAAAGAGAGAAATGTGAAAGAGAAATAAACTATGATATGCAAACACATGAAACACTTACACTCTCTCTCTCTTTTCCTCCATTTCTCTCTACTTCCTCTCCATATTATACTGTTTTTTTTTTCTGCAGAGATAGTTACATTTAAAGAAAGTAGATTTTAAAAATCACATTTTTTTATTATTATTATACTTTAAGTTCTAGGGTACATGTGCACAACATGCAGATTTGTTACATATGTATACATGTGCCATGTTGGTGTGCTGCACCCGTTAACTCGTCATTTACATTAGGTATATCTCCTAATGCTATCCCTCCCCAATCCCCCCACCACACGACAGACCCCAGTGTGTGATGTTCCCCACCCTGTGTCCAAAGTGTTCTCATTGTTCAATTCCCACCTATGAGTGAGAACATGTGGTATTTGGTTTTCTGTCCTTGAAATAGTTTGCTCAGAATGATGGTTTCCAGCTTCATCCATGTCCCTACAAAGGGCATGAACTCACCCTTTTTTACAGCTGCATAGTATTCCATGGTTTATATGTGCCATATTTTCTTAATCCAGTCTATCATTGATGGACATTTGGGTTGGTTCCAAGTCTTTGCTATTGAAAAAAAATCACAGTTTTTTTTTAAAACTGTTCCTTTGATGGTTTCATTAAGAAATAAAGTTTAAATAACATTGGTTTAATCTCTCAAAAAACTAAAATAGATTTGGTTTATATTTATATTTGTCGTTTGGAAACAAACTCAATTGCTATCAGTTGACAAGGATGCCAGAATAAGTTATTGCTTAATCACTCGGGCAGAGAAGCAATAAATTAATCGCTTCTCTTTTTCCAATAGAAATATGAATGAATGTGCTAATCCTCCTTACCCTTTGATGGAATAGACATCTTCATAACTAAGGTTAAGATAGTATTTAAAAGTTTTAGGGGGGTTCCTATTCTTGGCAAAGAAAATTACACTTTCCAATATAAAATACTTTTGAATGAGAAGTGATTTTAAAAAAATGTATGTAAGTTGAAGTCTGAACAACTACAACTATGCTAACATAAGCTGAAACATATGTGAGAAATAAATGTGTGACAGTGAGTGCTCACTCATTAAACTAATAGAATAATAGATTATTCTATCAAAATATGAGTTTCAGTAGAGGTGACTAGATGGCACCCGTCATTTATTTCTTCCACAAAGAAGGACCAAAACAGTAAGTAGATAACCACACTTTGGATAGATCATCTGAGAGAGAACACTGAAATTTAGCCGAGGAGTGACAGGGAGCCTCTGAGGCATGGAAAATGAAGGAAATAAAGCAGCCATCCTGGTCACGGTCACTTGGAGCCAGGAGAAACTCCACTGCAGGGAAAAGGTAAATGAAGTATACCCAGCAGTCCACATTCCCACCATTGACTCCTGCCGTCCCAACCATGGAAGAGTCCCTTGATGCTTGTGGACCCTGAGACTAGTATAGGAAGCTGCTGGGAGTCCACATGATGGCATTATTCTGGAGAGGTAGTTTGTGCTGGGTCCCATACACACGCTGAGTCCCAAGCAGCTATAGCACAGCTCCATTTTGAGAGCCCAGCCCACCAGATTATATCCTACCCTGGGGCACAATAGCCCCTGCACCTGCACATCCCTGAGCTTTGCTGACATTCCCCTGTGTCCACCCAAAGGGCTGCAGGATCACGATGTCAGCTAGACTCAGTGGTGCAGCCAGGTCCCCAGCACTCTAGCCCACACAGTATCCTACACCCCAAGGTATAGACAATGTAGCACACTGGGAAAGCTGCCCCTAGGACAAAGAGAACCAAAGTGTATCCCCACTAGAGCTTCTGCTTGCCTGGCGATGCTGACACTGACAGCAAACTCTCCCTACCAACTAGCAGTAGGGGCTCCTTGCCCCTGAATGTGCCTTCTGGCAATCTGGAGAATGGTCCTCTTGGGCACCATTCTGGGGGCTGAGGACAAGCCACTCCTGCCTACCACTGTAACCGCCACTGCTTGAGAATGCCATTTGGGGGTATGGGGATGGACTTGTCTCACCCACCACAGCTGGCACTCATATGTACCATTAGAGGACCTGAAGAAAGACCTGCCCACTCATCACTGCCACCAGCACTCATGCACATCATCCAGCGACCTGGGGATTGATCCACCTCACTCACTGCCACCTACACCTGTGCATACCTTCAGGGGGCCTGGAGATGGGTCAGCTCAGCCTGCCAGTGCCCAAGCATGTCATCTGAGATCCTGGGGATAAACTAGCCTCACTCACTGTAGCCTGTGCCCATGTTCACACTCGGGGGTCCTGAGGACAGCCCTGCCCCACCAGGTGCTCCCTTACCAGTGCCTTTGTGCACTGATGGGGGCCTGGGAATTGACCCACATGGCCTTTTGCCACTGGCACCTATGCATGCCTTCTTGGCCACCCTGACACAACTATACCATTGGCCCCTACCACATATGCTACCTGGAGGCCTGAGGTCTGGCCTGCCCAAGCCACTGCTGGCACCTCTGTGTTGTTGCCTAGGGGCCTGAAGGTTGGCTTATTGATGCTACTGATATAAATGATGTCATGCACACTGCCCAGGGGCCTGACGACCTATCCACTTATTTGGCCCATTGCTGTCACTGCTGGCACCAAGAAAGTTGCCTGGAGGCAAGAGGATTGGCCTACCTGGACCCACTAACATCACTGCACATGTATGCCATCTGAGGGCTCAAGTGTTTACACACCCAGCCCACTGCTGTTGCCACTAGTGCCCAATGACCAGCTGATCTAAAGTACCCATACATAGCCAAGCCTTACCACCACTTCCACTAACAACTACAGCCTAAGGAACTTAGGAAATCATAGACACTATTGATGCATATTACAGCTGAAGAAATCATACTGAGACTACACTACCATGCCCATCCAAAAATCAAAGCCAAAGCACCCTACACAATCAGCACTATTGATACATCTATAGTAAGAAGTCTTTCCCTGTAAAAGCCAGTCCAGAAAATTGGGAGAAGTGACTTATATCAGATATGCAGATATCAATGTAAGGACATAAGAAGCATGAAAAAGCAAGCTAACATAACATTTCTGAAGGAACACAATAATTCTCAAGCAATAGATTCCAATGAAAGAGAAATCTATGAAATGCCTAAAAAAAAATATAAAATGGTGATCATAATAAAGCTCAGTGAGATACAATAGAATACAGATAAACAACATAAATAATTCAGGAAAACAATTCATTATCTGAATAAGAAATTCAACAAAGATAGATATGATTTTTAAAACCCATAAATTCTGGAACTAAAGAATTCGGTGAATAAAATTAACAAGTACAATAGATAAACTTTCCAGGATTAACACTTTGGCATAATCTCAACTTATCACTTTCCCTGTATCATATCTCCAATTTGCTGATGAATGCTGTTTAAGTAAAAACAGTATGTAGATCTTATGTGTTTAATGACCCAACTAACACCAAAGCCTACCAGATGTCCAGGAACACACCTGTAGTCAAAGTTTGGTTTGTTTAGCTTGCTGCAGCAAGGAAAACCATATCCCAGTAAGAGAATTTAGAAGGATCTCAGTAAGAAAGTTTGTGAAGGGACTTTGTGTAGGTTTGGGCTTATGCTAAATGATTCTTAGAAGGGTCTTGGAAAGGAGAAACCAACTCCAGATTAGGTACTGGTGAGGCAGAGCAGCTTAGCAGTTGGGCACCTTAAAATCCAGTAACTTAATTGAGGGGACATGATGAATGCTTGGTTTGGCATTGGAAAAAAGCAGAAATTATACAAAAAGGAGATGTTACTCATTTTTCAGCTGTGGTATAACCATGGCAGAAACACTGAAACATTATGTATGAGTAAGGACGCTATATGTGGTCTTGACAGTGTCCCATTGGAAGCAATTTTTTTTCTCTGCTTCAAATGATCTGCAGGAATGTTTTTGTATTAGTAGGAAGGAACATTGCATTGTGATTCCCAGCAAAACTTAATTTTCATTTTCTCATGATATAGCTCTTTTAGAAAAAAGTAATTCCACTAGATGTTTTTATTCATTTTTTAAAAATGTTCCAAAGTACCTAATCAACTACATTATTAATGATGAATTAATGCATAGTTTAATCAAACAGTGAAAAATTGATTAAAATCCAGAATCAGTATGTTTTTGTGGGAAGTGATAGTTAAATGTGCTTATGAGACTTTTCACTACTTTTGAATAATCATAAGATTATTCATTTTCCAGTAGGTTATTATTTAGGAGAGACCAGAGAGAGACAATCAATAATTTTACCACAGTGAAGTAAATTATCACAAAATGGCATGTGCAGAGATCAGAGAAGATAAGAAACTTTTTTAAAACAACTCAAGGAAACATCCCAAATAGTGTTACAATTAAACTTGGGCTTGGAGTTTTGTAACATTCTGTTAAGGGAAAACCAAAATTTGCATGCAAGAAGGAGGCCGACAGAGACAGATATGAATGTCAAAGTATTATTCACATGCTTTGTTTTCCATAGCTGATATCTTTTCCCTAAGTACCACAGTGGAAATAGAAATACAAATTAAATCTACAGGAGAGTTATGTATCTGGCATGTTGATAAGAAAACTTTTAGATCAGATTCAGGATTGGCAAGGATGCAGTTAAATGAGCAAGCTCAAAAATTTCTGAAAGGAGAGAAAATTCCTATACTACTCCTGTGGGTGATTTGACGATTTGTACAATTTGGTAATTAGAAATGTTAAAATCCATTAGCCTGGTGACTTCACTGCTTGGAGTTTATACTAAGAAACTCATCAGCTATGCATACTAAGATTTACACATGAAGATTTTTATTGCAAATAATTCAAAATATCTGAGGGACTAGAAACAACATAAATATTTAACAAGACAGAAGAGAGTAAATCAATTATGAAACAGCCATAGACTAGAACACTTTAAAGCTATGTAAAACATGTTTGTGAAGAAAATGTAATGACTTGGGAACATGCTCATCATATTACATGGATAGCAATATAGTATAATAATGCGAACTTTAGCTTCAGAGAGATTTTTCTTGTCATATCTTCATCACAAACTATTAACATAGCCTGAGAAAGTGATTTAAACTATTTCATCCTCTTCCTATGGAAAATGGGTTAATTAGGATAACATTTAAAGAGCTTAGTAACTTGCACCACGGGAAGAGTTGAATACATGATAGCTGTGATGGATGATGATAATATAATTTGAAACTGCTATTTTGCTTCTAACTCACAGAAACGGTTATTCTACCTCCTCCAGCTGCTGTCATCTATTATTTGTATGTCTTCTATCTTGTTTAACATAGATAATAGCTAGAGTGTGTTTGTATGTTTTGCCTGCAGAACAAATAGTGAAGGCTTTCAGATACCTGCAGCTACTAGATACCTTCTAGGGGCTTTTCTGATCTTTGACTTCTACTGGATATCTATATTCTGTGAAATTAGATATTATGTTGTCTGTTTGGCAATATTTATGGTATTGCTTGGTTAGAGTGGAGGTAAAAATGGTAGCTAATAACAATATAATGTACTGATTGCTGGGCATTATACATTTACACATAGCTTAACTCATTTAATTCTCACAGCAACTACATAAGGCAGGACTGTTATTCTCATTCCAGAGATGAGCATGCTAAAGAGAATAGTTAGCTAGCCTAAATTCACACAGATAGTAGATAAGCCAAGATTTAAGCCCAGGTGGTCTGGCCATGGAGTGCATAATTCATCAAAATACTGTCTTTTAAAAAGATTGGAGTGTAAAATCCATGCAGGCATGCACTATAACTCACTCATATATCACTGAAATTCTACTTCTTACCACTGTGACTAGTAAAAGTGACAACCTCAATAAATCTTGCCCAAAGCATGACTGACTGACCCAACAGTGAAGAGGATGGACATTTCAAGTTCCAAATGCAATCTGGACCATGAAGCAATCCTGATAATCATTCTGCAGCTGCCCTTTACCTCCTAGGCTCTTAGGACAAGTATTTACTGTTGAAGACGTGCCATAATACAGTTCTTTGTCTTATTAGCTGTCGTGCTAGAGCATTCTTATTTGTGGTGGAACATTTTGCCCACCATTTGACCAACGATTTCTAAATGATGGGAATAACACAAAATATTAAGATGACTTCCAAATTGTTTTTTCTTATTTTAGCTGCATAATTACCACAGTTTTATCAAATACACACATACATACCCCAAATGTTTGCTAACAAAACAAATGTGATTTATTTCCAGTTTATACTTAGAAAATTCACGGCTTTGTGGTGGCATGTGGCTATAGATCTGAAAGCTGAGAGCATGATTTTGGCTCTTGTTTTAGGTTTGCTTGACTGAATAGTTTATTATAACTACAATTTTAAAATCCCTTAGAAACATGAAACGATCTTTGCCAGAAGTACAACTGCTTTCCATCTAAAATGCCAGCATTTCAGTGTGTCTTGCAACATTTTAATTAGTTTGCTTATGGAACCAAACACATGCATAAAACACTGACAGCAAAGGAAAGTCTCCCTCACCGTAATTAGTTTTTGCAAATGATTACTTACATTTTCATAATTATTCAAATATTTTTGTACAAGGAATTTTACATTTTAAATAGATAATTATACCTCCGTAACAAACCACTGCAAATTAGAAGCTTTGATATACCATTCTAATTCTTGGTACAGTGCACTGTTGGTATTGCCATTAGATCACGCATTTGTTGTTTAGAAAGATAGATCCGCTGTATCAACCTGTTAAATGTGAGTTATTGCCAGAAGATTTGTTGTCCTCACATGTAGCATTCTGTTTTCAAAGGAAATCCAAGCTATACAGTTTTCAATAGTTAAAGAAGTTCAGAATTTTCCCATCTGAGTTAGCAATAAGTGTTTCAGCTCATACAGTTTTTCTGTAGATGTTGTAGAAACAGGCTGAGCTCTCTAAAAAGAAAGTGAGGGAAAGACTCAAGATTTCTGTAACTAAATTAGAGTTAATTGATAACTTTATATATTCTAGTATCCCTGTGCCAGATAGAGTTATTATTTAGAGAAAGTTATAATTTATAGCACATACATCATATATTAAGTACAAATATAATTACTGATAATTGCATATTTATATAATAGAAATACATATTAACTCATAAAAGTAATTTTAAGCAATAGAAATGAGCAGAAATGGAAACAATGATCTTTTCTAACCTTATCACCCTGATAAAGGCACAGGCAATATTATGAGCTCTTGCTAGGAAGTTAGGTAAGTTCATAGCCTGGTAAGATAGAAAATGGAGAGTGATTTCTAACTTTGGATTTGTGAAGAGTTCCTTTTTGCTCCCAAATAACTACTGATGTTGACCAAGGCTTTGCTAGATGTCATCATGAGAAGAAGAAAGTATTACATTTATGCCAGTGCCAATAAACCCCTAAGATGACAGTGCAATTGCACTGGCAAATCTGGAATTTTAGCTTAGAGATTCTTCTTTTCAAAGAAAATAAGCATCCTATAATCATTGCTCAGATCTGACATAGCCTCACAAAAATTTTTTTAAAAGATAATTTGACAAAGGCCCTGTGAAACAATAGCAGAATCTTGCATTTGGAGTCAGGGTAAAATGTACCTTTTAAAAATTATTTCCCATTTAATATTTGTCTTTAAAGCTAAAATAAAACAGATAGGTGGAAATTGTTGTGTTTGGGTGCTGGAAATGTTACACATAAATCTTTGTGTGAAATCAGGCACACATGTGAAAGCTCCAGGGAGATTAGAAACAGAAAGAAATTCTCACTCAACGGCTTGACATATACCATCAACAGACATGTGAAAGTGGCACAGCTTGTGCCAAAAAAGATAGTAAGTTATCAAGAATATAATTTTGTGTAACCTGGGTCAGTTGAAGCATTTTAATGCGCTTAGATGAGGAGAACATTCAAAGGTAATTACATACTTACAAGACTGGATGGTTTGGCTGTCCTTTTTTTTTTATTATTATTGTGGAAAGAAAACATGATGTCATAAGAACATGCATCCAGTGTTTCCAAGGATAAGAATAAAATAGCTTTTGGTATTTAGTATTGTGTAAGACATTTAAAGCCTATTTCATCATTTATTCAAATATTTGTTCCAAGTCCAAAACTGACATACCTTTTGAGAGAATGATAATTATTTGCTAATAATTGTCTTTTACATGTCTAAACCGATCCATAATCCACAAATAATTAGTTTCCGACTGTTGCATCAGTGCATTGTGTCAGAAAATCATAACTGTATTCCTACGTAATTTGGAGAATGGCAAATTTGGAAAATAATGAACATATTCCAGAAATGCATCCTAGGAGACCAAAGTCCAGTCCAAACCAGTTTATTATAACTACAATTTTAAAAAATTGTAGTTGTAAGAAACAAGTTGGTTGAGCTTTGATATGTAAGGTTAAACCACGACCATTCCTACAGAAACTATTCTAAAAAATTGAGGGAGATGGGGTCGGAGGAGCCAAGATGGCCGAATAGGAACAGCTCCGGTCTACAGCTCCCAGCGTGAGCGACGCAGAAGACGGGTGATTTCTGCATTTCCATCTGAGGTACCGGGTTCATCTCACTAGGGAGTGCCAGACAGTGGGCACAGGCCAGTGGGTGCGCGCACCGTGCGCGAGCCGAAGCAGGGCGAGGCATTGCCTCACCTGGGAAGCGCAAGGGGTCCAAGTCAAAGAAAGGGGTGATGGACGCACCTGGAAAATCGGGTCACTCCCACCCGAATATTGCACTTTTCAGACCGGCTTAAAAAACGGCGCACCACGAGAGTATATCCCACACCTGGCTCGGAGGGTCCTACGCCCACGGAGTCTCGCTGATTGCTAGCACAGCAGTCTGAGATCAAACTGCAAAGCGGCAGCGAGGCTGGGGGAGGGGCGCCCGCCATTGCCCAGGCTTGCTTAGGTAAACAAAGCAGCCAGGAAGCTCCAACTGGGTGGAGCCCACCACAGCTCAAGGAGGCCTGCCTGCCTCTGTAGGCTCCACCTCTGCGGGCAGGGCACAGACAAACAAAAAGACAGCAGTAACCTCTGCAGACTTAAATGTCCCTGTCTGACAGCTCTGAACAGAGCAGTGGTTCTCCCAGCATGCAGCTGGAGATCTGAGAACGGGCAGACTGCCTCCTCAAGTGGGTCCCTGACCCCTGACCCCCGAGCAGCCTAACTGGGAGGCACCCCCCAGCAGGGGCACACTGACACCTCACACGGCAGGGTATTCCAACAGACCTGCAGCTGAGGGTCCTGTCTGTTAGAAGGAAAACTAACAAACAGAAAGGACATCCACACCGAAAACCCATCTGTACATCACCATCATCAAAGACCAAAAGTAGATAAAACCACAAAGATGGGGAAAAAACAGAACAGAAAAACTGGAAACTCTAAAACGCAGAGCGCCTCTCCTCCTCCAAAGGAACGCAGTTCCTCACCAGCAACGGAACAAAGCTGGATGGAGAATGATTTTGACGAGTTGAGAGAAGAAGGCTTCAGATGATCAAATGACTCTGAGCTACGGGAGGACATTCAAACCAAAGGCAAAGAAGTTGAAAACTTTGAAAAAAATTTAGAAGAATGTATAACTAGAATAACCACTACAGAGAAGTGCTTAAAGGAGCTGATGGAGCTGAAAACCAAGGCTCGAGAACTACGTGAAGAATGCAGAAGCTTCAGGAGCCAATGCAATCAACTGGAAGAAAGGGTATCAGCAATGGAAGATGAAATGAATGAAATGAAGTGAGAAGGGAAGTTTAGAGAAAAAAGAATAAAAAGAAATGAGCAAAGCCTCCAAGAAGTATGGGACTATGTGAAAAGACCAAATCTACGTCTGATTGGTGTACCTGAAAGTGATGGGGAGAATGGAACCAACTTGGAAAACACTCTGCAGGATATTATCCAGGAGAACTTCCCCAACCTAGCAAGGCAGGCCAATGTTCAGATTCAGGAAATACAGAGAACACCACAAAGATACTCCTCGAGAAGAGCAACTCCAAGACACATAATTGTCAGATTCACCAAAGTTGAAATGAAGGAAAAAATGTTAAGGGCAGCCAGAGAGAAAGGTCGGGTTACCCTCAAAGGGAAGCCCATCAGACTAACAGTGGATCTCTCGGCAGAAACCCTACAAGCCAGAAGAGAGTGGGGGCCAATATTCAACATTCTTAAAGAAAAGAATTTTCAACCCAGAATTTCATATCCAGCCAAACTAAGCTTCATAAGTGAAGGAGAAATAAAATACTTTACAGACAAGCAAATGCTGAGAGATTTTGTCACCACCAGACCTGCCCTAAAAGAGCTCCTGAAGGAAGCACTAAACATGGAAAGGAACAACCGGTACCAGCCACTGCAAAATCATGCCAAAATGTAAAGACCATCGAGACTAGGAAGAAACTGCATCAACTAACGAGCAAAATCACCAGCTAACATCATAATGACAGGATCAAATTCACACATAACAGTATTAACTTTAAATGTAAATGGACTAAATTCTCCAATTAAAAGACACAGACTGGCAAGTTGGATAAAGAGTCAAGACCCATCAGTGTGCTGTATTCAGGAAACCCATCTCACGTGCAGAGACATACATAGGCTCAAAATAAAAGGATGGAGGAAGATCTACCAAGCAAATGGAAAACAAAAAAAGGCAGGGGTTGCAATCCTAGTCTCTGATAAAACAGACTTTAAACCAACAAAGATCAAAAGAGACAAAGAAGGCCATTACATAATGGTAAAGGGATCAATTCAACAAGAGGAGCTAACTATCCTAAATATATATGCACCCAATACAGGAGCACCCAGATTCATAAAGCAAGTCCTGAGTGACCTACAAAGAGACTTAGACTCCCACACATTAATAATGGGAGACTTTAACACCCCACTGTCAACATTAGACAGATCAACGAGACAGAAAGTCAACAAGGATACCCGGGAATTGAACTCAGCTCTGCACCAAGCGGACCTAATAGACATCTACAGAACTCTCCACCCCAAATCAACAGAATATACATTTTTTTCAGCACCACACCACACCTATTCCAAAATTGACCACATGGTTGGAAGTAAAGCTCTCCACAGCAAATGTAAAAGAACAGAAATTATAACAAACTATCTCTCAGACCACAGTGCAATCAAACTAGAACTCAGGATTAAGAATCTCACTCAAAGCTGCTCAACTACATGGAAACTGAACAACCTGCTCCTGAATGACTACTGGGTACATAACAAAATGAAGGCAGAAATAAAGATGTTCTTTGAAACCAACGAGAACAAAGACACAACATACCAGAATCTCTGGGACACATTCAAAGCAGTGTGTAGAGGGAAATTTATAGCACTAAATGCCCACAAGAGAAAGCAGGAAAGATCCAAAATTGACACCCTAACATCACAATTAAAAGAACTAGAAAAGCAAGAGCAAACACATTCAAAAGCTAGCAGAAGGCAAGAAATAACTAAAATCAGAGCAGAACTGAAGGAAATAGAGACACAAAAAACCCTTCAAAAAATCAATGAATCCAGGAGCTGGTTTTTTGAAAGGATCAACAAAATTGATAGACTGCTAGGAAGACTAATAAAGAAAAAAAGAGAGAAGAATCAAATAGACACAATAAAAAATGATAAAGGGGATATCACCACCAATCCCACAGAAATACAAACTACCATCAGAGAATACTACAAACACCTCTACGCAAATAAACTAGAAAATCTAGAAGAAACGGATACATTCCTCGACACATACACTCTCCCAAGACTAAACCAGGAAGAAGTTGAATCTCTGAATAGACCAATAACAGGAGCTGAAATTGTGGCAATAATCAATAGTTTACCAACCAAAAAGAGTCCAGGACCAGATGGATTCACAGCCGAATTCTACCAGAGGTACAAGGAGGAACTGGTACCATTCCTTCTGAAACTATTCCAATCAATAGAAAAAGAGGGAATCCTCCCTAACTCATTTTATGAGGCCAGCATCATCCTGATACCAAAGCCAGGCAGAGACACAACCAAAAAAGAGAATTTTAGACCAATACCCTTGATGAACATTGATGCAAAAATCCTCAATAAAATACTGGCAAACTGAATCCAGCAGCACATCAAAAAGCTTATCCACCATGATCAAGTGGGCTTCATCCCTGGGATGCAAGGCTGGTTCAATATATGCAAATCAATAAATGTGATCCAGCATATAAACAGAGCCAAAGACAAAAACCACATGATTATCTCAATAGATGCAGAAAAAGCCTTTGACAAAATTCAACAACCCTTCATGCTAAAAACTCTCAAGAAATTAGGTATTGATGGGACGTATTTCAAAATAATAAGAGCTATCTATGACAAACCCACAGCCAATATCATACTGAATGGGCAAAAACTGGAAGCATTCCCTTTGAAAACTGGAACAAGACAGGGATGCCCTCTCTCACCACTCCTATTCAACATAGTGTTGGAAGTTCTGGCCAGGGCAATCAGGCAGGAGAAGGAAATAAAGGGTATTCAATTAGGAAAAGAGGAAGTCAAATTGTCCCTGTTTGCAGACGACATGATTGTTTATCTAGAAAACCCCATTGTCTCAGCCCAAAATCTCCTTAAGCTGATAAGCAACTTCAGCAAAGTCTCAGGATACAAAATCAATGTACAAAAATCACAGGCATTCTTATACACAAAAAACAGACAAACAGAGAGCCAAATCATGAGTGAACTCCCATTCACAATTGCTTCAAAGACAATAAAATACCTAGGAATCCAACTTACAAGGGACGTGAAGGACCTCTTCAAGGAGAACTACAAACCACTGCTCAAGGAAATAAAAGAGGATACAAACAAATGGAAGAACATTCCATGCTCATGGGTAGGAAGAATCAATATCGTGAAAATGGCCATACTGCCCAAGGTAATTTATAGATTCAATGCCATCCCCATCAAGCTACCAATGACTTTCTTCACAGAATTGGAAAAAACTACTTTAAAGTTCATATGGAACCAAAAAAGAGCCCGCATCGCCAAGTCAATCCTAAGCCAAAAGAACAAAGCTGGAGGCATCACACTACCTGACTTCAAACTATACTACAAGGCTACAGTAACCAAAACAGCATGGTACTGGTACCAAAACAGAGATATAGATCAATGGAACAGAACAGAGCCCTCAGAAATAACGCCGTATACCTACAACTATCTGATCTTTGACAAACCTGAGAAAAACAAGCAATGGGGAAAGGATTCCCTATTTAATAAATGGTGCTGGGAAAACTGGCTAGCCATATGTAGAAAGCTGAAACTGGATCCCTTCCTTACACCTTATACAAAAATCAATTCAAGATGGATTAAAGATTTAAACGTTAGACCTAAAACCATAAAAACCCTAGAAGAAACCCTAGGCATTACCATTCAGGACATAGGCGTGGCCAAGGACTTCAGGTCCAAAACACCAAAAGCAATGGCAACAAAAGCCAAAATTGACAAATGGGATCTAATTAAACTAAAGAGCTTCTGCACAGCAAAAGAAACTACCATCAGAGTGAACAGGCAACCTACAACATGGGAGAAAATTTTCGCAACCTACTCATCTGACAAAGGGCTAATATCCAGAATCTACAATGAACTCAAATAAATTTACAAGAAAAAAACAAACAACCCCATCAAAAAGTGGGCGAAGGACATGAACAGACACTTCTCAAAAGAAGACATTTATGCAGCCAAAAAACACATGAAAAAATGCTCATCATCACTGGCCATCAGGGAAATGCAAATCAAAACCACTATGAGATATCATCTCACACCAGTTAGAATGGCAATCATTAAAAAGTCAGGAAACAACAGGTGCTGGAGAGGATGTGGAGAAATAGGAACACTTTTACACTGTTGGTGGGACTGTAAACTAGTTCAACCATTGTGGAAGTCAGTGTGGCGATTCCTCAGGGATCTAGAACTAGAAATACCATTTGACCCAGCCATCCCATTACTGGGTATATACCCAAATGACTATAAATCATGCTGCTATAAAGACACATGCACACGTATGTTTATTGCGGCATTATTCACAATAGCAAAGACTTGGAACCAACCCAAATGTCCAACAATGATAGACTGCATGAAGAAAATGTGGCACATATACACCATGGAATACTATGCAGCCATAAAAAATGATGAGTTCATGTCCTTTGTAGGGACATGGATGAAATTGGAAACCATCATTCTCAGTAAACTATCGCAAGAACAAAAAACCAAACACCGCATATTCTCACTCATAGGTGGGAATTGAACAATGAGATCACATGGACACAGGAAGGGGAATATCACACTCTGGGGACTGTGGTGTGGTGGGGGGAGGGGGGAGGGATAGCATTGGGAGATATACCTAATGCTAGATGACGAGTTAGTGGGTGCAGCGCACCAGCATGGCACATGTATACATATGTAACTAACCTGCACAATGTGCACATGTACCCTAAAACTTAAAGTATAATAAAAAAAAATAATAAAATAAAATAAAATAAAATAAAAAATTGAGGAGGAGGGACTCCTCCCCAATTCATTCTATGAGGCCAACAACATCTTGATACCCAAACCTGGCAAAGACACAACAAAAAAAGAAAACTTCAGCCCAATATCCTTGATAAACATCAATGTAAAAATCTTCAGCAAAATACTCGCAAACCAAATTCAGCAGCACATCAGAAAGCTAATCCGCTATGATCAAGTAGGCTTCATCCCCAGAAGGCAAGTTGGTTCAACATACACAAATCAATAAATGTGATTCATCACAAAAACAGAACTAAAGACAAAAAAAACCCACATGATTATCTCAATAGATGCAAAAAAAAAGGCTTTCAATAAAATTCAACAGCCCTTCATGTTAACAACTCTAAATAAACTAGGTATAGTAGAAACATACCTCAAAATAATAAGAGCCATCTATGACAAATCCACAGTCAATGTTATACTGAATAGGCAAAAGCTAGCAGTATTCCCCTTGAATACCAGCTCAAGACAAGTATGCTGTCTGTCACCACTTTTGTTCAACACAGTATTGGATGTCCTAACCAGAGCAAACAGGCAAGAGAAAGGAATAAAGGGCTTCCAAATAGGAAGAGAGGAAGTCAAACTATTTCTGTTTGCAGACAACATGATTATATATCTAGAAAACCTCATAGTCTCAGCCCAAAAGCTCCTCCCACTGATAAACAACTTCAGCAAAGTTAGAGGATACAAAGTCAATGCACAAAACTCACTTAGCATTCCTAGACACCAACAACAGCCAAACCAAGAGCCAAATCAGAAAGGCGATTCTACTTACAATTGCCATAAAAGAATAAAATACCTAGAAAACCTAGAAATACAGCTAACCAGGGAGGTGCAAGATCTCTACCATGGGAATTACAAAACATTGCTCAAAGAAATAAGACAAGACACAAACAAATGGAAGAAAAATCCCACGCTCATGAATAGGAAGAATCAATATAATTAAAATGGCTATACTGCCCACAGCAATTTACAAATTCAGGGCTACTCCTATCAAACTACCAGTGATGTTCTTCACAGAATTAAAAAAAAAA
The DNA here is from genome assembly GCF_000001405.40 of Homo sapiens. NCBI lineage: Eukaryota > Metazoa > Chordata > Mammalia > Primates > Hominidae > Homo > Homo sapiens. Next base: position 21,982,087 of record NC_000003.12, on the reverse strand, counting down.
AAAAAAAACTATTTTAAAATTCAAATGGAACCAAAAAAGAGCCCAAATAGCCAAGGCGATCCTAAGCACAAAGAACAAAGCTGGAGGCATCATGTTACCTGACTTCAAACTATACTACAAGGGTACAGTAACAAAAACAGCATGGTACTAGTACAAAAACAGGCATGTAAACCAATGGAAAAGGATAGAAAGCCCAGAAATAAGGCCACATATCTATGAACATCTGATCGTCAACAAAGCTGACAAAAACAAGTAATGGTGAAAAGACTTCTTATTCAATAAATGGTGCTGGGAAAACTGACTAGCCATAAGCAGAAGATTGAAGCTGGACTCCTTCCATACACCATACACAAAAATCAGCTCAAGATGAATTGAATACTTAAATGTAAAACCGAAAACTGTAAAAACCCTAGAAGACAATCTAGGCAATACCACCCTGGACATAGGAACAGGCAAAGATTTTATGACAAAGACACCAAAAGCAATTGCAACAAAAGCAAAAGTTGAAATGTGGGATCTGATTAATTGTTAAGAGCATCTGCACAGCAAAAGAAATTATCAACAGGATAAACAACCTACGGAATGAGAGGAAATTTTTGCCAACTATGCATCTGACAAAGGTGTAACATCCAGCATCTATAAGGAACTTAAAAATTCGCAAGAGAAAAACAAATAGCCTCATTTAAAAGTGTTCAGTCATGAACAGACACTTCTCAAAAGAAGACATGCAGGCAGCCATCCAAGCATATTGAAAAAAATCTCTATATCACTGATCATTAGAGAAATGCAAATCAAAACCACAATGAGTTACCATCTTATACCAGTCAGAATAGCTTTTATTAAAAAGTGAAAAAGTAACAGATGCTTGTGAGGTTGCAGAAAAATGGGAACATTTATACACTGTTGGTAGGAGTGTAAATTACTTCAACCATTGTGGAAAGCAGCATAGTGATTCCTCAGTGAGCTAAAAGTACAACTATCATTCAACCCAGCAGTCCTATTATTATGTATATACCCAGAGGACTAGAAATTATTCTACCATAAAGACACATGCACGTGAATGTTCAGTACAGCACTATTCACAATAGCAAAGACATGGAATCAAACTAAATGCCTACTAAAGACAGATTGGATAAAGAAAATGTGGTACATATATACCATGGAATGCTATGCAACCATAAAAAAAGAATTAGATCATCTCTTTTGCAGGAATATAGATGGAACTGGAGGCTATTATCCTTAGCAAACTAACTCAAGAACAGAAAACCAAATATTACATGTTCTCACTTATAAGTGGGAGCCAAATGATAAGAACTTATGAACACAAAGAAGGAAACAACAGACACTGTGGTCTGGTTGAGGTTGGAAGAAAGAGGAGGGATAGGAACAGCAAAGATAACTATTGGATACTGGGCTTAATAGCTGGATGACGAAATAGTGTGTACAACAAACCCCTGGGACATGTGTTTATGTAACAAAATTTTCATATGGGCCCCCAAATCTAAAATAAAAGTTTAAAAGGAAGGTTGAACCATATGGCTGATATGTGATCTACAAAATCAGCAATTTCATGTGGTTCATTCCAAGAGTTGTTGTGTTTTATAAGTTCATATGACACTGTTTTTCACTTCAATGCTACTATTACTCATTATCTACATTATTACGTTGCATTATTATCTACTTTTATGTAATAAATCTCCCCAAAATTTAGTGGCTTAAAACAACCAAAATTTATGTCACAGTTTCCATGAGTCAGGAATTCAAAAGCGACTTAGCTGAGTTGTTCTAGTTCACGGTTTCTTGTGAAGTTACCGTTAAGTTATTGGACAGTGCTGAATTAACTGAAAGCTTGACTGGGGCTGGAGGATCTACTTACAAGGTAGCTCATTCACATGCCAAGAAAGTTACTGTTGGTTGTTGGCAAGAGGTCTTAGTAGTTCCTTGCCCCAAGAGCCTCTCTATAAGGCTGCTTTAATAACCCCACAATATAGCTAGCTTAACCTAGAAAAGGATCAAAGAAGTAAAAAGGAAGTCCACCATCTTGCTCAGATATCACAATGCCTTTTATGGCCTAGTCTTGAAAGTCAGGCAGCATCACTCCTACCATATTTTGAAATGAGTCACTGAGTCCAGCCCATAAGTAAGAAGAGGCAGAATTAGGTTACACCTTTTGAAGAGAGGAGTATCAAGGAATTTTAAGGCCACCACAACAGCAATAGTTACTCTCTATGCAAACATACGTGACTAATGCTCATACAATGTTTTGAAACACAAGTTCATTTGGTGAAGGCAAGACCCATATTTTTCCATCCTGGTGCTTTCTTTCTCTACTTATCTCCTCTTCATCTTCCAATCTTTCTGCAAAGACCTCATTCTTCTCTCTTTCTTTTTTCAGCATCTCTGCTGAGATACAATATCTGAAAAGTAGTCGTCTTTATTATTTGCCGTTTCAAGCACCTATGAGACAAACATACTTGAACCTTGTAAGAAAGTAAATGTTTAATGAAGTGAGGCAGGAGTTTTATTCCAGCTCTATTTATATGAAACTGTAAATCCACATATTTTGTAAAAAACTAGCCCCACAATTTGTTAGAGGAAAACTTACTTATTGTGAGCCAGCGTAACTGAGTTGTGGTTTCAGCTTAGTGGCTAACTAGCTGTCAAATATTGGATAAAAAGCTCAATCTCACACCTCAGTTTTTCTTATGTCTACAATGAGGTTACCTGTAAGGTTTTGTTTAATGAAAAAATAGTATATGGTTATGATTAATAGTGACATGTGGGGTTAAATATACATAATATAATAGCACAGAATTTTGTGGGTTTTTTTCCCCCTTCTGTTTGGTGCAGTTATACAGGGCAATAACAAAATACCCCATGGTCCCCCATATCCTCCTTTTTACAAATGTTTGGACCCAGCCCAGACTATTCTACAGGCAAATGATTTATTAACTGTGTATCATTTGGTCAGGGTCACCATTGAAAAAAAATTGGCATGTACTGGAGATAGTCACAACTATTTTCTATTGTGCTAAGTGTCACCTGTCCATTGAGCAGGCTTTTGGAGCTGGTGAGCCTGAATTTTGGAAGCTGCATACTGAGCAAATAAGCTTTCAAATTTAAATTTCCAATTTTAGATATTAATATGAAGAAAATATGTTTTGTTTTTTCACATATTTTACTTTTCTTGGGAAAAGTAAATTTTTTTTAAGTTGAATATTTGTGAATATTTTTATACAGTCAAGGTCACTAATGCAGGAAACATTTGTCATAATGCTGAGCACCTAAACATGCCTTTCACATGCCATCTAGCCTTGCTCCCCGAGAAGACTTTTCAAGGTGTTAATTTGCCAATTTGCTTAAATATGTAAATTTGATTAAATTTACAATGAGCTATCTAGAGACATAGACATAATAGAAATGTCTTGTACTCATAAAAGAGTAATTGAATAAGAACACATATGGAAATTTTTACTAATATCAGGCCTAGTCTGGAGACAAAAGCAAAATCTGATTACAAACGTATGTCTCAGATCACAGACAAACTTCTAAGCTCTGAGACAATTTAGCAATAACTTAAGTCACACCAGAACACCCACATCCTAATCTACTTTTGCCAGTGATGGCATAGTTCCTGGGTTATGTTTCTCCCCCTTTAAAGCAAAAATAAATAAATTAAAAAGCAAAGGCAAAACACGTAGCATATCTAATATTCCACAATATTGGCCTTAATTTAAATCCTAGGTTTAGATCATACCAGTAACAGATAGACAGCAAACATTGATTTAGTACTTACTTTTTAACAAGTGCCTGATTGGTGAATGTACATTTGCAACAAAGTAAGAAACAGACACTGCTCTCAAGAAGCTGAATCTAGAATTAAGAGATTGCAGTAAAGAGCAATAAAGCAGCATAAAAGGTTTCAAAGACATCCTACCTCTGGAGATGATTAATAAAAACACAAAACAGAACAGGGTAAAAGTAGTTTAAGTATTTCTCTATCTGGAAGAGAAGACTGGTCTGATATATTGTTTATTTATGAATTCTTTAGTAGTGTCACTATTAATATCTGGTGTATCTAGTTCTTTCCTTTGGCTATACCAACTACCTCCAGGTCTGCTGAACAAAAAGCAGAGGAGAGAATTGGTGGGGCAGTGTGCTTGCCCTTAAACAGCCTGCATTCTACTCGTTTCTCCAAAGATGTACAGAGCTATTGAATCATCTTTTTTGTTTGTTTGTTTTCCTTTTTTTAGAGACAGGGTTTTGCTCTGTTGCCCAGGCTAGAGTACAGTGGTGTGATCATGGCCCACCGTAACCTCCAATTGCTGGGCTCAAGCGATCCTCTTGCTTCAGCCTCCCGAGTAGCTGGGACCATAGACAGCCCCACCATGCCAGCTAATTTGTTATTATGATTATTTTTATATATATATTTTTAGAGATGGCGTTTTCATGTGTTACCCAGGATCATCTCTAGCTCCTGTCCTCAAGCACTCTTCCCACTATGGCCTCCAAAATAGCTGGGATTTCAGTCATCAGCCACCACACCAGGCCCTGAGTAGTCTTTTAGGTAGACCTGCAAACACAGTTCCCACCCTATCTTTATTACTGTTTTTCATCTTTGAACTTCTCTCCCTTGATTAATTCTTTGTGTTCCTTGAAAGCCAAATACAACCAATATTCAGAGGGAGTTTATTAGCTGTGGAACCCCCTAGACAACCACCACCATACTCAAGCTTTAATTAAAAACAAATTTTTTTTTGTTAATTGAAATGTAGTATGTATATACAAAAGCACACAAACACAAATCATAAGTGTACAGTTCAATGGATTTCCACAAAGTAAACATATCTGTGTGACTACCATTAAGTCAAATAATAGAATATTACCAACACCCCTAGCAGCCCCACAGTGCTGTCCCTTGGAAATCAATCTTCCTCTAATTAGAGTCATAGATTAGTTCCACCTAATACTGAGTTTTATTTAAATGGCATCATGCAACACGTACTCTTTTGTACCTGGTTTGTTTTGTACAATACCATGTTTGATTCATCAATGTTGTTATATGTAGCAGTGGTTTATTATTATTATTATTATTTTCCTGAGATGGAGTCTTGCTCTGTGGCCCAGGCTGACGTGCAGTGGCACAATCTGGGCTCACTGCAACCTCCGCCTCCCAGGTTCAAACAATTCTCCTTCCTCAGCCTCCCAAGTAGCTGGGATTACAGGCATGCAACACAACTGGCTAATTTTTGTATTTTTAGCAGAGATGGGGTTTCACCATGTTGGCCAGGATGTTCTCGAACTCCTGACCTCATGATCTGCATGCCTTGGCTTCCCAAAGTGCTGAGATTACAAGCGTGAGACACCTGCCCAGCTGGTTTATTATTTCTCAGTGCAAAATAATTTTCCATTTTATGGATGTACCAAAATATATTTACCAATTCTGGAGTTAATGGACAGTTTGGGGCTGTTATAAATAACACAACCATAGGCAATGTAGTACATGTTTTTGGTGATTATCTGTTACATATGTCTCCTGTACTCTTCTGTGTATTTCCTGTTATAGTCTAGATATTTTCTTTTGATCTATCTTCCAGATCATTTATCTTCAGCTGCGTCCCTCTATCATGCTATCAATTTTAGTTATTGTATTTTTTCAATTCAAAATTCTCCATGTGATCATCCTCTTATCATTCTCCACTTGGTCATTTATTTATTTGAAGATACTAATCAAAACTATTTTATATTTGTTTTCTTATTACTGTAGTATTTGTGTCACATGTAGATATGTTTCTGTTGTCTATTTTTTCTTCTGGTCCTATTACTTAATATCTCTAAAAAAAATGTGTTGTCATTACCAGTCTTCTGAATGAGAAATTTTAGTGATAATTTAACCTATCCTCTGGCAGGCCAAGAAGAGGTATATCACTCAAATCTGATCAGATCTTGAAATAACTTTGGCTAGTCTGCAGCTTCAGTAAGGTTCAGGATCCCTCTAGTTTTCCCCATATACATGGTGCATCCCTCAAGGTGTCCCAGTTAGAGCCTGAGTGTTTGCTAGGGCCATTCTTCTTTGAAGGCTCTGAAGTAGAAGTCTGGTCTCCCTAGAACTGTGGAAATGCTGAAAACTTCATATTACCCTTCAAGTATGTTTGGCTTTTTTCAACACACTTGATGCTTGGCTCGTTTGCATCTTGTCCTGTGTAGTTAATCAGATGACTCAATGGAAGAACAGGTATTGATTGCCAATCTCACTTAATTTTTTTTTTATTTTCATGGGTACATAGTAGTTACATAGTAGATATATATTTTTGTGGATACCATAGTGTGTGTATATATATATATATATATATATATATATATATATATATATATATATATATATTTCGTGGGTACATAATAGGTATATATTTTTGTGGGTTCATAGAGGGCACATGAGGTATTTTGATAAAAGTATACAATGTGTAAAAATCACATCAAAGTAAATGGGGTATCCATTCCCTCAAACATTTATCCTTTCTTTGTGTTACAACCAAATTATATGCTTTTAGTTATTTTAAAGTGTACAATAAATCGTTATTGAGTGTAGTCACCTTGTTGTGCTATCAAATACTAGGTCTTATTCATTCTATCTAACCATATATTTGAACCCATTAATTATTCCCATCCTCACTACCCTTCCAACCTCTGGTAACCACGATTTTACTCTCTCTCTCCATGAGTTGCATTGTTTTAATTTTTAGCTCCCACCAATAAGTGAGAACATAGGAAGTTTGTCTTGCTGTGCCTGGCTTATTTCATTTAACATATCTTCCAGTTCCATCCATGTTCTTGTAAATGACAGGATATTATATTTATGGCTGAATAGTACTCCATTGTGTATATGTACATTTTCCTTATCAATTTGTCTGTTGACAGACACTTAGGTTGCTTCCAAATCTTGGCAGAGCAGTGCTGCCACAAACTGTGGAAGTGCAGATATCTCTTCAATATACTGATTTTCTCTCTTTTGGGTACATACCTAGCAGTGGTATTGCTGAATTGTATGGCAGTTCTATTTTTAGTGTTTTTGAGGAACTGCCAAACTGTTCTTTATAGTGGTTGTACTAATTTCATTTCCACTAACAGTGTTCGAGGGTTCCCGTTTTTCCTCTTCCTTGCCAGCATTTGCTATTGTCTGTCTTTTGGACAAAACCCTTTTAACTGGGATAAGATGATATCTCAGTGTAGGTGGGATTTGCATTTCTCTGATGATCAGTGATGTTGTGCACACTTTTATATCCTTGTTTGCCATTTGCGTGCCTTCTTTTGAGAAACGTCTACTTAGATCTTTTGCCATTTTAAATTGGATTGGTTTTTTTTCTTATTGAGTTGTCTGAGCTCCTTATATATTCTGGTTAGTAATCCCTTATCAGATAGATAGCTTGAAAATATTTACTTCCATTCTGTGGGTTGTTTCTTCAATTTGTTGATTGTATCCTTTACTGTGCAGGAGCTGTTTACTTGATGTGAACCCATTTGTCCATTTTTGCTTTGGTTGCTTGTGCTTGTAGAGTATTACTCAGGAAATCTTTGCCCAGACCAATGCCCTAGAGAGTTTTTCCAATTTTTTCCTAGTAGTTTCTTAGCTTAAGATCTTAGATTTAAGTGTTTAATCCATTTTGGTATGATTTTTGTATTTGGTGAGAGGTGGGGGTCTAGTTTTATTCTTTTGTATATGCATATCTAGTTTTCCCAGCACCACTTATTGAAGATATTGTCCTTTCCCCATTGTGTGTTCTTGGTACCTTTGTTGAAAATAAGTTCACTGTAGATGTATGGATTTATTTCTGGGTTCTCTATTCTGTTCCACTGGTCTATATGTCTGTTTATATGCCAGTACCATACTGTTTTCCTTACATTATCTCTGTCGCATAATTTGGAGTCAGGTAATGTGATTCCTCAAGTTTTGTTCAAATTTTTGCTCAGGATAGCTTTGTCTATTCTGGGACTTTTGTGGTTCCATATACATTTTAGGATTATGTTTTCTATTTCTGTGAAGAATGTTATTGGTATTTTGATAGGCATTTATTGAATATATAGATTGCTTTGAGCAATATATACATTTTTAAAAATATATATTCTACCAATCTGTGAACATAGAATACCTTTTCATTTTTTTGACCTCTTCAATTTCTTACATCAATATTTTATAGTTTTCATTGTAGAGATCTTTCACCTTTTTTGTTTTATTCCCAGATATTTAATTTTAATTGTAGCTATCATAAATGAGATTAGTTTTTTGATATGTTTTTCAGATAGTTTGGTGTTGTCATATAGAAATGGTACTGATTTTTGCATGTTGATATTGTATCCTGCAACTTTACTGAATTTGTTTATCAGTTCTAGTGGTTTTCTGTCAGAGTCTTTAGGTTTTTCCAAATATAAAATCATATCATCTGCAAACAAGGATAATTTTACTTCTTTCCTTTTCCTTTCCAATTTAGATGGCCTTTATTTCTTTCTCTTCTCCTATTGGTCTAGCTAGTACTTCCAGTACTATGTTGAATAACAGTGGTGAAAGTGGGCATCCTTGTCTCATCCCAGATCTTAGAGGAAAAGCTGTCAGTTTTTCCCTGTTCAATATGATACTAGCGGTGAGTCTGTCATATATGACTTTTATTATGTTGAGGTATGTTCCTTTCATATCCAGGTTTTTCAGAGTTTTTTATTATGAAGGAATGTTAAAATGTAGCAAATGCTTTTTTACCATCAAGTGAAATTATCATATGGTTGTTGTCCTTCATTCTACTGATATAAGATATCACATTGATTGACTTCTGTATGTTGAACCATTCTTGCATCCCTGGAAAAAAGTCCAACTTGGTCATGATGAATGATTTTTTTAATGTATTGTTGAATTTGGTCGTTTGGTATTTTGTTGAGGAAATTCGCGTCAGTGTTCATCGGGGATATTGACCTGTTACTTTCTTTTTTCTTTGAGGTGTTTTCTGGTTTTATTATCAGTGTAATCCTGATCTCATAGAATGAGTTTGGAAGTATTCCCTCTCCCCTTTTCAGAATAGTTTGATTAAAATTGATATTAGTTCTTTTTCAAAACTTTGGTAAAATTCAGCAATGAAGCCGCTGGGTCCTAGTATTTTCTTTGCTGGGAGACTTTCTTATTATGGCTTCGATCACATTACTTGTTATTCATCGATTCAGGTTTTGGATTTCTTCACGGTTCAATCTTAGTAGATTGTGTGTCTAGGAATTTATTCTTTTACGTTTTCCAATTTATTGGCATATAGTTGCTCAGAGTAGCCTCTAGTCATCCTTTGAATTTCTGTGGTATTAGTTGTAATGTCCCTTTTTCATCTCTAACATTGTTTATTTAGGTCTTTTTTGTTTTTTTCTTAGTCTAGTTAAAGCTTATCAACTTTCTTTATAATTTCAAAAAAACAACTTTTCATTTTGTTCATCTTTTATATTGTTTTAACCTTTCAATTTCATTTATTTCTGCTCCGAAGTTCATTATTCCTATTCTTGTAACTTGTGGTTTGATTTGTTCTTGATCTTCTACTTCTCTAAAATACACCAATAGGTTGTTTATTTGAAGTTTTAACACTTTTTTTATATAGGCACTTATGGCTATAAACTTTCCTCTTAGTACTGCTTTTGCTGTGTCCCGTAAGTTTTTGTATGTTGTATTTCCATTTTTATTTGCTTCAAGAACTTGTTACATTTTCTTCTTAATTTCTTCATTGACCCACTGGTCATTCAGGACCATATTGTTTAATTTCCATGTATTTGTTTACTTTCCAAATGATTTCTAGTTTTATTCCATTGTGGTCAAAGAAGATACTTGATACAATTTCTTCTTTTGAAATTTTTAAGACTTTTTGTCCTATTATATGGTCTATCCTTGAGAATGATTCATATGCTGAGAAAAAGAATGTATATTCTGCAGCCATTGGCTGAAAATAATAAATATATATTGGGTCCATTTGTTCTTAGTGCATATCAAGTTCAATTTTTCTTTGTTGATTTTCTGTCTAAATGATTTTTCCGCTGCTGAAAATGGATGTTGAAGTCTCCAACTATTATTGTGTTGGGATCTACCTCTCTTGATAACTCTGATAATATGTGCTTTATATATCTGGGTGTCCCAGTGTTGGGTGCATATATATTTACAGTTGTTATATCTCCTTATTCATCCCTTTATCATTACATATAGTGACCTTCTTTGTCTCATAGTTTTTGTTTTTAAATCTATTTTGTCTAATATAAGGATAGCCACTCCTGCTCTTTTTTGGCTTTCAGTGGCACGAAATATCTTTTTTCATCCCTTTATTTTCAGTTTATATGTATCTTTATAGGTGAAATGTGTTTCTTGTAGGCATCAGGTCACTGGGTCTTTTTTTTTTTATTCATTCAGCTAGTCTATGTCTTTTGATTTGAGAGTTTAGTCTGTTTACATTAAATGCTATTATTGATGAGTAAGGACTTACTCTTGCCATTTTTTCATTTTTTTGGCCATCTCTTCCTTCTTTCCTTCTTGTCTTCCTTTTAGTGAAGGTGATTTTCACTAGTGGTATATTTTCATCTTTTACTTTTTATTTTTGTGTATCCATTATTTTTTTTGATTTGAGATTACCATGAAACTTGCAGGTAATATCTTATAACCCATGATTTTAAACTGATGACAACTTAACCTTTATTGCATAAACAAACAAAAAACAAGCAAGTAAATTGAAAACTAATAAAAATTCTGCACTTTAACATCATCATCCTGTTTTCTAACTTTTTGTTTTTTCCATTTATTTATTATGCTATGTCTTAAGTTGTTGTAGTTATTATTTTTGCTAGGTTCATCTTTTAGTCTTTCTATTCTGGGTATGAGTAGTTTATACACCATAATTACAGTGTTTGTTATAATATTGTGTTTTTTCTATGTACTTACCATTACCAGTGAGTTTTGTACCTTCAGATGATTTCCTATTACTCATTAATGTCTTTTTCTTTCAAATTGAAGAGCTCCCTTTAGTATTTCTTGTAGGACAGGTCTCGTGTTGATAAAATCCCTCAGCTTTTGATTGTCTGGAAAACTATTTCTTTCTCCTTTGTTTGAAGAACATTTTTACTGGATATAGTACTCTAAGATGAAAGTTTTTTTTTTCTTTTGCACTTTAAATATGCCCTGCCACTCTCTCCTGGCCTGTAAAGTTTTCACTGGAAATTCTGCTGCCAGACTTATTGAAGCTCCATTGCATGTTATTTGTTTCTTTTCTCTTCTTCCTTGTGGGATCCTTTCTTTATGTTTGTCTTTAGGAGTTTGATTATCAAATGCCTTCAGGCAGTCTTCCTTGGGTTAAATCTTCTTGGTGTTCTATAAACTTCTTGTACTTAGATATTGATGTTTTTCTCTAGGTTTGGAAAGTTCTCTATTATTATGTTTTTGAATAATCTTTCTACCTCAATTTCTCTCTCTCTCTCTCTCTACTCTTTAAGGCCAATAACTCCTAGATTTGGCCCTTTGAGGCTGTTTTCTAGGTTTTCCAAGCATGCTTCATTCTTTTTCATTCTTTTTTCTTTTGTGTCTTTTTACTGTTTATTTTCAAAAAGCCTGTATTCAAGCTCACTATTTATTTCTTTTGCTTGATCAATTCTGCTGTTAAGAGACCCTAATGCATTTTACAGTATGTCAACTGCATTTTCTGCTTGATTATTTTAAATTATTTTAATCTATTTTTTAAGTTTATCTAATAGGATTCTGAATTCCTTCTCTGAATTATCTTAAATTTCTTTGAGTTTCCTCAAAACAGCTATTTTGAATTATTAGTCACATATCTCTGTGTCTCTGGGTTTGGTCACTCATGCCTATTTAGTTCATTTGGTGAAGTCACGTTTTCCTGGATGGTTTTAATGCTTGTCAGTGTTATTGGTGTCAGAGTATTGAAGAATTATATATTTATTCTTACCTTCATAGTTCAGCTTGTTTGTACCTGTCCTTCTTGGGAAGCATTTCCAAGTATTCAGATGGTCTTGGGTGCTGTAATGTAAATCTTTCATCACCGCAGCTATATCTGCCTTAGGGGACACCCAAGCTCAATAACACAGTAACTCTTGCAGACTTATAGAGATACTGGATTGGAGGTCTTGGGTAAAATCTGGAAGAGTTCTCTGGAATACCAGGCAGAGACTCTTGTTCTGCTCCCTTACTATCACCCAAACAAATGGAGTTTCTATCCCTTTCTGAGCTGTCTGGAGCTGAGATAGGGTGACACAGGCACCCCTGAAGCCACCCACCACCACTGGAACTATGCTGAGTCAGACCCAAAGCCAGCATAGCAGTGAGTCCTGCCCAAGGCCTATGGTGACTACTGCCTGGCTACTGCCCGTGTTCACTTAAAGCCCAAGGACCCTACAATAAGCAGATGGTGAATCCAGCCAGCTTCGTTTCCTTCTCGTCAGGATGATGAGTTACCCTGGCACCAGGCCATTCCAAAGATGTCATCCAGGACCAGGGCCTGGAGTCAAGCACCGCGGGTATTAATTAGTCCGTTTACCTAATGCTATAAAGAACTGCTCAAGACTGGGTAATTTATAAAAGAAAGAGATTTAATTGACTCACAGCTCAGCATGGCTGAAGACAAAGAGAAAGCTAGGACCTCCTTCTCAAGGTGTCAGGAAGGAAAAGTGCCGAGCAAAGAGGGATGAGCCCCTTATAAAACCATCAGATCTTGTGAGAACTCCCTACCATGAGCACAGAATGGGGGAAACTGCCCCCATGACTCAATTACCTCCACCTGGTCTTTCCCTTAACACGTGGGGATTATGCAAGTCAAGATGAGATTTGAGTGGGGGCACAAAGCCTAAACATATCAGGTATCTACCTGGTGCTTCATTCTACTGTGGCTGAGCTGCCACCCAAGTCACACAAAAAAGTTCTTACCATTCTTTCCTCCCCATTTTACAAGCAGAGGAGTCTCTCCCTATGACCACCACTACCACAGGTCCGTGGAGATTACTGCTGGCTGTTATTAATGTTCACTCAAGACCCAAGGGCTCTTCAGTCAGCTGTTGGTAAAAGCTGCCAGATCTGTGTCTCTCAGGAGAATGGGTTCTCCTCTGGCCCAAGCCAAGTCCAGCAATATCATCCAGCAGCTTGGCCAGGAATCAGAGACCCCAGTAAACACTTGGTACTCCACACCACTGTGGCCCAGCTGGTATCCAAGCTGTGAGGCAAAGTCCTCTTTACTTTTTTTCTCCTTTCCTTAAGCAAAAGGAGTCTCTCCCTTTAGCTAACATAGCTTGGAATGTGCTGGGTCACACCTAAAGCAAGCATAGCTCTGAGTTTCACCCAAGGTCCACGGCAAGTACTGCCTGGCTACCATTGCTGATTATTTAGGGCCCAAGAGCTCTCTAGTCAGTAGGTGATGAATGCTGCTAAGACTTGGCCCTTTGCTTCAAGACAGTGGGTTCCTTTCTGGCCCAGGGTGTGTCTAGAAATAAAGTATGACAGCTAGGGCCTGAAACGGGTATTCAAGATGCAAGACAAAGTCCTCTTTACTCTCTCCTCTCCTCTCCTCAGACAGAAGGAATGAGGCTCTAGGACTTGAGAGCTCTTCTGCCTGGGGCTGGGGGAGGGATGACTCAAGCACTCCCTTGGCTTCCTAGGCTGATGTCTCACTAGGTCATGTGTACCTCAAGTCCACTGGCTCTGAACACAGCACAGCACCTGGACTTGCCTGGGAATTGGAGTCCTTGTGGCCTAGACTGCCGTTTAAGTTTATTTAGAACCCCAGAGCCCTTTAGCCCATGGTGGAGGGCTTGCCAAAACTCATATTCAGACTGCTGAGATGGTTAATTTTCCTCTGGCTACGGCTGGTCTAAATGCTCCCTCCGTGGTGGCATTGGCTGCGTTCCACCCGATGTTGCTTTCCGCTGTGACTGGGCAGCACTGAATTCCAATGTGAAGTCCCACAATCCCTTTCCTCTCTCTCCCTCAAGCACATGGATACTCTCTCTGCACCGTACACCCACAGCTGGGGTGTAAGGGAGGGGTGGTGTAAGCTATTCAAGACTTTCTTTCCTACCTACTTCAGTGTCTCTTTCCTTAAATGGTGTTAAAACTACCCACTTTAGTGTCTCTTTCCTTACATGATGTTAAGAACAGATACTGTGATTGCTCACCTGATTTTTAGTTCTTATGGTGGTGGTTTTTGTATGGATAGTCAATCAATTTGGTGCTCCTGTAGAGGGAATAATCACGGGAGGTTTCTGTTCAGCCATCTTACTCCAACTTCCTCCCAATCTCTTTTAGGAACCTCATTTGCCATTGGAATTTTGGTCACTCAAGTCCTAAATGCCTTGGCAGTTCAGAACTCTAATTGTTGTTTCCCCAGCCCTGTGCAAACACTGAAAGGTCTTCTGTGTGTTAGAAGTCTTAGGAGCCCCTCTAACTAGCTTAGTCATATCTTGGCATATGTCAAAAATCAGTAAATGACCTGAGGAAGAAGCCAATGGGCAGAAAATTTAGCTCCCCTCTATAAGCTTTCCTTCTCTCCAGGAACTGGCCCTTTAGGACCAGCTGTTTTAGCAGCTCTGTAGTGATTTGAGATCCATTGTTTAAAATTTCATCAAGATATTTAATTCTTAACAGGATTATTGTTCTGCCATAAAATAATCCAAAATAGCTGGAAGTAGAAGTTCCACGCTTGAATTTTGATTTATTCAATTTTTAAAATAAATGCTTAAGTGGCTTTAAGATAAAGCTGCTGCCAACATATAAGACAGTAAATTTTGGGGGAAAAAATTTTCTTAATTATCAAATTTTAAGAAATTTGACGAGAAAAGACCAGAAATTATTTACTTCCCCAGGACTGAAATAGATAAAAAGAGACTAAACAGTGCCAAAGCTAAAGAAATGCTTAAAGTAATGACCATTACATCACATCTAGATTATATATTTTACAATACCCACTTTTCACAAGTTAAAGGTAAACATTTTCTTTGTAGATCATACAATGTATGGAATTTTTCACTATTATTTGAATTAATAGTTTTTACTATACAGATTTTAATTTATGTGTGTTCTTTTAGAATTTTTTTCATATTTGTGTGCTGTAACACACACAAAACTCATAAATCCACGTGCATGTGCATGCACACTCATTCTAAAAAATTAGAAGTAAATCTGCTAGGCCAGGGGCTGTGGCTCAAGCCCATAATCGCAGCGCTATAATCCCTATAATCCTTCGGCCTCGGAGGCCAAGGTTGGCAGATCACTTGAGGCCAGGAGTTTGAGACCAGCCTGGCCAACATGGCAAAACTCCATCTCTACTAAAAATACAAAAATTAGCTGGGCGTGGTGGTGCGTGCCTGTAATCCCAGCTATTCCAGAGGCTGAGGCAGGAAAATCGATTGAACCCGGGAGGCAGAGATTGTAGTGAACCGAGATTGCACCACTGCACTCCAACCTGGGCTACAGAGTGTGACTGCGTCTCAAACAAACAAACAAACAAGAAGTAAACCTGCTAGTTGACACCAATAGGTTTACAATAGGTTTATAGGGACACAATTAATCAGGAAATGAATACAGTGAACAATTTCTGATTATAAAGCCTCTGCTGGATGTGATGAATCCAAACCAGTCCAAGAAATGTTAGGGTAATTAAAATGAAAGCCACAAATGCGTCTTTACCAGCCTAAAGTTTCTCTTTCAGGTATGGTAGGAAATGAAGGTGAAGTTAGTTCCTTAGCTTTAAAATGTCTACATGCTTTTTAAAATTTACTACCAGTTCAGTTTGTTTTCCAAACAAAATACAAGCTTTAAAAGCTGTGCTAGATGTTAGGGGATGTTTTTCAGCTCATTCAAGCCTGTAACATCATTCTACCTAAAGTCCTATACTATAAATTATTGGTTTCATCAAATCCATTGAGATAGAACTGCACTACTCAGTATGGAGAACCTACAAAAATGTCTCTGTATCTATTGCTGAAATTCAAAATAAGATTTGCAAAATTTACTCTAGAGAGACAAGGAGTAAAGATCTAGGAAAGAAGAAAATGAATACTTGTAAACTTTTCTACATTCCCTCAAAGTGTATTTTCATTTTCTATAATTTCAAACTTACAGAAAATTTACAAGAATAGTACAAAGAACTCTTATCTAGACTTTACCTGGATTCACTAATTATTTGCAGGTTTCCCATTTGCTTTATTGTTATCTCTTCTTCTTCCATTCCTTCCTCCCTTCTTTCTTCCATATTTTTGAGCTACTTAAGTGTTGTTGGAAATATTTTGCCCTTTTATCCCTAAATACTTCAGTGTGTCTTTTCTAAAAATAAGGATATCCTCTTACCACAGAAGTTATCAACATCAGGAAATTTAATGTTGATATAACATTGCCAAATCTGCAGTTTATATTTAAATTTGTCAGTTGTTCTGGTAATGTCCTTTTTAGTTATTTCTCCCATGTCCAGAATCCAATCTAGACTCATATACTGCATTTAGTTTTCATGTTGAGTCTTTTATTGTGAAACAATTCTTCAACCTTTCTTTATCTTTCTTGTTTGGACATCTGTGAAGAGTACAAGCC
Organism: Homo sapiens; assembly: GCF_000001405.40. Taxonomy (NCBI): domain Eukaryota; kingdom Metazoa; phylum Chordata; class Mammalia; order Primates; family Hominidae; genus Homo; species Homo sapiens. The sequence continues at coordinate 21,965,505 of NC_000003.12, read as the reverse complement.
AGTTACTCTGAGGGATGTTCTTCAGTTTTTTTTCTGATATTAGATTTTTTAAAAGCATATTTTTACTTAGCTACTTACTGTACGCTCTGGCACGTTATGTCTAGGAAATGTATCTGTCTTGCTCATTTGTGTTTCCCCATCATTAGTACTGTGCCTGGGTACACAGTAAGTACTCAGTAATTGATTTTTGAGTAGACACATACCAATATGTGGCATTCATTTGATGCATATTATTTAATTTTTAATCCTTGCTACAACTTCAAATCTAATTATCCTTAAACCCATTTTGCAGATAAAGAAACTTAGGGTCAGAGTCTATTAATCACCAAAGTTACATAAGATATTAATTTGCAATTCTAAGCTCCAAAGCTGTCTCTTCATCATAGATCTCTTCTCTTCATACTGTGTTCAGTCTCTAAAATTTTTCAATCTTCCAGGCATTGTGCTTTCTGATTCTAGTGTCAACTTTAATATTAATTATGCTGCCAATTATTAAGATACAAATGTAACTGAATGGAATGATGTAAACCTAAGTGCTAACGTATTTTTATCTGCTAAATACATGAATATATGCATCTTCCTATGTTCAGTAGCTTCTGAGGATATTTCACAGTCTCATATCATTTGTCTACAAATATATTTATAATAAGAATAGAAATTATTACCTTTGAACATACAACAAAGAATTATGTTACTTCAAGATCTGTGAAATTAGGCTGGGCGCAGTGGCTCATGCCTATAATCCCAGCACTTTGGGAGGTCGAGGCAGGTGGATCACCTGAGGTCAGGAGTTCGAGACCAGCCTGGCCAACATGGTGAAACCCCATCTCTACTAAAAATACAAAAAAATTAGCAGGGCATGGTGGCAGGCACCTGTAAACCCAGTTACTCAGGAGGCGGAGGCAGGAGAATCGCTTGAACCTGGGAGGCAGAGGTTGCAGTGAGCCAAGATTGTGTCACTGCACACCAGCCTGGGCGACAGAGTGAGACTCCGTCTCAGAAAAAAAAAAAAAAAAAAAAAAAAAAAAAAAAAAATCTGAGAAATTGGACATCTTTTTCTTTTTTTTTTTTTCTTTTTTTTTTTTTTTTTTTTACAAAAAGGACCAACTGTAGAGCCAGTAGTTACAAAGATTCTCTGAAGCAAGTGCTATGGAAGAGCTCAGGGATTTTTCTTTCTTTTTTTTTCCATTTGTATTGTAAAAATATCTATAGTTTTTCACACATACAATGATGCCAATTTCAGTTTTTAGCGAATGAAGGAGACACAGAAGGAGAAATTTGTATCTCATATCTGAAATAGTTTAAACTTACCTTGATTTTTTTTATCCTGGCTAATGAAATTTTGTTCATTCTTTACTGAAGATTATAAAATGATTTGTGGGCCAGTTGTATTAGATTGAATTAGAAGGGTTAAGTAGGAAATGATGATAACCACCTTTTATTATATTCCAAAGCATTGTGCAGAATACTTTGCCCGCAATTAAATGAATATTTAATGTAATACTTAGTCGCTTTTGTACTAATGTCTTCATGACATTTTGTACCTATAATAATATCTAACATAAAATAACATTAATATTAGTAGCCATTCTAAAATTGCTCTGAGTTAGTTCTTGTATTTCTGCTCTGAATTTTTCTTTTTATTTTGATCAGTGTCATCACCAGGGCCATTATTTTAATTTACAAGTTGTTGCTTTTAATTTATATCTCTAGAATTCTGGGCATACATACATTTTTAATCACTGAGGAGAAGAAAAACATAAAGTTATTATTAGGTTATCACAATTACTTTTGCACCAATCTAATATAAAGAGGTCTGTAATATAAAGAGATGTCTTGTATATTCATTGTATTATAACTTAAAGGCGTATGAATGGAGAAACTGTCAACCACCAGCGGCAGGAAAGTATGAAACAACTTGTTCTTACAAGTGGAATTCGGTGTTTTGATTGGTCTCATTTTTCAGAATATAGATTGAGATCAGAAGTTTTATATATGGATTACTATGTTCAGAATCTTAGGCAATAAGGATGTTAATTTGGATAATGATAGAAGCAGTAAATAAAGTAAGATGCGAACTCTTTCCCCTCCCTATCCTTAACTACATTTCTGCACGCTACTGCGGTTCTACGTAGAGTTGATCACAATCTGAAAAAGTAGACTAAGTACTGTTCATCCTTCTCCTGGCCACTGCTTTAATCCTACCTCCGAACACACCCTCACATAGACCCAATGCTACCACAAGAATGAAAGATGACAGTGACCTACACAGGTGATAAACTTCTCCCACATGACTGCTGCCACAGAGTTATAAGTGGAACATCCGGTTTGCTTCAGCTTTAATATCCAGAAAAGAAAATGAGCATTTTATGTACAGGAAAATTGTATTAAATTTCTTGGGAAAGGGTCATTAAGGCCAGGTTGGGTTTTTGAACCAGGATAAAACTATTGAATAAAAGATACTGCTCCAAGCAAGGCTACTGTTTAACAAATATTTGCCCAGAGAATAATTTATAAAACACTAGTTGTCAGAGATAATCTTGGAGAAAGTGTTTGGTGTTTAAATATTTGGAAAATGTGTTATTACATGGTCGCCCTCACATATTAGAGTAATGGTGACTCCAAGATGTCTTGCAACATGAAAATCAATTTTAACTTTGTTTAATGAAACATTTCCCTAGTACATATTAATGTTCCCTCATCAGGAAACAACTTTAAAACCACAGAAAATATGAGAATGTATGCTAGGCAACGAAATTATAAGACAGAAAAAGAAAATCATCTGGTTCCAAAAAAATACCTTTCCACAGAGAATTGGACACCTCACCAGTTAATAGCACTGGCAAGAAGCCAGCATAAATATTGACCACATTTCCCTTCTGGGAGCTGAACTGCTGCATTCCATCTGAAAAAAATCAGTACTTCCATATTTTATGTTCTTAAAAAAGAAGGAAACTAATTCTCTCTACAAAGCTTTTAAAATGCAGACCAAACCTTTTTTGTGAACATAATGTGCTATTTCTAAGCTGCCTGCTTGACACCTCTGCTATGATGCCTTGCAGGCACCTCAAGGTTAACATTTCCAAAATTAAACTTCAGTGAACTTTTCTCCATAAGTATGCTCTCTGCAGAGATGTCTTTGCAGGGAGTGGTTCTGCCATCCCCTGTTGTTTCCATTGATAACCTAGAATTTACCTTCTACCCCTCTTTTTCCACACATACCATTTTCCCCTCACCTATTGATCTTACCTCTGAAATCTTCATTTCTCTACTTCTCTTTACATCCAGCACCAGGATTCTAGCCAAATACATAATCATCTCTTCCCAGCAATATCCTCTTAAACATTTTCTGTCTGGCTTTATGTTGCCTTCCTCTTATTGCCCATAATATGTTTTCTGCACTTTAATGAGATGGACCTTTGAAAGACACCCATATAACCAGGTAATACCCTTGCTTTACACTTTTTAGTGTCTTCTGTTGCTCTTAGGATTAAGGCTCACTTCCTTAATCTGGCCCACAAGACCCTGTGTGCTGTCCTGAAAACCCATGTCACTTCTTTTTGCGGTGACTTTTCTCCTTAATTCTTTTCCTTTTAGTCATAACAGTTTTCTTTCAATTTCTCATAAGCTCTATGGTCATTTTTATCTCAACTTCTGCAAATGTTCCTTCTTTCAGAGTTGCTCCCCATCCCATCCAGTGCACTCTCCCACTAAATGATGGATTTGTGTGTATTCTTCAGAACTAATGTCTCAAGAAATGCCTTTCCTGAATCCCTGGATCATGTTAGAATCCTATATGGATGCAATCCATTCACTTACAAAATATTAGGTAATCAGTTTTTCAACAATTGAAATGTAACAATCAATGAAATAATGTATGTAGCCCTACTTTAGACATTTTAATGTTCTATAAAAATAAAAGGCATTAAAATTAAAATGTGAAATAAATTTATTTATCACTATAGTTTGTTCTAAGGAAATTTTTCCTGCATGATTACAATTTATTTCATTGCAAATAGAACAATTCAATAGTTACTTCATATTTCTAATTAAACTGGCTTCTTTTTAAACAATTTTTTTGGCAAAATACCTGTTGACAATCAAAAAGAGAAAAGAATTAATTTAAAATTTTATTAAGTCGAATATTTTCCAAATGCCACATAAAATTGGCCAAATTGATGACAGGAAAGAAAATTCCTGTAAGTTTCTGTTCTTTCATTCATTTATTTAATATCCAAATACCAAGACCTTTTTTATATTCCAGGCATTCATTTAAAAATTATTTTCTTTTATTTTTTTAGTTGACATATTCTAATTGCACATACTTACGGCATACAGAGTGATATTTTTATACATGTATACAGTGTATAATACTCAAATCAGGATAATTAACACGTGTCTCCTCATTTATTATTTCTTTGTGTTATGAACATCAAAAATCTTCTCTTGTAGCTGTTTCAAAATGTACAATAAATTATAGTTAACCATATCAACCTATAGCACCACAGGTCAGCAGAAATCATCCCTCCCATCTAGCTGTAATTTTATATCTTTTAAACAACATCTTCCTATTCTCCTCTTCTCCATATCCTCTAATACCCACGATTCTACTCTGCTTCCAAGAGCTCAGTATTTTTTAGCTCCCACATGTGAGCGAGAACATACAGTATTTATTTCTGTGCCTGACTTATTTCACTTAATATGATATCCTTCAGGATGCTGTGAATGATAGGGTTTCATTCTTTTTATGGCTGGATAGTATTCCATTGTGTATATATATATCATATTTTCTTTATCCATTTATCTGTTGATTAATATTTAGGTTAACTCCATATCTTAGCGATTGTGAATAGTGCTGCAATAAACAAAGGAGTGTAGGTGTCCTTTTTATATACTGATTTCCTTTCCTTTGAATAAATAACCAGTAGTGGGATTGCTGGATCTTATGGTAGTTTTATTTTTAGTTTTTTGAGAAATCTCCACACTGTTTTCCCTAATGGCTGTCCTAATTACATTTCCACCAACAGTGTACAAGGGATCCGTTTTTTACTGCATCCACACCAGCATTTGCTATTTTTGTCTTTTTGGTAATAGCCATTCTAACTGGGGTGAGGTGATATTTCATTATAGTTTTGATTTGTATTTCCCCGATGATTAGTGGTATTGAGCATTTTTTTTTGGATATTTGTTGGCCATTTATTTGTATGTCTTCTTTTGAGAAATGTTTATTTAGATCCTCTGCCACTTTTTAACCAGATTATTTGTTCTGTGAGTGTCTGTGTTGGGGAGGGTGTGTGTGTGTATTGCTGTTTAGTTGTTGAGTTTCTTGTATATTCTGGATATTAGTCTCTTGTTGGATGTATAGAATGCAAATATTTTCTTCCCTTCTACAGATTTTTTTTCATCACTTTTTGATTGTATTCTTGGCTGTACAGAAGATTTTTGGCTTAAAATAGTCCATTTGTCTTTTTTTTTTTTTTTTTGGAGGCTGTGCTTTTGAAGTCTTAGCCATCAAATATTTGCCTACTCCAATGTTCTGAAAAATTTCCCCTATGTTTTCTTTTAGCAGTTTTATAGTTTTGAGTCTTATGTTTCAGTATTTAATCCATTTTGAGTTGAGTTTTGTTGCCAGACACTCTTCTAGAGGCTAGTGAGCCAGAACTGAGTTAGACAAAGAAAGCTTCTGCCTTTTGCAGATTTTCTCTTTCTAGGTCAGATTCTCTATTTTGCCTTGGAGTGAGGGGAGCAGTTAAATAAGTTACCTTCCTAGATCCTTCTTGTTTCAAGTATTTCAGACAGCCTCACAGGCCCAAGGTTCCTTTTCTGTGTACCCACCCATGGGGCTAGCCCCATCTTCCATGGTGACAGGAGACCATGGTGACTAGGCTCCTTGCATTGTGTCTGAACAACTTCTGAGTACATCTGAGTACAACTCCTGTGACTGGAGTTAGGGCAAGTACCTTACATGGTTCTTTCCAGCACTCTGAAAATATCAATTTGAAATGAATGTGTTGATTGCCTTCAATCTCAGCTGAAGGGGAAAGATAGAGATTGGATTTTTGACTGGTTCCTCACAAACACTATAGTATTTTACAGCTTTATAAATTATTTTCTCTTACCGTTTTGGCTGGACAAATGAAAAAAAAATATCCTGAAGGAGCAATTGCATTTCCTTAGCTGCATTCAGCATCTTCATTTGTTTTTATTTGCCAGTGCATTTTGCCTTATTATTTGAAGTGTGTTTTTCTTATCTGTTGTAGGCACTACACTTTATTCCTATTTGCTGATTTAAATAGATCTCTAACCAAGGAAAAGCACAAGATTCTCACATTGCTGTATACTAAATTTCTGGCCTGGAATTATATGTTATTTGTGATACTTTAAGTGCAATGACATTTATGTAACTGTATTATTAGTTGCAAAATAACTTTAAAAGTAACTTTATTAACTGCATGAAATAGAAACAACAAATACCAGAAACCTGTATTTTATGCTACAATCCCAGTAGATGTTATCTTGTAATATTGCATTATGAAATCTCAGGGCTTTAAAGAAAGAACATTAGGGTTTATATTTTCTCACCTGGCATAAAATGTAATACAATGTTTCATTTATCTTCAATGATTTCTTTTTCTTGAATTATTTGTAATGAAAAAATATACTTGTAGATGGATCTGTTAAGAGAGAAAAAATAATATCGTGAACATCCATGGTTTATATTTAGAAAATTCTCTGATTGCTATCCGCAAGCCATCACTCTACAGCTTAATATTTATTTGAATTTTTATTTCAATTGTGAAGCTTTCTGCAGTAATTTAGAAAAATAGGTTATGCAGTTATAATAGAATTTGGCGATAGAATCTAGTTCTACCCTGGGATTATATTACAGGTAAAATTGTTCATTTTCATTGACTTGGAACAATGGTTTTATCTTTTATTAGATATATAGCTTCTTGTCAGTTACAAATAAGAGTGATATCAACAAAATAAGAGCCCCTATTCATTAATCCCGTAACATGTTCCCAGCAAGGTGGCATTACATAAATATGTCTCACTTAGTTCTAATAGTGATCTTTTGGAGAAATATTATTATTTCCATTTTAAGGATGAATAACTGGATTTTGAGGTATGAAACTTACACAAATTCCTGTGACTGGAAAGCAATAAAGTATAAGCTCTGGCCTGACAGCAAAGCCCATGTTCCTGACCTCTATTGTCAATCTCCAGTGTCCCTAACTCCAAAATATAGGTCTTCTTAATGTGATCACCTCACAAAATGATTTTGCCCATTATTGGTGCACGCTGATATTCTTAGGTAGAAACGATAGAATATGATCTACAAGGCTTAGTTACATTAAATTTGAAAACAAATAAGGAGATAAAAAATTTCAGGGAGGATAAAGATTAGTCTGCATGTGCCCATTGCAGTGAATTGTAACAGTTTTATTAAAAGGGCAATGTGTGGGTGCATGTGTGGGGAACAACACTCGGGCACACTGGCGGTGATCTTGAGAAGCAGGGTGCTGATGTGAATACATTTGTTTCAAGTACTGTCTGTTTTTCTGAATGACAACATTAGTGGTACATTAGTACATTGATGAAACTAGTACATCTACTCCTGAGACATTGTATTTACTAGTAGATGAATGGTGGTGAAGGTTGGAGAGAGAACCTATGGGCTAAATAATAGAGAATTGAAGGAGAAAAAGTCAAAGCAAAATGTTGGGTAGGCAGACTAAATGCATTATCACCTTCTAAGCCATGAGGGAAAATCCATGTAGGAGAAAATGGGATGGAAATAAGGAGGAGATGGGGCAGATGGTTATGCTGGGAGGCAGAGAACTGGAGACAAAGCCTGCAGTGATTCCCCAACATAAGCAGAACACCAGTTCAAGCAATACCTTATGCATGTCCTCTGGGGTTTGGGTAGGCTTGTGCCATGTGAGTTTTGCTAAAACAAAACAAGAGTCACCTTTGCTCCAGTTCTCAACAAGTTCCTCATCGCCATCTGAGACCACCTCAGCCTGGACCTTATTGTTCATATTGCTATCAGGCTTTTAGTCAAAGCCATTCAACAAGTCTACAGAAAGTTCCAAACTTTCCCATATTTTCCTGTCTTTTTCTGAGCGCTCCAATCTGTTCCAACCTCTGCCTGTTACCCAGTTCCAAAGTAACTTCCACATTTATGGGTATCTTTTCAGCAATGCTCCACTCCCGGTACCAATTTACTATATTAGTTTGTTTTCACACTGCTGGTAAAGACATACTCAAGACTGGGCAATTTACAAAAGAAAGAAGTTTAATTGGACTTACAGTTCCACATGGCTGGGAAGTTCTCAGAATCATGGCTAGAGGTGAAAGGCTCTTCTTACATGGTAGCAGCAAGAGAAAATGAGGAAGAAGCAAAAGCAAAACTCTTGATAAACCCATCAGATCTCGTGAGACTTACTCACTATCATGAGAATAGCATGAGAAAGACTGGTCCCCATGATTCAATTATGCCCCCACACCCCCCAGGTCCCTCCCACAACACGTCGGAATTCTGGGAGATACAACTGAAGTTGACATTTTGGTGGGGACACAGCCAAACTATATCACCACAGATGATAAACTTGAAGGTAAGGTTAAATTGGATCACCTGATGGAGAGAGACTGTGGATCACAGGATAAATAATACAGATTGCCTTCTGCTTGAGGAATGCTTTTGTTGAAGGTCTTAGATTGGCCCCTGCAGTCATGCATCCATCTTTTTGAAACCAGGCTTATTACATGATTATTTTGAGAGATTATGTTTAGCCATAACACTTACTCCAATGACGAAAATCATTTATCACTTTTTACCATTGCATAAGTGTTCCTAAAGGCAGAGGATGCATTAACCACTGTGAACAAATTCCTCTGACATATAGATTGTTTTAAATATGTCACTCTGTTGGCCAGGAACTTCCAGTTATTGAAAAGCTAAGTATAATGCAAAGTATTTAGTTTTTCCAAGGTTACCTCTTAGTTGTCTCCCTTTTACATATTTACAATTAGATCACTGTAGAGTGTCAATCCTTTTTCTTCTTCTCCCACTCAAACTTTATCATTTTAAACATACCTTTATCTTCTCGTTATTACTATTATATTATAAAATATAATAAGTGTGAAAATTAGGAGGAATATCACATTTGTAAAGGAAGCCCCTATACAGCAGGTGGGGACAATGATCTGGTTCACCTCTAGGACTCTGGATAAATAAACTCAGGTTCTTTTTCTTTTTCATTTCATTTTCTTCTTTTCTTTCTTTCTTTCACTTTTTTTTGTTTGTTTGTTTCCTGAGACATAGTCTCACTCTCTCACCCAGTCTTCAATGCAGTGGTGTGATCACGGCTCACTGCAGCCTCTATCTCCTGGGCTCAAGCAGATCCTCTCACCTCAGCCTCTTGAGTACTGGGACTATGGGCATGTGCCACTAGACGTGGATAATTTTTTTTCTTTTTTAGAGAGACAGGTTCTCGCCATGTTTTCCAAGCTCGTTTCATATACCTGAGCTCAAGTGAACCACATGCCTGGGCCTCCCAAATTGCTGGGATTTCAGACCTGATCCATTATGCCTGGCCAATAAACTCAGGTTCTTACCTACTTGTGAAAAACCACAAAAATATTCCCTCCTTTGAATTATGAAAGAATGAATTATCTGTGTCACACCAGTAGTACTTAGCATGTGCCAGTATGGAATTGGCATACAGTAGACATTTAATAAATGATGAAGCTAACCCTCTTACCACCATAACTCAATGAGTTAATCGAAGATACTCAATTTTATAACATGTGGGTTAATTAAATGGTCAGGCTGAATCTATGCAGCAGGGTAAACAGAATTTGAGAACAGATTGCAAAATTTAGGTAAATTCAAGTTTTTGTTTGGTTTGGCACCGCAAGTAATGTTTCCTCACCCAGGCTTCAGTTTTAACAGAGATGATTCTGAATCCAGAATGATCTTTCTTAAGCTTCTGATTTCTTAAGATGCATCAGAAGCTTAAGAAATCACCTCCCTGTTTAGGTGATATTTATTGGCCAGAATTGGGGAGATGGATATGGAAGAACATTGGAGACAAGAGAACCCATCTTCTTCCTCCCTATTTTTGGGGGTGGAATTACCTGCATTTTCCATGTAGCTTTGTTTTTTCTTTCATGCCCTGTCCCCACTCCCTACAAGAAAGTAAGAACTTTAGTTTCCATCTCCTATATCACCTGCTTCCTCCAGCCATTTTAAGAACAGAGCCAGCAAGAAGGATAAGCAGTCAGTTGCCTATAGTGTTGCATCCACATTTATGTTACTGTACTGTGTTTTGTAGGAAGGAGAAATTTTATAAAGTTTTTTTCCTTTGTTTGATGAAATAACTTGTCATACCTTTTCACAATGATGCTCCATTTGTAGTAAACACAAAAACATCTGTTGGTAACGATAAAAAACCTTGACTTTTTACAATAAAAGTTAAAAGTCAGTCTTAAGCATTCCAGTGAACTCACAGGGGCATCACCAGATTTCTAAGTGTTTCGAAGGCTAGACAGCCTTGCAGGCTGCTTGCTTGGGGCTAGTCACAGTTTCAACATTAGATTGTGCTACATTCCTTTTCATTATGTCATATTTTTGTAAAGCTTCACTTTCAGTGGTTGCTGTGATATGATGCAAGTATAACACAAAAGTCAGTGAGGAAAGGGAAGTGAGGGTGGGGATGTCTAACATTATTCCAAAGTTTAGGAAATTGTTTTGAGTCCAACAGGAACATGGATTCCCTTAGTAAGTCACTGTGATAATTTAAAAATGAAATAGAAATAATGTTTTACCTTCAGTTAATATATATTAATGAATCATGTTGCCACTGAGTTGTTAGGATATAACTATTAAGGATATAAAAATTAAGTTGTTTACACCTAACTAATTAACAAACAGAACTCACATATTTCTTTTGGCCTAGGGGTCCCGTGTAAATATTACTAAGACACTAAAATTGCTGCAAAATGAGAAAGTTTAGAAACCTCCAGGTTGAGGAGTTATTCTAAGTGTTACTAAGGCTCCTTAGATCCTTGTGAGCCTATAAAATAATTAAAAACTCCCATCATGAGAATGTGTCAAAAACTCTAATTTTGAGAATATTGATCCCTATGTGTTTACTTGAAACAAAAGACATATTGGGGCAAGTTACTTAGAGACAAATTTCATCTGCTGTGGGTCAAACATCACCTAATATGTAAGTGTTAAAATGGAATATTCAGGCATTGAAGTTGTCATTGTTATAAGACCCTTGTTACAGCAAAGAAACTGAGGTACAGAGAGAATTATTAACACAGCAAAGCAATCAGAAGACGTGACTCAATATTGTGCTTTAGAGGACATATGTTGTATCTTATCTTCCAAATGGGGATGGAGGGCAGCACTTATGCTGTGATTAAATAAAATCTGACTTTTTACCTTAAAATAATTCAATTAGAAGTAATTTGAGTATCTTTTCCTTGTTTTTCTCTTTTGTCCAGCTTATATTTATCCACGATTTTATAAATCTGGCTCAGCAAAGCATGTTGGAAGGGATCTCATTTTAAACAATTCTGTTAGTGCTTTGCTGCAGGCTACATGTGCCTTCATTGTGTGTGTGTATACGTGAGTGAGTTTACTACCGTAATTAGAAATCACTTACTCTAATTTTTCTCTAATTTCCAAACACTACAGTGGTATCTTTGTGCAAGCCTAAGTAAATTACTCTCTCAGGCATCATATTTATTTTAGTTACATGAATATTAAAAAAATGGATGGCTGGTTATAGTATTTGCTGAAGTTAAATGGAAGGGCAAAAATGCTCTCTATTCCTTGAATGTTTAGAAAACACAGGGGTTTAGTTGAGGTAAAAAATATGAGTTAATGTCATTTTCCTGGAAGCTACCCTATTTAAAAGTAGCCACTAAGAACCAAAGCTATTGAATAAACTGTATTTTAGCCATTTGATAAAACTTTTCTTAGAAGTATTACTTGGATGTAAATATTTAATCTTGCTGAAATTATATTTGTTCAGGAAGTTTCAAATATAGCATAAGGAATATAGTCATAAAAGATGAATCAAAGGAGAATGATATAATGAAAAATCAGAATGGAATTCAAAGATCCAGTCAATTTTACGTTTTTTCCAGATATTTTACTGTCATCCAAAAACTAAATAATTACCTATTGAGCTTGATGTAACTTTTTAGAGGAAAAAAAAAAAAGTTTTATTCTGAGCCTCTAGTTTGTAAGTTCTGCTGCTTGCTTGAAATGTGCATTTCCCACATGACCTTTACAAATGTTTTATTAGATTTAATTAAACAGAGACAGGAAAGAAAAGAAACACTTGAGGAAAATCTGGCCAGCAGAGAAGATAATACTGTAGAGTACTCAGGTTTGACAATTGTGGTAGTTTGTAACCCAACGAAGCACATAAAGCTGGAAAATAAAGAAACTAGATACCTGCAATCTTGATTTTGTGATTGCTGAATGTGTTTAGTAAGGGAGAAGAATAGAAAGTATTTAAGGCATCATGGGAAACCTCTTTGAAAGTCTGAGAAATGAGTTTATAGACCGTGAACATTTTTCGTGTAACTAGCAATTCTACCTTTGGCATCAGAAATTTCATTTGAGTTTAGTTTATGTATGATATAAAAGGCAATGGAAATGTTTAGTTTTGGAACTTTTTTGAAAGAATCATAAAATATATTAAGTAGCAGTTACATTTTTATACTATTGTATAAAAAGATTTTGATACCAGTCACCAAAAATTAATCCATAATTATATGAAATAAATATATTTAAGTGACTGTTTTAGGCCAAGCTCGGAGTTAGTAGTTAAATTTGAAGTATTTAATTATCACAACCACTTTCTGAGTTAGGTTTTATTATTATCTATATTTTAAAGGTGAGAAAACTGAGGTTTAGGGGGATTCCAAAATCATCAAGTAAGTAATGACATCAGGACTTAAACCCAGGCCATTTGACCTTAAAAGTATAGTCCATTTTTTTTCACATTTTAATAATTCTGATATCAGGTTGTGGCTTAAAATTAAGGCAAACAATTTTGTATCATGTTGATGTTGATTGATGCCTCTCCTAATGAGGCCTTTTATTAAATTCAAAATGTGTTTTAAAATTTTATGGTGTCTTAGGATCAAGAAAATGTCACGTTAGAGAGTAAAACAAAGACCACTAGATCTTGGGAATGGAAATAAAAGTAGTGGAGATGCCAGGCAAGGAAATACAGATCAGTGAGAAAAATCAGAGTATCCTACTGAGGGGTCAATTCAGGATTTTTAAGCCATGAGAGGAGAGAGGAAACCATCATAGTTACTACATCATATTTACATCACATATAACAATTGAAGGCAACATTCTGGATAGGAAGGTATGAGATCATTGGTTCTTAGTTGCTTAAAAAGAGTCCCATTGTTCTTTGCTCAAGACAGTCTTGTGTTGAGTTCAGGGGGTCAGTTAGGTCCTGAAGATCTAAAATAATGGAGTCTCTCAAAGGTCATGGTTTTTCAACAACCTCATCTAGTTAATGCTCTTTGTGGAAAAACATAACATTCAGTTTTACTATCTCCATGCAAGTGCTGCAGAAATGGAAAGTTTTTCTTTCTATTCTTTTTCCAGGGGCTAAATAAAAGAATATAAACTCAAGAGTGGGGGAGAATCCTACCTTTAAGCCAATAATTTAGAAAATGCATTGTATATATAGAACAAATTTAAAAGTTGAAGGGTTTATTTCAGTATGTATAGTAAAAGTAGGGCCTGAATAAAGACCATGTAGGTGCACCAACAGCTTCACTTTTTAAAGAAGCAAAGCATTGTCATGGAAAACAAGTAGTGGAGACAGTGGAAGAACCCTAATTCAGAAAATAGGGTCTTATTCAACGTAGTATTGGAAGTTCTGGCCGGGGCAATCAGGCAAGAGGAAGAAATAAAGGGTATTCAAATAGGAAGAATGGAAGTCAAATTGTCTGTGTTTGCAGATGACATGATTGTATATTTATTTAGAATACCCGATCGTCTCAGCCCCAAATCTCCTTAAGCTGATAAGCAGCTTCAGCAAAGTCTCAGGATACAAAATCAATGTGCAAAAATCACAGGCATTCCTATACACCAATAATAGACAATCAGATAGCCAAATCATGAGAGAACTCCCATTCACAATTGCTACAAAGAGAATAAAACACCTAGGTATACAACTTATAAGGGATGTGAAGGACCTCTTCAAGGAGAACTACAAACCACTGCTCAAGGAAGTAAGAGAGGACAGAAACAATTGGAAAAACATTCCATGTTCATGGACAGGAAGAATCAGTATCATGAAAATGGCCATACTGCCCAAAGTAATTTATAGATTCAATGCTATCCCCATCAAGCTACCATTGACTTTCTTCACAGAATTAGAAAAAAACTACTTTAAGTTTAATGAGAACCAAAAAAGAGCCCATATAGGCAAGACAATCCTAAGCAAAAAGAACAAAGCTGGAGGCATCATGCTACCTGACTTCCAACTATACTACAAGGCTACAGTAACCAAAACAGCATGGTACAGGTACCAAAACAGATATACAGACCAATGGAACAAAATAGAGGCCTCAGAAATAATGCCACAAATCTACAACCATTGGATTTTTGGCATACTGACAAAAACAAGCAATGGGGAAATGATTCCTTATTTAATAAGTGGTGTTGGGAAAACTGGCTAGCCATATGCAGAAAATTGAAACTGGACCCCTTCCTTACACCTTATGCAAAAATTAACTCAAGATGGATTAAAGACTTAAATGTAAGACCTAAAACCATAAAAACCCTAGAAGAAAACCTAGGCAATACCATTTAGGACATGGGCATGGGCAAAGACTTCATGACTAAAACACCAAGAGCAATGGCAACAAAAGCCAAAATAGACAAATGGGATCTAATTAAAGAACTTCTGCACAGCAAAAGAAACTATCATCAGAGTGAACAGGCAACCTACAGAATGGGAGAAGATTTTTGCAATCTGTGCCTCTGACAAAGGGCTAATATCCAGAATCTACAAAGAACTTAAGCAAGTTTACAAGAAAAAAACACCTCCATCAAAAAGTGGGCAACGGATATGAAGAGATACTTCTCAAAAGAAGACATTTATGTGACCAACAAACATGAAAAGAAGCTCATCATAGCTGGTTATTAGAGAAATGCAAATCAAAACCACAATGAGATACCATCTCATGCCAGTTAGAATGGTGATCATTAAAAAGTCAGGAAACAACAGATACTGGAGAAGATGTGGAGAAACAGGAACACTTTTACACTGTTGGTGGGAGTGTAAATTAGTTCAACCATTGTAGAAGACAGTGTGGTGATTCCTCAAGGATCTAGAACCAGAAATACCATTTAACTCAACAATCCCATTACTGGGTATATACCCAAAGGATTATAAATCATTCTACTATAAAGACATGTGCACACATATGTTTATTGTGGCACTGTTCACAATAGTAAAGACTTGGAACCAACCCAAATGCACATCAATGATAAACTAGATAAAGAAAATGTGGCACATATACACCATGGAATACTATGCAGCCATAAAAAAGGATGAGTTCATGTCTTTTGCAGGGACATTAATGAAGCTGGAAATGGTCATTCTCAGCAAACTAACACTGGAACAGAAAACCAAATACTGCCTGTTCTCACTCACAAGTGGGAGTCGAACAATGAGAACACATGGACGCGTGGAGGGGAACATCACACACCAGGGCCTGTTGGCTGGTGAGGGACTAGGGGAGGGATAGCATTAGGAGAAATACCTAATGTAGATGATGGGTTGATGGGTGCAGCAAACCACAGTGGCACTTGTATACCTATGTAACAAACCTGCACGTTCTGTGCATGTATCCCAGAACTTAAAAGTATTAAAAAAAAAAAAAAAAGAAAGAAAGAAAAGAAGGAAAGAAAATAGGGGCATGGAGATGAAGGCCGAACTCAGAAAGCACTCATCTAGTTTAGACTACCCTAAAACACTTGAGCTCAATAGCATTCAAATACACCTACACTCCACTGAGAGGCCCAACAATAAAGATAGCCACCCCAACCGATGGGATGGAAAAGGCACAGCACATCAGGATGGAGGATGAAACACAGGTTCTCAAGTGGAAAGCATTTCTAATGTGTGCACACACAGACACAAACACTCACAAATATCTAAAAGGACACCATGTCATATAGAATTATTAAACACTATTGAAAAATCAGGGAAGATATTTGTAGTATTTTGCCAAAAATTCTGTTTCCCTAAGAATTCTTATAATTCAATTGGAAAATAAAGTTTCCAAGAAAAAATTAAGCAGATGATAAAAGGAATTGTCACAAAACAAATGAACAATGAGTGTATTAAATATCACAATATCACTAGTAACTAAATACATGTAAGTTAAAGAGCACAAATGGTAAAAAGGTAAAATTTTTGGATATTAAGTAAGGACATGAAATACTGCAAAACCCAATGTATTGAAGGAAAAATAGACCATTCCTGGAGGGCAATTTGTCAATGTAATTGGTAAAACTATAATAATTGTTTAATTTAAAGTTTTCTTTGTTAATTTTATCCTAAAATCTTACACAAGATTTTTAGATCAAAGACAGATTTCTTATACTTCATAGCAAAAATTATTTTTCAATTGTAACATAATAGTTAATTTCACATTTTTTGTTCTATATTTTTCAACGTTTTTACAGTGAACAATGAAATTGAGAAAAAAGTGACAATGAATGAAATATTTGTCTCATGCAATTGGAAAACAGAGAAGGCAAGTGTATGGATTATAGCAGAATCTAATGAATTAGAAAAAATAAAACTGATAAATCAAAATATTATATGCCAATTCAGTATATAGAAATCTGGTATTTTTCACAACGAAAATGGCATATACAAATATATAATATTAGATGTGAGAAGCGGGGTAGTTATGTGACTATATGTCCAAAACCCTCCAGCAATATTGAATATTTTACTATAAAATGTAAATTTTCTAAGAGACTTAAGGAATTTAAGGAGGAGCAGAAAATCAGTATCTGTGGAAAAACTTGTCAATGCAAAGAAAGAAAAGAAAAACCTGCCTCCTAAAAGAGTTTCTGGGTTCAGAATGTTTTATTAATACCAGGAAAGTTTTTTTTAATTTGCTTTTTACATTTTATGTCATAGAGCCAATATTGGAATGCTTTGTTTCTCTTAAATTAATCTATTTCAGTAAGTGTAAAAAAAATGAGGGCCATTTATGAAATTTATTGATATAATTAAGAAAAGAGAAGAATCCATCCAGTTTTGATGGTGGATTGAACTGTCAGATGTTACACAGCTTTAGTAATTATATTAGTGTGATATTGACAGGAAAAAAAGATGTACATTAATTAGTAAATTATAACAGAAAGTCCAGAATCAGACATAAATTTATATGAAAATTAATTATAATGGCAGCATTTAAAATGAATAAAGAGTGGGTTTTTCAAGTGGCATCAGAACAAAGAACTAATTGTATCAAAAATTAAAAACAGTATCTTGCTCTCTACTTCATATAATGTGGTGAAACAAAACCCAGGAGAAATATTGCTTCAAAAGTAACAAATTCTATTAAATATAGACAAATACATAACCCTGACTTGGAAAGAGTCTTTCTAAGCATAACACCAATGATTGAAACCATAAATTTAAAAAATTGATATATTTTGGTGTATCAACAAAAATACAGATGATAGAAAAAAGATAGATGGATTAATACATATAGAGATATTACACGCAAAAAATAGTCATGCAAATGACCAATTTAAAAATAACTTATAGCCGGGCGCGGTGGCTCACGCCTGGAATCCCAGCACTCTGGGAGTCCAATGTGGGCGGTTCGTGAGGTCAGGAGTTCGAGACCAGACTGGCCAACACAGTGAAACCCCATCTCTACTAAAAGTACAAAAAATTAGCCAGGCATGGTGGTGCACACCTGTAATCCCAGCGACTCAGGAGGCTGAGGCAGGAGAATGGCTTGAACCCAGGAGGCGGAGGTTGCAGTGAGACGAGATTGTGCCATTGCACACAATCTGGGCGACAGAGCGAGACTCTGTCTCAAAATAAATAAATAAATAAATAACTAGTAAAATACATGAAAGAGCCTTGAAAGACATAACTTTATAAGAGAGTGGCTTAACTGTACCATAAATTTGCCAATATTTATATATAAGCAACTCAAAATATATTTAAATCGTAAATTCGCTATTGTATTTATAAGTTTGATGCTGTGTGTGGAGTTGTAAGTAAAATATTCAGTGTTCCTTATATCCAAGTGGTATATTAATTATTACAAACTTTCATGAGTGCAAACTGAAATATTTATATCACCTTTGACCCCAAAATTCCATTTGGAAAAATTTAGGTTAAGAAAGAAATCATAGATTCACAAGACATTTCTCAGGCATACTCAAACTGATGTTTTTTTTTAGAAGGGTCAAATTGGCATTAATCCACAAGACCAATCAGGTATTTGAATTTAAATAATTATGGTAGATCTGCACATTGCAATGTGATATGGCTTCTTAAAAATGTTTTTGTGGAAGATGCTTCAAAATGAGAAAGTAATTTTTTTAATGTTTTTATTTTTACTTTTTAGACACGGAGTGTCGCTCTATCACCCAGGCTGGAGTGCAGTAGCGCAATTTCGGCTCACTGCAACCTCCGCCTCTTGGGTTCAAGTGTTTCTCCTGCTTCAGCCTCCCTAGTAGCTGGCATTACAGGTGCAAGCTACCACACCTGGCTAATATTTGTAGTTTTAATAGAGACGGAGTTTCACCTTGTTAGCCAGGCTGGTCTCCAACTCCTGAGCTCAAGTGATCCACTTGCCTCAGCCTCCCAAAGTTCTGGGATTACAGGTGTGAGCCACTGTGCTTGGCCTGAGAAAGTAAGTTTTAACATAGTGTTACATGAAAACAAATCAGTTCATAAGAACATTCTACTTAAAAATATGTATTAGAGAAACAAAGAAAAACTTCAAAAACTTTTTATCTTTAAAATCTAATGAATTAATTTTCAACTTTGCAATGCCTACAAACTAATGGGTGACTCCATGTAGACTGCTTTATGTGTTGAATTTCTTGTACATGATATACAGCATTGAATATATATACATAAAAATGTTTTGTGTATATAAAGAATGTAAAATAACTAATAGACTATTAAATATTTTACTTTCTGTAATTGTCTCATTTTAAATAGAGGATGGAAATGGTTAAGTTAAAAGAGAAAAGTTCTCTTTCTCTTTAAAAGAAAAATCAAGGAACCAATGCTTCTCCAAAAGAGAAGATCCTAATTTTGTGGTTCACCGGTGTATGACTTTGGAGAAATAGATAAATACATTTGGTGAATTGATCCATGACCTGAGCAGCGGTCAGCTAAATCAGCTAGTTTGCCATGTGAATATGCACACTGCATTAAGTAAAATTAAGAGATGATTACTGAGTTCAGCTTAAGTTCATATTACTGTGAACTGATTTCTTAATTTTTAGAGAGCTCTGAAATTGAGAAGCATAACTCAAAATGTAAGACTTATTAATCTGAATTCCTCAAAGAGGAAATGAAGCATAATTACTTATGTTTCCAGTATAAACACATAATATGAGTTCATCAGCTTCATATGTCAAGGCACACATTTAAACAATTTTTCTTTAAGACATTTCACAAAGTTAGGTAATTCCACAATGTAGGTTAACATGGCAATTCTAGTTAAGGGTAGGATTAAGAAACTTACATCAATTGGGCAGAGGATCACTGAGCCAGACACACAATAAAAGCAACGAAATAAGTTTTTGAAGATAAACATTTACCATGGTGTAAAATTCTTAGTCCAGAAAAAAACATTTGTTCAACCTACTTTATGTCATCTTCTTTCACATGATCAAAATAATTTAATCTTGATAGCTCCCTAGGCATTATTATTTTTGTTTTACAGAAATTGAAATTAAGTTTTTCAGTGAGTTGTTGAAGTTTTCACAGCTAGTGAGTAGAAAAACCAGGCTTAAAATGTTTGCTCTTCTATGAAGAAAACATACAACTAACGTGCATCTCACCATAAACATGCATTTTGCATGCATGAACATTCACATTGGTTAAAAAATTTTTCTGAAGACCAGACAATATTCACAAACTCTATTAAGTCAGTTATCATTTTTCTATCCCAGCCTGTGTGGCATAGAAAAATTTCTCTTTCTCCTCTCTCTGTCTCTTTCTCTCTTTCATTCTCTTTCTCTCAATCTGTCTCTCTCTCTCTCACTATATATATATGTGTGTGTATATATATATGCATATACATATATATACACACACGTATATACATGCACACACACACACATTCAAATATAGTCAGTGAATATACGCATTTAGTATTTGACAAATATTATGATGTATATTTTCTAAGAGACTACCTATGTGTAAATCGAAAATAAGAATTTCAAATGATTCATATTGATAGGGAATTTGTAATGTTTTCTATGTAAATGAGAGTTACAAAACTCATTAAGAAGTACTCAACTGTACTGCTCTATAAAATGAAGATGAAGGTATTGACCTAGTAAGTACTTTACATATATATCTACATTTCTATAATTTTATTCATCAATGAATTTGCTCATTTATTCTGGAAAAAATTAAATGTGTCATAAAATAATATAAAATAATAATCTTAATTTGATTTTCAAATTTTTTTCTCCTCTCTCATCCCATAACACTAATGAGCATTTTCTTGTCAAAGTTGGGAGTTAAGAAATTTAACGTTTCTAAATGATTCTGTAAACCTAGTTATTCTCCCACCCTTCAGCTGAACTGCTTTGAAAATACAATGTGCAAAGCTGCAGATTAACAGTGCTTAAATGTACAGGGTTGACGTAATTTCAGGCTGCTTGAATTAACTCTCTTCGACAAGCCTTTCCTTGCGAACCACCAGCAGAAAAGTTCCTCTTTGTCTACAGTTACAAGCCAGGCTCCAGTCACTGGGAGTTTTCGCATTGTTTCTAATATATTGGTGCTCGGACAAAGTTGAATCATCCCCTATGAAAGCTTGACTGCCCAAAGGGTATAAACCCAATTGTCAGTGGTTTCTTCAGCTTTGACAGTTCTCAGTGTGATCCTAACAGCCTCTGGTAAAACAAGAAGGCAAGAGAAAATCTGCAGAGACGACCTTCTATTCATTTCTGTAATAGTTTTCTTGCCACAGGAGACTTAAGAAGATTTGTACAGCCTGCTCTCTTTTCATTAGCAGAAAGTGCAATGCTGCTGGGTAAGTTAATGTGTAAGACTGTAGAAAAGAAGAGTGCTGTATATATGAATTTTTATTCCATTTAAAAAACTATCCTTTTACTTAAGTACAATACAGCTGAAAATATAAATAAATGGTAAATATATTTAATATTTTCTTAATCATAGACTTAGCATCTGGCTTCATTCTGTTTGTTGAATGCAATTCCATGGTTCACTAGGTTTTGGTATGAACATGTTAAAATTATCGTTACTGAACTGACAAGGAAGCTTGATTGAATTTTTAACACAGTCATAATTCTTGTCGTCAAATGTAACAGTATTTAATGATTTCTTTGTATTTCCATATGCAACAAAATGCATCAGTGTTTTCAGGCTTAGTTTGGCCATTCCATTAAACTGCCAGGACTAAATTACTGTTCATGTAGTATCTTTATTTCCTTCTTTGCTAGCAAAATTATATCTGGTTAGTAAAATCTCTCACTTTGGTTGAGAAAAATCTACATGTTTACATTAGTTATAGCACACAGTAACTAACATATAAATGCATTTATTCATTATGTACATAAAAGACATTTCCCTTACAAAGTAGTATATATAATTTGTTGAGTACATGTTGCTATTTTTCTTTTATAATTTAATCTATACTGTATCATATGAACTAATTTCCCAGTTAAAATATTGATGAAATATACTGAATATATTATAATTAGTAGATATATCATTTTTTTCCATGATGTTGTCACTGCAGAAGTCATTAATACTATCAAAGATCAGTATTTGATAAATTGGAACATAGAAAAAGAGATAAGACAGGATAAGTCAAATAAATAATTACTTATTCTTTCTCACTCGCTATATATATGTATATATATACATATATATACACACACACACATCTATACACACACACACACACATTCAAATATAGAGTCAGTGAATATATCCATTTAGTATTTACTAGTCGCTTTTATAAATTAGTTATTTCTTCAAGATGCCTTTTTTCACTATAAGCTAGACAGTACCAAAATGTGAACTGGGTGGAATAAATTAATACTTCCCTCATTTTTAGGCCTTCCAGTATGAAATAGCTGAATTTAGCCTAAAGTTAAGACCTTTTTTGGCTTTTCTGATACAGTTTT
This sequence comes from Homo sapiens, assembly GCF_000001405.40. Taxonomy (NCBI): domain Eukaryota; kingdom Metazoa; phylum Chordata; class Mammalia; order Primates; family Hominidae; genus Homo; species Homo sapiens. The sequence goes on along the minus strand of NC_000003.12, from coordinate 21,943,052 downwards.
TATTTTTAGAAGTATGAGTTCTTATGTGAAGTAATATTACATTTATAAGTTCTTAACCATTGTCATGAAGATTCCAGTGTGGACCTAGAAGGGTTAAGTTATAACATCTTACAAGGCAAAATAAGTGATAACTTTAAAATAAGACTGATGAAGTTGGCCTTCAGCTTTTGGTGAAATCCTATGTTTTTTAGATATGTTACAGAACAGCATATATTATATCTGTGATTAGGGATGTCTTAAACAATGACCTGATTAAAGAACTGCCAATAGAAGTGTTCTTTTCTTCCCCTACATCTTTAAATTGTTTCCCCTGACAGTTTGTGATGGTGTGTTGACATTTTGAAATATCAAAGCAGAGAATAACCATTGATACAGCTGTCTGACTTACCATGGTTCCTTATTATAGCAATCATGTTACCACGGGCCATACTTCTGTCAACAGCACTTCATCACAGATGCCCCAATTGCCCATATATGCATGAAAGCTCAGAGCATTGCCTGCCAAAGATGCAATAAATCAAGGAGCAAATTATGTGGCTGTTTCTGCAGCGCTTAGATATTCTTGTGTCCTCGTGGCCACGCGCTTTTATTCGCTTACTAAGTTTCTAAACAATGCATTAGCTGAAGGATGAGTCCTTACATTCTGTTTGTATTATGTGTCATAGTAAGGAAGGATGACTCACTAGAAATTAGAATGTGGATTATAATCCAAAAGAGCCCCTCATTTATGAACAGGTTTAGGGAAAGAATTCAAATCTATTTTTATTTGCTTATTCTCCTCTGACCATTTAAAAAAGGAGTCATTTTATTTTAAAAACAAACTACGTGAATAACAAGTGGGTATGATTTCTCTAAAAATTAAAATGTAATATTTCAGAAATTTTAAAAATTACGCTATAAAATTTTTGACAACTTATCAGTTACTTGACATAATACACATAAAGTTAAAGTGTTACTGTTTTGTCATGTCCTTAGCTATAACATATACATTTGACAATACACATGTGTATGTTGTATATATTTTCTTTATAAAAGAGAAAAGTTCCAGGAAAGCGGAATTTCCCAAATTCAAGAAGAATAATTGTATATAACCTAATGGCTTCTAGCTATGGGACTTTGTAAAAGGACCTAAGGCTATGAATGAGGAAGAACAATTTTTCTAAAAAATAATTTTTATTTTTCATCATAGAGCTTAAAGATTTAGTTGCCTCAAATTAATTGTAGAATGAGGTGGGCCATAACACAGAAATTAAAGAGGCCGGGCATGGTGGCTCACCCCTGTAATCCCAGCACTTTGGGAGGCCGAGGTGGGCGGATCACGAGGTCAGGAGATCGAGACCATCCTAGCTAATACGGTGAAACCCCGTCTCTACTAAAAATACAAAAAATTATCCGGACGTGGTGGCGGGCGCCTGTGGTCCCAGTTACTCGGGAGGCTGAGGCAGGAGAATGGCGTGAACCCGGGAGGCGGAGGTTGCAGTGAGCCGAGATCATGCCACTGCATTCCAGCCTGCGGGACAGAGTGAGACTCCATCTCAAAAAAAAAAAAAAAAAAAAAAAAAGAGTAATGGAATTAAAATGGAAAAAGACCATAGAAAACATCCTGCTTAATCACTATACTTGGTAGATCATTGTTTGCTTCACTTATTTCAGCTAAGTAGGAAATTGTATTATACCTGACATTTGAGTCAGCTTAGTGCATACATATACTACTACTCTATTTCCAAATAGATAATATTTTTGTCAGAGAATGTATTGGTATTCTCATAATAACAAAATTTCCCCAAAAATGGCATTATCAACATAGTAACATATAAATTCCATAAGCTAGGTCACACAGCTAAGAAAAATCAAAGCTTTGAACCCAAATATTTTGTTTCCTGGGACTTCCCTTTTAACCACCATACAATAGAAATAGTGCTCAAGTCATTTAATAGTTTTCTACAGAATACAAAGTAGGTGTTAAATTGTGTCATCTTTTTTCATTGGCTGGAATCACACTTTCCAAGATAATTTGCTTTTGTCCCTCATTGATCTTTATTAGTTATCGGTTTCAAACACTTTAGATTTAATATTCTTTGTTTTTCAGCCTTTGATGAAACATGAATTATGTAAAAGTACTTGGATGGATCCTCTGTGGTGTATTTCTATTTGAAGTAACTTCTTACAAAGTTGGTACTATTTTTGCAGTATTCAAAACTATTTCTGTATTATGACATTGATAAATATTTTATGCAGCATATTTTTACATATATTTTCTTCCTTAAAAATAAATATATTTTGGAACCTCCCTGACCACTGTATATGAACTCTTTATACTCCAAGCCTACTTTTATCCTCGTAGCCTAACTTATACTTTTTATTTTTTCACAGCATTGAAATATAGTGAACTATATTACATATTTATAATCTGATTGTTGTCTATCTCCCTAACTAGAATCTAAGTTCCTTGATAGCATATAGACTAGGTTTGTTCTGTTTTGTTTTCATTGCTGCACTTCAGCAAGAAGCAGAGTTTCTGGCATAAAATATAAACTTTGTTGACTTGAATGTTGAACGAACTGATAATACCCAGATGTAACATTGCATTTGCTATGTTGTAAAAAATAGTGCTTTACATATGTATTTCCTAATCTTCACATCCAATTTACTTGCCAAGTAGTTATTCTTTTTCCCATTTGACAGACGAAGAACGTGAGATACATGGGGAGTAAGCAACTTGCCACTAAATGGGTGAACTGGGTGAACTGGTGTCAAATCCACCTCTGCTTGCCCTTAAAATCCATAAACACTTTTTTTGCTACATCACATTACCTGATGATACGTTACACTTAAAATTTTTTTCATATGTTGAAAAAAGGAATAGAGAAATATCAGTAGACACCGTCATAGTTCGTGGTTTGTCAGAAACTTATAAAATAACGCAAACAAGACAAAAGTTTCCAAAGACCTCTAAAACAAAAAGACCCAGGGAAGAAATAAAAAAGGAAATAAAAGAACTGGAAAGAAGTGAGGCATGTTCAGAGAAAATTCATTTAGCTCTAACTTTTCCTTCCTCACTGGTTAGTCTAAAAATGCTTTCATTCTTCTTTCCCTGGGACAACTTAATACTCTTCCATTCATCACTCCCTATGTGAATTTTTTCCTTTTGCCAAATGAGTTTACTCAGTGCCATCTGAACAAGGAACTGTGCTTTACTTATATAGATCTCTCACATCTGAGGCCTTCCCTTCCAATGATAGAAAAGCTTTCCATTCCTTTTCCAAAGTCTTTCTCCTATCGAATCTAGTGCTTAAAACCTTCAGCCTACAATCACAGTAAGCCTTGATATAATCTCATGGCATCAGTTATTGAACTCATCACAAATTGTTTTAAGACATTTCTAATATAATTTTTATTTAACACTTGATTTCTCTCCATTCATCTATATTTTCTTTTTTTATTATAAGGACTGGATATTTAATTCCTTCTATACTATATTTAGGAGCTCAACAGGGCTTGATTGAATGATTATTGTTTTAAAATACAATGCAACTTATAATTTACAATATATAATTGGTGGATGGTTTTTTTTGTGAACAAGTGTATAGTTTTTAGAGGCCTAAATTCTTTCTGAGTTCTATGGTAAAAAGTTGTACAGTCAGGTCAAACTATGTTTTGATTCCATTTTCACCACTCTTACCTTCTGAATGGTCTTTGAGAAATTCCTTACGTTCCCTAAAATGAAGAAAATAATACGTACTTAACAGTGTTGTTATCCTGACTAAATGCAATTATGTTCATATTAAACCCCTGATTTAGAGCCAAAGTAGGCACGGGGTAGAAGCCCAATAAATGCTAATTATTGTGGTAATGATCATAGTTGGTATTTCAGTGGGCAAATATAGGGACTTTACCACCATTCTTGCCCTAGTAATGACAGCACATTAGTCTCCACTTGTCTTTGTCTTTACCGACATTTTTAACTCCCATTTAGTTGCCAGCATGGAAAATTAGTTTAGTGAGAAACCTGCCCCATCAATGTGACATCCAGAACTTCTAGCAACCAAATTCCAGATACCAGGAAGCACAAAAGATGGGCCTTGAACTGGAAGACTTCACAGTTCAGTTCAGTGACTACCTCATGAGCTTCAAACAATGAAGAATACACTTATATACTAAATTGCAAAGTAACGAATAAAATTAAAGTAAAAGTTGGGAAGGCCTGAAACTGGATAAGAAAGAGTAGAAGGAGTGAACTTGATCTTGACTTTGTGGGATAATAGCCTTTGTACTGAATTACACATAGAAAGATGGACATAGAAGGTGGGGGTGTTGAGGTGGACATTAGTTTTAGGGGAAAGTGCACATGAAGCACGGTAAGAAAGGAATGCGTGTGAGTGCAGAACAGCAATGAGCAGTGTGACTGACATGGCAGGTGTCTGACGCAGTTGGAGAGGAAGAATGTAGCCAAATTGTAGACATGCTTAAAATGTAAATAATAGTTTCATTGTGAGACAGTAGGGAGTGGAGAAAAATCCCATGCTTATCATCTGGGCAGTATATGTGGAGTCATTGTCTGAACAAGGTCTAATTCATGTATGTGCTGTGGGTAGGCCAATAATTGCCTAGAAACATCTGGCCTACTTTCATTCTCTCCAATCTCTGCCCGCCTCAGCACTTGCAGCCCAATTAAGTTACAGGAGGTGCATTCAGGCTTGGACCTGATACACTTCAGTGACATGTGTCACACTGCCCTGAGTCACTCTCATCTGCCAGGCTCACCGGTGTCAGTCACAAAAACGTTCTTCTGGGTTCTTGTGCATAACTGAGAGAAAGCTTCTGTTAACTATAGGGTCAAAACCTACTTAGGTATTAGAACAAATTATCCGACTAAAATGGGTACATTTACAAATCCTAGTTTGGTGAAGAAATAAAATTACATCAAAAATGAAATTCTAATTGTCTACAATATTCTATGCATTGGGATTCTGTTCGGTTGAATATCATTTGAGGCAAATAAAAATTTGGACCTCCTTTGTTACGTAGAGATTTCGCACTGTGTTATATTACTTCTGGAAATTACACATCTGCCATATAGAAGAGTTTGGACACTGTTGCAAGAAAGACATTTTTTGAAGAATGTTATTTTCTACTTTTGGTCTTTTTGCTTAAGACATTAATGATTGGAAAATACGCTTATGTTATAGAGGCTACTTAAAGCTACATACATATTGTCTTATATTAACTACATTTAAAGCAAGCATTGGGTTGATAAGACCTTAGAGAATGTATAAAACATTTAAAATTACTGAAACATTTTTGCTTATCATTAAAAGGAAAACACATTTTTTTCTTGTTCACATCAAGCTGTAGGGAAACAGATAATTTTTCTTTAATTTCATGAAAATAACGTCATTTAAATTTTTATAATGTACAGGTTTTTAAAATTTTTTATTTCTATGCATAAATATAAATATAAATACATTTTTAGAATTCAAACAATAGTGAGAAGTTCAGTATAGTCAAGGACACCTCATCATCATTAACACAAAACATCTTTTTTAAAGTTTCTTGATGAGATTTTACAGAGACTTATTAGTGTAGCTAGAATACTTCTAGCATAAATAATTATTAATACAATATCACATAGGTCTGTAGGTGAACTCAATTACAGTGGCACAATGGGGCAAATAACTGTAAAAGTCATTGGCATTATTGTTCTCCGAAGGTCAAAGGCACTGGAGTGGAGAATGGTGAAATTAGATGACAGAGCAGAATAAGAGGCTGTGATTGAAGATGTTCTGGATCACAGACCTTTATTGTACTTTTATTTTTTTAAGGCTTACATTATTTGGGCCTTTCATCTGTGAAAAAAAAATAGTGTATATCATACTATACTTTGATTGAAGTATTTGAACTTTTTATGAACACATTTTTTTCCATCTCAAAAAATATTTTTTTTCTTTCTTGCAGCACTCCAGCTGTGAGGCTAACTTCTATTACTAGTAATGCAAATCTCTCTGACAAAGAATAGTGCTTCTTTCTCTGCTTATTACAATGTTACATTACAACCTTTTATATCCATAAATATTTTACTTACAAGAACCTGAACAGTTGAGATGTTAACAAAGTTGAACCACTTGGAAGGGAAGTGTTTAAATTTAGCAATTCACTGCTAACCTAGTTACAACTATTCCTAACCTTTAATTTCTAATAAAAGCCCAGGAAGTTTACAGACTTTTATTTTATTTTTCAGCACAATGAGGTAAATAAAATCCTCCAGGTATTGCTTCAGTTTTTGAGTCTGTAAGATTTTTTAAAATTTTAGCTTTTAATGAGGACAAGAAACTTGAATCATTTATTTATTCATCTTGAGCTCTAAACTATGCTAATAACTGGGTATACATGGCTGTAAAATAAGATGAAGTTTATGTCTTCACTTAAAGTTTCATTCTAGTAGAGGAAACATTTAACAATCAAACCTATAATAAATGAGTATATAATTATAAATTATGATAAATGCTATAAAAAAAACTATGTGTTCCATGAGAAAGTTACAAAAGACACCAATTTAAATTGTTTATCTCACAGAGTAGGGCTAGTAACAGTAAGGGAAAATAGTATTGGTGAAAAAGCTGCTTTGCACAGAACAATGCTGACATAGCCAAAAAAAAAAAATTGTTACACATCTCAGCTAATATGCTCACACTACTTTAAAAATCTTGAGAATTTTTAGCCTCAATACGCTAAGATGATTGAAATAAATCTTTATGTATATTGTTGAAAGTCGCATTTATCTTCTCTCTTTAAACTCTATGTCATCTCCCTGTGTCTCCTTTCTCCCAAACAAGATTTCTCTCATCTGGTGATGTGAATAAAACTACATTCTTGTAGTTACGCAGGGCTGAGGCTCTTGAATCACCTTAGATCTATCTTCTTATCTTCTCCTCCCTCTCTCACCTCCTCATCCCAGTTAGCTGTGTAACTGGTCTCTGGCCATATTAGTGCTCTACTCCAATTCATTCAGCACCTTTCAAGAGACCAGATGAAATGGCTTTCATCTTCCATTTCTCTCCTTAAGAATTCTCATTGTTCCCCTATTCTGTTGCACTTAGGACACCTCAAACTCAACATTCAAGACCCTTTAAAATGTGACTCTAATCTGACAAGCCAAACTCTGTTTACATGATGTGAACAATTCTAAAACCTCACATGATGTGGACTCCTGCTTAGAAGCCAAAGGAAGTCAAGAAAAGGTACTCCACCGGGTTATGCACAACGAAAAACAAGGGGCAAAGTAAAGTTTAGTTTCAAGTCCAGTGTTGTATCTACTCTGCCTTTGCTCTCCTTGGGATGAGATTTTAGGGAAACTGAGTCTGCCTATATAGTCTTCATTGTATGTGCTAAGAAAAAAAGGTCACTTCTAAACAGACAAGCAACTTTTTACTCTTTCCAGAAAAGTGGACAGATAGGAAATTGATTTTCGTCAACAGAAATCTCAAGTGTACAGGTCTGAAAGGAACTCTAGGAAGGCAGGATTGAAAGAACCAGCAGGTTTTGAGGCTGTAGCATGTGACTTAACTATCTAGGTTCAAACCCACTTGCCAGTTTGTGTTCTCAGTGAATTACTTTATATCTATGTCCCAATTTCTTCATTGTTAAAATGGGAATAATATTCAAGTCATATAGTTATTTGGAGGATAACTGAGTTAATAAGGCACGTACCACAGTGTTTTTTGCTTAGTAAGTGCTGCAGAAGTGTTTGTTACATAAAACGAATGAATCTGTTTTATTGAAATGATGTTCTTATAAAAATTATTTTAAGGCATGCATAGCACAAAAAATTGACTTAATTGCTAATATCAATGGCATATACTTTTGATAATCAGAGAACAAATACTCCTCCACAGCCTCTCTTTCTATACAACTTATTAATATATCATTATGCACTTAACTAGATAAATAATGCATAAAGGAGACTTATTAGGCAAATCAGTTAATTAATGTGGCATAGTTTTAAGGAGGATCCTTTATAGCAACATGCAACTAAGAGCTACCAATGCACTAAGTACCACTGGACACAGAAGTAAAATGTTTTTGCTCATCTTCTTACTCACATCAACTAAGACATAGCTAATATATGTGCAGTCAGACTTCTATGTTTAAGTGGAGATGAGAATTATTTGGTAAATAAAAATGTGGTGAATCAATGTGAAAAAACCAAATTAATTGTAGTTAACAGATTTGTTTACTCATTTGCTGGCAAAACAAGCTCATCTGTTAGTACAGTCAAGCTGCCAGCCAAAGCAGCCTTCCTCAAGGCAGAAATTGCTTAATTAATCCTTAACTGAAGAAATGTGTCCCCCAAACCTGAACTCTCTCATTGTATCACTAAGAGTCCCTCTTGTTGCATTATCAATTTGTAGTCAATTTTTTAATTGTAATCTATTTCTAATGTCTTTGTGATGTAGTCAATAAATAGTTTGTCTTAGAAGTTAAAGCTACATCTGTGTTTTGCATATGTGATTGCTAGAAGAGGTCATCTGGTAAAAAGCCAAGATCTTTACACAGTGAATATTTAACGGTGTAATTATTATTACTAACCTCAGAATATATAATTGATGGTGGTTGCTACTAATTATAAAAGCAGCAAAATAGCTTAATTGGAGCTTAAAGAATCTATTGAAAGTTATTTCTTGCAAATTGTTTTTATTTGGAGTGTTTACATAAAAGCATAGAGCATTATTTCACCCAAATGCAGCTTTTGGTATTCTAGATTTTGTAGGCTCTTCTTCACTCTAAATATCTTCCCATCCAAAAAGAAAAAATATACTTCAACAATAGTTGTTTCAAACAATAGTTGAATTCCAAAGTAAGATTCAACAGAACTGGTAATATTTGCTTCTCAGAACTAAAGAAAATGTATTCTATGACCTATTAAATATCACTATTTTCCCTTGGCTGAAAAGCATGCTCGATTCTCTTTTACACTGAAAGAATGATTTCTTTCTAAATTTTCATTTTTCAGCACTTTTTTTTTAGCCAAAGTTAGGATTTTTTTTTTAATTACCAGTGAGTTACTATGTAAATAATAGTGACTAATTGAGAGGCAACAATGCACCAGGCAACTTTGCTAAGTACCTTTTATGCATTATCTGATCCAATGTTCCTGGCAGTCTTATGATTTAAGTGTAATTAACTCCCTTTTGGACTTGAGAAAACAAAACCTAAGAGAATTTAAATGCTATAATTAAGAAACCAGGAGATAGAAAAGTTGTTTAGATTTTGTTGTTTTCAGGCATCTTTGAATTGAGTTGAAACAATTTGACTTTCTCAATAAGATTTAATTTATATGAAGACTCAACGGTAGAGTCATATTTAGGTAGGATCCATTTATTAGTATTTGTCATGGTATACAGAAATTAATATAGATTCTCATTCTTTTCTCAAATATAAAGTAATGCTATATTTTTGCTTTCCATGTTAATGCTAAATGCCATCATGTTAGGCCCATATAGTACAAAGCAGATCTAGGGACCTGGTCCTGAGATGCTCAGGTAATTATAGCCTATGAAGCATTGGCCTTTTTCACAAATGGGGACAAATTCTGTGTATTAGTATCTTCTTAAATTACCATCAATAGTCTCATGTATTAATATTTTAAACTAGCTCACAGTTACATGATTTCAAATGTACCACAGACTAAGGTATATAGATCAAATAGCAAAATCTATTCAAAGTCAGAGAAATTTCTTCTGGGGACAGAGAAACAAAAGAAGCTGTGATGAACCTTTGCAACTCCTAATTTCACAGATCTAGAGAAGATTCAGGTGTGGAGGGAAAAGAGAAAAAGCAACATAAAATATTATTTGGAAAAAAATTGAATCAAGTGTATTTTATTGGTCTTTAAATATATAGCTCTCCAAATTGAGACGAGTTTTTCTATTGTAAGTCCTGGAGAACATCACCACACAGGGAAATGGCACAGGAAGCTGCCCAGAGCTCCAAGATTCAGGAAGTTTTCCGCTGTCTCTCTTGGGTTCAGAACTTCAACATCCCCTGGGGGAAAGTTTGGCCAGCCAGGTTTGGAGAAAGCCATACACCTGCTCTAGCTTTGCGATCTCCTATCCCAGTAGCCAATTTCAGTAAATGCTTCAAGATAGGCCCAGGTAACAATCACAAATTAATTATTATTGTGATGGTTAATATCAATTCTAACCATGAAAATAGCTATGAAAACGAACAAGCATATTTGTAAAAATGTTTCTATGCTGTTTTTATTCTGTAGCACTTTCTGGGACAAATATGATCAGAAGTGGTTGGCTTTTTAGAATCTGTTCACCTATTCTGCTTGAGAAACCATAAAGTCAAGAAGTAAAGTGAGATGGCTTACTATTCCAGCATGTGGGGTTTTTTTAACCTCCTTAACTTTCTTAAGAAGAAAATAATCCTGACTCCAATTCAATTGATTGTTAAAGCTTTTGTCTCCCCACGTAATCAGCCACATAAAGTAACTGCATTACAGATACTTGTCAGGGATTATAACATCAAACTCACTGCTATTCAATATTTAATCAAAAGCTCTGTAGAGGGATAACAGTACCTATGGTAGATAGCCTGAAGGCAATGTTGAGCATCACTTAAAATTAAAAAAAAAATCTATCCCCATATTAAGTCACAATCAGAGTGCTGCGTTATATACTGAAAACTTGCTTTGACTAATTGCGTTTTGAATCTTTTTTCCTTAGTTCTAGATTTAGGAACATTTACAAAGGCAGCTAAATATGATATTTGTTGTAAAGATATCATTTAGATTACTGTTTCCTATATCACAAAGGGCTTCTTACACTTAATATTTGCCTTGATCAAGTCACACTTTTTTTTTTTTTTTTTTTTTTTTTTTTGAGAATGAGTCTTGCTCTTTCGCCCAGGCCGGAGTGCAGGGGCGCTATCTCGGCTCACTGCAAGCTCCGCCTCCAGGATTCACACCATTCTCCTGCCTCAGCCTCCCGAGTAGCTGGGACCACAGGTGCCCGCCACCGCTCCCGGCTAATTTTTTGTATTTTTAGTAGAGACGGGGTTTCACCGTGTTAGCCAGGATGGTCTCGATCTTGATCTCATGACCTCGTGATCTGCCTACCTTGGCATCCCAAAGTGCTGGGATTACAGGTGTGAGCCACCGCGCCCGGCCTCAAGTCACACTTCTTAACACCATTATTGAGTTGAAATTTACATATTATAAAACTGACTCACTTAAGTGTACAATCCAATGACTTTTAATACATTTACAGAGTTGTATAAACATTATAACAATCTAGTTTTGAACATCTATCATCCCCCAAATACCCCTCTTGTCTCTTGTAGTCAATCCCTGGTCTCACCCCAGCCGAAGGCATCCATTTATCTGTTTTCCATCTGCATCTAGCATCTCTCAATAGCATAGTATGTTGGGGACGCTTCCATATCGTGGTATATTCTTGTTTATTGCTGAGACATGTTCCACTCTACGAATATGCCGTCTTGTACTTACCCATTCACCAGTTGATGGAAATTCTGGATTGCTTAAAGTTTTGGTTATTATAAATAATACATTTTTGTGTGGACATACGTTTTTCATTTAAGTAAATATCTAGGAATGTAACTGCTGGGTCATCTGTAATTTTATTTTTAACATTTTCAGAAATTGCCAAATTATTTTCTGAGGTGATCATACCATTTTATGTTGTCACCACCTATGTGTGCAGTTCTGGTGTCTCCTCATCCTCTCTAATACTTGTTACTGTCTTTCCTTTTTATTATAGGCATTCCTAGTGGGTAAAAAAATTATATATCATTGTGATTTTAATTTGCATTTTCTTAACTACTAAAGATACTGAGCATTCTTCAGGTGCTTATTAATTAGACATTTGTATATTTTTCAATCAGATCCTTTCTCCATGTTTAATTTTATTTGTCTTTTTATTATTGGATTGAAAAATTTCTTTATATATTCTGGGTACTAGTCCTTCATCAAATATAATTGTGTATATTTTTCCCTTATATGACTTGGCATTTCATTGTCTTCATAGGGTCCTTTTTAAAGCACAGAAGTTTCTTATTTTGATGAAGTTGAATTTATAAGTTTTTAAATGGATTGTGCTTTTAATGTTATATATAAGAAATCTTTGTGTAACCCAAGGTCTTGAAGATTTTCTTTTTTCTCCTGTATATCTCATAGTTCATCTGTTACATGTTGGTCTTCAATAAGTTTTTAGTTATTTTATATGTATGGTGTGAGATAAGGATCTAAATTTATGTTTTTGCATATGGGCATCTTATTAGCACAATTTGTTGGGAAGACTATCATTCCTCTCACTGACTTGCCTTGGCTTCATTGTCAAAAATCAGTTGACCACATGTGTAAGGATTAATTTCTCATCTTAGTTCTGTCCACTGCCTTTCCTTATGCCATTGTCATACTACCTTGATTATCGTAGCTTTATAGTAAAATTTTGACAATTGATAAATATAAGTTCTCTTATTTTATTTCAAAATTATTTTAGATTTTCTGAGTCATTTGCATTTCTATATACTTATCACTTTCTTGACGGCTTCCTTTGAAGCCCAAATTTTTGAAATTAGAGTGAAGTCCAGAGTATCTATTTCTTTATTTTGTTGCTTGTGTTTTTGGTGTCTTAGCTGAGTAGCAATTGCCTAATTAAGATGATAAGTTCTTTTATATATTCTTCCAAAGGTTTTTTAGATTTGGTTGTTATGTTTAAATCTATGATCCGTTTCTAGTTTTTTTTTTTTTGTACAGTATAAAAAAAGTGTTCAACTTTACTTTTGCATGTAGATACCCTATAGTTCAAGCATCATTTGCTGAAAAGACTGTTCTTTCACCCCTTTAACTTTCTTGGCATTCCTGTTGAAAACTAATTGTCATAAAGTATGGGTTTATTTTTGGACTCTCAAATTCCATTCCACTGATCTGCACATATGCCCTTATATTAGTACCACTTGTCTTGATTATTGTAGCTTTGTAGCAAGTTTTGAAATTGAGAAGTGTGAGTACTTTATTCTTCGTTACCAATATTGTTTTGTCTATTCTGGGTCCCTTGTATTCCCATATGAATTTTAGGATAAGCTTGGCAATTTCTACAGAAATCCAGCTGAGATTTTGATAAAGGATGTATTAAATCTATAGATCAATTTGGGATAGTATTGCCATCTTAATAAATTAAGCCTTCAAAATGGTGAACGCAGAATGTCTCCCTATTTATTTAGATCTTTAATTTCTTACAGTATTATTTGTAGTTTTCAGTACAAAAATATTGCCCCTCTTTTGTTAAAGTTATTCCTCAGTGTTCTACTCCTTTGATGCTGCTGTGACTGGAATTGTTTTCTTAATTTTATTTTTAGATGTTTCTTTCTAATATATAAAAATACAATTGATTTTTTATATGTTGATCATTTATCTTGCTTCCTTGCTGAACTTGTTTATTATTTCTAGTAGCATTTTTGTGGGTTCTTTAGAATGTTCTACATAAATAATTATTTCTTCAACAAATACAAACAATTTTACTTTTTGCTTTATAATCCAAACACTTTTTTGGGCCTAATTGCACCAGCTTGAATCTCCAGTAAATAATAAATAAAAATTGGCAAGATCAGCTGTCTATGCCTTGCTCCCAGTCTTTGGGTGAGAGTATTCAATTTTTATTATTATGTGCAATATTGGCAATAGGTTTTTTATAGATGCCCTTTATTAGTTTGAGAAAGTTCTTTTTTTAATCCCTAGTTTGTTGAGAGTTTTATGATAAATGAGTATAATATTTTGTCAAATGCTGCATCTAAAGAATCATGTGGTTTTCGTTCTTTATTTTATTGATATGGTATATTATATTAGTTTATTTCTGGGTATAATCCAACCTTGCATTCCAACACTATATCCAATTTGGCTATGATATATAATCCTATTTATATGTTGTTGGATTGGTTTGATAGCATTTTGTTGGGGATCTTGCATCTATATTTATGAGAGATATTGAATTATAGCTTTCTTTTCTACTGATACATTTGTTTGGCCTTAGCATTGTGGAAATTGTAGCCTCTTAAAATGAGTTGTTAAATGTTCTCACCTTCTCTGTTTCCTTGAAGAGTTTGCATAGGATTGGTATTATTTCCTTTTAAATTGTTTGACAGAATTCACGGTAAAACTCTCTGGGGCTGTGTTTCTCTGTGAATAATTTTAATTAGTAAATCAACTTAGTTGTTATAGATTTATTCAGATTGCTTATTACTTCTTGGGTTACTTTCAGAAATTTATGTCTTACTATGAATATGTCCATTTTATCTAAATGTCTAGGTGTTGGCATAATACTGTTATAACGTTTCTTTATTTTAAAATTTCTGTGAAGTTTGTGTTGCTGTCCCCCTCTGATTCCTCAATTTGGTAATCTATCTCCCCACTATTTTCCTTTTTAACATAGCTAAAGCCTTATTATTTTTTAACCTTTTCAAATAACAAATTATGAAATATGTTCCACATGCAACTGCAAAATATGTACATTCTGCGGTTGCTCAGTGGAGAGTTCTATAGATGTCATTTAAGTCCAGCTGGTGATAATGTGATTCCTTCGCTCTCTCCCTCTTTCCCTCTCTCCCTCCCTGCATCCCTTTCTTCTTTCCTTCTTTTCATCTTTCTTCCTTTGCTTTCCTTTCCTTTCCTTCCTTCCTTCGTCCCTCCCTCCCTCCCTCCTTCCTTCCTTCCTCCCTCCTACCTTCCTTCCTCCCTCCTTCCTTCCTTCCTCTCTTCCTTCCTTCCTTCCTTCTTCCTTCCTTTCTTCCTTCCGTCTGTCCGTCCGTCCATCCTTCTTTCCTTCCTATGCTCTTACTTCTCACCTAGGCTGTAGTGCAGTCATGTGAAGATAGCACACTACAACTGTGAACACCTGGCCTCATCTTAGCTTCCCCACTAGCTGGGAGTACAGGCACACACCACCACAGCCGGCTAACTTTTTTATTTTTAATATTTATCGAGTCTTGCTCTGTTGCCTGGGGTGGTCTTGATCTCCTGTGCTCAAGTGAACTTCCTGCCTCAGCCTCCCAAAATATTGGGATTTCAGGCACAAGCCACCATGTCTAGCCAATGTGATTTCAGTATTCTATCTCCTTACTGATTTTCTGTCTAGTTGTGCTGTTATCGAGAGTGGTATATTGATGTCTGCAACTATTGTCATTGAATCGCTCATTTGTACCTTGAATTCTTTGGAGCTCTATTGTTAGATGAATATGTGTTTGTAAATGTGTAGCTCCCTAATAAAATGTCCCCTAGTTTATTATAAACATCACTGTCTCTAGTAACATTTTTGTCTTGAAGTCTATTTTGTCTGATATCAGAATATTCACTCTAGCTCTATTATGTTTACATTGTGCATAGCAAACCTTTGCTTAAACTTATTTTAAACATATTTGTGTTTTTAAATCTAAAGTTTGTCTTCTATGAGAGGATATAGTTCAACTTTAAAAATTCAGCCCAGCAATCTCTTTTTGTTTCGTTTTAATACTGAGTATTGTTCCATGATGTGAATATGCTATCATTTATTTAATCATTTACCAGTTGAAGAACATACGAGTTGTTTTCACTTATTATAAATAAAGCTGCCAAGAACTGTTGCACACAGATTTTTATGTGAACCTAACTTTCCATTTCTCCAAAATAAATAATCAGAATTGCAATGCACGATTTTCTTAGTCCATTTTGCCTTGTTATAAAGGAATACCTGAGGCTGGGTAATTTATATATTAAAAAAAAAGAGATTTATTTGGCTCATGGTTCTGCAAGCTATACAAGAAGCATGGTACCAACACTTGCTTCTGGTGAGGACTTCAGGGAGCTTCTATCCATGGCTAAAGGAGAAAGGAAACAGGCATTACAGGGCAAGACAGTGAAAGGAGACAGAGGGGAGGGAGGTGTCAGATTCTTAAACAATAAGCTATCATGGGACCTAATAGAGGGAGAACTCCCTCATTACTGCAAAGATGACACTAAGCCATTCAGGAGTGATCTGTCCTCATTACCCAAACACCTCCCACTAGACCCTACCTTCAATATTGGAGATCAAATTTCAACATAAAATTTGGAGAGGACAGTTCTTTGTAGATTCTGGATATTAGCCCTTTGTCAGAGGGATAGACTGCAAAAATTTTCTCCCATTCTGTAGATTGCCTTTTCACTCTGATGAAATTTTCTTTTGCTGTGCAGAAGTTCTTTAGTTTAATTAGATCCCATTTGTCTATTTTGGTTTTTGTTGCCATTGCTTTTGGTGTTTTAGTCATGAAGTCTTTGCCCATGCCTATGCCCTGAATGGTATTGCCTAGGTTTTCTTCTGAGGTTTTTATGGTTTTAGGTCTTACATTTAAGTCTTTAATCCATCTTGAGTTAATTTTTGTATAAGGTGTAAGGAAGCAATCTATAAAGACACATGCACACGTGTGTTTATTGCAGCACTGTTCACAATAGCAAAGACTTGGAACCAACCCAAATGGCCATCAATGATAGACTGGATAAAGAAAATGTGGCACATATACACCATGGAATACTATGCAGCCATAAAAAAGGATGAGTTCGTGTCCTTTGCAGGGACATGGATTAAGCTGGAAACCATCATTCTCAGGAAACTAAACACAAGAACAGAAAACCAAACACTGCATGTTCTCACTCATAAGTGGGAGTTGAACAATGAGAACACATGGACACAGGGAGGGGAGCATCACACACTGGGTCCTGTCAGGGATGAGGGACTAGGGGAGGGATAGCATTAGGAGAAATACCTAATGAAGATGACAGGTTTATGGGAGCAGCAAACCACTGTGGCACATATATACCTATGTAACAAACCTGCAAAATCTGCACATGTACTCCAGAACTTAAAGTATAAAAAAAAAAATTGGAGAGGGCAAATATCCAAACTGCATCAAGGGTTTTACATTAATTGCATGTTTAGTTCAATTAAAAATTTCCAAAAGTTTTCAGAGTGGCTATATTATTTTACATTCCGACTATCCACGTATAAGTGATCCAGATTTTCTGCATCTTTACTAATATTTGTTGTTATCACTATTTTTTTACTTAGCCATTCTGATAGTTACATAGTAATAGCTCAGTGTGGTATTAATTTGTGTTTCTCAGATGACTAATGATGCTAAATGCCTTTTCATTTGTGTATTTGTCATCTGTATATCATTTTGGCAAGGTGTTTTTTGGTCTTTTGCCTATTTCTAATTGGATTGCTTGGGTTTTTTTTACTGTCAAGTTTTGAAAGTTCATTGGACTATATATTCTAGATACTAATCATTTTTGGACATCTGGTTTGTAAATATTTTCTCAGAGTCTGTAGGTTATCCACTCAACATCTTTACAGGCCTTTCGGAAAGTAACTACTTGTAGGTTTGATGAAGTCCAATTTATCTTTTTTTTCCTTTTATGGATTATCCTTTTTGGGTCAAGTCTCAAGAACTCTGACTAGTTCTAGATGTATAAACTTTTCTCCATTGTTTTCTATTTTTATAAAAGTTGTGTAATTTTGAATTATGCATTTAAATCCATGTTTCATTTTGAGCTAATTTTTGTATAAGGTGTTAGATTTATATTGAAGCTAAACATGTTTTTGTGTATACCTGCCTATTTGTTTCAGCAGTTGTTCTTCAATGAATTTTGCATCTTTGTTAAAAATTGGTTAGGCATGTTTGTGTGGGTCTGTCTGTGGATTCAGCTTCATTGATCTGTGTGGCCATCCTTCTGCCAATACCAAACAACCTTGGTTGTCATAGCTATATAGAAAGTCTTGAAATTGAGTAAACCTGTTCCTCCCACTTTTTCTTTTTCAAAATTATTTTAGCTATTCTACCTACTTTGCCTTCCATATATATTTCAAAATAATTGTATGTATACCTATAAAAGTCTTGCTAAGATTTTCTTAGCAATTGGATTAAATCTGTATATCAATTTTGGCAGAATTGGCATCCTTACTGTGTTCTTCCAAACCATGAACATGGTATGTACCTCCACTTATTTTTCTCTTTTTTTATCATTGTTTTGCAGTTTTTAGTTTTAGTAGTCAAGTCCTGTATATGTCTTGTTAGAATTAGCTGGCTTCCTCTGACACTACTGTAGCAGGAGAAGGAGGGCACCACTTTCTTACTGCCAGGTAGGGTAGAAGTCCAGGTTTCCCAATGGGCCTCAGTTGACCACCTAAGTAAGGAGAGACTCCTTTTTAATTTTGTGTGGGAGGGGGAGTTCTGGCTCCTTACTATGCCTCTCTACAGAATACCTTGGCTGAGAGCAATGAGTTTCTTATTACTGCCCCCACTTGTCTCCACTAACACTATGGAGGTAGGGCCTTATTACTCCCTGGATAGAGATGAATGTCCCAGCTCCCCATTTGGCTTTCTCTGACACTATCTTGAAGAGTAAAGGGTACAGGAGACAAGGATTGCTTGTAATAGATTAGAGAGGTTGAAACCTAGGATCCATATACAGCCTTTTGTGGCA
The DNA here is from genome assembly GCF_000001405.40 of Homo sapiens. Taxonomy (NCBI): domain Eukaryota; kingdom Metazoa; phylum Chordata; class Mammalia; order Primates; family Hominidae; genus Homo; species Homo sapiens. The sequence continues at coordinate 21,924,535 of NC_000003.12, read as the reverse complement.
TGGATGGTGTTGGGGCCACAATTTTTTGAGGGTGTTTCACTGGGGTTGAGCAGTTACTGTCTAAAAGTTTTCTGTGATACTAGGTTGCCCCTCTTCTGTCCCTTGACTAAAGAGGGCAGGATTTTGTTAGGGCTTTTTTCATCTGCACTCTTTGATGTCTTTGGGAGCTGGCTTTTTCAGCCTTAAGTCTGGGAGAAATGACAAAAAAAACTCAGGAAGCTAACTACTGTATTATTCCTTGGATTTTACAATACCTTGTGAATTTGCCTTCTTCTCTTCACCTTTAAGAGTGTTTTTATGTTTGTATTATATATAATGTCCAGGGTTTTCAGAATTTAGTGGTAGAAATAGGGAAATATACATCTGTTCCATTTTCCAGGAAGCAGAAGTTACTACTTACTTTTTTAATGCATAAATTGTTTATTTCTGTAGTTGATTGAGCTATTTTATTATCTCATTGATTATGTGCTCTGGCTTTTACCACAAATAAGAGGATAATTTTGGTAATTTTGAGGCATAAATATATTGTTTTAAGTTTTCAGCATTCACATTTTACTTTATTTTATTCCAGGATTTTCGTTTCAACTTTTATTTTAAATTCAGGAGGTACACGTGCAGGTTTGTTACATGGGCACATTATGTGATACTGAGGTTAACTCAAGAGTTAGTTTATTAACCATTTCCTCCCCTCCCTCCCCCTTCTAGTAGTCCCCAGTTTATGTCCATGAATACCCAATGCTTCCACTTATAGGTGAGAACTTATGGTATTTGGTTTTCTGTTCCTGCATTAACTTCCTTATGATAATGGACTCCAACTGCATCCATGTTGCTGCAAAGAACATAATTTTGTTCTTTTTTATGGCTGCATAGTATTCCATGTTGTGTATGTATCACATATTTTTATCCAGTCCACCACTGATAAACACCTAGGTTGATTCCATATCTTTGGTATTGTAAATAGTGCCATGAGGAACATGCAAGTGCATGTGTGTTTTTGATAGAATGATTTGTTTTCTTTTGATTCTATATGCAGTAATGGGATTGCTGGTCAAATAGTAGTTCTGTTTTAAGTTTGGTGGGAAATCTCCAAACTGCTTTCCCCAGTGGCTGAACTAATTTACATTTCTATCAACAGTGTATAAACATTCACTTTTCTTTCCAGCCTCTCCAGCATGCGTTGTTTTTTGACTTTTTCATAATGGCCATTCTTAGTAGTGTGAGATGGTATCTCATTGTGGTTTTGATTTGCATTTCTCTGATGATTAATAATGTGGAGCAGAATTGAACAATGAGAACACTTGGACACAGGAAGGGGAACATCACACACCAGGGCCTGTTGTGGGGTGGGGGGATGGGGGAGGGATAGCATTAGGAGATATACCTAATGTAAATCACGAGTTAATGGGTGTAGCACACCAACATGGCACATGTGTACATATGTAACAAACCTGCATGTTGTGCACATGTACCCTAAAACTTAAAGTATAATAAAAAAATGTGAAGCATTTTTTCATGTTTGTTGGCCACTTGTATGTCCTCTTTTGAGAAGTGTATGTTCATGTCTTTTGCCCATTTTTCAAACAGGGCAATTTGTTTTTTGTTTGTTCAGCTATTGAAGTTCCCTATAGATTCCATATTAGACCTTGGTCAGATGTGTAGCTTGTGAATATTTTCTCCCATTCTGTAGGTTGTCTATTTATTGATTATTTCTTTTGCTGTGTGGAAGCCCTTTTGTTTAATTGGGTCTCACTTGTCAATTTTTGTTCTTCCTGTAATTGTTTTTGAAGACTTAGCCATAAATTCCTTCCCACAGCAGATGTCCTGGATGGTGTTTCCTAGGTTTTCTTCTCGGATTCTTATGGTTTGAGGTCTTACATTTAAATCTTTAGTTCTTCTTGAGATAACTTTCATGTGTGGTAAAAGGAAGGGGTCCAGTTTTATTCTTCTGCCTATGACTAGCTAGCCTTCTCAACACAATTTATTGAATAGGAGTCCTTTCCTCATTGCTTATTTTTGTTGACTTTGTCAAAGATCAGATGGCTGTACGTGTGTGACTCTATTTCTGGGTTGTCTATTCTGTTCCATTGGTATATGTATCTGCTTTTGTACCAGTACCATGAAATTTTGGTTGTTGTAGCTTTATAGTATAGTTTGAATTTGGGCAATGTGATGCCTCTAGCTTTATTCTTTTTTGCTTATGAGTGCTTTTTCTGTTACGGCTCTTTTTTAGTTCTACATGATTTTTATAAAATTTTTTTTCTAATTCTGTGAAAAATGGTGTTGGTAGCTTGATAGGAATAGCAGTGAATCTGTAGATTGCTTTGGGCAGTATGGCCATTTTAAATATATTGATTCTTCCAGTTCATGAGCATGGACTATTTTTCCATTTGTCATGTTATCTATGATTTCTTTTAGCAGTGTTTTGTATTCCTCCTTGTAGAGATCTTTCACCCCCTTGGTTCATCAGGAATATTGACCTGTCATTTTCTTTTCTCGTTGTGTCTTTGGCAGGTTTTGTTATCATGGTGATGGTGCCTTCATAACATGAGTTAGGAAGAAGTGCTTCCTCCTCAATTTTTTGAAATAGTTTCAGTAGGATTGGCACCATCTCTTCTTCGTATGTCTTGTAGAATTTGGCTGTGAATCTATCTGTTCTAGGGCATCTTTTGGTTGGTAGGGTCTTTTTTTTTTTTCATTACTGATTCAGTTTCAAAACTTGCTGGTCTGTTCAGGGTTTCAAATTCTTCTTGATTCAATCTTGGGAGATTGTGTTTCCAGAAATTTATCTATTTTCTATAGATTTTCTAGTTTGTGAGCGTAGAGGTATTCACAATCATCTCTGAGGCAATCTTTTGAAGACATATATTCTTGGCTTCTTATTTTGTACATATTTATGTCTCTTTTTTTAGGTGTTTTCTCCATCTACTGCATTTTCATAATCCTGGTAAATAAAAAATCCTGCCTTTTTTAAAAGAGGAATAAACATAGATTCTATTGATTGCTTTGATATCATAAGATTTACTTCTGGGCATATGAAAAATAAAGAAATACAAGATTTAAGGACCTCTGTCTTTTGTCTTTAAGTAATGTGACATATCTTGTCATAGGTGCACGAACAAATGGATTATATACCTCTTAATACATTTGGCATCCTCTAAGAATAGCATCAATTTCTATAGTTAATGATTGCATATTACTGATAATGCAAATACATACTCCAAGTGTTACGTGATTTGGGGGAGTGAGGAGTGTGGTTAAATATGCCATTTATTTGATGCTTCGTTCTTCAGTATTTTTTTTTTTTTTTTTTTTTGAGATGGAGTCTCGCTCTGTCGCCCAGGCTGGAGTGCGGTGGCGCGATCTCGGCTCACTGCAAACTCCGCCTCCCGGGTTCACACCATTCTCCTGCCTCAGCCTCCCGAGTAGCTGGGACTACAGGCGCCCGCCATCACGCCGGCTATTTTTTTTTTCTTTTTGTATTTTTAGTAGAGATGGGGTTTCACTGTGTTAGCCAGGATGGTCTCCATCTCCTGACCTCATGATCCGCCCGCCTCAGCCTCCCAGAGTGCTGGGATTACAAGCATGAGCCACTGCGCCTTACCCAGTGTTTGTTTTTCTTAAATGAGTTCAAATTTTAAATGTTCATATTTTAATGTATTTTGTAAAGTTTGCATGTATTGAAGTTAATCATCAAGCAGTGTTACAGATCAGTCTGCAAGATTGTTGTCATAACAGGGAAATAACTCCAACTTCCTCAAATTTCTCATTTTCTTGACTTTAGTTTTAAGAGCGCCAGTGTGGGGAGAGTTGCCTAACTTCATCAATTATATTTACTTTACTTCACCCCACAAAATTATAGTATCCTAGAGCATGAAGGAAAAGAATTTCCATTTCATCTTTTTTTTTTTTTTTTGGCATTGTATCATCATCAACCCTCTTCTTATCACTAAATGCATTCTTCCAGAATGATCTCAGTCACTTTCAGGGCTTGCTTAAGCCTATGTTAATGACTCACAGCTTTCTATCTGTAAGCTCTGAAGTCTCTTGAAACCCAAACCTAAAAAAAACCTACTAATATTTCTGTCTGTAATATCTGTACATTAAGTGCAACAAATAAATAAAATGTAACATATTCAAAATGTCACAGCTGTAACAATGACCCCAAATCCCTGGAGTTACAGCAAGCAATTTTTAATTTTTTTTCCTTCAAAAATATTTATCATACACAACTGTGTTTGAAGCACTGCGTCTGTCAGGCCCTGGTCATAGTGTTAAGTCACAATATCTCTCTCAAAAAGCTAAAATCTGTGGAGACAGAGTCCCATAAATCAGGGGTCAGTATACTTTCTCTAAATGGCCAGATGGTACATAGTTTAATCTTTGGGGGACACCTATAGTCTCTGTTGCATATTCTTCTTTGTTTGTTTCCTTTTAACCATTTAAAAATTTAAAAACCACTATACCAAAATATACTTTGGCTAGATTTGACTCTCAGAACATATTTTCTCAACCCCTGGAAATGATTTCAATGCAATGTGATGATGATTCCAATAGGAGATTGTTATTCTTATGGTATTTAGAAAATGCTTATAGAGGGAGCTTAGAGTAAGGCACACGAAAGTCTTTGTCTAGAAATGTGGCAGAGACACTTTGGAAAAGTTATTCAGAGTTATTCAAAGTTATTCAGAAAAGTTATTCAGTTCTACATTTTGTACTTAATAATATCAAAATGGAAGATGCTAGAAAAGTTTCTTAAAAATATTTGAATTTGGCATTGTCCTAAGTGTGTTCTGAAGAATGCTGGTTCTGCAGGATGGTAGTATGAGCAACTGTGAAAAGACAAAGGGGAATTATATGGTTAAATTTAGTGAATACTGAGTTAAACAAAGCTAATTCTAGTCTGCCTGCAGCAATTATCAGAGCTTTTAATATGCATGTGAATCATGCTCTCTTGAAGTGGAAATGTGGCTGTGGCAAGAAACTGTTCCCAAACTTCTCTGCTCACAGTCTGTCTCCCACTACTTGTTTTGCTTACCTTTTTTGAATTGAGATATGATTTACATATAGTGAAATACACGGGTCTTAAGTGCACAGTTCAGTGACTATTGGTAAATGCCTACATCGTTATAGCTCACAACAATATCAAAATATAGAACATTCCATCCTAGAAAGGCAGGCAGCTTTCAAAGTGCATTATAATTGTCATTGTGTTTGCAGCCAAAATGAAATGTCAAACTCCCTGATGCCAGGCAACATGTATTTTACATCTTTGAACTCCTAGTGCCAAGCTCAGTTCCTGATATATGGTTGACCATAGTACTTGTGTGGTGAATGAATGGATGAATGAATGGATGAATGAAGACTGAATATTAACATTGTCCTTCAACATTCTGTAAATCCTTTGGCAATATTTATAATAACACTATCAGAGAAAGATACAAGAGACAACTCTTCAAACAAATGTTATTAGAGAAGACCATGTCCACGATACTATTTAATGCATTATGAAACAATCTGATAGCAAGTAAAGAGATTTTAAATTAAGGCTGTCTGTGTTTGACAAAAGTAGAAAGGATTTGAATATTTTCTCTTAGAAGTTGGGATCTAGGGCAAGCATTTGAAATATAACCTTGAAGCTAATGAGTAACAAAGGATGAGTCAGAAGATAAAGACATTGATTAAAATCACGAGATCTCGCTGTCAAGAAGTCATTTCATTCTGAAAATTTAACTAAAATGATTAAAAATAGGAAGATAAAGTGACTTAAACACTGCACACTTCTGCCAATAAAAAGACAAACACCATGTTATAGAATTATAAAGTGATATTGGAATAAAGACAAAGAAGAATAATGTCAAAAGTAATGAATAATTTATTGTTGTTTCTTAAACCACAGACCATGTAATACCCTCTGCTATTATTTCACTTTTCCTCTCATGTATGCTGTTCACTAAAACTATTGACATGATTATTAATGTGAAAATTATGAGCATTTCACATATAATCCAATTTGAGTAATGAAAATATATCATTCAGGTGAACCACCCAAAAATTATCTGAAGTATCAAGAAAGACAATTTTAGAATTACAAACTCTTCACTTAAAAGTCCCTACTTTTACTTGCTCTATTTTCAGATAGAAAATCCAAATAACAACAATGATAGTAACTTCTTCCACTTTAAAGTGGAGTATTAATAAATCTTGGATTGTTCATTTCTTTTGTTTCCTGTCATTGTTTTGGCCTCTCACTTTTCTGTTTACACACTTAATTAGGAAAGGCCTGCCCTAAGACTCATCCACTGTCTGAGCATAGACCATATAGCACGCAGATTTTCATTTTTGCTTTTCAATCATATTCCCCATTGCTAAATTTTTCCACTGTTTAAAATTTGGCTAAACATTGATTTAGTGCCTAGTGTATTCTCAGCTTATTAAAACACATTGAGAAGCATTCTCGAATATTCCAGCTTGCAAAACTCTGCTCCATCTCTAAGTCAAAGCACAAAAGTCCTCCCTGAGCAATCAATTCAGATTAGCTCTCATGTAACTTGATAAATTTATATGTTACATAGCAAGTATTTTATATCTGTGGGTCCTCTACACTTACGAAGTATACTTTAAGTTCCTAGTTTGCATGCAGTATATATTTTGCTTAATGACTGACTAGAGTGTTAAATTGATGATATACTGAACATACACCAATGGATATAGTGGAAAAAAGAAAAAGCATAGCTCTGAGTCAAGAGACTCCACTTAGCCACTGAGGGTACAGATATGACTTGTAAAGATACTGAATGAATGGTTGAATGGTTTTTAATGATTTTTTTCCCAATAAAGTATAAAAAGAATCCATGACAAATTTTTTTCTGTTCCTGTGTATATGACTTTAAAACTCTATAACGTGAAGCAGAAAGCTGAGAGTTTATAGTCAACCAAAGCACAGCTTCAGTACATGAAACTCTTAAAGAACAATCTTTTCATGTCATAGCATATGAGACCAGTAGGTCTCTATTCTAATGCTTTCCACTTGATACAAGTCCTTCATCTTTATCAGAAGCACCACCATTCTCTCTAGAAATGGTAGACCCTTAAGGTGTTTTTTTGGAGACGGAGTATCACTCTGTTGCCCAGGCTGGAGTGCAATGGCCCGATCTCAGCTCACTGCAACCTCTCCCTCCTGAGTTCAAGCGATTCTCTTGCCTCGGCTTTCTGAGTAGCTGGGATTACAGGAGTGCCGCACCACATCCAGCTAATTTCTGTATTTTTAGCAGAGACCAGGTTTCACCGTGTTGGCCAGGCTGGCCTCAAACTCCTGACCTCAAGTGATCCGTCCACCTCGGCCTCCCAAAGTGGTGGGATTACAGCCATGAGCCACCGCACCAGGCCAGACTTCCACGATTTTGTTTCTCCAAAATATCTTGTGTCTTCTCCATTTTAGGGATAATAATTCTTTAATGGACTCTATTTAATGGATTCTCTTTCTTCCCTTCAAACTAATTAGCAAAATAGACAAATTTTAAAATATGTGATTTTTCATCTACTAAATCAGCAGAGAACATGATAACAACCAGCAGCAGTGGGAGTGTGGGGGAGCTAACGCTAATCGACATACAGAATGGGATTGGAAATTGGTATATCTTTCCATAGGGTAATTCGTCAATGTTAATTGAGATCTAAAGCTAAGTTTCCTTTTACACACAAAAGTCTCTTCTAGGAATATTTGGCAAATAAAGTTACCTATTACAGTGCTTTCGTTTATTGTACTGATTGTTTAAAAATAGCCCAAATATCAAACAATAAGGAATGGGTAAATTGTGGCAGACCTTTTCCAAAATTTAGTATGAATTAATTCAAGTGTCTTTTGTAGAGAATGTTTACTTGAACAGACTGACAGTACAGTGTTAAAAATACAGTTACAAAGCACTTCGCTTATAGGCTATACTAGAAAAATTTATGCCAAAGCATATGTAATCGACTATATACAAGTATATTATTTGTGGTTAAAATAGTGACTTTGGGGTATAGAAATATGTGGATTTTTGTTGTTCTTTTTGCTTATACTCTCTCTAAAGTATTAATTGGGTGCAGATTATATTTTAGACATAAGTGTAAAAGTTAAAATATGCATTAGAATCAGTAAAGCAGATGATCAACCCAACAGAAAATCAAATCAGTAATGTGGAGGGTTAGTTTGAAGAACAAAATTAAATAGTAAAATAAGATTCAAATACCAGAAAAAAGTATACATGATATTTGTTATTTAAATTGACAAAATCTATCTAGAAAAGCTTTATTACTTTTGAATATTCCAATTTTCTCTTTATTTTAATTATATATTTCCAGTTTTGTTGCATTGTGATTAACAAAATATGACCTATAGAGTTTTTACCTTGTGATATACATTATGCTTTTAATGTACCCTAATATACCTTCAATATTCATGAACATTTAAGAAGGAGTCCTTTTTCATTTTGGAGTACAAGATTTGACATATATCTTTTAAAACAAAACCTAGTGCATACCTGGCTGTTATTAGTCACCTTTTCTGCTTTTACACTGGAATTTGATGAAACCATTTTAGCTTTTTAGTTGCCACTGGCCAGTGTAATAAGAGCCATAGCCATGGTAGTCTCAGCTAGAAAACCTCATTCTGAGTTATTTTTGCCGTGTTTGGTAAAGTTCTTTCACTAGGGACAAAAATTTTCCAACTAGCCCTCAGTTTGCCTTGAATCCCATCAAAGGTATGAGGTGTCTTTGCTTTTTGACTAATTTCTAAATAAGTCCTTGATTTCCAACCTACCCTTGATATTCTACCTTCCTAATGCTATGTGCAATTGACCTACTTATTGGTTTTGTACTGGGATATAAAGCACTTTGTTGTTTTTGTTTTTTTTCTTTGTGTATGGGTTGGGGGTGGTAAGGGGTAGTTCAAGCTCTCTTGAATGAACCAGATGCTTTACCGTAAACACTAATACAAAGCATCAATACAGGCAATATTTGCAAAGAAACACATTTACTTATTTTACCTTGTAACAGAAAAAATAAGTTAAAACTAGAACATTAAAAGAATTGAAATGAGATACATCTACATTAAAAAGAGGCATGATAGTACTTCCAAAGTAACACAATGCTATTAAATGGTTCATGCTTACAATTCTATTTACATTGTCTTGAACAGGCAAATACCTGCAATAATAATAATACTAATCTTAAAGAAAAATAAACTCAACCCAAGGTGCTTTTGGGGAAATGAGAATCATAGTGTCAGCAGTTCTGTAGTATACAGAATTTTAATGAAATATAAGCTCTTTTTCTGAGATTCTAAAAATATGTATCTAATCCCAGATAACCTCAGTACCGTCAAGTAACGCACCTAGAGTTTCTGAGCAGTAAGGAAAACATGCCATGTGAATTGAATCACAGAGAAGTATGTAAGGTGTTAAAAAAATCCAACTCTTTTTTTTTTCTATTTCTACTCATTCTTAAAATAATTTTTACACTCTGGATTTCTATTGAATATATTTTTGGTGACTTATATTAACCAAGTCACAAACTTTTCCTCGTGCTTGTGGTATTTGCACACATACTAATTTTGGATTTTTTTTTTTTTACTGAATTTTTTTGCCATTTTTTTAGTGTCCAAATCTGTCTTGGCTAAACATCAAAGTAATTTACCACAACATTGTTGGATTTGAAATGAACTCTTGGTAAAATAAAGACTTTATCTTTCAGATAATGAAGTGGCTTTTTAATAAAAATAAACCGAGGGGTATTTAGAATATTTCAAGTAAAACTCTTTCTTAAGATGCTGCACATTCATAATTTTATATTTCACTTCCTTTTCAGCAGCAATGTACAGTGTTTGTTTTTATTGTAACTTCCAGTACAATGAAGTGATGCAATGTAAATAGATGCCTTTCATCATAATCTCCTGTTTCTAGAAATGTTCATAATTTAAATAATTATGTATCTCGACTTCATGCCAATTAAATTTGCTCATCTAGGGACTGAATTTTAATGAGGTATGTGAATGAGTTTTCATTGATATGATCTTTTGGTAGGAACACAATCAAATGAGAAAGGTTTAATCTCACATATTTTCATTTCTTCAATATTTGAAAAAAAGAGATAAGACCAAAAAAAAAAAAAAAAAAGTCAAACAAAAGCACTGAACAGAAGATGGGTTAGAGACTGAATAGTTTAAGTACATTTGAAGATAATTTACTTACTAACACTTGAAGTCAATGTGATTTAGCTAAAAAATATAAGTGTTAACTCACCCCCTTCAAGAAAATTAAAATAAACACAGTGACCACATTATGTCATGCTTGAATTAGTCTGCTAGTTTTAGGTTCCCTGTCTACTAAAATTCTGGAGCCATCTTCATTTTTTTTAAGAGTGATTTAAGATGCTTCCAATGTTAAACTGTAGGCTACATGTGTCTCCCTGTGAATGGACAAAGCACAATTTCCCAGAGGAAGAGGATTTTATTAACTAAATGCCTAACAGCTGCCTCACAAGCATGAGCCTAGATAAACCAAACAAGCTGCAAATCTGTGCACCCTGCATGAAAGGCCACATAATACAAACTGATTACTTCAGGGCTTGCATTAATGTGGCTGTGAACAAAAATAACCAACCAACAAATCCTTGCCTAATTTTAACAACTACTGATGAGGAAATCTAGACAGATGGATCATTATGAGGCATGGATCTATGATGAATTAGTATTGTGATCAAAGGGTGGGAGGATGGCTGCCGAATGGTACAGGAGGTAGAATTACTAATCCTCACCAAATAAGAGTTCTAATCTCTCTTTGGAAAGCCAAGCATCTGATACTTTCATCTGAATTTGATAGAAACACAGTAACCTTTGTATAAACAGAAAGAATAGCATCTTTTGATTTACATTTTAATAAAGACAAGGCTTTTGATGTAGCAGCTTCCCAGAGATAAACAAAATAAAATGATGAGTTGCTATAATATTTGTTGAAATCCACTTTTATATTGGAATATTAAATGCCAACACTGTAAGGATGAGCATAATACCTGGAATCTAATAGTCATTCAGTAAATGCTTTCGAGTGAATTTGTAATACAAAACTCATACATTCATGTAGGTAGTCCCATCTAACATCAGGTTGGGGAAATGGAATGTGCCAATTTTTTCTGTTAATGAGTTATTTCAGATATACGACCTGAGAAAATAGTTTTATGTGAGGAGGGTACAGTTAGAAGTACTCTACTCTGCAGGTGAAATTATAATGGTTCTAGTTAACACGCATTGCAGCACTGCATGGTGACACTGTTCCTTCTCTGACCTTCCCTTCCTCACTGAACCCACACCTAGTGACCTCAAGGATTCATTCTCCTGTTGAAGAACTAGCAAATTATTTACATTTAGAGGAACATTCCATCTCCAGCCAAAAGATTCAATTTGGTAAATCACTCTTCAGAATAATTTTCCAGAACCCTTGCCCAGAGTGATCATACCCTGATCCCAAAAGTGAGAATCCCATCCAGAAAGTAAAAATTTGCTTTTAAAAAAATTATTATCACAATTCTGTTTCCAGTTTTCTTAAACCACAGTAAGATTGTCAGTACCGTTTCAATTTCTTAGATGTGGAAGCCAAGATAGTTTAAGAATGTTCTGTATGCTCTTGGGAGACAGCCAAATGCTGTTCAGAGAAGAACTGTTCAAGAAATAAAGGGACCAATAATGACCCAGGAATGCCAATCTATCTTATCAACAGCTTTTCTAAGAAGGTCCAAATGTAGCTTGAATTGTTGTCAGTGTATTTTAGCATATAATATCATTAATTGAATTTTGCTCTTTTTCCAATTTCAAAAGGATGGGGAAAGTTCTAATGATCGCCACTGGATATATACAATCCCCTAACGTGGCATTGTATTTCCTACTGATGCACAATCTGTATCTGTCTCCTGACTTGCATGCACTATAGCAATCCACTGGAGTGCTTCGAATGGCACACAATGCCTGGTTCAAAGCATGTCAGTTTATTTAGCTTCCTCTGTACACATTCGGATTTATCTGTGTATCCGTGGAAAGAACACTTTACCTTTACCATCAAGCAGGTATCTGGTACTCCTTCCTATTTTGTCTCTCTAAATATTGTAAGAGATTACCCTCTTAAAACTTGATGTTAACTGTCATCTCCCCAGAAGTCCACTAGAAAAATTTATTGATGAAGTAAAGCTAAATTTATTAGAACTACTGCAACAAATGGGTAAACTACTTGGGGTTATTATTGTCTTAAATATTGTGCCTTAGTTTCCCATTTTAACGAGTTTAGGGTCTGGGCTGAATAATTTTAAGACAAGTCTTGTAAGAAGAGAAATGGTTGAGACTGAGCAGAGTTCACAACACGATAGCTTTGTATTGGTGTGGATGGCAAAATAAGAATTTTGAAGTGAGCCTAAGTAAGCAAGCTGTTTAGATTCCAGGAGCAAAGATTTCCTGGAACAAGAAATTAGGTTAATTTTGTTTAGTTCAAATATAATTTTAACAGATTTAGGGCCTTACTTTCAATTCTCATTAATTTCATTTTTAAGGTACTAGATCACTCTTAAGCTTATTTTTAGTTTGATATATTAATATATGCTTACATTATTATCTTCTATGACTTCTAGGAAATTTAACAAAAGTGATTATACTATATTTTGTAAATATTTGTCTTATAAAGCACCACTTGTCTAAAAATCTTGGGACGATTTTTCAAGTGTGATAAATTCCTGTTTATAGGTACATAGTAAAATCCCTAATATCTCTCTCACTTTAATAAAATAAGTTTTTGGCAAATAGTTGAAATGAGGAAATTATTTAATGGCTTTTAATGTTAATAAAAAAATGTATGCCTTCTGCAATATAGCTACTATTTCTCAATAAAAATGGTAAAATGAACTGAGGATTTCCAATTTATTCAGTCAAGTGATATATGAATATCATCTCAGATAATTTGATTCTCAAAACAACATTATGAGGTGAAATACTAGGAATATGGCCATAATACAAATAAAAAACCTTTAGAATTTGTATAACTTACCTAGAGTCACATATCTAATAGATGGCAGAGCAAGAATATGAGCTCATTTCTCCAGCCTCTCCCCAGCATGACCTTGTCACAGTGGGCATATTGTCACCATAAAACCTGTGATCTACAAAACACTTTACATTCTCTTTGACTTCATTTAGAATCTTATTAATAAACTTTACTAATGTTTCTTACAACATGTGCTAAATATTAAAATGAGAACTAATGGACTCTCATAAAAACCTTAATTTTTTTTAGCTTATTTCAAGGTAGCAATTACTTGTGCTATGTTTTGTAATTACCCAAGTATTTCCAGCTTTAGAAGTCACTATTTACAGATCTATTTTGCATTTTGGAAGAGCCAATATTATATGTAAGAGATTGTTAAACTATATCATTTTAAAAACACATAGATATTCTCTTTCCCCCTAATAAGCACCCTTCTCTCAACATATCAGCACCAATGCAACCACATATATACATTTCATCCTAGGGATTTTAGAAAATACTATGTAGTTTTTCATCTAATTAAAAAGCATCAGGTTTATTTTGTACTTCAACTAATTCTATATAAAATAGTTATCAAACATAATAAAATTCAAAAACTAAATTTAATCTTAAAGCTTAGTACTCTACATTTTGAAATTATGAGTCACATTTATTTTATTACTCAAATGCCACCATTTTATTTTCACGGAATTTATCTAGTATTCTTTGTATTCCGTCCTGCCTTCTCCAATAAAGCTTTCTCTGCCCCCCGTCCCCTGGCCCATGCATGTTACTTTTTACTTTTCTACGTTCATATTTTGACCTATCAATCATGTCTGTTCATTCACACAATTATATTATTATACATGAGATACAACGATTATAGGTCTCTGAATAGGTTTTGGTTTGCCCGTTAAACTTTCAAAGGCTTTTGGCTCATTAGAGCAGTTATATTAGTGTTTAAATGAGAATTTTAATAATTTCCTGAAAGTAGTAAATTCTACTGTTTAGTATTTGTAGTTTTAGCAGAAAGCAAACAAGACTTAATATTTCAAATGGTTTAAGGTAAGTGCAAAGGCTCTCTTCATTTTGAAATTTTAAAAGATTGTTCAGCTGAGAAATTTCAAAATTATCATTTTTATTAGCTTTTAAGGAGCAACTGCCTCCCCTCTATTTCAGAGAGCTGGAAACTACGTAAAACATATGCAACCTATATAATGAACACACAGAACAGATATAATGCCTGGCAAATGGTATCATTTCCAACAACAATGTACTAAACAGTGAATGAAGCCCAAGAGTCACATAGCTATTGGATGACGGTGCAATCCTATCATGGAGGTGAAGTAGGCCAAAGATGGTCTAGAAAGAAGGAAGATAATTGGCTCTGTGTGTGTGTGTGTGTGTGTGTAAAATATATGTTTAACCCACAGCTAATTGGGACTATACATACTTTGAAATGTAGCAGTAAGCTAAATAGTGCATGTGCCTGAGAAGCAGTTTATACTGTTTTTCTGGCCACCTTTAGTTGTTTGTGAATTGTCAATGTTACAAAAGCAATTTGTTGTAAAATGTTTATTCCATATATCAACAATGATACATTATTCATAAAGCTAGGCTTATAAACTTTCTGATGTTCGAAAGAGTTGTCCCATGTATTCTCATTTTTCCATTTTGCACTGCATAGTCTCATTTTCCATTCAAGAAAACGGAAACTCGTTAAATTTAAGTGGTGTCTTTTGAAGATTTCCCATAGTTAAAGGTCTGGAATTTGTCTTCTTACTCCACATCCATTCTTCTTTCTCCTCTGTAATGTCTACCAAGCCTATGCTATTCCTGCTACAGTATCCAAGAGGAATGGGTTTGTGACTTTGCAACAATCCATTCAGGACCTTGAGTTGGAGATGATAAGAATGAAGCAGAATTTTTATGCCTATCTACTAACTCTCTCTTGCCACATGGAGCTCAATATTTAGCTATATTTAAAGACAAAATGATTGTTACAAAGATTTTGTTACCATTAATGATTCCCACCTGCACATAAGCTGAGAGAACAGGCTTCTCTGATGTTATTATCAGTCATATTTGGTCTCTCTTGGTTCCCACCCTGACATGGTGGAAAATGAAACATTGCCAAATTCTCAGCCATGAGAGTTATTTTGTGTTGTTACATGAACTTTTGCTGCATAAAAAAGAGAAAAGGGGCAGGAGGAAGCTTGTATTTTGTGCAGTGACAGAGTTCTGTCAACTGGTTCCAAAAATGGAATGTGATTGCTTCCATATGTGGACCGTATTATATCCGTATTATATTTGGACGAACTTATGTCTCACAGGACACAACCATTCTGTAGGAAGATAAGTTATTTAAAGAAATTGAACATCTGTGTTTTCAACCCTAGTGCTATCAATGAACGTTTAACTTGTTGTTTAGACCTTCAGAGAAAAAGTAATTTAAATGCTGAAAACTGTACTTCTGCTTTGTTTTACCACATTTAAAAAAAATTCTGAGGTTTCTTGTAACTTTTTAATAGGCTATAAGACTTGTGATTATTAACTAGGTAAAATAGAGCTAACACATTGAAAAAAATAATTTTCATATTCTGTAGTCATATAACATTTTTAACAGCTGAAATTGTCATAACATTGACATGTAAATTTACATGCTTATAATTTGCATGTTTCCCAGGCAAAGGTTGTTGTTTTTTTTAAAGAACTAGTTATTCCTCAAAATGTTAAGAACCAGTATACAAAGGATTCTTGAAAAATAGATGGAGTTGAGAACTTTGCCCATGCTGTTTTCTTTCCCTGGAATTTCTTCTGTCATTCTTGAATCTGGCCAAATTTCTTCATTTTAAAAGTCCTGACTTACAGGTTCCATCCTTAGTGAAAACCTTCCTAACTGTTGTAGGTAATCTTTCCTTGATTTGTGCTTCTGCTACTCTGACCCTCAGCCTCAGTTTGAGGCTCAGCCTGTTACAGTGTTTCCAATCTGCCTCCCCCTCTACAAGGTGATCTCTTTACACACTTGGATTTTTATTATTTATCCTCAAATGTTGACATGCACAGTAGGTGCCCAGAATTGCTTTTTGGTATGAATGAATAGTATACAGCATAATACCAATCTCAATAGGAAAGGTATCTATCTGTTCCTCATGTAATATCATTCAGGCCCTTTTCTATTTCCCATGCAGCTTTGCATCCTGGAATTATATTTTTCTTTTCCTTACGTCTTTTTCTTAATTCAGTAATCTAATTTTCTACTCATTCCTTGGATCTTGGTCTCATCTTTCTTTTCCTGTTCCCTAGAATCCTTTATACATATATAGATAGATAGATAGATAGATAGATAGATAGATAGATAGATAGATAGATAGATATAGAGAGAAAGATATATAGATATAGAGAGAAAATAAATAACTTTTTTGCCTAGTTACTATCAGTAATGTTTTAAACATATTTTCCTCTTCATGTTGAATATGGTATCTTCAGTTCTTTAAATGTTTCAGCCTTTCACAAACCCCTGTTGTTTTTATTTCTATAGTTTGCTTATCCTTCCATGATAAAAGGTCTTTCTGGGCCTATTTCTAATAGGCAAGTTCTCCAATTACCCTTGGCTTCCCTCAGTCTCCACATATATGTATCCTGTAAGAACTCTGATCTCAGAGCTTAATCTGGAGGGTGCAGTGATGTGAACAATCTGTAGTAAAATTGTCTATTACTGGAAAAATTGTCCTTTCTTCTATTTTAGTGTCAAACATTTAAAAATAATAATACTGAATATTGATGACAATTTTGAGGATGTACTGGTGGATGAGTAACCTTTAGGAACAACCATTGTGAAGGGTAATAAGTATCAAAGATTCTTATAATGTATCTCCTTTTAACGGATTCCACATTTAGGACTAATCTGACTCGTGCACATTTATGATCAAAATGTCCATAGCAGTGCTATTTTTAATAACAAAAAAATGGGAAATACCTGAATTCCAACCATAAGGACTTATTCACACAAGCATTGGTCATGTGCACAGTGGAATGCAGTTTACCTATTAAAATAATGTGAGAAAACTATATTGATATGAAAATGGATTTTATTATACAAAAAAAGATATTGTGAAGGGTAACAAATGCCATTTTATAGTAACAATTTATATTTGTGTATTGTAGAAGTAAAGATATAAAGAAATATACCACAATGTTGGCAATGTTTGTCTCTGGATGATAGTTATAATTATTCTATTTTTAAAATGTTGTTACAGATACATGTTTTTTAAATTTTTAATAAAGTGAACTTTATTATACATCTATTAAGGAATGTAAGAAAAACTAAGATTAAGAGACCATTGGATTGCCCGACTGCCTATTGAAGAGGTGTAAGTTCTAATAAACATTCTCGATGAGCAGGTGGGAAATGTGTTTTCAAATGGCCTAGTACAAAGGCTGAATTACCAGCACTAGAAAGTGATATTGACATGGATCCTGGGTAGATGCAGCATAATGTGGAGGCATTCCAAAGAGTCTGACTGCACTGCTAGCTCTTGAGTAGTGGGAAACAGGGAAGAGCAGAACTCCAGGATTAATATGAAGCTAGTTTACCTGGCAATGGACTTTGAAGAGTACAGAAGCTAAAGACTGAAGACTGTGAATGCAAGACCTTGAAGTGTGTCTTCTTTGATCAGAAAATAAGTTATCTCACCTGGTCATACCAGAGGCAGCTGAGGGACAGTATGGCAGACAGGCAAGGGCCCCAGGACTTTAGAACAATAACATCCAAAAGCCAAACACCTGGAAAGAATTGTTAAACAGCCTGTGTCTGG
Source organism: Homo sapiens (assembly GCF_000001405.40). Taxonomy (NCBI): domain Eukaryota; kingdom Metazoa; phylum Chordata; class Mammalia; order Primates; family Hominidae; genus Homo; species Homo sapiens. The sequence goes on along the minus strand of NC_000003.12, from coordinate 21,906,678 downwards.
ACAAATCTGTGGTTTTGGAGCCAAGGCTGGGCACAGAAAGAGAGTGGCACTGACCCATTACTGAAGGCACAGAACCCAGGGAAACCAAAAACAGGATGTTGGGTGAAGGCAAGGTCACATATGAAATCATTAAGTGATGAAAGGAAGCAGAGGCAAAAACTGGATCCATCCTGAAAGTTCTCCGTTCTTTCAGGACATAGAACTGTGTAGCTGGTAAAGCTCAGAGTAGTTCTGAAGGTAATGTTTTATTTAGGGCTTTGACCTTTCAAATGAGCAGAGCTTAAACTATCCAAAATACAGGTCCATTTGGATGCTACCAACTAAGAATTTGTAAGTCATTGAGCAATTATTGTGCGTCTTTCTATGTTCATCTTGTATCAGTGCTGGACATGGCTACTCATAAAGGAACTCACAGCAGAAACAAACCTGGGAAGAATGGGTTGATAATGACATTTCAGCAGATTAATTACAGTACAAAATAGTAGGTACTTTGAAGAAGGATGAACAAATGATTTGAAGGAAGTAACAGTCCATGGGGAAACACTGATAGCCTTGCAAAATGTTGTGTGGCTGGGTTTTAGAAGATGAGTAAGAGATGGATATGCGGAAGTTTAATTCTTTCTAAGCAGAAGAAATTGAATATACAGCACTGCTTCCTTTTTATGGGACTTGAACCCACTTGTTAGGTATTTATTTGTAGGTTTTCTCCTAAGCATCCATAATTCATATAAATTCCAGCTACATGGTTCAGTCTTTTTAATCTTTTTTAAAACAACAATTAACAGTTTTCATTTGTAGTTTTGATCTTGTTAAAATACGATTTTCCAGAACTAAAATAATTGTCAGGTACATATAAAGCAAATATATGAACTTTTTATTTCTGCCTCTATCAGACAAAGGTCAGGTTAGCAAGTAACTTTATTTTGTTTGAGACATTTAATCAATAGTAAAAAGTGTGTTGAACTGAATATATATATATATATATATATTACCACAGATGATCCTTGAATAACCTTTGACCATGTATGAGATTAAAAGAAATGCCACCTACCTTTAAGCCTTATGTCCAAATTTTATATAATATTTCTGATGCTCTGGACTTCCATCATTTGCTTTCCTTCCTTTCATTTTTTATCTTCCAGATTCTGAAGAGTTTAGCTTCTTGGGTCAAACCCATTTTTCTATCAGCCCTTCTTAAGTTGAGCAGTGTGCCTTGGTTAGAAATTGAGAATGATTGCCTGATGCTGACAAGCTAAAGTAAATGAATAAATACAACCTTGGATAAAATTTAGCCTTTATGTGATAAAAGAAAAGTCTGCTGCTATCTCTGAGTATTTATCTCTAAAATATTAATCACAGCTTGAGTTATGCATACAAAGTGACAGCTATGAAAAGTTGTTTTTGTGCATTTCCCTTTATAACATTAAAAATAATAAAGGCAGGTTTAGGGTTTTTTTTTTTTTTTTTTTTTTTGGATTTTTTGTTACTGGACCACCATGATACTCTGGGAAACTGATACTGATGAACATTAATTTATCTTGTAAATATCCAAGATTCTATAATGTCATAATCTCTAATACATATCATTATTTCCCTGAAAGTCAAAGATGTGTTCAACTTCTTACAGTGAAAGGTATTTTAATCTATTATAGATTTTTTGTTATAGTATTAATGAGATGAATCGTAGTTTATTTTTCACTCATCAAAAATATTCTTTTTTCTTTCTTGTACTTTCAGATAAACCCATATTCTAGAATATTCCATCTATCAATATCATTCTGCTTAGAAGAAACCAGTATTTGAGAGTCTGTTGTGTGTCTCAACAACATAATGCAAACATTTTCTTATTTTCTCATAAGTACTGTTCTTTCTGCAATCCAATGACATAATGCAAACATTTTCTCATTTTCTTATAAGTGCTATTCTTTCTCCCTAAATCTAGCATCACAAAAGAAAACAAAGCAGTAGACAATAACAGAAGAGAGAATTTCCAGTCAGTAATAATATGCTTCTGCTCCGTGATTTGCTGTGTGATTTGTGTTATTCTGCATTAGGGCTGGAAATATCATAAAGCTTTATCTAGGCTAGGCCCTTCATTTTACAGAAACAGAAAGAAGAATCCAGAAAGATGACGTGACTTTGCCAACTCAACGTAATCAAAGATGTGAACATTCTTTTGTATCTCAGTATGTATGATATTACGTATTTCGGAAATTAGCCTGCATAGTAGTTTTTTAAAATACATATTCAGTAATCCCAAAAGAACTATGCCACACTTTATTTTGTTGAAACAAGCAGAAAAATATATACTCTTCATAGTTAAAATGCATATTGAATCTTGAGCTTTACCAATTCTTTTTTTTTTTTTTTTTTTTTGAGATGGAGTCTCACTCTGTCACCAGGCTGGAGTGCAGTGGCATGATCTCGGCTCACTGCAACCTCCGCCTCCTGGGTTCAAGCCATTCTCCTGCCTCAGCCTCCAGAGTAGCTGGGATTACAGGTACTTGTCACCACACCCAGCTAATTTTTGTGTTTTTAGTAGAGATGGGATTTCAACCATGTTGTCCAGGATGGTCTCAAGCTCCTGACCTCATGATCTGCCTGCCTCTGCCTCCCAAAGTACTGGGATTACAGGCGTGAGCCACCATGCCTGACCACCAATTATAATAATAAATTGTATACACATATGGGGATGCAAACCTTTGAAAAGTCATCAAACATGCTGATACACTCTATGGTTGGTTTGATAAAGAAAAAAACAAATTCCAGAGGCTCATATTGAGTGACTTTTTATCTTTGAGTGTAAGATAAATTTCCCAGTAGATCTTTAATTATCACCCCCAGTTTCTCACAGGAAAGTCTTTCTGCTCATGACTGCACAAAGTCTTGAATGCCATATTTAATCTTTATTAGGGTTTACTCAAAGCTGACTTCATTATTTCTATTGCTTTTGCCAGAGAGACGTGTTCATGGATGACATAGACAGCTGTCATTTTAAAAAATGCTTATTGAGATACGATTTCTGTAAAATAAAATGCACCCTTTTTAAATGTACAGTTCAATGAATTTTGAGAAATTTTTATACCACTGCAATCATCACCATGATCAAAATACATTTCCATCAACTTGTAAAAGTTCTGTAGCAGCCATCAATTTTGATTTTCATACAATACTTGTTTAGATACTTGGCCTTTTGACTGCCTGAGATGATACTGTCTATGAAGCCAGCCTCAGAGACTCCGAAGATCTTTTAAAAATAGAGTACAGGTGTGAATGTGACACAATAGAGTTAGGGTCACAATTTTAAATGACTGAATCATTGCACCAAATCTTGCCTTTTGCCCCCTGCTGTGATCCCTGAAGTAAGTCTCCTCATACTCATCTAATTCTATAATAGTCTGTTTGAAAGAGAAGGAAATGCCTCCTGAAATTCTTTTCATGATCGGTTTCTGCCCTAAGGCTAGAAAGCATGTTCATATTACTAGTTATTAAAATGGGTCACCCTTTTTAGAAAGATGACCGGGAGATTTAGTTGATCTTCTGGTCTCAAGACCGCAAGTCATGGTGCAACAGGTGCAATCATTTTATAGGTATGGGGTTGCAAAGCTAGCACTGCGAAGGTTGTTTACTTACAAATCACCATGCCAGAAACTCAGTTTTATTAGACCAATGGTGAAGTTTGAGTTGTGGTCTCAAAGATGACAGAAACAGGTCTGTATTGATGAGGTTAGATAAAGAACAAAGACCACTGAAAGTCTATCAAAATAAAACTCTTCAGTAAAGCAGCCAGTTACTCCTACTAAAGGGGTGTATTATCAGTTTTTTAATTATTATTATACTTTAAGTTTTAGGGTACATGTACACAATGTGCAGGTTAGTTACATATGCATATGTATACATGTGACATGCTGGTGTGCTGCACCCACTAACTCGTCATCTAGCAACAGTTTTTTAAAATGCCATTTTCTTTTAAATGACTCTGCCTTGCTTCCTTGAAGATAAAGTTTTAGAAATAAATAAAAATAGTGACTTAAGAAAAATAATTTTCAATGACACCATTCTGCTGTTTCTTTAAAAAGACCGATTAATTTCTACTCCTGGAGAACCCCTTTCTTTTCGTTTATCGTCTCAATGAAAGCTACTTGATTCTATAAAAGGAGGAAAAGGAATAGGAGAAAACAAAGTCATGTAACTTGATCTATTCCCATCAGATACTCCGCTATTTCCTACCAAGATACCGGTGATCACCTTGGCAAAGTCACATCATCCCTCTGGATCGATCTCTATTTTTGTTTCTGTAAAATGAAGGAACTAGAACAAATGAAGCCCTATGACATTTCCCACCCTAACATAGAACAACACAAGTCATACTTGTCTCAGTTAAATCATGGACTAGAAGACCTATTTTTACTGTTTGAGGCCTTTATGAGCCCTTGAGACCATGATGACCATTGAGAGCATTACAAAAGAATTGTGTATCCTTGAAGGTTTTAAGCTTAAATTTAATTTGAAATAAAGTTTTAAATGTGTATAGGTAATACAGATTTCTACAAATGTTTTGTCATGAATGAAAGAAACTTTTAATCTAATTCTCTAGGCACAACCTTGAATTTCATTACTGAATGGAACTTGAAGTTTAGTGTCATGTTTCAGGAGACCAAAGGGAATAAAGAATAGCTTATCACCCAATGGACAGAGAGACTGTGACCATCCTGCCATTCTTGAAAGCTGATACGAGGAAACAAGGGAACTAAACATGGTAGTTTTAATACTAGACTGAACGCTCTTCTGTGTCTTCCTTCCCTTTGCTGAGATTCTTCTTTCGTTATCCAAGTATTTCTACTTTCCTTTTTAACCTCAAATAACCTGTTAGTCTGGGTCTTCCTGTACCAACTTATCCCCTAATACTTGTCACATTTATAGCTTTCTTCAAAGTTGCTTGTTTTGCAAGTTAATACATTGGTCGAACACGTAAGCTTTGGTGCTAAATAAAGTATCAGATTGCGACACTACCAGTGAACTGTTTATTTAACCATCCTAAACTTTAATCTCATCTGTGGAATGAGGATAATGATGTACCTTAGATTGCTGTGAGGATTAAATGGCAGTGTTTCTAAAGCTTATATCACAGTGCCTGGCATCCACAATGCATGCAATGCACACCAACCATTTTTATTACTCCTGTAACTATCCTACTCCCACACTATTATTACATTATTGCCTAATGTGTATGTTGGTAGCTGTTTAATGTACTTTTTGAGAGACAGGAAGCTTCTTAGTTTATTTTAATTCTCAGCTTTCTATATGCTTCCAAACTTTGGAGATAAAGCATTGGTAAATATGATGATGAAGATTCAACTGTAAACCAAAGTTTAGGCTTGGGAGGCGTGGGTGGAAATTAAGAGGTAAATAAGTGGCTCACGCCTGTAATCCCAGCACTTTGGGATGCCGAGGCAGGGGGATCACAAGGATTTAACCGTTCTATGACCTTAAACATAGCCTTTTAATTTTATCATCTATAAATGGAAATAGATAACAGGATTATATTGAGAATTAAATAAAATAATGCAGCCAATTTGCTTAGCGCAGCACTTGCTACTCAATAAATGTTGCTCATTAGTGTTATGATGTTTATTATCATCATCCAAGGGCAATACCAAGATTACAGTAGGAAGAGCACAGGCATGGATGCCAGGCAAGACCTGGCTGGTGGCTTTACCTCTCTGAACCTTAGTGTCGTCATCTATAAAGTGGAGATTATAGTGCTTTCCTGGGAGGGCTATTGTATGAACTAAATTAGATGATGTCCAGGCATGGGGACTTAATTAATTACCAGCTTTTATCCCAGTGCAAGGCCAAAGTCAGTCACTAGAGACCTTTTACTAGGTGCCAAGTACCACCTACTGAACAAATCACAATGAATTATTTTTCTTTTAACGTGTGTATGTATGTACATATGTATTGTATGTCTTTTATATTGACAACAAGCTAATACCACTATTTTTATTTTTTCAATTTAACTTCTTGGTTTAAGTCCATACTATAGTCTGTCTTCTCTGAATTGTCAGTTCTTATTCTGGCCCCATGTATCTATTGCTTTGTTTTGCTATTTTTCTAAGAACCTAAATGAACACTAATAAAGTATGCATCTTAACCACTTTTCTCATATATTTAAATTGACATTTTTCTAAGATCTTTGTTTTTCTTTTTGTTATAGTAATCAGCAAAGATATATTATTGTAATCAATAACAACATTATTATAAAGAGGTCACAATGTTTTTCTCATGTGTTGAAGCTGGGTAGGTTGCTTTCTTCCATTGATCTGAAAATATTCCATTTTATTTTCCATTTGATTTTTTCCATAATTTGATTTGCCTTTCACATTTGACTCTGTTATCCAACTAGAGTTAAATTTGCTAAATAAGGTGAGACGTGGCTCCAACTGTTTTCCTCTAAATTGCCAACATTCAATGTTTCCCTTTTCTGCTTTTATCTTTGTTGAAACATAGAAAGTATCTCATGGTTGTTTTAATTGGCATATCTTTGATTTTTGTTAGGTTGAACATTTTCTCACTAGCAATTTGTGTTTCTTGTTTTGTAAATAACCTACTTAGACTCTTAGTGCAGTTTCTCAAGTGCTTTTTTTGAACATAGGGTTGAAAAGCATGTCTTGCCACCTGCCCAACCACTTAACTTAAACCGTGTCACCTGACATTGAAGCTAGCTGTTTTTGGTCTTTTACTTAGAAGGAATTCAACTGGTCTGTTTATTAGTTAAAGTTGTTCCATTTTTACTATATCTTAAGCAAGACTTCAACTTTTCTGATACTATTGGGAGTAGGGCAGGGAGGAATCATCATTTTAGTGGGAAATTTGGCTACAGAGAATTTAAATATAAAGCAATAAAACTTTAGTATAGCAAATATATTATGTTTAGTAGGAGCAAATATAAAGCAAACATAAAGGCACCAAATATAAAGCAGTAAACCTTTAATATATTGTTCATTTTACCAGGGAGAAAGCAGAAGCCACAAAAGGTTCAGTTAGGTGTCTAATGTCACAACTGATAAATGTTTATTCACAGTCTCCTGGGGCATGATCTAACAGTGGTTCTGGAGATGTGGTGCCTAGAGCAACTGCATAATTGTCACCTGGGAACTTGTTGTAAATGCAAAGTTTTGAGCCTCCATCCCAGACATATTGAATTAGAATGTCTGGGAATGGGGACCAGTAATGTGTGCTTAACAAGCCCTTTAGATAACTCTGATGTTTTCTGAAATTTGAGAACCACTGATCTAATAGATTCTTTTCCCCGGTGGGAGAAACTATTGCTTCCTCGTGAAAGGAATCTTGATTTTATTTATATATCAAAAGGCAGTTTGACCAGGGAGGGTGAGCTAAATCCTAAGACAGGGTTTCTCAACTGTGGCACTATTGATACTTTGGGCCAGATAATTTTTTGTCATAGGGCACTGTCCTGGGCATTGTAGCACGTACAGTAACATTCTTGGCATCTAGATGCTATATGCTAGTAGGACACCCTCCTGCCTAAGTTGTGACAGCCAGGAATATCTCCAGGCATTGAAAAATGTCCAACTGGGGAATAATAAACATCCCGTTCTCCTGATGGGAACTATTGTCTGAGGGAATAACTCAACTTTGCCCTAATGTGAATATTATAATCTCATTCCTAATTGCTTGTAATGGGGAAAATGGCATGTGACCCCGTTCTGGCCAATGAGACGTGAGGAGAAGTCATCTGAGGGGTCCTCAGAAAGATTTTCCTGTCCAGTAAAACTGGAGATGCGTAGGGAAAAATGTCTCCTTTATTTCTTTGGTTTAGAGATTATCTTTATGAATGTGATGCTGAGAGTCGTGGTAGCCTTTGCTTTATCAGGGGAAAGATTATAAGATCAGGGAAAACTTGTCATAATTGAGTTGCTTCATCAATCAGTCCAGAAAACAGTGACTTTCAGGCTTCTGTTACTTGAAAAAGGGCCTATTGTTTTTGTAATCTTTAGTTGGCTTGTGTTACTTTGGCTAATGCTTCCTAACTGACACATTCACAATGACTAGAGATGTTGCATTTACAACTTCTGGTAAATTGGAAGTTATAATATATCTATCTACTTTAGTTCTTTTCCAGTAACTGAAATGAAGCAGACTAGAAGTATAAATAATATGAAACAATACAGAACTATACATAGAAAAAAATCTGGAAGTAGTTTCTGCATGAACAACATTTTCTTATGTGTTTATGTAGGAAGTTTGTCTTCCAATAGCAATGAAAATGAAACTCTCCAGAAATCAAATTCAGGTATCTATATTAGGAAAATTCCATTACAATGAGCTGTGTTAGTATAGAGTAGAGCCATTAGGCTTGATCTCAGGGGGGTTTTATTAGCGAATATGTGCCCAGGTGTCTTCATTGTTCGGTGATAATAAAATGTTTTGTGATATCGAACATCACTGAAATGTAATTTTATCTCCTTATTGTGCATTGTTTCTTTTTTGTTTTAAAATAAATTGGCCTCAAAAGTAATACTTAAATGCTAGAGGGATGGAAAGTTGTACATTTTCATTCACATACTTCCTAGTCTAACATTTGACGATACAAAAATACAATCCCAGTGCACATGATTTAGTCATCTTTCTATGTTTATAAAATAAACCTCTAGGTGGATAAAGAGGAACAATAAGTTTTGGTTGATATAAAGGTGGAAGCTAGATGGTTCAGTTTTTTAAAAACTAACAAATAACAACAAAAATAATAAATCCATGCTGGGTATTGATTAGGCTTTAGCTGTCTTCTTTTCGATACACACTAAGATAAGACTCCAGTCTCAGTCTTGGTTAAATTAATATGGTGATCACATGAATGCATCTATATGAAGTTCTGCGCATATAATCCTAAATCAAAAATTTCTGTTTGTGCACCCATACACCCACTGTGCAACTAGGGTGGGCTAGAGGAGAAGCAAGATGCCTTCTCTGAACATGTCATCCAATCCACCAGATGGTTCATAGCTTACCTGGAAAAAAAAATCTGTTTGATGTTTGTTTCTCCTCTTGCTCAGTCACTGTCTCATCTTAATCGTCTGAAACCTAGAAAATAAATGAGAGTTAGCCACAATCAGCACACCCTATATAAAATAGTAAGGAGAAATGGAAGTAGAAAAAAGGAGAATTTAGTTAGCTAAATAAATACATGATGCCGTAAGGGGCATAAAATAAAATAAGGATAGCCGCCACAGTCTTGATTTTGCAGCTAGTCATGAGACTACGGATACTCAGAAGAAGCACATTGGATCTCCTGTGTTTGAGGTATATGTTCTTATTATATTGTTCTTACTATATAGTTCTTAGTAATCAATATCAGTCACCCAGGCAATGTATTAATCCCCCTCTTGCCTGTTTATCAATAATGTGAGAATTCTGAAATAGCCATGTGGCAGGCTCAAGAGAACCATTATTGTATTCTCTGGTCTAAGCATTCTTATCTCAGGTAGTAAAAAACCCCTCCAAACTAGCAGAGTCGAAAGGGGCAAGACTATTGCAGCCTCCACCTGATCAGCCAAAGTCTTGCCTTTAATAGGTCTGTATTCATGTGTACTTGGGTGATAACGTCAGCAGTAGCTATTTCATGACTGCCTTTCAAGGACTACCAATATTCCATACTCTAATTGTAACTCATTCCTCACTGCCTACAAACACAGCCATCAGAAAAATGATCCCAGTTTTTTTCTTAAAGTTTTGCTGCCTACAATGACTTCTAGAAGTCTGTGTCTTGGCCAGAATTCTCCATTGCAGACAACAAACTCACCTCTGTCTAGTTTAAGCATTTAAAAAAAAAAAAAAGTATTAAGAACACATTGGAGAAATACAAACACAGAACCTAGTGCGAATGTCAAGAACATTTTCTGATATCATATCATGAGCCCTTCCCACCCCCTGACACTCCCAAAAAGGAACTACTGCGTCTCTCATATCCATGCATCATTGCATCAGAAAAATAATACTGTAATTTCTGGCTCTAAAATCACACAATTTGTACCACAATCAAGTACCTCCTAAATAGGAAGCTCTTTTATAGCTGTTGGTTCGAGGGACGTGCTGCCCTGTTCATAAAAATATACCAGGGGGAAAAAAAGGCCCAGGCCCCACCTCTTTGCCCCCATATAATTCAGTTCAAAATTAAAGTACCCCATAGGTATATCTGATTGTAGAACCCAAATCACATATATGTGCCTTAGTGTTAAGGGAGGCAGAGAAATTTTTTGTTTTATTTTGTTTTTTTCATTTACCTTTAGGAAGTTGGTATCTACACCATGGGTAAGTATCTATTAAAATATAGATACTTGAGGCAGCCACGAGTGACATATATCCAAAGCATCAAAGATCCCAAAGGTCAGCTCTTTCCTACTCAAACTTAACATGTTTATCATGTAAACTGTTCAGGTGATGTAATTACAGGCATCCCAAGCTTCTTTTTTTCTGGTTTCCATTAACATTCTTGCCAGTGGAAACATAGAGTCACAACATCTCTCTTACTGTCATATTGTCATGGGAGCAGGGATATATCAGGAGCCTCATTAATTCCAAATGTCGAAGAGAGGAATTCCTTACACAAGTCAAAAATTTTACTTTAATGTGGCCCAAGTAACTATTTCTCTAATTAAAATAATTGTCATTGTCGAAACCGCAAAAATTTTGGTGACATCATTTGACATTTTAAAAAGTTCTACAAATTAGACACAAAATTTTTGATTTTAATGTAAATCAAACTTCTAGGAGACTTCATAGACTCTTTTTCCTTTCCCTGCCATACGTCCAAGATCTTAACATCCCTTGACTGCCTGCATATTTCCATCTTGCAAACTACTATTCACTTTCTTTTATCATTTAGCTCTTTCCTAAATATTACCTAGTTGAATCCCCTAAACTTGGTTTCACTTCCCACTCCAACCGGTCCTGCATACTGCCACTATACTTTATTTTCCCCAAAGGGAAATCTTTCATGTTTAAAAACACTTCAGTGGGCCAGGCATGGTGGCTCATACCTGTAATCCCAGCACTTTGGGAGGCCGAGGTGGGCAGATCACTTGAGGTCAGGGGTTTGAGACCAGCCTGGCCAACATGGTGAAACCCCATCTCAACTTAAAATACAAAAAAAAAAAAAAAAAATTAGCCAGGCATGGTGCTATGAGCCTGTAGTCCCCAGCTTCTCAGGAGGCTGAGGCAGGAGAATCACTTGAACCCAGAGGCAGACGTTGCAGTGAGCCAAGACTGCGCCATTACACTGCAGTCAGGGTGACAGAGTGAGACTCTGTCTTAAAAAAAAAAAAAAAAAAAAAAAAAAGCCACACATTTCAGTGATTCAACCATAGCAAAAAGGCATCTTCCAGCTACTTGTAGGAATCTCATGTCCGCCATGTTCTGACTCCTATCTTTTTGAATATACTTAGCTCTTACCAGTTACCCTGGTGAACTCTAATCAGTCAAATAGAAATACCTCATTTTCCATATATACCAACCTATTTTTAATCTGGGTTTTGGAACATGCATGTCTTTGCTTGGAATGTCTTCTTTTCCACACCACAGATTCTTATTTTACCATCTGTTGCGTAGCTCTCCCTGGCCTATCTGCTATTTACTCTGTGGTATTCCTACTTCACTTTATGCATGCCATCATTATTGTGCTCACCTCTCTGTGTTTTGCTGGGTGGTGATTTTTGCTGTTTATAAACATCTGTGTCCTCTCTTTGCCATGAGCTCCTGGTAGAGGTCACTTTATATCTTGACTCTTCAGAGGTTGGCATGGTGTCTGGCATTGTGTCAAGCTCTACGTTTCTTCTGAAAGGGTTGTAACACTGCAGTTATATGCTCACCTAAAACTTATTGCTGCTTGTAAGATTTAAACTCAGCAATATTGAAACCATTGCTGATCATTACTTAAATATATCAGTCATTTAAAATAGACATTTCAGATCTGTGGTTGCTAACTTAGCCACTGGAGGGAGCCCATATACCATGAATTTAGAGGATAATTACAACTCACAAACTATATTAAGTATAAATAATTACAAAGAAGGTCTTTAAACAAAATAAGGTGAGCTTTGCTGTTGTAAAGTCATAGCTATAACTAGTCTTTCAGCTGAAAATAAATAAAAGTGTGTTTTCATCACAAAGATAAATCATATTGCAAAAGAAAGGAAAGAGCAAATCAGAAAGAATTAGAAAGTTTAAAACTCAGGGATGTTTTTGGCTTCAAACATTTGCTCAAAAATTTTTCTTTGCATTTATGCCAATATAATATTTTAATCTTAATTTTTTAACAAATCGTGCTCTCCAAGAGGTAATATTACATGAATTGACTAAGTATAACATACTAGTTCTTAAGATAGTATTTGTGACAGTGGATTATTAACCTAATGGTCTCAATTTGTTTAACTTTAATTATTATAGAGGTAATACTGTTGTTTTTCTTGTTATGTTGTTCAAAGGAAAATAAATCAGAAATTATCTAGCTTAGTGCAATTTAAAAATACGTTTTGATATATATGACTATGCAAGTTTAAAAATTTAAGAGGTTTTAAGGAATGGAAAACATGTATCTAACTGCCTCGAGACACAGAAACAAGTATTCTATCATTGGATATTTTTGAACTTCCTAAGTCCAGGTGAAAGTTTTGAACATGTTAAAAGTTGTTTTTGTAAGTTATCTAAGGCAATGATTATGTTTAAATTGAGCTATACAACCTGTACAATGAAAATAATTTTCCGTTTGCAAGATAAAATTTAAAAACTAAATACAATTTCAAGTGATATTATTAAAAGTCTGCAGAGATGGTTGCCTTATTAGGGAACTAGAATTTACAACCATGGCTTTGATAAAATGTGGAATATCTCTTTTTTAATTCTCTGAGTTCTAAAATAGCTAGACTTGACGAGAGGGAAATTCTCCTTGTTGCCAATTCTCAATTTCCATGCAACTTTCAACCTTCAGAATACTGTTGGTACTCTGTCTTGGCATGGCTAGAATTTCAAATGAACTTCTAACGATAACTGATTTGAATGAGTTCAGGGGGAAAACATTCAATGAGCTAAATTATTTAAGGACACAATAAAGTGCTTAGAGGTTTATATTTCACATAAAGGCTAGTTAAGTAGCCTTTTAAAATATTATTTATGGAGATCATGACTCATCTTTGCATATCTCATGTGCTAATTCCCAGACCACAGACCAGTGCAGTAAAACAGCTCGATGACATGAGTGCCATTTAAGAATAAGCTGTCTGTGCAAGGCACTTTTTTGTTTGTTATTATTTTTTACCATGTTTTACATTTTGTGTCATACCTCCTTCCCTTCCATAAATGTGCAATTCATATTTGGAATGATGTGTATCTGTGCTAAAAGCAGATGTGGATGAGGTACGATGACAATCCAGTTTGTTCTGCCTTATGTCTACAATGCTTCTAATCTACCAATACTCTTCCACATCAACAATACCTGGAATTCTCACCATTTTAGATGAGAAACTTAAAGCTCTGAGAGGTTACGTGACTTACTTGATATCATGCAGGGAGTGTTACAGCCACCATTCAGGCTAGTCCTATTTACCTCTAAATTCTATTTTCTTCTCTTCTCCTATGTTTTTCAAGCTTTTCTGATTGGAGTTTATTGTAAAAATCACACTTTACATAGGACCAAATACATACACGCAATAGAAATTGTCCAAAAAATGCTTATTTTTACAATATGTCACTTACTCTGACATTCTGCATTCTATTCTATTCTATTTCATTTTGTAAAATATAAAACAAGTGGACTTTACAATCCACAATGCATGGTTTAAAAAATCACTAATCTGCATCTTATTTCTTGGCGTTATCTTGCACGTGAGTAAATAGTTTTTGGAAATTAACTTCAGAGGGCTATAGACCAATTGAGGTAAAAGAAGTAGAAAAACTGGTGGAGAGAGTGAATGTCTCTTAAATGTAATTAAATTTAATTTAAATTTAAAGTCTGTTAAAGACCTATGTTTAGCTCCTTTGCAAATAAATAGGACTTGTTTTGGTAGGAAACCAGTAAGTCTTAATCCTGATATTTCTTCAAGTGTATTTTGAGAAAAGTCATGCTTACATTAATGAGTTTTACCAAATCAGTAATGATAATAATAGTTTTAAATCTAATCAGAGCAAAGCACAAACAAGTCTATTTGGAGGAGCAAAATTGAGTTAAGGGTAAGAGCACACTTTGAAAATGATTTCTCTGGATTGTTGTATTCTTAGAGATATCTGGAGGAATTTATTTGGGCAAACCTGAGGCAGTCATTTGCTATTATTTCTCCTTCTAGGTTTCTGTGCTGAGCCAGCATATTCCTGGCACTGTAGCGCTTTCAAAGCTGTGCACTATAGAGGCTGAGAAATTCAGGCAAACATCCCTTTCACCTAAATTCTATATATTCAAATTTTTCCATCTCAATTATAAAAATAAGATTTCATTTGAGGTGTTTTAATTTCCATTGCTTGTAGTGATATTTTCATTCAGAATGCTTCCTATCCCACGAAGCAAGTATTGGGAGTTAATTTTTGAAGAAAAGTTTCAGTTGCCCTCGAAACAAACCAATATCATATAAACTACAGTTAAATTAAAATGGATATTTTGCATGAACACATGGAGACCAGTATCTTTGCTGCTGTTGATAATATTTCCTTGATTTAGTATTTGTGATCAGCTTGGTTCTCACTTTGAAAAAGCTATTAAGCAGACAGAGTGAAACTTTTCTAAATCACATCAATGACAGAAAATCCTATGGATTATTGAATTGGGGGAATTAGTATAAATTTAAAAGTAAGTGAAACTTACTGTGTCTTCAGAACTTTAAAAATATACCATTTAGGGATAATGACAATAGACTACCACCTCATTAATTAGTATCTCAGATTGTTAGAAAACGTCAAGGCCTCTCAGCCTAATTTCAAACTAATGTAACCACTTGTGTTAGAATATTAACTGGACATTTTCCACTGCTGTGACATCAAAGCATTCATTCCATCAATGAATATTTATTATTTCCTGTGTGCTGGATTCTAGTTTAATTGCCAGATACACACAAGTAAAACAGAAATAAACCCATGTCTTATATCATTTACCTCTGAGGAAAAAAGATAGTAAACAAATAACCATATAATGAGGTGTGTGACAATGATAAGGCCATTCAGAAAACCAACAGGATAAGGGGTTGAAAAATGAATGGTGTGGTCAGGATGGCTGGGCAGACATTTGAACTAGTCACGCATTACTTGAAAGCTGTGCTTTAAGGTATCAAAATGTATTTTTTTATATTTTTTTTACCTGTGATCTCAGTGTACTTCCTGGATAGCTCCTTGTTCATTCTATCCATTAGATAGATAATACTGACGATGAGAGTCTTAACAATGAAAACAGAACAATAATAACAATAACGAAATATCTGTTTATTGATTACCTTCTGCGTGTCAAGCAATAATTAGATAAACACTTTCCCTCTATCCTTTTATTTTCATAAAAATCTTATAGAGTATTACTTTAACCATTTTGCAAATGATGAAATTATAACTTCCTAGAAAACCTATAAATTTGCTGTACAACTATTGTCAAAGGTAAAATCCAAACCTGTATTAGTCCAGTTCCAAGTGGGTTTGCTTTTCTGCCATGCTGCTTTAAAAATTCACTTTCTCTTCTCCCACCTTGAAATTCTTAAATACTGTTGGAGACCAAAAACAAAATTATAAAAACAAAAATCGTACAACCAATGTGGTTTGAAACCACTGAAAGTTCATGGTGTCTGTTTTCCTTTGGCTTCTCCATAATGCAAGTCAATCCTTATTTATCTTTTTGACTCTTTATTACCCCTTCCCATCAGCAATTCTTCTGCTGCTTCTCTTGAATACTTGAGCTGCCCATTTTGCCATTTCTCTACTTCCTTAAGAAAATAGCATCTTTTCTCATACCTGTCTGTGTCACCGTAACTTACCTTTTTTCTCTTCTCTTCTCTTCTCTTTTATTTTCTTTTCTGAGACGGAGTCTCACTCTGTCACCCAGGCTGGAGTGCAGTGGCGCGATCTTGGCTCACTGCAACCTCCGCCTCCCAGGTTCCAGCAATTCTCCTGCCTCAGCCTCCTGAGTAGCTGGGATTACAGGGGCCTGCCACCATGCACAGCTAATTTTTGTATTTTTAGTAGAGATGGGGTTTCACCATGTTGGCCAGGCTGGTCTCAAACTCCTGACCTCAGGTGATCTGCCCGCCTCGGCCTCCCAAAGTGCTGGGATTACAGGCATGAGCCACCGCTCCTGGCCCCATAACTTTTATTATACTGCCTGAGTCTACCATCATTCTTTCTTTCCCACTTCTTTTAGTCTTAAGGAAAACTTTTTTTCTCAGTTTGAGACTAATCTGTTACCTTCAAATTCTCTCCCTCTATACATCAATTATTCCCTCTCTTGCTTATATAACCTGCACATAATATTAGGGTTTGTAGGATGTTATGGGTTGAATTGCATCTCCCCAAAAAGATATATATATGTTTGAAGCCAAATCCACAGTACAGCTGAATTTGATGTTATTTGCAGATAGGGTATTTAAAGTGGTAATCAAGTTAAAATGAAATCACTAGGGTGGGCTCATCTAATATGACTAGTGTCTTTATAAAAAGGGGAAAATTCACACACAGGCACACGCACACACAGGCACACACAGAGATGCTATGTGAAGATTGGACTTACTGACACAAGCCAAAGTACTATTAGAAGCTAAGGAAAAGGCCTGGAACAGACTCTTCTGTGGCACCTTCAGAGGGGGCTTGATCCTGCTGACACTTGATCACAAACTTCTGGTCTCCAGAACTGTGAGATAATATATTTCTGTTTCTAAGCCATTCAGTTTATGGTACTTTGTCATGGCAGCCCTTGTAAACTCATACACAAGGTAGCATCAGAGAAACATACTTCATCCTTCTCCCCTAAACCCAAGTACTCTTCTCTATGCTTCCCCTGGAGCCTCTTCCTTTCTCCCTGAGGAATTTCTCTCCCCAGTTTTTTTTCTGAAGAAAGTTAAGGGGCAATAAAGTCCTATTTGATTCTAATTAATATAAAATGGCAGTCTCAAATGGCCAGATGGACATTACAAGCCATCTCTTGCTTCTGTAAAGAGCACTGTGGGTTCCTGGAACCCCTCCCCACTGGGTGCTATCACTGGGGATCATCTCCTACTTTTCTTTCCACAGAGGCCAGTACATTTCCACCATCTGGTTGGTTACAGTGCTAATTCAGGCTAGGTCGTCTGGCGCCTCACCTCCCCCATCTTGCATCTGAGGTCTCCTTGCCCTTCTAGCTGGCCCCTTAGGGAGGATCTATGGCAATACTAGGCCTGCTGTGTTTCTCATGTGTGTTCCATCTGATCCATGAGAAACAAAGACCTTTAATATGATCAGTGGGACTAAAGCTGCTTCAGGTATTCTCTAGTACTACAAGCAGCCTCAGCTAGTTGCTTCTCTGTTGTCTATTTCAGTGTCAGTTGTTTGCCCTCTGCATCCCCTAAACTGTTCTTATTAAGGTCTCTGACAAATGTCCTTACTGTACATCTCATAAATGTCAAGGGCACTCCCCACACACAGTCTACTCTCTGAAGAAGTCATCTATAGTTTCCTGAGTATCTCTAGACCTGCAGCCTCTTTTATTGGTGTAAGGAGAGGAGTAAAGTAATTTTTCTGATACCATCTTCTAAGTCCTGCTTTTTGAGCAAGTCACTGGCTGTAGCAGGTGGTCAGACAGGAGCCACAGACTTGGCCCTCTGCCGTCACCTTGGCAACCTCAACTTAGATGAACAGGCACCTCATTTTGGGAAAACTCGCCACCTATCTTTCTTGTTATCAATTTGAGATTTTGGATAAATGAGAAAAATGGGTCCAGTTTTAACATCCTGTTACTCATTTATATTCCTCCTCTACCCTCTACTTGCCCTTCTCCCTTTTTTCTGTTTCCTTTTTAGCCAAGCTTCCTGAAAAAGTAACTAGACCTGCTGTTTCCATTTTATTTCAATTCTTAATCTTCTGTTTCCGCAGCAACACTGAAAACTATTCCAGAAGTTACTAATAAACTCTCGGTTGTTCCTTCTGGTGTTTGATTCTCTGTTCTACTCTCTGGTACTTATGAAACTCTAGGAACCACGAGAAATCCCTGACCCCTTTTTACTATTCTCTTTCTCTTTTCCATCTGCTTCCCAATGGTTCTTCTTCCTCCAACTTCAATTCAGTGCTAGTGGTCTTCAAGTCTCTTCCTTGGCCCCTATTTTGTTTTATTTTATTACTTTTTTACTTTCTCTCTTTGCAATATACCACAATATAAAAGATTTTTTCTAATCATTTGCAAATCTGAAAGTCCATACTAGCTTACTTTTATAAGTTCCACATAGTTATTTAACCACCTAATGAACATTTTTGAAGCAATACAATTTTGAACTGTTATACTTGATACAAAATTTTGCAACCAAGCAATTGAGGAATAATTAACTAGAATTTAAAAAAATTATGAGATGTTTTTTCCAAAAAAGGGGGGGAGCAATTATTGAGTTTGAATAAAAGGGGGAAAAGAAAGTAAACAGATTCTTAATCATTTAATCACTTTATTTTAACAGTAATTTTATTCATTGTGATGTATTTTTAGTAAGTAGTTAGGTTATTTTACAAAGTATTAATATTATTTCAATGGACATGTGTAACCCATTTAAAAACCTTCTGTTACAATTCAGAAACAACAGTATTTTAACTCATTCTATCAATTAATTAACCATGCATTTTTTTCTTTTCAATTCCTGACATATTCTTAGTGATATAGGAAAAGATGGTATCTCAAGAGTATTTTTTCTGTGTATTATTTAAGACTCCCTAGAGCCTAGGGTAAGTCTTAGACACTTTGTTGTCTGATTTTAAATTTATAATTTTTCTGTTAGATGTGGCCTAAGGAATATTATGTAGCATCTTTGTTACTCTTATTACCTATTTTGTTTTTGTTCTATCACACGATTTTTCTCCTAAACAATTTCCATGAGAGCAAATTCCATATATGTTGTTACCATTTGCCTCCCTAATACTCAGAAGTTGACATATAATAATTTTTAAAATGTTTAAAAACTAAAACAAAGTGTTATTTTTGTTTCTATAGAATTTACCATCTGCTAGACTTAGAAAACATTCAGATTTTAGTTGTTGCTGTTTTTTGCTCTTTTAAATTCTCCATCTACAAATGCTCTCCCTTCATTTCATAAATTTATTTTTACAAACTATTTTATTAATGTGCATAGTTAAGTTTCCTTGTATAATTTCTAAAATGTCAGAATTAATTATTGGTAGTAGATAATTAAGGGGCATACTTAGAAACAAACTATTTAAGACTAAATCCACAAGCCCAAAT
Source organism: Homo sapiens (assembly GCF_000001405.40). Classification (NCBI taxonomy): domain Eukaryota; kingdom Metazoa; phylum Chordata; class Mammalia; order Primates; family Hominidae; genus Homo; species Homo sapiens. The sequence goes on along the minus strand of NC_000003.12, from coordinate 21,887,225 downwards.
ATCTTTGATGACATTTCCCTTCATGAAATAGTCACTTCACAAACTACGGAAATCCATTAAAGTCCTGTCCTCATACAAATTTCTCAAAGGTAAAATTTGTAGGTGATTCTCCTTCAAGAAGGGACCTTTTATCTCCTAGTGGGAAGCATAATGGGGCAACTTGACACATCCATAAGAAAGGATCAATAAATGCTGCTCCCAAGGGGACATCCTTGGAGGGGCAAAAAAGGAAAGGAACATGTTAAATCCTTTGAAAACGTGTGGCGTTGAATGGAGTGGCAGACGTTCTAGTCATTTGGCCGACCCATATGAATGAAAGTATGTAATGGGAGGGGACCCACGGGGGCACTGCTGATCCAATCACACCACAGGGAAAAATTAAGTTAATGTCATTAGGTAGGGAGAACTATTTAAAAATATACAACTCTTTATTAGATTTTCTTATGAGAGGTCAATGCTAATCATGTATTTGAACTCAAATCCCATCAGCTTATAATTCTCTTTGGCAAATGTTGACTAGATGCTATCACATAAATATATATCAGCTGTCTATACCTCCATTTCTTTCTACAGATGCACTCCAGTTCAGTACAGACAATGTAGCATTTTAAGATTCCATGAGACTAGGCCTGAACAAGACTCATAAAAATTGTGGTTTTTCTGAGCCGTCCATCCAATATCTGCTTGAGTTTTATTTCTTCAGAAAGGATAAGGAACAGAGTTAGTCACAATGAGCAGCATCATTGAAGGGTGGTGCTCAGAGAGGACGGGAGGTGAAAGGATGTCAAATGCAGAAAGGGCTCAGTTCAAATGTTGCACAGTTCTGAACCAAGAAAAGGGGTAGAAAGTTTTTTTTTTCTTCCTCATTAATCACAGCCAGATTCGGTTACTAAATCTACAATCACTGTGCAGCGAATTAAGTACAAGACACATCTATACTATGACTTAGAGGAAGGAAAACCTTCTTCCATCATCCAGGCTTAACTTTATGGTGGGAAGATAAACAGTCTGGATGAAATAGGCAGACCACTAGAAGACAGGTAGAATTGAGATAAGGCCAGGATCAGTGTGTGCTGCCAATTTTTACTGATACTGTAAGAAAAATTATCCATGTATCTATGTGATGGTTAATTTTATGTGCCAACTTGACTGGGCCATCATGCCCAGATATTTGGTCAAACATTATTCTGGATGTTTCTGAGAAGGTGTTTTTTCTTGGATAAGATTAACACTTAAATCAGTGGACTTTGAGTAAAGCAGATCATTCTTCACATATGGGTGGACCTTATCCAATTAACTGAAGACCTTAATAGACAAAGACTGACCTCCACTGAGCTAGGAGGAATTATTTTGGACTATAACTGTAACTCCTGCAGATTTCAGACTCACAGAGCCTTCACAGTTGTGTGAGCCAATTTCTTTAAATAAATCGGTCTCTCTTTCTTTCTACACACACACACACACACACACACACACACACACACAGACACAGACACACCCTGTTCTATTTCCATGGAAAACCCTAATATAATATATATATATGTTTATTATAATTTTCACTGATATAAAATTTGTGTAACAACTTAAAGTAACAATAAAATATATAAAACTTTTCATTGCAAATGTCTTATAACCAATTGATTCTCACATAATTCTTTCTTGGTTTATGTATGCATAGCTGATCTCTGATTGCAATTTAAGCATGATTTGACAAATGGAGTTATATCTCCATTTGCTCTTTTCCCAGTAAAAATATTGTCATAAAATCTACGTAAACTTGTGAAATTCACTATTTTTTTCATCAAATTTTGTTGCTAACAATTGTGTCACAATATTAGGGTATAAGTAAGTATTTGATTATTATTCGACTCAGCAAAGAATTTATTGTGAATAAGTATAGTTCAATACAAATGTTAGTTGATATTTTAGTTTATGTTAGCAAGTAAAGGAAGAATGAAAGAAAAAAATGAATTTTGGAACTTCATTTAACTTCACTGAATTGGATAATAATTTTAGAATATTGAAAGAAATTTTCATTTGTTTTTTCTGCTATTCTCAATGTAACAGCTGCATATATGATATGCTTTTATGTAAATTATTAACATTTTTTCCACCACTTTCTTTAATCTAGAGAAGAAGTTGGTAAGTTTTTCTTTAAACAGCCAGATAGTAACTAATTTAGGATTCATGGACCATATAGTCTGCAAGTTATATCTACTGCATTCTGCCATTGTTGCTCAAAAGTAGCCACAGATAAAATGAAAATAAGTGAGCATGGCTGTATTCTCCCTGAAAAACTTTATTTACAAAAAAAAGTGCAGATAAATTTTGGATTGAGGGTCATACTTTCATGATCCTCGTGTATAAATCAACAAGCAAATAAATCAACCTTTATTTAAAATGTTTGCCAATTTCCACCGTGTAAATATTGCCATATGGTCAATTTCAATCTCCCTGTATAATGTCACTGGATCTGGAGCTGGAAAAAGCTATGCGTTAGCACACAATTATATAGTATTTCCACTGTACAGATGAAATACACACAAATAAACTTTAGAGAACAGATGATAGTAAAATGTAGTAAAATAAGAACCGTTGAGTTCTGGCCATTTATTGCCTGTGTTTTTAGTATAATTGCAAGGATATGTAATTAATTTTTTAATGTTGGCTGTGTTGAAAACTTGGCTTATACAATTTCTGAACATTTAAAAATTAGCTCTTTTGAGCCCTTACAAGCTGGCTCTAACATACCACTAGCCAAGGTCAAGAACCAACTTAATAGCAGAGTTGAGGCCACACAACTATTCTAGGGGATAAATATTGGATAGAAAGTTAGATGTCAGATAGACATTAGGAGAAGCACTCAGATAACAATTCCAGCGAAGGGATGGTGATTTACTTAGGCAAGGCTACTTTCAGAGTTGTCTACTGTTTGCAAGGCACACTCTGTGCTAAGTGCCTGATAATTTCAGTTTAACAACATTCTGGGTTGAAAAGGAATTTCTCAATTGACTGGAGAATATAATTATCATTTATAATATCATTTCTATGGAAAAATAGATTTCAGGTTCCAAACTTAGTGATCCTAATTATTTCTTGCAAAATGGTAACAAGCAATCAGATATGTCTTATCCTATGTCTCCCTTTTCTTTGCAAACCATCCGCATTTATATTGTGTGTGTTATGCTACATGTCAGCTCTAAAAGCCTTAGCAACCCTCTCATAACATACACTAAGGATATCACAAAATGGTGCACAAACCGATTCCCTTTGAAAGACAAGAAATTCGACTTAGTAGATATGGTTTCCTGCTGAAGAGAGTGAAACGGATGAGATGTCGTAGCATGTCTCAGTCTCAGACCGATTGTTCTGATATGTAGTTCAGTCTACATTAGCTGCTGAAAGAACTTCCATGATAATAATGTGCATTGCCTAAATAATCCCATTTTCCACATACATAAATTCTAGCCTTATATGTGCAGCAATCTGATGGAATGTAACAAAAATGAAATGACTTTCCTTTCTGTAGTGAATATGCCTTATTTGCTGTGCAGGCAGCATCGTGCATCAACAAAACGCATTTCTCATCATTTCCAGCAAATTTCTTTAAACCTATGTCATTCCAAGCTTCAGGAATCTTGGGAAACGCTGTCAAATTGTATGTGTTTATTCACTTCATGAAATAGCATGACCAAGGATGAATGGTAGATTCACATGATAACAAATGTTTATATCAGAATATATATCATAAACCCTCATGATCAGGCAAAATCTTATTTTATAGATGTGAAAAATGAAGGCCCAGAATATGTAACTGATTTAGTCAATTTGGTGAGACATTTGTCTGGTTAGAAAAATCATTTAGTTTTATTTTTATTTTTTGAGGGGAAAGAAATTTGTTGGTTTATGTTGAGATAAATTATTTTAAAAAATATTAATATAAATCTTTAAGTTTATAAGTCAATTTGAATTTTTCCTAGGCACAAATTCTTACAGATCAAATAATCACATAATAAAAAAATTGAGCTCTTGATGAGAAGACAAGCTACCAAGACATTGTCATAACTTTGAACAAAATAGATAATAGTCTTATCTGCATACAAACTAACCCATAAGATGATATGTGTTGTTTTCTTAGTACACTTCTTAAAGTGGTAGGAGACAAAGCATAAATCTGTCACCTCCAAATAAGCATCAATATTTTCTCAGAATGATATTTTAATGAGGGTTTGTTCAATAGTGAGGAGTCAAATTATATACTATTCTCCAGAGTAAATATTCTAAATGCAATTACTATTAGCATAATCATCTTAATTGCTTTTTACCTTCATCTAAAGAATGTAAGTACAATTTCTGAGGAAAAGTGGAGAAACTGGGAAAGTGCTCAAGTAGCTATGCTCTTCATAAAAAAACTCTACATAATTAGCTAATCAAAACTGTGTTGCAACTGCTCATGTACATGGTCTAATGAAAATTGAAAGCTAAATTATTACTAGCTGTTTCTCAGACTATCATGTTTGAGAATCGGGAGCATTGCTTCTCAAACTATAATGTCTGAGAATCAGGGGATCTTGTTAAAATGCAAATTTTGATTTACAAGTTCTGGGATGTTTCCCAAGCTTCTGTACAGGCACGACTCAGAGTTAGTGCAAGTTCAAGTTCCAAACAACCACAATAAAACAAATATCACAATAAAGAGAGTCACACACATTTTTTGTTTTCTAGTGCATATAAAAGTTATGTTTATACTGTACTATAGTCTATTAAGTTTGCAATAGCATCATGTATAAAACAACAATGTTTTATATCTCAATTTAAACATATTTTATTACTAAAAAATGCTTACAATCATCTGAAGCACCACGTAGTCATAATCTTTTCGTTGGTGGAAGGTCTTGCCTTGATGTTGATGCCTGCTGGCTGAACAGGATGGTGGTTGCTGAAGTTTGAGATGGCTGTGGCAACTTTTGAAAATAAAGACAAAGATGTTTACTGCATTTTCTTTTCACAAAAGATTTCTCTGTAGCATGCAATGCTGTTTGATAGCATTTTACTCACAGTAGAATTTCTTTCAAAATTGCAGTCAGTCCTCTGAAACTCTGCCACTGATTTATTAACTAAGTTAATGTAATATTCTAAATCCTTTGGTGACATTTCAAACAATGTTCAAAGCATCTTCACTAGGAGTTGATTCCATCTCAAGAAACCACTTTCTTTGCTCACCCAGAACAATTCCAGATCCATTCAAGTTTTATTTTGAGATTGCAACAACTCAGTAACATCTTTAGGCTCCACTTCTAATTCTAGTTCTCTTACTATTTCCATCACATATGCAGTTACTTCCTCTGCTGAAATCTTGAAGTGCTCAGTCATCCATGAGGGTTGGAATCAACTTTTTCCAAATTCTTGTTCATGTTGATATTTTTACCTGCTCCCATGATTTGTGAATATGCTTAATGGCATCTAGAATGATGAGTCCTTTCCAGAAGGTTTTCAGTTTACATTGCCCAGATCCATCAGAGGAGTCACTAGAATGGCAACTATAGCCTTGTGAAATGTTTTTCTTAAATATAATACTATAAAGTCAAAATTACTCCTTGATTCATGGGTTGCAGAATGCATCTTATGTTAGCAGGCATTAAAACAACATTAATCTCCTTGTACATCTCCATTAAAGCTCTTGGGTGGCCAGTATGTTGTCAATGGACAGTAATATTTTAAAAGGAATCTTTTTCTATGAGTAGTAGTTTTCAACAGTGGACTTAAAATAATCAGTAAATCAATATGTAAACAGATGTGCTGTCATCCAGGCTTTGTTGTTTCATTTATAGAGCACAGGTGGAGTAGATTTAGCATCATTCTTAAGGGCATAGGATGTTTGGAATGGTCAATGAGCACTGGCTTCAACTTAAAGTCGCCAATGGGATTAGCCTCTCCCAACAGAGTCAGCCTGTCCTTTGAAAATTTGATGCCAGGCACTAACTTCCTTAGAGCTATGAAAGTCCTAAATGACATCCTCTTTCAATGTAAGGCTGTTTGTCTACACTGAGAATCTGTTGTGTACTGTAGCTTCCTTCATCAATGACCTTAGCTAAGTCTTCTGGATCACTTGCTGAAGCTTCTACATCACTACTTGCAGCTTCACCTTGTATTTTTATGTTATGAACATGGCTTCTTTCCTTAAACTTCATTAACCAACCCCTGTTAGCTTCAGACTTTTCTTCCACAGCTTCCTCACCTCTCTCAGCCTTCACAGAATTGAACAGAGTTAGGGCTTTGCTCTGGATTAGGCTTTGGCTTTAAGGAAATGGTGTGGCTTGTTTAATCTTCTATCCAGACCACCAAAACTTTCTTCGTATCAGCAATAAGGCTGTTTGGCTTTCTTATAATTCATGTGTTTGCTGAAGTAGCATTTTCCATTTTTTTCAAGAAGTTTTCCTTTGCGTTCACAACATTGCTAACTGTTTGGCAGGAGAGACCTACTTTCAGTCTGTATCAGCTTTTGACATGCCTTCTTCATTAAGCTTAATCATTTCTAGCTTTTGACTTAACGTGAGAAATGTGCAAATCTTCTTTTCATTTGAACACTTAGAGGCCATTGTAGGGTTAGTAATTAAATTAATTTCAACATTATTTTGTCTCAGGGGATAGGGAGGCCGAAGGACAGGGAGAGAGACATGGGTCGACCGGTGGATAGAAAGGTCAGACACAACATTTATCAATGAAGTTTGCCATCTCTTATAGGCACAGTTTATGGTGCCCCAAAACCATTACAATAGTAACATTAAGGATCATTGATCACAGATCAACATGACAGATACAGTGAAAGAATTTGAATATTGCAAGAATTACCAAAATGTGACAGAAACACGAAGTGAGCACATGCTGTTGGAAAAATGGTGCCAATAGAAGCTTGACACAGCATTGCCACAAACCTTCAAACACAGTATCTGTGAAACACAGTAAAGCAAAGTGCAATAAAATGAGGTATAACTGTTTCTAACGCAGTGCTCATAAGTGAGGCTGATCCTACTGATCTAGATCACTTTTTTTGTAACAAAATCATTCTTTTATAGTCATTTTATGCTTCTGGAACCTTTAAAAAAGGCCAAGGTAGGAAACCATAATGTCATTTGAAATACTTCATTTGGCTTAATTTGCATGCTATTTGCATACCCATAGTATTTTTACATATTTAAAAAATAATTGCATTTATTAGCTTTAATGATGCCAGGGAGAGACAAATTGTGGCCAGACTCTAATTTGGTGGACTGATTTAACATTTTGAGATTACATGAAAGAAGAGTTTGTTCCCCCACTTGCACATTCTTTTCCTTGAAAGATGAAACCATTAAAAAAGTATGACTGTCCACGCTTTTCTCCTATTCATTGTAATATTAAAGGGATGACCTTATAAAACCAACTGTAGTGTTATATAGTCATGCATCCTCCAAAGCTGAAGTTTTTATGTAACTCTCCAAATGAGGACTCTCTGGTGCCCTTTTCAATGAAGCGCCTAGCGGCTCAGAGACAGCTGCTTATTTTATGTTTAGTGATTCCTGACCTCTGTGACTATTTTTTAATTGAAGTGCTGTGGCATATTACAACAGCGGTGAGAAAAGCGTTGTATTTAGGATGTGTGAGGACTTCATACCTATAGTAATAAATTCATCTTAATAGCTTCCTGCCTTTGAAGAAGGAAGTTTACAGCAGATCAGCTAATACACAAAAGCCTACACCACTTCAAGAGTACAGTCTTGCTATTCGTATTAGGTGTTTTGATGACATAACTGTTCTTAATGCTAAACAACTATATTAAGAACAAAGACAAGAAGCATCTGCAAAAGTAGCTGAGAGCCAGCACTCTAATCCCAGAGATGGCAATAAACGGATCCCATGTGTCCTCTCTAGAGAAGACAGTCTGTCACTTAGACAACACTAGTTTGGCAGAAATCATTTATGAAAACAAACACTTTGGAGTCAAGAGGACTAAACTCATTGTACTTAAAGAACATGACAAACACAGGATTTTTTTTCCATTCATGATTTTTAAAAATTCAACAAGAGGTAAATTTTCATATCATTTGTTTCCTTGTTAATGTCATTCAAGACAAGCAAAGTGTTTCTATCTTGATGTGTTTTACAAACTTGAGAAGTATTCAAATGATGAAAAATAACAAAGGCACATATTTTTTCTGGTAGTGTATCACAAGAGAACTACTGTTGGCAGCAAGTTCTGTCCTACCCTCCTGCTCTCCAAATGTACATGGCTCTTTTTATAAAATAGCTTTAGGGTTTGTATGAACCTAAATAAAAATTGTTTTATAAGGTCTTTCCCACATAAATGCAAAAAAGAACTTCAAATGTGCTTGATAAATAACTGCTGTGATATATAGTTGAAAATAACTTGCTAATCTTAGTAACAAAATGCTATATGACAGGCATGTCGTGTTACAGCTAAAATATTTAAATCTTCTCAATAGAAAATAGAAGCACATCCATGACTCAGAAATTCCACTTCATGGAACCTACCTAGAGAAAGAATCACTTGTTTCAATGAGAGCATTTAAATATGTTTCATTACAGTGCTGTTTATAACAATGGAAACATGGAAGCATGAAAATTGCTTACATGTGCAGTCATGTAGTGGAATACTATGCAGCTGTTAAAATAAAAGTTGAAAAATAAGGACTTCATGCAGATATTAGTGAGTGAAAACACAAAATAGATTTTCAACGTATGATACACTTTTCTGTAAACATACACAAAACAATACTAATTTTTCTTTTTACGCATATTAATGCCTTCATACTGCTGTAGCACTCATGAAACTGATAGTAGGGAGTTCCTTATGAAACAGGCTTGCTCACATGGCACTTGAGTTGTATTTAAATGAGTTCATGAGACAATATCTCATAGTAATTAAGAATTTGAATCCACAGTCAGACTGCTTGCTTTCAAATCCAAACTCTCGTTTTTATGAGCTACATCACCTGGATAAGTTACTTAAGATCTCTCTATACCTTAGTTTCCTCATGTGTAAGACGTAGTAATAATATCTCCTCAGGAAGTTGCCTAGAGGATTGCATCAGTTACTATATTTTACTGAACCTAAGATGTCATCAGTTCGAAGATGCAATGTTATGATACACCATCAATTTCAAAGATGTCAAAATGGGAAAAGATCAGCATCTTAAAATGGAAGAATATATTTAAGGTACTTACAAATAGCACTTAATATAAGTTGTTTATCATTTTATCATGAAATCTTCATTGCTGTTGTAATTAAAATTAATAGTATATCAACACATAAAATAGAGATAACAGATGTATTGAAGAAGTTCATCTGTAACTTCCCAAATAAATTTATTGTGGAAAACCATAAAATAGATTCTGATTACTTTGATTAGATATCTCTACAAGCAGGTACGCTGATGCCTCAGCTCTAAAAGTGAGTCCGCATTGGTGGAGTTAATTTTCTTAGGTTCGTCCATTACAAATCCCAATTCTATCAGCATCTGACATAGCAGCTCACACATTTCACTGCAGGCCCCTTAAGAAAATTAGCTTTATTAACTAAGTACTAAAAATAGTTTATAATCCAGAGCAAACAAGAACTGCTATACAGCACAGCTGTGTTTTCCTTGAACCATTTCCGAGGCTCTCCAGAATCAATTACCACCAGTCGTCTATTGTGCCTTATATTTATATGGAAAGGTCAGGTTAAATTAATTAACTTTAAATAACTACCAAAGTGTGTGTGACACTGCTGTCATCCTTCTAATCTAACACGTTTCTGGGAATGTGCGTGCTCCCTAGAATCACAGTCTCAGAGAATGGGTCATATATTGAGGGCATCTGCTCTTGAATTGATTTCCTTAGTGGATCAAAATTCCAGGCCACTGTGCTTTTGAGGCCCTACTTCAGGCTGTAATCGATGTTTGGGTACAGTGTTTGCTGGGTTGGTGCTCAGTTTCATACAGAGCCAAAGCAGGGTAGTTATGAAAATGCCCATTCCTATGCAAACAGAAAGAGTATCTGAAATGACCTTGTTTATCGAGTCTCAGTGTTTTGGTGTTCCACATGGTAAGTTTTGCCTTTTTCCTGTACAGGTCACTTAGGGCAGGCGAATAAACCTGATCCCATGGTAGTTACAACCCTCTAGGGGTTCACAGTAATGGTGTTTTACTGCAAAAGCAAATGGATCATAGAAATTAAACTGAGCTTTAATTGTGTTAACAGTTGCTCTTAATCCTTCCTTGGAATGGGAAAAGTGTGGAAAGAAGTGCTTCTCTGCTTAATGGGCAAACACATAATGTAAACAATGATTCTTTGGAAGATTAGTGATCCTAAAGAAAGCAATTAGAGAAAGAAAGAACATTTAGACAGAAGCTAATGCTTAGTAGCTTGCAGCAGGGTGAAGCTGTACAGAATGTTATTTTCACATTAGATGGAATTCTTTCAAAGATTTTGTACTACAAAACAGGAAAATTGAGTTTTGGATAACTTTAATTGGTAAAAAAAAAAATCAAAAATATAAGAAAACTTGTTCTAACCCCTGTACTATTTTCTATCCATGAAATCATTATGGAAAAGCTGTTCTGTTCTTCATATTTACCCAGCACTGAGCACAAGGCATGAGACATAGTAGGTGCTCAATAAACGTAATAAATGTCAGTTGATTGAAGGGTTAAATGAAAACATGAGAAAGTAAGTCAGCCTTTAGTGTCATTCTTAGTCAAAAGAATATATATATTATATATAATTTTTCATTTTCTTGAAGACAAATACTAGATTAAGTTGTGTTAACAGATAAAACTCACAGGCAGTCAGTGGCTCTCTAGTGATCCCTAAATCATCCCAAAATGATTATATCCATACCGTTTTGACCAGGCTGAATGAAGACAGTTACTCTGAGGCACCCCTAATAGATAAGCAATAGGACAGAAAAAAAAAACACACCAGATTTGGAATAAAAAGTTCTACCACTTACAAGATATGTGTTTTGAAAAATTCCAAACATTTTCTATCCCTCAGGTTTTTTGTTTGTTTGTTTGTTTGCTTGCTTGCTTTACACTTACAAGATGCAAACAATATCATTCCTGATATCACAGCTTAAACTGAATATTATATTATGTGTGAAAATACTTTGGGAGACTGTAAAGCAGTACTTCTCAAACCAACTATGATGAAGTAACTCGTTTTTCTTTCTGGATTTTAAATTTCTAATCCATTGAGAACTGATGTTTTTAAATCTCCACATGTGAATGTCACAGCAATCCTAAATTGATATTAAGGTTTCTAAATGCCTAGTTGCAATTTCAATTCTTATCTTATTCTATGGATGTAGGAAATTGTTTGCTGACCAGCCTGGGTCTGCCAGATCTACTCTTTGAGTAGTGCTTCCATAAGAGCTGTACAAATAGAGCTGGAATGATGATGATCACAATGAAGATGACAACAGTGGTGGCAATGACACGGCTGCCACTACTTGGAGTGGCCTCGGAGTTTGATATCAAAGGCTGGCCTGGGTTTGAGCTGGTTGAGGGAGAAGTGAGTGTATTGCATACATGAGAAAACCTGAGCAAAGGAAAGATGAGACTCAAATGGCAGCACTAAGACCATTTTGCACTGGAGTATCAGATATATTTTGAAAAGAAGACTGTAGAGTGACTTTTTGAAAGACATGGGGGATTAGCAGGTAAAGAGAAGCTTGAAGTGGTATTTAGAGATGCTACATTTAGTGACTTCAGAAGGTATAAACTGAAGCAGCAATGTAGATTAATATTCAAGATATGAGGATAAAAGGGTGACTAAAGTGGGATCCAAAGCAAATGGGTGCCAGAAAAACAATGAAAGAAGAACTGATGGAGGCTATGATCTAATTTACATTTAGGGGAATGAGGAAAACAGTGGAAGATTTTGCAACCATGAAAATAAACACTGGAAGTTCTGACCAAAGAAATTAGGTTAAAAAAAAGAAATAAAAAGACATTCATATTGGAAAGGAGAAAGTAAAATTATCTCTGTTTCTAGATGACATGGTCTAATATGTAGAAAACCATACGTACTTCACACCAAAGAAAACTGTTAGAACTAATAAGTAAATTTAGTAAAGTTGCAGGGCATAAAATTAACATACAAAAATCAGTTGTGTTTCTGTACACTAAACAATGAATAACCCTAAAAGGAAATTAAGAAAATAATCCCATTTTAAATAACATCAAAATAAAAAAAGGCATCAAAATAATAAAATACTTATGAATAAACTTAATTAAGAACACAAAGCCTTATATGCTGAAAACTATAAAGCTTTGCTAAAAGAAATTAAAGAACAAACAAACAAGTGGAAATGCATCTCATGTTCATGAATTGAAATACTTAATATTGTTAAAATGTCCACACTTCCCAAAGCAGATCCAGTGCAATCTCAATTAAAATCTCAATAACATTTTTTACGGAAATAGAAAATCAAAATTATAAAATTTCAAAAGAATCACAAAGGACCACAAATAGCCATAAAATATCTTGAAAAAGAACAAAGCTAGAGACCTCACATTTCCTGATTTTGAAACATATTACAAAGCTACATTTCCTGATTTTGAAACATATTACAAAGCTACAGTAATCAAAAGAGTATGGTGCCATTTTAAAGACAGACACATGGATCAGTGGAAAGGAATAGAAAGCCCACATACATATGATCAAGTGGGAATACATCTAACTAAAAAGCTTTTGCATACCAAGTAAAGCAATCAACAGATGAAGAGGCAATACAGAGTGGGAGAAAATATTTGCAAACCATATATTTGATAAGGAGTTAATATCTAAAAAATTTAAGAAATTCCTACAACTCAATAACAAAAATTCAAAACAAATAACCTGGTTAAGAAATGGGCAAAGGATTTGATTAAACATTTTTCCAAAGAAGACATACAAATTGCCAGTAAGTATATTAAAAGATGCTCAACATCATTAAACATCAGAAAAATGCAAATCATAACCACAATGAAATATTGTTTACACTTGTTAGGATGGCCATTATTTAAAAAAAGAAAAGCAAAAAGGAAGAAGTGATAGCAAGAATATGGAAAAAATGGAACCCTTGTGTGCTGTTGGTGAGAATGTATAATGGTGCATCTTCTGTCAAAAATAGTATAGAGGTTTCACCAAAATAGTTAAAAATAGAACTACCATATGATTTAACAATTCTAATTCTGGGTATTTATACAAAAAAAAAAATGAAATCAGGATCTTGAAGAGATACTTGCTTACTCATGTTGATTTTATAATAGCATTATTCACAATAGCCAAGAAGTGCAAACAACCTAAACATTCATGGAGAGAAAAATAGTTAAAGAAAATCTGGTATACACATACAATGAAGTATTATTTGGCCATTCAAAAGAAGGAAATATTGTAATATGTGACATCATAGATGGACCTTGAAAACGTTATGCTAAGTGAAATAAACCAGTCACAAAAGGACAAATACGGCATGATTCTACATACAGAAGTTATCTAAAGTGGTCAAACTCATCAAAGTAGAAAGTAAAATGGCAGTTTCCAGGTCCTAAGCGGAGGCAGAAATGGGAAGTTTCTGTTCAATAGGTATACAATTTCAGTCACACAGGATGCAAAAGTTCTGCAGATCAGCTGTGTAACATAGTGCTTATAGTTAAGAATACCATACTGTACACCTAAAAAGGAAAGAAGGTGGATATCAAGTTATGTGTTTTTACCACAATAAGAAAGAGAAAATATGGCAATAAGTAGATACATAGAAAAAATGTAGAGTATTATATGTGAGAACAGGAAAAGAGCTGAGACTATATCATGGCTATGCCACTTCCTGTGTGCCTTTGGATAATCCATTTAAATTGATGAGATTTATTTATCTGTAAACTAACTTTAAAAATATACCGCCCATGTGGTCACTGTGATGTTGAATGTTATAACATATGATTCTGTATGTTAACCACTTAATAGTACATTGTATGCTGCATGAACACACTTATACACTTATATATCTATGTTCATATATCAAATCCATAGCTTTATCTTTCCATCATCTAGCTATCTACCTGTAACATATATTCTTTATCATTCAAAAAATATTTAAAGTTTATAAAATCCACTTGTACCAATAAAGATAAACCTTAAAAGAGAGAATTAAATTTTATTATATGATGCCGAACCTTGACTTGATCTGGGTATGTGCTTTCTTTGTACATAAATCGACTGGCACGAAATAGTGGTAACAGTTGTGTCATCCTGTCTTGGATGCACACCAAAGCCATTGAACTATAAATACTAGTTAAAACTGTTTTTGTGGCACCTCTTTTATTAATGGTAACATTATCAACTGTATACCCTTAATACTCTAAATTGTATGTATACAATTACATCTTTAGAGGGAGTGTGTTATCAAAACAGCATTGTAGCGGCTGGGAAATTTGCTGAAGACAGATTGTTATGTTTTTTGATGCTTTTATCCCTTCAGAAGTTTAGGTTTGCAAGCTCAGCAAACTCTATTTCTTTCAGGCCATTTTGCCACATTGTAAATGGCAACCATTTCATTATGGTCTCAGCATCTAAATAGTAAGACTTCACTGACCTAATGGTAACCATTGAAGTGTACAAGAGTGATATAAAACTTATCTAATTCAAAGACTTCTAGATTAAGGGCTGTAATTTTAAAACTCCTGTCACCAGGAATGTGTTGTTATTACATAAGACCAACAATATGTTTTTATTTGCTTATCCAAAATGCCTTCAGTATCTTCAATTCAATAGATTTTCATTTTTCAAAAAGTGTGTATATGGAGTTCCAGTTATGCATAGTGCTAGGAATATAAGAATAATAGAAAAGATGGTTCTTGACCTCAAAGTCTTTACAACATAATGTAGCATGCACTATGAGAAAATGCAACTTCAAACATGCTCAAATGGAAACAAACCTTACTAAGTCTGTACTGCTAAAGGCAGTTGTCGCCACATATATTACTCGAGCATCAATAAATTTCTGTTCTGTTTTTGTGTGTAATTTGTGTGTTTTTAACTTATAAATGATCTGTTCTAATATGAAGTACAAAGACTTCTACAAATGAAGACCTTAAATAGGATGATATAAAATATAAACCATATTTTAAAATACGTATATTTATTAAACAAGAAAATCTTTTTTTAAAAATTATTAAATAAAATGATGGGGTATTTTTTTTTCTGAGACAGAGTTTCGCTCTTTGTTGCCCAGGCTGGAGTGCAGTGGTGCAATCTTGGCTCACTGCAACCTCCACCTCCTGGGTTCAAGTGATTCTCCTGTCTCAGCCTCCTGAGTAGCTGGGATTACAGGCGCCTGTCGGCTAATTTTTGTATTTTTAGTAGAGACGGGGTTTCATCATGTTGGCCATGCTGGTCTCAAACTCCTGACCTCAGGTGATCCACCTGCCTCAGCCTCCGAAAGTGCTGGGATTAAAGGTGTGAGCCACTGCGCCCGGCCTGGAGTAATTTTTAAAACTGTTCCTAAGTTCAGTTTTCTTAAAGAAAACACTTGGTTCAGGATGCTATCTTAATCAAATTAAATCTCTCACAAAGAGGCATAGATAGAATAGAAGGTGTAACCATTGACAAAATTACTAAATCATGATAATCATTCCTTTATACATTGATTTGTTCAACAGTTATTTATTGAGTACCTACTATATGCCAGTCACTTTTCAAAACCATGGAAATGGAGCAATTAATATAACAAAGTTACTGCCTTCAAGAAGTTTACACTTTAGTGGACTGACCAGACAATAAACATAATTTTAAATTTTCAATAGTATTAATATTTCGGGTAGTTGCAAGTGCTATAGTAAAGAATTAAGCAAGGTCTAAATGATAGGAGTGTCTGCATGGATTGCTGTGTGATGAGAGTGCAAGGTTAAAGATCATCATTTTGACAATGTGACATTGGAGCAGATCTCTGGAGAAAGTGAGGGAAATACAGTGGGGAAGAATGTTCTAGGTAGAGGGAGCACTGTGTGCACAGGACCTGGTACAACAGCATGTCTGGTGACTCAAAGACTAGAGATGACCCGATACTGCCAGAATAAAGCAAGCAAGAGAGTTGTACTGAGAGATGAGGTCACAGAGTTGGGGAGAGTCTTCAGGCAGATAACTTGAGGTCCTGATAGCAGCAGTTATTCTGCTTGTAAGAACAAGCTATTAGTTTTTAGCAGATAAGTGGCATGATTCATTTTACATCTGAAAAATCTACTTCTGACTACTCTTCAAATAAGGAGAGCAAGAGTGCAACTAGGAAGACATGTCTGGAGTTGAGAGCTGTGGCTTGGATAAGAATGGTAGTGATGGATAAATGAGATCTGATCAGATTCTGAATGTAAAAATTGCAAAAGAAAGAGCAGACATCAGAATCACTCAGAGCAGTGGTATGCTAGAACATGCTAACAGCCAGTTCACAGAGCAGAAATGGGGTGTACATACATATACACGCACACACGCACGCCTATCTACCTATCTATAAAAGTGTTTATAAAATTATCATGCATACCAAAGATTGATAACAGTTGGCCATTTGAATACAAGGTTTGCGTGGCTGATTGGGCCATAGAAATTAAGATACCATACAGTAAGACATTTATTGATCATAAATATGAATCTCAGCTTGTATTTTAAAATCAGAGATCAGATACATTGTAATACTACTGCTTCTTACATGAATCACGTTTACGTACATGTTGAAGATAAGTAGCCGCAAGGATTGATTTGTTCACGGATAATTCAAATGAGCCACACTGGGTAGAAGAGCATCCATGTCTGGAATCACATCTTACTGTTAGTATGGTGAAACCACAGCTAGGGCCTGCCCTTTACCTTAGGGCTAACATCTAAATAAAAAGACATGTTGGGGAACAACTGCTCAATCTCTGTATTCCCTGCCTTGAATGCCTGGATGTTTTAAATTATAGCTGATCAAAACAGGTTAAAACAGTCAAGCCATGCTTGTTGACAATTATGATATTGGTCAGGAAGAACATAGACATTCTGTGTGGGAAAAATAATTCCTGAAGCATTTATATACAATTTTTTCCTTAAATCTGCAGTTATACATTTTTAGTGTATATATTAGTGTATATTTTTGGAATTACTGTTCAAATTTAACAATGAGAATGAGGATTTTGCAGATTTGAGAAAGTTGTTTTTTAAAAAAAAATCCACAGTGGGATATAAAAATATATCTTTTTATGAGTTTTATCTACTTAAAAAACCTTCTTTAATCAATTTTAATCTTACCAGTTTTAAGTTAAAAGAATGCCCTATTGTTAATTTGCAATTCTATGTTTAAGAGAACCACACCTACTTTATTGAACTACTTCTAATACCACTTTTGCAAGAAGCTTATTTAAATGCTATCTTAGATTGGCTCCAGGCTTAATTTTCTGTCTTATAGTATAAGATTCTAATCTGTACTCCAAATAGGTGGCATTAACTAATTAATACAGTTCATAAAATATTTTATTTTTCATCTTATGTTGCAGTAAAAGCTAACTGTGTTACGCTATTTTTTCTCTTAGAGTTCCTCTAACTGCATCACTTAGAACATGTAATACATTTTAAGCCTGTATTTAGCTTGTCAATTTTTCATTATTGATCCCTCAGAAATAGTTTAATGGTGCCTGTTCAACTTAGTGGGCTTTACTGACCTTCTGCTCTCAGCAGCATTTATTGAAGCCTGACAGTATCAAGGTTACTCTCTAAATGCAATATATATTCCCACTTTAGGAAAGATGTGCTGATGAGCGGTGGGGATCACATGTTGTAAGATATTACATTTGAAGTTTGGTGTGGGACATTAGTTAATACATATACTGCTACAAAAACTTATTTTGATAACTCTATTGGAATACCTATGTCCGCCTCTGAAGAGGATTTTCGGTCCCATCCCAATGTTATGCTATTTGACATTGTATCTCTGCCCTGTCAAAATATACCAACACATTAGCCATGGAAGATAGTTTTTAAATGAAATGATAAAATGATCTCTTTCTATTGGCTTAATCTACGTGCTAATGAGTTTGTATAACGTTGTTTCTTGGTCCCTCGAAACATTGTTATGCAGCATACAACTTTTGTAGAAGGGAAAACCGACGCTGTAAGTTTAAAAAATAAACTCCCAGTGAAACAGAAACAAAATGAATGTTGTTTTTTCCGTAATTCCTGCCAGCTGATGTTGCAGCATTATAATGTTCTGTGTTTTAGGCAATCTGTAGAATATGAGAGAGCATAAAATTTCACCTCTGAAAATAGGGTCTAATTCAGGAAGGCACAATTTGCCTCGAGTGTCCATGTAACAGATGGATAACATGTCCACAATGCAATAAGAATTCAGTCAAAGAAAGTATTATTGTAATTGAAAATACTGTGCTCTGTTCAGGTACAAACATATTATCTTCTAACTTATTTAGATGCTGGAAAATAGTTTTTACTTTCTATCTAATTTACATATGTGAACTAATACGCTTTACATGTTTAATTGCTGTGTAATAACTCTCCACTGTGTCCAATGGTTGGAACCAAGAATTGTCCCACAGTGTCTCAGCTGACCAGCACATTAAACTGGTAGATATGGTAATAGTACAAAAACATTTGTCTCTGAATAGATGACGAGGAAGAAAATGGAAGGAAGGAATTTCTTATTAAGGATGATTCATGTGAAGAAGATGCCTGCTTTGGTTCAAATAAAATGTTAACCAGAAGTGGAAAGGGGAATGTTAAAGCAAGTGCTTGTAGTAGCAGTGAGACCCTTGCTTAGAGTAGCTATATACTCACATTCCCCTATTATTTTCTCATTCATAAAATCATAGAATTATCATGAGCAGGGGTCTTTAAATATGGCCCATAGGCAAAATTTTTCCTGTTGCCTCTTTTGTAAATATATGTTTATTAGTACACAGCCATAGCCATTTGTATATGGATTGTCTATGGATGCTTTCAGTGCAATAAGTGAGTTGAAAAATTGCAACAGAGACTGCATCGTGCACGAGCTTAAAATACTCTCTGACTCTACAGAAAATGTTTGCCAACTGCTGCTCATGATAGTGAAATGAAAAAATGCTTGTACATTTCTTAACACAGAACCTAGCAAATACTAAATCTTCACATACATACATATATGCATATATTTTAGTTACTGTTACTATTGCAGGCCAGTTTTGTGCTAGGTTCAGTTTCTTGTTTAAGGCTGTACTGGTCAATATAGTGGCCACTACCCATATGTGGTTGTGTAAATTTAAATTAGAAGTAAACAAAATATAAAGTTCAGTTTCTGAGGTGCACCAGCCACATTTTAAGTGTTCAAGAGTGACATGTGACTAGATAGAGAACATTTCTATCATCTTAGAATGCTTTGTTGGACAGCTCTGGCTTAAGGTCTCAAAACTGACTAAAAAGACTGGTTGAGGTTTTTTTTTTTTTTACTTTTCCTACTAAAACATATTGCCTCTTGGCATTGAGACATTGAAAGGCATTAATATAAGCTAATAAAATGGCAAATCATTTAAAAGTAGTCATCAAAATGTATGTATTCCCAGGGCAACATTTATAAACAGTTAAAAACTAGAAATGTAAACATAAATAGAGTAAATACAAGATGCAAATAGAGTAAATCAAGACGCAATCTTGACAGAGACAGATGATTTTCATGATTACTGCACTCCTCACAGGTAGAGAGCAGGAGAACCTGCTTTGAAATACAGACTCCTAAAGTAGCAGTTCCCAAATCTACTGATTAGTTCTCAGCCTTGGCTGCACAATGGAATCACCTGGAGAGGTGAGGCCTGAGTCCCACCTCTGGAGATTTTGATTTAATGGGTGCTAAGGTCTGAATGTATCCCTCCAAATTCATGTGTTAAAAAATCAATTTCCAATGCAACAGTGTCAGGAGACGAGGCCTAATGGGAGATGATTAGGTCATGAGGCTTCTTGACCTCAATAATGGATTAATGCCACTATAAAAGGGATTGTGGGAGTGGGTGCACTCTCTTCTGCTCTCTGTGATGTGAGGACACAGTGTTTATCTCCATTTTGCCCCCCTCCCTTCTAACATGTAATGATGCAGCAAGGCCCTCACTAGACACCGTATCTCAGTGTCTTGGACTTTTCAGCCTCCAGACTTCTCTCCAACCTCAAGGTAGTTTTCTTTATAAGTGACCAAGTGTCAGGTGTTCTGTTATGTAGCACAAATCGACTAAGATAATGGGTATTGGGTGCAGCCTGGCCTTGGTATTTTTTAAGTCTCCTCATTTCATTCTAATAGGCACTGATAAGAAATTTTTGGACCTATCTTAAGCCCAAAGATGTGGGCCCTAGGCAGGCCTTTGTATTTTAATCACTACCTGATGATTCTAATTATTGATTTAAAGAATATATTGATAAAAGCACGGCATTAAATTCTGTAAATATTTGCTAAAATGGAGGGAAAAGAGGCAAAATAACATCTAGCTACTATTTATGCCAAAACAAGTTACTCTATAGCAGTGGATCTCAAGTGTGGTGGTAGGACCAGCAGCATCAGCATTACCTGGGACTTGTTGAAAATGCAGATGTCTTGGGTTCCACCCCATACCTACTGAATCAGAAACTGAGGTCCCGAAACCTTTAATGAGCCCTTGCTCCAGTTGAGTATGATGCAAACCAGTTTGAGAACAATATCCGTAGATCAATAGCGGTGCCCTCATAAAACCTGGCGAGTATTTCTTTTTTAAGATGGAGTTTCACTCCTGTTGCCCAAGACAGAGAGTGCAATCGTGCGATCTTGGCTCACTGCAACCTCCACCTCCTGGGTTCAAGTGATTCTCCTTCCTCAGCCTCCCAAGTAGCTGCGATTACAGGTGCACGCCACCATGCCCAGCTAATTTTTTGTATTTTTAGAAGAGACGGGGTTTCACCATGTTAGCCAGAATGGTCTCGAACTCCTGACCTCAGATGATCTGCCTGCCTCGGCCTCTCAAAGTGCTGGGATTATAGGCGTGAGCCACTGCGCCCAGCCCAGTGTTTTTTTTTAATACCAGATTTATAAAATCAAAATAAAACTATTTTTCTACATATGTTTACAACCTGTTAAATTAACAGTGTATATATGTATATTTGTACATACACATACTAATGTTATAAATAGATACACATGAATGTAATATTAATATTCATAATATTAAATGATAATATAATCTAGTATTTCCTAAGATAATGTTCAGTCACTACAAACACAATAATGTAAATTTCATGAGTGTCCTTCGCATTATCACAGCATCTGTCAACCCAAACAGGATAAGTGATAGCTTTAAGCTGCAAATACAATATTTATATTGCATTTAATCTTTTGGTTGTATTGAAGTAGTAAAGAGTACATTTGAATATAGTAACTAGATCAATTACTGGTGCTTGAATTTCAGGTATGTTGGTATTTCACAAAATAATTTTAATGGGAACAAAATTCTGTTTGTGTAAATGAAAGCTCAAGTTCTTCCATAAACTAAGTTCCTCAAACTATAAGATCACCTAATTTAACAGATTACCCAGCAGTGTTCAGCTCTCTGCTCTCCCAAAGCAAGTTCTTGATAAAGATACAATGTATGACGCTTTGAAATTTATTTTGTAATATTCAAGAATGCACATTGACAATATAGTTAAGGAAGATCTGCAAGTTCTGCTGGAGCAAACTGATAGCAGTGTTGGTGATAAACATACTCTATCCCCCTGGACCCATTCAAAATGCCTTAATAATAATATGGTTTTTAAGGAAGGTAAGTGACTTTGTTAAATTGCTGAACAAGGATTTTATCTTTCACGAATGATGCAAAAGCAAACTTCAGTCAGACCTGTATCCAATAAGTCACAAATTCTAAACAAAACTAGCATGAAATGAGTTTTGAGATTCCACTGTGTATTGATTCCATCTATTTGTAAGTGTGTATAGCAGATTCATTATATTTCTTAAGGGATCCGGAAGCCCATAATGCATAGCAAATACTCTAATTACTTGTAGTTCTATTATAGCCTTATCTTACAATAATGACCAGAAGAAAAACAACCAAATTATACCACATGAAAGTAGATACGGCAAGTGGTAGGCTCCTCCTCTCAAAAAAAAAAAAAAAAAAAAAAAAAAAAAAAAGTCTTCCCTGTACCCCACAGAGTAATTGCTGCAAAGTGGAAGAAAAAAAAAAAAAGCATTGTTCCAAACGTAGGTTGGCTGCTCCAGGCCATTATGATCACACTAACGATGTTTGACTATTTGGTAAGTAGCACTATAAACTCTCAAGGCTTCATTTCACACACCACTTGTATTTACTTGACCTACATTTCTGAGTTATTGGAATAATAAAGAATGATATTTTATAAGGACATTTTTAGGCTTGAATAGTAAACCTCTTAGTAAGAAGAGACAATGAATAGAATTAAACAAGGTGACAGATAAGAATAAATATTGGAATGGAGAGCTTTGTAGTTATCTTCAGGCAAACCCATAGCAAAAAGACTCACTTTAGAGTTATAACAATAGTAGAAACTTGTCTAGTCCCTGAGAAAATGATCATATTTGATTATTTTATTAGTATTTAAAACACTGTCATTTAGTCAAAACCCATACTGTGCCAAAGATTGTGAGGTATGTTTGATGTATGTTAGCCAGTTTAATTCTCAAAAGTGTGCATTCTGTCCATAATTTAAAAGAGAAACTGAGGTTCATAGTGATTAAGGAACTTTTCCAGTTACACTGCTAGAATTAGAGGAACAAGGATTCAAGAGAGGCAAGGCAAATAGTCACAATTCATAGAGTATGTAGTTGGTACTCAGAGAATTTGTAATTTTCCTAAGACTTTGCATCCGCTGCATTCCCTTTTTACCGTAAATGGGGTTGATATGAAAAGGTTGCTTACCTGGTTAAGCTATCAGACTTCATGAACTTCATGATAAGGATCAAATGTCACATGCCTTTTCTTTAAAATATCTCAGGTAGTGAACTCAGGGTTTTAAAATGGCAACAAAAGGACTGGTTGAGAATTCAACTGTAAAATGAACCCTTTGTGTATGCATGTACACACAAAAACAAACTGAATACACAACTATATTCATCGGTAGAGGCACACTCCTTACCTGGATCTTCCTTTATTGTGAGGAAACTACTTTTTTGGTTACACAACGTATAATCCATGAACCGGCATCATGAGTATCATCTGAAAGCTTGTTGGAAATGTAGCATCTTCCCCAGATTTGCTGAATCAGAATCTGCATTTTGAACAAGATTCCTGGTGATTCATGTGCGCATTAATGTTTGAAAAACTCATTATGTTCATATTTTATAGAGGCCTGGGTTGGCATTGGCCACTTCCCTCTGCATGCACAGATACACTAATAGAGTTAGTTTTCTTTCTTTACTGGCAACATGAGTCCTGCCTTAAAATTCCAGCTTTTCTGTATCAATCGTACTGACATAATTCAACTGTCTTTCTTTGCAAGTTCTTGTTCTTTTCGAAATTATATCACTGCAGAATAACTTTCTTCCACTATTCAGTAGACCTTCCATAGTTTCTTATCTTCTCTCTCATTATTAAATTTCCCCAACCCTTAAGTGCAATTAGGTTAACTACTAGCTAGCCCTGGGAAACATAGGTTTAAAACCTTTCCTTTGATGACCATTCTGTGTGTATTAAATTTACATTCTATTTCTATTTCTCATAGTCAATAAGGTTGCTCAAAGAATGAAGACAAACTTTCGATATGAGCATTTTGACATTTGTTAATTATTCATCTTTCCATGCAGTCAACAAATAATGACTGCCTACAGTGGCTCAGAAAAAGAGAAAATATATTACAAGTTATAATGAAATGCTTACACTTATTTTTAAAAGAATGTCAACAATTTTGGATATCTAATTTGATAAAATTTAAACGAATGAGACAAATGATGAAATCAAGAAATAAAAGAAATGAAGCTATCAGTATATTGTTTTAGCTCTTTTTAATGAAACTTCTAGTTCAATATCAGTAAATTATTTTGCTTGGATATGAACTCTAATATGTTTTACCAACATGATTTTATGCTACTGGCCTCTAGGATTTTGAGGATAGTGGACTTTATAAATATTTATGTGTGTATTTTCAAATATCTATCCCTCTTTACAAGCATAGTATTTGCATATATTTTCACATATTTGTACACAAAGTGAGATAAAGTCAGAAAAGGAGGGGTAAGTGGACTTTTCAGACTAAATCAAGTGGAGTGGGATGTAGGATGACATTAGTCTGCCTTTATTAAGCTCCAGAAATTCTGAAACAGCTGAGACCACTTGTAACTGAGCTAACAGTTCAGTTTGACTTGAAGTTAGGTCTTTCTTAGGTCAAAGAGCTGTTGGCAAAACAATCTCAGATCTGTGGCAGCAGATGTAACAGGGACCGTGCTAACAGAAAAAGAACTTCTATAAGGAGCCCTTGGGGAGGCACAGCTAGCTGCTGGCCTGGACATCTTCATCTGGGCTGCAGGATGATGGCCTCCCAGGCCCATTGGTTCTCTCTAATTCAGTTAGCTCTCTTTAGCATACGTCTTTATGCTGGAATGCTATACACATAATATAATGGCAATATGAAAAGAAGCCTTCATTCAAATGTGCCACAAGTTGGCAATGGTGGGAGTTGCCATGGCTTCCTTATTTAAGTTTTGGCAAATCCATGGCCAGGAATGACTATGGAAGACATTTTGTCCTATTTCTGTTACTTTTCCTATTTCTTACAATCGTACTGTGATATAAGAATCTCAGGCTGGTCGACATTCCATGCTGATTTATATCACTTTGAGTATGTTCTCAGTTTCAAAGGTGTTATACTTACTGCATATTTCTTAACCTGAGCTTGATTAAAAAAAAAAAAAAGTAGAGATATCCTGCCTCAAGTACTTAGAATTCATCAATGATGCTTCTGTAGTAGGGCTGTTTCTATCCCTAATCACTTAAATGTGGAACTATGAGTTAAGGTATTCTACAATATCTTATCAAAAGAATTTGATATCAATATGGAAAAGTGATCATATAAGCAAGGTACTCGGCTGTTTGTCCTACTACCTACTCTACTTTTTTTGTACATTTGAAATATTCCATAATTTTAAAATATATACTTATAAAACCATAAAGGGATTATTTAGCTCATATGACCAGATGATAGAGCGTTAGTGTTAGGGCTCACTTGATTTATGTGATTACGTCTTCAAGGCATGGCATGGTTTTCCTGAAGTGTGAGTAGCTTCATTTTTGTATAGCTGCTAGAACTAGACCTTCATGTCTCACTGGTTGTGACTGTGTGTGTCAAAGTCTCAAGGGAATGCTAGGTACTCATTGGCATAGAGCAGGTTACTTCAACCAAAGACACTGAGTGAGAGAGATGAAATTGCCCTGATTGGGTAAGACAAAGCAGATTCCATCTCCAAATTTTCATACTTCTCATAAAAGGGAAAGAATTGCTCCTGGGGAGACAACCACAGTATTTACTACATGCTCTTATACTATTAAGACCACATCCACCTATGGCTATTAAAAGGATTCTCCCTATATGCCATCTGGCTTTCTCAACAAGGGTTTGAAAATCAATGCTGCCTGTGACTCAGTGATTTTAGTGTTCAACAGTTTCAGATCAGTTATATATTGGTAAAATTCTCCCCGTAGACATTTTCCATTAATTGTATTTATCTAAATTTGCACTCCTCACACAAGAGAGAGCTTACCTGTTTCAAGGTCACATTAGAAATGTCTTCAGAGTACAGCACATTAAGTGAGATGAGTGAAGGCAATTAGATAAATGCATGTTTATGAGCAACAATGGATGCCCCTAAATAAAAAATTCCACTAACTTCTGAACACAGCAAAATTGTAATTATTCTGAATTTTCCAGTTTATAGTGGCAGACTGTATTGATACAGCCAAAACACCTGGACTATGGCACGAAAAAAATAGAACTTGTTTTGAGAGCAGTCTGTTCATTTGGCTTCCCAGATACACCAAAGCTGAAGCGGGGACTGTCCTGTGAGTAGACCAGTGAGTTGGCCAACCTCATTGGCTTGGCTGGATGGACTAAAATATTTTTGTTTGACCTTGAGTGGATAACGCTTAAACTGTTCTTTGTCTGCTCTATGCTGTATATTTTAAGTATTGCAAGGTATAGAGGTAACTTAATCAAACCTTTACCATATATCAGCCATAAAAAATAAGCACTGGCAGATGTGCCTAGAGACTAAAAGAAATCAGGGCAACTAAATGAGAATCAGACATCGAATCTAAATGGATGTTATTACAGTCTGCCCCTTTTCATTTGGTTTGACAGGAATCTCCAAGTAGAGACTCTGGTGGAGTTGCTACAGGCATATGTTCAGATTCCTTATCCTGGCCTTCCCTGGAGCAGCAGAAAGCCTTTGCCATGAAACTGCCTCAGGTATCAGTGGCTGAAATTAATATATGATTTTGAGGCAGAAGTTAGAGAAAATGTTTGGAGGCCTGACTTTGAAAACTATTGAAAGGATTTTATTAAACCTGACAATGGACATGCTAAGTCTAATGCAGTCAGGATGCTTGATCTGTTTCCTGTCCCAGGAGCACTTTCATGTTGGCAGTGGCAGTGTCTCCCTTTTTAACTGATGTTGATGTGGGGATATCTGTACTTATCTCACTGATGAAAGAGGCCAAGTATTAATAATCAGCTTATAAAAGTAGTCAATATTGTGAGTTTTTAAGTATTTAACTTGCTTGGCAAACATATTGATTAATCTGTAAACATGTAGATATATGGGGGTTGTCAAACTACTGCCTGAGACCAAATCTTTTTGACTGCTTGTCTTTGCAAATAAGGCTTAATAGTAATGCAGTCCCACCCATTTGTTTACAGATGACTGTTTTGAATTGCAGTGAGACAGTTGAGTAGTTATGACAGTGATCATGTCAGCACAAAACTGAAAACATTAATATCTGTCTCTTTACAGCAAACGTGCTCAACCTTGGTCAAAAACAACCTCTTTTAGAAATACTTTTTTTGCATAAAAGAATATACTTCTGTAGTTGTTAATTTGCTATTTCAACATTCATCCTAATTTTGTACTTTTTTAACCCTAAAAGAGCCTGTGATTTAGTGAAAAATTCTAGTCCCAAAAAAGTGGGTTCCAAGTTTTCCTTTTCTTTTCTTTTTTAATTTCTGATACTTTTCAAGTCAAATTGTGTCTGAAATTATTTCCCCATTTCAGCAGGATGCAGAGCGTGACATCCTCCCTGTCCCGGGGAAGTTACGGCATACATAATGCATGAATCTTCGGGAAGATCTGAGCCTTTGAATACACAATTACACTTTGGGCTTCAAATGGAAAGTGCCACGTTTGGAAGCAACTTGAAGTTTCCCAAAATATTTGTTTGCAGTTCTAATTTCAATAATTAACATAAGGATTAAAACATTTTTCTTATCTTTCAATTCCAGCAGTGAGGTCAGCACCTCACAACTACAGGAAAAAAAAAAAAATGCCTTTGGAGTCACAGCCAGCAATAATGTTGTTTCAGCAGCAGGCTCTTCACAGGGAGGAGAGGTCTGCAGGCAGCTGAATTGATGGGCCTGCACCTTGACATGGCATGAGACATGCTGTTTTCTCTCTTTTTCCTGAACTCTCTATTCCACGGGCCTCTGATCAGAGCAAAGAGAGTGGAGGCAGAATGTTGTTTTCATCTACATGACCATGAAAACAGGGCAAGTGTGGTTTTCCCTTTATTGTTTTCAGTTTTTTTTTTTTTCTGTTACTTTCCAAAGACAACTAACTACTTAAGAGGAAAGATAAAGCCACACATGCATAACCCCAGACTCTCCAACTTCTGGGCCGCCACAGGCTCCTTTTGTTCCAAGCTTTCTTCCTGAAGCAGAAGTGAATCTGCGGGCAGGGTATAAAGCGCAGTTTTGCTGAGGGACGTTCTTTGAGCTTTCACCATCCCCTGGAGCAGAAAGGCTCAGGAGCTGTTTTTTGGTTTTCATCTCTTACCTGTGTTTCCTTACTATTTACAGAAATGACAAATTTTATTTCCAGATGGCATTTCTACTTGAAAGAATCCCTTCCTCAAACCTCAGATATGAAAGCTGAGTTTTACCTTTTCTCTCCCCGCCTACTTCCCCCCGTTATATGTATGAGGATGATTGTGATATCTGCTATTCTAGCTTCATGATATCAAATCAGTTTCTATATATCTTGAGATAAAGCAGTGAGGGGAAACAGGAACCATGTGGCATTTACAGATTGGACCTGTTATCGGATTCACTGGCACTGTGAGGTGAGTGAGCAGCATAGAACTGCACCATGGCAGGATATTGAATTAATGATGCAATCCATGAATACCACCTCAATGGAGGAGTTACGTGGAGAACTTATGTAGAACTATAAAATTCGGGAACATGGATATCCAATCATTCGTGCTGTCTTAGTCTGTTCAGACAGCTTTAACAAAACTATCATAAAACTGAGTAGTTTATATATGACAAACATTTATTTCCCACAGTTTTAAATGCTGGGAAGTCCAAGATTAAGGGCCCAGCAGATGCAGTGTCTCCTGAGAGACTATTCCTCATATTCGGTGCCTTCTCACTGTGTCTTTACAGGGTGGAAAGGGGCAAACAAATTCTTTGGGTCCTCTTTTATAAGGACACTAATCCATTCATGAGGACTCTACTCTCATGAGCTAATTAACCTTTGAAGGCCCCACCTTTTAATACTATCACACTGGGGATTAGGTTTAAACATGTGAATCTGGGGGTAGGGGGGACATAAACATTCAGACCATAGCACATGTGAACCTTTGAAATTTGACCAGAGTCCACTGTGCATATAACTGTTCCTTGGTGGCCGATGTTAGAACATTTGAAGCTACCTCCCTACCTTAACACCCCTCAGAATTGCCTCTTCTGAGTTTTATTTTGATTTTGTGACCTTGACTTTTTCTGACGTTTCTGAGATAAACAGTACATTGGATTGTATTTCCCTTTTTTTTTTTTTTTTGATAGACTCTTGCTGTGTCCCAGGCATGAGTGCAGTAGCACCATCTTGGCCCACTGCAACCTCTACCTCCTGGGTTCAAGTGATTCTCCTACCTCAGCCTCCCGAGTAGCTGGAGCTACAGGCTTGTGCCACCATGACCAACTAAATTTTGTATTTTTAGTAGAGATGGGATTACAGGTGTGAACCACCATGCCTGGCCCTGGATTGCATTTCTAGGATTCCTTTGAAACTGTATTTAAAGGACACTGCCTTGCATTTGTTCCATGGCTATTTATTAAGTCCCTATGTGCTGATTGTTCTCCAGTTGTCCCTCAGATCGTTTCATCCTCCTCTGCTTGGCTCTATGCCTTGAAAAGGTGACTCCTCTCTGAATTGCTGTGTTCCATTGACCTCTGCTTCCCGTTGTGTTTGGTCAATTAACAGCATCAGTAAGAGAGTCAAGGGCAGGAGGCAACAGACTTCAGGGTATAAACCCCATTCCCTGGCTCCTCTGGTTGTGTGACTGGGGCCATTTTCTTTCCCTCTGAGGCTGCAACTCCTCCTCCATTACTTCAGCTCTCACTGAGCTCCAGGACTTCTTTAGTCCCACGACTTCCTCTTTGGGCCTCAGAATTATGAGGCCCCGTGGTTGCTAATTTCTGGGTACCACAAATCCCTTGTTAATTTCCTTAATTCCAACCACACACCCTGTGTACTCCCTGTAGGAACAGCAACAACAACAAAAAATCTCTTAAAACTACTTAAATAGAGTTATGTTTCCCCTGGCACCTAAGGAATACAACTTACTATGTGCTAGGCACTGTTCTAGGCCTGAGGATACACTATGAGCAAAACATCAAGAAACCTTGCCCTCTTTTGCATCCTTCAATCCAATCATGTTGACACACAATATTAACTATCACAGAAACCATCAATAAAAATATAGAAAAAATAACTAACTTTGTTGTTGGTGCCATGAAATGACCTAACTAAATATATACTATTTGATAGGGCTGTAGAGTGACATTAAAAAGACCAAGAGGATCGGGAGAGTTGGTGAGGGCTGAGATCAGGTTACTACAGTTTTAAATACTGCGGTGAGGAAAGGCCTAAATGAGAAAGTGACATGTGAGAAAGGACCTAGAAATTGCATTTCTGCTTCGAATAGAACCCTTCTTAGGTGGAACATGGTTAAACATGAGAAGGTTACCTATTTACCTTACCTCCACTTAGATTGGCCTCTTCTGCATTTTGTTTTGATTTCATGCCTTGGACGTTTTTAAAAAGATTTCTAAGACAGTGATTTGGAATCACCTTCTAAAATCTCCTTTGATCCGTAATTTAAGGACATTGCCTTGCATTTATTTGTTGAATAGGTCATTATTGAGCACCTATGAGCTGGTTGTTCCTCACGTGTCTTCTCAGAGGTTGAGGGATAAGAGAAAAATCAGGTCAACTAGTTAGAAATACCCTGCAATAATTCAGGCAAGAGATGATGGTGGCTTGGACTGGGTATCGATGGTGGAAAGAGTGTGTGGTCAGATTCTGGATTTATTCTGAATGTGGACCCAACAGAATTCCTACTAGTTTATATGAAAAAGAAGAAAGAAAGAAAATAAGGGGGAAAATTCCAAGATTTCTGGCCTGAGTAGCTGAAAGGATTACAGCCGATTTTGAAAAGATCAAGAGTTGCATATTTTACATGTTAATTTTGAAGTGTTTATTGATATTAAAATGGAGACGCCCTAGAGGCAGTTGAGTCTGAAGTTGAGAGAAGGGGTTCAGAAAGACGAGAAAATATTAGGAATGTTATTTAAAGCCAAGGGATTGACTGGATGACATTACAGAGAGAGTGAATGCAAGCAGAAAAGTAGAGGGGTCCATGGATGTAATCCTGGACATTCCAGTGTCTGCACTTTAGTTGTTGAAATAGATCCATCAAAGAAGTCTGTGAAGAAATGACCGGTGATCAAGGAAGTAGGAGAGATCAATATCAACCAATGCTATAAAATACCTCATGTGAAAAATTTATCTTGGAGATTATAGCAAGAAAAAAATTTCTCCTCTCAGATAATGAGCATTCTGTAACTTATATTTGTTGACTTATGCTTCAGCTAGTGAAACTCTTAAAACCAAGTTACACACACAGACACACACATGAATACTATATATGTATATCTTTACACATAAACTTAGAGGATAGATAAGTGATTGATAGACAGATTTCATCCAGTTCTGTGTTTGGTGGCAGCATGTTGTTATTAGCTACCACCTCTAAAAACCTCAGCAAGATGTAAATAAACTAAAAAAAAAATCATAGGATATTATAGTTGTCACCACAATTCATTATTATGAAGAGTCAAGCATGATCTAGATCAGCTCATAACCCTTAAACTGTATCTACAGTGAAGAGGAGTTTACTTAAGTTATTACTTTAAATTTACTTTAATATCACCTTCTCATTCTGTACCTTTTAGCACAAACAGTTAAGTAAACATTTTGGGGGTAGACTAAATGGAGATTCTGCAAACAGAAGAGCTCCAGGTCTATATTGGTATATATCTTATTTGGATGATCTTTTCTGATTAGTATGGTGAGGAAAACTAAAAACTGTACTTTTAATGGATTCTGATTAATGCAGTGATTCTAACTTTCTTTGCAAATAGGAAAGCAATGGAATCTAGACTCACTGGATTAAAACAGTAGAGATGCCGAGGAAGATCTTATAGCCACAGAAGAGGGCAAATGTGGAGGCTGTAATACCTTATCTCCATGAAGAGATGCAACTTCTCAGCAGTCTGTACAGTATGCATCTTTTCACACACCACACAATGATTAATTCCCTGTGTGGTCCAGGTGCAATATCAGCTTGAGTAAGCAATTTGGGATGCCGAAGAGTAAAATTTTTTTTATCAGCTAAAAAATTCTTAAGGGAAAGCAAACAAATTATTTTGAGACAGTATGCAAGGACTAGATTGCTAGCGATTTCTCAGAGAAAATAACAATATGCTGTTACTTTCAGAGATAGGTATGGGAATGGGTGTGGGGAGTAGTAATGTAGCTTTTGATAACAACATTGCCCATTTATTAAAAGAAGTCTGAGAAGCCACTGAGAAAAGCCAAGTAAGAATTCTGGTGGAGTTTGGATATGGGTAAAAATCATGTTGTATAGATGTGAGTGCCAGCCAGTCACATCTTTCTGGTACAAAGTAGGTACTTAATGTTTGCTGAGTGAATTTACAGATCAGATTAATGAAGACATTAATTATAATTTTCAATTTACTACTCAAACCTGTCATCATTCCTTAGCTGGCCATATCACTGTTACCCAATGACATTAATTAATTTACTCAGTTATTATTTAGTTCATTCAATTAATAGGTCAGTTAATCTATCAGTCAACAAATATTTATTAAGTGCCTATTAAATGCCAAAAGTTATGACAGACCCTGGGAACTGAAATGGAAAAGCCATAGTCAGGATTAAAGGTATTTTTGGTAAGTCAAAGAGACAGATAAGAAATAATAAATCCCAACAACAACAACAAAAAGATGCTGCTACAGGTACAGCAAAAACTCATAAGAATAGGACTGGGTACGTAATTTCAGGGCACAGAGTAAAATAAAATGCCTGGTCCCTTGTTGAAAAGTTGTTAAGAATTTTAAGATGTCTACAGAAGATCATTAAACCAAGTGCAAGGCCTATATTATTGCCAAGGTTGCGTGCCCATGAAGCTAATCCGGCAAAGAATTATCTGATTCTCTCCATCTGCATAGAATATTTTTGGAAGGGCTTTTTGAATAAGTGGCATATGAGCTCCGTTTTAAGAGATACTTTAAGTTTCCTAGGCAAGGTTGGAATAGGATGTAAATAAGTGGAGGTGGGCATTGAAAGTTTTCTTTTCTATGGTTAAAAAGCAAATATTGTAGCCAGGAAATGATAACCGGTTCAAAAGCTCTCCTTTAAGGATGAATGGAGCGGCCCAAGATGAGAATAGAAAAATAGATAAGGAAAGTTAAGACTGCCCTTTTGTGCATGCTAAGTAATATGGGTAAATATCACAGCAGTACTATCTTTCTTGTTTATTTTATTGCAGTTTAATTTCCAAAATGTACAAACCTTAAATATGCATCTGAATTACTTTTTATATTTGTATATGCCCTTTTAATCACCACCTAAAGGTATAGAATATTTTATCATCCCAGAATATTAAATTATTTTCCTTTTCCGTCAATAGTCCAATCTGCCATAATCACTCTTCTCATTTCTATTATTATATATTTATATTGCCTTTCTTGAACTTCATATACATGGAATTATACAGTATATAATCTTCCTTTTGTTTTCAGCTTTATATTTTAATGAATAACATCACAGTCATATTTTCAGTTAATCCTTACTGTAATCCATGAAGAAATTATTCTTGGCCCTCTTTTTTACAGATGAGGAAATTCACTCATCGTGATGAAATGACATGTCAAGAGTCACATTAACACGTAATAAAATCGAGGCTCAAAATTCATTCTTCCAAGTCTAAGTTAAATTTATCCTCCATATTTTTTTCTAGCTTCCCTTTTGTTCGGGTCCACTTCATTTTTTTCCCCACAATTACGTACTGAGGCATTTATGATATGATAAAGTGACATTCTTGAACTAAAAAAAAAAAAAAAAGGACTGCAATTTTAAACAATTAAACTCTAAAACACTTGAAACCTTTAGCATTATTGTTACTAATTGTAATGACCTTGATCACCATCATGCTATAAATATTAAAGTGGATTGACTTACTGAACATATTATTTCTGATCTAATAGATATTACCACTTTTCTTCCTAAAAAATGTTTTAAAACCACGATACAGGAAAATATTTATAAAAGAAGACAGACTTTTCCAGACCTTTTACTGTCCTTTTATGGAAAGTGATTATAGGCACTCTTGCCAACAATAAGAAAATCTTTATTCTCTTAAGTAGGTAAGAATATATAACACCAATCACACTTGATTTTAATGTATATTTGCTGTTTTTTTAAACCCTACTCTAAATGTATCTTTTTGCTATATGTTTAGTTTGATCACACACTCTTTTCAATTTCTTTGAAGTCAGTTTTTTGAAATGGAAATGTATGGAGAACTTTAATTGGCTTTTACTACATGCAAAGGAAATCTCAAAAATAGGTCCAGAGGGATGTTTTATTAGTGTGGAGGGAACAAGTGGAAGAAATTGAAACTGATTTCTAGACTTGGATGTTTAACATATTTTCCTCACGGGATTATTCTGTATTTCATGATGACTTAACCAGGGGCTTTAGAGAGAACATTATTTCTTTGAATACAATTTTCTTCAAGTCTCACTCTTTTTCAATATCCTAATCCGTCTTCCCTTCTCCCTTCCATTAAGTTTCATATATTTTGTACTGACCTTTATCCCTTGAGGTAACTCATCAATTCATAACTTTTCATCTTACCCCCAATTTTATTCTTTGTCAATTTTTTAGTAATGACATAATCATCTTGTCCTAAGTAGTACTGTAGAAATATAATTTACTGCTATGCTCAGGATAGTAATTACTGCCTAATCTCATGCTATGTGGTATAGCAACATTTTTTCAGAATTCTTTTGATAAAGTAATTCCCTACCAATCACACATTTAGCATGATATTCATCGTGTTCCTGATTTTGATGCCTCAAAAGTAAAAGTAATGTAAAATCAATAAAGCCACAGGTCTAGAGGTGACAGTTTTTAAATGAATGCTGTCTATTACAGTCACTTGGGGAGCCTCTTTTATGACTAAGACCTAGGATTAGTGTTGGAAATGTCCTGAGGGAAAGTACTATGCAATTAATTGAGCTTGTTGGAATTTCTACCTTCTCTAAATTGCCTCTCATTCCTTAAGGAATAAGGAATCTTATTCCTTAGAGATGTGCAACCCAATGAGAGACATATAAAGTGTATCCTGTAGCTTTAGGAAACAATAAATTCACATTGAAAAACAGAGCAATTTTTAATTGTTTAACAACGAAAACTAAAAACCCGATGCTCATAAAAACTATTTGGCATTCATTCATTCACTCATCCATTCAGAAAATACATTTTGAGAATCTACCAAACAGAGTCTAGACATTGGAAAGAAAATAAAAAAGATAAGAAGTTTTGATTTTGCTGTCATGAAGCATTTTAGAAGAGAAAGATAAGTAACAATATCAGACAGTAATAAATGATTGGAAATTGTAACAGGGCAACAAGACAAGGAGTGTCAACAGGGACTGTGTTAGGTTGAGCAACCAGGAGACAAAGGCCAAGGTAGGTGTGAATTTCTTATGCTTGAAAAATAGAATGTTGTCTATATCTGGACCCCAATATTAGAGAAGAAGTAGAAGGATAAAATGAGAGACTACAGACTGACTGGCCTCATAGTTGAGTTGGCACCTTTTTAAATGCAGTGGGGACGTGTAGGAGGGTTTTGAATTGTATGTCATTGAAAATATTTCATAAAATTTATCATTTTATGTTCTTTTAATCAGCTATTATTAATCACATGAAAATATTAACATATGGAGTCATGACCACAAGATATTTTCTTTTTTGCTTTTTATTGCTGTTGAGTGTTTTTTAAGTGAATATACTATAATTTGTTTATTCATTGGCTATTTAAGGACACGAGAGATTTTTAGTTTTTAGTATTTTAAATAAAGGTTCTGTGAACATTCATGTACAAGTTTTTGTTTTGTGGAGAATATATTTTCGTTTCTATTGTAAAAACACTTAGGAGTGGAATTGCTGGACATATATTGAGTGTATATTTAACTTTCCAAGAAGTTGCCAAACTAAAGCAACTGTAACTTTCACACTCTTACTAGCAATGTGAGAGTTCTGGTTGCTCCATGTCTCCAAGGTATGCCTGTAGTTGCTTTCATCAAATTCACAATCTTTTCTTCTGTAATGCCTGATCAGCTATCAAGGCCATCTAGTGAATTTTTTATTTCACTTACTTTTTGTTTTTACTTCTATAGTTTTTATTTGGTTCTTTTTTAATGTACTTTCCATTTGTCTTTTCATTGTTTTTATGTTTTCTTAAAATTTTAAACATGGTAATAATATTAGCTGTTTTAAAATCCTTGTCCTTTGATTTTATCTTTCTCATTTCTAGATTTGTTTTTATTGCCTAGTTATGAGTTATATTTTCTGGCTTCTTTACATGTTAATTATTTTTATTGGATGCCAAATATTTGAATGATACATAATGGTTTTTCTGGAATTTTTTATTTTTCTTTAAAGAATGTTCAGTTTTGTTTTGGCAGGCAATTAATTTAGTTGTGGATCTGTTCTGTAATTTTTAGGCACATTTTTAAGGCCCACTAGGAAAGGTATAGTATAGCCTTTACCTAAGGCCAGTTTATTCTTTCTTTTAAGGCATTGTCCTTCTGGAATCTTAACGAAGTATCCCAAGTGTTCAACAATGTTTCTCCCTTTGGCTGGTCAGAGTTTTAACATCTCTCAACCACGTGTGAGTTCTGTTCAATTTCTAACTTTTAGCTCCCGGATACTTGTCCTGTCTCCATTAATTGATCTTTTCTGGCTTGGGGAAGTCTTACCTTAATCATTTAATTTAGCATTCAGCCAAATGCTCAAGGAAACTACTATACAGATTGTAAATCATTTTATCTAAGTAAATCCCTTCTTTTGTATCTTTTGCCTCACAAATTCCAGGCTACTTCATGTCAATCTCTGATTTTTGTGTCTACAGCTCAAAGAGACTACTGCACTTCACTTGGCCTTCCTTCACTATCCCATCTTCTGTAAATACTGACAAGCACAAAGCTGTCGTGATTGTAGGGCTTACTTTGTTTTCTTTGTCTCAGGGATCATAATCCCATATTTCTTTCTGTGCAATGTTGGAAAATAATTGTTTAAAGAATTATCCACTTTCCTAGTTCTTTGTGGCAGAAGGGCTAATGTGGAACAAGTTTTTCCATCATGTGCAAATGTTTGATAAAGTGAGTATACATTTTTATATCTATTATCCATTAAGCCTTTGAAAGAGAGATATAACAGCTTAATTTTACATGTCCATATTGATAATAAATTATAAGTTGCCATAATTTGCAACTATTTAAACTCAATAAACAATTTTAGGCTGAGTGTGGTGGCTCACGCCTGTGATTCCAACGCTTTGGCAGGCTGAGGTGGGAGGACCTCTGGAGTCCAGGAGTTCGAGACTAGCATGGGCAACATAGTGAGACCCTATCCCTACAAAACAATTTAAAAATTTGCTGGATGTGGTGCAAACCTGTAGTCCCAGCTACTTTGAAGGCAGAGGCAGGAGAATTGCTTGAGGCCAGGAGTTTGATGTTACAGTGAGTTATGATCTTGTCCCCCGCAAAAAACAAAAAAAAAGTTTAGACCTCTACTCAATAATATTCAATTAGAAAAAAACATAAGTTTCTCAAATCTTTTAGGTCATAGAAGAAAAAATTTTGAGGACATCTGCATTAGAAGATATGAGAGTGATTCAGACCAGAGGTAATGATGTGTAGAGCGATGGTGGTAGAAAAAAAAAAAAAAAAAAAAAAGAAATGGGTTTCACATACAGTTTGGAAATATAACCAAATTCTATTTGTGGTGTGAATGGAAGAACAGAATAGAATATTCTTTAATTATTGTGATGTCCCATGTTAGAAGCTTTCTTTTATATTTTATTCTTTTAATTAAAAATAGGCAATGGATGTTAGAGAAAGGACATGTGGAATATTCAGATGTCACATTCTCCTGTGTTAAAGAACCAGAAAAGCATGCTATGTAATAACTTGTATAAATATTTAAATTAGCAATTCACAAACTCTTTAAGTATTAGCTCATTCTTTTGAATCAATTTAGAATTCTCTTTCTTACCATATAAGAAGTGGCACTATTACACTGAATATGTAAGATGCATGAAGTAGAGTTACATATGAAGAAAAAAATTTACTTTGATGTTAGTGTTTTCAAGACTTATAATATGTAGCAATAGTAAAATGCGTTGAATTAGAAAGGGGATGTGACAGTTACATGCATGTGTATAACCCAAGTACCAATATTATAGGCAACAACAGATATGATGTTTGAGTGTGTTATGTAATTCAGACATAGTGAGAGTGACCACGTAGAAGTAGTGCTTACACTGTTGATAAAACTTTAAGAAAGAAGTCTCAAATAGGTTTAAGTAATGAAAATTTAATAGAAGATAATGTTCATGTTTATGGAATGATGGCTATGTTCTAAGATAGAAGACTATGATCTCTAATTATCTATTCACAACAAATACATGTGATGTCTGCCAGCACGTTTAGAGTCTATGTAAGACGAGATAAAAGTAGCATTCCCCTTCTTTATATGTTTGGTGGAATTCACCAGTGAAGCCATATGGTCCTGGACTTTTCTTTGTTGGGAGGCTTTTGATTACTGCTTCAGTTTCCTTACTAGTTATACGACTATTCAGGCATTCTATTTCTTTACGATTCTGTCTTGGTAGGTTGTAAGTTCCTAGGAATTTGTTTATTTCTTTTAGATTGTCCAATTTGTTGATGTGTAATCATTCACATTAGTCTCTTTTGATTCTTTGTATTTCTGTAGCATTGATTTTAATGTCTCCTTTTTACTTCTGATATTACTTATTTGAATCTTCTCTTTTTTTCTTATTTTAGGTAGATTATCAATTTTATCTTTTAAAAAACCAACTCAATTTTATTTATATATTTGTTGTTTTTCTATTTTCTATTTCATTTATTCTTCTAATCTTTATTATTTCCTACCACATACTCCAGAAATCCTATTTCTAAATATTTATCCGAAGTAATTGAAATCACGATCTCAAAGAGATATGACCACTCCCATGTTCACTGTAGCACTACTGACTAGCCAAAATGTGGAAACAACCTAAGTTTTCATGGACAAACAAATGAATAAAGAAAATGTGGTATACACATAGATCGAAATATTATTTGTCCTTTTTTAAAAAAAAGGAAATCCTGCAATATTCTACATCATGGATGAGCTTTGAGGATATTATGCTAAGAGAAATAAGTCAATTGGGCTAAGTGAAATAAGTCAGTCACAGTGGGACTGAATAATTCACTTATATAAGGTATTTAAATAGTCACACTTATAGAAGCAGGGAGTAGAATGTTAGTCACCAGAGGCTGAGAAGGAGAAATGAGGAGTTGCTAATCAACAGATATAAAAATTGAGATATACAAGATGAAAATGTCCTAGGTATCTGCTGCACGACATGGTGCCTATAGTCAGCAATGTTTTACTGTACACTGAAACATTGTGAAAGTGTGGTCTCATGTTAAATATTCCTACCACAAAAAAATAAACAGATTAGTGGCTGCCAAATGTCAGGATATGAGAGAATACTGATTGCAAAGGAATAAGAGGGAACTTTCTAGGATGATGGAAATGTTCTGTATCATGACTATGGTGGTATTTCATGATTCTACTTACCAAAACTCATAAAAGTATGCACTTAATTTTGGAGGATATAAAAAATTTCTCAATAACATTGGCACACAGACACACCCAAAGGAGAGGAAACTGCAAAAATATTGTTACATTCAATCAACTACACCCATGATGTAATTATTTAATTCCCCTCTTTTTTAGTAATCTAAAATTTGTCAAGAGGTTAAGAAGATCCTAATCAGCATAAAACAATTGGATCATTAGAATATTTTGCTATTGTTCCTATCAAAAACATAGAAATGCAATTGTTCAGTTATTGGTGCAGCCTTATCAATGGATATATTTCTTATTTTAATTTTTTGATATCGTGATAGTAGATCAGTGCCTCTTTTTTGTCACATTTTCAAACTTTCTTAAACAGTGGAACTCCAGCAACGACTGTTTTGAATATACATAATGTGATGCATTCAAATAACTAAAAAAGTCCTTTGCATGTAGCACCTCTTTTATTCATTCAGGGTTTTTTGGTACCATGACTCATAAAATATATGACTCATCAAAATATAAATTCTTCCATGTTTCTACTGCTGAAAAATTGCTTTAGCATCTGGATTTCCAGAGGTGAAATCTTTGACAGCTGGTAGGGGATTAGAATTTAGAAATAACTTCAACTGAAAAAGTTCAGGTTGAAGCCCTGTAACACAAAAGTACCTGGTTGGGGCTTGAGAAGGCCTGGGTTTTGCTTTTACTTTACCTCTGACTAGTTACATGACCTTTTTATGCCATAGCTTCATAGGATTAAGGAAATCAGGCAAACCACTAATAGGTTATCAGTTCTCTTTATTAAGCTTTGTCAAGGACAGATACTATATTTTGGTCAGCAAGGTTCCAAGTGTCTGCAGCTTTGGGCTGTGATTTACACCAGATTCTAGCTTCTTAGAGGTGCTTCTCCTGGGCGCACCATTAAGCCGCTAGAAAGCCACTTCTTTGAGCCTTTCCCATCCTCTCTCTCTAAAGCTAGGGCTTGTGCTGGGGATAGTTAATTCCTAGGAATCAGACTCTGGAAAACCTCAGTCATTTTCCATTCTCTTAGATCGCCCCTCCACCGCAGTAGTACTCTGCTGCTTCCTTCTTTTCAGCAACATGTCATAGACTTCTCAATCAATTTCTGATTTCTCATATGCCTGGAGGAAAAGACTGCTTCACCTCTCAGCTATGGCAAAAAGCCCTAAAGCAATAATTGCAAACTCTGGGTACCTGCTTGAACTCCAAGACCATAGAAAAGATCAGGAGCACACAATTTAATAATTCAGTAATTTCCCTACTGTATTAGTTTATGAGAAAGTGCTTTTTAAAAGCACTATTCCTACCCCAAACTTAAGGAACTTTTGAGTAATTAAGGTATGGCCTGTACCACTGAAAGACTGGGCAGATGTGCAAGTCTAAAAATGTGAAAAGCTATAGTATATTTTTATTAGAACTGAGCAACTAGAGAAATTCCAAACAGAATCACCTTTCAAATGCTTTTTCAAATTCCTCACTCTACCATGTTGGCCTGTTTCCCTAGCTGTACAGTTATATCTAAGACATCTTTCCACAGCAAAGACTAATATGTAATTGCAATTATTTTTCCAACTCCTGTGACCCCGATGGACACAGCCTAAGTGTTCATTCAGACTTTGGGGAAGAAATGTTTTCTGTATGTTACTAGCAGGCTCCTCAGCCTTCAGAAGTGTAGCGTAGGTCTCAGGGTGAGCATGCTTTAAGTACTTTACATATTGTGTAAAGCTACTTCACAGTTATTATCAACAAGATTAATTTATTTTTGCTCTGGGAGCCTCTTTTTTGTGTGAATCTCTAAATATTTTTCCATATTCAGGCGTATTTTCTTAATCTGACATTGATGTAGAAATTGCAGTCAAGCCTCTCCTTTACAAGTTAAAGACGTTGATTCTTAGAAGCTCTCATTAACCACGAAAATCGCATTTCTAGTAATCAAGACTTTTAAGCCTTCTCACTGAAGATCCTGATGTTATAATATGGCAAATGTGGCTGAGGTTATTTGGGTGTTTCTTCAGGGGATATATTTATACATCAGAAAGAACTTACAGGACTGTAAAAAAGAAAGTCCTTCTAGGAGGGATTGCAATGTTGAGAGGTTTTCTAGATTAAGTGGAAACTGGTGTGGTTT
The DNA here is from genome assembly GCF_000001405.40 of Homo sapiens. Classification (NCBI taxonomy): domain Eukaryota; kingdom Metazoa; phylum Chordata; class Mammalia; order Primates; family Hominidae; genus Homo; species Homo sapiens. The sequence continues at coordinate 21,845,544 of NC_000003.12, read as the reverse complement.
GTTCAGTTTATCTTTCTAAAATATAACACAGAGAAAATTTATTTTTACTTAGAAATATCTTTGTATCAGCTGAGGGAGTAGATTTCATATCTGAAAAGGGATTTAAAGAGAAGAAAGAGAAGGAGAAGAAGAGAGAGAAAATATAATAGCGTTAGTCGTAGGAGCTACTGTGTACTTCGTGCTTTTATGCCTGAGTTTATGCTACAACCAAAATTATCATTGCTATTATATTCCATTAGACCAAAAGTCACATTTATGCAGTTTCCTCCAGGCAAATTTAAATCTCAATACTGTTTTTCTTCTTTATGTTTAATCTCAGGAAGCTCTATTCTATAAGAGGCAGCAAATTTGCAGCACAGACATGCAACCTATAATCTGGCATTCGTAGAAGTAGACTAGAGAATAAATGACTAACCATAATTCTGACATTTTAACTCTTAAGTTATTCTCTTGAATAAAAATGTCGCAAAGCAACTTTAAGACCTGCGTTAACATTTCTTTTCTCTTTTTTCTTTTTCTTCTCTTATTTATTTACATGTTTGCCTTCGTTCATGATTTGGCAGTACATCAACACATGTTTTAAAGTGTTAGAAAAACAATAGCTCTGTAAGTGAAACCTACATCTATAAAACCAATTCTAAAGTCCACCAAGATCTCTTAAATTATCTCAGTGTATGCTATATACTGATACTTGTATTTGTGAGGTTGAACAAGGCAACTCTGAAAAATTTCAGTAAAATTGATCATTTTTTTGCCTTCCAAAACTAAATGAAAATACTAGCATCAGGTAGAATGTGAACAATTTAGTGACAGTGCAATTTTGCTGATTGTAACAAATTCCCATAGGCCTCAATATTTCAGATTTTAAGCATCTTGCACCAGGTGAACTTTAAAAATGATGTCATGCACTGAATTTGGATTGAATGTTTACCATGCAAAACTTAACATCTTTCCTTTTGGTTTGGTGATTTATCATTTTTAAAAGGCTTTCCTATTTGATTTTTGTAATCAGAGAATGTTTTCTAATCAGAGAATGTTATCCTCCACTTGACACATAGGGAAAGTGAGCTTCGGACAACTTTAGCATCCAGGTTGCCTATCAAAATCCCCAAGAAAGCACCATCTATAATGGCTAATCATCAAAATCCCCAAGAAAGCACCATCTATAATGTCTAATCAGCTGGTAAGCTAGAATAAAGCCAGTGATCCTCTGTTCTCAATTGAGGATAAATTTCCTTTAATAAAAACACTCTTATGATATTGTATTTTGAAGAATGAAACAAAACCACAATAAAAAATAATAACAAAAACCCTCCTCTCTTGGCACGAATTTCCTAATTTGTAAAACAAATGTACTAAATCTTACTTGTCCTGTACTGTCTACCTCTCAGGGTTGTTTTAAGGTTAAATTACATAAGATAGTGAAAATCCCGTAAAATATATGTTAAATATCTCCAAATCTCCCATCTCTGCCAGATATCATCCTTGTAAATTCCAACACAATTCCTAGAACAAGACTTTCTACTTTTTGTGTGACGCATTACTTGCTATGTTATTTTATATTTATTTATGAATGTATCTTATCTCCCTACTAGAGTTCCTTTTGTGCACATTCTATGTCTGTTTCAACTTTGTTCCCCAGCAGGAAATGAGATGCTTTGAATGGAGTGGTTGATGATTAGAATAAAAGAATGAAATGTTCTCCCCTCATCTGGAAGATACCATGCTACCACCTGGGACCCTTTGAATTGTTTCTGTCAAAGTTCATATTGAAATAACTCTTTCATTAAGAATTCACCATCTGCTGGGTTTCATTTCTTTTCAAAATTGGTAATGACTTGATTATTCCCCTTTATCATCTTCTGACTTTAATACATGCCTGCTATTGATAACTGCTTGGTTCTATTCATTTTTGTATTCTTGAAGTGCCTAGTACAGTATCCTCTATATTTTAATAGCTCAATATATTAATACATTTTGGTTGGATTAACATATAAATAGATGTTAGTAATTGTTCCAACCTTGAATCAGAGTCTACCTCTCACGTGCTTGGGCTACAGAGCATGATAAATATGACTTTGTATCTCCTGAGCTCACTTTTCTAAAGTGGACAACAGGCTCGCATTTCTCTTAGGCTGAAACATATCCTCAGGGATAATTCAAATGGTCAGGATAATTCCCCTGGTCCACTAATGTCACATTGGTGACCTTCTTGACTAGGCCGATGATAAGTCCCCCAACAAAGAGCAAAGTGATAAAGGAGCTACGGTTAATCCCCTGAGTGCTTCTACCTGCTGGTTCTTAAACCTTTTTCCCCAACCCAAAAGTTCAGTGTCTTTATACTATCTTCTAACTGCTCAGAGAGCCCCACACAATGATTGTCCTGTTCAGCTTGTCTTGAAATGAGACAAGAACATTCTCTTGCAATTATCTAAGAACTACTCTCCAGGATAAATAGTTTCCAATAAAAGCCAACTCTAGCTTCTAAAGGATCTCTTCTTAAAAGCTTTTATGCTAAACTATTTCAAATAAGGACCAAGCTTTTGCTCTAAACTATTTCAAATAAGGACCAAGCATTCTGCATGTAATGCAGTGCAATTTGAAAGAGAATAGATTTTCAGAAGTGCGCCAACCATGTCTGGCAGATTACCATTTATTTGACATAAATGGAAGAGACCAAAATGATCTTATTTTGAATTCTGTTTTTAGAAATGTCCTTATCAAAATAATTTTTCTGCATTAGCTTAACTGCTGTTTGATAGCAAATCAAAGGTAGAATTAACCAAAGCTGAAAGTATTGTACTTCTCTACCATTGTGGCATTCAAAAGGTGATGGATTGACTGCATCACTGAATGAAATAAGAAAAGGCTTTCATTCCACTTACAGAGTTTTACAACTGGAAAACAGAAATTTGGATATAAATTCACATCCTCAGACCAGTATGTAAACAACCATCCCAAAGATCTAATTACAGGGTTAATATTTAAAAGCATTGCCATGAGTATCTGTGATGGCCCTAGAGAGCCTGTGTCGACCAAATGGGGCTTGAAGTCATCTTTCATGATTACCAATCACTGGCCTTTCACATATGAGTCAAATTCAATTCATAACGGCTGGATTCAAGGTAGGGGAAATTCACATAGGCAATAGGAATCAGATCTGATAGAAATCAAATCTCAGGCCAAAATTCATTCTCCTTCCCTTCCCATCTTGCTCCTTTTTCTCCCAAAACCCTAATAGCACATATATTCAAAATGAGAGGTATTTTAAATTGCATTTCTATTGTTCCAGAGAGTAGCTGCTCTATCAGCCTGGGATTCAGAGCAGAGCAGAGCAGAATCCAAGGTGACTTGCAACATTGAGAAAAGATTACATATTGAATTATTATTGATAACCAGTTATCTGTCATTGGTTTTTCATCTGAAAGAGAAAGCAGCTTTAAAATAACATATAGTTTTAAATTTAACAAAAAATCTAAATTTTAGAAATGATAAAAATTATACAAATACATTTTCAATTATATATTCCATTTTATATATTATACAAATACATTTTCAATTATATAGATTCAATTATATATGTGTGTTTGTGTATGTGTGTATATATATGTATATATGTGTATATATACATATATGTATGTATTTCTGAGGCGTGACTTGTTAGAGAAAGAATAGAAACAAAAAAAGTATAAAGGCACAGAAAAATATGTATGAATTGCGAATTTACAAACTTAAAAAATGTTATAACAAAATACATCAAAAATTAAACCAATAAAGTCAAGGTCTTCCTAAATTAAGTAAAAATTTAAGCAAAATGAAAAGTGTGTGTAATTTGGAAGAATTATGCATACTTATACTTGTGTTTAATAACTTAAGTATTCCAAAGAACCCCTAAAAATGACAAGAAAAATAAAATGGAAGCGATTGAATGGACATAAACAGGCTATTCACAAAAATGGAAAATTTTCAGCCTTATCAGTGGTCAGGATAATACAATTAAAACGAAGAGCTATTATCATTGTGCTCATAAAATTAGCAAAACTTACGACTTGTAACCTAGAATGCTCCGTGGGAAGATAAATTAATACAGTAGTCTGACTTTTTTTAAAATGAAATGTTCTTTAATTCAACAATGTCAATTCTGGGAATTGATCTCAGGAGAATTCAAAGGATCTCAGCTTACAATTATACATAAATGGATATTTATAGCAACACTGTAGTAGAAAAACCTTGGAAGTAATCTGAACACCCATCAGTGCAGGAATAATTGAATAAATAATGTGCATCTATTTTTGGTATTACTATGAAGCTATTAAAGAGAATGAGTTACGTCTGTTATCACTGGTCTGTAGGGATGCCCACGATATGCAGTTTAGTAAAAAACACAAGCTGCAGAGTAATATACATAGTAGGTGCCATCATTGCTCTGAATGTCCTTGCTTCATTGCCTTTGACGATTCTTTTCTCATGAAACTTGCTAACAGTCTCTTACCATCTGTATGTCTAATTCTTCTTTCACATTCATATTCACCAGGAGCCTCAGTTTGTCAGGGAAGCTAAATTGACCAACCCAGATTGGATACATGTCCACTACCTGTGCCTTCAGTTTATCCTGAGCAGGTCTCAGTCATAGACATTTATTCAACTCTTGGTTTCTTTTAGACAGCAAACTCTTTGAAGCCAGGGATGATTGATCTCCTCTCAGCATTTTCAATATAATAAGTATATGTAGTGATTGACATAAGGGGGTAATTTATCAAACTTTTTTGAATGAATGAAAAAAAGTGCGGTCCAACCACATTCCAAAAGCAAATGTATAAATAAATAATGGTAGAGTATTAGAACTGGATGGAAACATCACCAAATACTGAAGAGTGTCATTTGCTAAGAGTTTTAATACCGAAGCAACGGTTTCCAGCTTATGGGTCGCCAAATCCCAAATGCATTCATATGCCAACGTTGGATTAAAAACAAAACTTTTCTTGAAAATTCCCAGTTGCCCATAAAGCACAAAATCTTTAGTATTGGGCATACCGTTATTCTTGTGTTTGCTAAAGGTTGAGCACTATTCAACTAGACAAAAGGAAGGAGTGCAATGTCGATATGAAGATATCAGGGAATAGGAAGCATGCTATCTTTAAAAGAACGGTTATATCCCTTACAAAGCCCTCTGAGGGGTAGAAAAGTAAAAGTGATACCACTTGCCTCCAGCTCTTCTCTATTCTGTTTTAATTTTAGGTCTTTGAAGTCTGAATTTGTCTTAATTGTTTGTTTCTGTGAGGGTTAAGTGAGCCACATCTTACCCCATGTCTTGCATGTGTAATACTTACATACTACTTTTGAATGCATGTATACCCTCTGTTGTCACTGAAATACAAATTCAGTTTAAAACATCATTGAATTTATTTAGGCTTTTGATTATCTGTACCTTCTCAAAAATATGCGTATAAAAAGCAAATTATTATCAAAAGAGGTTATCACATTCTTCTTTTTTCCACTTATAACAGGGTCCTCACACCCAAAAACGTTGAAAAATAATTACCTAAATATAAAGCAGTATAGGCACAAGCATCAAACAACATGTTTATCTGAACATAATTGAGAGAGATTTGCAGTCCGGTGTAAGGCTGTGCGCTCTCGGTCTTTAGGTGCACAGTGGGAGGCAATTTCTGACCCCTCCAGTAGAGGGAGACCTGGAGATCAGTTCTGGCCAGTAATACATGTGGGAGTAATGAGGGTCAAGTGCAGGTCAGGCATTTGATTGCTGGTATGTGACTCTCCAGGGATCACTTTTTCCACTGCTACAGCATCTGGGAAATGTTCCAAATAATGGCTGTTCTGTCAGCTGAGTCTTAAAGTGAAGGCAAAGTGATGTGGTCTGGAGTCAGAGCTGACCCATAAAGATCATTGTGTGGGGCAAGAAATACATCTTTACTCTTGTAAGCAACTGAAATTGTCGGCCTCTTAGTTATCATAGAAAAAGCTAGCCTCTCTTGCCTAATAGAGTTTCTGCTATTTGAGTTTTTCTTGGGAGCTATTTAATTACATCAATTGGCTTTTAATTGTACCTTGGAACTGGACATAGTTTAGGAAAGTGAGAGATTTTAGAGAAGAAGCTAGGCGCCAAAGACTGGCTATACTGGTTTAGTCATCTTTTATGATGAGTTTGTAACAGATGATGAGCTTTTGGACTGTGAAGTCAAAACCATTTTTGTGGCTGGTGTTTCACTTAGCTAGCTACTCCTGAGAATTTCATAATATGAGATTTTAAAATGTGGTTGGTTGATTAACTGGTTGTTAAAAATTATGTGATGATACTAAAAAAATGTTACCAAAAAAATGGAAGTGACTAGTTTTCAGAAAAGGCCATAGGGCTTAATGATTAAGGCTTGGAGTTAGAAAGACCAAGGACAGAATTTTGACTTTGCATTTATAGCCATTTGATAATCGTTAATTATGTTAATCAAAGATTATCTTCTAATAACCTTTAATTATTATTAAAAATATTTTTATCTTTTTAGCCACAGTTGCCTCATTCATCCAATGTGAATTGTAATAATAGAAAGTACTTCATAGACTGCTGTAAGCATCGACAGAAAAAATATGAAAAATGTTTTATATGTTCCCACGGTTATTGTTTAGTTTGTGGTGTTATTATTATGAGCAAGTTATATCACCTCTAAGAAGCATCTTTTCTCACACTTTAACATCTCTGAAATCAAGACACCTATTAAAATTGGTGATATTTTATAATTATAGTTACTGGATGATATATAAGTTAGCATGTAACTTACAATAGATGGCATCTTAGATTTGAAGAGACAGGGTTGTGATCATATTATTAACAGGGTTTCTAGCTAGGGCTCATTTGAGCATCATAGATGGATAAGGCCAGTTTGCTATCCTTTAAACATAAAAAACCGTGACCTTCCAGAACTTCTCTTTTCCATCACTTTGACAATTGACACTCAAAGCCGCTATTGTTTTTTAGTGGCTGTTGGGAATTTTCTTCCTAGTGCCTTAGAGTGTCGGTGTGATATTCTAGGCAAAAAGGTCTTATAGCTGAATTAAAAACACTCAAACAGGAAGGCTGGCCTCTTCATTGTTGATTCGCATCTAAATTCATTATGAGAAGTGCTGGAAGCTGTTCACAAACAAGATTCTGACTGACCATCACCTTTGTTTTTAGCATATATACCATACATAACTATACTTATCTCCCAGATCCTCCAAGTACCTGTCTTGAAAACTTTCCCTTACATATTTGAGCTTCTCAATAGCATTTTACTCATGCTTATCACCTGCATTGTCTCCCCAGGCAATCTTCTTGAATTTTCCATATTACCAAAATGATGAGAGCCAACACAAACCAATTTTGTAACAATACCTGTTCTTCCAAACACTGTTCTTCTGTGTTACTCTGGGAATTCATTGTTAATCTTTATAATCATGCCATTAAGATTGCTACTGTTAATGTGCAGTTATGAAGATCTAAATGCTTTGAAATAAAAGGGATAATGTAGGCCCATAGGCTCCACAAACCCTGAGAGAAGTATGAAATGGTAGACTGCATGGTGGCCACAAATTTTTCCCTTCCTCTACTCACCGTCATTTGCAATATTATTTTACTACTCCAGAGGTGGAGTCTATTTCTCCAATTTTTTTTTTTTTTTTGAGATGGAGTCTCACACTGTTACCAGGCTGGAATGCAGTGGTGCTATCTTGGCTCACTGCAACCTCCACCTCTCGGGTTCAAGCAATTCTCTTGTCTCAGCCTCCTGAGTAGCTGGGACTACAGGCGCACGCCACCACACCCAGCTAATTTTTATATTTTTAGTAGAGACGAAGTTTCACCATGTTGGCCAGGATGACCTTGATCTCTTAACCTCGTGATCTGCCTGCCTCAGCCTCCCAAAGTGTCAAGATTACAGGTGTGAGCCACTGCACCTGGCCTCTCCAACCTTTTAAATCCAAGCTGGTATTCTGACTTGCTCTGAACAATAAGTTGCAGAAAACATGTCATCTAAATTCCAAAGCCATGCACCTGTACTCACTTGGAGCACTACCCTGAACCCACCATACCATGAAGAAGCCTGGGATGTAGAAAGAGAGGCCTAGCCATCCCAACTGAACCATCTGATTCCAGACCCCTATCTACCTCCCAGCTGAAAACAGCTACATGAGAAAACACAGGCCAGATTAGCACAAGGACCTTGCAGACAACCCACCATACTTCTGGACATAGTAAATTGCTGTTGTTTGAAGACACTAAATTTTGAATGGTTTTTATACATGGACTGATGACTGAAAGAAGTCAAAGGCTTTCAACTGCTAGAATAGATTTCTCTGAATTAGAGTCTGAAAGAAGGAGGGAGGCCTGTAGAGAGAAATTTGGCAATGACATATAAAAAAAATTTCACTTAGCTTTGTTTCTGTCACTCCAATGCTAGCATCATATGAAAAAATTTATACTTTAAAGAGCTTTAAGGATACATACCTTGAATTTTTTACAGCCCTTTTATGAAGCCATCAGAAAGTGCATTTCAAACAAGTTTCATGTTTCTCCTTAAAAATTTCTCATATTGTGACATATGGAGGTGACAGGATCAGCTCAAGGAGGGAAGAGAAGAAGAGTGGAATAAGCCAAATGATTATTCCCGGTTCTCACCATTCTAAGATATTTAAGCTGGGGTGGGTCTACGGCAGCGTCTGCAAACTACCTTATATTTTTGTACATTGTGAGCCGAGAATGTTTTTTACATTTGTTTAATGGCCAAAATAGAAAATAAAAATAATATTTTATATATGTAAAATGTATATAAAATTCAAATCTTAGTGTCTATAAGTAAAGTTTTATGAGAACACAGCTGTGCTCCTTCGTTTACATACTATGGTTTCTTTTTGGCTACAATAGTAGAGTTGAGTGGCTGTGATAGAGGCTGTGTGCAAGTCTAACGTGCTTACTATCTATCTGGCTCCTTACAGAAAAAGTTTGGCAACTTTTGTTCTAGGATGGAGATTTGAGAATTTTCTTTTAGGTCTCTGTAATGTGTTATATCCCATGGCAGTGTTTGTGAATCCATAAATAAACACACCCAGCTGACTGTCTCAACCTCACTCTCACAGTCTTCATATCTTGTTTGTTGAATATGCAGAAGTGTAAAGGTATCTATGTCCTAAGTTTGCTTAGGGTAAGAGATGAGGGGAAGAGAGAGCTAGAGAACAGTAGATCAGAGTAAGTGTTTGATGATACTTTAATCGAAAAAGTGACACGAAAATGATTTAATGCGCCTCCATATTTATGTTTTTCTCTTGATATCTCTTTCTAATAACTTTTGTTTATAGACCAAAGCAGTTTTTGAAGAGTCAGAAGACTAAACAATGAACAGCATTAGCCCTAAAAATAACTTTTTTTCCCCAAAATTTGCTTCCATAATCTGCAATTAAAAGTTCTGCAAAAGAAGTTATTGTAACAGTGTACCTAACAGTAGATAAACTGTGAAAGTGCTGGGCATAATTTTCTTTACCTGTCTGATCTTCATAGGCACCCAGACATCTATAGACTATTCACTCCTCACCTCAACTCAAAATGGTGTTCTTATTAAGGCACTTCATGATTTTTAAAAATCATATTTGGAATATATTAATATACTTTGCCTCTACAACAAATGAGGGATTATGGAATATAATCTCAGGATCCCAAATTGACAGAGACATTTAGTTGGAGGGACAATTATTGGTAGGCCTAGAATAATATTTTTTGTTTTTCTGGAAATGACACACCATTAGTTATGAAATGGAGGAATGTAAAAGGTATCATCTTTCCCCATAACAATACAGTTCCAAGTATAATTTCTGGTTTACCAAGAACCTTTTCAAGTAAATATAAAATCTTCCCTCTTTTAGGCTACATGCCTCTTTCTCCATTTTTAAAGCTATTTTCTATTAGAACATATGCTAAGATTTATTATTTGTGCCTTTATCCTTAGTGAACATACGTATTTGGTTTAGTTTTTTTTTTTTTAAGTAGTATCACTTTGATCCACCCTGTGAATCACATGTGTTTACCACATTCCTGAGAAGACTATGAGTATTTCAGCAGGGAACATTGTCCAACTGGAGAATTTTGGAGGCAACATATGTTCTCATAACAATTTTCTGGAGGGAAAACTCATCCTAAGCAAATTTTACAATGGAAGGATCGTGAGCCATTTGCTACATACTTGCATAGTACCTATTTGGTACTAAGAACTATATTTATTTTTGCTGCTTTTCTCCAACTTAAAAAAAAAGTAAGCAAACTATACATAGCCTCACTAGTTTTTTTCTTTCCTTCTTAGCTGTTGAGCATCTCTTGGTTTTTGATTGATTCTCACATATGATAGTACCTTTAGTAGATTTGAATTTAAATAATAACTAAATGTTGATGAATGTGTGTTCATTTAGGGTCATGACTGTATACCAATAAACAAGTGAGTTTATTTAGGGCTAGAGCTGTTCCTAGCACTTGCTAGGTCAGTGTATGTATTAGTCAATTTCCACACTGTTATAAAGAACTACCTGAGACTGGGTAATTTATAAAGAAAAGAGATTCAATTGACTCACCATTCTACATGACTGGGAAAGCTTCAGGAAACTTACTATCATGGTGGAAGGTGAAGGAGAAGCAAGCACCTTCTTCACAAGGGGGAAGTACCACACTTTTAAACCACCAGATGTCGTGAGAACTCACTCACTATCCCAAAAACAGCATGGGGGAACTGCCCCAAGATCCATTCATCTCCCACGAGATCCCACTGTCGACACGTGGGGATTACAGTCCAAGATGAGATTTGGGTGGGGACACAGAGCCAAACATCATCAGTCTGTCACTTAGGATATGCGTTAAGTAACAGAAAAGATGAATACAAATTGTCCTTTTAAAAAATGAAGCTTTTCATTGGCTCACTTAGCTGGGAGTACAAAGGTAGGGTAAGGCTCAGTGTTATTTAATTCAACAGGTCAATGATAACCATGTCTCTAATCTGCAGTCCTAACTGCCACCTTTATCCTGAAATATCAGAGAATCAGAGCTGTAGGATTCTTCCTTATTCAAATTTTGTGAAAGAAAGAGGATACACCTAAAGTCTTTTCCAGATAAGCAAAACAGAACTTTCTAAGAAGGCTTGAACAAATGGTTTCCTTGGTCAAATTGTGGCACATGTCTATTCCTGAGCCACATCTTTCTTAGGGGGATGGAGTTTTGCTGTTTAGACTTGGAGCTGCATGTGAGGACCTGAGGTCAGCTCTGAGTCTCGTGGACTGGGTGGGTATTTGAATATAACTAGGATACTTCAGAAAAGAAGGAGAAGGGAATGAATGGAGGTAAGCAAACATCAGTGTCTACTTCAGCCAGCTATATGTGTGTGAAATATAATGAAAATTTGATCTTGTAGAACCACCTATTCCCTTTTTTTCTTATTGTCCACTTTTTTTGTTTAACTATCAAAGGTCACATATATAAAATATTTTACGTGTATTAATTTAGTTATCACCATAAAATAATGCTAAAAGGACTTTTTAACATTTTCAATTAAAGAACTCTTCTAAAATAACTTTATCTTTTAAATCATTTCAAAAATGGCTATACTAGCTAGCATATTCTAATGCATATCATTATTGTATGCTTCCCTTAGTCTGGGCTTAGCAAATACAAACCATTGTTTAAGCCAATAATTACATGGAAGATAGATTGTGTTTTCCCATTTTACAGATGAATAAAATGAGCCAGGGAGATTAATTGATTGGGTTATTGTCCTTCATTTCTAAGTTATAGAGCGTAGCATTTGATTCCAAGTCTCCTGCTCTTAAGCCTGATTTTCTAAATTATTTTGTTTCCTGGAGCTGTCATATGAGTTATTCCAAAGTGAACGTCTTAAAACAACAGAAATTTACTTTCTCATAGTTCTGAGGGTCAGAAGTCCAAAATCAAGCGGTGGCAGGGCCACACTTTCTCTGGAGTGGGAAACCAGGAAGGTTTTTATGGGAAAACCACTCCTGGCCTCTTCTAGATTCTGATGACTGTTGACAATTTTTGGCTTATGGCCACAATCCTCTCCACGTGCGTGGCATTCAGCCTTCCCACCTCTCTTACAAGATACATGTGATTGCATTTAGGGTCCATCTGGATAATGCAGGGTAACCTTTTTCTCTTAAGATCCTTAATTTATTTGTATCTTTTGCCATACAAGGTAATATTAATACTTTTGCCATATGAAGTAATAATAGCAGATTTCAGAGACTCTGATGTATACATAACTTTGGGGCCAACTTTCAGCCCACTAAGTATACCATTCTAAAAATCTGATTAAAAGAAAACTCAATAATACAGGATTCTTGCCTTTCTTGATCTCTGCAGTGTTCCTAGTACCCAACACAACACAGTATCTGGTACAGTAGGTACTCAATAAATATTCGTTGATTGATGAATGAATAAATGCATCATGATGTGAGAGTGGAAAGTGTCATGATACAAGTAGGATGTGCGCTACCATTGGAAAGAAGCTGTGGGTGAAGAGCATAGTTGAGAAATAAGATTGATTTTTATATAATATTTAGATATTCTCATAAAAAGTTTTTGACCACAAGTATATCATTAAGGGGAATCAGTGAATGAACTGAATATCTGGTGCATGGATCTTTTTCCTTTTGGGTGTTAAGCAGAAGAAAATATGAAAAAGAGTAGAGCTCATAGAATCAGGTAAACTTCAAATCTGGAAGGACCTGAAATGTCTAGTACAACTTCACACCCAACAACAGATGATCACACTTGTGAAACAGTGACAGTTTCCATTTAAATGCCCAACAGTGCTGAGGATGGCATGACCTTACCATTCAGCCCGTTTTGTCATTGAACTGATCCAAGAATGTGAAGTTGAATAATGCAAATTTCAAATGTATTTACCGGTTACACAGGGCATTGTCTGGAGCAGCCGTGACCTTAAAGTTTGGGAGATGTTCCTAGAAAAGGGAGAGCAACTCCCCATAGTACAACTTTCTGTAATCATGAGGAAGCACCTGCTTTGCTGATCCATGAGAATGTATGACACCCTATTAGCTAGAAAGGAATTTCTACTCATAAACACACAGCAAGCCCTAGCAATTTTCAAATTATTTGTTTAAAAATGTTCATTATTTATTACAAACCTTTAACACAATGTGAATGAGTCTAACAAATAAAATACTTAACGGGCAGATGACAATATAGAGATGTGCTTATTTTCTGTAAGACTTGTTGCAGTTGAGGAAATGCTATAATCTTTTTTTATTTTTATTGGATCTTTTAAAAATGAAAGTAGATGTGAAGAAAAACAAATAAGGCACACAGTTTATTAACATAGTGAGTATTGTAAAATTTGTTACAAATAAAAAGATTTAAAAAATATGAACTTTAAGGAGAGATGAGAGAAATACGTGAACAAATTATTTTAACAACATTGTCTAGAAAATTTATTGAGTCAATTTTTAATGTTTCTATAAGTAAATCTGGAGTGGTATGCAAGCTAATTAAAGGGATAGTGCATTATAATGTCAAATGTTTATATTTTAAAAGCACATTTATTAGCCCATTTCTCATAAGATGTTTAAGTATAAATATGTCTCTAAGCTTCTTTTAATATTTTCAAACTGCAGCTTATTTTGATATCAGTACAAAGTCATGTAATTTTAAAGATAAAATAGCCAAAATACAGGGTAACAAAATACATCCTAACAATCCAGAATTGATCAGACTCAGTTGTCTGGCCCCAGTCAACTGTGGCTTTTGAAGGAGTGCTATGAATGTTTATATCCAATAGAAGGCAAAGCGATCTAACTCCCCAGTGCTCAGAAGAACAGTGGGAGGGTTCCAATTATCTATGCTTCTACAAGTTGAGTTCATGGATGTAGTAGGGGTGATTTAAACCAGATTTAAACTCAGTAAATATTGATTGAATGAATGAGAAGCTAAGTGGTATGGATAACCTTTGAATGAAGTGTAGAAAGGTCTGAGTTTAAGTTCGAGCACCGCCACTAGCTTGGAACAAAGCTAAGGATTTCTTATTCCCAGTCTAGGGATCATTTGTCAAGAGTAATTTGTCACTGAATCAATTAACTATGAAAGGGTTGAACAAATAGAAAAGAAATAATACTTTTGATTACCTACTATGTTCTTGCCACAATACTTTGTATATATTTTCTCTTCCACCATAGCATTCCCGTGAGGTAAGTGTGATTTCTGCTCCTCTTCCCTTCAAATGAGGTTCATAAAAGCAGAGTACTGGAACAGTTAAATTTTGAAGGGAATGATAGAATATAAGAAAAAGGACGTTCCAGGTAACAAAAAAGAAAAAATTTTTAAGTAAAATATTTTTACAAAATTATTGAATTGTGCCTCTAAAAACAACCTTGAGTGTTGATTTGTTTCAATGAGACATGCTAAGAAAACATTTCCTCTCATGCTTATATTCAGTCTCCAGTCTCGCTGGGTACATAAACTCTGAAGCCCTGGAACCTGACTCATTTGGTTTTCTTCACTTTACTTTAGAAACCCAAATACTAGTTTTTAACAGAATATCTTATTCACCAACTTTTAAAGCCAACTTATGGTATGACACCCTTCAGTGAACTTGGGTGAATAAATTGGATCAATGGCATAAATGTTTTCCTCTGGATACACTCCAGAGTTTCTGTCTACCCCAAGGCAATGGCAAACATGGACATGCTTATTTTCTGTTTTTCTCAAGACTACAAGGTTTCTTTGTACACTGCAAGCAAAATTTCCAGGCACAAACATTTGCCAAGGAAATCACAACAAGGAACACTTATTTAACATTTGACAGGCACATTCCGCAACTCTACTAATAAAGATACTGTGAGGAAGATGTGGTCTAGAGGTCAATCTCATCTTCGACAGACAAGGGAAGGGAAGGAAAGAAGGAAAGAAAACAAATACCAAGTAAGAATTGCTAAGCATACCAGTCCTGGCTACAGAATCAATTTAATAGCAAACAACCAACAGTACAAACAATACGTAGAGGCTTTCCCAGCGCACCTAATATGGCATCAAATAAGATGGTTGCAGGAGTTTTATACCAGAGGAATATAAATCTATGCATGTCTACTCTAGGATGGTGACAGCTATGTCAACACTGGTAACATAACAGATCAATGTAATCAATTCATCCAAACAGCTCATCAACTCAGTTAATCAAATATCAGTCAAAGAAACTGCTTAAACAAGTAAACTAGGATACAATCCCGAAATACTCATGCCAGTAATACATGTGCATAACAGACAGAGTGTCAGTTTGGTGAATACAGAGATGAATTTTTACTAGAGTAATTAGAAGCTTAAATGCAAGTCTTTTTCTTAGATAACTCTAAAATGCCTCTTTTATTTTTTTTGACAGAGTGTCACTCTGTCACCCAGGCTGGAATGCAGTAGTGATATCTCGGGCCACTGCAACCTCTGCCTCCTGAGTTCAAGCAATTCTCCTGCCTCAGCCTCCCGAGCAGCTGGGATTAAAGGCGCCTGCCATCAGGCACAGCTAATTTTTGCATTTTTAGTAGAGATGGGGTTTCACCATGTTGGCCAGGCCGCTCTTGAACTCCTGACTTCAAGTGATCCTCCTGCCTCGACCTCCCAAAGTGTTGAGATGACAGGCGTAAGCCCCATGTCAGGCCAAACTCTAAAATATTAGGTTGGTGCAAAAGTAATTACAGCTTTTGCCATTGAAAGTAATGGCAAAGACCACAATTACTTTTGCACCAACCGTATATATTTCAATAATTTAGCATCTCCCACATGGAAAGCCTAATTCATGACACCATTAACCTACCTGGGCTACTGCAGCTGCTCCTCCCAACTTGTCTCACTACCACCAGCTTGACCCCTTACAGTTCACCATTTTAACAAGAAAAGTCATCTTCTCGAAGGCTAAATCGTATCATATCTTCCCCTTGCTTAAAATTCTCCTTTGCTTTCTCTTCTAATTTGGATAAAATTCAAGCTTTTTATCATGACCTGCACAAAAGTGCATGGTCAGGGCCCATCCCTTCTCTCTGACCCTGTCTCTGCCACTCTAAGCCACTACTACAATGGCCTTTTTCTGTCCTAAAATAGCCAAGCTTGTTAATAATGCTGGGCCTTTGCACTTGCTGATCCCTTCCCTGAGAAAGCTCTTTGCCTCCTTCTCATTATTTGGATCTCAAGTCTCATATCTCAGAGACTTTTTCTGGCCACCTCTAATGAAATAGCCACTCCTTCCCATACCCAATTACTCACTCTCCTTTGCCCTTTAAAAATGTTCTATAATATTTATTCCTGAAATTATACAATTAATTTGTTTACATATTCATTGTCATCCCTGGAAAAGGTAAACTTCCTTCCCCCTAGAAGGATCATGCCTCCTCCAGAAAAATGTCAACATTCTAATCCTTGCAAACAGCTAGTATATTATTGGCAACAGGGGCTTTGAAGATGTGATTAAATTAAGGACCATGAGATGGAAAGATTATTCTGGATTATCCAGATGGGCCCTTCCTTAAGGGTCCTTGTAAGAGGGAGACAAGAGGGACAAAGTCAGTGAAAGGAGACATGAAGATGGAACCAGAGTTTGTACTGATGTGCTTTGAAAATGGAGAGAGGGGAAGTAAGCCAAGGACCAGAGGTGGTCTATAGATGCTGTAAAAGGCAAAGAAATTAATTGTCCGCTAAAGCCTACAGAAAAACCAGCCTTGCCAGTACGTTGAATTCAGTGCAGTAAAACTAATTTCAGACTTCTGACTCTCAGAACTGTAAGATAAAAAATTTGCATTGTTTTAAGCCACTAAGGTTGTAGTAATTTGTTGGGGTAGCAAAAAGAAACTAACAAAGATGGTTTATTTCTGTTCTCTGCTGAATCCATACTATCCATACCTGCCTGACACACAGTAGGTAGCCAATAAATATTTGTAGAACAAATGATAAAGCACATGCCAAAGTGTCCTTATGGAAAGACATAAATGTCAAAATGATGTAGGTTATAGGTGAGTAAAACTGCAATTATAACTCCCACTTATTTTAAAACCTACAAAATCCCCTCCCCCCATTTCTTTTGTTTATTTCTCTAATGGGCACCAAAATGTAGTAAAACATATATTTATTATATCATTCAGAAGATGTTTAAAATATGACTTATTTTAACTTCTACTTTTACTGAAAGCTATGAACACCTATTTCCCTGAAACTGACATTCAAAGATTTCCTGTTCAAAATGAATATATGTGACTACATGACCACGAACTTCTCAACACGGATAAACATATTAGTTTAAAAGGAATATTTTATCTGGGAAATATAGCTCTGGTTTTTAGAAATTATAACCAACCCTAGTCTGCGTGGATTTGTTCTTCCATAAAATACATTTTGTTAATTCATGGTTTATATTTATGCTTACAGACATAATATTCCCATAGATTTAGTTGTAAGTACAGGGCAGGGAGGAAAACCATAATCAGAAGAAAATGCATAAACTCTGAGTCAAGTTTTCCTTAATATCCAACACAACTGACTCATAGTAACATTTATCCAGGTAGATTCCTAGTTGAAGATTAATTGCTCACAATATGTTAAGCCCTCTACCAACACTCTTTGAATATAGAAACATATGCTACAAATTCAGCATGTTTCTTTCTGAACTATGTATTTAATGAAAGGCAAACTTCAAAGGGATCAAAAACTGCATTTGAATGAAGAACCAAATGTCACGCACATTTTGCAGAATTCTTTTCTAGAGCTGTAATTCCTGAGAGAATTACTCTTTTTGTAATATGCCTTTTCCTTCCACGTTCCAAGACTCCTTGTAATGCTTCAAAATAGAGGCACTCCAATATATTAATGTAAGATGCTGTGGCTACTAATCTCCTCCCTATATGAAATCAGGATGAAACATGAACTAGCTGGTATGTGAATTTAGTTCAACAAGTGATTTTTACCATTCTAGTATAGCATGTGGCATCTTGACGTATAAGTAAACTTAAACCAGTAACCTACTATAAGAGATGTTGCTTGTCCACAAGTGTCAATTGATGTCTCGATAAGTATTTGAAGGAATCTTTGAGTCAGGATGCTAAGAAACATGTAAAAGGCTTAAAATAATCTATTTAACTGTATATATACAGTTAATATATATGCGTGTGTATATGTGTGTATGTGTTTATGAATACTTGTCCATAACTGTATTAAAGATGCATTAATATAAAATAAACAATATCCAGGGAAGCTGTAGTATTTATTTCAAATGTCTTCATGAAGGACTGTCAATTCCTGAGGGAGGTGTGACATAAATATTGATGGTGGTAAAAGAAGCTAAGAAATATTGAATACTTTCAGTGTGTTAGTTAATGTTCAAAGTATATTGCATGTATGACCTAATTTCATCTTCACTGAAACTATGTAAAATAGGTATTTATTAGACTCTCCACTTTTGCCATTACTTTTAATGGCAAAATTACTTTTGCACAACCTATAGAGAAGCAGAGGCACAGAGAGGAAGTGAGCTGATGAAAGCTGTATGGCTGAGTAGATGGCAGAACCAAGCTCTGTCCTCAGGCACTTTGACCTTGAAGTCCATACTCTTCACTGTTCCTTCAGGTACCTCCAAGAGAGGACCCTGGGACCACTCACAACCTTGTTCTACAGGAGAGTTTTTTTTTTTTTTTTTTAATTTTCTGATTCTTTATCAACCCTCCAATGTTTTCTCTGTTTATGTGAACAGTAGAGAATTCTCTAGCTTTCCTTCTGCTGTCATTTAATGTTCATTACTGCAGGAAGACTCCAATTATTTGTAAAATGCTGGAACTTAAGGAATGTATCCCCCACCACCCTTAGAGTGCCTGCTCTGTGAAATAGCTGCTGTCTCTGACCACATCCTTGCTTCTTTTCCTGTCTGTGTGAACGGTGGCAAAAGTTACTATCATTCACACTTTCTAAAAAAAGGAATGACTTTCAAGTGGACTCCTTCCTGAACCTCTTCTTCTCCACCCCTTGCCATTGTTTAGACATCAACAACTCTATCACCCTCTGTGTTGCCTTACCAAATATTTCTTCCAACTAGTGTCACCTAGGGGAATTGGACCAGTGAAATAAGGGCTGTTCAGCTACTAGCACTGAACAGGGCCACTGTGCTGGAAACGTAAGTAATATTCTATGCAGCCCAAGTTATCGGATAATTCACAATCAGGTTGGGGATTGCGGTAAACGTTGTTCTCTCCTACGTACCAGCCATTCCCCTCTCCCATATTCTAATTTGTAGTCAGCCTTCAACAGTTTAGTCTATAGTGGCCAGCTATTTATTTTCCCAGCTTCGTTTGCTCCTGGAAATGCACAGGTGACTACTTCTGGTCAAAGCAACTTAAGAGAAAGTTGGCTAGAGCAGCCGTCCCCAACGTTTTTGGCACTAGGGACCAGTTTTGTGGAAGACATTTTACCCACGGACTGGTGGGGGGTTGAGGGGAAGAAGGGGATGAAACTGTTCCACCTCAAATCATCAGGCATTAGATTCTCTAGCCCCAACCTAGATCCCTCGCATGCACAGTTCACAACAGGGTTTTGCGCTCCTAAAACAATCTAATGCCCCCGCTGGTGGGAAAGGAGCGGAGCTCAGGCCGTAACCTTTGGCTTTCCCGGCGCTCACCTCCTGCTGTACAGCCTAGCCTGGTTCCTAACAAGCGAGGGACTGGTTCTGGTCCGCAGCCCGGAGGCTGGGGACCCCTGGGCTAGCGTTTGTGGGAAAAATTAACCTTCATAATTTGAGAGAGAGACAAACACAGAGAAAGAGACAAGAAAATTTCATTCTCCTTTTCCACAGCGTCCCTCTCTTCTGTCTTGCTTTTAAACATTGCCGTGTGAAAACTTGTTTATTGAAGTCACTTTGTGACCATGAGGAAAGACAATGCCAATGAAATGAAGAATGCAGAGTGAAAATTTAGGGCCTATGTCATTCACAAGGCTTGTAAGCCACTGAAAGAACCCCGGAACCACCTAACTCTACACTTTTTTTTTTATTTGCAAACAACATAAAATATTTAAGCCAATTTTAGTTTTATAATCTGTTTTTTGAAGCTAAAAGCAATTTGACTGATGTAGGGAGACAAAACACAAACACTAAAAGTAATTTGAGAGGAATACAAAATACCGTGTATTCAAGTGACAGATAGTTCTGGTAATAAATACTGTAGGTAAGAAAACAAGTGATACATGAGTTAGATGCAAGCTTCATAGAGCCAAGGGGGTTTCACCTGGATCTCAAGTCCCTTTGGTGCTTGTCATTTTAGAACACTGTTTGGTGAAAAAATAATCAGAATTTTTTTCTGGTTTGCGTTTGTATGTGCATTCACTAAAATATTGGCGTGAGAAAAATATTTAACATTAGAAATAATTGTTCTTTGTGAGTGACTTATATGGTACTGATAATTACAAACTGAAAAATCTTACACAACTGGATCAATATTTAAATGATATGGGAGTTTCTGTAACCATCATGAAGTCTGAACATATTAATTTCCTAAAAAGCATTTACACATCACATTTTTAACAAAAGTAATTTTGTTTGAAATGCCACATTATCATATTATAGTTACAATCAGCATTAGAGTGCAAAAGGAGCAATTCAATATTTCTCCACCATTTCCCTATGGTGTAAAAACAGTCATCAAGGAACTTCAGAATAATTTGTAGTTTACCTTAAATGCTCTAAAATATTTATCAAAATATTAAACTATTCCATTTTAAGTGTAACTAATTTTTTTTCATACTGGAACTCCAGTATGATGGGGATGCCATCACATGGAATAATTTCATTTCCTACTTAGTTTCT
This sequence comes from Homo sapiens, assembly GCF_000001405.40. Lineage (NCBI taxonomy): Eukaryota > Metazoa > Chordata > Mammalia > Primates > Hominidae > Homo > Homo sapiens. Next base: position 21,824,668 of record NC_000003.12, on the reverse strand, counting down.
ATTCAACTTCATCACCCTTCTTTATCAGGTTCTTAAAAGAAAATCTAGGCTATGGATACAACCACGTAACTGTACAAATAAAACTAGATATATGAAGTTTTTGATATATGATGAGGATACATTAGCTATACAAGAAAAGATGAGGCATATATGTACAGACATATGTACATAAATGTATGTACATATGCATATAGACATATTTGTGTGTGAGAGAGAAAGGGAGAGACCTTTTAAAGAAGAAGATTTTGTTTTTTATTATTTTGAGATAGAAGTGATTTTATAGGTATGCATAGTGTTACACAGTTGTATTCATGTATATGGACAAATGTGTCTCAACAGTTGTTTTTTATAAAAAGCACCATTACTACATAGCCTTTTAAAAAAGAATTATCAAACACGTAGATATGTCGTTTTGAATATAACGTTAATTTAAACAATGTGAGGGGCAGGCCTTCACTGTTTTGCTCAGAAGTCTCAGGGCCTCCAGTGGTGCACTCTACTATGATATAATGAATTTTGAAAGAAGTCATGTTTTAATTAATCACCTTTTGTCATCTCTTTTCAGTTGTACGTTTGCACAGATGGCCATAATGTGTTTGGGGAACTGTTAGAATTTACTTTTATATTAAGAAAATGCTCAGTCTATACCCAAAATACTTTTCTTCACAATTGCATTTTATTTTCATGCATCATTAAATAGTGTAATAATTTAATGATTTCTCAATAAAGTGACAACTTCACCTGAGATTTGATGTACAGCTCTGTGCAATTCATTAGCATACATTGACGTTCAATAAACCTAAGCAATGGGAACTCCTTGGGAGTTATACAGGCAGATTTTTTCTTTTTTCTGTTGTAACCTTATCTGACAATGCGGCACAATCTGCTTTGATCATATGTAGGTAGTACGTGCTCCATTTGCATTTACTGTGTATTCTTTGGAAACATACCTTCTGTGGTTAAGGAGTTTTCTGCTCTGATACTGCTATTGAATTTTGTTTCACTGGTTGAGTTTTCTAGTTCACTTCTGAGATATTGCTATTGACTGTGTGCAAAATTATCACCTTGGGCCAGAAAATTCATCTGAACATAGCAACGCTTGACTTCATCCCCAGAGAGAGGCTGTAATGTCTGATGAAAAGAGAAGTGAATTAAAACAAAATGTGTTTATATACTATATACACGGTGAGTGTGCTGCGTCCGTGTGTGTATGTGCATGTGTGTGTGTGTGTTTGGGGGGCTTACAGGCATACACATGCACTGGACATGTAATGAATGCAAAGTCCAGTAAATCAGTGTTTAGGATACAAATAACAATTGCCAAAACCCAAATAATTATCATAGTGAAGATTTGGCTACAGTGATTTAAACCTAAAATTGTCCAAGATGATATGTGACTAATTTTAACTTACCAAATTTAGTATGAATAACCAACTACATAAAGTAAGATGCTGGACTACCTACTCTCTAATTACACAGTCTTTTAAAGTTTTTATGGAGCATATCATTAATATCAATAAACATATATGTACACATATTGTAATATATGTATACTGTATAATATGTATACAGTATGACAATAAAAACTCCTGAGTATCCACTCTGCAGCTTAACAAATAGAAAATTATGATATTTTTGAATTCTCTTGTATTACTGTTTTGATTGCATCTTTGTTCTTGTCCCCCCATCAGGTAACTTACTCTTCTGAATTTTGAGTAATTCATTTGCTTTTTTTAATTTACAGTTTTATACTATATGCCCATATCTCTGAACAAAATTTTATGCAGTATTACTTGCTTGCTGTTGATCTTTATATAACAGTAAGATTCCACATGCATTAATTTGTCACTTGTTTTTTTTTCACTCAACATTGTTTTCGAGATTTATTTATGTTGATGAATATCATTATACTTTATTTCTTTTCCTGCTATGTTCCAATCTATAAGTATTCCACAGTTATTTAAACTGGTATACTGTAACTATGCATTTGGCTTCTTTCCAGGGTATGATCTTTAATAATGCCAGTATCAACTTTCTTGTGCATGTCATTCTTTTTCGGTTTCCATTCCAGAAGTTTCTATGTAGTATATACCTACTACTAGAATCAGTGAGTTGTAGGATACATATGTCTAAATTTTCTAGGTAATGACAAATCATTTTGCAAAATTGTTGTACGATTTTACATGTCCACCAGCAAAGTATCATGCGTGCCTGTCAATTAATTAATCAGTGCTGAGGTTTAGCCAACTTTTTAATTTTTGAAAAGTTTTCTTTTCATTTCAAAGTTGGTTTAGCCAGGCTGGGCGCGGTGATTCACACCTGTACTCCCAGCACTTTGGGAGGCTGAGGCGGGTGAATCACAAGGTCAGGAGATAGAGACCATCCTGGCTAACACGGTGAAACCCCGCCTCTACTATAAATACAAAAAAATTAGCCAGGCGTGGTGGTGGCTGCCTGTAGTCCCAGCTACTAGGGAGGCTGAGGCATGAGAATGGCGTGAATCCAGGAGGCAGAGCTTACAGTGAGCCAAGATCACACGACTGCACTCCAACCTGGGCAACAGAGTGAGATTCCGTGTCAAAAAAGAAAAAAAATTATTTTAACTTGACTAAACCAATGGTGGAGAAATATTGGATTGCTCCTTTTGGAGCAATAAAAAAGTTGGCTAAACCAGCTTTTTAAATTTTTTTTTTTTTTTTTTTTGAGACAAGGTCTTCCTCTGTCATTCAGGCTGGAGTACAGTGGCGTGATGATGGCTCACTGCAGCCTCAACCTCCCAGGCTCTAGTGATCCTCCTGTCTCAGCCTCCCGAGTACCTGGGACTGCAGGCAGGAACGTGCTACCGTGCCTGGTTAATTTAAAAAAAATTTTGTAGAGATGGGTTCTCATTGTGTTGCTCAGTCTGGTCTCGAACTCCTGAGCTGACATGGTCCTCCTGCCTTGAACTTCCAAAGTGCTGATTACAGGCGCGAGCCACCACACCTAGCCAACTTTTTAGTTTTTGCAATCAAGTCCCCTTGTGATTTTAATTTACATTTTTCTGGTTATCAATGAAGTCAAATATCTTTGCATAAGTACAATAAATTTTTTCTTTCTGATGTGAGATGTGCATGCAAGCCATTGCCCAATTTTTTGTTTAGTTAATCATTCTTATTTCTGAATTTAAATAGATTTTACATTACATGATTAAATATGTTTGCTGTATTTTTTAATTCTAAGTATCATGTATTTGTCAAGAAGAATTCTCTTAAACTTTTATTAGGTGGGAGTATTTATCATAAAAGCCTTTAAAAATTTGTCAAATGCTTAATTTCCAGTATTAGGATAATCACGCATATTTTCTACTATTGAGATAAGGACAATTTATTTATGACTATTTACATTTCTTAACTTTCTGCTGCATTTAGTGTGCTCAACGCTTGGTGGAGATTTTTTTTTTCATCTAAATTTATGAGTGAGACTTTTCTGTAATTTTACCACCTTCTACTATTCTTGTCTCATAAAATAACTTAGAAACATTTACCTGTAAGATTTTATGTAAGAATGGAGTTTACATAAAATTACAATTATCAATTTCTTGAAGTTTGGTAAAACACCCCTGAAAAAATATTTTTACCTGTTGGATATTTTTAATTATTGACTCCATTTAGTGTATTCTTGCAGGATTATTGAGGGTTTTAATTTTTTTAATCGGTTTTGTAATTAATATTTTTCTAGAATTTTTAAATGAAGTTTCAAATTTCTTTTTGTTTTCTTTTTTTTAATCACAAAACTAACTTTACTGTATTTTTCCCACTTAGATTTCTTTGTTAAATGTCTTTACTGTCTCGGTGACTTCTGGTTCTTATTTTCTTGACACACACAATGTCCTCAGACTTCTTGGGGTTTTCTGTGTTTTTCTTTTAATAGAAGTTGAAGCTATAATTATATCCCTTTTTTATTCATTCCTGAAATTACTTATTTATACAGTCCCTCTATTTTTCTTTCGAGAAATTTTTAAAATTTATTAGTCTCCTCAAGAAACCAAGCTTTGTTTTCTATTGTATTTTTCATGTATCTTTATTATGCCTAGTTTGGAACATTTTGATTTATTCTATTTTTCTATTCATAAATTATTAATTTATTGATCTAATATAATTATCTAAATCATAGCTTATTTAGTTTTTTAAAATACAAGCATTTCTGCGACAAATTTTCCTCTCGGATCTGATTTTGTTGTACCCCTTAACTATTGCTATGAAGTATTTGCATAATTTGATTTTAAGCCTTTTATAATTTACATTGATTTATTCATAATTCATGAATTATTTAGATGTGTTGTTTTTCTTTTCATTTTCTTATGTTGGTTCTTCTTTTTATTTATCTCCATTTATTTTTAATTGTCTTGCCTTGTGGTCACAGAATGTGAGCTGTATGTTACTAATTCTCTGAAACGTATTGAGACGATTTTATTGACTAGAATAAATATCAATCTGTATAAATGTTCCAACTGGGCTTTAAAAGAAGTATATTCTCCTGTTTAAAAATAAAGTGTAATGAAAATGTCCATTAGATAAAGCTTATTAAATGCTCATTAGATAAAATATATTCAATATTTTATTCACATATTTTATATTCTTACTGTTTTTTATATGCTTAATCTATTACTAAAATGCTTTGTGTGTATTATGATGATTCATTGATTTCTCCCTGTAGTTAAATTTAAATTTGCTTTATAATTTTGAAGTAATGTTATAATATTTGTATATGTATGTATATATCTGTATATAAATATATGAAGTATAACCTAATTATGTGTGTATATATGTGTATATTTATGTATATATGTGTATTATATTTGTATCATATTTATGTATATTATATTTATGTATATATGTATATTATATTTATGTGTATTAATTATATATAATTATGTGTACGTGTGTGTATATATACACACGTACATGTGTATATATATACGTGTATATATATACACACGTACACATAGATAATTATATATAATTAATACACATAAATATATAATATAGAATATATAATTATATAATACATACATATATAACATATATACACACATATGTAGCACATATGTGTACATATAATTAATTTGTATTTTCCTAGCAAATTAAGACTATTATTATTTAGAACATTTTTAGCCATACTAAATTTTTTCTTAAAACATAATTTTTATTGTGTTAATTAACAGCCCTAGATTTTTTTTGTAATAGTCAGGTTTTGGGTGGTATGTACTTTCTCACCGTTTTACTTTCAGATTTTTTTCTGTTACCTTGTTTTAGGTTCGAGCTTCTGGCAAAGAGCATATAACTATTCTATTTTCCAGTCTCATCTGACAATCTTTTTCATTAATTCTAGAGCTTAGTCTATTTACATTGATTGTGATTAATGATATGTTAAATTCATTTCTAACATCTTATTGTGTGCCTTTTATTTGTTCTGCTTTCTTTATGTTTCTTTTTTCTTTTCTATTTTTGCCTTCTTTCTTGTTACTTTTTCACCATTTCATGACTATTTTTAGTGATTAAAGCACTTAACAGTATATTTATAACCAAGTATTAATTTAAATAATGTATTTTTATTCCAGAAAATTACAAGGCCCTGTTAATAACAAGAACACTTTTCTGTCAATTGCTTCATAATAATTTATATGCAGTTTTCTACCATAATTTTACTTTTGTTTAATTTTGAATATGAAAATTAAATAGCTATGTTATTATTTGATGTTATCAAAGTTGGTTTAGATTCATTCACGTGTTTCTCAGTTTCTTTGCTCATTTCTTCATCTTTAATCTCTCATCCTCCTTTTGACATTTTCTTCAACCTGAAATGATGTTTCATTAATATAGGAAAATTTAAAATATATTAAAAAATACAAAAATATATTTGGATAATGAATGTTCATTACCTACCTCCACAATTATCAACATATGACCTAATAGAGGCCATATATCTTATTTCTTTACCTTTCTCATTTCCTCCATATGCCCATGGAGTGTGAGGCCATATATCTTATTACCCTTTCTCATTTCCTCCATACGCCCATGCTCTAATGTGTAGTTGCAAGCAAATCCTAGTAATTATATTTTTATCTAGAAATATTTTGGGATATCTCTCTGAGAAATAGGCTTTTTATTTAAAAATTAACACACTATTATGATAACACCCAAATTAATAATTTCTTAATATCATCTAATAACCAGTTAGTGTTCAGATTTCCCCACACTGTCTCATTAATATATTTTTCCATTGATTATTTAAATCAAGTTGCAAACAGGGGAAAAGATGGCATTTAGTCAATAGGTCTCTTAAGTATCTTTTGTTATTATTATACCTTATGTTCTAGAGTACATATGCACAACGTGCATGTTTGTTACATATGTATACATGTGCCATGTTGGTGTGATGCACCCATTAATTCGTCATTTACATTAGGTATTTCTCCTAGTGCTATCCCTCCCCCATCCCCACCCCCATCACGACAGGCCCCCGTGTGTGGTGTTCCCCACCATGTGTCCAAGTATTCTCATTGTTGAATTCCCACCTATGAGTGAGAACATGCGGTGTTTCGTTTTCTGTCCTTGTGATAGTTTGCTGAGAATGATGGTTTCCAGCTTCATCCATGTCCCTACAAAGGACATGAACTCATCCTTTTTTATGGCTGCATAGAATTCCATGGTGTATATGTGCCAAATTTTCTTAATCCAGTCTGTCACTGATGGACATTTGGGTTGGTTCCAAGTCTTTGCTATTGTGAGTAGTGCCACAATAAACATACCTGTGCATGTGTCTTTATAGCAGCATGATTTACGTATAATCCTTTGGATATATACCCAGTAATGGGATGGCTGGGTCAAATGGTATTTCTAGTTCTAGATCCCAGAGGAATCACCACACTGCCTTCCACATGGTTGAACTAGTTTACAGTCCCACCAACAGTGTAAAAGTGTTCCTATTTCTCCACATCCTCTCCAGCACCTGTTGTTTCCCAACTTTTTAATGATCTCCATTCTAACTGGTGTGAGATGGTATCTCATTGTGGCTTTGATTTGCATTTCTCTGATGGCCAGTGATGATGAGCATTTTTTCATGTGTCTGTTGGCTGCATAAATGTCTTATTTTGAGAAGTGTCTGTTCATATCCTTCACCCACTTGTTGTTCAATTTTTTCTTGTAAATTTGTTTAACTTCTTTGTAGATTCTGGATATTAGCCCTTTGTCAGATGGGTAGATTGCAACAATTTTCTCCCATTCTGTAGGTTGCCTGTTCACTCTGATGGTAGTTTCTTTTGCTGTGCAGAAACTCTTTATTTAATTAGATCCCATTTGTCTATTTTGGCTTTTGTTGCCATTGCTTTTGGTGTTATAGTCATGAAGTCCTTGCCCATGCCTATGTCCTGAATGGTATTGCCTAGGTTTTCTTCTAGAGTTTTTATGGTTTTACATCTAACATTTAAGTCTTTAATCCATCTTGAATTAATTTTTGTATAAGGTGTCAAGAAGGGATCCAAGTTCACATTTCTATATATGGCTAGCCAGTTTTCCCAGCACCATTTATTAAATAGGGAATCCTTTCCCCATTTCTTGTTTTTGTCAGGTTTGTCAAAGATCAGATGGTTATACATGTGTGGTATTATTTCTGAGGGCTCTGTTCTGTTCCATTGGTCTATATGTCTGTTTTGGTACCAGTACCATGCTGTTTTGGTTACTGTAGCCTTGTACTATAGTTTGAAGTCAGGTAGTGTGATGCCTCCAGCTTTGTTCTTTTGGCTTAGGATTGTCTTGGCAATGGAGGCTCTTTTTTGCTCCATATGCACTTTCAAGCAGTTTTTTCCAATTCTGTGAAGAAAGTCATTGGGAGCTTGATGGGGATGGCATTGAATCTATAAATTACCTTGGGCAGTATGGCCATTTTCATGATATTGATTCTTCCTATCTATGAGCATGGAATGTTCTTCCATTTTTTTGTGTTCTCTTTTATTTCATTGAGCAGTGGTTTGTAGTTCTCCTTGAAGAGGTCCTTCACATCCCTTGTAAGTTGGATTCCTAGGTATCTTATTCTCCTTGAAGCAATTGTGAATGGGAGTTCACTCATGATTTCATGATTTGGCTCTCTGTCTGTTATTGGTGCATAGGAATGCTTGTGATATTTGCATATTGATTTTGTATCTTGAGACTTTGCTGAAGTTGCTTAACAGCTTAAGGAGATTTTGGGCTGAGACAATGGGGTTTTCTAGATATACAATCATGTCATCTGCACACAGGAACAATTTGACTTCCTCTTTTCTTAATTGAATACCCTTTATTTTTTTCTCCTGCCTGATTGCCCTGGCCCAAACTTCCAACACTATTTTGCATAGGAGTGGTGAGAGAGGGCATCCCTGTCTTGTGCCAGTTTTCAAAGGGAATGCTTCCAGTTTTTGCTCATTCGGTATGATATTGGCTGTGGATTTGTCATAAATAGCTCTTATTATTTTGAGATACGTCCCATCAATACCTAGTTTATTGAGAGTTTTTAGCATGAAGGGCTGTTGAATTTTGTCAAAGGCCTTTTCTGCATCTATGGAGATAATCGTGGTTTTTGTCTTTGGTTCTGTTTATATGCTGGATTACATTTATTGATTTTCATATGTTGAACCCGCCTTGCATCCCTGGGATGAAGCCCACTTGATCATGGCAGTTAAGCTTTTTAATGTGCTACTGGATTCGGTTTGCCAGTATTTTATTGAGGATTTTTGCATCGATGTTCATCAGGGATATTGGTCTAAAATTCTCTTTTTTTTGTTGTGTCTCTGCCAGGCGTTGGTATCAGAATGATGCTGGCCTCATAAAATGAGTTAGGGAGGATTTCCTCTTTTTCTATTGATTGGAATAGTTTCAGAAGGAATGGTACCAGCTCCGCTTTGTACCTCTGGTAGAATTCAGCTGTGAATCCGTCTGGTCCGGTACTGGTTTTGGTTGGTAGGCTATTAATTATTATCTCAATTTCAGAGCCTGCTATTGGTCTATTCAGGGATTCAACTTCTTCCTGGTTTAGTCTTGGGATGGTGTGTGTGTCCAGAAGTTTTTCCATTTCTTCTAGATTTGCTAGTTTATTTGTGGAGAGGTGTTTATAGTATTCTCTGATGGTAGTTTGTATTTCTGTGGGATCAGTGGTGATATCCCCTTTATCATTTTTTATTGCGTCTGATTCTTCTCTCTTTTCTTCTTTATTAGTCTTGCTAGTGGTCTATCACTTTTGTTGATCTTTTCAAAAAACAGCTCCTTGATTCATTGATTTTTTGAAGGGTATTTTGTGTCTCTATCTCCTTCAGTTCTGCTCTGATCTTAGTTATTTCTTGCCTTCTGCTAGCTTTTGAATCTGTTTGCTCTTGCTTCTCTAGTTCTTTTAATTGTGATGTTAGGGTGTCAATTTTAGATCTTTCCTGCTTTCTCTTGTGGGCATTTTAGTGCCATAAATTCCCCTCTACACACTGCTTTAAATGTGTCCCAGAGATTCTGGTATGTTGTGTCTTTGTTCTCATTGGTTTCAAAGAACATCTTTATTTCTGCCTTCATTTCGTTACGTACCCAGTAGCCATTCAGGAGCAGGTTGTTCAGTTTCCATGTAGTTGTGCAGTTTTGAGTGAGCTTCTTAATTCTGAGTTCTAATTTGACTACACTGTGGTCTGAGAGACAGTTTGTTATAATTTCTGTTTTTTTACATTTGCTGAGGAGTGCTTTACTTCCAACTATGTGGTCAGTTTTGGAATAAGTGTGATGTAGTGCTGAGAAGAATGTATATTCTGTTGATTTGGGGTGGAGAGCTCTGTAGATGTCTATTAGGTCTGTTTGGTGCAGAGCTGAGTTCAATTCCTGGATATCCTTGTTAACTTTCTGTCTCATTGATCTGTCTAATGTTGACAGTGGGGTGTTAAAGTCTCCCATTATTATTTTGTGGGAGTCTAAGTCTCTTTGGAGGTCGCTAGGGACTTGCTTTATGAATCTGGGTGCTCCTGTATTGGGTGCATATATATTTAGGATAGTTAGCTCTTCTTGTTGAAATCATCCCTTTACCATTATGTAATGGCCTTCTTTGTCTCTTTTGATCTTTGTTGGTTTAAAGTCTGTTTTATCAGAGACTAGGATTGCCACCCCTGCTTTTTTTGTTTTCCATTTGCTTGGTAGATCTTCCTCCATCCCTTTATTTTGAGCCTATCTGTGTCTCTGCACATGAGATGGGTCTCCTGAATACAGCACACTGATGGGTCTTGACCAGTCTGTGTCTTTTAATTGGAGCATTTAGCCCATTTACATGTAAGGTTAATATTGTTATGTGTGAATTTGATCCTATCATTATGATGTTAGCTGGTTATTTTGCACGTTAGTTGATGCAGTTTCTTCCTAACATCGATGGTCTTTACAATTTGGCATATTTTTGCAGTGGCTGGTACCAGTTGTTCCTTTCCATGTTTAGTGCTTCCTTCAGGAGCTCTTGCAAGACAGGCCTGTTGGTGACAAAATCTCTCAGCATTTGCTTGTCTGTAAAGGATTTTATTTCTCCTTCACTTATGAAGCTTAGTTTGGCTGGATATGAAATTCTGGGTTGAAAATTCTTTTTAAGAATGTTGAATATTGGCCCCCACTCTCTTCTGGCTTGTATGGTTTCTGCCGAGAGATCTGCTGTTAGTCTGATGGGCTTCCCTTTGTGGGTAACCCGACCTTTCTCTCTGGCTGCCCTTAACATTTTTACCTTCATTTCAACTTTGGTGAATCTGACAATTATGTGTCTTGGAGTTGCTCTTCTCGAGGACTATCTTTGTGGCATTCTCTGTATTTCCTGAATTTCAATGTTGGCCTGCCTTGCTAGATTGGGGAGGTTCTCCTGGATAATATCCTGCAGACTGTTTTCCAACTTGGTTCCATTCTCCCCGTCACTGTCAGGTACACCAATCAGACGTAGATTTGGTCTTTTCACAGAGTCCCATATTTCTTGGAGGCTTTGTTCATTTCTTTTTACTCTTTTTTCTCTAAACTTCTCTTCTCACTTCATTTCATTCATTTGATCTTCAATCATCGATACCCTTTCTTCCACTTGATCAAATCAGCTACTGAAGCTTGTGCATGAGTCGCATAATTCTCGTGCCATGGTTTTCAGCTCCATCAGGTCATTTAAGGTCTTCTGTACACTGTTGATTCTAGTTAGCCATTCACCTAATCTTTTTTGAAGGTTTTTCGCTTCTTTGCGATGGGTTCAGACATCCTCCTTTAGCTCGGAGAAGTTTGTTATTACCACTCTTCTGAGGCCTACTTCTGTCAACTCGTCAAAGTCATTCTTTGTCCAGCTTTGTTCCATTGCTGGCGAGGAGCTGTGTTCCTTTAGAGGAGAAGAGGTGCTCTGATTCTTAGAATTTTCAGCTTTTCTGTGCTGGTTTCTCCCCATCTTTGTGGTTTTATTTACCTTTGGTCTCTGATGATGGTGACCTACAGATGGGGTTTTGGTATGGATGTCCTTTCTGTTTGTTAGTTTTCCTTCTAACAGTCAGGACCCTCAGCTGCAGGTCTGTTGGAGTATGCTGGAGGTCCACTCCAGACCCTGTTTGCCTGGGTATCACCAGCGGAGGCTGCAGAACAGCAAATATTGCAGAACAGCAAATGTTGCTGCCTGATGCTTCCTCTGGAAGCTTCATCTCAGAGGCGCACCCAGCTGTATGAGGTGTCAGTTGGCCCGTACTGGGAGGTGTCTCCCAGTTGGGCTACTCAGGGGTCAGGGACCCACTTGAGGAGGCACTCTGTCCATTCTCAGATCTCAAACTCCATGCTGGGAGAACTACTACTCTCTTCAAAGCTGTCAGACAGGGACGTTTAATTCTGCAGGTTTCTGACGCCTTTTGTTCAGCTATTCCCTGCCCCCAGAGGTGGAGTCTACAGAGGCAGGCAGGCCTCCTTGAGCTGTGGTGGGCTCCACGCAGTTCGAGCTTCCCAGCTGCTTTGTTTACTTACTCAAGCCTCAGCAATGGCGCACTCCCCTCCCCCAGCCTTGCTGCCACCTTGCAGTTCGATCTCGGACTGCTGTGCTAGCAGTGAGCAAGGCTCCGTGGGCGTGGGACCCTCCAAGCCAGGCATGGGATATAACCTCCTGGTGTGCCATTTGCTAAGACTGTTGGAAAAGCGCAGTACTAGGGTGGGAGTGTCCCAGTTTTCCAGGTAGCGTCTATCACGGCTTCCCTTGGCTGGGAAAGGGAATTCCCCAACCTCTTGCACTTCTGAGGTGAGGCGGTGCCCCGCCCTGCTTCAGCTCACACTCCATGGGCTGCCCCCACTGTCCAACAAGCCCCAGTGAGATGAACCAGGTACCTCAGTTGGAAATTCAGAAATCACCCATCTTCTGCGTCACTCATGCTGGGAGCTGTAGACTGGAGCTGTTCCTATTCGACCATCTTGGAACCGGATCCTTAAGTATCTTTTAAAGGAATATTTAATCTGTAAGATCTTCCCCTTCCTATTTTTTTAATTGAGGAAATCAAATTATTTTTTCCTGTAGAATATTCCATGTTCTGAATTTGACCAATTATATCTTTTTGGTGGCACTTAACTTCCTCTTAAATTCCTTGTGTTTTCTATAAACTGATATTTATATTTAGAGATTTGAAAATATTCAAATTTGATTTTTTTGGCAAAAATGTTTTGTAGGTGGTTCTATATACTTTCTTTAGAATTTTGAAGGCACAAAATGTCTGTTGTCTCTATTTGTGTGTTGTTAAGATTGATCAATGGATCAGGTTTTGTTACCCTAATCTATTCATTATGCAATTCACCATCCATGAGCCATTTAACATGATTTTGGAAAAATTCATGATGATTGCCTAGGCACCTTATTTTATTAGGGCTTGCAAAATGGTGCTGTTCTCCTCTTCTCCATGAATTACTTTCTGAATTAATTCTTTTATAAATAGGTAATTTTCCTCATCAAGTGTTTGATTTGATAATGATTTTATAGTTTTTGTAAACTATACAGTTTATACAGTATAGGATAAATAAATGCTAGCTGCTTTTATTTCTTCACAAGTTTCAGAGAAGTTAGTTATCGCCATACATTGGAAACCTCCAAATACATCTGAGCTCCATTTTGTTTTGTATTTTTTTACTATCATTATGAATTCTCACATTTTAACATATTTTGTATTCCATCAGTTACATTCATCATTCTTTTTGTTGTTAACATTGTCCCCTCTTGGGAAGTAGAAAAACTTTCTACTTTCTTTTGACCTGACTATAATAGTCTTTGATAAACTTCTTGCTTCCTATATTCTGGTCTCTTGAATATTTCCTCTCCCAGTCCTGAAATTCAGCAATTTTCCCAAAAAGTTCTGGTTTCTCTACGTGGGAAATGTTATTTAAATACCACTATTTTGAGCGATCAGGGTGTTCATTGCTGCTGTGCTTGTCTTGCTTATAGAATTTCTAATAGAATAAGCTAAGAAATAGGATTCATGCTAAACAGAATACAATGAGTTTATACGGATATTTTCAATTCTGATTTAAGATTTGAGATTATTTTTATTAAATTCTTTGATTCTTTGCATTTGTATCTCTTTTCTTTATATTTCCTATGTGGAAATCCTGGTTGCTAAAGACATTAATTACATTAATTACTTACTTAAAATGTATATATATATACACACACACACACACACACACACACACGTATACACACACATATGTGTGTGTGTGTGATGTGCTGTGTGTGTATATATGTTTTCATTATATATGTACATATATAAACAATTTACCATTTAATTTATCTTTACAACTTATTTTATCCTAAGAATATCTACCAGGAATGTATACTCAAAGTCCTATGTTTAAATTAACTCATTCAATATAAATATTGTGTAGGGATGTCTCCAGCTTCATATGCATCTAATCCCATTTGATTCATTTTGTTTAATAATTACATAAAATGTTTATACAGATCCAAAATCAAACTTTAAAACAAGGTACATTTCAAACAATCCAGCTTTAATCTCAGTACTCTCCATCTGATTCATTCCTTCTCTAAAAGTAACTAATTTTATTAGTTTTGGTTTATATTTTATTAATAAAAATAAATAAACATATACATACATACATACACACACATATATAGTTTTTTTATTATACTTTAAGTTCTAGGGTACATGTGCACAACATGCAGGTTTGATACATATGTATACATGTGCCATGTTGGTGTGCTGCACCCATCAACTAGTCATTTACATTAGGTTTATCTCCTAATGCTATCCCTCCCCCAGCCCCCACCCCCGACAGGCCCCAGACACACATGTATAGTTTTTTTTAAGTAATGGTGATATCTTTCTTTTTATCGTGAATGGTAAGTGCTTTTCTATATCAATTAATATGATCATGTAGTTTCTGTCTTTAGATTCACTGATTTTTAAATATTACATTGGCCTTGAATTCCTAGAAGAAACCCTAATTGATCATGATGTATTTTTCTTTTTATACATTGTAGATTTGATTTGTTAATATTTTATTGATTATTTGTGTGTCAGTTTTCATGAGGTATATTGGCTTGTAATGTATTTGTCTATTTACTTTTGCTATCTTTGGTTCTGGTATCAAGGACATGCTGGTGTTATAACAAATTGGAAAGTTTCCCTTCTCTCCTATTTTCTGGAAGATATTGTATGGAATCCATGTAAATTTTTCTTGAAATGTTTGTGAGAACTCTCCAGTGAAACAATTTATGCCTAGAGATTTTGTTTTCAGGTTATTTTTATCACAAATTTAATTTCTTTTTTAGTTATACCTCAATTCAGGTTATCTGTTAGCTTTTGGTTTATATTCTGGTTTTTTGTACCTCTCTCTTTCCTTGCCTTCTTGCACATTTTTTAGTATTCAATTTTAATGTACCTAGTATTTTTCAGTATGTGTGTATATATATATGTGTGTGTATATATATGTATATATGTGTATATATGTATATAGGTATATATGTGTGTATATATGTGTATATATGTATATGTATATGTATATGTGTATATATGTGTGTATGTATATATGTATATATATGTGTATATATATATCATTGTATATTGATTATAGGGTTTGTTGTAGGGGTTATATACATTCTTAAATTATCACAATCTACTTGTTTCAATACCTTATTTCAAAAAGAATCTAAAAGCCTTACCACATTATAGATCCCTTTTCTTCTCCCCTTTATGATACAGTTATCTTTGATGCTACCTACATATGTTGAAAACCGCATTAGACAATATTATATATTTTTTGTTTTCAGTTATCAAACATAATTTTAAAAACCCAAGAGTGCAAGAATAGTCTTTTATATTTACCTAGGTATTTACCACTTTTGTTGCTTTTTCCATTCTTGAAAGCTCCTTAGTTTCTATTTCTTTTTCTTTGCTTAGATTCCATTTTTCCATTTTTTCAAGAGTAGTTATTATTGCATGCTGGAGCATTTTAATAATAGCTACTTTAAAATCCTTCTTAGCTAATTTCAACATCTATGTCATCTTGGTACTTTGTGTGTTTTTGAGAATCTTTTCTCAAATCCTGTTGACATTTTTCTAGTTCTATATAAGATGAGCAATTTATCATTATATTCCATATATTTTATGTTATAAGACTCTGGTTTCCTTATCTTTTCTTATAGCATGCGGGCAACCCATTGATGTTTAGAATGCATGCCCTTCCTGGTTGCCCTTCGAGAACTGTAGTTCAAATGTCAATTTAGTTTTCAAAGTCTTTGTGGTACTATTTTAATCTGTCCTACTTTGGTGCTACCCAGAGGTCAATCTGAGACTTAAGCAGTGTTCCACATCATTGTTCAATTCTCAGAGCTTTGCTGTGTGGATTCTGGTTGGATTCATGTATTGGCTGCTCTAGGGTTTCCCCTGGGACTCTGAACACTGATTTAAAACATTTCTTCATTCAGATCACTCCTGTCCATAACCCTTCCCCTACTCTCTAGTTGGGAAAAGAGGTGATTTGCCCCTTTGCTGTCATTACCTTCCGGCAGGAGAGGAATAATTGACAACAGTCCACCCAGTAGCTCTATGGCCACAGCACTGGCACAAAGGAGAGGAGGCACAAGCACTTGCAAGGCAAAGAGGGTCAACAGCGTTCTTTTTCTTCCCAGTCTCTGCAATGGCCATGCCCAGTGGTAAGTGGATGGGTGTCATCTCTGCTTGGATTCACTTAATGCAGAGCAGAGATGGTCAGCAGTTCTCCTTTTCATAGTCTCTGGGGCCACAGCACAGAGCAAAGAATCTGGAGTCATAGCTTCTAGTGTTTTCCTGGAGGAGGGAAGGTAAATTCAAGAAGGTGTTATACTACAGGTCTCTTTGTAAAGAGAGTGTGTGTTAGAAGGGGACTTTTCCTAAAATATGTTTGAGTTGTTATTTATGTAATTTAATTATTCAAACATCTTTAAATTTGATTTTTAAAATATATTTGTAACAGTTTTGATACTAATTTTCTTATCCTATACTAAAGGATTTTCTTATCCTGTGTCACTACTATTTTGTATATGACTTTTCCTCCAACCATGCTTTGGCTTCCGGTCTCTTGATCACTTTTCATTATAGTATCACAGAGCAATGATAACAGTAAAATCTATACTACTTAGCAATTCTATTTTCAGACATATTTGGTCATACATGAGGTTAGAGCTAACACAAAATTAAAATCTGAATTATTGAGACAATGCAAATATCAGAGAAACAATTTCCTTCTATAAATTTAGCTTACATACTAAAAATAATGCAGACTTTGAATTTAGGGTAAGCAACTAGGTAACTATGACACTCCATCTCAGAGACTTTTTCAAATCTCAAAAGTGGGGCCTTTTCAAATCCTGCCATATTTGAAGATGCCATTGAAAAATAGAAGTTGATGTTCTGAAAAGCTCAAGAAATTATACAAATGATGCTCCTATTTTGTTAAGTTTTAAACAAAGTTTCTAAGAAACATTTTCACCATAATTCCATTTTATTATTACTAAACTAAGTTATTTAAATATATTTTAAGTAAAATTTGTTATTGGCCTACTAAGGATAATGAGAATATATTCACTATTGTATTTCTTAGTTCAACAATATTTTTAATAAGCTGAAAATAAAATATTATCTTCAAAAAACTCCAAAGCCAGGTCTTAATTTTGTAGTTTCTGTTGTTGGTTTTCTCTTTACTTTTAAACTTGGCGAGTCAAATCACAACTAGAATACCCATAAATGATTGCAATTGTTTACACCATAAACAGGTGAGACAAATTAGAGTAACTTTATCTTCATAGTGTCATAAACCAAAATTTTCTAAATCTGCACTGGCTGTGGTAGTATTAAAACACTTGAAAAATAGCAAGTTGAAATAGAGATATGCTCTAGATGTAAATCAGATTTCTCAGACTTTGCTTATAAAAAATGCAAAATATCTCAATAATGATTTGGATATTTTAGTTTATATAAAGTATACTATTAAACTTAATTTTAGCTATTCTTTTCTAATTTCAACTTTTAGAAGATTGAAAATTACACATCTGATTCACATTATATTTTTACTGGATGGCACTGTTCTAAATTCATTTCCTCCTTCTTTCTCTCTTCTGGTTTCCCATAATAGTGTGAAATATGAAATGAACTGGATTCAAATCAGAAAAATAAGAGGGAAGTTGGCATTCACTTCAGAAAAAGCCCCCATGGGCAATGAAATTTCTGTTTGGAGATAAATATGTGTTTTCCAAACTTGGCTCTGGTTATAAGAATTACTGCTAATGTTTTGCTTTGCTTTGTTTTTTTGATTCACAAAGTCTGAAGTTTCACTCTTTGAGAGTCTTCTCCCAGGTCAAGAAGGTTCAGGAGTTTGTATTCTTAGCGGGAGCCACAAGTGAGTTTTCTGACTAGGGTAGTTTGTAAACCAGTCACAGAAGGAGATACAACTTTTTATGAATTTATTTGAAAACTAAATTTTATTACTATATAACATATGTTTTCTTGTACTGGCAACAAAATCTCCCAAAAAATTAGGTCTGTGTAGTTTTAAGGAAGAAGTTCTAGAATGACATTCTACTCTATTTCTTTATATAAAAATTGCACTGGTTTCACGTATACATGTTCTGTGACCCCAATTAACTATAAAACGAGCTCTATTGGCCAGGCGCGGTGGCTCACGCCTGTAATCCCAGCACTCTGGGAGGCCGAGGTGGGTGCATCACGAGGTCAGGAGATCGAGACCATCCTGGCTCACACGGTGAAACCCCGTCTCTACTAAAAATAACAACAAATTAGTCGGGCGTGGTGACAGGCGCCTGTAGTCCCAGCTGCTCGGGAGACTGAGGCAGTAGAATGGCGTGAACCCATGAGCATTCATTCTTTTTTCAGGTACCAAATACAAAAAGAGTTTAGATTGGTATAACCTCCCCCTGCCCCCTCACAAAAAAAAAAAATAAGAAATTTAAAAAAAAAAAGAAAGGAAAGAAGGAATGCAGAAGTGAAAGAGAGGGGGAGAAAGGAAGAAGGCAGGTAGTCCGGCAGGCAAGCACCACTTGAGTACCAGACAAATAAGCCTGCTTTGCTGTTTAGCTAACATGCATATGAATTTCCCAGAGCAAATGAGAACAAGGCTGTATGCCTGGCTGTTTATTCAAATATCCTTTTATAGACATTGTATTTTTACAGTATCCAAAGCACTCTGAAAGTGACCTCTCCCAGATTGCCATCTTGTAGTCTATTGCAGGTAAGTAGAAGGGACATGAAGCAGTCATTTTGGCCAAGTGCTAATTATCCAGGGAAAAATGGTTCATTTTCTATGAGATCCCATGCTCGAAGCTCCAAGCAGCTTCCCATTCTTTCACTAGGATTGCATTATGACCGTTTCACTGCTCACTAGCATCTCTACTTGATGGACAGGAGAGGAAATAGTGAAATCCAGTCTTGTCAGTGTTGCTATACTCTTGGCAACTCTGAGGAAAATTAGGACAGGATAAGGAGAAACCCGAATGTCAGAGGTGGATGATCAAAGACTGCTCTGCTTTTTTATTTCACAAATGACAAAATTGGTCCTCAGAAGAGCTACAGGTAAAGGTCATATGGTCAGAGCCAAATCTCTGAATCTTAAGTAGAGTGGTCTTTTGTTCTTTCTCCTAAATCACAAGGGAAGTGTTAGACTTGAATTGGATTGAATGGACATGATTCACTTATGCATTTGTTTTATATGACTATGAATCGTTGAGGATAAACAGCATTCATTTTTAGAGCCTAATTTATGAGTCCACATGGTGAAAACTGCAATTGACTTGTTTCTATACCTAAGCACCCAGATTTACAACCTATTTCCACACTAAACACCCACATTTACAAGAAATCTACACACTATTTACACATATATATTCTCTCTCACTACCCTAATTTGAATTAATCTAATTTAAATAGATCACCCAGTTTTTCAATGCTATACAACAGACAACCTTCTCTTAAATTAACTGCATCTAGTACTGTTTTCTCACACCATTCATACAAATGGGAGGAGATGGTCCCAGCAGCAAAAAGCCGGTAATTAGAGTCACTTTCCTTAATAGTTTGAAAGCGGAAACCCACCTAGTGGTATAAGCCCCTCTCACCATTATCAGGTTGGTTCTTTTCCACCCCACCTCCAGGGTTCAATAGGAATCAATCTTGCTTCTGCCCAGGGCAAGGATATTTGAATGCTTTTCTAGTCATAAGAAATAATGATCATGGTTAAATTTTCATTTTTAAAATTGATTTTCCAAGCAACGTTCTTTCTTATAATAGTGGTAAAGTATATAAGGGAAAACAGTAGAAACAACATATTAAATAGCCTTTGAACTAACCTTCATTATTTGTGATCTTGAACAAATTACTTAACCTCTCTGACATTTAGTGTCTTCATCTGTAAAATTAAGTAAATAATGTAAGTAAAAATTAAAAACTGTTTAAATTAGGTAAATAATACAGAATCTGAGGACAAGAGAGACTAAAATGAATTGCCCAGAGGTAAATAGCTCTTAAGTAGAAGGAAGGATTCAAACCCTTGTTTTCTTGCATAAATGTACTTTCTGCACACTCTGGGGGAGGGAGGAACTTTCTCCTTAGGCAAGGCTTGACAAATGAAAAAGAAATATCACTCCCTCTGCTTTTGAATCATCTCTTGTTCATAGGAATTCTGCATGCCCTGGAGAAGTCAAGGCACTTCCTTGTGATATTTACTCAATTTTTCACGTGATTAATTTCTTGAAAACGTTACTGTCCACTGGTAACTGCTACCACCACCCCTGTTCATTTTAATTACAACTTGTAAATAGAGATATATTTAGCCTTTTCAATTCTAGATGGCACTTACTTTTTATCATATAAGAAAACAAAATTTATAAAGGGCAATAATTGTGAACAAAAAGAATGTGATATAAAAATACTGTTCTTTTTACTAAAACAACCACATAAAATATGTTTTCATTTCATCATACTTGTGCCCAAATAGTTTTCTTGTGGATAAAACATATGCACAAGAAATTTACACACTTTTATTTTTCCTTGTGGCAGCACTGATTTCTCAACTGAAATAATTTACACCTCTATAAAATCCTTTAACTTTGGTTTTGGATGAGTTGAGATAATTTCCCAGCAAAGGTTTCTTCATTGTGTAAACATGATATGAAACTACAGAATTTTACAATGTTCCTATTAAAGTTTGAAGAATACACAATTTCTTATTTGCAAGTGACAGCGCCACAGACATTGAATGCAGTTCCAAAATGAGCAATGATTAATTATCCCATGGGAACCTGTGAAAGCATTTTCCTCATCCACCAGTTTGCTTTCCAAGATACTTGGAACAAATGGTTCCTTGAAAATTATATCTCATATGGAGATATTCAGTAAGTACTTAGATTTGCCACATTTAAGGAAGCCTAAACAATGATGAAGACTGAGAAAAATGCTTTTGTTCCTTGATGTGCTGTCTTGAGAAGTTACATTTCATTTGAATTATGACAGGGATGATATATATAGCTTTTATGTCCTATTACAAATATGGATATTTCATCCAGTTTTCATGTCTATTCTATGTAATTTTAAAGAAAATATATTTTTTCACTGTAAAATTAAGCTGAAATGTGAAACATTTTGAAATAATATTTTATTACAGAATATTTAGGCTTAGTTATACAATCATATTAGTTTGCAGTTATTTAAAACTTTGATTTTAAATATCAATGACTCCTATACAGAAGAAAACATGGTGTCCAGATGATTTTCTAGAAAACTATGTAAAAAATACAAATCTGGAAAGAAAATGAAATTTTAAGGAAGATGATAATAGTGAACACTCTTGTCATTCCACCCAAATGCTGTCTTCTCATTTTGGGCACACCAGTTTTCCTTCCTTTATCTTTTGTGCTTTGATTCTAAGGTGCCACCTATACCTGCCACTCTCTGTGATGACTACCCTTAGGTTCCTGGAGCTGCTTTACTGACAGATACAGAGAGCTGGAAATGCCTGGGAGGCTTATATAACTCCCTCCCAAACCCCTGGGTGTCAGGTGGCGGGGAGGGGTAACAATAACTTGCAGCCATCTTGCCTTGAAGTTAGACAAACTCTTAACATAATTAAAATCCCAAAATTCCCTGAAGGATCAGCCTGAGACTTGGAATTTATCCAAATTTCCACTCGTTCTTCTCTTCTCCCCATTCCTTGTCCTACTTCCCAACATCTTTCCTTGTTCCTCCTGGGAGCATTTGCCCAATCACTTGCACGCAAAACCTTGAGCACTTACATCTGTTTAGGCCTGGTAGCTTTCTAAGCATTTCACAAACACTTTGTTATTAACCTGCCCAGTTAGACAGGCAGACAGGTGGACAGGTAAGCATTTTTATGCTTATATTTAAGAGTCAAAGACAAAGGCTCAGAGACTAACTGCCAAGTTCACACAGATAGTGAGATTGTACTACCAGGACAAGTGTTCTATTGAGTGTATTTCTACGTCCAGGGTAAGAAAATCATCATCTTATACAGTTGGCCTGTCTGAAGTGCCCTGCCTGCCACATATGCACATATAGTTTACATTGCAGATGCTATTTTTTTTTAAATCAATGTAGATCCATTCTGAAAATGAAATTTCTTTTCTGCAAGATAAGGTACTGGTTCAAGTGTATTATTTACTTGGAGATGTCTGTTACTTACACAGTGCTTTATTCTATGCTTTTGAAGGCACTCATAGCCTTCTCTTTCAGGGGTCTTAAAGAAAAAACAAGTTGTTCTGGAAACAATGAAAAATCCTCTCCAAAAGGGTAATATTAAATCCATTTGATATTTGGATTTATCAAAGAAATTACCCCATGATCATGATTAAAGCTGTAAGCTTTACTTATTCCCCACTTTTTTTGGAAACAGCATTTAAATATATACTAAATTATTCACAAGTGTAAGATCTTAGATAATATTGGAATTGCAATCTACATTAGCTAATGTACATTAATTTGATGAGCCATTAATTAGATTTTATGCAAAATGTCTCCATCTTTATGGAAATGTATAGATTTTAGGCATTTCTGTAGTCTGTTATTGTCCACTGTGAGATGTAGTTTAAGAAATCTGCCCCGTCTCCTATAAAAGTTGAAAACTGTATTCTGTCCATTTTGTGAAATGGTGCCATTTATGAATTGTTTATGTTTTAATACAGCAGGAAAAAACACCCATGGCTTCATTAGAAACGGGAAAAAACAATCAATGGGCCAGAAAGCTTCAGTAATTTCTGGAATATACAAAACAGATGGTATTACACAGACAGAGAGTAAGTAATCACTGAGCATCCTGAAACCCAAATTGGTCAGGACGGGCACTCTAAATATAGAGATTCTCACTGAAAATCCCAGCCTCAGAGCATTATGAGTTTTCAGCTGGAAGCCAAGATGTTTCTGTGGGCACCCAGGGGCTGCAGTAGTTCCCTAAGCCATATCAGCTGCGTGAGTTTAGCTCCCATTTTATTCCTTTGTAGTTTTCCTATTAAATAAAGTAATGGCTCTGCTACAGTAGATTAAGAATGTGAACGTTTTGGCCAGAGAGAAAAAGGTAACAGTGCCTCATCTAAGTTCTGGTTACATAAACTGGAAGTTTACAATTAAAAATAGATAGATAAAAAGATAAAGAGATTGACTTGTTAATCAAACATCTCCAACAAGCCAAGCTCAAGACCAGATGTTTTCACTGATGAATTTTACCAAACACTTAAAAGAATAATTAACACTTATCTTCCCAAAACTCTTCAAACATGGCAGAGGAGCTAACACTTCCTAACTCATTCTATGGGTCCAGTATTACCCTGATATCAAAACCAGATAAAGACATCAAAAGAAAACTATAGACTAATATGTCTAATGAATACTGACACACACAAAAATCCTCAAGAAAGTACTAGTAAACCAAATCCAACAGCTTATTTAGAGGATTATAATCAGGACCAAGTAGGATTTATTCCAGAAATGTAAGAGTGATTCAACATATGAAATCAATGAATCAATGTAATAAAGAATATTAATAGAATGAAGGGAAAAATACATGGCCATCTAAATTGATGCAGAAAAATTACTTGACAAAACAAAATTCAAATTAAGAATAAAAGGAGACTTTTTCAATATGGTAAAGGGCATTTAAGAAAAACTCACAGCTAATAAATAGTACACTTAATGGTGAAAGAGTAAGAGCTTTCTTCCTAAAATCAGGAACAAAAAGGTTGCTGCTACTGGAAGTTCTAGACATAGCAATTAGGCAAGAAAAAGAAACAAAAGTATACAAATTGAAAAAGAAGCGAAACTATGTGCAGATAACATAATATTTTATGTAGAAAATCTTAAGGAATCCACAAAAAAACTCTTAGAGCCAATAAACAAGATCAACAAACAAAAGACAACTGTATTTTTATACACCAGCAATAATTGAACAATTCAAAGAGGAACTTAGAAAAGCAATTCCACTTACAATAGAATAAAAACACTTGGAAATAAATTGTTTTTTAATAGAATAATTAAATAAAAAATAGCAAGGTCTCACTCTGTTGCCTGAGCTGGCCTTAAATTCCTTGATTCAAGCAATGCTCCTGCCTTAGCCTCCGTAGTGGCTGAGACTACAGGCTTGTGCCAGTATGACCAGCTTTTAGGAAAAAAAATTAACCTACTAGATGTTCAACTTTTATTCTGAAAACTCTGAAAACTACAACATTGCTAAAATTTAAAGAAGACTTAAGTAAATGAAAGGAAATTCCATGTTAATGGATTGGATAGATTTAATATTGCTAAGGTTGGTACTACTACCCAAGGCAATCTAAAGATTCAATGCCATCCCTATCAAAAGCCCAATAAACATTTTTTGTGTAAATGAACACATAGATCTTATAATTTATGTGAAATTGTAAGGCATTCAAAATAGTCAAAACAATCTTGAAAAGGGAAAATAAAGTTGAATATTTCATACATTCTAGTTTCAAAACTTACTACAAAGCTATAAAAATCAAAGCAGTATGGTACTGCCATAGGCTAGGCATAGAGATAATTAGATTAGAAGTGATAGTCCAGAAATAAATCCATAAATCTTTGGCTGATTTTTAACAAGAATAAAGAATAATCTTTGGAAATAATGGTCTTTTCAACCAATATTTCTGAGACAACTGGGTATCTACATGCGAAAAAATGAATTGGATTCCTATCTCACACATTATTCAAAATTTAACTCAAAATGGATCAAAGGCCTCTATGTGCATTCTAAAGTTATAAAACTCTTAGAAGAAAACATAGAGGAAAATCTTCATTGTCTTAGATATGGCAATGAATTTTTACATATCGTTTCAAAAGTAAAAGTAACAAGAAAAAATATATAAAATGGACTTCAAAATTCAAATTTGCATGTATTATAAATAAGTGAAATACAACCTACAGAAAGGGAGAAAGTATCTGGAATCAAATGCCTGTTAAGGTCTAATACTCAGAATATGAAAAGGACTCTTAGAACTCGATGACAAAAGGAAAAACAATCCAATTGAAAAATAAACAACAGACTTGAATAGCCTTTCCTCCAAAGAAGATATATAAATGGCCACAATATGAAAAGTCAAAAATCACGTGAAAATATACTTAATACCAATAGTTTTTAGGTAAATACAAATGAAGACGGAAACCACAAATACTCCATACCCACTAGGATGCCTATAATTTACAAAACAAGTGTTAATGAGGATGTAGAGAAACTGGAACGCTTACACATTGCTGGTGGGAATATAAAATGGTGCAGTCACTGTGGAAAATAGTTGGGCAGTTACCATATGACTTGGCAATTCCACTCTTAGGTAGATCCCCAAAAGAAAACAAGCATTCCAAAAAACATGTATGGGAATATTTATAGCAGCACTATTCCCAACTGCCAAAAGGTGGAAACAACATCCATCAACTGCTTAATAGGTAAATAAATGGTGGTGCATCCATGCAGCAGAGTATGTTTCTGCCACAAAAATGAATGAAAATCAAGTACATGCTACAGTGTGGATGAACCTTGAAAACATGCTAAGTGAATTACGTCAGACACAAAAGGTCACGTACTGTATAGTTCCGCTTATATGGAATATTCAGGATAGGTGAATCCATAGACCTGTAAAGCAGATTAATGTTTGTCAGAGGCCAAAGGGAGAGGTAATGGAGAGTGTCTGCTTACTGGGCATGGGATTTTCTTTTGAGGATGAAAATATTTTTTAACTATATAGACGTTATTATTGCACAACATTGTGAATTTAGTAAATGCTACTGAATTGTACATTTTAAAATTGTTAATCTTATGCAAATTTTACTTTATAAAATAAAGTATCACTGAGAATTCTAAAGTAGCCCCCAAGATTCTCACTCTCTGATGTGCATGGTTTATATGATCAGCTCCCCCTTCTTTGAGTGGCTGGGATACCTGTGACTATGATGAGCTGTCACATCCCTGCTTAGATTACATTATGTGGCATAGATGAAAAAATTTTACAGATATAAATAAGGTTTCTAATTAGTTGACGCTGAGTTAATCAAAAAGGAGATTATCCTGGTGGGACTGACCTAATTAGATGAGCCAATTGAAGAGACAAGAAACTGCAGCAGACGCTTCCCCTGCTATCCTTGAAGAAGCAAGCTTCCATGCTGTGAGAAAAGGGGACCAATGGTAAGGACCCAAGGATGTCTCTAGGAGTTGAGTGTGGTCCCGCGTCTAGAGATACAAAAAGCACAAAGACTTCAGTCGTACAGACCTCTGGATTTGAATGATGCTAAAACCAGTGAACTTCGAAAAGGGTCCTGAGCCTCCAGGAGAGAGCAGTTCTAGCTGACATCTTGATTTCAGCCGAGTGAGGCCATGCGCCGAAGAACCAGACAACCTGTGTCATGAGAGAGTTGTGTGTATTTTTATTTTTTGTGTGATGATTTTTTAGAGCAGTTATTGGTTCACAGGAAAATTAAAAGGCAGGTACAGAGATTTCCCATATTCCTATACCCCAACTAACGCATAGTCTTCCCCATTATCAAAATCCCCCACCAGAGAGGTACATTTGTTACAATCCATGAACTTGCATTGACACATCATTGTTGCCAGTGTCCATAGTTTACACTACAGCACTAGGGTTCACTGTTGGTGTTGTACATTTTATGGGTTTGAATACACTTCTAATATTTAGACAAATGTATAATGGTATATTTCCATGGTTATGGCATTATATGGGGTATTTTCACTGCCCTAAACAATCTCTGTGTTCTGCCTATGCATCCCCCACTCCTACCCCCAAATTCCTGGAAACCACTGATCTTTCACTATCTCCATAGTTTTTCCTTTTCCATTTTGTCATATAGTTGAAATCATATAGCATGGGGCCTCTTCAAATTTGCTCGTTTCACTTGATAATATGGATTTAGGGTTTCTTCATATCTCTTTATGACTTAATAGATGGTTCAATTATTTTTGGCTTTGACTGATATTCCATTGCCTGGATGTACCACAGTTTATTTATCTATTCACCTATGTAAAAACAGCTTGGTTGCTTCAAAGTTTGGGCAATTATGAATAAAGAATAAAGCTGCTTTAAACAGTTGTTTGTAGAATTTTCTGTGGACATAACTTTTCAACTCCTTTGGGTAGATATCAAGGAGTGTGATTACTGCCTCATAAAATAAGAATATGTTTAGTTTTGTAAGAAACCACCAAACTGTCTTCCAAAGTGGCTCTAGGATTTTGTTTCCACTAGCAATGAATCAGAGTTCCAGTTGCTTCACATCCTAGCCAATGTTTCATGTTGTTAGTGTTCTGGATTTTGGTCATTTTAATATGTGTGTAGTGACATCCATCTCACAATTGTTTTAACTTGCATTTTCCTGATGACATATAATGTGAAGAATCTTTTCATTGGCTTATTTGTCATTTGTATGTATTCTTTGCTGAGGTGTCTGGCAAGGTATTTGGCCCATTTTTAAATTGTGTTCTCTAATTGTTGAGCTTGAATAGTTCTTTGTATATTTTGGATGAGAGTCCTTTATCAGATATGTGTTTTGCAAATACGTCTTGACTTATTTTTCTCTTGACGATGTCTTTCAAGGAGAGGAATTCTTAATTTTAATGAAGTTCAGTTTGTCAAGCCTTTCTTGCATGGATCATGCCACCCACTCCAAGAGACTCAGCTGAGCTAAGTATGGGCAGGGGGAAGGATCCCGAAGCAGGAGGTGGGAACTCAGAGTCCTGTATCACCCACTGTGTACCTGTCAACAAGTTACCAGTGCCTTGTGGACTGAGTTCAGTGTCTGTGAGCAAGGACTTTTGGTCAGCCAGATCTGGGTTCAAATCTAGCTCTGGCACTAACTAGATGTGTCACCTTGAGTAAGTCACTCTTTGAGCCTCATTTTCCTTATCAACAAAATGGCCATCATCAAACCCAAATGTCATGTAGATGTGTTCCTGTGTTACCTTCCATGATTTTTATAGTTTTGTATTTTACATTTATGTCTGTGATCCACCTTTAGTTTATTTTTGTGAAAGTGTAAGGTCTGAAGGTCTGTGTGTAGATTCCTTTTTAAAAAAAAATTTTTTTTGCATGTGGATATCCAGTTGTTCCAGCTTTTGTTGATGTGATGAATTACATTAAATAATTCTCAAATTTTGAACTAGCCTTGCCTACCTAGGATAAATCCCACTTGGTAGTGATGTCTAATTTTTTACGCATTTTTGGATTAGATTTGCCAATATTTTGTTGAGGATTTTTGCATTTATATTTATGAGAGATATTGATTTGTAGTTTTCTTGTGGTGTTCTTGTTGGGT
The DNA here is from genome assembly GCF_000001405.40 of Homo sapiens. Classification (NCBI taxonomy): domain Eukaryota; kingdom Metazoa; phylum Chordata; class Mammalia; order Primates; family Hominidae; genus Homo; species Homo sapiens. Next base: position 21,796,317 of record NC_000003.12, on the reverse strand, counting down.
TTTAGTATAAGGATAATGCTGGTCTTAATAGAACAATTTAGGAAATGTGTGTGGTTTAAGCTGCTAGATGTGTGGTAGCTTGTGACACAGCAGTGCAAAGTTAAGACTGATAATTAGTTACTGCAGCAGTGAGGTTCTCTAATATGCTCCGACTCTGGCTTAGCTCCAAGGAAACAGGAAAATCTACCAGAACTTGATTACAAAAAAAATAAACAGGAAAAGCAACTGTTCATAGTGTCGAGATCCAAATGCCAAGTGGGAGAAGAAACTGAGAGTTTTCTGGACTCTGCTATGATAGTATTGCCACATAGTCATTTCTATTTGAGAAAATTACCCTAGACTATTAGATCTTTCAAATGTATGCCTTAAGTTCTTTTACTTACCTTTGTAGCAAATTATTAGCTTTTACATGCTAGGTCTTGAATTAATATTCTTTTGTTTGTTAAAAATCATATTTTCTGTTTGCCATTGAGAATAGCGCCTGTCATTCTTCTTCTGTGCTATTTGATAGTCATACTGAGTGCCTATAATCTGAAGTGGCATTAGTGGGAGAAAAGCTTTTTATTTTATTTTTTAATTTGTTTGCCAAGTAGCCAGAGTCAGAATTTCTTCCCACAAATTCACTGAGTGTTAGGCACCTATGACATTCTGTCCCCTTCTTTATTTTTCTCCCACTAGGAGACATCCTAACCTTCTCTTCCATGGAAATATCACAATTACTTGAGCTTATCTTTCCTGTTTCAGGAGCCAAGGGAAAGGATTTTTAAAAATTTTTATTTTAGCTTGTTTTCTCCCCGGGTGACATAAAAAGTACATTGTCTCCCTCACTGTCAATTATTTTTAGACCCAGCTTTTCTTTTGCACACGGCTACCATTCCACCAAAGTGGAGCAGACGCTAATGGCTATGTGCCCCGCCCTCAGCCAAGTGTCTGGCAGTGGCCACTAATAAAACCATCTGTTACTGGGGTGAGTCCATAGCCTGTCACTGCTGTGATCTGGGGAGGCACAGACTTTCCAGGCTTCTTCGTTATTAGAGGTCCAATGGGGCCCCTGAGGCCTACAGCAACTGTGTACATAATTACATGAAAAAGACTTAGATGGCTTTTCCATTCACACTGGGTGATCTTAGAGCAGGCAAATACTGTTGTTAGATAACTAAGCCTGAAGGGTGAGCTGAGGACAACCAGGGCTGGAACACTCTAACTTAAGCATTTAATTCTTTTATATTAAAACTTCTTCAATTTGATTTAATTAAGGATCAGGTACAAATAATTTGATACAACACTGAACCTACAGCGGACACTGACTATGAGAGTATTAGTAAAAATATTAAGCTTTATTATAAAAGGTAGATAGGCACCTATGATTTGTCAATATTTGCTGATCATTATTTTACTTAATTGTCATAATAGCATTGTATGATATGTGACAATATTTGCAATGTTCAGATGAAGCTCAGAGAGGTAGGCTGTAGAACAGGAGGTCACACAGCAGTGGTAAGTGACAGAACTAGGGTTTCAGATTGAGCCTTTTTCTTACAAACTCTTTTCCCATTACACTCCTGGTGTGTAAGCAGCAGCAGCTTTAAAATTTACCATTATTAAAATGTAATCGCCTCCTGGATGACTCTTCCTCCCATCCCAATCTAACATGCTCAGGGTTCATGCTTATAAAAGAGACCCCCAAAGTTAGCTAGCCCCTTCCATCCTGTGAGAACACCACAAGAAGGCATTGTCTATGAACCAGGAAACAAGCCCCCACCGCATATCAAATCTCCTTGCATCTGGATCTTGGGCATCCATTCTTTAGAACTGTGAGAAATAACTTCCTGTTGTGTATAAGCTACCCAGTCTATGGTGTTTTGTTGTAGCAACCTAAACAGTTTCAGAAACTTTCTAATCCACTGTGTTTTCTGTCGTTTCAATGACACTCTGGCAACTCTAGCTTTCAAGAGGAGAGGTGGCTCAGAGGCCAGAAGTCCTCAGGAATGTCCAGTCACCTTACTAGATCAGAAGCTCCCAATGGTCTAAGCTCTCTATTTAAGCTCTTAGGTTTAAAACTTCTCTTTTCTTCTCTTTTAATTCTCATGACTACACTCCTACTCCCCAAGCAGCAAGTTGCATATGGTGGCGGAGAACGCAAAGGTAGAGATCAGGTGCCTTCCTTGGTCACGAAAAGAAATTTTGCTACGCACATAAGGCTCTCATTTGTTTTTCTTGATGACACTGTCAGCAGTAGTTTTTTACATCCCTGGTCATTCTTTGTGCTCTCTCCATATCTTCTTCCATCTTATGTCCCTGATCCTTGATGAGTGGTATGGAGAGTAGTCAGCAAAGCCTAGTTTTCATAACTGATTTTACTCCATCTTAATGAGGTATTACAGAAAAATAGATACTGTTCATCATTTGACAGTTTTGCAGAAGAAGAGAAGGTCTAGAAATCTGACTTGTCCTGAGAATGGTTCCCTAAACTCATGACAATAGATCTAACTTTTTGTGGATTTCAGCATCCTGGTCAAGCTGTTTTTAAGGTTCCTTACAGAATGTTTTGCTTCTTTAATGTGCTTTTCTTTCACTGGGCAGTGAGTGACCCGAGCACAGAACTATTTAAAAATCATTTCTAAAATCTAATGTTTGTTTTGCTCCCATCGCTTTACAACTTGACTTGTACAAAATCTCAGCATGTCCTGTAGGCTCTGCAGGCCTCAGTTTTTTTACCTGAAGATCAGCCTTAGGAAGTGGTTTGCACTTTGCAGAGAGAACTTTCTATGGAAATGCTCCTCAAATTTTAACATGCACACAAATCACAGAGGGATCTTGTTAAAATGCAAATTCTAATTCACTAGGTCTAGTTCAGTCCCTGAGAATCTGCATTTCAAATACATTCTGAATACAAAGGATCTGTTGTTCTTTGTTCCCTCTATCTGCAAAATGGGTAGTCAAAATTACTACTCAAATGAGCTGACTTTTCTGGTTTATAAAATATTTCCTTAACAATACCTCATTTGATTCTTATCACAGCCTGTGGAGTATACAGGACATTTATTATTTTCACTATTAATAAACGAGGAACCCAAAGCATAGAGTGCTTCAGTGGCTCTCATGGCTAGCTAGCAGCAGAGATGATGCATAACTTTATTCTTTCAACTCCTCATTTGACATTCTTTCTGCTGTGTTACATTGGCATTGAATTCTATATAATAATGCTAACTTTTGTAGTAAGATTATTTCACAAATTATCTCATTTAGAAACTATGGTGGCTATGTGTTCTGAAATCTTAATGTTGTCTACTCCCTACAGCCCTCAAAAGTTGGGTATAAAATGTTATTTGCATTATGTAGGCACATTTTCCTGAGGAGGGTCCATTGCTTTAATCATATTTACACAAAAGTCAGTGACCAACCCAAAATTTTGAATACTGGTCAGAGATTAATAAAAATGCACAAAACCAGAAGAATTAAGCTCTTTTTAAAAAAATCAAAACAATCATTTGGCACAAAATAGCTGGATGCTCTAGATGAAAGCTATTCTTTTAATCTTAAGAATCTGGACATTGAACTTTATGCAATTGGGAGTAAGGGTCCTCTTTTGAGGAGTGAGCAGGACGGGAAATGACTAAAAGGGGGTCTAGGGCCTGCTTTTTGCTGTGTGTGCAAGTCTCCTGCATGGCCCCCTGGACATCTGCTTCGGGTTCCCACAACTCCTAGGGGCTAAGAAAGTCTTTAGCAGTTCAAAGATCCTATAGACCAAGGATGTAAAGATTCTTTCTCTAAAGAGCCAGCTACTAACTATTTTAGGTATTCCATGGCAGATGGTCTCCAGCGGAATACTCAACTGTGCCATTGTAGCCTGAAAGCCACCATAGACAATAAGCAAACAAATAGGTGTGGCTATCTTCCAATAAAAAGTTATTTAGAAAAACAGGTGGCAGGCCAGATTTAGTCTGAGGGCTGTAGTGGGGTAGGGGAAATGTTTACTTCCCTAGAGACAAAGAGTGGTTGTCACAACTCAATAAATCTCCAGGTTCTTCTTTTAATGGAGGGAACAAAGTGCTCTATGAAAGAACAGCATGTCTTTGTCATTGAATATTAAAATCAAGAGGGGCATCAGAATGTATCTGCCCCATCACTTCATTTATAGATATGGAAATTATGCCCCAGAAAAACTAATTGCTCAAAACAATATAATTTATTGATGAAAGAAGTCCCAAAGTTTGGGCCCTCCATCTTTTGATTCTCAAATGTCTTTTGCAGAAAAGACCAAATAGAATATAAAAATGATTAGGGCCGGGCACAGTGGCTCACGCCTGGAATCCCAGCACTTTGGGAGGCTGAGGTAGGTGGATCACGAGGTCAGGAGATCGAGACCATCCTAGCCAAGATGGTGAAACCCCGTCTCTACTAAATAAACAAAAATTAGCTGGGCGTGGTGGCACGTGCCTGTAATCCCAGCTACTCGGGAGGCTGAGGCAGGAGAATTGCTTGAACCAGGGAGTCGGAGGTTGCAGTGAGCCGAGATCGCGCCACTACACTCCAGCCTGATGACAGAGTGAGATGCCATCTCAACAACAACCAAAAAAAACGATTAGATCCAGGCTTAATATGTAGACTGTGAGTAACTATTACTTAAACTTTCTAAACTTTGTATTAGTTTTCATTTTGATTCATAATGTTAGAGGCCATTAAATAGTGAAAACCGTTAGAGCTGCTAATGTTTTGTAAAATGTTCACTGGGGAACTCAAGTCTCTAAGCACTGGCAGAATTTCAGACTTTTGTCTCCAAAGCAGGACAGGAAATTGAAGGAGCCAGATTTCTTCTTGGGGAAAGGAGTTCCTCCTTAAATCCTCTGATTTTAAGGGGCAAATTATCTGAAGTGAAGACATTTTTGGGATACCTCCTGCTTCTTGTCACTATTGCTCATAGTTAAATGTTTTTCATTTGTCCCCTAATATCACATGCCACTGCATATTTTATGTTTGTTTCTTACTTTGAGCCACTGAAGGAATTTGTTTTTTGGGTTATTGTTGTTGTTAAAAATGGCCCCACATCAAAACAGCTTACTTAGTTGGAGGCAAACTAGTCACGTTGCAGCAGACTGATTAAAAAAAATGTCCATTGTGTTCTTTTTACATACCTCAGAAAAGGACAGAAAACATGCAATAAAGCTTATAAATGCTGCATTGACCTTTATAAAGGCATTTACTTCTCATGAAAAGTACTTGTGATTTTTAGAGCTATAACCTCTGGTAAATTGAGAATAAAGTTGCTTGTTATTCTGAAATGGCGCTATGCCTGCTTGGTTCAAGTGCCACTAGTTCTGTGTATTTCTTCGCATTGGTTTATGCTGTTTTTTTGTTTCCTTACCCCTTGTTGTAACATATGTGACAACTTAGGAAGCAGGAAGAGAAAATAAATAGTCCTAAAGGACAAGCAAAAAAATCTAGCTATCAAATTTCACATTCTATAAATTTACAATCTTTACGAAGAAACAAATTAACTTCAATAATAAGGAAACTCCTTAAGAAAATCTGAGCATATGCTTAATTCTCATATGGAGAGAGAAAAGTCAAACATAAAAAGACCTAGTCTGCCAAGGTTTAAATAGCAACTTGTGCCTCTGCAGAAATGATTTTCCTTGAGAAAATTTCCCATATGCTGGGTATGAAGTCCATCTGCAAATGTAATACCCAGATGCTCACCCTCCCCTTCCAAAAAAGCTGCATTCTGACTGCACATCTTCTGTGCCCTAGAGAACTGATAAAGGAATGACATTTTCTTCTCTTTATTTTTTTCAGTAATCTTTTTTCATTTTAAAAGAAATACAAGTATAACTATAGAAAATATTTAAACTTCAAAAAAATTACAAAGAAACAGCAATCACCCCAAATCTTATCACCAACAGATAACTCTGTGTGTTAGTTCTACATAAGTAAAATCATACTCCTTTCCCTTTTGTATAATTTGATCAATCTTTCCATTCTTCCTCAACACCATCTATTTTAGCAGGAGTATGATGAGAATTGGCATCTAATGTATCTTTATGAGCCACTTTTTTAATTGAAAAAAAGCCACATATGCATCGATTTTTAAAGCTCAGAATATTGAAAGAGTTTTGAATGCAATCTGAATCTGTCCCCCGAGACTTCTTCCTCAGAGGCCAACATTGTTAGCAGTTTAATACATGTCCTCCCAAAGTCTTTTTATCCATGAGCATAGATAGTTATGTGTGTGTTTGTGTCTTGTAGAGTATATGTGCTATGCTCTACATCTTGGCCCTTTCATTTAATAGTTACTGAAGATTTCATGTACATCTATCTGAGGCTAGTAACAGCTTGAAAGTGTTTCATTTTGAAGTCTGACTGTGTTAGCCAATTTCCTGTTAAGAGCTTTTCATCCCCTTACCCAATATTCTTGTCATAATCTGACAACAGTGACAAGTTGAAAGAACCCAAGAAGCCACATACACAAAGGTTGTAGAATATTCATTTATTATGGCCCCAAATTGGTTACGGTATAAGTGATGATGCAGCTATCTTGCTGAATATTTTAAGCATTTTACATCTTTGTTTAGTATTTAATTTCTTTCCTTGATTTATCTTTTTTTACATAAACATGCAAATCAGGAATTTTCTAAATACAGGCAAATGAGGCTCTTTTCTGACCATGTAAATCAGTGATGTCTACCTTTATTCTTCAGAAAGAGGTATTTGCAGTAAGGCAGTTAAAAGGAATCTATTAAGGTTTTTGCTTTTTATTAATCTGTATATATGTGTGTGTGCTTACACATGTGTATATGTGTGTGTGTCTGTGTGTGTGCATTTAACAAATGAACACATGCCCATAGTTGAGTGAAAGTCAGATAGTGCTTTAAGGTTTAGAGCAACAACAACAAAACCAACATTCTGCCCTAGATCTCCCCACTCCCAAGTACTGATCAGTGGAAGCTGCCACTTTGAATTCTCCTATATATTTCTTCTGGGGTTTATATTTTTCTTACTAATAACAGGAGTGTCTTGCTCTTGGTTGATTTATCATTGTAGGCAGTATATCTCAAATTTCTAAATTAGAATGCCACACATACCCTCCCCCATTCTCCAAAGATAATTATATTATAGATTTAATTAAATCAGTATTTTATGTTTTCTTTATTATGCCTTTGAATCCACTGTTCATGGTGGAACCAAGTAATGGCCTACAATTACTTTTGCTTTATTGAACAATTTCTTTTTATTTTTCTAGGAGTTAAATATTGTCTTAATTTTTTTTTCTTGCTTATGGTTGGGAAGATACTTTTTTCCACAACTTCCAATAGCACATGGTCTCATCTGTCAGAAAATCTATCTGCTCCATTCTTTTTTTGTTCTTCTGTCCTCATGCTCTCTGACCTCCTGCCCTAATCCAGACCAGCAGGTCTCAAGGCTTTCTGTGCAGCTGTTATAGCACAGCGTCTCATTGGCCACATTGGCCAGTGCCTTGGACATTTCTGAACTTCTACAGTTGTTGGATCCCAAGATTCCTGTGTCCCGTATTTCATGTTGTCCCTAGCAAGACTGTTGCCTCCTTTGAATGAAGCATGTCTTACAGTGGAGAGGAAGAGCATGGAGGAGTTTATTCTTTTAAAAATGCACATATGCCCCCGAATCAAAAATTTAAAAAAGCAACAGAAAAATAAAAATGTAGTGTCTCAAAAATTTGAAAGTTGTTTTTCTTACTGATGGCCTAACATGGATTGATTCAAAGACAATGTACTAAGAAAAGCTACGTGGTTTCAGGACACTGAAAATGAGAACAAAATTTCTGATTAAAGACAGAGACACATGTCACATTTGTCTCTAGGTAATTCAGAGTCTCGCTCTATCCCCCAGGCTGGAGTGCAGTGGGTGCAGTCTCAGCTCACTGCAACCTCTGCCTCCCAGGTTTAAACGATTCTCATGCCTCAGCCCCCCAAGTAGCTGGGATTACAGGCGCCTGCCACCAAGCCCGGCTAATTTTGTATTTTTAGTAGAAACGGGGTTTCCCCGCATTGGCCAGGCTGGTCTCCAACTCCTGACCTCAGGTGATTCACTCACCTCGGCCTCCCGAAGTGCTGAGATAACAGGCGTGAGCCACTGCGCCCGCCCCATCTTACTATCTTTCTATTTCTACTCGATGGAAGATACCTTTAACTTAACCTTCTAATAGTTCTATTGATAATGTAATTATTCCTATCATAATTTTAATTTCGTAGAGCTCTTCTTAGCTCATTTGCATCACATCATTCTTTTGGGTTTTTTTAATGGGCACAATATTAATTTCTGCTTCTCTGAGGTTATTAACTATTGCTCTCTCTCTCTCTTTTTTTTTTTTTTTTTTTTTTTTTTTTTTTTTTTTTTGTTGAGACGAAGTCTCGCTCTGTCGCCCAGGCTGGAGTGCAGTGGCTCGATCTCGCCTCTCTGCAAGCTCCGCCTCCCGGGTTCACGCCATTCTCCTGCCTCAGCCTCCCGAGTTATTGCTCTCTTTTTTTAAAAAAGTACGCTCTTCTTCCCCTAACATTGCCTCTCTGAATTTTATCCTCAATTGTTTTGGCCTCTGCTTTTCATGATGGAGGCTTTCCTCAAATATGTTGTGATCTTCCTGTCCGTTCATATTTAAGAATGGCATGTTAATGAATTGATGGCAGTGCTTGTGGCCTGGTGATTTTCATTGCAGGGTGATTGGGTAGGAAGCTGGCTTTTCCTTGACAGCCTCCAAAATGTCAGTGTCTGAACGGCCTTTCTCTGGAATCTTACTGTTTCTCCTAAGAAAGGGCTTCTACTCTTCCATAGGACAGTGTGTGTGGTTAGTGGTGTGCTGGATATTAGCATCTGGATAAGGAGTAGGGGCACGGGGCTTAGGGGTGGGTATTCCCATTTAGTTTTTAGACTTTAACTAAATACATCTATTTTTGTTTTAGCTCTTCACTTCTCACCACTTCTTTTCTTTGTGCCCATGTTCCCACTTAGTGAGTCTTCGAAGTCCATTTTCTCAGTTGGAGAAAGAGGAGAGGAGGGGAAGGAGGTATGCTCTCTGTTTGCACCCACACCTGAGGTACCTCACACCTTCTATCATTGAGCGATTAGAGGATCTGAGAGTTCAGTGAGCTGATCTTTCATCAGTAACCCCCCAGATAGTTACTTGAAGCCTCCACTACTTTGCTTTATCAGGTGTTTTTTCCTCCATTCTCTTTATCTTCCAAAAATGATTTGATATCACTTATCTATTATTGTTTGCTCTCTTATTACTATGCTCTCATTGATTAATACTTTTTAAAATTCCTTGTCATTTAAGTGTGGTTTCAGGCAAGAATGAAGATAAACACGTGTTCAATTCACACTATTTTCTTATTAGGTTTAAATAAATATAAAATTTTCATCTTTTTCTTTGTAGCATAATTCCCCAAATAATATAATGGACTACTTCACATGGGCTTAGGAAAGTATATTTGGACACTTAGCTTGGGAATTCGTTTCTGGTTTAAAAGATAAGGTTTGTTTATACAAAAAAAGAAATCTGTTGATTTCATTCATTAGCATATGTTCACGGACATGGCAAAAGCATAATGCTAAAAAAATTACTTAGATGCAACTTGGTTTTATGAATTACCAAGCAGAAAAGTATAAATGGCCTTATTATTCTGTCACCACTAATGCTGTACTGTTCCAGATCACAGTTTTTGCACAATGGGAGATATTTGAAAGTTGTTTTTCTTACTGATGGCCTAGCATAGATTGATTCAAAGATAATGTACTAAGAAAAGCTACGTGGTTTCAGGGCACTGAAAATGAGAACAAAATTTCTGATTAAAGACTTCTGAATAATTCTTTCTGGAGGCACTATATCCCATTTGCTGTGAATTGTGTATGTTTAAAATCTGAAATATGCCAAAGCAAACAACGAAGAAAAAAAAAATGCCGACTTCCCTAAAGGAGTACTGTGTTCTCAAACCTTTCTTGGCTTTTTCTTGGACTGGGACGGTCAAAAACATTTCTAGTAAGGACATTTACTGGCATGCCGTGCGTAGGACACAGTGACCTGTCTTTTCCCAATACAGGCAGTAGGGAAGTATTAGCACTTAGAGAAGCTTATAAAGTCCTTCGTGAGGAATCCTAGAAAAGGAGTGTCAAAGAAAGCTGAGTTTGAGTCCCAGTTCTGTTTACGTTTGTGATGTTGAACAGTTTATGAACCTCTGAGAACCTCTCCATTAGGATAATAAAAGCATCAATATCACACATGATTTTTATGAAGGTTAAATGAAGTCACATGGTAAAAAAAAAAAGGGTAAAGTAACAGCACTTGGGATAAGTCACATGCTCCACACTTCCTGCTTTTGTTTCTCGCTTTCTCACACCAAGGTCAAGCTTGGTTGCCAGTGCAGCCTCTATGGAAATGAAGTATTGAGTTTATGTGATTGCAGGCTAATCAGTGGGGAAAAGCAATTGCCACATTCAGTACAGTTAGTCAAATAGGTTTATATATTTCTCCATGGGTCATGAAACAAAAGTGTCCTATTTACCTTCAAATTTTCCAGCAAAGTGTCACAAGGGATGAAATAGATACTTAACAGGTGTTTGTTGAATTGAGTTTGTTATTGTGTTATGATAACTATGAACAGAAAGGGAGAAACAATGTAGCAAAATGGTTAAAATACTTCAAAATGTCACTTATATGTGAAATCTAAAGTAGTGAAATTTATAGAATCAGTGAGTAGGATGGTGGTTGCCAGAGGCTGAGGAGATACCAGGAAGGTGAGTGATGGTTAAAGGGTACAAAGCTTTAGCTATTCAAGTTTCTGGACATCGAATGCACAACACTGTACCTGTAGTTATTAATATTGCATAGTGTACTGAAAATTTGCTAAGAGGGCAAATATTTGGTGAGAACATTCTTAAGTGTTCTCACACACACATATATATACACACAAAAAAAATGATGGTAACTGTAGGAAATGATGAATATGTGAATAAGCTTAACTGTGATTATTTCTCAATGTGCATGTATATGAAATCATCAAGTTATGAACCATATATATATATAATTTTTAATGGTCAATTATTCCTCAATAAAGCTAGAAAATATATGGGGCTCAGATATACCACCGACCAGGGTTTCCATTCTAGCTGCTCTCTTAATAGTTACGTGATTTGGGGGCAAATTATTAAAAAGCTTTTATCCTCCATTTTCACAAGTCCAACCTCCCCGGTCAGTGCAGGGAACCAGGGGTGACGCCACTGTGAAGTGCATGCATGGATTGTGTGTGTGCATCTATGTTAGAGCTAAACTAGGAAGAGGTGAGTGAGTACCTGCCTCAGATAGCATTTAAGGGGTCACCAAAAACAACAGTAATCAAGATAAATAATATTTGAATGCAACATTTAAAAAAATTAAAATGCAAAAAAGTCCATGATAAATTAAAGATCAAATTTTGAAATAAAAATCACAATCAGTAACAGTGCCATGTGGAGCCATGTTGGAGCCTAAGGCAGGGAGAGACATCACTAAAATTGACCCTGTCCTTATTTAAAATTTTGATATTTTCTTTGTTATAGGTTCTTTTTTGCATTAATTATGACTTTTTAAAATATCTTAAAATAGGAAATGTCTAAAACATCATGTTATATACTTAAATATATATACAATTTAAAAATACATTAATTAATTAATTAAAGTACTATTTATCTTGACCACTGAGATGTTTAGTGCCCTCTAAATTTTGTGTCCAAGTGCAGTTCCTTACTGCCCTCACCTAGTCTATGCCCTAATCAGGCATAATTTTTCTCTATCTAAATATATATTAGTGTAACTTTACACGTTACTTAAAAGTAGACTATTTGAATTTCTTTATCGCTTCCATTTATCTGAAATCTATATATTAACACACTTAAAGCACACAAAAGAGAAGTGCATCAACCTTAGAAATTCTTGGTGCCAAAAAAAAGATGGTTAAAGTGATTGTGCTCATATTTTTCAGAGTAACACCAAAAGGTAAGTAAATAAGTGGCCCACATTGAGAGCTGGCTAGGAAGAGACCTTCTGTTTTTAAGAATATCTACCCAATGGCCAATTATAGTTTGCTTTAAACATGGATTTTGAAGCCTTAATAACATTCTCCTGCTTTATAGGCTGGTTTTAAAGTTTTATTCTTGGCAGACTTCTCTTCCAGTAACTTGTTCCTAATACCCATAGTTCACTAAATGACAAACTTCTTACAGGAGACTGATAAGCACGTGTGTGAGAGAACCTGACTGCCTGCTGAATTAGTCTGGCAATGCTGATAACACTGTACTGCAGTCTGTGAGTCCTGATTGAAAAAAAGGAAAAGAAAAAAGAAATCTCTGCCACAACTTTCTTTCTGGAAGACTTGCTTACATACTGTATTTTTAGTCTTGTCATAGGAAGTGGGTGTCGATCAAGATATTTTAGGAAACGCTTGACTTTCCCTCGCTATATTGTGAGCTGTTTAATGTTTCCTTTTTCAAATAATGTCCCCACATTTGTAAAGGGAAAAAAATCAGTTGACTTTGCCTGAAGCTGCTATTTTATTTTATTATTATTTGTAAAGAGCATCTTTTACCTGGTGCCTTTGTGCTTCTGTTACGGTGTTCTTCGTGCATGCAGAGAAGTCAGGTAAGGAGCCAGACATGGTGGGAACAAGGACGGAGAAATTGCTGGTTCTGAATGCAATGAGACTGAATGGGCTCTCTTAAGGGCTCAGTGCTATTACATTAAACAATGCTGTTAGAGTGTCCCAGGTGTTTGAGGGTGATTTTCTGAATTTATGCTCTAGGTAGGCAGTCGATAAAAAATAAGGTCTCTCCAAAAATATTATATCAAATGGTAACATACAGTAGCATTTAAATGTCTTCGTAGGAGAAGGTGCTGTTTCCCTTCTCCTACTCCAAAGATTTCATTGAAGGTCTCTACTCTGGCTCTCCTTTTTCCCTCTGTTCCACTGGAAATATTTGAGACTCCCTGGGAGAGCCCAATTTTGAATATAATTTAATGGAAGCCCTGACCAAACTAAACCCATTGCACATAAACCCTTGTATTTATTAATGGCTTATTCATTACCTATCCAGGCTCTTCATTTTTCAAGTTGTTTCAGATGCCATGTATTTACAATCTGAAAATTCCAAGACGTGAAAGTTCATAAATAGAATTTATCAAAGAAATATTGTATTAGCCTCCTATGTTGATCTTGAAATATTGATCCAAAAATCAGGAGAGTAGTGATCAGTTACCAATCGTGAAGATCTAGCAAGAATAGCAGGGTAAGGGTCAGGGCTATAAGTAGAAATTGCAATCGAGGTGTGACTATTTTAGTTAATAGTTAGCTTCTTCGAGTTGGAATGCAATTATAATTGCATAACGAATTTTCATATAAGTAAGCCTAATTGTCCAGGATGTGATATAACCAGGTTAAGTTACATTTCTGTTCTTCCTCCCCGCTCATCCTCTGATAAAACATACCATGACCTACATTTTTATTATTTCAATGCATTTTATCACTCTCACCCTAAGAGTAATGGTAGAGAACTAACACATATCAGACACATTCTAAAAGTAGTAGAACATATTTTCCAAAAATCTTGTCCAATTTAATTCTCCAAATAATCCTAAGAAAAATAGAGTTACATTTGTTATGTATATTAGGCGTGTTTTTTACTTGAAACAATTTCAGAGACGTTAAGTAACCTGTTCAAAGCACGGAGATAGCAAATCTGGAGAGGTTTAAAGGTAAATACAGTTTGGAAAAGGAGACACAAATGACATTAATTATCTATGCACAGTGTGACAATTAAAATGATCAAATTCTAGATAAAACAACCCTGAATTAGAAGCTCATTTGTCTTGAGTTAACTGGTGACCTTAAACGAACATCCTAAGTCTCTCCATGCCTCAGTTTCCTAATTTATAAAAGAAATATTTAAACTCTCTGACTCCTGAATTTCCTCCAGGTAGCAGGTCATTTCCCTCAGTTCTAAACTTGGAGATTTTATGTTGATACCTCATGAAGACAAGTGCTCACATTGTGACCTCCACTTGGCCGGCACTACTAAGTATCAGCTGTCTTCTTCCTTGCTGGGGCAACTGAATACTGACAGGCACATAGGCACAACTCTCACAGGAGCAGAGATTGACCACCATGAAAAGCAATGCAGCATTGTCTCTGAATGAATTATGCTAAAAGTGCATCAGATGATGAGAGGGCTTCCAAGTCATAAAATGAGTCCCTTTCCACAGAGGAGGAACAAAGCATATAGGGTGCAGAGGAGTCCTCGCCCTAGTGGAGGCGGGAAAGCCATGAAAGTGAAGTGCTGTTTGATTCATAGAGGCCATTTTTATCAGCTTGAGGAGTGATGAAAGTTGCTAGTTGTTCCATCCCCATTTAGCCCTTTGAGCTTTCACTTAAATACTAAAACTCCTTTTTGGGTTGAATGCCATTGCTAGAGTGGTCAATTATTTGATTCACCTTGACCTATGGGCCAGAAATCTACTTGTAAGAATTTTTCTTTGTCTGGTAAAGGGATGAGCCTCCAAATATCTGCTTATATTTATACTCTTTAATATTATGAGCTTGAGTGTCATAATAATAATAACAAGACTTACGTGTTTGTTTAAGGTGTCTGGCTCATGTCGTCAAGAACAGCAAGGAATCTTACTCATTCTTTGGCCTGATTTTATATGAGGTATTATTAGAGTCAACATTCATGAAACACTTATCTGAAATAGCTGGCAAAGGAACCATTATTCAAAAAAGCTTTCCATAAAGAATTATTTGTTTTCTCAAAATATGACACATGGTATGAGAACTCAAGACTTTGACACTTCTTGGCACCATCTTTGATACATTTAATGTTTGCTGTGCCAGATTTACTTTCAGATGAAGTGTAAGGAGGAGTTGAAATATTTTAGGAATTTGGGGCATATTTTATATATTTTATACATTGTAGATATGGAAGGGTATGGAAGGTCCTACATAGGCAAGAGGTTTAGATTGCTACCGCTTACTCTTCCTGACTATGTATCCTCTGAAAATATTATTTTTTCTTTCCTAAAGCTCCTTCTTTTCCTTTCCCTTTTCTCGCTTTGAAATAAAGAGATACTTTTTCCAGATTTACATTTGTCTTATACTTTTCATTTTCTAAAGGAACACTATAGCTGACCTTACATATCTCTTCCGGGTTACCTCTCTTGCTTATTATCTCCTAGCTTCTCCATCTCAGCCTGGGGGAATCCACTAAAATTATTGCCTTGAAATTTCTCAATTATGGGGGATCCAAAACTGACTTACTTCAAATGTTGATGATTTAAGTAGTTGCTATGTCAGCTCTAAACTTGGAGATTTTATGTTGATGCCTTATGAAGACACCTGCCCACATCGTGTCCTCCACTTGGCTGGCGCTACTAAATGTCAACCATTTTGGACAACCAAAGCTGTTTTACTAAGTGGATCTTACAGAAAATCCTTGCTTTTGTTGTTGCTGGTATCTGAACATTCTTATTGATCAACTGATGGAGAAGTATTCCTCAGGTGAAAGTTGAACAAAAATGATTTGAGGACATTTCAGTAGCCCCATGCAGGTTCTGTGGGTTACCCTATTAGAATGTCATTAGTCTAATGTAAAATACAATTAGTCCATTGAAAGATACTTCATGCTTTAGTAGCACTTCCATATGTGAACTACTGTTGGTCCCTAACATATCTTAAGTGTTCTAAGAGAAAGGAAAAAGCAAATGCTCAACAAACTCACTCTGAAAATTAAGAAAGAAAATGTATTCATATTTTTCAGTAAATTAGTAAAACCAATAAGTAGTACAGATGCATGTCGTATCCACATAAGGAAGATATTGAGAAAGAACGTGAGGGCTGCGCAGTAGAAACAAAAGTAGGTGAGGAAGAGGAAAATGTCAGGGGAAAACTCAGTAAACTGTGACATGAATCCCCTGGTGGTAGTTGCAATGATAGTATGCCCTACATCTAGTATTCACTTTGGCCATGAGCACTGTATTAATCTATTACTTTCTTTTGAAATGTGTGAAACTCGTCTCATAGGATTGTTAAAGAGGTTGAAGTAGGTAATATTAGTAAAGTAGTTAGATCAGTGCCTGGCACACAGTAAATGTTATGTAAGGGTTTGTTGATATTCCTACTATTATTGTTGGCTCTCCAGAGTGTTTATTTCCTGTGCAGATGGTTGTGTGTGTTTCTGTGTGGGTGTGGACTATTCACTAATTTGCTAGTCAAATCCTGAAAGTCACTTTCATGTAACACAATAGATGTTCCCATCTTGCTTTATTCTTTGCAGTGAGCAAGGCAGCCTTGTAAGACAATGCCTGGATATTACATTTGGAGACAGAATTTCTTCTGAATTGATTTTTTTAATGAAAATTTAATTTTCGGACTAAGTATGAGGAAATATAGTGAGGACCACAAAAAGAATAAATTATTTGGAATAAATGAGTTGGTAGATCCTCCCTAAATCTAAAGCCATACTCAGCAACTAATATAAACATGTCTAGATATCTGGGAACTTGGAGTTCTAAATAGAAATGTGTTTCATCCTCCTTATTCTTTTGTCATAGATCTTTACTGTACCATAGTAAATGAACTTACATTTGTAAAGTGAGTGGCATTGAGAAGGCGCTCAGTAAATGTTAATTTCTTACCCCCTTCTTTTTCTCTAAGATAGAACTCAAGTCAAAAAAGTATTTTTATTTCTAATGTTCAGAAACACCTATTGTATAAACTCCATGTGCTGAAGTCACTAATTATGATAGATATTTGAATTGCCTTTTTATTACATCCAAAATATAGTAAATTAAACATTATGCTTTTGGCCATACAATTTATATAAAGGCAACAATCCGCTCTCTTTAATGTTTTTTTCCTCACATTTTTATAAAGCAGACAAAAGTATATATATATATATTATCTTTCCACATGGGCTATTTAGACATGTTTCAGAATACAAATGCTTGAACTATTTGGGGCTTATGATCACTGAGTTAGAAGTCAATTTGACCTGAATAATCTGCTCAATTTTGTTTTGCAGAGTATATTGCATTTGGCAGGTTTATATCCTGAAATGCCCAGTGGTCTTAATGACACTGATGTCTGTGGCTTTGTCTTTGGAGCTGAGAAAGTAATGTTTTCAGGTGGTTTATCCCTAGGCATTTTCCACGTCCCAGCTCTGACTGTGGTTGATTTTTGCCACCTCCAGCCTAAGAACAGTGTACCTTTATGTCAGCCACCAGATAACCACTTTCTGAGAGTTTCTTGGAAGAATATCTCCTTTTCCAACCTGGTTCTCCATGGGGCAAAATTTAGTTCTCACTGCTGTAACAGGCTAGGTTTGTTGTCTTTAGAAAAGCAGGGATATTAATAGGACCTGGTCCTCATATAGTAATGTTCCAGACTATGTGCCAGACAGTGATTTTGTTTCATTAAAATAGTCTTTTCATCACAATATTTTTCCTTGAGTTTGTGGCTGTTTATCAAACACTTAACCACAGTGGCTTATTGATTTGGGTAAAACTGACTCATAACGAGATCATTTGGGGAATTTCTATTTGGATTTTTTAAATTATTTTAATTAAATTATAAAATTAAATATAGTCCTCTTTTTGTATTGTGAGAAATCAGAAGTGATATAAAGATATGTGATGTGATTTTTCTGCCTCAGTTGAGACAGGTATATATATATGTGTATATTTCTGATTGTAGATTTTGTTTTTCGCGAACCATGCTCTGAATCAGAATTGTTTCTCTGAATTTTCAAGAGCTGTCAGTGATAGCTTGCCTGATAGACTACAGGGTGCTTCGATGTTTAGATTACCCCTGTGAGATGAATAGGAAATGGGACTTGCCTTATTTCTGAACTCAGCCGTGCCACCTTTCGCTCAGGCTCTTTGTATCTCTGCGGGTAGGGATAAAATGAAGTAGTTGGGAGGAGCTTTGAAGACAGATGGCTAGGTGTGTTGGGGAAAGAAATAAGTGTGTTTGTGGTGAGAAATGTTTCTTTAAAAGCCAGTAAATGAAAATGCTTCCAGTGAGAGGCACGTCTCAGAAGTGGTAAACAAGAGCCTGAGAAAATTGGGTATCACTGTTTCTAAATGAGGGGCACTGATTGGCTTTCTTTCTAACTGTGGAGTGTTTAAATTTTTGCATTGAGTGTGTATGTTGTAAGTTGCTAAAACTTCTAAGGGAATTATATTAGTTTGCCATTGCTGTTTAACAAACCACCCTAGAACTCATTAACTTAAAACAGCAGTTACTTATTATGTCTATTACTGGAGACACACTGCATATCATCTGGGGTCTGTTTGATCAAGGCTTGGCTCAGCTGGATGGGTTTGCTTCAGCTGGACAATTCCGCTTCTTATGTCAGGTTTTAAGCTAGCTAGGGTGTCTCTGTTCCACATGTCTCTCTTTTTCCTTGGACCAAGAGACTCAGCAGGGTAGGTTTTTCTCATCGTGATGCCAGAGACATAAGAAAGCTAGGCTAAAATATGGCAGAGCTCATTCTATTAGTCAAACTGGTCACAAAACCAAGTACAAAATAAGGCAGTAGTTGAAATATAATATGCCTTATTAGGGAAAAGAATTGCAAAGTTGCATGGCAGAGGGCATGGATATGAAGAAGGGTGAAAAATCAGGCCCAAAGACGCAGTCTCCAATGGGAAGATCTATGTAAGCAACTTCACAAATGTTATAATGAATTTAAGTATGAAGTTCATACAGTGTTTCAAATGATTCTTCTCTCTCTGTCTGATCATGTTGAAAGCCTTTCTTCCCAATGCACCGTCAGAGAATAGGCTGCATTCAGAACTTGGTGACTATCTGTCAACTAAGTTGGTGCTGAGATAACCCATGAACATGATGCTTTGCCCATCTCCTCTCACCATCCTGCCCCAACCTCGGTAGAGAGAGAGGGCATTTAGGGAGGATGTGGAGTAGAGGAAAGGCTTTTATGCAGAATTTTATAAATATTTATTTTTTTAAAAGGTAAATTCAGGCTGATGTGATGAAAATGAGTTCTTGACAAAGATCAAAAAATGGTTTGAGTCAGAGTGGATTTATCAAAATGCAATTATTTTAAACAAAACAGAACTTTGCAATTGCATACAGAAGCTAGTCCCTCAAAACCTACTGGGGACATTTTCTAGTTTACATAATGTAATTAAATTCAAGCCTGATGATTTCAAATGTATCCCACAGACATTATTGGCAACACGGTCCCATGTGGGGAAAAGGCTGAGGAAGTAAGTAGCATGTTTGGGGGCCAAGAGAAAGTTAGAAAATCATATCTAAAGCTCACAGCAATTGTTTGCAGGGATTCCTCTTTAGCACCGTTCAGCAGCTATGGGGAGAGAACTGGGAACTTTTCTGGAACTAGTATTCACTCTAAAACCTATCTGTGTCTTTGGACAGGAGAAAAAGTTTCAGTTTCTGCCCACAGGAATAGCAAATGTGCCTTTCTCATGGAGTTCTGGTAGCCGTAAAGAATAATGTTTCTTTTTGCTTTGTGTAATTATGATTTGTAAACATCACTTGTATATATTCTTTGTTCAACTTTACTTTCCTTTTTATGATAATTGCTGATGCTACACTTAGACATTATATTTCCAGAATCTCATATAAAGTTTATTTTTTAGTTATCTCTAAATTACATTAAGTACCTTAGGTAAGGTAAACATGATCATCAATAGAAAAATAATCAAGGGATAGGAAGACAAATTCACAAAATTACTTCAGTCATTAACTTATCTTAATAAAAGAATGATAAATACAAATAATGACAGAATGCTAGTTGTTGTGTATCAGATTTAACACACACATACGTCGTTCTTTTTTAAAGGATATTCAGTGCTGGTTATGGTGGAGTAAAACTGAGCCGTCACACACGGCGCTCATGTGATGTGATTGTAAATTGGCACGATCTTTTGAGAGAGCAATTGAACAGTATGTACCAAAATTATTTGCAGCAATTTTACCCTTTAACCTAGTATTACATTTCAAGGCTTTATCCAAGGAAACAATAAGTAATAAGCACAAAAACTAATGGAGGAGGATGTCCTTTGCCATTCTATATTTAACAATGAAAATTTGGAAAATATCTAAGTGTCCAAAATAAAAGAATGTGTATGTAAATATGACACACTCATAATATAGGATATAATTAAATAATTAACATATTTTGCATAATTTTAATGACAGAAGATTTTGATTGTATAATATACAAAAAATTTGAAATACAAAGAAATACTATAAAATTTTAATATGTAAAAAATGGACATCACAATATATTAAACTATATAATTGAGTATCTGAAAGAAAATACTATTAGCAGTATTTGTGTAAGGAATTATGAGTACTTATTTTCTTCTTTACATTATTTTTTAAAATTTTTCTAATATTTAAAAAAGAGCATGTCTTAATTTTATAATTACTGGAAAACGCTATTTATACAAATGAGCTCTAGAAAGAAATGTGTACTAACTATAGCTCAGACAATCTAAAAATTTACTCTAGAAGGATATTCTTAAATCAATAAGAAAATGATTAATTATTTCCTGTCATCGAATACTTTGTATATTTCAGTATAAAATTTAATTTGGGGGAATACAAAAACAACAAACATCTATGAAGGAGGAAATAATGTACAAATAACCGAAATCATCATGATAAGTTACGGAAGACTTCGATTTTGAAATTAGATACAATATAGGGTCTTAATTGCTAAAGAAATAGCCAGGAGGAGTTCAACTTCTCAGAGCTGTAAATAGGTTCACTGAGAGTTTAGACTATTTTTGGAGTAATAGAGCAATAAAAGCAGTACTTTCCAAGCCCTCCTTTATCCCCCACTTTCTTCCTTTTTTTATTTTTATTTTTAATTTTTTTTAGCTAGCAGAGGCAATTCCTCACTGGTCATAACTTTCAAATGACCTTGGTAAGTAGCAGGTGATGGTGCCAAGAATGAAAGCTCTAGGCTGATTTAGGAAACAGGTGCCAATTCTTGCTGCAAATACTTTGCAACCCTGCATTAAAGAGTTAATAAAAAAGGAAACATAAGTGACACAGAAGCAAAAGATACTCAAAGCCCACCCTTCATCCAGATGAATTTACTTGATTTTCCATGAGTACTTTACAGTTTTGATGATTTCCTGCTTCTTGAGTCACTCCTTATGTGATGGAGCTGGCTTACACTCTCTTGCAAGAGTAAATTATGCTCATCTCTTCTCAGGTTATGTCATTTGTACTTATACCATGAAATTGATGTGTTGGTGGGAGTATTTTAACTGCAGTGGTTGACAAATGATACAAGTCAGGGCTTTGCCTCTCTAGAAAGCCAGTTGGTTTTTACCAGCATACTATTACCTGGACCTATCCTCTCAGTTTTAGACCCTTAGTTTGACTGCCTCATGTCATTCTATTTCCCTGTTTCAAAAATATTATAAACATCATATCCAAATTTGTTAACTTTTCCCCTAAGCTGGACATCTTTAAAGTTCTCTAAGTACCCATTTCAGTGACAGGTACTGAACTGGGAAAGCCAAAATCATGTTATTCTTAATTACATCTACTCCTTCATCAACCCCATCACAGCCCATCATCATTTATCTAGTCAACAAAATCTCTTAAATATGTCTCTAATCACTTCTCTCTATCTCTGCACCTACCATAATATTTTTCCTGAACATTTTTACTTCTCTGTGACTAATCTTTGGGCTTTGTGATTCCATGGAATAGAGACTCTACTCCCTATTTCCCATCTCCTGTTTCCATCAGAGCATCCCATTGGCCTCCATTTTTAAAGATGTCTTCATTTGACTCCTGTTTTGTTTTGTTTTTGATTCCAACTTTTATTTTAAATTTGGGGGTACATGTGTAGGATGTGCATGTTTGTTACATAGGTCAATGTGTGCCATGGTGGTTTGCTGCACAGATCATCCCATCACCTAGGATTAATCCCAGCATCCATTAGCTATTCTCCCTGATGCTCTCCCTCCTCTCACCACCCCCACCCTCTGACAGGCCCCCGTGTGTGTTGTTTCCCCACTATGTGTCCATGTCTTCTCATCATTCAGCTCCCACTTATAAGTGAGGACATGCACTATTTGATTTCTGTTCCTGCATTAGTTTGCTGAGGAGAGTAGCATCCAGCTCCATCCATGTCCCTGAAAAGGACATTATCTTGTTCCTTTTTAAGGCTGTATAGTATTCCATGGTGTATATGTACCACATTTTCTTTACGCAGTCTATCATTGATGGGCATTTGGGTTGACTCCATGTCTTGACTATTGTGAATAGTGCTGCAATGAACATATGTGTGCATGTATCTTTACAATAGAATGATTTATAATCCTTTGGGTGTACACCCAGTAATGTGATTGCTGGGTCAAATGGTATTTCTGCCTCTAGGTCTTTGAGGAATTGCCACAGCATCTTCCACAATGGTTGAACTAATTTACACTCCCACCAAGTGTAAAAGCATTCCTTTTTCTCCACAACCTCACCAGCAGTTGTTTTTTTTTTGACTTTTTAATAATATCCATTCTGACTGGCATGAGATGGTATCTATTGTAGTTTTGATTTTCATTTCTCTAATGATCAGGGATGGTGGGCTTGTTAACATATGTTTGTGGGCTGCATGTATGTAGTCTTTTGAGAAGTGTCTGTTTGTGTTCTTTGCCCACTTTTTAATGGGATTGTTTGTTTTTTTTCTTGTAAATTCATTTAAGTTCCTTGTAGATTCTGGATATTAGACTTTTGTCAGATGGATAGATTGCAAAAAAATTTCTCTGATTCTTTAGGTTGTCTGTTTACTCTGATGTAGTTTCCTTTGCCGTGCAGAAGCTCTTTAGTTTAATGAGATTCCATTTGTCAATTTTTGCTTTTGCTGCAATTGCTTTTGGAGTCTTCATCATAAAATCTTTCATGGGCAAAGACTCCTGTTTTTAAAAGAGAAACCTATTCCAAAGAGAAGACTAAGAGGCTTGAACTTTCCAGGTATAAAAGCACAAAATGGTAAATATCTTTTATTTTCTCTTTCCAATTTTATTTTTGTTGTGTTAAAATACATTATAACAAAATTTACCATCTTAACCACTTTTCACTGTACAGTTCAATGGTATTAAACGTATTCATAATGTTGTGCAACCATTACCACCTTTATCACCTTAACTCTTTTCATCTTGTAAAACTGAAATAAAATCCCCATTAAATAAGATCTCCCCATTTTTCTCTCCCCCATCTCCAGCAACCACCATTCTACTTACTGTCTCTATGATTTTGACTACTCTAAGTACCTCATAAAAGTGGAATCATACAGTATTTGTCTTTTAGTGATTGGCTATTTCACTTAGCATGTTCTCAAGATTCTTCTATGTTGCAGCACATCAAAATTTTCTTCATTTTTAAGGCTGAATGATATTCCATTGTGCATATGTATGCTACATTTTGGTTATCCGGTCATCTGTCAGTGGACACTTGGGTTGCTTCCAGATTTTAGCAATTGTGAATAACACTGTTATGAACGTAGGTGTTCAAATATCTCTTTGCAACTCTATTTCATTTCTTTTAGAAACTGAATTGAAAGTGAAATTGCTCAATCATATGGTAATCCCATTTTTAATTTTTGAAGTATCACCATACCGTTTTCCACAATGACTATACTGTTTTACATTCCCACCAACAATGCACAAGTGTTTCAATTTCTCCTCCTCTTCATCAATACGTTATTTTCTTTTTTCCCACTGTAATGCATGTGAAATATCTCATTTTGTTTTGATGTGCATTTCTCTAATGTTTGTGAGCATCTTTTCATATGCTTATTCACCATTTGCATATTATCTTTGGAAAAATATTTATTCAAGTTCTTTGTCCATTTTCTAATCAGCTTGTTTTTTTGTTGTTGTTGTTAAGTTTTAGGAGTTCTCTCTATATTCTGGCTATTAATCTGTTATCAGATACTTGATTTGCAAATATTGTCTTCCATTCTGTGAATTGCCTTTCTACTCTGCTGATAGTATCTTTTGGAGAACATTTTTAAAAAATTTTTATAAAGTTGTGTTTGGCTAGTTTTTCTTTAATTTCCTATGCCTTTTCTGTGATATCCAAGAAATCATGGCTAAATCCAATGTGATCAAATTTTGTCCTATGTTTTCTTCTAGAAGCGTTATATTTCTCGTTCTTATATTTAAGCCTTTAATCCATTGTGACTTAATTTTTTACATGGTTTTAGATAACAGTCCATTTACATTCTTTTGCTTGTAGATATCCAGTTTTCCCAGAACTGTTTGTTGAAGAGATTACTTGTTCCTCATTGAATTGTCTTACCACCCTTGTCAAAAGTAATTTGACCATCTGTATGAGGGTTTATTTCTGGGCTTTCTATTCTATTCCATTGGTTTATATGCCTCAATGCCAGTATCACCCTATTTTGAATACTGTAGCTTTGCAGTATGTTTTAAAATCAGTAAGTGTGAGTCCTCCATCTTTGTTATTTATTTTCAAGATTGTATTTGCTATTTATGGTCTTACTTAGTTTATTAACCATTGCTTCCCCTCCCTCCCCCATCTTGATGGTCTTGTCTCTTGGTCTCGGGAAGATGCTCTTCCTGGCTGTATGTAGTCACCCATCTTGGCTCTTCTTGCTATCTCTATTTTATTCACATTCTACTTTCTTGATTTTTTTTCACATCTTTCTTCAACTGTTCGAGCATCTTTAAGGTAATTGTGTTGAAGTTTTTGTCTGGTAGAGTTGTCATCAAGTCTTTTTTAGGAACAATTTCTGTTGACTTATTTTTTCCTTTTGAATGTTCCATACATTTCTATTCCTTTTTATGTCTTGCGATTTTATTTTCTTGCTAAAAACTGGACATTTAAATCTAATAATGTGGTAACTCTGAAAATTCTATTACCCCTTTCCCCAGGGCTTTCTGTATTATATATTTATTTCTTATTGTTTTTGTTTTGTTGATTGTTTTAGGCTGTGCCTGTGCCAAGGATCAACCAGAGGTGTACATTTAAGGCTTCCTCAGGTTTTTTTTTTTATTATTATACTTTAAGTTCTAGGGTACATGTCCACAACGTGCAGGTTTGTCACATATGTATACATGTGCCATGTTGGTGTGCTGCACCCATTAACTCGTCATTTACATTAGGTATATCTCCTAATGCTATCCCTCTCCCCTCCCCCGACCCCACAACAGGCCCCAGTGTGTGATGTTCCCCTTCCTGTGTCCAAGTGTTTTCATTGTTCAATTCCCACCTATGAGTGAGAACATGTGGTGTTTGGCTTTTTTGTCCTTGCAACAGTTTGCTGAGAATGATGGTTTCCAGCTTCATCCATGTCCCTACAAAGGACATGAACTCATCCTTTTTTATGGCTGCATTGTATTCCATGGTGTATATGTGCCACATTTTCTTAATCCAATCTATCATTGTTGGACATTTGGGTTGGTTCCAAGTCTTTGCTATTGTGAGTAGTACCGCAATAAACATACGTGTGCATGTGTCTTTATAGCAGCATGATTTATAATCATTTGGGAATATACCCAGTAATGGGATGGCTGGGTCAAATGGTATTTCTAGTTCTAGATCCCTGAGGAATAACCACACTGTCTTCCGCAATGGTCGAACTAGTTTACAGTCCCACCAACAGTGTAAAAGTGTCCCTATTTCTCCACATCCTCTCCAGCACCTGTTGTTTCCTCACTTTTTAATGATCGCCATTCTAACTGGTGTGAGATGGTATCTCATTGTGGTTTTGATTTGCATTTATCTGATGGCCAGTGATGGTGAGCATTTTTTCATGTGTCTTTTGGCTGCATAAATGTCTTCTTTTGAGAAGTGTCTGTTCATATACTTTGCCCACTTTTTGATGGGGTTCCTTGTTTTTTTCTTGTAAATTTGTTTGAGTTCTTTGTAGATTCTGGATATTAGCCCTTTGTCAGATGAGTTGATTACAACAATTTTCTTCCATTCTGTAGGTTGCCTGTTCACTCTGATGGTAGTTTCTTTTGCTGTGCAGAAGCTCTTTAGTTTAATTAGATCCCATTTGTCAATTTTTGGCTTTTGTTGCCATTGCTTTTGGTGTTTTAGACATGAAGTCCTTGCGCATGCCTATGTCCTGAATGATATTGCCTAGGTTTTCTTCTAGGGTTTGTATGGTTTTAGGTCTAACATGTAAGTCTTTAATCCATCTTGAATTAATTTTTGTATAAGGTATAAGGAAGGGATCCAGTTTCCGCTTTCTCCATATGGCAAGCCAGTTTTCCCAGCACCATTTGTAAAATAGGGAATCCGTTCCCCATTGCTTGTTTTTGTCAGTTTTGTCAAAGATCAGATAGTTGTAGATGTGTGGTATTATTTCTGAGGGCTCTGTTCTGTTCCATTGGTCTATATCTCTGTTTTGGTACCAGTACCATGCTGTTTTGGTTACTATAGCCTTGTAGTATAGTTTGAAGTCAGGTAGTGTGATGCCTCCAGCTTTTTTCTTTTGGCTTAGGATTGACTTGGCAATGCGGGCTCTTTTTTGGTTCCATATGAACTTTAAAGTAGTTTTTTCCAATTCTGTGAAGAAAGTCATTGGGAGCTTGATGGGGATGGCATTGAATCTATAAATTACCTTGGGCAGTATGGCCATTTTCATGATATTGATTCTTCCTATCCATGAGCATGGAATGTTCTTCCATTTGTTTGTATCCTCTTTTATTTCCTTGAGCAGTGGTTTATAGTTCTCCTTGAAGAGGTCCTTCACATCCCTTGTAAGTTGGATTCCTAGGTATTTTATTCTCTTTGAAGCAATTGTGAATGGGAGTTCACTCATGATTTGGCTCTCTTGTGTGTCTGTTATTGGTGTATAAGAATGCATGTGATTTTTGCACACTGATTTTGTATCCTGAGACTTTGCCGAAGTTGCTTATCGGCTTAAGGAGATTTTGGGCTGAGACGACGGGGTTTTCTAGATATACAATCATGTCATCTGCAAAACAGGGACAATTTGACTTCCTCTTTTCCTAATTGAATACCCTTTATTTCTTTCTCCTGCCTGATTGCCCTGGCCAGAACTTCCAACACCATGTTGAATAGGAGTGGAGAGAGAGGGCATCCCTGTCTTGTGCCAGTTTTCAAAGGGAATGTTTCCAGTTTTTGCCCATTCAGTATGATATTATCTCAATAGATGCAGAAAGGGCCTTTGACAAAATTCAACAGCCCTTCATGCTAAAAACTCTCAATAAATTAGGTATTGATGGGACGTAACTAAAAATAATAAGAGCTATTTATAACAATCCCGGTTTTTGTTTTTGTTTTTGTTTTCCTGAGCCTGTGACTTTCCCTGGGAATGCACAGTCAACTTTCTAAATTTCCCATTTATTTAGTAGTTTTCCTAGTCTTTAATGTCTGACTCCAAAAAGAAGAAATATAGAATAATCAAAGGAGGGAAAAAATGGTTGCTGATTTGTTATTTCAACTGGGGATGGGGCGTTCGTCCCCAGCTGAAACTCATTTCAATGGGGGACGGTGGGTTCGTAACAATGGAGGGAAGTACAACAGCAGTAACTACCCACCTCTTGGTCTGTAACTCTGTGATCAGAAACAGTCAGTGATCAAAGCACATATTCCCAATATTTGGAAGACAAAGTCTTTTTTTCTACCCTGGTTCCTATGAGCTATGTGCAATTTATTTCAGGAGCAGGTGCACAGCTGCCTGTCATAGGGCTGTGTTGGGGAGGGGTTGCTGCTACTCTAAGAGCTAAAATTGATAAAAATTCCCTCCACTTTACTGTCCAAGCATTCTCCTGGAAGTTTGAAGCCTTCAATAGACTCCAGAGTTCCAAAAGAGTTATATCAAACAGATTCTGCTAGTGTGATTGTTGTCTAGGTGGGGAAAGAGACTCCTGGTGCTTTCTACTCTGCTACTTCCCAGGATCCTCAGTAACAAATTTATTTCTTATGTTAATGTAATTACTTTAAATATATAGAAGTTAACATTATGCTGTTAAGGTATGATTAATAATAATGTAATGCTCTTTTTCTTAACATTTTATTCTGATTATAAAATAGGTAATAACTCTATCTTTAAGAAAGTCCTTTGTCCTTTTTCATAATCAAAATGCAGGCATTAAGTCCCATGACAGGAATGGCCTGGGGATTCTCTCATTTAGTGCATTCATTTGTGTCTCTATCCCACTAAGTTATCTCCTAATATCTGTTATTACATACAACAAGGCCAGAAATGTACAAAATGAGTGCATGTTGTTACAGTTCCCTCATGCTTAGGATGTACTTATGTGAATAATTACAACAAATTAGGACAATGTAAAAATAAGATAATTCTTTTAATTTTTGGCTAGAATTTATGATAAAGGATACATCATTTGGATATGCTATGAATGTTCAAGATAATATAAAATACTACATGCATTCTTGTGCTTTATTATTATAAAGAAATTTAACTTCTTTAATTACTAAAGCGTTCCAAAAGAACGGTCATATTTGTCTTTTATCTAAATATTGTCAACTACCATTTCATAAATTCATATCACAATATATAATCCTTTCTCTTCTTTCTCTCTCAATCCTCTCTACCCTCTCTTCCTCTCCCACCCCCCACCTTAACTCTCTTCCCATTCACCACTCATCAATTCATTCATCCATCCACCCACTCATCTATATACCAGGTATATATTGGGCACCTACTGTGAATCAAGGTCACGAGATCCTGGAGATGTAGTGGTGACTCTGGCTCTGTCTTCAGGAGTCTTAGTCTAGAAAGGAACTGGCAAGTATGGAGTCAATGATAACAAATGGTATTATTGGTAAGAAGGGTGTGCTAAGGAAGCATGTAAAAGAGTTATCAGCAACAAAATGAAATGCTATAGAAGAAATAGTGTTCAATCTTGGAAAAAAAAGAATGAGTAAAATTTGTCAGAGACAAGTGGCAGTTGAGCTAAAAGGAGAAAGAATGAGTAAAATTTGTCAAAGACAAGTGGCAGTTGAGCTAAAAAGACAAATGTATTTTGTAGGATGATTACACAAACCTAAGACGTATGTATAGCTTCAGTCTTGTTTAAAGGTGGCTATCTCACACTGTCCTTGCATTTCTCTAAGATCTGTGATTTCCATAAGACTCTCAATTGACAATATTTGCTACCAAATTCTGTTTCAATTTAGGCTGAGACAGAAATAGCTAGAGTGTGCACATGTGTGTGTGAGGGTGGGTGGGGGGGTTGTACGCACATTATTTAACCACTTTTCATGAATGAAAGGAACGAATTACATTTGAAAAGACCTTATATTTTATAGCTACACTAAATATGGCCATTGAGCTCACAACTTGAGTCAAGTGTCGGATTAGGTAAGATTTTATATTAATTGAACCTCATCTGGCTGTCTTCTTTACCCATAGCCACAAATCCTTTCCAGTACACTGGTTCACCTACAAACAGTGTTTCCAGTAAATACAATTTTAACTAGGTGCTCTTGACTTCAAGGATCTCCACTACTTTATTTCTCCTTCTAACTAATTATATCCTCTTATTCTCCCTTTGCTCCATCTGAAATACCTTCTTTTCACTTTCAGCTATTCTATCTTACTCTTCTTGACCTTCCTTATTTATCTCTATTCTCCATGCCATAACTGCTTCCATAGTGGGCCTTGAATACTGGTTTAATAAATGTTCTCTATTCTACTGCAATATCTCCCTCAAGATTTGCATCTTAAAGCAGATATATAGTGAGTTACCAGAAATTGAAATAAAGGACAAAATCAGTGAGTCCACATTGCTATGGCATGATCGTACTCTTTCCTCAAACACAAACTCATCCTTAAAATGTGTTCTGACCGTGCTTTAATACATGAACCAAAGTCATCATTTCAGGTTCTATCACATCAATAAGCCCATGTCCTGTACCCATAACAGATAGGCAGTAATTGTGGTATGTGTCAAAAGTAAATGTTCTTCATTACTCTAATAATAAAACGTTTGACCATCAAAACATACACTAAAAACATAAGGAATACATTACTCTCATCTTTCTATGTAAATCTTCACAAATTATCAGTGGAGGATAGACATTAAAAGAAAACAGGTCTCTCATCTGGAGATCTGAAAGTCATTATTTGTTTCCTGCAGAAACCATTGTTATCAATCCCATAACTACTATTAGTTCATTTCCCAAATGCCCTGGATTCTCCCAGTATGACTGACTTTCCTTTTTTCCTTTCGGCCACTATCTTTCCTTTCTTCACAATGCTGCTACCTTCTTTTCTCTTGTTTACATGTAGTCAAAAAGCTGGTATACAATACTTGACCATGGCTCTTACTAGTTTCAGTCTACTGAATCCCTTCCAATTAATTAAAGGTGTAAAAGAAGATACTACTATGGGAGGAACAGACACATATTAAAGTTGCCACAGGGAAAACACGAGATAATTAAAAAGGTACATATGAAAAGAAACTTTTGAATTAACCAAAGCCTACCTAGCCTACATGTAAGATGTTCCTTTCTGTCTTTCTCTCCAGAGCACATTCTCTCTCTCTCTGTCTCTCTCTCTTTCTCTCTCTGTGTGTGTATGTGTGTGCGTGTGCATGCACGCACGCACTTATATGTATCTCTATTTCTTCCTCTTTCTATTTTTTTTTTGTTGTTGTTGCTTATCCATCTTGCACATGAATCTGTATTACCTGAGTCTCTACTACCTACTGGCTCCGGGGCCCATCACCAATTGACACGTTCCTTCTCCATCTCTTAGTTTATGTTTTTGAGAACAAACATGATTGTCTCAGTTCATCTTTTCAAGCTAGGCCACACAAGTCATGGGTCTCAGAAAATCCCATTTAGAAGCCATCCTAATCAAATCAGTTATGTCCAGGAGTGAGAAAGCCCTGTGTATTTCATATGAAATAAGCATTTCCCCAGAGAGGAGAATGGCTTGGCAGCTGCTCTGAAATACATCAAAGTTACCTATATTTTTCCATCAGTATTGATCCCTTACTTTTATTTCTAGCAAAATAAGTCAGTAAAATCTATAACACACACACTCAAATGCTCTCTCTCTCTCTCTCTCTCACACACACACACAGATTTTATGTGTATGAGGAGATTATACATGCGTATCCTTTTGGAAATTGCTGCTTTTGTATTCTAAAACATTAGAACCAACTTATTTAATGAAAATACTACTGTACTTATAAAGACTCTCATTTTGGAAACTTCAGAGAAAAAAGAAAACATTTCTGGCCACTGCAGATATCCAAGACTTTATTTACTTGAGACAGCTATGGGTAATCTCAGTCTAAGGATACGTCTCAATGCTAGAAGATCTTTAAAAGCAAGGGCATCCATAATGTGACAGAAATTATTCAGGAAAGTTGTAGGCAGGAGAGAAGTGGACAATTGGAAAAAAAATAAGCTTGGGAGCCAGAAATGTAAACTTATACCGCAACTTGCATATAAATGTAAAAACTTATGGTATTTTCCTCAAAGTGTCATTTCTTCCATGCTTCAGTGCCACTCTGTGTGTGACATAGAATTCAGTGCACACAGCATGCTGACTCCATCATT
This sequence comes from Homo sapiens, assembly GCF_000001405.40. Taxonomy (NCBI): domain Eukaryota; kingdom Metazoa; phylum Chordata; class Mammalia; order Primates; family Hominidae; genus Homo; species Homo sapiens. The sequence goes on along the minus strand of NC_000003.12, from coordinate 21,764,722 downwards.
TGAGGGCTAAACTGGGTCAATTGTCAAACACTCAACTGTTTAGTTTTCATTCTTGTATTCAATGCTCAGCTTCCATGACAGCTAAAAACATTAATTTACTCTAAAAGTGGTTGGATTGGTGATTTCCAACTAGACAAGCCCAGCCATGCAAAATATCTTTTTCGTTCTTGCTTGCTATGTTTCATTGGCTGGCATGTAGACAGCAAACCTGAGCAAGGAAAACTGTGGCTTGTACCAGAGATTACAGCATTATTGCATATGTTTATCTGAAAATCACCTGGTTATACGAGAGCTTTATTTCCACTGGATGCTTATTAGTTAACCATTCTACATTTTGAATCCATAACTATGAGGCCCATTACTTCCCTGAAAATCCTTTGTGGTTTTTCAAATATTTGTTGCAGTTCACAGTTTCTTTCAAACTACTTCTCCTAACTAATACTATACCACTCTCCCCTGCCTTTCCTTATTGAGCATCTTCTAGCTCTTGTCTCCACACTGCTTTATCCTCTGGGTCTTTGCATAAGCTGTTAACCATGCCCAGAATACTCTTCCCTTATCTTTGTCTGACTAATTTCTGATGAATCTCAAATCAACCGCGTTCTTTATATTAGACGTCAAATTCTCAAAAGCCCTTCTCTAATCTCCCTGATTATCCATCTTTCCCTACTTTTCTGACCATTTTCAACAGATTGTTGTAGCCATTGATCCACCTTCCATTGCAGTATCTCATTCTTTGGGAAACTGTAAGCTCCAGGAGGCCAAAAATCTGTCTTAGTTACTCCAGTATCCCTGGCCCCTCTCACAGTTCTTGACAAATGGATGTTCAATGACTATATGTTAGAATAGTGAATTAATGAAAACATTTTAATGTCTTCCAAATTAAGTGTTGGACTTGAAAGCAGGTGGCAAACCACTTGGTAATACCAAAGCAGAGATTAAAATGGACTTACTGTTCACAGTTTCTGAAGGGTAGATGCTACATATTTCTCAGCATCACAGATTTTTCCAAGGCAAAGTTATTGTTTTTTCCTCCAGAGAGTATGATTTTATTTAACTAAAACAATGCACTTTATTGTTTTATTTATAGGAAGTGCCTACTTCATATGAAATACACAGGGCTTAATCATCCCTGGACATTTATTGCCTGTAATATATAATGTTATATATTATAGGCCTAAAGCACACGATATTCATTTGAAAGGATTTCTCAAGAAGTTTTAAACACCAATACTATGGAAGTTTCTCAAAGCTGATGTATTTGTTCATCCTCAAATTAATTAGGGTCTTTTTCTCCTTTAGAAAACTTTTCACTTTATAGAAACCCTTGTGAGGCTTTTATTTTCTTTTCGAAGTAATGACACCCCTAGAAAAGATAAAATGCTGAGTTATTACCTTTGTTATAGAGAAAGAGAAGAACATCATGATTGAATATCTCCGGGGAGACCTGACAGCTCGGAGCCATCACTGTTACTCAGACAGAGTACACAGACCAGGGTGTCCATTTAAATCTTGGGTTTTTCTTTCCTCAGACTAATTGCAAAATCAACAGGTCTCTGGAGAGAAGGTGAATTTTTTTCTCTAAACTGTCCATCAATTTCAAGAGCTTTTGGGGGAGTTACCATATTCTTGTCTTTGGGAAATTTGTCTTATTTGTTTACAGGTACTTGGGACTTAATTTTATCCTACCAAGCATTTGTTGAGTACCTACTCAATGACAGTGTCACAGACACTGATGGAGATTAGCATGCAGGATGTTTATGAGGGAGGGCTCTAGGTCAGCACTGTGGAAGGGAGAAGAGGAAGTTGAGCTGTGACGTAGAACCAAAAGCATCTTTCTGTGTTCTAGAGTTTGAATGATCCAGCTTGTAAAAAGGTGCCCCAAGTTGGTCCAAGATGAATAGGCCTTTTCAATCCCATATTGATCACTGGATATGGTCCACGACCAAGGGCCAAAACCTTGACAAGGCAGCTCTCCACAGCTGAGATGATACCTCTAGGGGTTGACAGTGAAAGGCTGTCTGTCTATAACTTTTAGCACCTTAGCAACATGTCTGTCATTTTAGAGAGATCTGGACAGTGTATTATAGGCCGACATTATGAGATGAGATGATAAGTGGCAATAAAATAGATGAGACATATTAATTTTGCCAAATGAGGTTTTACATTAAAAACAAGAAAAGAGAACTAGTAAGATCCAAGTGATAAAGGGCATTAGTCTTGAGGCCTAAGGAAAGTAGTCACTAATGATGAGTATGGCACTCAAGGAAAGCTTCTGAGAGGAGGTGCCATGAGTGGATCACTTGAGGATGAGCAGCATTTCAGACGGTTGAGACAGTGGAAAAGAGCTTTACCGGGTAAAGAGAAAGCATGATACCAGGCATAGAGAAATGGTATTGGTAGATGAATTGTAGAAGTTTGATTATGAAGCAAAGAGAAGGATAGAGATAGTAGTGGAAAGGAAGAATGGACGGAGCAGCTGAATCCAACAGGAGAGAACTTCGAATATTATCCTCAAGATATTAGAAAATAAAAAAGGGAAGACAGACTGAGCACAGCGACTCACGCCTGTAATCCCAGCACTTTAGGAGGCTGAGGCAGGCAGATCACGAGGTCAGGAGATCGAGACCATCCTGGCCAATATGGTGAAACCCTGTCTCTACTAAAAATATAAAAATTAGCTGGGCATGGTGGTGCATGCTTGTAATCTCGGCTACTCGGGAGGCTGAGGCAGGAGAATTGCTTGAACCAGGAAGTCAGAGGTTGCAGTGAGCCGAGATCGCGCCACTGCACTCCAACCTGGTGACAGAGCGAGACTCCGTCTCAAAAAAAAAAAAAAAAAAAAAAAAAAAAGGAAGAAAATGCTCTTGAAATCATAATTTTAAGCCATTATGACTTTAAATTTAAGTGAGATACAATTTTTATCACTTGGGTAATACCTGAAAAAAGCTAGAAAAAAAAGGAAGAATCCAATGAGAAAATTGGATCTGCATTCTCTCATGACTATTATTGGTTGAAGCTAAGTGACAGACACCCCCTTGAGAGTTGACATGCACTCTTCACTCCTCCAAAGTGTCTTATCCTCTCTATAGATATATAATGAGCCCATCCTATGAGACTGTATTACTTCTCTCACCTCTCTATGTTGGTTCTTGCATTGATTGATGACCTTCACTCATTCTCACATTATCACTTCATGGGTAAGGAAACAAGCCCCAAATGGGATACAGGCTTCCAGGATCCTATATCTGTCTTAGCTGAATTCTAGACCACCTTGCCATCACTTTAAGTAATACTCTTCAGAAATTTCATTGTTAAATCTAGACTATAAAGTTCCATCATGTATTAGCCATCTATTGATGTGTAAAAAATATTACCCCAAATTTAGAGGTCTAAAACAACAATAAAGGTTTAACATCTCACACAGTTGTTGTAGGTTGGGAATTTGGGAGTTGCTCAGCTGATGGTGCTGACTAGGAGTCTCTCATGAATTTGCACTAAAATATCGATCATGGCTGCAGGTGTGTGAAGGCTTGGCCCAGTTTGAAGAATCCCCTTCCAAGGTAGCTCATTCACATACATGGCAAGTTGGTACTGGCTTTGGCTGGAGTTTTCACTTCCTTGCCATGTGTACCTCTTCACAGGGCTTCTTGAGTGTCCTCATAGCATGGCAGGTGGCTATTCCTAAAGTGTATGATACAAAAGAGAGAAGCAAAAGCCACTTTGTCTTTTATGACCTAACCATTAAAGTCACACTCAGTCATTTCATAATGTTCTACTGTTTACACGGATCAGCCCTAAACTATGGATAACATTTAAAAATGACGCTAAATATAAATAAATTATATTTAAAATACACACACATTAAACCAATCTTTCAAAAATATGACTCACAGAGAGGACCAATACTACCATTGAATTATCATTTGCTTTGTTCTCTCAGTTAAATGTAATTTTTGCTAAGCTGCTTTCTAGTAGTCAGTGAAAAAGCCCAGATTTCTTATGAATTGTATTCTATATTTAGTCAGTACTGCTCTTGATAGTGCACTAAGCATCAGTATTCATGAAAATAATATAAAGAAAAGTATGACCTTTTATTTCAAATACCTAATCTGTGCATAGAGTTTAAAACAGTTTCTCAGTTGGAGATGGATTAGATATTTATGTTTCCCATGATTTTATAATTTTAAATATGAAATGTGAGGGTTACCTTCATATAAGTAGCAGTAATAACGTCCCACTGCATAAAAGTTCACTACCACAAAGGTGAATCTTTGTTTACCTTTTGAAGATACTTTATAAGAGGCTATGGGTAGCATTACCAGTACAGAGAAATCCAGTTGATCATATAGCAGCAAAACTAATGAAAAGCATCATGGAAGTGACAGCAAGATGAATTAAGTTCCTCCAGTTGTATTCACGTATGGCTGTGCAGAGTTCCTTTGGGTAACGCTGCAGTTAAATGGTATTCGTGGTGGCGAATACTGCAGATTTCCAGAACTGACACTTTTGAGTCAAGGGTGAAAATGGCATCCGGTCATTTTATCCACCAAAAGGATCAGAGATGAGCCTTTAGGATTATTAGTATGTTTGAGCATAGCAAAGACGAGATTGAGAGATAATGAAAAGAATGTTGAAACTGTAATATTTTGTTTTCCCATTACACACTTCCTTTATGTATTTCAGACATTTTGACAGAGGAAGCCAAACAAATTTCCACCTACTGTATTTGACTGGAGGCACAGAATTATGCACACTTGGAAACACTTTCAATTACTTTGTGAATTCTTGCAACATTGGGGCTCAGTTGCACTGTCTCTCTGCTCACTCTAGATAGTTGTTATCACAGTATATATAAAAATGGAATGTTCATGACCTAAAGCATCCAAATTTACTGGAGCTGCACTCAATTTATCATGAAGAATCTCTTTTTTTAAAGGCAAAATAAGAAATTCAATATAACGCTGTTTACTTCCTTCATTTTGTTTGCAAACATATTTGAGGTGGGTCTCTGGGTCTGGGAGGGCTGATTCTGAAATAGCTGCCCAGGAACCATAAATGAATTTTATTTTAAGAAAAATTGGAAACCTCTGAAGTGTATAAGATCTTTCAGCCTGCTACACAAGATGTATTAACTCATGTTATTGTGTCACCAAATGTCTTTGGAGGCATATTATTATATTTCTGTCCTTGGAAATACTTGGAAGTACATTTATGTATTCATTCAGCAAACACTTCCTACACTGTCTGTCAAATAAAATTTAAGCCTTTTTCCTTGAATGGGAGATCTCATCCAATATGGCATCTGTGTTTTCTTCTCCAACCTTACATTGCTTGAAGATCTTTTGAGAAACTTACTCTTTAATAATAATTTGTCCTTGGTCTCCCAGACACATCATTCACAATCCCATTCTTGTTCCTCTGTCAGCTCTTTCTGCATTATATCAGTCCGGGTCAATATTAAAGACAGGGCTTAAGTTCCACCACCTGTAGCTTCTCAGGATTGCCTGAACCCCTTCATAATATCATCTTTTACCAGACCCTTATACACATGTCCTAGAGTATTCATTTGTTAATTTATGTTACCTTTGTTTTTAGTTATATTTTTGGATATATGCTTCATTTCCTCAACTGAGATACTAAGTGCTTTGAAAAACAGGGAGGTAAGTAACTTGAACATTCGAGTTCAGGACTTGTTACAATAGCATCACCACTGTTTTTTTTTTTTTTTTTTTTTTTTTTTTTTTGCCAGTGATGATGATGGTTATAATGATTTGGCTTTCTATGAGTGAGGCACCATACTAGGTGGTCTGGGACTACCAAAGTTATGACATGGTGTCCATCTATTTTTGGTTATAATATCTATTATACATACATTTAAAGTGAGAGGCCAGTGTCTGCCTCTGCCTCATACAAAACTAGGTGAAAATATACACAACTTTCTGAAGGGCTTTGTGAAGGAAAAAATAGAAGAAAAAGAAAGAGAGGCATGAGAGAGAGAATCTGAGAACCATCAGAAAGGAAGTGTGTAACGCTTCTTACTGCAAGGGGATCAGGACTATCAATTAATCAGGGCAAATGTACAAACAAAAGCCTCTAAGAGTGTAGCTAGGGGTCTCATTAATTTCCCCTGAATCACTTTCTGCCTGAACGTTCTGTTTTTTGGCTCCCATATTAGGTTCCTCACCTGCTCCATCCACAAAATTTCTGATGTGTCTCTTGCCTGATGGTTGACTGGCCCTCTGGTTCCTAGCTGGGTTTCCTTCAGAGACTTGGGATTTCTCTCTTTAGCCTAAATACATGTAATTCTGACCATTGTCTCCTTCCACAACAAGAGTTGCTGCTTCCTAAATCATAGGCAATGTCTGATGTTAATGGCATGTTCCAATCACTAACCTCATAGGCCATGCCTATGGGATGCATTTCTGCTATGTTCTAGGATATGTTGAAACCGCCAAGGAATTAACATCTAATATTTTCCTTGACTCATAAGAGCCTTCATTCTTCTGGAGGGATAGCAACAACTTAACAGATCACGGAAATGCCATCTAATAAATACTGTAATAAGGTTATACAAACAGTGTTTGGGAGCTCATTAAGGGAACACGTGAATTTGACATAAGCCTGGGGAAAATATCTCAGAAAACAAAGTATCTGAGATTCAGGTAGTGAATAAAACTTGTAAGACAAATAAAGGGGAACAGAAAAGGGCATTCTTGGTAGAATATAACTTTATATTCTCAGTAGGAACAGTAGGAAGCACCATCCAGAGGTAGAAGACTTTCAATAGATTTATTCACTCAACATATATTTATGGCATGTCTCCTATGTTTCAGACACCATCTGAGGCATTGGTTATAGCATGAACATGATATACATGTCTCTGCCTTTATGTCTAGTCTGTTGTTGGAGAAAGAAGCAATAAACTGTAACCAGTGAATGAATGAGTTGAAAGATGCTTTAGGTCATTTCCTCTGTATGAGATAAAGGTGAAAGAGGTTCCAAATCCTAATGTATATGTTGAAATATAAAGAATTCTAGAATGTAAGCTCCATGTATACAGAGGTGTCTGTAATTTCATTAATATACCTTTAGCGCCTAGGACAGTACTTGGCACGGGAGTACTCAACAACTATTTTTTTTGAGTCAATAAACATTGCTATTCCACAACCACCTCCAAGGTTAAGATTTCTGGCTCTCAATGCTGGTTATTAAATATAATAAAAAGCTCCTATTAGCTGTCTATCAAATTAGAAAGAGTCACATATATAATAAATTTAGGCCAGGTGTGGTGGCTCACGCCTGTAATCCCAGCACTTTGGGAGGCCAAGGTGGTCAGATCACCTGAGGTCAGGAATTCAAGACCAGCCTGGCCAACATGGCAAAACCCTATCTCTACCAAAAATACAAAAATTAGCCTGGCATGGTGGCATGCTCCTGTAGTCCCAGCTGAAGCTGTGACTATAGTGAGGCTGAGGCACGAGAATCGCTTGAACCCAGGAGGCAGAGGTTGTGGTGAGCTGAGATTGCGCCACTCCAGCCTGGGGCCTGGGTGAGAGAGTGAGACACCATCTCAAGAAAACAAAAAAAAAAAAAAAAAAAGAGAAATTTATCATATGTCTCCAAAGTCAGTGAAATCTAGAATTTTGGAATATTATGGTATTTTTAGAACTTTTATTCTTAGCACAATGTTAGTACTTTTTTCTTGTAGGCAATTAATTTTCAATAATGACCCCAGGCATTTAATTTGTATGGAAACATCAAGTAAGAATTTGGTCATAAAATTGATTTAGGAGTTTATAGCAGTGTCTACACAACTTAAAAAATTCTGATTAAAACACTACACAGATAAATTGAATTAGGTATTTGTTTCCGTATGGACAGCTTATTTATTTAATTTTCAAACTGTTTTGACATTGAGTAGTGGTATACTATAGGCCAACTCAGGCTTAAAGTAGCCTTCCAGCACATGTCATTCATATGTCAACACATATGCATTCAAAAGTTATTATACTTTCAACAAATATTCATCACTAACTCCCCATATACTTGTGCTTTTGCTCTTATAATGTCCCACGACTCAGTGTTTAGTGTTAACCCTCTTCTCCTTTTTCAATCTATACTTCCTAAAAGATACTATCTGATCTCATGGATTTTATTATCATTTATAAAATCATGACTTCCAAATTTAAATATGAATCCCAAACATCTCCTTTGAGCTCCAGACCCATATAGCCAAACTACTATGAAACATTTCTACTTGGATATAATAAGAATGACAAACCAGACATGCCCCTACACTGACCACCTTCTAACCTCCCCTAAAGCAAGTTCTCTCAAAGTTTTTTCCTGAATTAGTGGAAATTCTGTCCTTCCATTTGCTCAGTCCTCAAATTGTGAATACTCCACTACTTTAAAAAAAATCTTAAATTGCTTATCTAACCTACCAGAGAATTCTGTGGACCCATTTTGGTACATGTAGAGAATCTGACCACTTTTTCTACCGCCACTGTTTCTTCCCTGGTCCAAGCCATGTTCTCTTTCCTGGATTACTACAAAGGCTTCCTAACCCGTCACCTTACATCTGTCCTTGCTCGCTTTAGTCAATTCTTCATACGTCAGTCATAGTGAACTTGTTGAAGCATGTCAAATCACGTTGCTCCAAAGTTATATCATGTAAGTCATAATAAAAGTCAAAGTATTTCTAATGGCCTAAAAAGTTCTACTGAATTTGGCTCCATCTTACCTATTTGAAGTCAACTCTTGGTTTGCTTTTTAAGATCTACTCTACTCTAGCATATTGGCCTTGTTGTTCTTCCTGGCACTCATAAGGTGTATTCCCCATTTATCCTTTGCACTTTCTGCAGCGTTCTTCATCCAGCACCTGGAGTAATGCCTGGCACATGATAGGCATTCATAAGATGTTAAATTTATTCAAAAATGTTGAATGAATTCATAGATAAATAATGAATTTGTTCATTAAACGATGGATTTGTATGAGGTCATGGAGTTAAAAAAGAAAATCCTCTTTCATTTGGGTTACATACAAGTAAAGGCAAATTCCCACACTAAGTTTAAATGCTATAGTAGGAATTAGTACAGTGTGCTATGTGAAAAAGAATACAAACAACACCTCATTTAGTCTTTTGGTGAGAAAAATGTTCTCAGAAGACATAATATTTAAACAGACACCCAAAGATTGATTACAGATTGCTTCAGTAGAGAGAGCAGGTGAAAGGGAATGTAGTCTTCAGGTGAATTATAGCCATACTTTAGGTTTCACACAGTGAAGAGTGTGAAGGACAAAGTATTTACAAATGGAGAAGCGAATAGGGACTTGGTTGTCGAAAACCTTAACGACCTTGGTGGATAAAATACGGAAACAGTGAAGAATACTGAGCAAAGGAGTGGCATGATCATACCATTTTTAAAGATGATAATGGATCTAATATGGAGAATGAATTGGACATGGGCAAGTCTGAAATCAGGAACACTGGATACAATTTTATTGCTACAATATAGATAAAAGATAAAGGTGGACTAAACTAAAGCCAAGGGCGAGGCAATGGAAGACACAACTGAGCTATGCTAACTCATGCTGAATCTAAGTCTCTGCTCCATGCAGCTATGAGAATTTGAAAGGACAAACACACTCACAAACTGTGGCCTGCAGTACCATCTGGCATCTGTACTGAATGGAATTTAAGAGCAGCTGCTGCTAAGCATGGACAAATTCAATTTGTGTGAACACTTTGCACAAAACACAACCAACCTCAAAGAACTGACTTCAGGCACATAGAAAAGTATGATGTCTTACACACAATACAGCTGTACTTAGGATGCTCATTCATTCATTCCCTCATTCACAAATATTTATTGTATAATGACAAGTAGCAGGTACCTTTCTAAGAACTGTAGATATAGCATTGAACAGATAAAATCCCTGCCCTCACTGAGATTATATTCCAGTGAGGAGAAATCAAAAATAAACAGACGTCTAAAATAGTGTGTCAGATGATGATAGTTGCCATGGAGAAAAATAAGGGAGGAAAGGAGGTTAAGAAATGTCAGGGGAGGGACAAAGGCATTTTAAAACTGGAAAAAAAAAAGACAGTGAATTAGTACACTGATAAACCTTTGAGCAATATTTGAATGAGATGAGGAGTCAAGGCAGGCAGCTACCCGGATCTTAGAACACAGAAAAAATTTTCACCCAACCATGATATTTTAATACAAAATATGTAAGTGGTTTGAAGGCATCCTTTGTTTTAATAGTGCTAGGTATAATTTTATCTGGCAAGCAGGTTGGTGCTACAGCTGACCCCAGATGAACTGACTTAATTCACCTTCAGAAGCTCCTAGGTTCTCACAGATTCTTAGAGACAGGTAAAGGTCAGGGTGTGAACCAGATTCTTCCCTAGAAGCTGCTAAGTCGCTCCCTTGAGATGACATATGAAAGCATCTCTCAGGCACAGCTGGCATGTTCACAATCCTCTATCTAGCCAAGATCAGCTGTGGTTTCATTTGGAAATTATTATGCTTCAAAATTAAAAAAAATAATATGTTGAAGAAATGTGTGTACTACCATGTTCATTGCAGTATTACTCACAGGAATCAAGCAAGGTTTCCACTAGTGGATGAATGGATAACAAAGATGTCGCATATATACATAATGGAATACTATTCAACCTTTTAAAAGAGGAAGATCCTCTCATTTGTGACAATATGGATAAACCTGGAGGACATTGTTGTCTTAAGTGAAATAAGCCAGGTACATAAAAACAAATACCCAATGATTTCACTTATATGTAGAGTGTAAAAAGGTCAAACTCTATAGAAACAGGAATAAAATGGTTACCAGAGCTGCAGGGTGAGAGTATTAGGGAGATGTTGCTCAAAGTACAAAACGCAAATACACACACACACACACACAACAACAACAACAACAACAACAACCACCAAAGTTGCATTTTTTAATAAATGTATACAAATAAATAAAATAGTTTTATGTAAAACAGGAAAAAGTATACAATTAAAACAAACATCACTTGTTTTCCATCCAGAGATAAACAACTTTGTATCTTAAGCTTCTACATTCCAGATAAGCCTTAATTGCAGGGAAGAGGGGCACATATCTTTAATTTAAAAGGGCATCTTCCTTTTCTGTTTGAACAGAATTACATTGTATAGATATTACACTCAATTGTTTCTGGAATGCCATATTCTTTCAAAGGCTACATGCTGTTTTTTGGGGTATACTACCAGGCAAAGATTGGCATGTTCTATTACCAGATGCTCCCTGCTGATGTATTTGTGACCATATAGATATATTTGTTTCTAGAACATGCAGTGACATTGTTTTATTGGGGGTGACTTTTACCTGAGCCATTATAAATAGCACATTTATTTGAAGAAGGAAACCTGTTGGAGAACTGTAATATAAATTCAACAAACAAATAGTAAGACAACTGTTTCTTACTCATCACATCATTAAGAAAGTTGCTTAACATCTCTGAGCCTCAGGTTCTTCATTTGTGACATCTGTAATATCCACCTTTCTATATCTCAATTTGTTAGTAATAAAGATGACATGTGAAAGTGCCTTTTAACTGTAAAATGTCATGCAAATGCAAGCGTGTTATTAATGATTAAGGTAGTCCTTTAATGTTTCAAATCTCCTATTTGAAACTCAACTCTCAATGCTTGCATCTTCCAACTACAGGAACTCAAATGGACCCAAAGCACTAACATTAAACTACAGTGCCCCCTAGCACATGTAGGAGGTCAAGGCAGCTTACAGGCTTCATGAATAAGCTCTACCACAGATGGTTCTTTTGCCTGAGGGAAGAACTACTAATTGTACTTTTGGACAATTTCCATTTGTCCAAAAGGAAAAAACATTTACGCATTTTCTTCAATACTTTCCCGTAACATTGTTTTTATTTTAATTTTTAAAAGGGAGTAAAAAAGTTAATATCCTTTACTATGTAAATTTTCCTCTGGTGGCTTTAAATTAAGAGTATTTCTAAAAGAACAGCCCTAGATTTATCTTAAGATTCACTGTGATGTTTCTGATTTATATTTGCTTACCTACTTTCACTCACCAAATTCTTTATAATCTAGCGTGAGAGAGGATATTGTTCATTGCACTCTTCACAGAGGTAGAATACAGTTAAGCTTTTATGCAAGATTGCACAGAAAGCCGTTATTATGAGCTTCAGCCCCCTAGTTTCTATGCACATTAAATCCACCAAGAGATATAGAATCGCGTAAGGAAATGCTATAGAATATTTTAATATCAAAATGTAGAAATCTTTGCTATCACACTTTTATAAAAGCCCAGATTAAAAATATATCAATTGCATTCTTCCATAGACTACAGTTCTTTGTTTATATTTGGTTCTTAATTTCATAAATGTCTATAGAAATTTATAAGTTCAAATGTTCCAGTACGTAAATTGGTTCCCAAAGTGATGAGTCCTTAGGAAACGGAACTTGCTGTATGAGTTTATTTTTTCCATGCTGTGCATTTAAGTATTAATCAGCACAGCTTTCAGGGATTTCTTTCTAATATCCTTTTCTATGTAAGATAAGGACTGCAATTCATTATACCATTGGAGGAGCCAGAGGCTTTGCTAAGCTTTGCCTTTCTTGACCGTTCATCTCAAATTTAATGAGAGCGTTGTGTGTGTGTGTGGTGGGGGGGGGAGGGGGGTGGGTGTGTGTGTGTGTGGCTATATTATATTGGTGACTGGACTCTAACTATGGCACAATGTTGGTTGCCTTTCAGGCTAATCGTCTCTCCGTTTCAGGAGGTCAAAGATCATTTCAGCCTCAGTGTGCTTTCTACCTGCCTACTAAGGGAGGCAGCAAATTTGGTCCTGGGCAACTGAGAGGTGACTTTTATCACCAGTTATTTTTCTTCACATCTTTCTATCAACATAATAGCTCAGGGAACACTCAAGAAATAAAAAATTACACTTCACCAAGTACTAGCTTTCTGGGATGTGATCACTTCTAAGTGTGAACCTCTATTACCCTAGCAGTGGTCCCTGGCGTTCCTTTTATTCCTCTTATATATAAACATCACAAAAAATAACAACAAACCCTCAAGCCCACAGCAAAGAGAATGCAAGCACGGCACCATCCCTCTTCGTACTGCCGTTTTAACTTGGTAGAGGAGGTTAAATTTTGGAGAGAATGGTGGCATTCACAGGAGGGGCGGGGTAAAAGTGTTGTCTAATTACACGTTAATGGCAGAACTCGCCTTAACCACGTCCCTCCTGCACAGTGGTGAATTTCTCCTGTGTGTTCCTGTGTGGATCCCGACACTCTTCTCGCTTTAAGAGAGCCTCCCGCGCCCCTCACTCCGCCCCTTCCCAAGTCTCTGGGCTCGTCAAAGCTTCCCGAGAGCCATGGTTGGTCCAGGCAGGCAGTCGGAGCACCTCGTGGAGCGGCTGCTAACCCAGGGTGGGGTGGGGTGGGGTGGAGGGGTCTGCTTGTAGTACTCTCAGTCCTGATGTCACAGGCGCGGCAAGGACATCGCAAGGAGGAGTCGGATTACAGTAAGGATGGGCAGTGCAGCAGGCAGCCCGAGCGCACTCTCCAGCCGCCGGGGATCTTAGCCCTGGAAAGGCAGCCTGCAAGGCGCTCATCCCGCGGAGGAGGCACGCTCTCGGCGCTCACTGCTCTCCACGCCGGGGACATTTCCACCGAATGTAGCATGAAAGGGCTCTGCTCTACGTGCCAGCCTTGGGTGAGAGCTGATGCTGAAGACACCGCGGTGGGATTCCAGCTGTCTGATTAATGAGAAACATAATGTATTTTGGTGAGTGTTCACTCTGATGATGTAATTCTGGGGGTGTCCGGCTCTTCATCCGTGCAGACAAGCCCTTAAAAAATTCTTTAAGCAGCAAGAATATGTTACATTAAACCTACCTCCAGTTGGCAACTGGAGGACCAAGCCGGTGCAGCCTTCAAAGCTTCCTTTGTGCCACAACTGGGGCTGTTAATTTAGCCGTGGATGAGTTTAAGTTGGAAAAGAAAAGAGACAGGGACATGTGGAGGGGGCGGGGGGGTAAACTTTGCCTTGATTTGCCTGAATGAAGTTGGCTCTTTTAGCTAGGTGAAGGAGAAATAGTGCAGCGTGGGAAGTCATGAGCTAACTTAATGGAATGTGAAACAAAGTTTCTATACAATTGATGCTGTGAAAGCTTAGTCAATATGAGCATTTCATTCAGTATTTGCTGGTTTTTCTTGTTCTGAGGCGGAAAAGGAAAACATTGTCTAGTGAGCAGTGTGGTTGAGCAGCTGAGAACACTTCTCTATATCATCTCAGTGCTCTGTCTAGCTAGGAGCAGCCTAGCACAAAATGCATATTATTTGAAACCTTTAGAGGTCTCGGAGATGTCAAATATTTGTGCAGGTCAGTTTTGTGCCACGGTAGAAACCTCAGTTAGGTTTTCAGTTGAGCTGCCTGCATTTCCAGAAAGCATGTTGAGGCTTGGATCCGAGCTATCAGTTGAGCACTGGAAGTGGGCTTGGAGCTGTGCATTTGCACTCTAACGCCGCAACTTACTGCTAGTACAGGAGGCAAGCCCCTTCACTAAATAAGAAGAAGTCAAAGATAAGGACTGAATATTTGTTCCTCCTCTCTGAAGTTATGCTTTCCTTCTGTAAGTCCTATCTGGCGTCATCATTTAAGGGCATCTATGCGATATTAAAAGGTTTGATAGAGCAACTGGAGAGGGGCTAGGAAATGTATCCAAGATGCAAATGCTCTGATTTCTTGGTTTGCTTTAAATATTAAATCTAGCGTCTTCTTTCAGATTAAAGAGGTATTTAGATAAACTTAGGTTGGGGCACTATTAGTTTGTTGGAAATTTATTTCTGTATGTACTATTTGCTCTGTTTTGTTTCCTTTAGGCTTTGAGACACTTGAGAGTGTGTGGAAGGAATCTAAGTTCCAAAAGCTAAATGCCTTTAGTTGTCTTGACAGTTTTGATTTGCCTATAATTTGTATCATATTAGAAGAGAAGTCTTAAAATAGCTGAAAATGATTTGGAAGAAACAATTTCATTGCATTGCCAAATTTAAGCAGAATCTGTAGTTAAAAACCATCTCTTTCCAGTGGGTAGTAATGGAGGTGGTAAGCTTGTTTATTGGCCACTAACAGAGTTTATCATGCATATATTTTCATAAATGGAAAAGCTTGTAAAGATAATAGGTCTTTTGGACAAAATACAATTTCAGCATCAGTAATGATACTGAAGGATGATGAAACAGATTATAATTTTAGTTTATATTTTCACCCTCTTGAAACAATTCCTTATGTGATCGTCGTGAGGAAGTAGGGCCAATTAGAATAGCAGTAGAGTCTAAAAGTACTGGTCAAAGGCCATCCATGCTGGACTGGATTATCGTGTGACTATTGGAGAAATGTTCAGTGGGCTAGCTTGTGTTATTAACTGTATGCTAGTTCAGCCTCTTGTAAAGCAGAGTGATTCATAGGGTAATCAATTTCATTGTGTAATGCAAGTTTTTAATAGTACGAATTGAAATGTGATGTCCTACTTACTTTAGATGAAACTCTACTCTTTGAAAGGCAAGGCTAAAGTTGCCCTCAGTGTCTTGAACATTGTCTTACCATAATTTTGGTATAAGAAATGTTTTTCTGCTCCCAGAGGAAATCCTATGTATTCAGGAATGCTGTTTCTTTCGGGTTATGCTATGCAGCTTCTCGTACAAGCTGTTAGATATCCACAACTTTGGGAGCCCACCTGTCTCTAAAAAAAAAATGTGTGGTACAAGAGCGAGGGCAAAAAGAATTGAGCAGTACACTTCAGGCATGTTAAAATTCAATAGCATCCTAATGTTTGAAAATGCTGAAGACTATGTATTTATATATGTATGTATGTACGCACACACATATATGTGTACATGTGTATGTATCTTAATGTGTGTGCGTGTTCAAAATTGTAGCGATTTCAGGTAATTTTTCCAAGCAATGCTTTCACTTTGCAAATTGGTTGGCCATTACTTTCTTCTTCATTTTTCAACTGCAAATGGTTTATCAAGTCAGGGAGAACAGGGACAAAGGGAAAGCAATGCTGCATTCTTAGGCTTTTCTGGTGACTTGTGAGAATGGGGTAGAGATGTCACAAATCCTTTATTTGTGTCCCCAGCAGAGCGTGATGAAGAGCATGGTGATGCTATGGTACGGGTGAATTGATATGAAAGCGGGATATTTACTTCCTTTATAAATCATCTGATTTGTCAGTGTTGCCCCCCACCCCCACCCCTTCAAATATAGCTGAAGAATCACTACCTGAATAGCCTGGCTCAGCCTATCTGCTTCAATTCATTCCTCCTTCCCCTTGGGACTGGACAACTGGACCCTGCCCTTGCTTAGTTGGAGTCAGTTGTGTGTGTGTGCAAGTTGGTGGAAGATGTAATATTTTCAGATCTCAAGAACAGCTCATGTTTGTAGTGTGCTGTCTCAGACTTGCCAGAATAATAGAGCTTTCTAATGACTTAAGCCTCACTCTTATCTCCTATTGAGATTTTAGTGCAGTGTTTTCAATAATCGTTCATTTGTACTTCCTGTGCTGTGATTTCAGAGTTTGCTGTTCAGTCACCGTGGACACTTTTGTTACTTATTCTATCAATCTTGGATCTTGCATTCACCATTTGGAGTTAAATATAAGGTTCACATGGGAGAAGGAAGCAGGGAAAATCTCAGTCAGCAACCTGAGTGGGATTTACTGTAAAAGCAAGGGAAAATAATAAATACTTATAAATTTACCCTCCCACCCCCATCAATGTTTTAGATAGTTAAAAATTACATGTGCCAAAGATGAATAGCCATTAATAATTTATCCAGAAATAAAAGCAAGGCAGCTGGGAGACTTCTCCCTAGATTAAGGAAGAGAGGCTGTGGGTGGTTGTCAGTACAATGGACTGAGCTGCCCAGTTACAGTTTGGTTAAGAGGACTGTGCTGGTATGAAGGGCAGGTTATTTGCTTGAGTGCACCCCAGCAATTGCTCAGCGCCTGGCAGAAGGTTGTAACTGTGCACTGTCTCCAGCTCTAAGCACCGTATGTTTGAATTGTCTCCCCATTTCCATCTGGCCTGACACATTTCTCCACTGCTGGATAGGTGAGTCGTTGCCAGTGGTCATGTCAACCACACAGATTCCCCATGGTTGGCCAGAGAGATGCCATGTCTCACCCTTTGCCATCAGGAGAGAAAATGGGAGGCTGATTGTGCTGAAGAAATTCTGTGTGGCTGCATATCAGGAAGCTTTCAGTTCTGAGTCAAGCAGGTAGAGACTGTGGTAAGCTTATAGCCAAGAAGGATCTGGGGCTTGCCCCCATGAGAATACTCCTAAAAAAAATGAAATGATACACTTTAAACAGAATTAAGAGGCAAATATTAGAGCTCTCCCTAAATGTTCCTATTAATGGCATATTAATTAAACCTAGAGAAAAGGGCAGGCAAAATTTAGAAAGTGTGAATGAATCATTCAAGTTCGCCTTGGTGTTAGTTGTGGATCAACTCTCTTCATTAAAATGCCTAAGGAAAATAGGAAAAACATTTGGTGGCATGCCTATAATAAAAACAAAACAAAACAAAAACCTCACTGAGGAAGCTTTTAATACAACAGCTAAAAAAAAAAAAAAAAGAAAATCTAGTAGGAAAATTCTAGGACAGAACCCTATTCCCCTGCCTATAATAGACGCATTTGTACATTGTCTTAGGAAGGACTTTTTTCCCCTGGGATGTTTAGAACATTCTCATGTCAGCACTTACACTTTTGGTTGTAGCTGGACCATCAAGTTCACCTCCAAACTAGTGTGTTAGAAAAATATTTAAATGGCAAGGTTATGAGGAAGGAAACGATCAGAAAGCAGCAGGCAGCAGAGAAAAACATTCCTTTTTAGTGGTTTCAGTGGAAACATTTAACTCCTTCTAATTAGTTTGTACTGAGTGATCTGTTATGAGGAATTAGGTCCACTCGACTATTTCTAAACACTCAGCCACTGTTTCTATCTCCCCGAAGCTGACAGGGGTGAGAATAATTCAGGAAGAAACTTCTATGTCTAAAGTCCCCCTTTTAAAGCGTGAAGTCCTGACCATTATGTCTTATTACAAATACATCTAAATTACATGCAATAAATTACTACAAAACAGGGCTGGAGAATGTTAACAGGTGAATACTATCAGAAAGGGTCATGAATAAGAACCTGAAATCTAAGATAACTTTAAAAGCCATAAAGATTTCTTCCTCAAGACTATTCTCTTTTTAATCTCATATGAAGTTCCTATTTTAAAAGCCAAATTCCAAATTTGATCAACATGCCAGTGACATGGATTCCTTATCACATCCTTAAATTTTAAGCTAGTTTTTTAAAAGGACCTCCACAGTTGTTGTAATTATATGGAAATGAGGTATGCTTATTTAAGGGATAAGTTCCAAAATTCATGAGCTAATGATGACTTGCAAAGTTACGCTTTCGTGGATGACATAGTTGTTCCAAAAAACAAATGACAAATTTAAATTAGTGGTTTCTGACTTCCATTCCGGAAGATTCGGTCACAGTTGCTTTTGACTGAACGCTCCGTTGATAAGACAAGATGTGTTGGTTGGTGTGTGTGTGTTTAATACTGGAATGTCAAATAGTTCCTTGTTATATATATAGACTTAATATTGTACTTCAGTCATAGCATTTATGTATTCCTGGATCTTTTCACATCATTTGAAATGTAATACATTAAGTATTGACTTAATAAGATAGACATTAAAGTACTTTTTAAGCACAGCTGGCTTTCAAGTTTAGCAACCATTATATACATTAGAGGTTTTAAAAATCAAGTCATAAGGATCATTTTCAAAGCTTTTCCTGCCTAAGAAAGCATGATGCTTGTATAAGCAGAAGCCTATTTCTACTTTGACCTTGAGAAAGGGATGTTTCCATTTGTATTGCACTAGGAAAAACATGTCAAAAAACAACAAAGGTCATAGTCCCTGCCCTCTCTCTTTCTGTCTGTCTCTCTTTAGAGAAGCCATTACATATCATTTCCCAAAAAGATTAGTTTTGCAACAGAATTTCACACATGATTGGTGGCATTAAGAGAAAATACAGCATAAGAGGTGGCTAGAAATATCAAAGCTTAAAGTGGTTGAGATCATGCTTGAACCAAATTGCTAGGATTGAAAATAGGAAGATGCTTTGCTCTGTCGCAGCGTTAAAATCGTTATGAAGCAGCTGGAAGTCAGCCCTGATTGCATATGAACTCCAGGCTTACACAGCCCTTGAAACGGAAGGTATTTTCATGAAACCCTCTTGATTCCAAAACCTCAAATGCATATGAACCTGTATTAGGGCATTGGCTGGGATGTAGTGAATCTCTTTTCTTTCTTATCAATCTTTCAGTTTTTTCTTTTTTTGCCCACATGTAATATCACATTTCTGTAAGTGGAGAGGAAAAAGAAAAGTAACCTGGCCAAGGTCAGAAAGGAAATTCGCAGCAGTATCAGGATTGATGCTCACAGAAAATGCTGTCTGCCCCACAGGAAGATGGGTGCTATGGGGGCAGGAATGGGGTTGGTAGGCTGAGAGTTTTTAATGGATAAATGTTGTTTAATCTATGTCCTCAGCACTCTTGTTAGTGCCAGGCACTTAGAAATATGTGTTGGATGTGCAAGACTGAATGGGTGTGGGAGAGCAGAGAGGAAGGGAATCCACTTCCTCCACGCATTCCCTAAGGCTGATATTCCCTATGAAAGCTAGTACTCGGGCATTGACAAGAGAAACAGTCCCTTTTGCTGCTGAAACACTAGCTTTTTTTATTATTATTTTTTTTATTTTTTTTAACCCAAGTCCTAGTAAGGACAAGGCCATAGAAATTAAATTTTAAATTAAATGTGATAAATTCCATAATCTTTTTTTCTGTTTCTAGTTGCTTCTTTCATAGGACTCTGCAGTGTAAAGCCGGTGTTAACTCTATAGAATATTAAGGCCAATGTACAAAAATGTCTGAAAAATACTTAAAATTATATAAGATAGCAAAATTATAGTTAATAGCAACTCACCTGATACAATTTCAGTTTTCAGCTTTCACTTTGCTTAAGTGAATTTTCTCCAGATGTTGGCATTCCCTTGCCAGCAGGCTGGGATGGGCATAAAAGACCCTATATGCACAAGTAGCTGAAAATGTTTAGGAAGGTCTCCAGTTTTGAAGGTTGTCATTTATGATGGCAGAAGAAAATGAATACAATTTTGCCTACAATTTGCAGGGCTTTAGTAAAGTTGCTCTTCACACTTACCTTTTTTCATATTCATGGATTTTGCTGATGAGGGAAAGTGGTTGTAGCAGATTGCTCTGAGGATAAAAACGCAATAAGGAATGTAAATGTACTTTAATAAACATGATCCCTTACACTTGTATAGCAATTTGTATTTTTCAAAGTGTGTCAACATTTTGCTTTTTTTATCTTCAAAATGACCCATTGTGGGAAGTAGACAAAATATAATTATTCCTATTTTTAGATGAGGAATTTGAGCCACAGATGACTGAAACAACTTTCTCAAGGTCACAAAGCTAGTGACTGTTAAGGTGTAGACTCTATGTCAATACTTCTGAGACTTACTTCAGTGCTCTTTACAATGGAGAATGGGGGTAGGGAGATATTTTTATGAATGGAAGATTATTTGTAACAGTAATACTTGAAAACATTCTCCAGCCAATAGCTTGAGAAATGAGTCAAATAATTGGGATCCAATATGCGTTTGTGTTTTGACTTGACTTTGTGAAATTACAATTCATAACAGAAATCTGAACATAATTTATAATTTTATTCTGCCTTGTCTTTTTACATCAAATCATTAATAGTCAGAAAATATGAATTCTGCTTAGAAGGCATGCATCGGTGTTATGGACTGAATGTTTGTGTCCCTGTTTCCCAAACGTATAAATTGAAGCCCTAATTCCTAATATGATAGTATGGAGGTGGGGCCTGTGGGAGGTAATTAAGTTTAGATGAAGCCATTTGGGTGGAACCCTCAGGATGGGATTAGTGTCCTTATAAGAAAAGGAAGATGTGAGAGCTTCCTCTTTCCACCATTTGAGGCTGTAGCAAGAACGTAACTGCTGCAAGCCAGGAAGAAAGCCTAACCAAAACCAAACCAGGCCTACGCCTTGAACTTGGACTGCCCAGCCTCCAGAACCGTGAGAAATAAATGTCAGTTGTTTAAGCCCTCCAGTCTGTGGTTTTTTGTCATGGCAGCCAGAACAGATTAAGACAGTTGGCCTCAGGCAGGAAGGATCCAGGCTTTCTCTACTGCCTCAGTTCCTCTAGTGTCTATATTTAGTGTAGATAGTAAAGCTTATATTAATTGTATACTGTATGTTTTTGCTGTCTCACTATTTAACTCAATGCTTATAAAAAAAGTCCAAATTAGCTGTGCTACGATCTCTTTGATATTTACAGTGACCCCATCTCTACCATTTGTTCAAGATGGAATCCCAGTCTAGTCTTTGTTCCATGACTGATAAGTAGGAAAAATGGCCTACTTTACAGTTGTATCTCTTCCATTCAGTAGTGCTGTGTCCTTGGGAAAGTCATCTCACATTTGTAAAGTTTTGTTTCTTTGTAAAAGGAGAATAATAATAATATAATAATGTTTCTCACGGTTCTATTTGGAGAACTAAAATATGCTATACACATAAAAGTGCCTAGCACTGGAAAGTACATGGTAAACAGTTAAGCTTAATTCTTTATTTCTTTTTCTCCAACTCATATACAAATGTATGAAAATTGAGAAAAGTGATTTTGCCTGTTGGGGTCAAACTAGGAACCATGCTTAGTAAATTACATAGAAATAATTTAATGTAGATAATTTGGTATATAGGTGATAGAAGAGCTGAAAAGCCACATGGGGAATGGTGAGACAATTCATAGAGTAGCAATCGCAAGAAACTGGTAGTTATAGATGGAAACACAAGAGAGACTCCTGAAGGCCAGGGCCCAGGGCCTCCTGGCAGGAGCAGGAATCATAGAGGGGATCCCACATTACACTCAGAGAGAGACAGAAAAATACCCTGGTTTCTCCCTTTCTCTTGCCCTCCAATCCATTGCCTTCTGCCGCTCATTGGTAGAACTGAGCCGAGGCCGACTGAGGTGGCCTGGGAAATGTATCCTGCAGGCTTTAGCCTCTACGTCTGTAGCTTAGAGGAAGAGCAAGAATAGATCTCAGGACAAATTGGCCAAAGACCTGCAGAGAGATCTTGCCCCTGATCTATAAGTAGCAATTTAAATGGGAGAGTATTTCTGCAAAGCCACCTCAAGTATCAGTAAGAGTTTGGTTGGGGAAGATACACTTAAGAGGGAAAGGAAGTATGGTTCAAGAGCTTTTGGCAGCTCTTCACCAATCCTCCTGGTTCAAGTATGTACTTTGTCACTTTCTGGTAGCACGGCTTTGGACAAATTAGTGAATCTTTCTTTGCATCAGTACTTAATACAATCAGTTGAAAAGTCTGACAGTGAAGTGTAATGAAATTTGAATACAAACTTTATAATCTCCAAAGCACTGTATAAATGGACCTTGTTATGAAGGTGTGAAAAGCCAAGTGAATTAGTAAAAGAAGTGGGGAGTTTGAAAAATAACAACTTGGAAATAAATGTTCAGCTATGCAGTTTAACATTCCAGCAGAGATTTCTGAGGACATTGAGGGAAGAAGCATTTCGTTACTTCATCAAATAGCCTCTTGTATTGTGGTTTCAATATACCTTAGAGGCCACATCTAATCTATTCTTTGTCATTTTTCTATACCAATGGGAGAGTTCAGACTTAGAGGCAGGAAGAGAAAGCGAGCAGGGCAGGAACCCTGAGATTCCATGCCCCATACTCTTTCCCCTGCAAGACTCTAATGGGGATGGACATATTGAAAACTGAGAGAGTTTATTAATAATTGCTTAGGAATTGAAGAGGAATTCGGTATTGATTTTTATCTATTCCTCCATGTGTTGCTGGACTTTTAAAGACAGATTTCTTTGGCTGAATGGACCTACTATTTAAAAAAAAAAACAAGGCAAAATATTCTGCCCTTCCTGTATAGAATTATTAGGATTTCTCCCAAGGTCTGCTTGTAAAGTCCTGTGACAATTTACAACTTATGACGCTCTTGTTTTGAGGTACCACCATGGTAACTGCTGGGAAGTGTTTCCCTTGCAGCACACAATAAGGAAGTCACCGTTACCATCACGTGTTTTAATTAGCTGCCCTGAGGAATGGTGGGCTATAGCTTAGAGGTCTGTGGGCATTCTTAGGATTTGTATACTAAGGAAAATGTATCAGTTAAAAGGTAAATTGGAAGGCAGATTGATTAATTTTTTTCCTTTAAAAGAAAAGTTGTGTAGGATCCTAAATACTAACCTGGTGAATCACTTCGTTTATGGCACCCATCTGGTTTTTTTCTCACTTTTAAATCAATAAGTACAAATACTGTAGTGAGAAGCTTAAGGCATGAGCTTTATGGACCTCTTGGTTTCCTTTGAGAATTCTCAGCTTCCCTTTGTGAACAGCCCTGATGCCGATAGGTGATAACAGGTGATGTGGCCACTGCTCACAGAAGAAGAATTGAATATGGGATGAATGCCTGCTGTGCCAGGCACTGCCATGAGTTATTCCATTGGCACCTCACCACCAGCCTTAAGGGGAACATCAGTGGATCTAAACCCTGGCTGTACAAAAGAATCACCTGGGGAACTTTGAAATGATACTAATGTCAAAGCGCTATCCCGGTCCAGTATAACCAAATTCTCTGAAGGTGGAGTCAGGCATCTGCATTTTCATTTAATACCCCTCAGTTAATTATGAAGGACAGCCAGAATTAAGAACCACTGAGATGGGAAATTTTAACCATTTTACAGTAAGCATCCTGAGGCCCTGGGAAGTTCCACATTGCCCCAGGTCACCTAGGCAGCAGTTGGCTGGGTCAGGATTCCAGCCCAAGTCAGTCTGAGTTCAAAGCCTGGGTTCTTTCCCCACGACACATTGTCTCCTCTCACGGAAATCAGTGTATGGCATGACGTGTGGGCCTGATTACACATTGCCTGTGCTGCCCATCCCTGGTTTCCACAGTGAACATCCCTAATGGCTGGGAACCCTTCCTTTCTACTTGGGATCCTTTATAGAGCTGGTACCCAAAAGAAGTCCATATTACAGTAGTTGATTCAGGATCACAGTAATATAGTTCTGGAAAGGATTTTGAAATCTTGCTTCCCAAAACTTAGTGTTTGTACAAATTACCTGAAGATTATATTATAATATAGATCCTGACTCAGTGGGTCTGAGATGTGGCCTGAGATTCTGCCTTTCTAACAAGCTCCCAGACGTTAAATGTTCCTGGTCCACCCACTGGTCACACTTTGAGTAGTTATGCTGTAGAGGCCAGTTAGATGAGCTACCACTTTATGCACATGTGGGAAATCAGGTCTAAGTTTCCAACCTTAGTATACTTATTTCTATTCTACAAGACACCGCATGGTCCATGGTTTGAGCTCCAATTACGGTGACAAATGATTCCATGTTGCCTGGGACTTAGAGGGTTTTCAGGATGTTGGACTTCCCGTGTCAAAACAGAAAGTTTCATGTGTACTGGGATGAACTGGTCACTCTAGTTTCTGTAGACTGAATTTGAACCTTAGATTCAACTCTCAAGACTGGGGAGAAGTTGGGCAAGCAACTTGATCTCTTTGAGCCTCCGTTTCTTAATCTGTGAAGCAGGAATAATAAATGATACTCTATAGAGTGTTTGTAAGGATTAACTTAGATGGCATATGGAAAGCACTGGAAACACTGTCACCAGGTTCACTTTCAGTAAATGTTCACAGTGGTTATTGCTGCTTATAGACCTGACTCGGTACTCCCTTCCATTACTGAAAAGAAGAAGAAATACCCCAAAGATCAATTGCAGGTGACCATGGATCATCTTTATTGCATCATCTCTGTACAAGGAGGGCAGCTTTTAAATCATCTCCTGCCCTTGTTATGATGGGCAAGCTGGAATGAAGTCATTCTTCATTGTACACTTTGCCTACCCCGAACATCAATACTAATGTTTTTTTGTTCGCTGCTTAGGGAAAGAAATGCCTGGCTAAGACTTTACCACCTTGGGACATTCTGATCTGGCCCCTCATGTTCCTGTCGACCTTGTTTATCCATTAGTGTTTCTCTGAGCTCTGTAACAACTTATGAGGGCGGCTGCAGCTAATGACTGTGCCTTCCATCTCCTGACCCGTCATTGTGTTAACAATCGATATCCTTAAAACAACACACACAGTCAAGGCAGCTCCTCCACCGCAGCTTCCATTAAAAATGTCCGTGGAGAGAAAGAGAGAAAAATGTTTAACTCATGCACTTCCTAGCACAGAGCCTGGCACAAGAACATCGGATTCGTAAATGTTTATGGAGTGTGATAGCAAGCTGTGGGAATCTGTCTCTGATGCAAGTGACTTTTCGGTAGTGACT
The DNA here is from genome assembly GCF_000001405.40 of Homo sapiens. Classification (NCBI taxonomy): domain Eukaryota; kingdom Metazoa; phylum Chordata; class Mammalia; order Primates; family Hominidae; genus Homo; species Homo sapiens. Next base: position 21,739,187 of record NC_000003.12, on the reverse strand, counting down.
AGAGTCTACCACTTAGACCTCTACTTCCCCTTGCTCAGTTGGATGGTGTTGAGAGAATGAGGCTGGCTTTGCCAGTCACTACCCAGGAAAGCCGATTCCCTCACCTCCTGTCAAATGCCATACGCTTCTGAGAGCATTTAGTCGGCTAGATATGTGATGATTAGTTGGGAAGCAAAGTGCACTTTTGTTTTTCTATTATCACTGGTAAGTGGGGAAGCTACAAGCAGTCGATTATTCCACAATAGAGGTTACTCAGCCCAAACTGCTGCTGACTAGTATTTTAAACAAGAAAACAAATGAACAACAAAGCAGAAGCTACTCTTGCTTTCTTTAAGTATAAAATGCAATTGCAGAAAGGACCCAACATAATCACACTTTTGTTTATTTCCATTTTAGAGGTAAAATTGGGAGATTTTTGTCTCTATTTTCAACACTGCTTACTGTAGTTAAAGCCTTCTGAAAGGGGATTAAACATAAGGGGCCAAAAGTCTCCATTTCATGGACAGAAAAATAGAGGCCAAGTGATTAGTAAATGTTCATATTTGGCTCTTATTAATACTCAAACATTAAAACCCAGGTCCTGAGATAGGGATGTGAATTTGGGTGAATTGTCCTGAGCCTCAGCTTCCGAATCAGTTGAGATAATAATGGCAACTCACCCTACTTCACAAGGCAGAGGTGTAACTTACTAATAATAGCTAAGATTTAGTAAGTGCTTAGTCCCTGACAGCCACTTTTGTAAGTATGGCAACCCAAACAGTCTTCACAACAGCCCTGTTATGGAAGAATTATCAGTATTCCTGTTTTTAAATGGGAAGACCAAGGTACAGTGAGATTAAAATGAGACTAAAATCAGTGGCCAAGTCAGATCATACCCAAGATGTCTGGCTGCATAACACAGACCTCCTCACCACACCTTTCTATGTGACCTTGAATAAATTCCAGTCTCTGACAACTCAAACCTAGGAGCGTATTCTCACCATTCCAATAGAGCAGCAGTTGTTTGAAGAAGGCAACAAACTCACAAGAGAACCAATGCACAAACAAAACTCCTCTCAGTGTACAAGCCAAGCAGCCCCCTGGCAGGTGGGGCCTGAGGCTGAGATCAGGGAAAGACTCCAGGTCCCTTTCAGGAAGTCTGCACAGGGCTGGAGATATAAAATCCTGTTCATGGAACATACAGCACCAACCCCTGTAATTCTCCAAAATTGTGACTTACACATAACGCTAATCACAGTGATGGCCGTCTATCTTTACGTGAGTGCTGTGAGCTAGGAGATGTGCTATGGCCTTTACCTGTGTGAGTTTGTGCCTGATAGAAGAACCATACTCTTCCAAATGGAGCAACAGTCTTCTTTCTTGCTCTCTTCTTCCTGGGCACATCAGGCAATGTGCCACATGTGCAGTGATCCTTCCTATCAGATAGTAATCCAAACACCTTTTAGACCCTTTTAGACCCAGGAACTGAGAGAGAACATGTACTCTTTGAATATGTTCAATAGAATATTTTTGTACTTTTTGAAAAAGTAATACAGTACAGTTTTTAAATTGAGAATTATAAAAGTATAAATAGTGAAAACTAAATCCCCCCCACCAACCACCATAGGTGCATTTTGTTGTATTTGAGAGACTAAATTCTATGGAAGGGAGTGTGTGTATATATTTCGTATACATACGTATCTATCTATCTTATGTGTATGTGTGTGTGTGTGTGTGTGTGTATATATATCCCCCTCTTGTTTATACATATAATGGAAGTAACCTGTGTACCTTGTTTTGCATATTGTTTTATGTATCGTATACTGATTCTCATTCTTTTTATTTTATGGCTACATGGTATCTAATGATTTATTTTGCTGGCCTTCAAAAAATAAGTTATTTCTATTATTTTACTAGTAAAAACAATGACTATCATAGTGCATAATAATTCTTTGTTACATGGACACATGTATCTATCTATAGAAGTAGGATTGCTGTCCCAGCACTTTAGGAGGCCAAGGCAGGCGGATCACTTGAGGTCAGGAGTTCAAGACCAGCCTGGCCAACATGGTGAAACTCCGTTCCTACTAAAAATACAAAAATTATCCAGGCGTGGTGGCAAGCGCCTGTTATCCCAGTTACTCGGGAGGCTGAGGCAGAAGATTCACTTGAACCCAGGAGGCAGAGGTTGCAGTGAGCCGAGATTGTGCCACTGTACTCCAGCCTGGGCGACGGAGCGAGACTCCGCCTCAAAAAAAGAAAAAAAGAAATGGGATTGCTGGGAAAAGGCATATTTAATCCTTACGCTTATTGCCAAAATGCCCTATGGAAATTTTTTATTGATGAATTTCTACATATATTTCTATCATTAAAAAGTAGAATAATTGCTTTTAAACTGACAAACTGCCTTGAAGACCTCTTAGAGCATGGATTTGTAGGATAGAACAGCATGAAACAGCTTCTGCTTTTTTGTCCTTGCTCTCCCCTCCCCAGTCTACTTCTCTATTTCACTTCTATTCTGCTAATTCCATATGGATGTTAGTCTGGTTATTCAAAAAGGCAGTGGTGCCATAAAGTTGAAAGACGTCCTGTGCTTTACAAATGGGGATAAATGCAACAAGGAGAACGCACTTTGTAAGTGAAATTTTACCCTTCTGCTTCAAAACCAGAAGGTTGATCCTTGAAAGATCTCTGAAGGTAGTTATAAAACCAAAGGTAGTTTTAAATACGGTTAGAAATTTTCTTTAAACAGTCGGTGGGCATTAAGAGGCAAAACCACATTTATATTATTCCACATTTCAGTGATTCTTTCTTATATTTCTAATTCCATACTTTTTAAAAAAATAATTTTTATTTAGCACACAATAGGCTTAGAAATAAACTGGAGTATCTATAGCATGTCTTTATGGTAAAAAAAGGAAGATGTCACCTTTATCAAGGAAACAAAATTTCCAAGCAGCGATGATGTCACCATCTATTGAGCTCTTGAGCTGTTTACAAACATGCACTCATTTACTCCTTAAAGCAAGGCTGTTGTTTTAATGACTAGATGTCATTATCTCTATTTTACAAAAAAGGCAATTTCAGGAAGCTTAAGAAGGTTAAGTTTCCCACCAAGGAAGAGGGAAATAGATTGAAAATGTCATGCAAAGGATTCAGTCCAAGACTTTCTGAGTAGACAACTTGAGTGCCAAAATACTGGCACTACCCTTTGTTATTTTCTGTCCAGCACACAATTCTTGGGCCACTTCTGTGGAATCTTGGTAGTAGGGACATTTATGTAAAGTAGAGGTGCTCATTTTCCCAGCCCTTGCTGTTAGAGTCTTCAGGACAATCATAGCAATCCCTGCTAAAGTATGAACAATACTCAAAGCCCAATCCTACAAGAAAGACTGTGAGGAGGACAAGGCAACCAATCAGCTTTTCTCTTGTGTTGGAGAGATATTCTCCAATTACCTGCTGTCTCTTTGTACTATGCCTTGCAGTTCCCAGAGATGTCGAAGCAACAAAAATTAAGTGAAGGAAAGCGGTCAATCACTGCACTTAATGATATGCTAATTAGGAATGCTGTGTAGAAATCAGTCTAGCGTCCTAATTTACATCCCCTCTGTTCATTGAGCCATTTAACATTCTCCCCCATCCTGGTGACTGTGTAGGCATTTTGTAATATCCAATAGAAGAATTTTATATATACATGGCACCTTGGAATCACATCTGACATCTTTATATGTAAGGATGTCACCTTATATACTTCACCTTATGTTTAAGATAAGAAAAATGAAGATTAACAAATTTAATTGCCTAGCCCGAATAAGCAACCAGTAGTGAGTGGCACAAATAGGGCCGCCTAGAATTCAGATCTGTTGACTACTTCCTAGTATTGTTTGTTCTCCTAGGGATATAAGGGATGGTCATTGGTTCATCGTCTTGTTATTTCTTCACCACACTTCTAGGAGATGAGTATTATCCTTTTCATTTTACAGATTTAAAAAACTGACATTAAGTTACTTTTCCAATGTCATATAGAGTGTGGAGGAACAAGAAGGTGACTCTTTGCTTACTGAATTCAAACCTCCAGCCTGCCATTATTTGCATTAGGATTGAATGTGGGTAGATCTCTGCACTCGGCAGAGTCTAAATGAATTCAAAGATCCCTCCCGGCCCTAAAATTTTCTGATCCTACATAGCTGTGGGGATAAAAGGGTGGAACTTGTTGGAGCAATAAATCACTGCAGCCCACACGAGTCCCAAAGGCATGATCAAGTCTCCCTCATTCCATTCCTCACTGTCAGCAGTGTGCATCATTTATCTCTAGTAAATGCAATAATCATCCCTAATGAGTTTCCTGACTTGATTCTCTTATGCTTCCACCTCAAACAAAACTTGGCTGTCCCATGGTATAGCTACAGACAAGCTAATCCCACAACACAGAGACACATATGAAAATGCCTCCAAAGGTTCTTATTTCCTGACACGTGGGGTCCAAATTTCTTATCTAGGTGATCAGTGCAGCCCAGGTTTTGGCTCAAATTTACCTTGAAGTTTTATTTTTACGAAACTCTCCTTACCTCATCCTGAGGTCCAGCCCTGCAGAATCACTCCTCATTTCTTAACCTTCTGTGTCTTTACCTCATGTTGTCCATCTTACTTGATGCATAGTTTTTTTTTTCCCCACTGTATTTCCAAAAATGTAAACGCTCATTTTTATTCACTGTTAGTCTCTTCTGTCTTTGAAATATCTTATATAAGAGCATATAAATCTCACAAATTCATCAATAAGGTTCATTGCAAATGGCACCTTCTTTAGGATGACCATCTAAAATAAAAGTTTTTTAAAAAAGAAAAACAAAAAAAATCTTTACAAAAAGTAATTATTCTTTTCTCTGAATTCCCGTGTTTCTCCAACATATCTGAAAAAAAAAACCCTGAGTGTTCTGGGTTTCCTACTGCCTAGTCTGGATCTACGCAATCAGAATCTTCATGGATAGAGCCCAGGAATCAGTATTTTCACAAACTCTTCGCTAATATCACAAGATTGTTGGCTCTCTATAAGTTAATGTATAAGCATAATGCAATTGCATTCAAAATACTAATAGTATTTGATCTTGAACTAGGCAGAGTGATACTATAATTTATCTGAAAGAAGAAACATAAGTGAATATTCTCTGAAATTATGAAAAAAGAGTGTTCTGACGGGGAAGCATATTCTAAAATATACCAAAAAAACATAATAATTAAATAATTTGGTCTTGAATAATAGACAAATATGAAAACCATATTAGGACATTAAAAAGTAAATCTCAATACTTTTATATATGGGGATTTAGGCTATGATAAAACTGATATTTCAATTCACTGGTAAAACAGAAACTCTTAAATAAATAGGGGACAACTGGATACACATTTAGACAAATAAGTAAAGTGGATTCCTATTTCACTTCTTACACTGAAATAAATTGCAGATTGAACAAAGATTCAAACATAAAAATTTAAGCTATAAATACATAGAAGAAAGCAAGGGTGAATAAATTTATACACTTGCAGTGGAAAGTCTTTGTAATCAGGACACAAACCCAGAATCACAAAAGAGAAAAATGACAAATTTAACTACATAAAATTAATAACTTGTGCTTGGAAAAATAATTCATAAATTAAGTTTAAAAAAGAGACAAAGTTAGAAAACAGTATTTACAACACCAATGTCAGACACATGGCTAATTTCATTCATTAACAAAGAGCTTATAAGAATCAATAAAGAAAGATAAACAACTAAGAAAAATTGATGAAGAATATGAACAAACATTGACAAGCTTATTCTAAAGTTTCTGTGGAGAGGCAAAAGACCTAGAGAGCCAACATAATATTGAAGGAGGACAAAGTTGAAGGACTGACACTACCCTACTTCAGAGCTTACTATAAAGCTACAATAATCAAGATATTGTGGTATTGGTGAAAGAATAAACAATAGGTCAATAGAACAGAAGAGAAAGTTCAGAAATAGACTGATGTAAAGATAAGCAACTGGTCTTTGACAAAAGAGCAAAGAAAATATAATGGAAAAAGTCTTTTCAAAAAATGGTGCTGAAACCAACGGACATCCACTTGAAAAAAAAATGAATTTAGACAAAGACCTTATACTCTTCACAAAAAGTAATTCAAAATGGATCACACACATAAATGTAAAATGCAAAACTATAAAACTCCTGGAAAATAACATAGAAGAAAATCTAGAGGACCTTGGATTTGGTGATGACCTTTTAGATGCAATGCCAAGCCATGATCCACGAAAGACGGAATTGATAAGCGGGACTTCATCAAAATTTTAAACATTCTGCTGTGAAAGACACTACAAAGAGCATAAGAGTCAAGCCACAGACAGGGAGAAAATGTTTGCAAAAAAATATTTCTGATAAAGGACTGTCATCCAAAATATACAGAGAACACTTCAAGGTCAAGAATAAGAAAACAAACAACCTGATTAAAAAGTGGGCCAAAGACTTTAGCAGATACTTTACCAAAGAAGATATACAGATAGAAAATAGGCATATGAAAAGGTGTTCCACATCATGTATCATTAGAGATATGCAAATTAAAACAACAATGAGATATTACTACACAGCTATCATAATAGTCAAAATCCAGAACACTGACAACACAAAATGCTGGCTTGAGTTTGGAGCAACAGGAACTCTCATTCATTGCTGCTGAGAATACAAAATGCTACAGGCACGTTAGAAGACAGTTTGGCAGTTTCTTACAAAACTAAACTTCTTTTTACCATATGATCCAGGAATCATCTTTCTTGGTATTTACCCTGAAGAAACTGAGAACTTGAGTCTACACCAAAACCTGAACATGGCCAGGCACGGTGGCTCACGCCTGTAATCCCAGCACTTTGAGAGGCCAAGGCAGGCAGATCACCTGAGGTCAGGAGTTCCAGACCAGACTGGCCAACATGGTGAAACCCCGTGTCTACTAAAAATACAAAAAAATTAGCCGGGTGTGGTGGCAGGCACCTGTAATCCCAGCTACTCGGGAGGCTGAGGCAGGAGAATCACTTGAACCTGGGAGGCGGAGGTTGCAGTGAGCTCGCGCCACTGCACTCAAGCCTGGGCAACAAAGAGCAAAACTCCGTTCTCAAAAAAAAAAAAAAAAAAAAAAAAAAAAAAAAAAAAAAACCCCGAAAAAAGAAAAAAACCCTGAATAGAAGCTTTATTCATAAGTGCCAAAACTTGGAAGCAACTAAGATGCTCTTCAGTAGATAAATGGATTTACTGTGGTATATCTACATGATGCTATATTATTAAGCACTAAAAATAAATGAACTACCAAGTGATGAAAAGGCATGGTGGGACATTAAATGCATATTAGCAAGTGAAAGAATCCAGTCTGAAAAGGCTGCATACTGTACTATTCCAACTACATTTGACCCTTGAATGACATGAGTTTGAACTGTGTGGGTTCATTTATGTGTGGCTTTTTTTCTATCAAATTCATATTCAAAATACAGTATTAGTGGGATTGCCAGGGGTTATAGGACAAGGGATTAATAGGTAGAACACAGAGGATTTTTAGCACAATGAAACTATTCTGTATGTTACTGTAATGAGGGATATGACATTACACATTTGTCCAAACCTACATAATGTACAACACCAAGAGTGAACCTTAATGTTAACGTACTCCATAAACTCTGGGTAGTTATGACATGTTAATGTAGGTTCATCAATTGAAACAAATGTACCACTGTGGTGGAGGATGTTGGTAACGGGACAGGCTATGAGTGTGTGAAGGCAGTGGGTATATGAGAACTCTGTGCTTACCCATTCAATATGGCTGTGAGCCTAAAACTGCTCTAAAAAATAGTCTATTAAAAAAAGAAAATGAACAAACACCTTACATATAAAGAAATATGCATTGCCAATGAAAATGCACTTCATAATAACAAAATGTAAATAAAAATAATAGACTATATCTAGTCCTTCACTTAATGGATTGGTAAATGTTTAAGAATTGAACACATGTTTAAGTATTAGGTGTGGGAAGGGCCATTCTTAAGTACAAATATGTGAAGGGAATACATTTTTGCAAACTCTGCACAAAATGATCATATTTAAATATGCATATATATTTTACAGCATGTACTCTTTGCCCTAATAAGCTTTTTAATAGGAATATACTGTATATTCCCAAAAGTTTACTTAGACATATCATTAAAGATATTAATGCAATGTTAGTTTTTAAAGCACAAACTGGAAACAACAAAAGTGAGCCTCAGTAGGAAAAGCATTAAGTAAAATTATGATGCATCCAAAATGCTGGAATAGGGTGCAGCCATGACCAAAATAAGCATATCTGTATTTTGTGATGTGGGAAGAAATCTACACTATAACAGCAAATAATGAAAGTAAGGCCCAAAAGGATAAAAAGAATCCTCTGGGGAGAAAAAATTTAAGAAGGCTTTTTGATAGCTACACTACTATAAGCAAGTACATTTCTAAAAAGAAACATAAGAACTCATGAGCAGTTGTTAGACTTGGAAGCAGGAATTACACTTTTTTTCTTTTACATCATTTTGTGCAGATAGAATGTGCCCCTGGGTCAGGGGTTTAGATCTCCTTTGTTCACTGCTCTATCGTTAGCATTAGACAGTGCCTGACACTTAGTAGATGCTCTAAACTGTATGTGGAATTATTATTATTTTTTTCTCATCAAGGGTTAGTTATCTGGCAATGGATTATGAACCATTTTTTTTCAGTTGTTTGGATATCTCTGCATTTACAAGGATAATAAATGTATTCTTTTAAAATGGCTTAAAAATGTGCAAAAGCTTCCCACATAGTTCTTTTGCCCAGACAATGTTGGAGAGCATAGTTGGGCATCGTCTTTTCCCCTTTGGGGAACTGTTTCAGATTCCAGGTCAGATGTTTGTGGTTAAGGCTCATCTGTGTTTTTAGATGGCAGGCTTTTCAGAGTCATCGCTGGTATAGTGCTGAGAAATGATTTTGATCCTATGCTCTGTGGTCAGGTTGTTCAGTTTCACTCCAACTTCTTGTGCCTATTAGGTGAAAGACCATGGTCAAATCCCTGGATGCGTGTGTCTGTCTCTTCGGGAGGTTGTTCTTAAATGAGATAATGTGTGTAGTTTGTATAATCCAACGTTAGTTGCACTAGGAAAACAAAGTTAGATGGTAGCATTCTATTATTTAGCAGGGAGTGTTGTAGTAATTAAAAGATAAGTGAGTGAAGGAAGAATGAATAAATGGATGAATGAAGTCCGTGCATTGTGAAAGCAGGTCTGGAGTAGGTTGCTCCTGCATTCCAGCAGGAGGGAATTTAATAAAAAGTCATCTGGTGATTTATTTCAAACAGGTTATACAATTAATCCCTTTCTAGATACAAGGAGCTGAGTTAGAACTGTAGGCCTAGTTTCTGGCAGATTTCCTGAGTGGATGTCATCCCCCTGGGTTATTAAGGTATTCTCTCTTTTTTGCCCTAGCTTTCTGGGCTTTTGCTGTCTTTCTAAACCTCTCATTTTCTTTTTGAGCCAGATTTTCCACCTAGTCAATTGACAGCCCAATTCAAGATTAGATTCTGAGAGATTACAGAAACCCAGTCTAGTAAGTCACTGGGTGAGCCCAAACCTTATCTTTAAAGTACCTTGTGGGGAGAGAGAAACCTCAATTCTAGTGGAGTTCCTCAGAGTTGATAAGATTGCCAAAGTCCTTAAGTCACACTGCCTTCCACTGCTTGTAGAAATGACAGTTTTATCTTTAAAGACGGTGGAGTGGGAAGATAATCCATTTTCACTGTGGGTTATAAAATAAATGTTGCTTCTTAATCTTAAAATAGCTTGAATGAGGGCCTTTTAGCCAAAGACTAGCAAATCAATATTTAAAGAAAGATGCCTTAATAAGCAAATTGATTTTAGGGTTTTATTGTTTTTAAAATTTTCGTTGCTTATATGTCTTTATGCCTCAAGGTGTAAGGAATACTTGAATCCTTGTAACTTTGATTTTTGCCATCAGTAAAACCAGAATGGTAGAAGACCTCTTGCTCACCCTTCCTTAATCTTTGCCAAAGAGAGTGGCTCAGCATGAAATGAAATAAGATTTTTATTTCTGTACTCAGAATACAGGCATTACAGAACAATAGTTAAGAGCATAGACAGTGAAGACATTTAAATATTTCACTAGTAGGTTCCTTGCATATGTGCTGAATTCTGCCATGCTCCAAACACTGTTCCAGACACTAGAGGTGAATCAGTGAACAAAACAAAGAAAGATAGCTGTGCTCAAATAATTTACATTTTCTTAGGAAGCGCCAGTTATTATACAAAAAATATAATCAATACATGAAGTATACAAAATGTTAGAATATAATAAGTGCCATGACTGCAAAGCTGTGTAGGGGTGAGCCGGCTTGCAGGAGTGGGCCTCATTAGGAAGGTAATATTTGAACCAAGATTTGAACGACTTGAATCTCCTCTGCCCCTCACTAGCTGAGTACATTGGGGAAGCTCCTGACCACACTTTCTCACCTGTAAAGTGGCAAAAATACATAACTTGTTTTGATGCTGTAAGAATTAACTGCACTAACCTTGGAAAAGCAACTGATGTATACTGTAGGTTCTCAGAAAGTTGTAGGGTTTCTATTGCTTATTTGATCATCACAAATTCAGGTGTTCTCAATTTTGTTTCAAAAAGGTAAGTAAAGAAGTTTTTTAATTGAATGCCTTTTGTTTCTTTAAAAGTGGATATGTGTCCTGCAATGCTGTCACACAGGTCTTGAATCTCTGTGTTCTGGTAAAACGTTAAATTCTGTTTTTCCATAACCTGAGTCTGGTAGATAAAATGCCACCATATTTGTTGTACATTTTAGGTGGACGTCTGCTTTTATTATTATTATTATTATTATTATTATTATTATACTTTAAGTTCTGGGATACATGGGCAGAACGTGCAGTTTTGTTACATAGGTATACACGTGACATGGTGGTTTGCTGCACCCATCAACCCGTCACTTACATTAGGTATTTCTCCTAATGCTATCCCTCTCCTAGCCCTCCACCACCCGACAGGCCGCGATGTGTGATGTTCACTCCCTGTGTCCATGTGTTCTCATTGTTCAACTCCCACGTATGAGTGAGAACATGCGGTGTTTGGTTTTCTGTTCCTGTGTTAGTTTGCTGAGAATGATGGTTTCCAGCTTCATCCATGTCCCTGCAAAGGACATGAACTCATCCTTTTTTATGGCCACATTTTCTTTATCTAGTCTATCATTGATGGACATTTGGGTTGGTTCCAAGTCTTTGCTATTGTGAATAGTGCCACAGTAAACATATGTGTGCTTGTGTCTTTATAGTTGAATGATTTATAATCCTTGGGGTATATACCCAATAATGGGATTGCTGGATCAAATGGTATTTCTGGTTCTAGATCCTTGAGGAATTGTCACACTGTTTTCCACAGTGGTTGAACTAATTTATACTCCCACCAACAGTGTAAGTGTTCCTATTTCTCCACATCCTCTCCAGCATCTGTTGTTTCCTGACTTTTTAATGATTGCCATTCTGACTGGCGTGAGATGGTATCTCATTGCGGTTTTGATTTGCATTTCTCTAATGACCAGTGATGAGCATTTTTTCATATGTTTCTTGGCTGCATAAATGTCTCCTTTTGAGAAGTGTCTGTTCATATCCTTTGCCCATTTTTGATGGGGTTGTTTTTTTCTTGTAAATTTGTTTAAGTTCTTTGTAGATTCTGGATATTAGCCTTTTGTCAGATGGATAGATTACAAAAATTTTCTCCCATTCTGTAGGTTGCCTGTTCCCTCTGATGATAGTTTCTTTTGCTGTGCAGAAGGTCTTTAGTTTAATTAGATACCATTTGTCAATTTTGGCTTTTGTTGCCATGGCTTTTGGTGTTTTGGACATAAATTCTTTGCCCATGCCTATGTCCTGAATGGTATTGCCTAGCTTTTCTTCTAGAATTTTTATGGTTTTAGGTCTTATGTTTAAGTATTTAGTCCATTTTTGAGTTAATTTTTGTATAAGGTGTAAGAAAGGGGTCCAGTTTCAGTTTTCTGCATATAGCTAGCCAGTTTTCCCACCACCACTTATTAAATAGGGAATCCTTTTCCCATTGCTTCTTTGTGTCAAGTTTGTCAAAGATCAGATGGCTGTAGATGTGTTGTTTTATTTCTGAGGGCTCTGTTCTGTTCCATTGGTCTATATATCTCTTTTGGTACCAGTACTATGCTGTTCTGGTTACTACAGCCTTGTAGTATAGTTTGAAGTCAGGTAGGGTAATGTCTCCAGCTTTGTTCTTTTTGCTTAGAATTCTCTTGGCTATGCGGGCTCTTTTTTGGTTCCATATGAAGTTTAAAGCAGTTTTCTCCTATTCTATGAAGAAAGTCAATGGTAGCTTGATGGGGATAGCATTAACTCTATAAACCACTTCGGGCAGTATAGGCATTTTCACGATATTGGTTCTTCCTATCCATGAGCATGCAAACTTTTTCCATTTGTTTTCATCCTCTCTTATTTCCTTGATCAGTGGTTTGTAGTTCTTGAAGAGGTCCTTCGTATCCCTTGTAAGTCGTATTCCTAGGTATTTTATTATCTTAGTAGCAATTGTGAATGAGAGTTCAATCATGATTTGGCTCTCTGTTTGTTATTGGTGTACAGGAACGCTTGTGATTTTTGCACATTGATTTTGTATCCTGAGATTTTGCTGAAGTTGTTTATCTGCTTAAGGAGATTTTGGGCTGAGATGATGGAGTTTTCTAAATATACGATCATGTCATCCGCAAACAGAGATAATTTGACTTCTTCTTTACCTATTTGAGTATCCTTTATTTCTTTCTCCTGCCTGATTGCCCTGGCCAGAACTTCCAGTATTATGTTGAATAGGAGTGGTGAGAGAGGGCATCCTTGTCTTATGCCGGTTTTCAAAGGGAATGCTTCCAGTTTTTGCCCATTCGGTATGATATTGGCTGTGGGTTTATCATAAATAGCTCTTATTATTTTGAAATATGTTCCATCGATATCTAGTTTATTGAGAGTTTTTAGCATGAAGGGGTGTTGAATTTTGTCGAAGGCCTTCTCTACATCTATTGAGATAATCATGTGGTTTTTGTCATTGGTTCTGTTTATGTGATGGATTATGTATATTGATTTGTGTATGTTGAACCAGCCTTGCCTCCCAGGTATGAAGCCGACTTGATCGTAGTGGATAAACTTTTTGATGTGCTGCTGGATTTGGTTTGCCAGTATTTTATTGAGGACTTGCACATTAATATTTATCAGGGATATTGGCCTGAAATTTTTTTTGTTATGTCTCTGCCGGGTTTTGGTGTCAGGATGATGCTGGCCTCATAAAATGAGTTAGGGAGGATTCTGTCTTTTTCTATTGCTTGGAATAGTTTCAGAAGGAATGGTACCAGCTACTGTTTGTACCTCTGGTAGAATTCAGCTGTCAATTTTTCTGGTCCTGGACTTTCTTTGGTTGGTAGGCTATTAACTATTCATCAATTTCAGAACTTGTTATTGTTCTATGCAGAGATTCGACTTTTCCTGGTTTAGATTTGGACGGGTGTATATGCCCAGGAATTTATCCATTTATTCTAGATTTTCTAGTTTATTTGTGTAGGAGTGTTTATACTGTTCTCTGATGGTAGTTTGTATTTCTTTGGGATCAGTTGTGATATCCCCTGTATCATTTTTTATTGCATCTATTTGATTCTTCTCTGTCTTCTTCTTTATTAATCTGGCTAGCGGTCTATCTATTTTGTTGATCTTTTCGAAAAAACAGCTCCTGGATTCATTGATTTTTTGAAGGGTTTTTCGTGTTTCTATCTCCTTCAGTTCCGCTCTGATCTTAGTTATTTCTTGCCTTCTGCTGGCTTTTGAATTTATTTGTTCTTGTTTCTCTAGTTCTTTTAATTGTGATGTTAGGGTGTTGATTTTGGATCTTTCCTGCTTTTTCTTGTGGGCTTCTAGTGCTATAAATTTCCCTCTACACGCTGCTTTAAATGTGTCCCAGAAATTCTGGTACATCGTGTCTTTGTTCTCTTTGGTTTCAAAGAACATCTTTATTTCTGCCCTCATTTTGTTATTTATCCAGTAGTCATTCAGGAGCACATTGTTCAGTTTTCATGTAATTGTTCAGTTTTGAGTGAGTTTCTTAATCCTGCGTACTAATTTGATTGCACTGTGGTCTGAGAGACTGTTTGTTATTATTTCTGTTCTTTTGCATTTGCTAAGGGTGTTTTACTTCCAATTATGTGGTCAATTTTAGAATAAGTGTGATGTAGTGCTGAGAAGAATGTATATTCTGTTGATTTGGGGTGGAGAGTTGTGTAGATGTCTATTAGGTCTGCTTGGTCCAGAGCTGAGTTCAAGTCCTGAATATCCTTGTTAACTTTCTGTCTTGTTGATCTGTCTAATATTGACAGTGGGGTGTTAAATTCTCCCACTAATATTGTGTGGGAGTTTAAGTCTCTTTGTAAGTCTCTAAGAACTTTCTTTATGAATCTGGGTGCTCCTGTCCTGGGTGCGTATATATTTAGTATAGTTAGCTCTTCTTGTTGCATTGATCCCTTTACCCTTATGTAATGCCCTTTTTGTCTCTTTTGATCTTTGTTGGTTTAAAGTCTGTTTGATCAGACATTAGGATTGCAACTCCTGCTTTTTTTTTTTTTTTTTTTTTTTTTTTTTTTTTTTTTTTTTGGCTTTCCATTTGCTTGGTAAATATTCCTGCATCCCTTTATTTTGAGCCTATGTGTGTCTTTGCATATGAGATGGGTCTCCTGAATACAGCACATTGATGGGTCTTGACTCTATGCAATGTGCCATTGTGTGTCTTTTAATTGGGTCATTTAGCCCTGTTACATTTAAGGTTAATATTGTTATGTGCGAATTTGAGCCTGTCATTATGATGCTAGCTGGTTATTTTGCCCATTAGTTGATGCAGTTCCTTCATAGTGTCGATGGTCTTTACAATTTGGTTTGTTTTTGCAGTGGCTGGTACTGGATGCTCCTTTCTATGTGTAGTGCTTCCTTCAGGAGCTCTTTTAAGGCAGGCCTGGTGGTGACAAAAATCTCTCAGCTTTTGCTTGTCTGTAAAGGATTTTATTTCTCCTTTGCTTATGAAGCTTAGTTTGGCTGGATATGAAATTCTAGCTTGAACATTCTTTTCTTTGAGAATGTTGAATATTGGCCCCCACTCTCTTCTGGCTTGTAGGGTTCCTGCAGAGAGATCCACTGTTAATCTGATGGGCTTCCCTTTGTGGGTAACCTGACCTTTCTCTCTGGCTGCCCTTAACATTTTTTCCTTCATTTCCACCATGGTAAATCTGACCATTATGTGTCTTGGGGTTGCTCTTCTCAAGGAGTATCTTCGTGGTGTTCTCTGTATTCCCTGAATTTGAATGTTGGCCTGCCTTGCTAGGTTGAGGAAGTTCTCCTGGATAATATCCTGAAGAGTGTTTTCCAACTTGGTTCTATTCTCCCTGTCACTTTCAAGCACATCAATCAAATGTAGATTTGGTCTTTTCACATAGTCCCATATTTCTTGGAGGCTTTGTTCATTCCTTCTTATTCTTTTTTCTCTAATCTTGTCTTCTTTATTTCATTAAATCGATCTTCAATCTCTGATATCCTTTCTTTCGCTTGATAAATTCGGCTATTTGATATTTGTGTATGCTTCACGAAGTTCTCATGCTGTGTTTTTCTGCTCCTTCAGGTCATTTATGTTCTTCTCTAAACTGGTTATTCTAGTTAGCAATTCGTCTAACCTTTTTTCAAGGTTCTTTGCTTCCTTGCATTGGGTTAGAACACGCTCCTTTAGCTCTGAGGAGTTTGTTATTACCCACCTTCTGAAGCATACTTCGGTCAATTTGTCAAACTTATTCTCCATGCAGTTTTGTTTCCTTGCTGGCGAGGAGTTTTGATCCTTTGGAGGAGAAGAGACGTTCTGGTTTTTGGAATTTTCACCCTTTTTGTGCTGGTTTCTCCCTATCTTTGTGGATTTATCTACCTTTCGTCTTTGATGTTGGTGACCTTTGGATGGGGTCTCTGAGTGGACATGCTCTTCCTTTCTCTTTGTTAGCTTTCCTTTGTTTTTTACCCTTTATAATATTGGGGAAACTGCCTGGGGCCTAACATGAGCAGGCTCAGCTCTGAGGCATCAAGACTGGAAGGAAGCACATGGCTGGGTGACAAATATGTGAGCTAGGACTCAAAGAGCTGTATCCGAGCCAGGGAACTAATTGAGGACAACCAGGTCATAGACCCAACATCCAAAAGTAGTACAAGCTCACACAGGTATGAGAAATGGAGGAGAAGACAGAAAAATCCGGTGGATGAAACCAAATATACTGTAGATACACTGTAGAAGGCAGTCAGGGTCACTTGCAAGTTCTAGGACCTTTGTTTGGTGCCAGCAGGCTTCAAAATTGGTTTGAAACATGGAGAAGAGGATCTGATCTCCTTTGTGTGGAAGTTGGCAAAAGAATCTAGATCATATTGGGGGAAGAATTCAGAGAGAATGTGAGGTGTGAGACATGGAATGTTCATGGGTCTGACGATGCTGCTTTTTGAGGAAAAGCAACACTGAATATCAGAGGCACTGTGGCGCCCACGCCTTATTACTAGCCCATCTGGGAGCACAACCAACTTGCAACTTCCTCTAGCAGGAGGAGCCTAGACTCCTGAGAAGCAGGCCTGGGCCTGATTTGTGGGTGCCATTGCATTTCTTGGCCATGAGAAGAGCAAGGCAAACAAGACCTAAGCACTAGATAGTTACAAGCTTTGGTGGTTTTCAAGAGCAAAGGGGAGAGGACGAGAGAGGAAGAAGGATAGATACAAACATCCTACAAAATGTCTATTGTTCACACAGTAGTGCTGAAGGAAAAGGTTTTATTCAGAGCTGCTTGCTATTTTACTCAACCACAGGGAAGGGAAATGCTATTGTAAAGCAGGTCTGTTAGAAACAGCAACTTTGCTGGGGGCTGCCATTGACTTACTTTACTTGTCCCCTTTGGGACTTAGCACCACCCCTGCTGCTCTCCTGTGTTTGCAAATACCTCTTTTTTTTTTTTTTTTTTGAGACAGAGTCTCACTCTGTCTCCAAAGTTGGAGTGCAGTGGCACGATCTTGGCTCACTGCAGCCTCCGCCTCCCGGGTTCAAGTGATTCTCCTCCCTCAGCCTCCTGAGTAGCTGGGACTATAGGCACACGCCACCACGCCCAGTTAATTTTGTGTATTTTTAGTAGGGATGGGTTTCGCCATTTTGGCCAGGCTGGTCTTGAACTCCTGACCTCAGGTGATCCACCCGCCTGGGCCTCCCAAAGTGCTGGGAATACAGGCGTGAGCCACCGCGCCTGGCCACAAATATCTCTTTAAGATAGGATACTGTTACAGTTCTGACTTAAAATGTGAGGCTTGGCTCCAGACTCCATGATGATCCTTATAAAATAAAGTGGAGAGGCTTTGTGGATTTATAAATGCATCTTTTCCATAAAGTATAGCATTTCACGTGCATAACTTAAAATAGTCTGAAATGATATTAGTATCATTGCTAAGGGATTTAAGAATCGAAAATATTTTAAAGTAAATTAGGTAGCCTACCAAATAGGATTTTCTTGTCCTCATTTTGATTATTAAATCTCAAAGAAACTCAAAGCAAAAAAATAAGTTACTTTTTTATATTTGAAGATGGGGATTTTCCTCTGTTTGTGTGGAGTCTTTTTTAGGATCTGCCAAATGTTGATGCTCTCTTCTCTGGACTATTTCTTTTTATAACCATGGGAAGGCTATTTTAGACCACCGAGAGACAGAGCCTGTCTAAAGATTTTAGTTGCCCTTTCTTCATATCAAATGAAATGTCCATCAATATTCTTATCTCACCCACTCTGCTTCAGCGTTCTACCTGAAGGTAAGAATCTTAAATGGACTGACTGGTTCCTGAGTCTTGGAACGTACAGAGTAAGCACTGACGCTGGCTGAGACCTTTTAGGGGACTCATAGACAACCAGTATAGCAATGGAGGGGGCAAAGTCATTATGCTCCTTTCTAAGGATATAAACCGCAAGAGTATGTTTTCGAATAAACTTTGTCCACTAGAAAAAAGAAAAAAAAAACCTGTTACAACTTTCTTTTGATAAGAAAGGATATGTTTTTTAAAAATTAAATAGAAGAAATTCTAAGCAAAGCGTGTCATTTAGCACATGGGCATATACTGTTTATCTCCCTGCTCCATTATCAAGTTAATCTTACAGGAAAAAGGTACAAATAATTGCGTGGTTGCAATCACGCACTTTTTGTCACCATATGGAAATCATTCTGAGAACCTCCTTTTTCTTCCCAAACCCCACTACTACCCTACAATAGAAGGTCTTTAAATTAAATGCCAGAGGACTCATGGGGCAAACATATTGTTAACATAGCCAATCAGAAATATGTGCTAAATTTATAGCTACACAGAAAGAAAAAGACCTTGATGACTTCTCCAAGTCACTCTTCTCAAACCGGAATTTGCAGCAGAATCACTCAGAGAGCTTGTGAAACACAGATTGCTGGGCCTCACTCCCAGAGCTTTTGGCTTCGGATTCAGTATATCTGAGGTAGGGCCTGAGAATTGGCATTTTTTTTGAGACAGGGTCTTGTTCTGTTGCCCAGGCTCCAGTGCAGTGGCACAGTCATAGCTCACTGAAGCCCTGAACTCCTGAGCTCAAGTGATCTTCCCATCTCAGCCTCCTGAGTAACTGGGAGTACAGATGTGTACCACCACACCAGGATAACATTTAAATTTTTGTAGAGACTAGGGTCTCACGATGTTGCCCAGGCTGGTTTAGAACTTCTGGGCTGGAGGGATCCTCCTGCCTCAGCCTCCCAAAGTACTGGGATTTGAGTCACTGCACCTGGCCAGAATTTGTATTTCTAACAAGTTTCCCGATGATGACGATGCTGCTGGTCTAGGGACTATACTTAAGAATAGCTATTCTAGGCCAGTGGCTCTCAGCCTTGGCTGCACATTTCAGTCACCTGAGGAAAGTTTTTGAAATTCCAATGCCCAGGCCATACCCCCAACCAATTTAAATTAGATTCTCTAGAGGTGAGAACTGGGCATTAGTATTTTTTCAAGATCCCACACTAGATGATTCTAGTGCGCAGCTAAGTTTCACAACCACTATTCTAGGTCCACTTTTCTTTCTCCTTATTTTTCAAATGAAAAAATATAGGCCAAGAGAAGTGAAATCATCTGAGGTCATACAGCTAGTTATGAGAGAGAGAGTTCTCCTGATTGTGTTGATGGCTGATGTACTATCTGGGTTCTTGTCTTCTTAGTTTAAAAGAATTTAAACAAGAAACACACAGCAAAAGAGATGCAGCATAGAGTAATTTACTGCAGGGGAAAAAGAATATTTTGTAAGTTAGGTGCAGAATAGACATTATACTCTGAGAGAGAGAGTTCCAGTCGGGCTGCTTCTAAGGATCGGACTGGCGCTAGAGAGTCTTACATGATTATTCATGAGGGGGTGGAAAGAATAAGCATGTTTTGGGTGGTCCTCTGGGTGCACAAGTGCAGTAGCTATACATGCTTGTTCATACGTCATATGTCTCATTAGCATCTTAAATCTCTACCCAGGGGTGTGTTTTTTTACTATTAAAATGAGCAAAGGATCAGTTTGAGGATCGGTAAAATTAAAGTGCGCGTGCTCTCTCCAGAGGAAATTCCCTACTGGAGATACCTTTGCTTGAGTGAGCTCAATTACAGTGCAAATGCTGAGGCTTATTGTGTTGGCTCTACAGTCACCAGGGTTGCTGCATCCAGAGAACACGGTCAGTTCCTTGACTACTTATTCTGCCTCATGTGGACCAGGGCACTTTAACAATATGACACTTCTTACCAGTATGCCTGGATTTAAAATTTAGTAACAAGTACATAACGTGACCACCTGGGATCTGATGCTGATTGAGGAGGTGTGGGGTGGTATCTGAGATTCTGCAGTTCTGAGAAGCCCCCAGGTTTTGCCCATGCAGTTGGTTCACAGACTACTGAGTATCAAGGTTGAAATATACCTTTGCCTGGGCTTTATCAGTACTGTATTTTAAATGCAAATGATGGAAGCCATGGGCCCAAATGCAAGATAATAGCTACTACAAGGAAAATTAGCATATCTTGGGCACTGTATCAGACTAATTTGTAGCCGCTTAAAATTTTAGAAGTTTTTGAATAATTTTTCTTCATTAATTTTTTTGGGTTAGAATTTTAACAATTTTTAAATTTTTAACTATTTGATGAAAATACAGTTTTAAGTGAAGAAAAAAGTAAAAATTGATTTGGAGACAAATAAACCTTACAATACTAATCATTTTAAAAATTGATTCAGTTGTGATTGTCAGTTTGGCCTGAACATTCTCCATTCAGGTTGAGAACCAAATACTTTAATCATTTTAGTTTTTATCTTTGCAGATTTATATTTAGGAAAAGGTAGTACAGAAATGTGGTTGTGATTTTGGCCTCTGGAATTTGAATGTCTGGGCTCAAGTCCAAGCTTTGCCACTAACAAGCTATTTAGTTATTATTTAATTAATACTTAATCTTGATGAAGTTCCATTTTCTCATCTATAGAGATAATGGCACCTGCCTTGTAGGATTTTTGAGAGGATTAAATAAGATAATATGTGTAAAGTTCTTAGCAAATATCCGGGCACGTAGTAAGTGCTTAGATAAATACTGGCTTTCGTTGTTATCATACCTTGTTGGCTGGTGGCTACAGATGGCTGACTAATGTAGACACCAGTGGTTCCCAGAACTTAGTCTTCTGACTGGGCTTTCAGGAATGTCCCTGGAAGGGTTTCTCTGGAGACTGAGTAAGAACCATTCTTCATATCAACCCCAAGGGATCAAATTGCAGAGTGGAGTCTGAGTAGGAACCATGGAAGGATTGATCAGGAGTAAATCTGGAAAAGCATTCCAAGAAATCTCCCAGTGGGCTTGCCTAGAAGGCCCATATGGCTTACTTCTGAAATACATCATGTAGATTCATTTGTGGGAGACATATGCCAAGCAACCCTGTTCACTTTTTATTTAGCCTAGTGATTTAAAAAGTGCAGTCCCAACACCAGCAACAACAGAATCACCTGGGGGCTTGATAGAAATAGAAATTCTGTGGTGCCTCCCCAGACTTATTGAATTTGAAACTTTGAGATGCAACTCACCAGTCTGTGTTTTAAGAAGCCTTCCTGATGAATCTGATGCAGACGAGAATTTGAGAAGCTTTGCTATAGGAATGTAGTAGTCCATTTTTATGCTGTTAATAAAGACATACCTGAGACTGGGTAATTTATAAAGAAAAAGAAGTTTAATGGACTCACAGTTCCACATGGCTAGAAAGGCCTCACAATCATGGCAGAAGGTGAAAGGCACGTTTTACAGGGTGGCAGATAAGAGAGAATGAGAACCAAGTGAAAGGGGTTTCCCTTTATAAAACTATCAGATCTCATGAGACTTATTCACTACCACAAGAACAGCATGGGGGAAACCGCCCCCCTGATTCAATTATCTCCCACTGGATCCCTCCACGTGGGAATTATGAGAGCTACAATTTAATGTGAGATTTGGGTGGGGACACAGTGAAACTATATCAAGTCATAAGCAATTCTAAAGGATTTTAACCAGAGGAGTGACATGCTGAGGCTTTGTATTTTGGCAAGATTACATTGGCAGAACTATTAAGCACTGATCGCAATCTCTGTATCAAGGACCTCAGAGAGAAACAGAAAGTCATCACAAGGGATTTGAAAACCCCATGTGCGTTCCAAATACTGTCTGTAAGTTTGAAAATTTAAGAGAGTTTCAGAATATCCTCCTGTGCATACCTTTTCTGCTCCTCTTTGAATGTATTATGTGATTTTATGATTTAAAGAGGAGAACTTAGTTAAAGGCATAACTGTATTCACAAAAACTTTTGCCTTGTATTTTTTCAGTCAGTGCCTACTCAGAAGTAACCATTTATACATTTATTAACCCAGTATTCAGTGAGAATTTGCTATGTGTCAGGAATCTTGTTGTTATTGTTATTGTCGTTGCCAGGTTGGAGTGCAGTGGCGCAATCTTGGCTCTCTGCAACCTCCACCTCTCAGGTTCAAGCGATTCTCCTGCCTCAGACTCCTGAGTAGCTGGGACTACAGGCGCACATCACCACACTACACCACATCACAGCTAATTTTTGTATTTTTAGTAGAGACGGGGTTTCACCATGTTGGCCAGGATGGTCTCGATCTCTTGACCTTGTGATCCACCCGCCTCAGCCTCCCAAAGTCCTGGGATTACAGGTATGAGCCACCGCACCAGCCTGGAAATTTTGTTAGGCGCTGAGGGCAGAGCAATGAACAAAACAAAACAAAAAACAACAACAACAAAAATTCTAACCTGATAGAACTTACATTTTAGTGGAGATATAACAAGATAAATAAGTAAAGTGTTCTCTATGCTGTATGAAAATACATTTTTAAGTAGAAAAATGAAGAAGGGGAGGGTGAAGAGAAATAAGGGGTCAGGGAAGATTTCAATGAAAAGGTGAACTCTGAGTAACATAATTAAGAAGCCGAGAAATCAAGCCAGGCACATATCTAGGCAAAACATCATCCCAGGCACAGGTTATTCATAGTCATTGTGGAAGTCCTGAGGGAAAACTGTCTCTGGTATGTCAGAGAAATAATACAGAGGCCAGCATGGGTGGAGGGACATGAGAGGAGCACAGAGTTATAGGAGATGTGCTTCAGGAGATGAGAATGGTAATGGTGGGGATCATCTAGGGAGATTATAGAGTGATCATATGGGGACTTTAGGACATTATAAGGCCTTTGTTGTCACTCAGAGTGAGATGGAAGGTATTGGCAGTTTCTGAGGAATAAATGAAAAGGATCTGACATATGTGTGGCTGCTGTGTTGGGAATAGCTTGAATATGGACAAGGGAAGAAACAAGGAAACTAGCTACAAAGCTATCAAAATATTTCAGATGAGGCTTGATGGTGCCACGTATAAGAGTGGTGACATTGGAGGTGGTAAGAAATGTGTACTTTGGGAAGTAGAGTGGACAGGATCTGCTGAGGGGTTGGGTGTGGGGTATTGAGATTGATTCAAAGTTTCAGGGTTATTCAGGGTTATTCAAAGTTATTCAAAGTTGAATAACTAGATAGATGAAGCTGCCGTTTCCTGAGATGAAGATGATTTTGAGAGAAACAGATTTGAAGGGTGAATAGCTGGAGTTTGGTTTTGGACATGCAAGGCTTTTAAAATACCTATTAGATCTCCAAATGTAAATGCTGAGTAGGCAATTAGATATATGGAGTCCGAAGTCTAGGGGAGAAGTCTAGACTAGAGATGCAAATGTAAGTTATTAGCAGATAGATAATATTTAAAACATGAGATTGGAAGAGATTGCCAAAGAAATTAGTACAGATAACATATAGATAGAAATTTGGTGAGTTATAAGGATGAAACACTATGGAAAACAGTATGTGGATTTCTTAAGAACTAAAACTAGAACTACCATTCAATCCAGCAATCCCACTACTGGGTGTCTACTCAAAGGAAAAAAAAATCAATATATTTAAAAAAAGCATGTGAACTCATATGTTTCTTGCAGCACTATTCAAAATAGCAAAGATATGGAATCACCCTAAGTATCCATCAATGGATGATTAGATTTAGAAAATGTGGTATACCTATACAATGGAATACTATTCAGCCATTAAAAAGGAATGGAATTATGGCTTTTGCAGCAACTTGGATGGAACTGGAGGTCATTATCTCAAGTGAAACTAGGCAGACACAGAAAGACAAATATCACATGGTCTCACCCATACGTGGGTGCTTAAAAAAAAGGTGAACACCATTGGTATAGAGAGTGGAATGATAGACAATGGAAACTTGAACGAGTAATGGGGTGAGAGGAGAGGGAATGAGGAAAAAATACTTAATGAGTACACTGTACATTATTCAGGTGATGGATACCCTGAAAGTCTTGAATTGACCACGATGCATGTAACAAAATTGCGCTTGTACCCCATAAATGTATATAAATTTTAGAAGTACATTATCCATTGCAAAAAAAATAGCAAATATGTAAGACGAACAAGTGGAAAGATTTAAAATACAACCTGAAAACTATAATTAATAATCCTGTATTATATTCAGGAATTTTGCTAAATGAGTAGATTATAGCTGTTCTTGCCAAGGGCATCGGGCAGAGGGTAACTATGTGAGATGATGTATACGTTCATCTGTTACATTTTAGTAACCATTTTAATATGCATGTGTGTCTTATAATATCATGCTATATATCATAAACATACACAATGAAATTTATTTTTTTAAAAAGAGAGAGTAGGAACAGGGATTTTAGAGACAGAAATTATAGATAACCCTCTCATGGAGCTTTGCTGTAAAGGGAAGGTGAGAATGAAGTGTTAGCTGGAGATGGATATAGGATCAGGAAAATTGCTTTGTTTGTTTTTGTTTTTGAAGATTGGAGAAATAATACATGTTGGAAAATTAATAGGACACAGTAAGGAGGAAAA
Source organism: Homo sapiens (assembly GCF_000001405.40). NCBI lineage: Eukaryota > Metazoa > Chordata > Mammalia > Primates > Hominidae > Homo > Homo sapiens. The sequence continues at coordinate 21,714,612 of NC_000003.12, read as the reverse complement.
ACTTATGATGCAAACGAGAAAGAGAGGAGTAGAAGAGTGGTGTCTGTGTTCAGGCTTCAGGGCAGGAATCAAGAGGAGAGATTGGCCTTAGCTTGGAATATTGTTCATCCATAAAAAGTGGGAGTGGTAGAGTAGGTAGGCACAGATAAGAATATGGGAATTTATGATACTTATCTTCTGTTGTTTCCATTCTTTAGTGAGGCTCAGAAGTGAGCCTTTAGTGACGTTTTAGTGAGGCTCAGAAGTGGATGGGGAAAGAGGTGTTGGAGGTTTCATGAGAAAACTGAAACATAAAAGACTTATGAAATAACTTAGTCTAGGGAAGCAGGAAAGTGAATGAATGTGCTCAGTAAGTGTCAGGAAAGGTAGTTTGTTTACTGGACAGCAGGAAGGTCTGCCGGAAGGCCCACTTACTGTTAATGACCATGGGTTTTAATTGAGAGCAGTTATTATGGGCACAGTTAATATCTTCTCTCACCAAATCAGCTGTATGGGTGAAGGCAGGAGTAGGCACAGATTTAAATTTAAGCAGAATTTCATTTAGCCAAGGGAGCAAAGAACCAATAAAGTGTTAGAGGGTTGAGGATGTGTGCGTGGGTGTTATTATATTGATTGACCAAAGGCTTAAGCTGGGTAGAGAAAAGATCAGGAACAGGGTAAAGGGCTGAAAAGGTGGTAGGATCCATAGACTTTGGGTCCCAGGGTTGAAAGACTCAGTTGATGTAAAAGGAGAGTGACATGTAAACTTTAAAAAAGGTGGTGTTTGAAGAATAGGATGTTTGAAACTGAGATTCTAGTAAAGTTGCAGTTATTGGTAATGACAAAATGCAGTCTCTGACTGTGGGACTGGGTGGTATGGGTAGGGTAGAAGACAAGATTTTTGGAGAAGAGGAGGCTAAGGATCAGATACTCCAGTGAACTGGACATATGGACTATGGGTATATCAAAATCACTAAAAATTATGTCAGTTGTAGTGTAGGAGACAGTGATAGGGAACGAAGTGCTATAACCATCAAGAAGAGAGTAGCCCCAGGTCAGCAATGACAGTGGCAATGGAAGGTAGTGATTGTTTGGAGGATATGAAATTTGAAGCTAGGAGAGAGAAGGAGGGAAGGAGACCAGCCTGGAGATGGTGATGAAGAGCACTTAGAATGTATACCCCACCTCTATGCCCAGTGGTATCAGGAGGGTGGAAGAGAAAACAGACACCACATGACAGATTACAGGGGGTGCAGTGCCCTCAGCACCAAGATGGTGAAAAGAAACATCATTGAAGAAGATTGCAGAGCACTCAAGTTTGGGCTCTCAATTTACTTCTGCTATGGACAAGTGCAGGTCTGCAGATGGGCAGTCTTCTTTTTATAGTTTGGAACTTCCCTTGTACACTGCTGGCTCTTCTTGTTCTTTGCACTTCCTTTGAGGTTGGTGAGCAGGTATTCTTAACTCCACATGTGTGGGTGTGCCCTTGGCTTCTGAAAATGGAAACAGAGGAGCCATCTTAATTTAAGTGCATAGGGTATTCTCTTGGCCTTCTTCATCAGTGGCTCCAAGGATGGCCAAGTTGGCATAGTGGGCAAGTGAAAGAAAATTATTTTTACACCGAAGAGTGATTCTTATGTCCAAAAAAGTGGCACCACTGGCAAGTTGGAAATAGTGTTTGTGCATGTGTATTTGTGTGTGTGATGGGTTGAGACTGAAAGCATTAAAGCCAGTTAGGAGTCTGTTGCAATATTTCAGGGGATAAATGGAGAAGGAATTAATTCACTGACAGTAAAGGCAGAAAGCTTGTGGTAGATTTAAGAAATAAATTACTCTTGATAGAGTAGAGAGAACTGTATTTGCTCAGAGTAGATAAAGGCAACCAACAGGTTTTATGTATTCAGACAATAGTAAAAACCCGTTTTCAAGTGCATATATATTTGCAAACTGGGATATTCTTCATAGGAACGATTCTCATTTTTTTCTGCATGAAACTTCCACATTAGAAATCAATATATATAGACAGTGAAATTTCTCAAGTCATTTTACAGCGGTGTTACAAGTGACAGACTTTTTTTAAAAAAAGTTTACTTTTCTATTATTTAAAATAAATTTGATAATGGCTTAAACCTCTTGAAGGTATACAAAGATGTTACAGATTGTAGAAACATTGTTCAAATGTAGGGATGGAAGTGACATTCCACATAATGAAGTAAGAGAAGAGACCGTGAGTTCAATCAGCCAATGGGCTATGCTAGGGTGGGTGGGGCAGGTGTTCACTGGAGAATAAGGAATGCAAGGCACCTGGCTTAAATGGGCAGGGATCCTGCTCTGTAACATGGGTCTCAGATTCCTACTGTGATGGCTTAGAAGTAGACGTGTACAATGGAGAGAGAGAAGGATTGCAGAGATACATAATGGTTTTCAAGAAGGAAGGATGTTTTAGGGCAGAAAGACCATAGTAAAGGGAGGTGCAAAGGTGGGAAAGAGCAAGTTTGGGGAATCATTACCTGACTATTGCCATCGAGGGAAAGGGCTGTGGTGGTAGCTGGTAGCAGAAGAGGCCAGAAATGGTGGGGTACACCTTTTAAAAAGGTTTCAAATCCTTCACCAAATAAATAATTAGATAGTATTGTTATAATCAGCTATAGGATATTATGGAAGATTATAATTAGCAAAGTGACATTTACATAATTGTGTGTTTTTTAAGAAAGCAGTTGTTTGGCCTATAATTCCATACTTGTATTCTGTAGGATTGTCACACCTAATGATATGCAAAAGGTAGAAAAATGGGTTACCAGATGGAATTCCTACCTCAGTCCAGCTCACTATATCTCAGAATTCTTTCCCACAGCTCTTGGAGGAAATAGGGCTTAGCATTAGATGTTGCTGTTTATTTCCTGTTAATATCTTTGGAGATGCATATGTCAGTAAAAATAAAAATAAACATCCAGATTACTTGGATGCATTTTAAAATTTGAAGAGGCAGAATGAGTGAGTGTTTTTGGGGATGGGAGATGGGGAATTTCTGTCTGTTTTCTCTATAAGATAGCAACAGACTGCATGTCAATGATGTATGGGTTCTGGGGCTATCTGAACTGGATTACTTTTAACAGAATTGTCGTTTAATTACTGTCGTTTTTAAAAAATGTGTTGAAGCGAGTGAGGTGAATCATTTCTAAATTTCTGAATGATTTCTCCAATCTTTACAAACTTATTAATAGAATATTAGAAATTTTGAAATCAATTTAGGGGAAAAAGATTACGTATTTAATTTATATGAAACTTTTGGCGGCCGGGCGCGGTGGCTCATGCCTGTAATCCCAGCACTTTGGGAGGCCGAGGCGGGTGGATCACGAGGTCAGGAGATCGAGACCATCCTGGCTAACACGGTGAAACCCTGACTCTACTAAAAATACCAAAAATTAGCCGGGCGTGATGGTGGGCTCCTGTAGTCCCAGCTACTCGGGAGGCTGAGGCAGGAGAATGGCGTGAACACGGGAGGCGGAAGTTGCAGTGAGCCGAGATCACGCCACTGCACTCCATCCTAGGCGACAGAGCAAGACTCCATCTCAAAAAAAAAAAAAAAAAAAACTTTTAGAGGGATAAGGAAATTAAGACCTAGAGAGGTTTAAGTTGCTCAAAGACAAAAGTCACATCGCTATGATAGAGGAAGGAATGGGGAAAATCAGAGAGCATTTAGATTAGAAAAGTGACTTTATTATTATGGTCATGAGTGAGTGATGGCTGAATTCTAAGAAGAACTTCTTAACATCAAGGCTGTGGATCAATTAATCAGCCTAGCTCATGTAGTAATGCATTCCCCCACCCTAGAAGTATTCAATGAGAGGTTACATAACTTCTTTGGAGAAAACATTACATGGAGATGTTCAAGCATTCATGCTTCAAAGACCTTAAATATTGCTTCCAACACTAAAAGTCTGCAGAATTATCATAGATCCTTTTTTGTCTATGGTTTAAGATATCTTGTCCCAAACATGCATGAGTATAAGTAAAAACAACTGAGCATCAAAGCTGAGAAAATGCGAGGACTGTAACATACTAATTTAAAATGCAGTACAGATTGGGCACTGCTCACCAATATGCATTGTGGCATCGAATGATTCTCAGGTTATGGAGGATTATGAAAAACACAAAAAGAAGCCAGTGCACCTTAAGGAATTCAGAAAAAGCCATACAGTTGAACTTTATAAAAAATAAATTGGGTTTTAGGAATTACACAGGTAATCTTAACCATATCACCCTACCCCAGTCTCACCAGATCATTGGGTCTTGCAGAGCCAATTTACTAAAAAAGCAAGTATCTATCTATTTATTTTCGTAAAAGTGTAAATTACTCCTTTTGATCTTTAGTCCTATAAATTTTGACAAATGCATGCAGTCTATGTAACCACTACCACATCAATCAAAATATGAAACTGTTCCATTTTCTCCCCCAAACTCCTTCATGTCTTTTATTCTAAACCATACCCCCATACCCAACTCCTGAAAGCGCTTGTCTGATATCTGTTTCTGTAGTTTTACCTTTTCTAAAAGGTCGTGTAATTGAAGCCATGATAGAGTATGTAGTCTTTTGAAACTGGCTCATCTCAATCATCCCAAAGCCCTTGAGATTCATCCATGTTTTGTGTATCAATAACTCGTTCCTTTTTATTGCTAAGAAGAATTCCACGTATGGGTGTGCCGTAGCTTGTCAATCTGTTCACTTCATTGAAGGACAGTTTGTTTCCAGTTTTTGGTGATTATAAAGAGTGCACCGTATACATCTTCAAATAGGTTTTTCGTAAAGTTTTTACTTTTCTTGGGAAGACACCTAGGAGTGGGACAGCTGAGTCATATATTAAGTGTATATCTAACTTTATACAAAACTGGAAAACTATTGAATTTACTTTTACAATAAATATTGAAAAAACATATAGAGGCGTCCCTCTTATCTATGACTTTTCTTCTGCTAAAACTAGTATGTGATGTTTTTCTCTTATAGTTTATTTAACCTTGAGGTGTTTAGTTCTAATATCATTCAAGAGTCACTTCTATTGAAAAGACTTGGGAAATTGATGCTTTAAGAGTAGACAAGGAGGCTAAAGAAAAAGGTGAGTCTTGTTTTGTTTTGTTTTGTTTTGTTTTCATAGAAGCCTCAGGAGGTATGAAGTTGCCTGAGAGAACCCCTGCTTCTGTTAAGAGTATGGTCAGTCACCTTAGGGTTAGAGAGGGTTTCTGGAAACTCATGGGGACTAAATTATTAGTAAAAAGCAGGTACAGACAACTCTGGCTCGAAAAATTAGAAAGTCATTGAATGTTTGGAAGGAAGATTAGCATAGAAAACACAATATATCTGCCTTTGAGTACACTGCTTCATCAAAGCACAGTGAATTTATGTGTATCATTGTTTCTGAAAGGAACGTGAGATCCTGAAGGAGATGGAAAATGGAAATAAACATTATGGTATCCACTAATACTCATGTAAAATATATAATATGTTACTGACAGCACCATATTTGTGGTTTGTGCATTTTATTTTAAGAAATATGAGAGGAAGTATTGAGCCTGTGAGAGTTTTAATTACAACCTAAGTTCCAATCTACCCATGTGTTCCTAAATCTCTCACTGTGGCTTCTTCTACCATGGAAGCTTTCGAAACAAACCTTTGCCTTTAAGGAGAAACTGCCTTATGATAGTTAAGTTTTAGTAAGGACATTAAGATCAGTATATTATTGTTGTTGTTAGTGTGTGTGTGTGTGTGTGTGTGTGCACGCCCACACACACTTCGGATGCTTTAATTATTGGCTTAATTAAACAGATTTAGAAAGGAAAAATAACCAACAAAGTCTACTGATGCAAATCTGTTGAAATTCTTAGAAAACTAAATGTATTGCTTTATGAAAGTTGATGACAAAATAAAAATATTAGAATGAGGGGAGAATCAAACCAAGCTGTAATAAAATAATTTTTAACATTGAATACAAAAAATCTGTAAAAACATAGAAAATGATAAGGAGTGAAAGCATCTTTTAAAATTTAGTAATGTAATAGAGTAATTTCAAATTTATTTCCACATTTTGGGACTTGGGTGAGGAATGTCCATGGGTCAGGAGAAGCCAATAAGTAGACTGGAACATTCAGGAATCATAAATTATAGGAGGAGGGAATAACAGTTCAGAGCAGTGGCATTAGGCAAGAGTAACTGAGTTTACCTGAGTTTAAATCCTATTTCTTCCGCTTAAGAGCTGTGCCATCTTGGGTAAGTTACTTTACTCTAGCTGAGAGCAAATAACACCACCCTCATTGTGTTGCTGTAAGCGTTACATGAAATACTGCTTGCAGAGTTCCCAGCCCAAGGCCTAGAACATAATAAGTTCTTAGCAGTTACTGCTGCTGCCCATTTGAGTAACAGTAGCTAAAATTAACCCAGAAAGACTGATTTCCTTTTACTTTTTTCCTTATAAGCACCAACAAATTTAAACTGATGCTTAGGATCTTTGACCTAATATTAGAACTTGGCTTGTCATGGAGATTTGGAGCAAAAAGGAAATGAAGATATCATTTCTAGCTGCTTCTTTGACAGATGAGGAAACTGAGTCACATAGAGATTGTTACTTTCCAAAGTCCTACATGCCCGTAGTGCCGGACCCAGGACTAAAACATCCAGCTGTCTGTTCCCAGCTCAGAGCTCCTTCCGCATCACCACTAAGTGACTTCAGGTCACTAAGCACAGATGCACACGTATAATCCTGCTTACTCACTTCTCATCTTCTAAAATTTTAAAAGAACAGATCTTTCATCTTCTACAGTTTGTATTTTTCCCATCTTTGAAGACCGATCAAGGGAATAGATATTACTAATTGGAAATATTAACCAAGAGCATTAAAGAAACTGGTACATTCTCAAGTGATCTCACTTTCAGTATAAATTTATATCTATATTCGAATTGACCATGCCCTTTCCAAATGCTGCCATCTCAGGAGAGCCCATTTCAGGTTTTGCTCATATTAGCATACACTGCTGTAATCTGCAACATTTTTTCTCCTTAGAGCATTTATGGGTTTAAACATTTTCTATATGTAGAGGTCTTTCGTTCCCTTTCAAGATTCTAACAAAGAAGCACTCACAATGTCATTAAAGGAGATATCAGGATGGGGGTTCTGTCTAAAATTTGATCTGCATTGACAATTGCTTCGAATTTTAAGCCTCCTGGTAATGATCCTAACACTTCAAAGTTAAACGGTGCTTACTGCACCATGAAATATAAATGAAAGCTTGACTTCCTACTGTACCAAAGGACTGTAAACAATCCCACACCTGTGCACAATTTATAGTAAATCAAGCATTCTGAATATCATTTCATGTTGAATATTTTAAGTGCCTTTAATAAAGATGATGTGATTTGTAAGTCACAAAATGAAGCCAATCTAAATAGGAGTTATTAAAAAAGAATAATAACTATTTAACTAAGCATCCTTTTCTCCTGGCAGTGTGATTCATTTCATCAGCTTGCTCAATTAAAAAAAAATAACAAATATTCTTGGCAAGTAAAGCCCACTCAAATTTGAATCACATCTGGGTTTTATTAAAGGTAAGCTACTGAAAGCCTTTGAACTTAAACTTCATCAAGCATTTCAAATTGTTCCCGTAGATGTATCTACGCATACAGAGGGATGAAGGCTGAGGCAGCTACTTGAAGAAGGAGGAAGAAAATAATCTGTCCTTTTCCTAAACCTGATTTGTCTCTGTGATTAGAATTTATCTGTCTAATCTATTTATCTATCTATCTATCTATCTATCTATCTATCTATCTATCATCTATTATCTTTGTGTCTATCTAAATGCTGCTCTCTCAGAAGTGGAATGTTAGGTGATGTGGTGCTCTGTTACCTTAACAGATGCCTTCATGTACATGGTGCATGCAAAGTAATGCATTTCTGGGTATTGGTCTTAACTATAACTGACTCTTTTCTACCTAAGAAGATTAATAATGGCAATAAACCATCCTGGTCCTTGATCACTTCTGATGGTAGCATTATAAAGTAGACATGAGTTTGAGAACATGTTTCCTAAGCCCCAGTTTCTGCCTCTAGTTAAGGGGCCAGCTACAACTTAGGAAAAGCTCTTACAATTTTCACTTTTGTCTCCTCAAATTGTAAGTATGCTACAACTTGTGCAAAATTAATTCCTGGCATCACTGTAGTTTTTACCAAAAGATGTACTTTTTTTTGGAGAAATATATGGTTCTTCATTGATCCCAGTGTAAAAATGTCACGTGAGCTGTCAAAAGTTGATTGTCTTTAAAGGGATGATTTGTATGATATGTGAACTGTATCTCAATCAAGCTATTAGGAAAAAAAAAAAGCTGATTGCATGATAAGGACAAATTTCTCAACAAGAGTTTTGTTTTGCCAGTGTGAAATCACATAAGGTTGTATGTCCTCATTGAAATCTGTTCTGTTTTTGTCCTTTGAGAAAGGTAAGCCAATTTTACAGTCATTATTAGTCCTGTAACCAATGAGTAACTATTCTAAGGACAAGACATATGAGAGTGAGTTAGACCCTTGGAGGAGTCAAAGTAGTGCATCAGATGTTCTGTCGTGTACAGGGATGGTAAATTTCCACTCCTCACCCCCACCTTTGCCATCATTGATCGAGTCATGCTTTCTTCCTGGTGACTGAGCTCATCTGGGCACATGTCCCAGGCTGAGGCTTTGGCAACCAGAGCTTGGTGTGGGAGTGGCAGGAATTGAGCTACTGGGTACTGCAGGGTCAGGAAGCAAGGGACAGTCCAGACAGCCAAATCCAAACATGTGAGTGGAACAGCAAAATCCACCTCGAATGCAAACAGTCTGAACCAAAGGAGAGGCATGTGGGAGCAAGTGGATTTTGGGGGTGGTGGAAAGAAGCAATGGAACACAGAGAAGGTTTTGTTTTCAGCTCTGCCATCATATGACCATGGACAAGTCTTTTATTCTCTTAGTTTTAATTTCCCCAGGTGTAAAATGAAGAGATTAAGAAATGACCTTTGAGGAAGTCCTCTTACTCTCATATTCTTTGCCTTCCCATGCCCACGTAGGTAGAAGACTACATTACACAAATTGAAAGCTGTAGGATCATTGAGATCAATAAGTTTTCAACACGGTAGAATTCACTTTTGCTCATTTCAAGTTAATTAGTTGTTTCTAATTTGCAGTTTTGTCTCATGCTCTTTGGGACTTCTATAAGAAAACATTCTTTAAAAATATAAATATAGGAGAACTTGCTGCCCTTTCTTAATCTGTACCAAGAAAATATTTCTGATGTTTTTAAAAGAGCTTATTAGTCCAGGGTATTGATATTTACTAAGTGTGCCTTCTTTTATGGGTACATTTTATTAAGCAGGGATTTGGGTCAGAGTTCTTAAACTGATAGCATGCCAGCTGCATTGTACTTGCAGATATTTCATTTGGTTCATACAATATTTTATAATAATTTAAATTCATTGCTACATTTTAAAATGAATAGATTTTAACATGGAAAAAACAAGCTTTTTGGCTTTTCTTCAAACATAGGAAGATCTGGCAACACGAACCCTACATTCTTGAATGATAATACATGTCTGGAGTTGAGTCCCAACTGCCCCTTACAGATGACTTGGGCCTCTGCAGTTTACCATGGTTACCACCAAGCCATATGAGACATATTCTTGGAAATATATGACATAGCACCCCACTGCAGAGGGATGCTAGGGTTAAGCTTATAACAAGTACTTATTAAGTATCTACTTTTTCTAGCACTATGTGAGAAATGTGAGATTATATAGTTTATTCCTTCATGTAATAGATATTTATTTAGGACCTACTATGTGTCAGGTACTGTTCTAGGTACTGGGGATACTGTGATGAACAAAACATGATTTAATGCAGCTTTTACTTTAGTATGAGAAAAAGGTAATGAATCAGGAAATAATATCCTAGCTGGGCCTGGTGGTGCATGCCTGTAGTCCCAGCTACTCATGTGACTAAGGGAAAAGAATCGCTTGAACCCGGAAGGCAGATGCTGCAGTGAGCCGAGATCACACCACTGCACTCCATTCTGGGTGACAGAGCGAGACGTTGTCTCAATAAATAAATAAATAAAATAAAATAAAATAAATAATATCAGATTTTGGTAAAGGCTATGAAATAACATGGGGTAGGGAAAGGGATAGTAAATGAAGAATGGTATTCAAGGGGAAGACAGGTAACCCAGTGACTACAGGAATGTGTGCTCGGGACTCTGAGGGGGTTTACACAGTATGTTGCAAGTACACATAAAGCAGGGCTTTTCATCTGGAATTCAGCACTTAGCAATAGCTATTGGCAGGACCTGAGTAGAATCCTGAAGAACAAAGAGGAACGTTGGTGGCTGACTGAGTAGGCAAACCAACCACTAGCTAAGTTACAGCAGCAAGGCAATGTCACCTCAAAAATAAGTTCAGTTTCAGGGAGCTTACATGGGAGCAAAAACCCTAGAGTAATCTGTTCTAACTTCCAAATATGTGTTTTGTCTTTTATGATTGAGCATTGCTTTTAACTTGAAAAGCATATGAAAAAGGGGCACAACAATTTCTTTTCAGTGGTTGTGGTTGGTAAAAGACATAAACAGGCAGGGCCCTACAAAGCAACATCAACCTATAGCACAGTGCTCAAGACACAGATTCTGAAGGGAGTTTGGCATGTTCGAAGATCTTAAAGGAATACTTGCATAGTGCTAGAGTGTATGGTGTAGGGAAGAAAGTGGTGAGAGTTGACCATACAGGAGTAGCAGCTATTGCTAGGTAAGTGCCTGGGCTCAGTTTAATCCCAAAGGTCAAGAAGAGAAGATGCTACAAATAACAACATATTTGGCCAACTCACCAGCATAATGGCCAGCTTCATGAGCCAACATGAAAAAAGAACTACAGTGGTGTCTTTACACAGGAGAATGCCATTTTTTTTTTTTTGTAAGAGGATAAAGAGCATGAGCTATATTTACAAGGTTGCAGTAACTGCTTTTTTATTTAAAAAGTTTATTTTACACACCCAGCAAGAAATAAATGGCGTGCTGAAACTGTGTAATGGAAAACATTTTAATAGAGGGGTTATTTACAATGATTGGGAAGGGTTTGAGGCAACCAAGGGATTGCACAATATCCTGGGCAAGGAGAAGAATGGTTATCTTTGAGCTACACTAATATGGTTTGGCTGTGTCCCCACCCAAATCTCAAGCTGAATTCTATCTCCCAGAATTCCCACATGTTATAGGAGGGACCCAGGGGGAGGTAATTGAATCATGGGGGCTGTTCTTTCTCATGCTATTCTCGTGATAGTGATTAAGTCTCATGGATCTGATGGTTTTATCAGGGGTTTCCACTTTTGCTTCTTCCTTATTTTTCTCTTGCCACCACCATGTAAGAAGTGCCTTTCACCTCCCGCCATGATTCTGAGGCCTCCCCAGCCATGTGGAACCATAAGTCCAATTAAAGCTCTTTTTCTTCCTGGTCTCTGGTATGTCTTTATCAGCAGCGTGAAAATTGGCTAATACAGTAAATTGGTACCAGTAGAGTGAGACGTTGCTGAAAATATACCCAAAAATGTGGAAGTGAATTTGGAACTGGGTAACAGGCAGAGGTTGGAACAGTTTAGAGGGCTCAGAAGAATATAGAAAAGTAGGAAAGTTTGGAACTTCCTAGAGACTTGTTGAATGGCTTTGAAAAAAATTGCTTATAGTGATATGAACAATAAGGTCCAGGTTGAGGTGGTCTCAGATGGAGATGAGGAACTCATTGGGAACTGAAGCAAAGGTGACTCTCGTTATGTTTTAGCAAAGAAACTGGTGGCATTTTGCACCTGCCATAGAGATTTGTGGAACTTTGAACGTGAGAGAGATGATTTAGGGTATCTGGTGGAAGAAATTTCTAAGCAGCGAAGCATTCAAGAGTGACTTGGGTGCTGTTAAAGGCATTCCATTTTCAAAGGGAAACAGTGCATAAAAGTTCAGAAAATTTGCAGCCTGATGATGCAGTCGAAAAGAAAAACCCATTTTTTGATGAGAAATTCAAGCTGGCTGCAGAAATTTGCATAAGTAGCAAGGAGCCTAATGTTAATCCCCAAGATCATGAGGAAAATGTTTCCAGGCCATGTCAGAGACCTTCACAGCAGCCCCTCCCATCACAGGCCTGGAGGCCCAGGAGGAAAATGTGGTTTCATGGGCCGGGCCCAGGGTTCCCGTGCTGTGGCACCCTAGGGACTTGGTGCCCTCTGTCTCAGCTGCTCCAGCCATGGCTGATAGGGACCAATGTAGAGCTCAGGCTGTGGCTTCAGAGGGTGGAAGCCCCAAGCCTTAGGGGCTTCTATGTGGTGTTAAGCCTGCAGGTGTAAAGAAGTCCAGAATTGAGGTTTGGGAATCCGGCTAGATTTCAGAAGATATATTGAAACGCCTGGATGCCCAGGCAAAAGTTTGCTGCAGGGGTGGTACCCTCATGGAGAACCTCTGCTAGGGCAGTACAGAAGGGAAATATGGGGTCAGAGCCCCACACAGAGTCCTTACTGGTGCACTGCCTAGTGGAGCTGTGAGAAGAGGGTTACTGTCCTCCAGATCCGAGAATGGCATATCCACCAACCGCTTGCACCATGCACCTGGAAAAGCTGCAGACACTCAATGCCAGCCCATGAAAGTAGCCAAGATGGGGGCTATACCCTGGAAAGCCATAGAGACGGGGCTGCTCAAGACCATGAGAACCAACCACTTGCATCAGTGTGACCTGGATGTGAGACCTGGAGTCAAAGGAGATTATTTTGGAGCTATAAAATTTGACTGCCCTGCTGGATTTCAGACTTGCATGGGCCCTGTAATCCCTTGTTTTGGCCAGTTTCTCCCATTTGGAATGGCTGTATTTATCTAATACCTGTACCCCTATTGTATCTAGGAAGTAACTAGCTTGCTTTTGATTTTACAGGTTCATAGGCAGAAGGCACTTGCTTTGTCTCAGATGAGACTTTGGCTGTGGACTTTTAGGTTAATGCTGAAATGAGTTAAGACTTTGGGGGACTGTTGGGAAGGCATGATTGGTTTCGAAATGTGAGGACATGAGATTTGGAGGGGCCAGGTTTGGAATGATATGATTTTGCTGTGTCCCCACCCAAATCTCAAGTTGAATTCTATCTCCCAGAATTCCCATATGTTGTGGGAGGGACCCAGGGGGAGGTAACTGAATCATGGGTCCCAGTCTTTCCCGTGCTATTCTCATGATGGTGAATAAGTCTCACGAGATCTGACGGATTTATCAGGGGTTTCCTCTTTTGCTTCTTCCTCATTTTCTCATTTTTCTCTTGCCACCAACATGTAAGAAGTGCCTTTTGCCTCCTGCCATGATTCTGAGGCCTACCGAGCCGTGTGGAACTGTAAGTCCAGTTAAACCTCTCTTTCTGGTATGTCTTTATTAGCAACATGAAAATGGACAACACATACCTGCAGAGTGCTGTCTCACAGAAGGTTTGGTAGAGGGTCATAGCCAATCCATGGTAACTCATCAGGAAATAATACCTCCCAACTTATACTCATTCTGCCTTCAGATTGTTTATTGGCTCCCAATGACCAAAGCCAGCAGAAGAGTGCAAAAGAGTGCACTGATGCTGTCCATGCAGGACAGCCTCAAAGGGTGGAGAAAGTTAGAGTACACCTGGAGGCGGAGAAAAAATATTCACAACAGTTATTTAAGATATATTTTTTATCTGAATGAAATCATTTTCAACATAAAGCATTACAGGAAATTGTAACAGAGATGAACTGGAACTGCTTTGGATGTCTTACCTGTACATTTCAATCATGACATTAACATTAACATTAATACATATCACTTAAATATTCCAACATGATTTTCTTGCATTATACAATTTAAATAACTTTCCAAAAGCCTTACAACACCTCTCTATGGAAAGCAAGACAGGTATTCTTATTTATCTTTCTTCACCGTTTTACACACCAGTAAATGAGGATCAGAAAGGCCAAGTGAGTTACTGAATATCACAAGGTCACAAAACTTGTCAGAGCCAGAGTGTACTTAGGTCTTCTGTCATCTCCAGCTGATTTTCTGTAATCCCTAAAGATGGGTTAATCCTGGCTGTTCATTCTCAGGAAAAGAAAAAAACTAATTTTAAAAATTAATCATATGGTATAAATGCTTATCTATATAAGTCCAGGCTTTGGGGCTGAATAATCAGTAGAGCTAAAGTTTACTCCTTTACTAGGTGTCAGATGCCTTTTAAGTTGCTTAGCATAAATTATTTCATTTATTTCTGACTATTCCCTCAGTCTGGAGTGCTTCTTCCCCTAGAAACCTACATGGCTTACTCCCCCACTTCCTTCTGGTCCCTATACCAGTATCACCTTAATTGAGAGGTCTTCCTTGACCATGCTAAACCCCTTTACCCCCACAACCTGGCCCCGACATTCTCTAGCCCTGCGCTACCTGATAGAAACATAACATAGGGGGCTGAGAGCAGTGGCTCATGCCTGTAATCCCAACATTTTGAGAGGCTGAGGTCAGGAGTTTGATCACCTGAAGTCAGGAGTTTGAGACCAGCCTGGCCAACACGGTGAAACCCTGTCTCTACTAAAAATACAAAAATTAGCTGGGCATGGTGGCATGCACCTGTAATCCCAGCTACTTGGGAGGCCGAGACAAGAGAATCACTCGAACCTAGGAGGTGGGTTTTGTAGTGAGCCAAGATCGCACCACTGCACTTCAACCTGGGCGACAGAGCAAGACTCTTGTCTCAAAAAAAAAAAAAAAAAAAAAAAAAGGAAAAGAAACATAACATGAACCACAAATGCAAGTCACATATGTAATTTTAAATTTTCTTGTAGTCATATTTGAAATAAGCAAAACAAGGAAAATTAATTTAAATAATGTATTTTACTTAATAATATATCAAAAGTATTATTTCAACATTATCAATGTAAGCTATTCATGAAATGTTTTATATTCCCTTTTTCATACTAAGTCTTCAAACTCTTGTATTTACATTTAGAGTGCATCTGGTAAATACACTCTGTTTACATGTAGAATGCATCTCACTTTGGACCAGCCACATTTTTTTGTATTTAATTTAAATTACTTTATTTCATTTTTTTTTATTATTATACTTTAAGTTCTGGGATACATGTGCAGAATGTGCAGGTGTGTTACATAGGTATACACTTGCCATGGTGGTTTGCTGCACCCATCAACCTGTCATCTACATTAGGTATTTCTCCTAATGCTATCCCTCCCCTAGCCCCTCACCCCCTGACAGGCCCCGGTGTGTGATGTTCCCCTCCCTGTGTCCATGTGTTCTCATTGTTCAACTCCCACTTATGAGTGAGAACATGCGGTGTTTGGTTTTCTGTTCTTGTGTTAGTTTGCTGAGAATGATGGTTTCCAGCTTCATCCACGTCCCTGCAAAGGACATGAACTCATCCTTTTTTATGGCTACATAGTATTCCATGGGGTATATGTGCCACATTTTCTTTATCCAGTCTATCATTGATGGACATTTGGGTTGGTTCCAAGTCTTTGCTATTGTGAACAGTGCCACAATAAACATACATGTGCATGTGTCTTTATAGTAGAATGATTTATAATCCTTTGGGTATAAACCCAGTAATGAGATTGCTGGGTCAAATGGTTTTTCTGGTTCTAGATTCTTGAATTGCCACAGCGTCTTCCACAGTGGTTGAACTAATTTTCATTCCCACCGACAGTGTAAAAGCATTCCTATTTCTCCACAGCCTCTCCAGCATCTGTTGTTTCCTGACTTTTTAATGACTGCCATTCTAACTGGCGTGAGATGGTATCTCGTTGTGGTTTTGATTTACATTTCTCTAATGACCAGTGACAATAAACTTTTTTTTTTTATGTTTGTTGGCTGCATAAATGTCTTCTTTTGAGAAGTGTCAGTTCATATCCTTTGCCCATTTTTTAATGGGTTTGTTTGTTTTTTTTCTTGGAAATTCGCTTAAGTTCTTTGTAGATTCTGGATATTTGCTTGAGGGAGCATATATGCAGGCTTGCTACATGGATATATTGCATAATGGTGAGGTTTGAGATTCTAGTGTATCCATCAACCAAGTAGTGAACACTGTACCCAAGAGGTACTTTTTCAACCCTCAGTCCCTTCTCAGCCTCCTTGTTTTTGGAGTCCCCAGGGTCTATTATCTTTATCTTTATGGTGACTTTGTATTTGTGTTCATTGTTTAGCTCCAAATTATAAGTAAGAACATGTTGTATTTAATTTTCTGTTTCTGAGTCATTGCACTTTGGATAATAGCCTCCAGCCCCATCATGGTGCTGTAAAAGATATGATTTTGTTATTTTTATGGCTGAATAGTTATTCCATGATATATATAGAGCACATTTTCTTTATTCAATAATCTGTTGATGGACACCTAGGTTAATTCCATGACTTTGTTATTGTGAATAGTGCTGCAATAAACATATGTGTGCAGGTGTCTTTTTTACATAATGATTTCTTTTCCTTTGAGTAGATAGTCAAGTAGTGGGATTAATGGGTTGAATAGTAGTTTTACCTTTACTTTTTTGAGAAGTCTCCATACTGTTTTCCATAGAGGTTGCACTAATTTACATTCCCACCAACAGTGTATGTTTTCCATTTTTTCCATATCCATGACGATATCTGTTGGTTTTTTGCTTTTTAATAATAGCCATTCTGACTGGTGTAAGATGGTATCTCACTGTGGTTTTAATTGGCATTTCCGTGATGATTAATGGTATTGAGCATTTTTTCATATGTTTTCAGGTCGCTTTTATGTCCTTTTTTGAGAAATGTCTGTTTATGTCAGTTGTTCACTTTCTATTCATTTTTTTCTTGTTGAGTTATTTGAGTTTGTTGTAGATTCTGGATGTTAGTCCTTTGTCAGAGGCATAATTTGCAAATATTTTCTCCCGTTCTGTAGATTGTCTGCTTACTCTGTTGATTATTTCTTTTGCTGTGCAAAAGCTTTTTAGTTTAATTAAGTCCCATTTGTCCATTTTTGGTTTTGTTGCAATTGCTTTTGAGTACTTAGTTACAAATGGACCAGCCACATTTTAAGTATTCAATAGCCATATAGGACTAGTGGCTATCATATTAGACAGTACAATTCTGTACCCTTTACTCCACATCACTTTTATTCGTTTTACTAATATAAAGCTCAGCATGGGCAAATAGGACACTCAAAACAAATCACGAAACTTTTTATTGTCAGAGATAAAGACAGAATTCAACTTACCACTATTTACATTATATATTGATTTCTTGTCTTTTTTTCATGTGATTATATGCTTTTTGAGAGCAGGAAAATTAATCTATGTTATTCACTGTTGTATCTGCAATATGTGGAATAGCATCTCACCCAAAGTAAGCACTCAAATCTTTTTTCGATGAATAGGAATCTCATGAAGTAGCTTCAGCTTTTACTACCTCCCTTTAACGATGAGGAAGCAGAGGTACAAGGAGGCTAAGTACCTCTCCCTAAGTCACACAGCCAGTTAATGGATTTCTACCTAGGCAGGCTGCTCTTAGAGAACAAGTACTTAACCTAAGCTCTTCTGCTGAATTAAACAATATGCAAACACACTGATGAGAATGATATATAAACTGTTACTTTTAAAAGTATTCTTGTAGTTTTCCTTTCTTTTAAATAATATTAAAACAAAGAAATATTAACAGGATACAAACAGGTAAATAAAATACTAACTTCAGGTTCCTTATTACCAGCCAGAGAAAACCAATTCAGAGGTAATGTGCTTGCTCCCTTCAGGTCCCAGTAATTGTATGCTCTACTGATTTATGGGGAGGTTGACTCAGGAGTAGATTTTCCCCCACAATAAAGCACTGTTTTGTAGAAGCTAAGTTTCATTATTTTGTGGGATAGTTCCTTCTAAATGCATTGTAGAAGCTTGATGGACAATGATCAATTTTTTAAAGAGCTACTGTCTGATGGATATGGGTATGTTGTGTGGATACACAGTTATGCCGATTGGATCAGAAAGCCTATTATTCATTGATTAAATGGTGTAAGAGGGAAATGTTTGTTTAAGTGCTCTGGATGGTAGCTGAATTTACTGCCTGGGTTTCACTCATATGGGCCAGCTTCTACATGACTGTATATAATGATTATGTGCTGTCAAAACACAATGAATATAATAATAACAACCAATATTTGTAGTGTGTTTTCTCTGTGACATGTATGTAAGGGACCAGGGATTATCGCCAGCATGCTTAGGCATAAGAGTTTACTATCTCCATTTCATAGATAAAGTAACTAAGACATGGAGAGATTCAGTAAATTCCCCAAGGTTGACCACCTGCTAAGTGTCAGGGCTCTCACTTAAATAATCTAATTCCAAAGTCCGTGTTCAAACTCTCCACCACTTCCTTTACCTTTTAAACATCCTGACTGATCAGTCCTCAGTCTTCTCTCTACTCTGAAAACACTTCAGAGGAAGTACACTCTGATGGCCTTGGAGCCAAAGAGAACTGAGTCCCCATCCAACTCTGACACTTAATAGTTGTAGGAAATTGGGCAAAATGATTTACCGATCTGGACCTCACTTCTCTTATTTGTAAAACAGGGCTATAATACCACTAGCACTGTTATGATGAGAATTCATATATGGGAGTTGCTTAGCACAGGGTCTACCATTTAGAAGACATGGAAATGGCAATTATCTTTATAATTACAAAGTACTTTGGGAGAATTAAATACCATTCTTATTAACACTACATCTTTTCACTGTAACAACAGGTAGCAGCAATTAAAATGACAAGGGAATGCTTTTTAAAGGAATAAAATGAAATATGTTTATTAACTTTATATATATATATAATATATATTTAACAGCACCTGCAGTTTGACTAGCAAGGATAAAATTGTTATGAGGATTATAAGATCTCATACTCCTGGGCATAGCTTGATGACTGGCTGAGGTCAAGGATAAATTTTCTCTATGGTGTTGTAGAGCATGGTAAGGATCATTTGACGAGTTTTATACTTTCCATTGAAGCATCTGGCATTATCTGAGAAAGAGACCTGGCATTAGCTGGATGGGCTATTGGTCAGTTCCACTTAGGCTATAATATATACTGTATCCTGCAGCGATGCTTGCTTAAAATCACACATCTGCAACCCAACCTTTGAACTAAAAAGTGCTGCACCAGGTAGCATCTTGCTGATGACACACATTTTGCAAACCAGGCTATATCCCTTGAGTATTACCATCCACTATGGATCAGCTTCACTTTCTCTCAGCTCTCGAAAATCACCTGTCTCCAGAGGCATCCAAAGATTAATTTAAAAGGGAAAAGAAAAGTAATTTCCGAAAGCTACTTTAAAAGAGAAAAATAACTCCATTACACTGCCCTTCTTGTGATGTCCTTTGGATGTCTGACTCTGCTTTTCACATCGCGCTTTTGTATTCCGGGAGGTGATAAGATGGTAACACTTACAATGATGATGGCAAATATATGTTCATTTATACACAACTCCTATGTTTCAGGCACTTCACATACCTTATATCTCATCTTCAATATAATGTTCCCATTTTACAGAGAAGTTAAATGACTTATTAAATCACAGAAGCAATTTTGTGGTGGAGCTAAAATTCAACTCCGGGACTGACTCACTTTAAAAGCCAAGCTGATGCATGCTTCCTTCTTCCCTTCCTCTCTGCTTTCATTTTCTTCCCTTACATCTCCTTTCATCTATTTTTTAAAATTCTCCTTCTTTTTGCTTGTTTGTTTTAATTAGACTCAGTGAAGTTAAATAACTGGCCCGACACTACACAGTTAGTAAGAAGTGGATCTCAATTGGAGTCATGAGGTTGCTTAATTAAAATACATAACAAGAAGCATTCTAAGTTATGCTTAATCACTGTCACATGTTCGAACACCCAAGATTTCATCTTTTGTCTAGATGCACACAAATGAGCACTCAAGTTGCCAAGCAGGGGATTACTTCACCATAGTTCACCATAATTCTGATTTCTCTTTGTTTTCCGAATTGTCTTTCTCTATCGAGCAAGGGATGCTGCAAGATCCAAGAATCTTCCCTGAGTACCCAGATCTGGCTGTGACCAGTTACTGTTCCAGAGGGCTGAGAGAAAGCAGATTCAGGCCATATTGAGCAGGAGAATCCCCTAACCTGAGCTCCTTCCACTTTTTTCTGGTGCTTTTTGAGTGTGTACCAGAATTGTGAGGTTTGTCCTATGAGCCCTTCTTGCATCAGGAGGTACTCCTTAAAATATTTTCTAGGCTGGGCGCGGTGGCTCACGCCTGTAATCCCAGCACTTTGGGAGGCCAAGGTGGGTGGATCATGAGGTCAAGACCATCCTGGCTAACACGGTGAAACCCCGTCTCCACTGAAAATACAAAAAATTAGCCGGGCGTGGTGGCGGGCGCCTGTAGTCCCAGCTACTCGGGAGGCTGAGGCAGGAGAATGGCTTGAACCCGGGAGGCGGAGCTTGCAGTGAGCCGAGATCGCGCCACTGTACTCCGGCCTGGGCGACAGAGCGAGACTCTGTCTCAAAAAAAAAAAAAAAAAAAGCCAGGCGTAGTGGCACGCGCCTGTAGTCCCAGCTACGCAGGAGGCTGAGGCAGGAGAATCGCTTGAACCCGGGAGGTGGAGGTTGCAGTGAGCCGAGGTCGCGCAACTGCACTCCAGCCTGGGTGACAGTGAGACTCCGTCTCAAAAAAAAAAAAAAAAGAAAAAAAAAGATTTTCTAAAAAGATTTCCTAAAGTTTTACAGTATTAATATTTTTGTCTGGAGTTGACTCTCTTCTCTGGCTAAATGATACATCATTTTTTATTTTTTAAATTCATAAAACATTTATTGGCTTTTGATTTCCATACATCTATGAAACACGTTTAAAAACCTTTAAAAATAGTCAATAGGGAGATGATTCCAGTATTTCTAACACCTGTTATACTTTACAAAGGACATATACTTTTTTGGTTTATGAATTTTAGCATGATTCCTCTTGGTATCCCATCTTTATGGATGAGAAAAATGGAAACCCAAGGAGGTCAAGTGGCACAAGTGTACACAGCTTAAAAATGGCAAAGCTTTGCCAAGCTTTGGTGTTCTGATTGTAAGTTTCCTTTGCTTGAGTTTCCTTATAAAGCAGAGCCTGAGACAAGGGTCTATACTGTAAGTGTTTCATTTAAAACAAAGGAAGAATAAAAGAGTGTGGGACTAACAAGAGGGAAGCAAAGGTATGCCCCCAAGATGATCACTGATATGGGCAACTAGGCTCAGTAACACTGGGTTCCTCTGCGTTGCTGTGGACAATAGTCTCAGAAGCTTCCACTCAGACACAGAAGAAGGAAGCATTTGTCCACCAGCTCCCATTTCCCTTTGGGTATGAGTGTCACCGTAGGATGTTAATATATCCAAATTTGCACATGTATGTGAACTCAGCTTCCATAGTTATCCCTCATTGAGGTATCAGAAAAGCTCTGGGGAAGAAAGTCAGAGATACCCTTTGTACCCATTGTAGGCAAGGAGTTCTCTGGGTACAAAGTTGTCTGTGTGATGCTAGTTGCCACAAATATAACTGGAAAAGATGGCAAAGAGGTTATTAGGAACTCACAATAAATGTCCAATAAATAAATTTTCTACTTTATTTAAAATAGTGATTACCTTCAAGGAGTGAGCAGTATATTGGAGGAAGCTGACAGATGTCTGGATAATGATAATAAAATTCTGGACAGTAGCATCCATATCGGTAGCTCAGACAAAGACATGGTTATTCTGCCTGAGACACATGGGAATTGTGATGGCCTGAAAAACTTCACAAAGGCAACTTCTGACCTAAGCCTGAACAAAATGTATCAGAAGAAGGGGTGGCAAAAGAATACCTTCTAAGGAGAATATAGGAAGACGAATGAAGACATGCACTCTTTGGGAGGGATAGGTGTTCTGCGTGCTTGTGGCATTCTGCGTAGAGTGCAGCAAGGGTGTGATCAGCAGCTCAAGCTGGAAAAATACACTGGCGCTGGATTGTGAAGGCACAAAGTGACTGGTGTCAAGTAGGAAGAGGAGGGTTGAGAAGCACTTAGGACATCATTGGTGAGTTTTAATGGCCAAATATGGGAGAGTTTGGGAAGCAATCCAAACTGAGAAATCAAATTATTTTGAGGTTGGACAGAACTGAGCATGATTTTAGAAAACTGTGATTGGTGAGAGAGAAAAGCTTAACCGAGGGTAGGAAATGGATGTATTAGAAAATCCAGCAAAGTGGGAGTGTGTGAGATGGAGTCAGGAATGTAGTGGGAAAAGCCAGAAATATAAAGCCAGAAGTTTCAAATCCAGCTCCTCCACTTGTATAACAGCTGTGTGAATATGAACAAGTTCCTTAACCTCCCTAAACCTCAGGGTCTTCATCCAAAAATGTGGTTAAAAATATATGCCACCCAGAAAAGTGTTGTGAGAGGAAACAACCCAAATCTTCATTGACAGATGAACAGGTAAGCAAATTATAATATATATGTGCAGTGGAACATTATTCAGCCCTAAAAAAGAATGAAATTCTGATATGTGCTACAACATGGATGGATCTTGAAAACATTATGCTAAGTGGAGTAAGGTAAAGACAAAAGTACAAACGTTATATGACTCCACGCCTAGGAGATATTTAGAGTAGTCAGATTCATAGAGACAAAGTAGAATAGTGGTTACCAGGGACTGGGGGAGGGAATAATGGAGAGTTATTGTATAATGGGTACAGAATTTCACTTTCGGATGATGAAAACATTCTGGATTTGCATAGTGGTGATGGCTGCATGGCAGTATGAGTGTAGTTAATACCACTACCATTTTTTAAATGGTACACTTAACATTTTTAAATGGTAAATTTTATGTAAACATGTTATCACTTAAAAAACAGTATTGTGAGAATGAATGTGATCAGTGAATACAAATAATGCAGTTTTATAGCAATGATGATCAGAATTATGAAATAGCTACACACAATCTTGGTGGATGTGTGAGCAAAGAAAAAAGAAGGGGGTGGCTTGCCAAAGAAAGGAAATCAAGACACCTCTTCTTAGAAGAAAGAAAGGAGAAAAGGTTGGGCACAAATATTTGGGTCCGTTTTTGGGTAGAGGGGAAGGAGATTTAAGGAGTGTCTGACGGGTGATTTGTATCTTTTGGTGAATGAATGTGGAGGTTGAGGGTGAGGTTAGGGGCATGGGGAAAGTTACAAAACTGTGGAACATCTGCTGTGGGTGGGAAAGGAAGTAGACTGGGGAAGAATAAAAAAATTGCCAAGTAGCAGAGAGGAAGCAGCTAAGGTTGGATATGATAAATCTGCAATGGAGCCAGCGAGCGTGGCTATGTCATTTTCTCTAGCAGTACTTGGCAACACAGAAACAACCTGGAGAAACAGGCAGCTGGATTGATTTACGGTATGGCATTGGCAAGACAGCTGCGGTCAAAAGTTAAAGAGTTGAGGGAATTGAGGGTACTCCTGACAATACAATTTAATTGTTTGACCATGTGGTCCAGGCTAGAGCGGAAAGAAAGGAAAAAAGGAGGGGTTGAAAGACCGAGAAGAGACTGGACAACATTCAGGGACCACAGATTTTAATGAGGGAAAAAGGTAGTAAACAGGGATTTCTATCCGAGGGTAGAACGCCAGAGTTCCAAGATTTTGAAGGAGGAACAGTTTTAGATATTGATCACGTAGGTGCACAGGGTGATGGCAAGTGGATATGAATGATGACATGCAGCGTGGTCCCAAACTTTAATGTGCATCAGAATCATCTGAGACTCTTTAAAACACACATTACTAGGCCTAATATTCAGAGTTTCTGATTCCATAGGTCTAGGGTGGGGCCAGTGAATTTGAATATCTAACACGATCCCATTTGATGTTGACGCTGCTGGCCTGGGGATCATACTTTGAGAACCACTGGAGTAGAGCCTAGAGAAAAGTGTATGGTGAGAGTGGGTCTTCAAGGTAAGTGTTATACACAGTGGAAGATAAAGAAAGAGGACTCTGTTTAGATGCCAACATTGTCAAAGAACATGAGGAAATGAGCAGAAGGTCAGAGGATGATGACTAGGAGAATGTAAAATTAAGAAGTTAAGTTGGGTGGGGCTCAGCTTATGCTTTCTGCAAGGTTGACCTGTTGACCATCTAATCAGGACTTTACCTAATCAAAGTTCAGACTTTGGTGTGGCACTGTAGGTCTGCAGGGTCAGATAGTAGGACTCCTAGGCAAGGTTGTATCAATTACATATGCATTCCAGATAGCTTGCAGATTTATTGCCCCTTCAAATCAATATTCTTTGAATTTTCGTTATATGGATGTATATGTGTCTATATGGATGTATATGAATATGTGTGTGTGTATGGATGTATATATGTATATATGCACACACACAAACACAACACAAACATATACAGATTTATTTCATATTAAAATTATATTTATTTAGTGAGAACAAGAAAAATGGATTTTTTACTGAAATATGTTACATGTATACAAATTATATACACATTTTACGGCTAGAATAAAGGATTTTTTAATAAAATCCATGCCATACATTTTAACATATTTGTTATCTTTAATTTCAGTCTGTCAATCAAAAATATTAGTGTTTCACTTGCACTCATTAAGAGTTGTAAAGTCTCATTCAAAATATATTTCTATATTTCTCATTGGCAACTATTTGCTACTTTTTTTTTTTTTTTTGCAATTTTTCGCCCTTCTTGGAAGACGTTCTCAATTTAATCTGAGAATATTTTAGGGCAGTGATCCTCAAGGTCTCCAAATCAGTAGCATCAGTATCGCCTGGGCAATTCTTAGAAATGAAATTCTAAGGTGGTAAGGCCCAGAAATGTGTGGTAATTAGCCCTACAGGTGTTTCTGATGATGTCTGAGAATCACTGCTTTAGAGCTTCTTATATATGGATTAACCACAGACAGTTACCTGACTGACCTCCTCCATAATCTGTGCTATTACTAAGAAGCAAGCAGGTTTTCAAAGATTGATACCTGTGAACTAAATGCATATGAAATCTAAACCTAAGTGTCTAATTACTAATGTGTAGTTGAGTCTACACAGAATTTCCAGTGACTATTGTATTTATAGTTTTTCCTCAAGTCCACCCTTTTCAAGTTGCTAAAGACCCCCAATCAATCTGCAGGTTCTTTAGTGAGCATGGAAGAAAAGGGAAGTGGGTCGTTTTGAGCCACAGTTCATCTAGGTATTGTAAGTTGAATCGAGCTTATGCTGCCCCGCAACAGAGCACACACCTCTTCAGTGACTGAGTATTAGTGGTCCATTAAAGCTGGTGATGCACAAGGTAAACAGCAAAATTCTTTCTCTCTGGTCTCTATTGTTATAGTACTGTATTTTATTAGAGCATAGGCAGCTTGGCTTAACTGCTCTGAGATACGACTATTCAGTCTTTAAATGGAATAGTATTTTTTTTTTTTTTTTTTTTTGCTTCAATAAGGTGGGGCAGGACAGATGATTCTAAATCTTTTTACATCAGAAAAATCTTTAGATGTTCAGATTGCAAGTCTCAGCCATAAGAATTATGTAAGATTTGTATATTCAGGTAATCTTACTTTGTCACTGAGAATGTTTTCTTGGCTTATGTATTTAACTAGACGGCAATCTTCTTGGTTAAGGACTGTCTCTCTCCATATATATTGTAGTATGTTGTTGGAAACACAAGCACATTATAATAATTTCATAGCATGCACATACTATTTTCAGATATCCTGTTGTGCTCTTAATTGATTTTCTAAACATATGGTATAATACAAAGCTGTTGAGTGGGAACTGAGAAATCTCTCTTTGTGTCATTTTAAAAATTATAGAGCTTGGTATTTAGTTTTCATGTTGCATTCCTAGAGTTGTTAATTAAATGCATATTAGAATTTCATCAGACAGCAATAGTTTATGGAAGAATTCATGGATTTAAAAGACAGTTTATTGGATATCCATGCACTATGGGAACAGATACATTGATAAAACCACCTAAAGGAGCTGAGATTCAGAAAGAATGTAGTTAATGTCTAGCTGTGATAAAGACTTGTTTTCTAAGTTTTGTTAAATAAAGATAATTAATGAATAATGTCATTATGTGTCTCATAGTATTCATGATCTTTTCCTTCCCTAAATTATTAATTACCTTTAAATTTTGTTTCATTTGAAATAACTTATTTATAATTATAAAATTGCTATATGTCAGCTTTATTTATAATAAATACTGGACATACCAATAATGACCAATGATGGGGCATTGTTTAAACTAGTTATGGTATATCCCTAAAATAGAGTACTTGTCAGAATTTAAAATTATGTTTTAGAAGTATATTTAAGATATACAATTATTCCAACAGAACAAAGGCGGTTTCAAGCACTTATGCTTTTGCAAACTAATGTGTTTGTTCCCCTCAAATACATAGTTTTTTTAAAAAAAGAAAGCAGTAGAGGCACCAAAAATAATAGTAGAGACACCAAAAATAATAGAGGTGAGTTATGGTACTGAAGTTACCATGATGTTTAAAAAAAATTTTCTGGCCATGCCCGTAATCCCAACACTATGGGAGGCTAAGGTAGCAGGATCCCTTGAGCTTAGGAGCTCGAGCTTGCAGTAAGCTGTGACCGTGCTACTGCATTCCAAGCCTGGGTGACAGATCAAGACTCTGTCTAAAAAAAAAACAGATTTTGTTTACATTGTCAGACTTTTCTACAATAACCATATGGCTTTATTAAGCCATTCAGCTATTCTCAAATGAAACAAATCAAAATTGTACATGATCATCACTGGTGAATCATCGGTTTTTTCTTTTTATATTTATTTCCTATGAATTTAGATCCACCTTTTGCCTTAGTCAAAAACATATTAAGAGAATTTTTAGGGCAATAAAACTGTTCTTTATGATACTATATATATCATTATACATTTGTCCAAACCCAGGGAATGTACAACACCAAGAGTGAGCCTTAATGTAAACCTTAATGTAAACTATGAACCCTGGACAATAATGATGTGTTGATGTAGGTTCATCAGTGGTAACAAATGAACACTCTGGTGGGGGATGTTGATAATGGAAAAAGCTATACATGTGTAGCGGCCGAGGGTATATGGGAAATTGCTGTGCTTTCCTGTGCAATATTGCTATGAACATAAAACTGCTCCAAAAAGTGGCCTATTAATAAAAAAAATTATGAGTTATACATATTCGTTTTATTGTCTATTGCTACTTAACAAACGAACTCCAAAAGCAACTGGCTTACACGATAACAATGTTATTTTTCATAATATATTTTGGGTTTGAGCACTTCCTCTGCCTATTTTATCTGGCTCATTCATATAGCGGCATTTATCTTGTGGGTCACCTGGGTTATAAGGTCTAAGATGACCCCACGCATGTTTCTGGAGGTTGCTGCTGGCTGTTGACTGTGGATCTGGGTTCTCCGTTTGTATAACCTCTTACTCTCCCAGAAGCTGGTCTGGCTTCCTTACCTATTGTTCTCCAGACAATATTACCAGAGAGCCAGGGCAGGAGCTGCAGGGTCTCTTGAGGCCTGGGCTCTGGAAAGCACATGGTGTCTCTTATGCCACATTCCACTGGTCAAGACAAGTTATGAGGCCAGTGATAACTCATAGGATGGGAAAATAGGCTCCCTTTCAGGATGGGAGAACCAGCAAGTACTAGTGGCTGTATTTAACTTGTCCCAGGGGATGACCAGAAATATAAAGGTAAGATCCCACAGTTGTGGATAAAATGTGTTTTGTGACAATTAAACCTTGAATCTATAACTAATTTCAATTTCGTATGAAAATAATATTCCTTAAAAACTATTGCACATTAAGTTCTAGGTCTGCACTGACAAACACAATAGCCACTAGCCACATGTGGCGACTGCACACTTAAAATTAGCTAGTCCAGATTGAGGTGTGCTGTATGTAAGTGCAAAATACACACTGGTTTTCAAAGGCTTTGTACATGAAAAAGAGTGTAAAATATTCCTTTATTATTATTTGCCTTTATTTGGGTTGAATAAAATATATATTATTAAATTAATTTCACCTATTTTTACTTTTTGGTGTGGCTACTAGGAAATTCAAAAATGCATATGTGACTCATTTCTATGGCTCACATTATATTGCGATAGTTCAGTATTGCTCTATACACTGATGCTTTTCATACAGTTTCTCACAGCAACTACAAATGGTTATTTTTTTACAATTCCGTGGCTAGGGAACAAAGTACAATATTTATATCTTTTTATACCTACGCATAATCTGCACTTGCCAAAAATAATTATAGCAACCTAAAAATCCAAACACAATAACAATTTGGTGTTATAACAGTGAAGAGATTTAGAAATGAAACATTACGATTTGAGTACACATTTGTACACTTTCCTAAAATATCTACAACTAACAAATCATCTGACATTAAAAAAAGGTTACTTTTAAATTTCCACTGTGCTATTTCTTTTTTCTCTATTATTAATCTTTAATCATTCTTATATAGGTCACATGAAAGCCTAGACTGTTTCAATTTGCCTTTGTCTCTCATTTTTTGGGAAAGCCAGGCTGGACATCTGTGACCACCAAAGCTGCCTGCCCCTCAGTTTTCACCATTGTTCTCTTTCTTCTTTCCCGGTTCACCCATTCTCCCTGCTCTGATTGTCTCAGTTGAGGAATTATTGCCTGGGAGAATTCACCTGTCTTGCTTTCATGCGTGGCTTATTACTTTACTGTGTTTCTTGGCCAAAACCTCAAGGTAGCTAATCATTTGTACCTCCAGCACTTCATTTTCTAAATTAGGATAGGCAGATGTATTGCTCCATACAAAGATTTTTCAGAATTCTGGGATAATTAGGTAATGCCAATTACTAATTTCATTATTTTCTAATGGGTTTGTACTTTGTCTTTTTATGAGCCATGCTATTCAGAGCCCTTGAGATTTGTCTAGACCATTTGGTTTCAACATCCATCAGGTGAAGCGGCTCTTTGGTGCCAATACTTCCTCTTGTTGGAGCAAGACCGCATGTGCTGCTTGTCTGTTTGATAAGTAAAATTAATCACAGACAAAGCTTGAGAAACTCACAGGGAAAAACCTGTGATGTAGATGTAAAAAAGAGAGATGTAGAGATTTGAATATCAAATGCTTACGAGTCTGCCACTTCTGCTGTCTTTTATGAACTCTTAGGCTGTACCATATTCTGTTTGTTTCTCTTTGTTAAGCTTAATATTTTGAAAGTGTGCTTGTGTTTCAAGCATAGGTTGAATTCTTGTCACCAAGGCAAGTAATGTTTCCAAATAGCCAGTAGCCATAAAATCTTCAGAGACACTCCTCTTGCATTTCTTGAATATTAAAGCAAATCTACTTTTCTACGTTCATTGAGAAGGAATCTATTTCTCTCTTGCTGAGACAAAATAGAAAGGAAATTGTTTGAAATAATAAGCCATAACACCTGTATGGGCCAGGATTTTGCAGTATTTTTTTCTTAGCGTTAAAAACGTATATTCCTTTATCACATACAAGTTAGAAATGCTTTTGCCAATACCCACTGGATTCTTAATAAAGCTTATGGAGCCCATTGGTTTCCTTGCTAACTGCTCTAAAGCATTAGCTTAAAAATTAGAATTTTCCAAATTGCCATACGAGTTTGCTGAACTAGCAAAATGCATCCCTGTCATCTATTTTCCTAAGAAGCACTCCAGTTTCACTTACGATGAAGACATCCCTTTGAACAAAATTAATCGTTAATTTTTTTCCAAGTAGGCTCTTAAAAATGTGACATTCTTAACTAGCTAATATGTTCAGAATAAAAATGGAAAATTCTTTGGAAATCTGTTTGCCACCCAGCTTTGCTCTGATTAATAACCCTTGCAAATGTGTGCTTATTATACCATAAACATGACCTTTATAAGAACATCAGAAAAATCAAACTATGGATATGCCATGTCAGAGACTTTTTAAATGTCAGAAAATGTAATGCTTTAAAATTAATGTGACTTTATAATACTTAACTATTGAGGGTATTTTTTGAACTTTTATGAATTTGGGCTTATTAAAGATTTTTTAAAGGGTTCCGTTATTGAAATGGTCTGGGTTGGGTCACAGTTGATGGTAAAGAATGTAAAGCTACGAAAGAAAGAAAGAGAGAGAGGAGAGAGAGAGAGAGAGAGAGAGAGAGGAGAGAGAGAGAGAGAGAGAGAGAGAGAGAGAGAGAGAGGAGAACAGTTAACCATTTATGGCTTTAGTGTGGTGAAGTTTGTCAAACATACGAGATATTTATTACCTTCATTTCCCAGAGCTTCTAACCAGAAGAGAGTCAGCAGTGGGAAAGTATTCTCAGTTAAAGAGAGACAACTCCTAAACATGGCGCTTTATAAACTAAAGGGGCCAGGAGTAAAAAGAGCGTGCTTGAAAGTTGTTACAGGAGACAGTGATGTTTGGCAGTGGATATGTAACCAGTTCAACTAGGGAGCTTTAGGTCTAAAGTGGGACATATACCACACTCACAGTGTCAGAGTTCTATTTCTGCGTAATTAATTACCAGAAACTTGGTGCCTTAAAACATCACACATTTATTAGCTTATAGTTTTGTAGGTCAGAAGTCCAGCACAGATGTGGCTATGTTCTCTGTTCAGGGTATCATAGGGCTGAAATGAAGATGTTGGCTGGACTGAGTCCTCATCAGGACACTCTGTGTTAAAAATCTGTTTCTCAAATTCATTCTTGTTAGCAGAATTTAGTTCCTGTGGTTGTAGAATGAAGGTCTTGCTTTCCTTGCTGTCACCCTGGGGCTACTCTTAGCTCCCAGAGACCATCTGCATTCCTTTACATGTGGCCTCGATCTTCAGGCCAGTAAGGGCACATTGAATCCTTCTGTTGCTTCTGCAACCAGCCGGAGAATGCTCTTCGCTTTTGAACAGCTCATGTGCTTAGTTCACACCCACATGAACAATCTCTTTTTTTTTTGAGATGGAGTCTCACTCTCTCACCCAGGCTGGAGTGCAGTGGTGCGATCTCGGCTCACTGCAACCTTCGCCTCCCAGGTTCAAGCAATTCTCTTCCCTCAGCCTTCGAGTAGCTGGGACTACAGATGCACAACACCGTGACCAGCTAATTTTTTGTATTTTTAGTAGAGACGGAGTTTCACAGTGTTAGCCAGGATGGTCTTGATCTCCTGACCTCGTGATCCACCCAACTCGGCCTCCCAAAGTGCTGGGATTACAAATGAATCTCTTCTTTTTGAAGTCAACTGTATCACGTCGCATAACCTAATCACAAAAGTAATATCCACAAAATTAATAGTCCTACAGATGATGTAGGGTGTGTACAGCAGGAAGCAGGAAATCTTGGGGGTTGTCATAGAATTCTGCTAAATATGCCTAGAGACACACATCCTTAACTGGACTTTAGGTTTATCATTTGTGTTCTCTGGCCTCAGTGTTTTCAATTTGTGGATCATGTACCAATAGCATCAGCATTACCTAGGAATTAGTAAGTAATGCAAATTAGCAGCTCCCACTCAGAAATCAAAACTTGAAGTAGGGGTAGGAAGACATCAGAAGTCTGTGTCTTAATAAGCCCTCTAGGCATTTCTGATGCTCACTAAAGTTTGAGGGCCAGTGCTCTCTGGACCAGGGTCAGCCAACAACAGCTGGTGCCAGAGAACCAAATCTGGCTGATGACTATCTTAGAAAGTAAAATCTTACTGGTACATAGGTATGCCCATTTGTTTACATACTGTCTATGGCTGCTTTCACACTACAATGGCAGACTTAGCAGTTGCACTATAGAACTGATAGCTCACAAAGCTTAAATATTAATTATCTGGCCCTTTCCCAAAGGAAAAAAAAAAAAGTTTGTCTTCTCCTGCTCAGGAAGTAGATTACTTGATTGCTAAGGTTTCATCCAGTTCTAACTTGCTCTAATTTTGTACAGCTTCCATGTGAATCCCACAAAATTGCAATATGAGATTTAGAGGCTCATTTCCCTAAAAAAGATTAACCCTTGACTTTCATTTCTATTAAAGGACCTGAAAATGTGTCCTTTCTTCCAGACATGACTGCAACTATCCTTTCAGTCCTCTGATGGCTTTTTCTGTCTTAAGTGGAAATGAAGAACATCTGTTCACCATTCTTTCTATGTTAGTTTTTAAATATTTGAAGGCAATTAAGTCACCCTGAGTCTCTTCTCTTCACAAAAACATTGCCAGTACCTTTAGCTTTCCCCTTACTCTTACTTGCCTGTCCTTTAATCATGTCTGTCTCTCTGCTTTGGCTATTTTCCAGGTTGTGTACATCTTTCATAAGTTATTAGATTTTCAACATACTTAGCCAATCTTTCTGGCTTCTAACTTAAAAGGACAAAGCTAAACTAAAAACAAACCAACCTGCCAATTGTCCAAGATTCAGCTCTTCTTTATTTTGTTAGATTTCTATGTAATTATGCATCTTCCAACCATATCTTTGCTTGTAATCCATCAAATGTGGCTTACATCCTTTACATTACTCTTTTTTCCTCCAAAATTGGTGCAACAGTTAGACTTACTGTGGTTGATTCTCACTTTCTGAGTCTGGCCTCAATGATGTCAAACATTTGTCATGATGGTTTTCACTATCATCTGATATTTTTCACTGGCTGACCAGTTCATAAAACATACTCCAGGTATCCAACTTTCATTTTACATTTGTTTTCCCATTTCTTTACATGTTTTCAATACCTGAGCCAATGGATCAGTAAATCAATGAAATCTTTGCCTCTCTTTCCCTCATTTCATCACATTAAGTTTGATTTACAGTCTTGATATTTTCTAATCTGTAGCACCAAAAATACACATGATTTTTTTGGTTGATTGTTTTATTTCCTTTTTTGTTTGTTTTTTTTTTTTCGTTTTTTTTTATCATTCTTAGTCTGGATTCTTTTAGAAAATGCATGTGTGTACATTTGTGTTCCAAATATATGCAGCTCTATTGTTCTGTTTCCTTTGGTTTCCCTTCTACCCACTTTAACTGTGATGTATATTTGTGCTTTTGGTAAAACAGATTTATTTGAGAGTCAGCCAGCTTTCCTAAGCTCTCCCCTTGAGGTATGCCCTGCCATTTCCTTTGGCAGATTAAAGCTTGCTTATCTGAAATATCTCATTACTGAAATAATCACTTTTAATTTACCAATTGTACAGCCTTTACCTTTCCAGAAACATAATGAATAACATAATTTGTTTCATGCCAATCAAATTTACTTCCCATGTGCCAAAAATGTAGGTTTTTTTTTTTTTTTTTTTTTTTTTTACTGATGGAATATATTCACATAGGCTTTCTGAATCTATGACTTATTTAAAATAAAAATAATTTTTTTTGTCAGAAGGTTTACCTTACCATATTCCTACGTTATCAGGGAAGGACTTAGATGTCTTTCAACAGTATAATACTCTGAAATGTGATAGGAGACTCTGAGTTCCTTGAAACAATTCTGTTACACTCAGATCTGTAATTGGAATTTACCAGTCAGTTGAGACCTAGCCCAGACTAGCTAAATGTAAATGTAGCTAAGGGCAATTCAATGGAAGACAACATTTTAAAAATACAGAAATAAAATCCAAAGCATCTCCCTGCCTTGTGGCAGCAGCCGTTGAAAGGCTGTGTGTGTAACATTGCGATGTAAGGGACTGTCTGACTATGGGCTTGCCTACAAGGGTAGAGAAGAAAGGATATTTCTATGCTGAACTGTGTAGCACTTAAGATTTAGCTAGGATATGTGAAAAAAAAATAACCAACTAAAATTTTGGCTAGACTAATGGAATTCTTAAGCTATAGGCAAGACTGCCATAAACAGTTGTTATCAAGATTTCCCCAGTGCCAATATGCCATCTAAAATTTTGGCTGGAGTAGTTGGTGAAAGCATAGCAAATAAACAAGAAAGCCACTTATAAAATTGAATGGCCATGATTCTAGTCCATGTGATTAGTAGAGCATATTACCTTTTGATAAAAAAGCATCAGTCATCATATCCGATATTATTAGTTAAACATCACATGTGGCTCCTCACTAAAAGAAGTGGGTTGCAAACTCTTGAAAATACGCAGGAAAGAACAAATTGTGGTCTACCAATGTCTTTTTATTACTATGTGATAATATTAGAAAATTGCACTTGTTTTTAGTTGATGGTTAGGAAAGATAATATTATTTTATTAAATAAGAGAAAATGATGATTCCAAAGGAGAAGCCGGCAAGAACAAGAACTTAAAAAAAGTGTTTTGCTTATTCTCTCACTATTGCTTTACCTTGCTTTAAAGGGCTTAATATCACATTTACTTTTATTGAAATTTACCCAGTGTATTCAAGAGAGTGAGTAACCAATAAATATTGAATGAATGTTTGTGAGAAAGAACGAGTGAGCCAAGAAGTAAATCTGAGAGGAATGAAAGATGAGGGCAGCCAAGAGAGAAGAGGTGACAGAACAGGTAACAAACTGAGGACAAGCTGAAAAGGGAGGAAGTGAATTAGTGTGACTCTATTTTTCCACTGACCATAAATAATATTAAATATTTACGTCCCAGATTCCAAGTCAGCTATCATATTTTGAGTCCTTACCACGTATTAGGCACTGAGCGAGTCTCTCTCATACAATATTTTGTCAGATAATGCCACACTCTTGGTTGATCACTTTCCAGTTTA
Organism: Homo sapiens; assembly: GCF_000001405.40. Taxonomy (NCBI): domain Eukaryota; kingdom Metazoa; phylum Chordata; class Mammalia; order Primates; family Hominidae; genus Homo; species Homo sapiens. The sequence goes on along the minus strand of NC_000003.12, from coordinate 21,679,912 downwards.
AAAGACATATACTTCTATGGGTTACCATGAGATCATTTAAGAGTGGGTATTTCCATATAGGATGACTTGGGGGTATTTTTAGTGCTACTCACAGGCTGCCTCACTAACAGTTCTATCGAGGTCAATCAAGTAAGTCGCTTGGATATAATTATTTCTCCAAATTGCTATTTTCCCTCCCTGCTAGTCTCCCTCCCTCCAAACCTCCTTCCTTCCATCCCTTCCTTTTTGTTCTTTCTCTCTCTTTTCAATATTGTTTCCTATGCCTACCATCTCACAATGAGCACATTGAAAACAGGTACCTAATAGTATTAATGACATTAAGTATAGTTTGCCATTTTCATTTCTTCTCTCTGGATTAGCTTTCAAAGCAACAATGTCTTATTTATTCATTCACTGAAAAGTACTTGGGTGCCTATAATTTTCAAAACTCTTTCTTAGACACCATAGAAAAAAATTAAGATGACCCAGCCATGAATACTCCCCTTCAAAAGCTTAACTCAGAATCAAATTACTAGCAAACAAAATGTAAGTATCATAAGAGATATACCAATTAATGATTTAAGCAATAATGCTAATAAAATAAAAATTTAATAAAATATATTCCATTATTTCATATCATTTTGATAAAAAATGAGTAAAAAAGACATTAAGAATAGTTACTATAGTTTAGTATTTACTCTATTATTTCTCCCTGTAAGCCTTACAGAAATCCTGGAATTTAGCTGTTATTCTTATTTTATAGAAGGAGAACCGAAATAGCTGTTAATTTCCTTTGGACATGAAAACACTGGAATTTGGATGCAGGTTTCTGATGACAAAGCCTGCCCTCTTAAGCACTTAGAATATTCTGTAGAAGTTTGCAAAAGGGAAAATTGACTATCATGCTAAGTGGATGGGGTTGGGGGGTGGGTGGCAGGGCCTTTCAGCTGAACCTTGAAGGGCAGAGAGCAGCTGAAGAACAACATAAATTTACAAAATTTTTAAAAAGTAGTTTTCTTATCTTCGCTTATAAGGAGGACATTAAACTGTATAAATAGGCAAGCAAAGGTCATAATGACACTGATAACTTGGGAAGCAAATATTTAGCACTTGGAAAGCATAATGACTTTTGAAAACTATATGCAGTACAGATCAGAATCATTCAGGAAAATGCAGGGCCAATTTCAGAAGCCGTGCTTCTTACAGAATTTCTCTCCCCTCTCAGCAGGCATTCCTGCTCAAAGCAATTTGACTCATTCTGTTTGTTCTTCCTTTGGGATTAATGTCCGTTCAAAAGCACAAAATAATCTTTACAATTTAAGTCAAACAGGCCCATGAATTTGAAGGGACTAACTCCAATTCCTGAGGCTGTGATCAGAGCCCCTTCTCCAGTTTCCTTTTAGGGTTATTTGTTGTTGCGTTTTCTACAAAACGTTTGGGTTTACAGTGATTAGGTCACTTCACGAACTTCTACTGTCTAAGACATATCAATAAAGAAGAATAGCTGTGAGGGAGTTGTATATTCTCAAGGCATTCAGTCACATTGGAATCATGAGCGAATCTCAGGTAGATTTACCAGGTCAACACTGGCTGTTGCAGAATGTCCAGGAATGAAAGTCTCCCATTTACTGAGTTACAAATGTAGGTCTCCAGTTATCTTCATAACCTGGGCAAGCTTTGACAGACAAATCAGATGCCTTTCTTAGTCCTCTCACTGGATTCTAACCAAAAGATGATTGGACACTTTGCCAGAGGTATAAGGAAACTGTCAGCATTATTCTATTGTCTGTCTTCCAAGACTTACAGAGAGGTTTGGATGCCCTAATGTTGAGGGTTTGTGTCGGGGATAGCAAACTGTGATTAACTGGATTAGATACTGGTATGTTGTGTTAAGGAGGATTCTGAGGCCAACTGGAAATATAATTGATGAATAATATATGCCCTGAGTACTAGAAGGGGAGTGGTATAATGGATTCTTATACTTGGCTTATGGGGACAATACAGATAATATGATTTTTACAAAGAACGAGCATTAAAATCAATCAACCTATGTACGCATAGGTTGAATTAGCTGCTACAGAGTACTTAATTTCATAGATTCCCCAGTTTCCACAACTAAAAAACTAAATTATTAAGGACTAACAGAATTGCTATGAAAATTAACAGCCTATGTATATATGAACTACTCAAAATTTAGAGTGGTTATTATTATTATTTTACTGGTTATTATTATTTGAAATTAGGACTGCTTTAAATAATTCAGTCTATATGATCCCCCACACACTAGCAGAATACAATTTCATTACCAGAATATTTTACTCTAATTGTTAAATTAAATTTCTCTCTTAGAAATTTATTTAGGCCTGTGCTTTTCTAGACTCCCAAATTCTAAGGAATAGTAAGAACATGAGCTTCTAGTGAATCTGCAGCCAAAGAAAAATCAGATGCAATTTCTGTGGCATTCTGCATTAGTTAGTTAATTCTGGCTCAGCCTGAGTTGAGCAAAATGGATGGGAATTAGTTGTACAAGTCAAGATGTATATGTGCCTCATGCCAAGCTCCAGATTTGTATATTTAGGCTGCAATTCACAAGAGGGTGAGAACATGATGATGTCAACCAGAAAAACCTGTGTTTTCTCATTAACCTTGGCCTCTGATCTTGGACTTCTGGTCAGTGCTGGGATTCTCAGGGCCCAGGGACCCTCCCAAAAGCTGCCTCAGATTTAGCCTTTAATGCTCATTATCTCCACTGACATGGCCCCCAGCAATGACAAGTCCCACTGATTATTTGCGTCCCTTTCATGTTAGTTTAGCTTTAATCCTTGTGTTTAACTGCACTATTTTACGATGTCTTTCCTTTTATCATAATATAGATGTCCCTTTCCTTATGTGTTGCATTGGTGATAGCTCCTTAACCCTGATATGAGGACTTTCTTCTACCTGGGGCTATAAGCAGTTTCTCTTTTTTTCTGGATTTGTAAATCCTATATCTGCTGCCTTCTGGCCATTTGAATGTGAAAATGCAGGTCCTTTCCTTGGAGGACATTTCTGCTCCTATCAGTTGTTCTTTCAATTTGGTGGAAATCAGGACTTGGTAGATATTTGAAAAGGAGAGAGGTATAATACAATAAAAAAAAAAATACATATGGGCTTTGAAATCATCCCTATCTGGTTTCTAATTCTACCTAGCTCTACCATTTAGCGAGTGGTTTATCTTGAGTAAGATGATCTTGCTAAACCTCCTTTTCTTCACCTGTAAAATGAAAATAAGGATATCTTCATTGTTTATACAAATAATGTATGTAAAGTTATCCAGCAAAGAACCTAGACCATAATATAGGCTCAAAGGGACAGGACTCCTTATAAAAATAAAATATGGTTGTGTGGATCTTCTTGCTTACAATCATTTAATAGGCATTTTATTTCTCTTCCATTTAAAGTAAATCCTTTTTGGGATTCCACAATTACTACAATTCCATTAGGAACTGATTTTACATCTTCTCCAAAGACTAAATGTTTCAGAATTAAAAGAAAATATAAAGTAAGGTTTGTTTTAAGCACAACCTGCCAGAAGAAACAATCACATTGAGGCCGAGACTAAACAGAGCTCAAGTCAGCTCCGCAGGGAATGTTCTTAAGGAAATTGAAATCAGAGTATCTTTTTGGTATTATAGAGTTTGTAAGAATGTTCACCAAAGCAATGGAATCCAAGAACTCACAGTTCCTAAACCTTGGAAGCTAATGGGTACTGCAAATGCTAGAGATGTGCTAAATATAGGCCCTTAAAACAGTGACAGTGTGGTATTCACTGTTCTTAATAAATTTTATTTAATTTGATGCTGGTGACAGTGACATGCCAACAACAGTTAGGTTTCCTAGGAATTTTGTGCCATGGTCTTTATGAAATAACATTAGATTAAAATGTGGAAAAAATCACAACGGAACGTTGAGTGAAAACATTCACAATCAAGTGAATGTTCTTAGAGCTATCATCATTAAGTAGAATTAGTTACGTTGAATGCAAACTTAGTTTCTATTTTGTTCTTCTAAACTATGCAGGCAAAATAAAAGGGACAATTGAATAAATAATGAGTTGATACAAAAAGAATACAAATCTAATACCTATGGAAAAACACATGGTTATCTGGTAGACTCAACATATGGATAATCTACAATATACTGGATTATAAACATGATAAACTTGTGGAGGCAAGATGCTTATGAAATTGCTTTTTGAATAATCCTTTGCCTTACAAATGATCGCCTCTTAGTATATACTGATTTGACTTGCTCTGGCAAAGTTTAATTGAAACTAGCTTTTTGTTTATACATTTTTTCTCTACCACCTTTCATCAAAAAAGGGCAATCTCTGAACAAAATGTAGATATAAGAACTTACACTCTGGAAGCAGAATGTTTTTGGACAAATCCTGGCTCTACCACTTACTAACTGCATGAACTTGAGCAATTGTTTTAACCTTACTACTGCTCCATTTCTTTATTCACTAGACTATTAAAAGATCAAAGGAGCTATCCTACAGAGGACCCAGTACAGTACCCAGTGTATGGAAGCAGAAATAATATTGCTTTTATGCCACGGGAATCAAGGGGAGTTGTTTATGAGATAGCATAAATTTACACCTAAAAATGAAATCCATGTTTAAGAAAGATAGAGGAAAAGATGTTAATAAAATAAAAAGCCTAGGACTTAGTGTGTTTGGGCCATTTATTTTTCTGAAGAAAACAATAATGGGAGCTTAATTGCACTAAAAATCTTTGATAAAATGTTTCTCACCTTTTAGCAGTACACTCCAATAAACTCTGATAGTTTAATCCGCTTTTCTTTTCTAGTTCTTCAAAGAAGCTGCTGGTTTGTAAATGTACACCATTGTTAATTTGGACACAATAAAAAAATGGGTACAATATCTCAGCAGGCTGTGATGATTCAGCTTCATGTATTCATTTGTTTGCTCACTCATTTTTCCATCCATCCATCCATGCATCCATCCATCCATCCATCCATCCATCCATCCATCCATTTCTAAAACAATACACAAGTCACTTAATAGATACCAGGAACCTCCTAATATATAGAAGTCAAGAATGAATGGAACAGATATTCTTCTTAACAAACAGCTTCCTCATATAGGGAGACAGATACAAAGTCAAGTAAGTCTAGTAATGTTGGCTAGAAGGAAGCCTGTGCAGGCCAGAGCAGGGCACCAGGGAGTGATCTTTCTACAGAGATGTCCAGGAAATACTGAATAGAGTAACTCGTGTTTGAGCTGCATCCTGCACCAGGAATAGATGATTGGTTTTCTTAGTAATACTTTGATGTAGGTTTCAAGAGCAAGTTGGGTGCAATGTAACTTAGATAACACAAATTACATTGCTTACTATGCTTTCAGGGGTTATAATTTACATTTTATGATTCACATTTTGGGGTCTAAATTGCTAGTTGAAATGTGACATTCCAAAAGTGAGTTTTATTAGATATTCTGGATTGAATCAGTTCCTTTCTATGCCTATCAGGCTTATTTACCCATATGTATAGTGTCCCACTCTACTTTTCCTTCCCAGTCAAAGTGGAGAAAATAATTGTCTCCATTGGTCTCCATTATGATACCCTCACTCATTCCTCACCCTCCTCAAAAGTGGCTTCTCTGTAATGCGACCCACATAAATGACTGCACTTAAATGGCTCGTAAAGGTCACCAAAAATCTCCATGACATTAAATCTATCAGACATTACCATCTTACTTGATCCTTCTGCAGCCTGAGACAATGTTGACCATTCTTTCCTTTTCTAAACAGTCTCTCCCTTTTGCCCAGCCCCACTGGCACAGAGAAGTTCGTGCAGGCAAGTCTCAGTTAAGAGGTACAGATCATGAGTAAACAAGACCATGTAACAAGATTTTAGCATTATTTTTTCTTTTTAAAGAGTGAGATGACCAAAGCCTAGATATCATGGGTAAAATTTCCCTGAGAGACAGATGTAGTAAGCCAGGTTTAACTGCATACATTAGCTTAGTTTAAACACTTGCCATTAATGAGACTAGATTTTGACACAATTTGTTGGCAGAAATGAAAACTTTGTGATTGTACTTCCAAGGGTTATCAGATACTAATAAACACTCCTTTGCCCTATGACTGGCTCCTTTATGCGTGCTTGGTTCAAAAATGTGATATTATTTTTATCTAAAGCACACATTATTCATTAGTGTTTACTTAATCATTAACTTTTTAAAAATTTGGTTTGTTCTTTGAGTATGATCATCATTGCTCACACATGAAGATTCATAGACTGCCATGGTCATCTCTAGAAATGGACGATGATTTCTTTCTGGCATGGTCCCAACGGTGTCTGGCTTCTGACAGTGACACATTCAGCTCTGAGAAAACTCTTCTCCTCAATCTGAAAAGTCAAAGGACCCAGGAGAAAGCAAGAGTTTCTCTCCCATTAGCAATTCATTTTGAAACAGACTGTATCAAGCATCTTATCTGTAAATTATTTGCTGCTTGAGAACATTGCTTTGCACTGGAGCTGTAATGTCCAATAGCACCTTCTGTGAGAATGGAAGTGTTTTATATGTGCAGTGTACAATACAGAAGCCTCTAGCCCCATGTGGCTATCAGACGTTTGAAATGCGGCTAGTGTGACTGATAACTGAATTTTTTTTATTGTACTAATTTTAATTCATTCAAATTTAAAATAGTCACATGTGACTGTCAATGGCCACCATATTAGACATCCCAGCATGATACCTCTTTTATTAGTTATGATTCATGGTGTGAAATTTAATTTTAAGAAATTCCTCTGGAGGGAAATTTTGTGATTTTATATTCTATATCACTAGCAGTAAACTTGAGAGGAATATTCCAGGCAAAATCTTTTGATTTCCTATAAAGCAGGCACCTGTCCTGAATTATTCACTGTCTACCTGACAAAGGGGCTGCAGTACAGAGGGATATTTGGGGTTAAATATTTAAAACTCCTTGCCTGATACTCCTAACATAATTTTTCTCTAGTATGTTTCAGGCACCAGAAATTGTCATCAAAGTTAGTTAAATAAGTGAGAGATCCCGTTTTTCTTCTAGTGGAGACCTTGATTCAGGATATTGGCAACTGGATAATTATCAGTGTTTTGATTTTGGTCGTGGCATTTAATGACAGTGACAGATAAAATATTATTAGTGCTTCTTTCCTAGCTTCCTTCCAAGTGTGTTGAGGTGACTTACTGGAATATTTAAATACCACAACTGAAAATGAATAAATAATTTGGACAAGGGGAAACCCAGATCACTTCCATGTGATTTCCTTCATGGGAAAAGATCGAATCACTGACCATTGACATGGGCAAATGTTTTTGAATCAGTATTTCCAGAATGGAGCTCCAATTGCCCTGACTCATACTCCCATTCTCACCTCATTCCTCTCTGTGGTCATAAGCAGGATGTATGAGACAGCAGTCACCATCCTGTGTGGATTAGGGCTGACAACTTGCCCTTATGGGATCAGACCTTGAGTTTCAACATTTGAGTTGACCTGCTAAGGCCAGTTCACTTTAGGTCAATGAGGAGCTTTATAGTAAGTGCTGGATCAACTTTCTGAAACCTAGTCAGTGAATCAACAATCCAAAACAGAGGAGAGGGGCGGGGAGAAAAAAAGAAAAGAAAAGAAAAAAAGAAACAACGAAAGAAAAATGGTTACCAAATCATACTAAATTCAAATATTATGTCAAAATATGTTTTTAGTTATATCATTCTGTTGACAGAGATGGGAACTGGATGGAGTTTGGATGACTGAGGTTTAAGGAAATATGGGTAAACATACAATTTTCCTGGACAAAGAGTAAAAAATCCCAACAGGAAAATTGCTCATTGTTATCCCCAACCAACAACCTTGAATATTTGAGAGGCAGACATGCAAGGGAATGTGACAAACACATATTTATTTATCCGATTTGGTCAGCAGATGTTAAAGAATGTAAATTTGAGGGGTTTTGAAACATATTTGATATGATACTCATATCTTTCTGGATTCTTCTTCAAATATAAGGCAGTGCCAGCATGTTCCCATGCTGGGGATAAAAATCAGCGATAAATACTGAATATTCCTTCACAAGGAATGTGACCCTTCTTTCCTTCCTTCCTTCCTTCCACCTTCCTTTCATAAAAACCTCTCATAAGATAGCTGGCTTTAACAAATTATGTCTCGGAACTAATTTGACAAAATGATTCTGTAAGGTGTATTTTTTAAATTGTTGTTTTGTTTTGTTTTTATCATATTGTTGTTTTAGTTCAAAAGCTATTTGTATCAGTGCATTAAAAATCATTAGAGTTGTTCAGTTTCTTTCTGGTAAGATATTTTGCTTCCTAGAAGCTTGGCTTTTGATTTTATACATTGGATATTATAAGAGATACCTGGCAGAATTGTGTGTTTTAAAGGAATTAAGAGGATAGAAGGCTAATCCATGCCAATTAATGAATAGATATATTAAATTATCTATATTCTCTAGCTTTACTCCCACCCTGGCTGGCCAATTCCATTAACTACAGCACTCCATGGCCAATGTTTTGGCCAAATCAAGTTTTGCTTTTTTAACTGAAGAATGATGATATTCTTAAATTTGGAAAGGAGAGCTTTATTTTTCATAAACGTTTGCAGCCTGCAGGCTGGCCATTCTGACAGGCGGGGAAGCATAGCCTCCAACCAGAAGCCAGAAACAGACACTTCAAGGAAGGGACGAAGGGAACAGGAATTTATGCTGAAAGAGGTGGCCAAATACATGTGTAATATGCTATAAAAGGAGCCATGAATATTTATGAAAGTAGAAGATGTACATGCACAACTGAGCTTTATGCCTCTCCGTGGGACCTGTGTTCAAAAAATGGCGATGTTAGCATGATCCAAGGCTGAAGTCTGGAGCCCTCTGATGTCAAATAGGGTAGCAGAGGACACAAAAACCTTCACTGCGTATTCTCCCTAGACTGAGCAAGAAGCACTCTGCCATCGGTGGTCTCTTACCCACAAGGAATGCTGGTCCATTTTTTTTGTGGAAACTTAAAACGGAGCAGCATCAGTTGTTTGGTTGAAAGGGCTAGTTTCTGGTTAGCCCATAAGGAAGAAAGGCTAATGGCTGTTAGTGAGGGAGGGGGTATAAGTAGGCGTGTCTGATCTCCCATCCCTTCATGGCTGGGAACTCAGTTTTCAAGGTTTCTTTGGGTTCTCCTTGGCCAAAGGGGATTCGTTCAGTCATTGGGGGGGGGGGGGGGGGGGGGGGCGCCTTAGGATTTCATTTTTATTTCTCAGCATTTATGCCGTTATTTATTTTCGACTTCTTATTAGTAGGATCAGATCTAAAGTTTTTATGCCTACTATCACATAGACCTCTGAATTCCTATAGTGAGTCCCTCTCTTGCCCGGTGGACATAGCAAATTCTAACTGAAATATTTGAAAATGGATTTGAATAATTCTCCATGTATGTCAAATTAGTTGCTTATTAAATAACTACTTAGGATCTAATATTATACAAAATGCTCTGTATGATTTCCTGCTATATGTGAATGTTTGGAGGAGTTTAGTAATGTAATCATAGCTTATTATTGAAAAACACATAATTTCAACATAAGTATTTATGTCAATATAAATAAGTGCATATATATTTTAATATAAATAAGTATATATATTTCAATACAGATAAGTTGATGATGTAGGGAAAAGATACTAAAGATACTATAGAAATGATCCTATCAGGAAATTAGATGTTTCTGCTGTTTTCTATCAATATATATATGTTTTAATGATGCACGAAATTCTCCATTGGCATGAATATTTAACAGTGGCAATCCGTGATCATTTTGAACTTCAGTTTTGTCACCTGGGGAAATGAAAGATTAAGTAGTAGATTAAGGTTAAGATTAAGATGAAGTTGTCAGGCAGGATGTCTGTGACTGACGAATGCTGAATGGATTGAGTGCAGAAGTTCAAGGTTAAAAGCGTTGTATTATGGAGAGAAAACCACCGCACTCTCATGGAGTATTTCAATATATTAATTTACAAAGTAACCTCTTATTGTGATCATTCTTCTGAGGCAGTCAAGATAAGCGAAGAGAAAAAAATGAAGGTAGCTTTAAAATTATCTTGATTGACTGCTTTCAGAAAGCCTAAGTAGCTGCTTTGGAAGTTCTTCGGTTCATTAAAAAATATATTTCTCATGTGGTGAGCGCCAGTTGGCCAGGCACTGTGTTAGGGCACTTTATATATATTATCTAATACAGTAAATTTCCACTGACAACCACTGGTTTAGAGTTCCTATTTATCTGTATGAATTATCAAAACAAACATGTCTAAATTTACATATTAATTTGCTTTTCAAAAATGCAAACTTCTGAAATGAATGTGTCTTACTTTCTCAGTCTCTATTAACAAATACTTAGGAATTAGTAACTCTGTTTTTGTTTTTTCATATTCACAAGTTAGTACTTTTGTGAATATACGGCCCTTTTAAATTGACCGAAACAACATTTATTATGTTTATTCTATAGTTCGCATTTGAAACTTAAATTCTAAACATATGCTAACAAAAACATCAAAAAAGGAGGGAGAAGAATTTTGTGAACATTAATGATCACTTAGTTTACATTAATTATTCAGTACCTTATTCAGTATTGATTGCTATTCTGTACTAATAAATGCTTTTGTCATTTGTTGACTTTAATGTCACACAACAAATTTTGGTGTAGAGATAGTAACTTCTCTGAAATCAGACTAATTTGTTAAAACTGTGTAATAAAATAGCATAGGCTATGAAATATGTGGTACTAGACATAGAGTTTATATATTTTTCTGACCCTACTCCATGGAGGCTTTAAAAGACCTGCTTCAATTAAGAATATTAATATTTCCAGAAATGTGGCATTCCAATGAATAAAGTGACATTGTTGGTAAACATTAAGAACAAAACTTTCTCACCTATAGAAATGTCTACAAATCTATTATACATTTTCATGTTTATAGTTATCAAGATAATTTTATGATAAGTAAAATAATAAACATTTATTCATACCTTAGATGCAATAGTTTCTATTTAAATATGGGAAAACGAAATAGCTATTTTCTCAAAGAGAATATTTTACTTTGCTTTACAGATGAAACATATTATATTTGCCGGTTTTGATTTTGCACTATTTGCAAATAGTATTCTTGTTGCTGAGCAAGTACAGATTGGTACAAGTAAAATATTTTAGGACTAATCCAGATTTCAAAAGCAGAAATGTTAGTCACAGATAATTTTTAAGAAGTAGCTTCGATTTCGTGCCTCAATATCAGTGCTATAGGTTTGGAGGCAAGCATCTATTTTAGAATAAAGCAATTTTTCATTTTACTTAAACACCTGAATTGCTGTATCCTGGTGTCACAGATCAAGTTATTCTGAAAGTGAGCTCTGAGACTTTATTAGGGAGTGCTCATGGAAACATCATTTGTGAGACGTGAGGGATATAGGATTGGGAAGAGGAAGGAGCTGGACTGTGATGTAGTCACAGCAGAGGCCTCAGCCTACCCTAGATGCCATGAGGAACTTTGGAGGTAAAATAGAGCTTCAGAGTTTTCCTGCTTTGAGGCAAGGGGGCAAAGCCAGTAAACTCCTGCATGAATCAGTCATTGCTTGGGGCTATCAACTCCTCCACTTAAGGGTCACCTTAGGTAAGGCAGCTCCCTTTGGCCCAGGGCAATTTGTAAAGAGGCTCTCAGGCCAGGGACATCAGCCACCAGCACTCCAAGCAGCTGAGAGGAGTGCCTTGGTGCCGAAGGGGGTTCTGGGAATCAGACCCACAGCATCCCTACACCTGTATTTGCATAGCAGATAGTCTAAAAATATGTAGACACATGTCCTCTGCTTTCCTACAATCTTATACATTGCTCTCTTCCAACAGGTGAGAAGAGATGAGCTTAAATATTTTTTCGAACTTTCTAAGGTTTTTATGACTCTTCTTTGAAGGTTTTTTTAACCCCTAGGAAGGAAACTCCAGTTGCAACACTGAGAGAGGACCTTGAACTGTTTATACAAGTATAAATGAAATAGATATCCTAAAAGAGAGAATGGGAAATTAAATTTACATGATAATTGAATGGACATATTTTTATTATTTATATCTCTCATTGTGCTAGATAAAAAATCAGCTTGAGCTATTCCTTAACTTCTTTGGATACCCTAAACCAGAGGAGGACTTAAAATAAACAATTGTAGAATATTTTCTTGCTAAATTGCATTCTTGTAATTATAAGCATGGTATTTTCTGCGGAAGCAAGATAAACAACTGCAGAGTTTATCAACATATTTCTTTTTCTCTACATGATGTTATGTTGTTAACCCTTACCGAATTTCTGAAATCTTAGAATCAAACCAGGTGAATGTATATGAATATCATTTGCAAAGAATGATGTGTGACACAAATGAAAGTAATTTAGGGCCGGGCATGGTGGCTCACACCTGTAATCCCAGCACTTTGGGAGGCCGAGGTGGGTGGATTGCTTGAGCTCAGGAGTTTGAGACCAGCCTAGGCAACATAGCAAAAACCCGTCTCTACTGAAAGTACAAAAACTAGGTGGGCATGGTGGCATGCGCCTGTAGTCCCAGCCACTTGGGAGGCTGAGGTGAGAAGATCAGCTAAGCCCGGGAGGTTGAGGCTACAGTGAGCCATAATGGCACCACAGCACTCCAGCCTGGGAAACAAGAGTGAGATCCTGTCTCAAAAGCAACAACAAAAATAAAAGTAATTTAAAACTACTTCTTAAATTTCACCACATCACTGATTTCGACCAAATCTTACTTTACTTCTGAGTTTTTGTTTTTGAAATAGAGTCTTGCTCTGTCGCCCAGGCTGAAGTACAGTGGTGCGATCTCGGCTTACTGCAACCTCTGCCTCCTGGGTTCAAGTGATTCTTCTGCCTCAGCCTCCCAAGTAGCTGGGATTACAGGTGTGCACCCCACATTTGGCTAATTTTTGTATTTTTAGTAGAGATGGAGTTTCGCCGTGTTAGCCAGGCTGGTCTTGAACTCCTGACTTCAAGTGATCCATCCGCCTTGACCTTCCAAAGTGCTGGGATTACAGGCGTGAGCCACCACACCTGGCCTTACTTCTGAGTTTTTTAAAGATGTACCATCCAAAAATTTATTTTGGTTTTTAAAATTTTTAATAAAAGAGAAACTTTTAACAACACTAAACTCATGACAGGTCTATCACTAAAGTTTTATGGATGCCCTCTCTAAAAATGGTTACACACTCACACTCAATACACTACCAAGTGGACAATAAACTAAGTTTATAGTGTGTGTGCTCTGGTGAATGTAGACTTATTATATTTCGTTGTTATCTCTACTTGTTTTGACATCTGCCCTTTATTTACTGCCTTGTACTACTTTGAAAATTAGTTTACTGATTACAGACTTCAGTTATTGACTTTGCTATTGTTGGCCGTGCTATTATTATTTCAAGAAGGAAGGTAAGACAGTGGGGGAAAATACTGTTTTTCTTAATTTGGCTCCAGCTGATTTTATACCTGGGAGCAGGAGAGCTGATGGTTCTTGTGTATGGTTAATTAAATCCTGTGCTGATGGCTTCTGTTATAGGTACTAAGTCATCTACCTTGTTAGCAGATCCTCCGTGGCTCCATAGGGTTGGATTTATCATTGGGGAATCATTTTCAGAATGTTAATTTTGCGCTCTGGTAACTGATTGAGGGCAAGATGATGTTCTGTGTGCAGTTGGCCAGAGAGTTTGTTGTGAAATTTGCAAAGGCAATTTATACGAGGAGACTCACTCTACTTTGTTTTTAAAAACGAGATGGCAGGCAAGTAAGTGGCGCAAGCATGTCTCCTAGAATTCTTTACTGTTAGAGAGAAAAAAATCCCACTGCATTTTGCTTTCCTAATGCTTGTTGGATTCTCACCAGCAGGTTTTTACAGTCTGTTGCTTGCCTCTCAGATTAGAAGAATGCTGGCATATTTTAACAGTTTCCTAGGATTCAAACAGCCTTTAATTAACAGCAAATTGATGTTTTGGAATGTTACCAAAATATGGGAGACTGAACACTAAAGATGGGCTTCCATCCTTCCAGCTCCTGAGTGTGGCAGAGTCCTATAACGGGGCAAATGTATGTGCTCTCTTGCAAAAGGCTGGCTACTTACTGGCATGCAAAGGGGATGTCTTTGTTGGCATAATATTCCCACTGCCTGCTCAACAGTGGCCATCTAAATTCCACCTACTCATGACTGGGAGGGAGGCAGGGAGTTGTTGAATACTCAGAGCTGTAGGGGTGCTGAATAGTTCAGACATCGTCGTAGCACTGGTTTTGCTGGTTTTTAATCCTCCAGTTGCTAGAGCAGTAAGGTACAGCTGCCTGAGTTCGAGGTTAAATTTCTTTTATGTGCCAAGTTCATGTAATCTTGCTGCCAGAGTTTTGGATGTGGTAGCAAAGAGCAGTTCTGTAAAATAATCACTCAGACTTAATGCATATTGTGAGTGGTTTAGTTTTCAAAGAGGGATGGGTGCATGATGGAGGGGTTTTCCCTTTGAATTCAGAGATCTTGGTTGCAGATTTGTGACTGACCCAATCTGGAGCTCTAGGCAGGAAAATAAAGACAGGTTGGGGCATTTGAAATGTTGATGTTACTTACATAACCAGATAGTTATAATCAAAGGAAAATGGAGCAGTTCAACTAGCTCCCTCTGCCTAATGGCAAATTTGCTCATTGGCCGGTTCCCAGTTGAGGTCAATAGAGTCCATGTCTTGTTTTTTCCAGTGACCCACAAAGCTGGCCTTTTTTGTCTCAAAAGCAACTTTGGTGTTTTTTTCCATGCGTGGTGTCCCTGATTGCTCCCTTTGCTCTGGTCTTCACAGGTGGTACATGCCAGAGTCCTGCTCTCCCGGCCCTTGTCCGTCCACCAGCCCCTCCTTTGCAACCATCGCTGGATATTAAACCATTTCTTCCCTTTCCTCTTGACACTGCAGCTGCAGTCAACCTCTTCCCCAATTTCAATGCGGTAAGTACCTGCCAAATTTGTCTTTGCCTGAGTGGAAGGTATTGGAAAACTAACTTAAAGGCCAGGGTTGGTTCGGCCACTGCCTCCATTTTGCTATATTGTTCATTGCATGGTTTGTCTAGAAGCCATAATGAAGTTAGTTGTTTGCTTGGTTAGGCAAAATCCCCAGAACCAGGCTCCTTCAAGGAAAATAAAAAGAGATTCGATCCGATTCGGTTGATCATGAGTTGATGTATCCCCTCTAGTGTCTTCTGGGCAACAGCAACAATTCTATAGCTTTGTAGGTATACATCCATATTGAAACAATGTATTTATTAGAGAGAACATTAGAATTTCAGCAGGTATTTAAAAATTAAAAATGTGTTTCTTCTATCTATTTTAATTTCCAAATCTGTTACGTTTTTCTAACTTAATAAATAGGACCTTGACAATGGCAGCAGTGATTATGTTTTAAGTATACAGCACTTTCTTCCCACCATTAACTTAAAACAACTCAGGGTTCTGGTAGCAAGAGTTTTAGTGTGTGTTATTGTTGCCCAAGTTAACTCTCATATTTCTTTGTTTCTTTGGGCTTTGTCAATAGCCTCTCAGCACAGGTTCAATTACTTTCTTGCCTCTGTTTTCACTTTTAAGACGTCTTTTTGTAAGTTGGCAGATGCATCATTTTCACCATCGTGTGTTTCTTTTTCTGCGATCAGTAAGAGTATTCTTAGGATGAAAATTGAAATAAGGGTTGAAAAGGTTAGAAACGAGTAAGTGACTTTTTTTTTTTTTAATATTATCTTTTCAGCCTTCAGATAACAACAGTGGTTGTTAAAAGGCAAGTCTGAGCTTGTCAATGACAGGACATGTCAATGCAACCAAAGCAGAAAGGATTAACATGAGAGGTCACTCAATGTCCAGTGATCTAAATAACACAGCTTTCTTGTTGCAATATCTTGTCCCCATGATGGATTTAAATAAATAAATATATATATATATATATATATATATATTCGGCCCACAATTAAATAATTCTTCAGGAGATAGCAGTGGGTCTTATTTTCCTTAACAGTACTTTGTCACATGGCCTTTGGACATGTCAATGAGTCAGTACAGCTATATGCTAGTCCTTGCTAAAAGACAAGGGAGAATCAAAATGATCCCTTTGCTTTTTGTAGGGAGAGGAATTTTCCATACGAATCTCGTTTTGAAATTGATATCTCATAAATAAAGCAACATAAAGGTCACCTTTACAAAACACAGGTTTCTAATCCTAGGTGTTTCATTAAGAGTAGAGGAAACCTTGCTCAGCATCAAATTCCCTTATTCCTAAATGACTACACTGAAATCCCCTGGGTTCCCTTTCCTTGATTTCTTGCCTGCTCTTCTGTTAAGTGGTTTCCTGGCACAGCCTTGTGTCCCAGACACCCAGGGGAATTACCCATCAAGGTGCTTTTTCTGGCCTCTGAGACCACTTGGCATCCCATCACTGCGGTCCCATGTCAGCTTAAGAGCATTTTAGGTAAAATTCCTGGAAGGCCATAAAAGGCTGGATTTAAAACTTTTGATTTGCCTCTTGGGAAATATTAATAACAAAGTGGTTAACTTGACTGACAATGAATATCATTTAACATAAAACAAAGATGAGTGATGTGTTGAGCTACATGATCCTGAGCAAATCTCTTTACCTTCTTTGCTGCTATTTCCTCATCTTTAAAATAAAAGGTATGATAGTCTCTT
This sequence comes from Homo sapiens, assembly GCF_000001405.40. NCBI lineage: Eukaryota > Metazoa > Chordata > Mammalia > Primates > Hominidae > Homo > Homo sapiens. The sequence goes on along the minus strand of NC_000003.12, from coordinate 21,663,163 downwards.
TATTGGGAGGTTATACCATTCAGAGATTTGTGGGTTTTTTTCATGGGCAAAGGCAGCGTTGTGTGTTGGTCAAGCTGAACTCTGTAGCTACACTAAGTTCAAATCTCAGAACTGCCTGTTACCATCGATAAGACCTTGGAAGGGTCACAAAACTCCCATGTGTCATCAAGTCTTCATCCACATAATGGGACTAATAATATAATACGCCTCATAAGTCTGTGGTAAGGGTTGTGTGGGTTAATCGTTTAGAATGGGGCTTGGTATATAACAAGCACTATTTAAGTGATAAGCAGCATGCTCATAAGCAGCTTGTAAACCCTTCTGATTCTGAAAATGTGACAGTTCCTTGTCTAACTGATTGCAAAAGTTTGACTTGATTCTTTTTCCTCCATCATGGATTTTAACTTGTGTTGATATTTATTCTACTTAAACCAAGAGGCCCTCTGTTGCTCCAACTGTTGCTTTTTCCTTGGTTATTCCCTTCCAGTGATGGTCAAGGTATAGCCAGCCAAGGATGAAGTCATTCCTTGCTTCCAACTGAAGTGAATTGTTGGAAAGCCCATAATCAGGTAGCTTTTGACTCAGAATTAGGGCACAGAGCATTTCCTTCAGTAACAGTCTGAGTTCTTGATTTTATAGCAGATATGAATCAAAACCCAAAAATTCGGTATGTATAAAACGTAATTTTTACTGCCATAAATTGACTTTATTTCTCATTCAAGAGAGCCCATTTCATCAGGCTGGAGGGAAATCCACTCTAATTTTGTTTCAGGGTATGCTAAGGTTTTGGACTCCAACAATTATCTAACAGGTTATAAGGCTTTGGTGGGAGACTTCCTCTGATCATCAAGTTATTTATCCACATAGGCATTCATGAGATGGTCAGCACCTGGCTAGCATGACCCTTTAGGCACCTGGCTCTCAGCTTTTTCTGTGCCACGCTTAGACACACAAACTTTGCAAGGCAGTCAGCAGTCCCTCCTACCTAGATCCACAATACAGCTATCCCTTCTTTGATGATAAGTGATGAACTCTGCCACCCAACAACTTTTACCCATATGACCTTTATAAAGCAAAGTCCATGATGATCAGAGACTCTCTGCCTGGTGATCAGAGACTATATTCTTCCCCTGAGGATATGAATATGCAGTCATCTCTCTGTTTGGGATAGAGTTGGCAGAAACATAAAGGAAAAATTTTAAAATGTATACTTATAAAATGTATAAAAAATATAAGTGGATATCTCTTATTATTGTCTTCCACAAGAGCATAAACCATGAAGTTTGGGTGTGAATCAGCAAGAATGAAACGTCTATAAAAGTAAGCATAGTTAGGAGGGGAAGGAAAGATGTAGAATCAGAGCTGAGTTATAGGTATAAAATAAGACATTCAATGAGACTATCAGGATCCCTTAGTCTCCTCAAAGCCAACTTTTAAGGAGCCACAACAGAAGCTATTCCCTAGAAATGTATCCCTTGATGTTCTAGTAGCTTTCACACAAAAGATAGCTTTCCTTGAATTCCTCACGTATTTCCCAGCCTGCCCTTTAATCTCTTAAGACATTAGAGTTTCAGTGCTTAAAAATATTCTGATCCCAGTGATCCTCTTCTGAATTTGTATTTCTTGAAAGAGAACAGTCATGGGAGTAGATAGATGATGTTTAGGAAGAAATATTAGAAAGGGGTTTGAGCTTAGTTCATTCAGTCAACTGCTAGTTATTCAGCAGCTGCATCATTATGTGCCAGAAACAGTGAAAACAGATTATGTTATGACCTCTGCCATGAAAACAATTCAGTTTGTAAAGGTGAAGTTGACAAATAAGGAAATTTTTGTTAATAAAGTGTGTTTATACAGAAAGATGTACAGCATAGAATGTTAGCTTGAGTACAGGAGCAAATGGCTGTATGGTTGTCTTAGTGAGGGTTGGGTGAAAAAAATACAAACTATTCCAGGCATTCGAATGGGAAATAATTTAAGGATTTAGGTGCATACAAAACCATTGGGAGTATTCGACAAACAGGTCAGAGAAGACTGTTGCTAGCTCTCGTTTTTTTCCGTTCTCTTTCATGGAGTCATGGAGTTGCAGACACAGGACACTCAGTAATCCCAGTTATTTCCATCCACATTCTGTGAAATATTTCTTTTCAGTGGCGTCTAATATACCTGGGCACTGTTGGCAAGGATCCATGGGCATATAAGCCTCAGGCTTCCAGTCTCTGGGATGTAAAGCAGGGGTGGCCCTGGTGCTGAGATGCCAGTGATAGAATGAAAAGCACTATGCAGAATCAGAAAAGCTGACTGTCTCTGTAACTGTGGACAAAGGCTAAATCTATCAGAGCCCCAGTGTCCTGTACAATAAAATAACTAAACAAACAATTTAAAAGCCCAGACTCTTAGGTTTGTTATCAGAGGTATAGTTGGCTTTTAAAATGCTAGAGATCGAAGGAGAATGGCTTGGGCCAGACTTTGGGTTGTTGTTCAGAACAGAAGGTAATCATGAAAAAATGGCCACATTTTATGACAGTTTTCTCCTAGCGTCTCACCATTTCCCTTTTATTCTTTATTTCTCTAACATATGTATTTTCTTCATATTCTAACTCACAGTTGTGACAATAATAAACTTTTAGAATGTCACTGAAAAAGTACTACTTTTGGAGAATGTGTTCATGAGGACTGACTGAGCATGATACCATGCCCCCGTCCCCATGGCTCTATTTCCAGTTGGTATAAAGATTAAATGAGGAAAACTGACTTCCTGTGCCTGCAGATGCCAGATACTCAGTAAATATTTAGTTATTCTGCCTTCTAGGATATGCACAAGGAAGAGTGAGGAGGTCACATAGGAAGTAGAGAGGCAGAAAAAAGAGCAATAAAAGAGGATAACTTTTGCTTTAGCTAGCTTTGGCTGATGGTTCTTTAACATTAAAAATGTAAATTAGCATATGAAATTTTACTCTGTGCTGCTCCTCTGTATAATATGATTTTATCATGAAAGCAAAGAGAAAGAGCAAAGAGAGGAGGTGGGGAAGAGAGGGGGATAAAGAGAGAGAGACAGAGAGAGAGAGAGATCAAGTCCTAGCAGCTGACTCCTAGTTTTACAAAGGACCAACTGCTGGAAACTTGAGTGTACTGTGAGGTTGGGTTTTGATCAACAAGTCGAGGAGTTTTATCCATTGGAGGACAGAAAAGTGAAATTTATGTGATTTATAGCAGTGCTTCTCCTATGAAATCACAGGTAATCATGTTAAAAGTACAGATTCTGAATCAAAAGTTCTGGGGAGGGGCCTGAGATTTTGAACATATGTAGGCAGAGGGAGGGGAAGGCAGGAGAAAGATGAAATACATTGAACAATTTTTACACTCCCAGACAGTGGGGTTTTTAAAAATTTATTCAACAGATATTTATTGAATACCTACTATGTGTTAGGCCCTGAGGATTCAGTAGTGAAACTAGCAAACTAAATTCTTACAATTATGGAACTTACCTTCCGGTGTTTGTGTGGTGGGGTGTTGGGAAGAGGACAGACGGGGGAAATTTGAATTTTCTATAGGTGCAACTGTATCTCAAGAATGGTCCTCCTGTGGTTATATTTTAGCTTCCAGAAATGCTACGAGCCTTCCTTGTATGACATTGCTCAGGACTCTGGTTACAGCAGCCATTTATTGAACGCTTACTACATACCAGATACCACTTGCGTTTCAACTGATTACAGGCCAACATTTTTCTATGAAATTTTACAAGTTTTTATGTGTGTCATGATCTCAAAAATGTTGCTGAGGAAAACACATAGATGCGTATTTCATTTATTCATTCAATGATTTCTTCCTTTTACAAACTTTTGAGTCCTACTCAATAATTCTGTATATTGAAAAATGTGACTACTTAAAATAACTGCATTTGAAAGCACCTGTTAAAAACATAACATTAACAAATATAATGAAGAGTATGAGGAGGGAGAAGAGGTAATTTTTTACTGATTCACTTACTGGGCATTTATTAAGCACTGATAATGTGTCTGACAATAGTAGACACTAGAAATACGATGACAGTGATAACACTGAGAAAGAAGAAGAGAAGAAGCAGGATAGTGAGGAGGAGGAGAAAAAGGAGAAGAGGGAGGAGGAAAGGCAGAAGGAGGAGGAAGAATGGTTATCTATGAAGTTGACATAGTTGATTAGTACTCCTTTAAACATTCTCTTCTATCAGGTACTAGAAAAACACCTAGATGTTAATAGATTAAACTAAACAGTGTACTCTACACTGGCAGGTACCTCTAGAGTTTGCTTCATTTGTTGAAAATGGGGTGGAGTAGTTAAATCATTCTATAAAGAACTATAATTAAATGCTCAAAGTTCTTTAAAAGTAAATGCTACCTGAGTTCAAAGGAAGGAGAGGTCACTTGGAGGTGGCCAAGGAAAGCTATATGGTAAAGGTTAAGGTTTGCTTTGGAATCTGAGATAAATACCATATGCATATTTTTTATTAAGGTAACCATAGTATAGAACATGAAACATAGCAAAGACTCAACGCACATTTTTTTGAATGAATGAATAGAGTGGAATAGATAGATATATAGGTAGATAGGTAATAGATATAGATAAATAAAAAGACAGGAAAAACACATAACAGATAATTGATAGAAGAGAAATAGCCATAACATTTGTACCATAAGAAGTGTAATTGATGGAATTGTGTCAATAAGAAAGAAAAATTCTAAGCACTCACTGTTTTATGCATTAGATAACTGACATCTAACAGAAATTATTAATTTAATCACTTATTAGGAAAGAAAAGCAAGCATAGACTCGAGTCATCTCCTTAATTTGCATCTGTAATTTTAAGTTGGCTCATGTGTTTGTTTACTCTGGTTAATAAAAGGACAGTGATGTAAAAATCCCAGTGGTTGCCCAAAGAATGTACTTACAAATCAATTCTTTATAGTATTCATCAACTATTTTGTGTAAGTCCATAAAGGCTGTCATAGTGATAAAATGTTGGTGAGGTATTTTAGGACTCTAAGACAGCATTAAGTATGCTTAACATATAGAGATTATTCTAGAACTTTAGCTTAGATGTACACTTATAATATTACAGATAAAAATACAGAATCCAAGACAGAAAATTTCACGTTTTTATTATCTTTGGATATATACCCTTCAGAATCTTTGTCTCCTTCATCTTTAAAATGGAATTGGCACACTTTGTCTTCTTTCCTTTAAAAAATGATTCCTGTATAGTGCTCTCTTCTCTGGCTCTGTATTTTATTACCTGCTCCAGCTACGGAAATGCCTTCTTTCCCTCAGCCAGTGATAGAAACAGTGGTTAGGCACACTTCCATTTGTTTTGTTCAAAGAGATATTAATTAATTCAGTTTACACATTAATAACTATTCTTACTAAGTTTATACAACTGCTGCTACCACTAAAATAGGTAAGCAGCAAGGGAGAAATTTTAAGTAAAAAAAAAGCCTGTCTTTCTTAGACAGAAGCGGTAGATAAGTGGAAACTTTTCAGGTGAAAAATGCCGTCGTAAATACAGTATTGATTGCTATCTTCCTTGTCCTTTGAAGACAGATGTAGCAGATTGCTCTCTAGTTCTGTTCATTAACTGTGTCATATTTGTATAACACAAGCTTCTTAAGAAACAGCTGCTTATGAAGTCTTCTTTCATTATACGTTTCACACTGAAGCAGATATCTAAGCATGTTTGCTGAGTCCTGTAGCTTTCTGCAGAATGGAAAGTTTGTCAAAGTCAAATGTACTTATTATAGTGACCTCGAAGCACAAAATGACTTCAATATACACTATTCAGACTTAGAAACCAAAGGCTAAACAAATGCACAACGCATGAATATTTTTCTTATTTAATCCTTGTTTACTCTTTGAATAGGTAGCGCATTCTCCTCTGATTCAAAATCTAAAGAGAATGCAACAATTTCCTGACTGCTCTTCCCCTGCAACTTAGTTCTCTCTTAAGTGGCAAGCAATGTGGTAAATGGCTTTTGTATCTATCCTTCCAAAGATATTTGATTTATGCGTATGTTAATTGTTCTTCTCATTAAAGATCGAGGCATAATACACATTACACACACACACATCTATATATTTATATATAGATATCCTTTATGTAGTCAACCTAATCATAATGAGATGAGGCTTTGCAAGTAATATATTTGGCCTGTTTCCTACTGTGAGTTTCTTAGTAACTGGGATTTTGAGTAAATAAGAGGACCCAAATAAGAAAATATTGAAGCTTACACCTCATTTTGTGATCCAGTAGCTCTTTTGGAGACCTCTACTCCACACTTAGACATAGACATGTTAAAATGAAAGAATATTTTAGAGTTAATTTTTTTCTTCAACATGCTTATTTTACAGGTAAGCAAGCCTAGAGTTATTGAGTGATGTCCAGTTTCATGGCTAGCAAATGGCAAAACTAAGAGAAAACTGGGACTCCTGACATCTACTTCTCATGGAGATCCTAAATATTGAATAATAGTATTATGGGTTGAATTGTGTCCCTCAAATTTTCATATGTTGAAGCCATTACTCCTAGTGAATTAGAATGTGATCTTAATTGGAAATAGGGTCATTGAAGATGTAATTAGTTCAGATGAGATCATTAGAGTGGGCCCTAATTCATTATGACTGGTGTCCTTATAAAAAGGGAAAATTTGCACACAGAGACTTGCATTGAAGGAAAATAAAGTGAAGAGATTCAGGGAGAATGTCATCTACAACCAAGGAGACAGACATGGAACAGATCCTTCCCTAACAATCTTCAGAAGAAACCAACCCTGCTGACACCTTGATCTTGGATTTCTAGCCTCCAGAACCGTGAGACAATAAATGTGTGTTGTTGAAACCACCCAGTCTATGGTATTATTATGACAACCCTTAATAGGAAAAGGATATTTAGAGCCATCTGATCTGCCTACCCACACTTGCTGGAATTTCTTCTGCAATGTTCCTGACAACTGGTAATCCAGCTTCCTACCTGACTACATCCAGTGAAAGTATATAGGCCTACATGTGGGGTGAGAGACTCTATATTGTGGGTCATCTACATACAGTTGTAAGGGTAAGAAAGTTCTCTATTTGGAGCTAGTTTAGCACCCCCTACCCTGTAACTCTTATGAACCAAGGAAGTAAATACACGATATATTGCCTTTTTTAATAGGAAAAAAAATGTATTGATCATCAACTAAGTGACAAAGACTGTAGGGAAAACATTTTTATACCCATTATTTTTAAAATCTAATTTCATAAGAGCCTTGCATATTGCAGGTTATCTAAATGATACAGATAAGGAAGCTGAACTTAGAGAGAAAATTATTTTCCCCAAATCATACAAATGGTAAATCACTGAATCATGGCTAGATTTCAGATTCCTTGATCCAAGTTCAGTACAATTTGTTTTCAACATAGCTAGATGACCTCTTGTCTGCAAATGGTTGTAATTTTTTAAATCAGCTATATGAGCCTTGGTATACTTTAATAGCTAATTAACTTAATAATTTGGTATACCTCAAGGGACTTAACTGAGAAAGCAAAATATTTCCTGAATGAGAGTCTGGCTGTGATTGAATGACTATAAAAAAGAGCGTCTAGGACATCAGTGGACAGTAAAGATGCTGTCTAATGTCACCAGCACACGTATTTTTGCTGTATATGGCAATCATTGTCAGGGGAATAAATAACTTTAAATGTTAATAAATTAAAAAATACACTGCTATTTCAGTAACAATTTAGGCTTTGTAAAACTCAATATTCTTTTATACTATAGGGCATACATAAGAAAAAGCAACAACACTAAACTTTGAATCTAAAAGATTTGAGTTCTATGTTTAATACTTTACAGCCTAAGGCAAAAACGTGGAGCCTGCATTTTCTCATCTGTGAAACTAGAATAATCATATTGACCTTCTAGGAGTGAGTAAAGGTGTTGAAGGTTAGGAGAAACACAGAAATTGCAGGCATTGAGGAAGCCTATTGAACCAGAATCTCTGGTGTTGAAGCCTTAATAAGCATTTTGTTGTTGTTGTTGTTGTTTTTTGCACTTCCCCAAGGTGATTTCTTTGCCCTTTAAGTGTTGAGAGTCACTGTGTTCTACCTCATGGCCAAAATTAGTGGGAAAATCCATTTTCACAACTAAGTACAGATGAAAGAATAACTAACTTTCTCAGACTATCACTTGAGTAAAGTTGCCTCTTCCACATCTCCCTCCCACCAACGTAAATGTAAAGAACAATTACTCTTAGTAAAAGGAATGAGAACTTTTTGCCAGCAAGTATATTTGTTTCATGACTCAGTACTTCTCAAAGTGTGGTACACAGACCCATACTGATCTGAGAACTGTTTAATGGAAATTGAGAGTGAGCATTTAGAGGTATTTATAGCAACTTAACAGAGTAATTTCACATCTTTGAAAACCAATCAAGAATTATGGCTATATTTTGTAAGTCTATTTCATTTTATTTTTTCTGATAACTCATTTTTATTGTATTTTATAAAAGTATTGGTCTATGACTGATGGGGGTAGGGCTGGTCCTTCAGCAAAGATTGTTGAGAAGCACTGCTCTGTTTGTTGTATGTTTAGGATTTCATGGTTCCATTTACATGTAGAAAAGGAAGGGGAGTTTGAAGCAGTTATTTAGGTAATTCATATAACGTATGGTTGAGAGTCACAAGAACATTGTTACTGAAATTCCTTTAGCGCTACGTAATTTCTCTTATCCTGAAGAGGTGTGCCAATGTCAGATGGTTCTCTCTGAAGCTCATAAATCAAGACAGTAGTAGAGTAAAAGTAAGATAACTTGCATTTTGCCTTTCTTCGAAGTATAACCTCTTATTCCACATTTTATCTTGAGTTTGGGCAAATATTAAAATGATAAAATTAGTGGTTAATTCTTGAACGTCTTTCCCTGAATACTCTAAAATGAAATTTATTTCAAGGACCTGTCAAAGAATTTTAAGGGACTCAAATAAAAAATAGGTATTTTAAGTGACTATATATAGAGATAAGAAACTTTATTTTTTAATTTCTATATTCAAGTTTTTTTTTTAAATGGAAGGTAAAAGAAATGACAGTCCAGTTGTACAATAGATTGGGGCATTTTAAAGCAGTTTCTTTAAAGAAATCACATAGAAAAATAATCAGTTTTATCAAAACATCTTTATGTTCTTTAGAACATCTGTACATATGTACCATGTTAATGCTTCTGTGACTTTTACCACATAGTATGTTGCAAAGCAACAGTTTTTGCCTTCCAAAAAACCTGTGATATAAGACAGATAACCAGCGTTTTCTGCCACTTTCTAACATATATAGAATTTATGTACTCAGATAGATGGAGCTTTTGGAGCTCTATAAAGAAAATGCCTTTTTTTTTCCGGATAGTTCTACTTACTTTTTTTAGGTAAAAAAATTCATTAAGTACATATTTGATTTTTAGAATCACCTTAATTAGTTATGCTACCTATGAGGTGCTATTGACAGAATCTGGTTTTAAGAGCCTTGTTTGGAATGAGGCAGATAAATAATTATTTTGAGCTTCAAGTTTGTTTTTAATTTTACTTACCTAAAATCATAGTGAAAATTTTATAATTTTAGAGAGAAAAAACATACATATATTGTGTATATATACCTATGTATATGTATACATATGTTTATGCACATATGCAAGCTTCTTACTGTGGCTCATGGTTTAAAATACTGAGTGCAGGTATGTAGAAAAACTCTTTCTTACATATGTGTATCAGGAGACTTGGTTCAAAAATGTTCATTTTTGTTTTTAGTAGCAAAAAAAGAAACAATATAAACAATGGGAAACTGATATACTTCATTTATACATATATAGACATATATATACACACATATATACACATGTTAAGATCTAATTATAAAATATACCTTAAGAGACAACTGGAATGAAAGAATTATTTTTACATGGAAATATCACAAAAGCTCAGTGCTGCTGGGGGAAGAAACACCAGTTGCAAAATGTAATAGAATTATAGAATATATGTGTATGTGTGTGTATTTTTAAATCACATGCCAGTGAGAAAGAGAAAGCAGGAGAGAGAGAGGGAGATTGAAATTAATTTACAATACATGAAACATAGACTGGGAGACCACACAAGTCCTTATTTGCAGGTGGTTCTGAGGAGTGAGTGACACTGGAAGAGGTAAGGAAAAAACAAGGAAACTTCCAGATTTCTGTAATGTTCAAGTTTTGTTATTTAAAAAAAAATCTGAACAAAAATGAAGACACGTTAATACTCAGGTGATCAACATTGTTATTTAGTATATCATCTATATAGCTTTTGTATTTTAGAAAGCTTTTCAAATTTTATAAGCAGCAAATATCTTCAGCAAAATATTAATACTACTGGAAACCATCATTCTCAGCAGACTATCGCAAGGACTAAAAACCAAACACAGCATGTTCTCACTCATAGGTGGGAATTGAACAATGAGAACACATGGACACAGGAAGGGGAACATCACACTTCGGGGACTGTTGTGGGGTTGGGGGAGGGGGGAGGGATAGCATTGGGAGATATACCTAATGCTAAATGACGAGTTGATGGGTGTAGCACACCAACATGGCACATGTATACATATGTAACAAACCTGCACATTGTGCACATGTATCCTAAAACTTAAAGTATAATAATAATAAAATTAAAAAAATATATTAATACTTTATTGCAATATTTGCTACCTATATCATTAGTTTGGGATCCAGCCAGTATAAATACTTAAATGTGACAGCTTCAGACACTTGTTTGTATTATCTGACATGACATGAGAGGCATATCTAACATGCCCCAGGTCTGTGGTCTTTATGTTACAGTTATAATTTGGCTTGTTCAAAAGCCTTATAGTAGAACTATATAATATCCAGGTAGAAAGGTTGATGCATTGATTCTTGTAACTTTCTACTATGTAGAAGTGACTGAAAAGTCAATCAGAAAATGTGTTTATGAAGATAGATTGGCAACCTACTCCTGAAATTCAATTTAAATTTACCTATTAAAGACATTATAATTTACTTTAAACGTTTATACATTCAGTGAAGGTAAAAGAGATTAGTAAAATTTCTGGTTTTTATTAATTGCTGCTTATATGAGTATCAATTCTAATGGAATCTGATTGAGATGATGTTCTAACTGGCATCAAGTTTCAGAGTAGGGATGGTATTTTAGTCTTGGACAAATTAACATTACCCTCCTAGCACTGCCCTTTAATTATTTCTCAGAAGTGGTAGATTTTATTTACACTTTCTTAAAAGAAGTTGATCTAGCTTGCAAAATTTAAAATGTCAATTTGATGCTTAATTTTTTATAGAAAGGTCTTTATTTTTCAAGCAATTGCTCTAGTTTTTAGATGAGCACTGGGCTCTGAGTATTAGGAAGAGTTGACTTTTAGAAGCAAGGCTCATTAATCCCACTATATGTGTCACAGAACTCCTGGAGGAGGTTAAGAAGTTCAGTTTAAATTTAAAATCGGCAGAACAGACTTGTCTGTACATTTAACTTGCTATATAAATGGCATTATTCTAATAGTTTTCACAATGACTTTGAGAAACCATTCTTCACCACCGTCACTACCAAAAAGAAAAAAAAAAAGAGAAAGAAAAAAAAAATACCACATTGCTGTGCCTACTAGCCAAAATAGAACCATTCTTTCCACACAATATAATTTAGTGATCACAGACATACTATATGGTAGATCTGATGAATATGTTCCATTTTAGCTGAATGAAAATAATTAAAATAACCTGAGTCAGAACATAAATGAGATAATATTTTATATGCTCTTAGCCTTAGACTTTTTCTTCACCTTTTTTTTTTTTTTTTTTTTTTTTTTTGAGATGAAGTCTCGCTCTGTCGCCCAGGCTGGAGTGCGGTGGCACGATCTTGGCTCACTGCAAGCTCCACCTCCCAGGTTCACGCCATTCTCCTGCTTCAGCCTCCCGAGTAGCTGGGACTACAGGCGCCCGCCACCACACCCAGCTGATTTTTTTTTTTTTTTGTATTTTTAGTAGAGACGGGGTTTCACCGTGTTAGCCATGATGGTCTCGATCTCCTGACCTCATGATCTGCCCGCCTCAGCCTCCCAAAGTGCTGGGATTACAGGCGTGAGCCACCGCGCCTGGCCCTTTTTTCTTAAGACTTCAAATTGTTAGGATAATTGCGAGGTCCTGAAAATCATATTTCTGGCAAAAATAAAAGCTAACATACTCCTTAAAAAGGAGAGCAATCCATATCAACAACAGCAAAAAACTTCCCATCAGTTAACTCTCAGTTTAGGTGTTACTTAATAACTTCCACTCTATTTAAGGCCAAACACACTGGTCTCAGAAACTGTTAGTCCAAAATGATGAGGAAAATCTCAATGCTTGTGTTAAACTCATTGATTTCTAACTTCATTAGAAAGTGTTGAGAATCTGTGAGAGGTGAGCATGTAGAATTGGAGCGCTCACGTTACTCTTAGAATTCCTTTGAAAACATGATACATTATATATGTTATTTTAAATTGCATATCGTTTGCTGATGCCTTTGAGCTCTTCAGAGGATTTTTTAAAAATTTGTTTTAAAAAATAAATGTTTAAAATTTCTTTCTTTAAAATAAATTTAAAGAAATTCTTGGCTAATAAAAAATAAATGCACGTAGATATTGCTTTCTCATCTATGTATCATGTTGCCTGTATTTAACTGGTTTAGATGGTCTTTCTTTACAGTAATTGGCAGGGAGAGGGGAAATTAGCTTTACTTTTATTATTACAGCCAAGTAAGCTAAAAGAACAACTTGAAGAAAAAAATACTCACTACAGGAGCAAAGAGAAATATTCCAAATTGAATTTTGGTTCCTGAAATTATTTTGGAGATTTAAAGTTGACAAATAGATGAACTTTGTTTATATTTAATATGCAATTCTGTAGTTTCATGGAAATGTTTTATTACATATATAATTCTTTATACTGTGCTTTTACTCTGGTCACATTTTCCATATCTTCAGTTTTTGAAATACTAGGATTCCAGGATACCTGCCTTCCTTTCACATCTTTGGATCTTCCTGCCATCTTTAATGTTTGTAATTTTTTTTTTCTATATTCACTGTTTGTTTCCATTTCTAGTTATTGATCTGGTTCAATAGAAGCTATTTTCTTTCTTCCTTGCATGTGTTAGGTGGTCTGCAGCCATGATATTGAACTGACACTGGCAATCATAAATGTGTGTGGAATGTTGTGGAATAAATGAAGAATAAAGCTTATAATTTATAAAGAGACAAGCAAAAGAAACCAATACACTTTAAATAATTTAAGTAGTAAATTCAGTACTACTAATTTGGCAGATTGATTCTCTTTAGTGAACTGGCTCTTATTTGGACAAAGTCAAAGAATTGGGAAAAAATAAATTCTAGCCTATCCTTTTGTTTTTTAGCTGACTTGCATTTATGATAAAATAATTATATCCGGTTTTGCATTCAATATAAATTAATTAAATTTGGTGCTTTGAGCTATTTAAAACTTTCAATGAAAGAGACTGAAGCTTTAAATATCTTCTGGGTCTGAAGAGTTGCTTTGCCAGGATTTCTTCTTGTGTAAATGAAAACAAACTCTTATAAAATGGCTTTCTTTCATTATATTCTTACTGTTAGTGTCACTCTTGGTAAGATTCTTGATGTGGCTGGACAACCTTTCCTGGGCAAAATTTAGCAAATTTTCATGATGTCATCCTGCTAAATAGTTCCTGGGGACATCAATCTATGATGACTCCCCTCTTAATCCTCCAGGAGTACACTGTGTCCATGTTATCTCAGAAACTTCAGTGTGGACTCTTTTTCTTCTAAAACATCATCCTTATTTGCCTTCCAGCCTTGTATCACCCACAGCTAAGTAGCATATGTGCACATACTTTTAAGTTATAAATAAACATATAATGTCATATATGCTATTATTATTCATATTATTGTTATAGTATAGAGCAGTGCTTCTGAATGTCAGTATGCAATTAAATCAGATTATGTACTCCTAAAAAAGCCACAGGTAAAGCTGACAATGCCTGTCCACAGACCACATATTGAGTATCAAGATGGTGGTGCTTAAGACCATGGGTTTTGGAATCACAGAGTCCTAGGTTTGTATTGTAGATTTACCACTTACTAGATATATAATGTAGGGAAAGTTACTTGGTCTCCCTGTGCCTCAGTTTTCTCACATGTAAAATGGAGATAATACTACTATGGCTAGAAAGATTTCAAAGTGGGGAAAATACTACTAAGTGCATCTCAGGTTATATGTGGACTAAATGAAATATCACTCCGTATCTTTTTTGTTGGAACACACCTAGCCTTAGTAATACTGTACTTGTCTTGGGTAGCTGTGAGGGTGGCAATGATGATTGCTCTTTTCTTTTTTCTTAGTAGAGGCTTTCCAATTCTACTCCAATTCACACTCTTCAAATTTGATGAATTCCTATTATGGGATATTTCAAGCAAGTAATCATAAGAGATTCTTATAGAATCATACAGAGATTTTAATTGGCAATTGTTCTTTTTCCAGTTGTTATCAATGTTTATAAAAACAAAACTACAGAGAAGATTGTGATTCTCCCATCTTTCTTCCCCTCTTGATTTGTGCAAGAAGCAATTTGCACAGCAGTTCTGTAAGAACTGCCTACATGTCCTAGCACTCTATACAGCCGGTATTAGCCAGTTTTTACATGGTATAAAGAAATACCTGAGACTGGGTAACATAAAGAAAAGAGGTTTAATTGATTCTCAGTTCCACATGGCTGGAGGAGGCCTCAGGAAACCCACAATCATGGCAGAAGGCGAAGAGGAAGCAAAGATCTTCTTCACATGGCAGCAGGAGAGAGAAGAGCAAGCAGGGGAAATGCAAGGTGCTTATATGATCATCAGATCTCATGAGAACTCACTATCACAAGAACAGTATGGGGGAAACCCGCCCCTCATGATCCAATCAACTCCCACTGGGTCTCTCCCTTGACACGTGCAGA
Source organism: Homo sapiens (assembly GCF_000001405.40). Classification (NCBI taxonomy): domain Eukaryota; kingdom Metazoa; phylum Chordata; class Mammalia; order Primates; family Hominidae; genus Homo; species Homo sapiens. The sequence goes on along the minus strand of NC_000003.12, from coordinate 21,648,133 downwards.
TTATTGGGATTACAATTCGAGATGACATTTGGGTGGGGACACAGCCAAACCATATTAGCCCAAGCCTTTCTGGAATCTCACACTCCCTCAGGTTGTTCTTTGCATGCAAAACATCCTCATAAATGAGATTAAATGAGATGTTCTCTAGATTTGTCAAGTCTTTATAAGAAAAACTGCTTTAAAATAAATTTTAATAAAGCATCTTAAGTAATATTTTAATCGGTTGACGTTTATACCATTTTTCTTAGTAACATTCATATGAAAAAAAGATCAATGATTATTTTATTCTGCCAAGCCTATAAAACAGGTAATAGATGACATATAATATTATAGCACATAAAATCTACAGTTAAATGTAGGCAGTTGTTAACCTGGTTTTTAAAGCTACATTTAAAATGAAAAGTGATGTGCTTTAAGAAATTATTTGATTACACCAGTCAGGAATATAAAGGGAGAAACATATTTTACCACTACAATTAATTCTGTGGGTAAAATAAACAGACTTACAGTGAAAGTAGAATGAAATCATTATTTTAGGGATTCAACTGTGCAATCAATATTACATAATTAGCTATATTACTGGAGATTCTTCAGATATAAGTGCTCTGAAAAATAAGCATGGGTTAGTCGTGTTAATTGCAGTATGTAAATGGAAGGAAGGAGACAGGGAGAGTGAGAAAGAAGCAAGCAAAGAAAAAGGGAGTGAGGAAGTGAGAGAAGGAAAAGAGGGAGAGAAGAAGGAAGAACGGTAGAAAGGAAGGAAGGGAGAGGGGGAGGGAGGGAGGAAGGAATGAAGAAAGGAAGGAAGGAAGGATGGATTAATTAATTCACTGCTGCCATATTTGAATATTTTGCCAAAGAAATGTAGATCTGGAATAATTTACAATAAGACAACAAGGAAACTCTCATATGAGATTTTGTTTTGTTTGTTTTTGTTACATATTATTTAGGCAATTCCTTTAAAATACTAGTACTTAGAAAATATACTTTACTTAAAAGCCAAATCAGAATTTGCATAATGAGTTACTCTGAACATTTGGATTGTCTGTAAATATAATATTAAAAATCCTAAATCTGTCCATATTTGCTGTTTTCCTTGCCACTGTTTTGTTTATCAGCAAGAAACTGGATATGCCATTAAGAAATTAGCTACCAATTATAAAGATCACTGGCAGCTTAGAATAAATGATGGAGTAGAGAATAACTTTGGACTGGTCCTCAATTCTGTCTGGCCTTGATTTCATTGAGCCTTAGCATCAGACAGAGAGGGGCTGGATAGGACTGCCATTACAGGTAGCAACCCAGGACTTAACATTGCTTTCTATTTGTGACCGAATGTATGAAAGCCATAGGCCCAGAATGCAGGTTTAATACATTCCCAGATGATATAAGGAAGGAAAGTAACTGGAAGGGTCTGTACAGGCCTCTGATGGTTGAGAAGTGAAGGCAGGCCTGTTTCTTTCTTTCTAATTGCCTCTGAAGTAAATGGAGACTGAAGAGTTGTCAAGATTATCAGAGTTTATCTAGGTCTGACATATTTCCAAAATTCACTATTTGTTAGGTGGTCAATACACAATAGACACTCAGTTAGTATTTGCTGAATTAGTTTCAGTTACTACTGAAAATAGTCTGTGGTTATTAGTTTTTGAATTTGTAGCTTACCTTTGAAGGTAAAGATCTGAGTTCCTATCCAAGCACTGCCCTTGGGAGCTGTGGCTCTCAGTCCACTTACTTCACCTTTCTCAGCGTCTCACTGTGAAGTCAGATTAATCGTGTGCAGCACTGTTGTAAGCTGTCTGTAGATTACTGTGAGATGTACATACAGTAATAAGCGCAATCACAAATAAGCAGGTCCATAAGTATGACAGTTTCCTCTCCTCTTCATTTACTTAACCATAATCAAAACCATGATTGCATATACTTACATGGCCGGTTTTGACACCCTAAAAATTATACATCTCCCTTCCTTAACTTTTAAAATGAAAAATAGTTTTTAAAAATTTCCCTGAGGTTTTCTTTCTTTAAAAAAAACTTATCTGACACTTTGGCCTCAGCCTCCACATTCTTTTTAGGTATTTTCTCATTCCCTGTAAATGAGGACCGAGCTTCTTTGAATGAGCTTTTTACACAATGCTCATTTAAACTCCATTCTTGGAATTTGCTGCATTTTGAGGTAGAAGACAAATTTGAAACTCATCTATATTGAATTTTAAAATAACCAAGTACAAACCATTCCTGGTGAAAATGTACAGTTTTTCTCTATACATAATGCTGAACATGGACCTAGAAAAGGTCAACTGAAAAAAGACCCAGAACTGTGACTTAGTAATGAGGGAGAAAAAATATCTAGTTGGATGAAGTCATACTACCTTTGTCCAGTTGTCCTTCTTTGATTCTTTCCTTCCCCCACACAGGGACTGTTGGCAGGAAACTTGGCTGACAGCGAGCCATGGTGACTGCTTTGGAAGTAGGTGGAGACTGCAGGGAACTTTAGCTTTTCCAGAAACTCAGAGCTCACAAAAAAACATCTGTAGAAGTTGTACCAAGTAGCTAATTTACCAACTCTATTTTTCTCAAATTCCCAGCCCAGCTTTAAATCTCGCAATTTGGATTGCCAGTGGATTCAGCGGTTTACCATTTATTTACCTTTTCTGGTAATTGCAAATGCAGTTAAGATCCCCCACCTTTAGGAGAGTTCAAGACTAAAGGAGTCAGTAGCTTAAACTAGTGTCTGCAAATGTGTAGGTTGTGGAGGTCTTAACTGCCTTCTGACTTCCCAGGCATCTTCCCACCCTGAGTCCCAGCTGCTAGTGTGATCTCACTGCCTTGTGCCACCCCCTCTCAACAACTGTTTATTTTATCAGTGACTCTAACAACCTTGGCTGCAATTTGATTTCAACAACTGTTAACTGATTAGTGTGAATTTGAAAGTACAGCTTTGCCAATTCCGGTACTGCCAGTGGGCAAAATAACCTGATATAGTATATGATTTTGAAATCATAAAACTTTCTCAGGGACCGTTGCATCAAACATATACTGAGTTTTCTGATTTAGAAGCCTTCAAGGTCATTTGGCTCTCATTGCACACTTATTATCCAAGTTAGCTTTCCTGTTTGTAGACATGGGAATTTTGCTTCTTCTCAGATAGTACTTTTATTTCGTGTAATCAGAAAAGCAATCAGTTTTGAGTGTCATCTATTAACTAGGCAGATAAACTAGGCACTGTGCTGGGCATTTCATCTAGGTGCTGATTGGAACACAATTTTTATTTTAAAAAAGTTGTTGCAGTCACTTTTACACAATAATGTGGCTTGTTTCATCTCAGACAAGTGTGATTCCTGTGTGATGTAGTATAAATTTTAATCCAGGAGGTACATATGCAGGAAATTTACTTTTTTTTCTTCAAACCGAACTTAATGTCTATTATTTTGAGCCTCCGTTGTATGTATTGTAAAGATACAATTTTAATTGTGTTCAGTCTTTCCTGGAATATACAGCAGGTACTCAAATGGCATCATTTACTTCAACATTATCTTGCTATAAAATTGAAGAGAAAAAATGTCATTTCTTGGCCAGGGCCACTGTGTGGAGTTTGCATTTCTCCCATGTCTGCGTGTGTTTTCTCTGGGTACTCTGGTTTCCTCCCACATCCCAAAGAAGTTCACGTGAGGTTAACTGGCATGCCTACCTTGTCTCAGTGTGAGTGAGTGTGACTGTGTGTGAACCTGCATTCTGTGATGGAATGGTGTCCTATGCAAGGTGGGCTTCTGCCTTGCACCCTGAGCTATGGGGAGAGTCTCTGGCCACCTGTGACCCTGAGCTGGAATAACTGGGTAAATAATTATCTTGCTTTCATTAATCTTTCTTAAATGTGTATATAGCTCACATTTATTTTAATGTTGAATATCAGAAATGTTTTGGTCTTTATGTAGAAGTTTGGTGATGTTTTTGTAATCAGAAATATGCCATAGAAACATAACTTGTTTATATAAATTAGCCTGTAGTAAAATTAGTTTGCTGCCTGTTGTTCTGCTTAAAGTTGCAATTTCCAACAACTCATTGACAACATTCAATGAAGAGTTACTATACCTAAATCTTGGGTGCTTTAAAAATGTCAAGGGGCAGGAGACATCCTGTTCTTTGTCCTTTTCTGTTTGTACTGGCAAGAGCTGGGATGCACTCAGAGTCTATCCCACATTATTCTTGGTTGTCCAGCCACATAAGTTGCTATTGTTGCCCTTTGTTCTAAACCAGCACTGTACAATAGAACTTTCTGCAGTTTTGGAAATGTCTTGTATCAGTACTGTTCAAATGGGAAGCCACTAGCATCATGTGGCTAGCATTGGACACCACAGTTCTAAACCACAGGGTCTCGGCGGATCACCTCACTTTCAGCCATTTCTACACATCATTAAGTGTTTTGAAATATATTCAGTCATTCCTCCCATGACACTCTAAATATCTGGAACACTGAAAGGGATCTCTAAGGCAATAATAGTGTCAATGCTACTCTGAGGTGCATGAGAATTCATTTTACTGAACTCCCTGTCACAGGAGCATTCTGGGATTCTGTGAGATTGACTCAGACTCATTTGCTTAGATCTCCCCTACCTCTCATGCAGACATATGTTTTTCTTTTGAACTATGGTGAACACAAGGAAACTCTGGGTATTTGCTGTTTCACCAGTCCTTCCTGGTGTTAGGGTAGAGTGAAGATGGAGGATACAGCTGGAACAAGTTTCCTTTTGCCTATTTTCTCCAAAAATCACATGGCTATCCTGTCATTCTGCTACTCACCTTCTTATTTAACAACCAATGCTAGCTTTTTACCTTCTCCTCTCTTTCCTCTCTTCTTCACCCCAAGGATTGGTGTTTTCCTTTGAACTGAGAAAATTAGCTCTTACATGAGCATGCATTTCTCTCAATCTGTCTTTTTATGATGGAGGTTTTATACACTGTGGCTCAATTGCCCAGGTCTTACAATTCAAAACATTGGCTTTTTAAAATACATTTTTTTCTGCTTTCTTTTTTTGGTGATAAAATAGATATACTATAAACTTTACCATTTTAACCATTTTTAAATGTACCATTTTAAGTGTAAGTATATTTACATTGTGCATTCGTCACCGCCATCTGTCTTCAGAAATTTTTCATCTTCCAAAATTGAAATTCTGCATTCATCATTTCTCCCTCTCCCGAGACCCTGGCAACCATCATTCTTCTTTTCATCTCAATGAATTTGACTACTGTAGGTATGAGGTATAAATGGAGTTATACAGTGTTTGTCCTTTTGTGTCTGGTTTACTTAGTATAATGTCCTCAAGGTTCACCCATTTTGTGGCCTGTGTCAAAATTTCTTTCATTTTAAAGACTTAATAATATTCCATTGTATGCACAGTATAAACCACATTTTGTTCGTCCATTCATCCATTTGGGCCATTTATGCTTTTTTGACTGTTGTGAATAATCCTTTTATAAACATTTGTGTGCAAATATATGTCTGAGTCACCACTTTCGATACTGTTAAGTATATACTCAGAAGTCTCTGCTTTCTCTTAATTAGTGAATGTTGCTGACTGAATCTAGGTAGGGTGAAAATACTTCAAGGAGCATCTTGGCCTATAAAAGATACGTTATGTCATGCTATGGAAGGACATTGCCTAAAAGGAGAGCTGAGGCTGGGTGTGGTGGCTCACACCTGTAATCCCAGTGAAGTGGCAGTGTTTAACTGGGGTGATACTCGAGGTTTTTTGTCTCATGCCAAGGAAATCAAGGACTTGGACACACAAAGAGTGAGGTTAAGAGGGAAGGTTTAATAGGCTAAATAAAGAGAAGGGCTTTCTCTGCTGCAGAGAAAGGGGTCTTGGAGAAATGGGTTGCCAGTTCTGCGATGGAATGCAAAGCGTTTTTTGGATGAGTTTGAGGAAGCAGTGTCTGATTTACATATAGCACAAAAGACTGGTTGGACTAGGTGTGTCATTTGCATAAAGCGCAAAACACTGGTTAAGGCTAGGTGTGCCATTTGCATAGGGTGTGAAAATCTGGCCACCACAACCTAATCTTTTATTATGCAGATGAGTTTTCTGCCTGGCCAGTGCCATGTTGCCTGTTTCTTTACTGTACACGTGGTGACAAAGAAAAGGGAAGAAGGAGCCTCAATGTTGGACATGCCTTGCCTTCAGGTAGTCCTTTTCTATTGGCGCAGCTGCTGGCATTCCCCCATGCAAGCTTCCAGCTTGCCTATTTATGTGTGCAGCTTGATATTTTAGAATGCCCTTAGTTAGAAAAGAAATGATTTGGGGCTGCTTTTTGTTAAAAGGGAAGGTCCACCAAGGACTCTTTTACACTCACTATCTGTCTAAATAATTTCTTTGTCTCTCCTGTATCAACAGCACTTTGGGAGGCCAAGGCAGGCAGATCACTTGAGTTCAGGAGTTCAAGATCAATCTGGGCAACATGGCAAAACCCCATCTCTATATTAAAAAAAAAAAAAAAAAAAAAGCTGACTTGTTCTGCATAGTAAAATGATAAAAATTTTACATTGTCCAGTCATAGAGAGTTGGTGATATGTGTTAATAGAGAGAACGGAGAGATGTAATAATGGTATAACAAGAAAAAGCAGCCTGAGTTACACAGCAAGGGGACCAGACAATAGAGGAATATAACCTTTGAAATTCCCAGTGATGAGACAATAATAATAATAAATAATAATTTTTCTTCCTCATTGGTTTACTCCCCCACATACCTCTCACCTCCCCCTCCTCTGCTCACTCCCTCTCTTTTCCTTCTCCTCCTCCTATTCCTCTTCACCAACTTGTCTGGTACTGTACTTCATTCCTCATATTAAAATTTGCTCTAGGTACTCCTTAACACTCAACTAAACCCAAGAGCACTAGGAAAATGGAAGGTAGGGAGTGATTTCCAGTGTTGATGAAAGTGGACTAATGAGAAGGATGCTCACCACAGGAACTTGTGAGGAAATAGTTACAGCAAGAACACGTCAGGAAAACCATAACTCTACTTCCAGCCTTTACGATATTGCTGAGAATTTGGGACATTCTACTACATAAAGGTGGGCATCCAGACAGTCTTGGTTATGAATATGTGTTCTGATTTGGTGACTTAGGGCATTTAGACTCTAACAGTGACCATTTTCATACCATCCCACTCCTTCATATACCTCTGAGTAGGCAAAGCTGTGGGTTCTCACATGTGCAGTCACAAACACGAAAGAATACATTCACAAAACATTCTAGGTCATTGTTATAGTTAGTGAATTGGTAGCTCCCTGTCGCTAGAGGTACTTTCACCTTCAGCAGACATTGTGCTTCTCAGTGCCTAGAAAAATTATAATAAATTTGGAAAATAGTCTTAGTCAGCTCTGGCTTCTATAACAAAATACCATAGAATGGGCGGTTTAAACACCAGACATTTATCACAGTTCTGGAGGCTTAAAAGCCTAAGGTTAAGGTGCCAGCAGATTCTGTGTTTGGCAAGGGACTTCCTCCTGGCTTGTAGATGATCATCTTCTCATTGTATTCTCACAGGAGAGAGGATTCTCTAGTATCTTTGTCCTTATAAGGGCACTAATCTTGTCATGGGGGCTCCACCCTCCTGATTGCCTCTAAACCTAATTACCTCCCAAAGGTCTCACCTCTTAGTACCATAACACTGGAAGTTAGGGCTTCATCATACGAATCTGGGGCAGACAAACTTCAGTCCATAACAGTAAGCATCTGAGTTTCTAGCGTGGTGACTCAGATTTTTCCATTATTTGGCGATAGACCTTAAGAACATGGTTTGTGTGGAACGGGATGTATTTTCACACTTTTCTTTAGTCACTATCATGGCTCAATCAAAAAGTGGAAAAAAGCCAGGGAACCAAAGAACAAGGCCCAATTTCCACCATGTTAATGGCAGTATAACATGTGAATTAGAAAGCTTGAGAGGACCAGTTCTAGATCTGTGAAGCTCTCACAGCACAGAGTGGAGTCCAGGCTTCTTTATTTCTCAAAGACTTGGAAAAGAAAAGAATAAGTGAAAACTTTAAAGAAAGAAAGAAAGAAAGCATTCTGATTTTAAAATTGAAAATAATTTAAGGCTAACAATTTAAATTTTTAAAAGCTTAAAGTGCTGGAAAAGAAGAATAATCCAGAAAGATCATTTAAAACCCTAAAAGTGTCTTTGGATTGTTTCTTATATAATAAAACTATGTCTGAAATGTTTGGTCTCAATTTTCTTTTTTCTGGACTACAATAGTATGGTAAAGGAATTTCTCTTCAGCAGACTCACATGGTGAACATTTTTAAAATAAAAAATCTATAACTATTATATATAATTAGACTTTAATCAAAATTGCTTAAAGCAGGGCATGTTTATAACACAATTGGTTTTTATGTGAACAATATAGAGAATTTCATTAAAATGAGACTATCATGCATAGGCAGTGTTAGGATGGTCAAATATTAATATTCATGGTGGTATAAGGCAGGCTAATTTACAATATCAAAATGCTGGACAAAAGCCAAGTGTCTACCAATGAGGGAATCTTCAAATTATGATAGATCAGTAAAATTGTATTTTATATTGTCATAAAAAATAATGGTTTGAAAGAATATTTAATGACATAAAGAAGAGCTCATGATAAATTCAAGCATTATATAAAATTGCATTTTAAGTAATTTTCCAATTTTGTTAAAAATTATATTAGCTTTATTTATTTATGTAATGTATTTGTCAATTCATTCAACAAACATTTATTGGATACTTACTATGTATCATATGCTGCCAAAGCTCTGGGGATCTAGAAAACACAAACATTCTTGCTTTCATGCCGCCTGCATTTTAGTGGAGGGAGTCACATAATAAATAAATAAGCAAGTGATATATAAAGTATTCCAGAAGATGCTTACTGCTCTGGAAAAAAAATAAAGCAGGGAAGAGATACAGGGCATGTGGAAGTGATCAGTGTATATTTCTATATGCTTTTTATCTTAGTTGTTCTTGAACAATTTGAAAAATTATAATTGGTTGCTCCCTAGGTTCTGAAATTCTAGATAAGTCAGATTGGGAGTCGGATTACATAACAAATTAGAGTTGCTCTTTTTGATGTTAAAATATGTATGCGTATATGTAGATCTATCTGGTGAATTTTAAAAACTGCTTTTTATACTCTGTATCAGAGTTTCCATTTCTTTGTGGTTTCTTACCAATGCATATGTGTGTATGCTTCAGCTACTGAGGAAATTTCTCTAGATAAAGGGTTCACATGTTATTGCCATTTCGACATTCCTTGTCAAATTCCAGTACAAGCTTATATTTCACTATAGGTCTTCCAGAAACCTGAGTATTACAAGATGTAGATAAAGGCTTAAATAAAGCATAACTAAAGTAGCTTTCTATGTACAAAACCAATGTACTTCTTGATTGAGATATGCCAGAAACAGCACATGGTCTGAGACTTTACAGTAATGGCAAGCTAATGAGTTAGTCTCCCAAGTTTTATAGATGCTGGCAGAAGATATGAGATTCTAGGTCAGAGATAAATAACTTTATGACAGATGTCATATCAGGCACCATGAGTTTTATGTTCTCATTGGTTCCTTTTGCTTCCCAAGTCCCACAGGGCGATGCAGGGATGGGCTCAGGTGGATGCTGCACATGTACTGGGTTTGTATCACAGCTGAGGACCTCTGCACTTAGAAATACCAAAATCTTTTAAAGGAGGCTTGTTGCACACCTTCCCAACCTTTGCCTCAGAGAAAGACATTATCTGTATTACACCAGTCAGGAAACAAATCTGCCCTCTGCTCAGAGGGAAACACTAATTTCCAAACCTGTTTGTTGTATAACAAACAGAACAATGCTGTCAAGGCCCTTTTCTCAGAAGTGCAGAAACATAAGATTCATGGAGAATTCTGTCTCAACTGTATATTGCATACTAATTTTTGTGAGTTATTTGTATTTTCCTAAATGTTGTCTGTTTTCTTGAATTTGTTCATATTTGTTGGTATGTTTAGGAAAAATGCTGGCTAAAGTTTCTCTGCTAATATGTCCAGCACAATGTAATGACCAGTATTATTTTATTTTTACTGCCAAGCTTCTTTAAATTTCCTCTGATTATTATTTGGAATTTTTGTGGAAGATATGTTCAATAACAGATTAAGATAGGAAAGTATAGGGCAAATGTATTAAGACTAAATTTTAGATTCAGCTTAAACCCAGAGTCAGTATTAGAGGTCTTCGATTTGTTGAGTTTGTGGAAATAATCAGGAGTTTCTTAAAATTTAATTTCTCCTTTAACAAAGAAGCAATTTTCCTGAGAGTTACTCATTTAAGTTCATTTAAAATTTAGAATCTAGGTTTCGTGGGGAGGAAAAGCCAGAAGAATAGAAAGAAACAAGTGAACTCCTTGTAGACCATACATTCTTTAAACCCCACTTTGAAATTTACTTGCCAAATGTGGACTGGTGTTAGTGCTCTCACAGGATCAGTTGCCGAAGAAGTTCTACAGTATTTAAGAACAGTGGCTCTCTGACTCTACCCGCATAGCCAAAGCAAGACTAAGCAAAAATAACAAATCTAGAGGCATCACATTACCTGACTTCAAACTATACTGTAAGGCCATGGTCACCAAAACAGCATGGTACTGGTATAAAAATAGGTATACAGACCAATGGAACAGAATAGAGAACCCAGAAATAAACAGAAATTAACAAACTTAACAGCCAACTAATCTTTGACAAAGCAAACAAAAACATAAAGTGGGGAAAGGACACCCTTTTCAACAAATGGTGCTGGGATAATTGGCAAACCACCTGTAGGAGAATGAAACCTGATCCTCATCTCTCACCTTATACAAAAATCAACTCAAGGTGGATCAAGGACTTAAATCTAAGATCTGAAACTATAAAAATTCTGTAAGTTAATATCAGGAAAAAACCTTCTAGACATTGGCTTAGGCAAAGACTTCATGACCAAGAACCCAAAAGCAAATGCAACAAAAGCAAAGATAAATAGGTGGGACTTAATTAAAATGAAGAGCTTCTGCACAGCAAAAGGAACAGTCAGCAGAATAAACAGACAACTCACAGAGTAGGAGAAAATCTTCACAATCTATACATCTGACAAAGGACTAATATCCAGAATCTATAAGAAACTCAAATTAACAACAACAACAAAAAAAACAATTCCACCAAAAAGTGGGCTAAGGACATGAATAGACAATTCTCAAAAGAAGATATACAAATGGCCAAAAAACACATAAAAAAAGCTCAACATCACTAATGATCAGGAAGATGCAAATCAAAACCACAATGCAATACCACCTGTGATGGTTAATACTGAGTGTCAACTTGATTGGATTGAAAGATGTAAAGTACTGATCCTGGGTGTGTCTGCGAGGGTGTTGCCAAAGGAGATTAACATTTGAGTCAGTGGGCTGGGAAAGGCAGATCCACCCTTAATCTGGGTGGGCACAATCTAATCAGCTGCCAGTGTGGCCAGAATGAAAAGCAGGCAGAAGAACCTGAAAAGACTAAACTGGCTTAACCTCCCAGGCTACATCTTTCTCCTGTGCTGGATGCTTCCTGCCCTTGAACGTCAGACTCCAAGTTCTTCAGCTTTGGGATTCGGACTGGCTTCTTCTTCGCTTCTCAGCTTGCAGACGGCTTATTGTGGTATCTTGTGATCGTGTGAGTTAATACTCCTTAAGAAACTCTATATATATATATATATATATATATATATATATATAATCATATATATATAATCATATATAATCATATATATGTAAAATCATGTATATCTATATATCTATATCTATATATCTCCTATTAGCTCTGTCCCTCTAGAGAACCCTAATACAACTTACTCCTGCAGGAATGTCCATAATAAAAAAAAATCAAAAAATAATTGATGTTGGTGTGGTTGTGGTGAAAATGGAACACTTCTACGCTGCTGGTGGGAATGTAAACTAATACAACCACTACGGAAAACAGTGTGGAGGTTTCTTAAAGAACTAAAAGTAGAACTACTATTTGATTCAGCAATCCATGACTGGGTATCTACCCAGAGGAAAGGAAGTCATTATATGAAAAAGATACTTGCACATGCATGTTTACAGCAGCACAATTTGCAATTGCAAAAATATGGAACCAGCCCAAATGCCCATCAATCAACAAGTGGATAAAGAAATTGTGGCATATATGTAGAATGGAATACTACTCAGGCATAAAAAGGAAATAATTAATGACATTTGCAGCAATGTGGATGGAACTGGAGACTATTATCCTAAGTGAAGTAATTCAGGAATGGAAAACCAAACATCGTATGTTCTCACTCATAAGTGGGAGCTAAGCTATGAGAATGTAAAGGCATAAGAATGATACAATGGACTTTGGGGACTCGGGACAAAGGATGACAGGGAGGGTGAGGAATAAAAGACTACAAATTCGGTTCAGTGTATACTGCTCAGGTGATGCATGCAACAAAATCTCAAATCACTACTAAAGAACTTATGTAACCAAACACCCCCTGTTCCCCCAAACCTATGGAAACAACAACAACAACAAAACAAACAAACAACAACAACAACAACAAACAGTGACTCTGGAACTACATTGCCTGAGCTGAAATCCTGTCCCAGGCACCTTATTAACTATGAAGTTTGGTCCAGGTCACTTAAGTTCATTGTAACTCAGTTTCTTCATCTACATAAAGGGGACAATATTGAAACACAATTTGTAGGAAAGTCATGATGATTAAATTAGTTAATATATATTAATCATGTCGAACGGACCAGGCATGTAGTGAGCACTCATACATTTTACCTATTAGAGATCATTTAATTATTTATACATTTTGTTTTGTTTTTGTTTTATAAACCAATGACATTTGTGGAACACATTTCATTCTACGATGATAGAAGCTGGGTCTAGCTTACACATCATTATATTTTTAGGCAACCACAATGCCTCATTCAAAGTAAATGCTTAATATTGACTAAATAGGTAAATAAAAGAAATCTCTCTTTCTGTGATATTGTTCTCTGCATATATGTACGTGGTCTATGGGTTTCTATTTGCCTAAAGACCCACTTTGATTTTTAGGGAAGTGCCTTTTGATAGCACAGTTAAACTTGAAGCAGGAAATCACGGTTTGTTCCTATTAAAATTATGACACAAGTTATCCTGATATGTATGAATAAATTCATTTGCTTGACTCACATTTTAAATTACATTTCTTCTAAGTGACAATTGTTGTCTCTTCATAAAATAAAATTTAAAAGAAAAATATTGCCATCCAAAAAAAAAAAGAGTAAGCCAAATCATAGAACACACTGAAGGAAAATATCACATTTAAGGACACTGACTTATTTCCATTTAATTTGAATAGCTGGATGTTTGTATACTTAAGAAAACATAACAATAACAAAACAGACATGCAATTTACCAGGAACGTTATATTATGTAGTTAGAAAAGCTAGAAGGTTGTTACTTAACCTTTATGTCCTTAGAAAATAAGTGCATCTGATATTCACATTTTATTGACTAAAAAAATATTTGAATATTGATAAGTACTTCTTAAATACTAAAAAAGGTATATATATTTTAAAATAACAGATGTGTAGCATACAATGCTATTTAGAGTTTGAGCATGATAGATTTCTTTTGTAATACATTTTATGGCTTATTTTTATTATGAAAAAGAAAAGCCATTGTTCCCTTTCCCTTTCTTCTCTTTCGTTCCTTTCTTTCCTTCCTTCCTTTCTTTTTTTCTTTTCTTTCTTTCCTCTCTCCCTTCCTTCCTCTTTCCTTTCTCCCTTCCCTTCCTCTCCTTTCTTCCTTTCTTTTCTTCCTTCCTTCCTTTCCTCCTCCCTCCCTCCCTTCTGCTCTCCCTTCCTCTCTTTCTCTTTCTCTCTTTCTTTCTATTTTTTTGAGACAGGTTCTCACTCTGTCACCCAGGTTGGAGTGCAGTGGCATGCTCATGGTTCATTGCAGGCTTGACCTCCTGGACTCAAGTGATTCTTCCACTTCAGCCTCCCTAGTAGCTGGGACTAGAGGTGTGTGCCATCATGCTTAGCTATTTTTTGTATTTTTTGCAGAGATGGGGGTCTTGTTATGCTGCCTAGGCTGTTCTTGAACTCCTGGGCTCAAGCAATCCACCTGCCTGATCTTTCCAAAGTGCTAGGATTACAGATGTGAGCCACTGTACCCAGCCATTTCCTCTATTTAACCACTAATGCCACTGGTTTAAAACATTAACAAAGACATTATTATAGGATAAGATCATAGATTTATTAGGTTTATAAATACGTTATAAATAAAGCAATGTATACATTATGGAAAGTCTGGAGTTAGAGGAAATAGGCAGTTTTATTCTTTATTATACTTTTTCCTGTTTACTAGATTCATTACAAGAATACAATGCTAAAACATCCACCTTTGAGAATCATAATGAATTTATTGATTGCCTAAATAACTTAAAATACTATCTGATATTTCCTCAGTGAAGTCAGGAGAGCCCAGAACTAATATTCAGAGCAGCATAAAGATAGTTATTTGTCCAGAAGTCTTTGTAATGCTGTAGTAATAATCTCTTGATAATTTATCCAGGTGCAATAGTTGAATACAGATATGTGTATTAAAGGTTTTTTTCTCTTGTCCTACTTCTTTGCTCTTTCTTTCTTGTTTTGCTTTATTTTTAGTTTTGTTGTTTTGTTAGTATAGTTGTTTATATAGGTGCTACTATAATTAGTATAGTTGTTTTGTTTTTCCATATTTTTTACATACTCCAATTTAAAGTTTCATCATTTTGACATACACAATAATTTGGCTTGTATAATCCAAGTGCTATAGCCAGCTGTTATTTGAGGTAATTGAATAATCATGACTTCAGAATGAAATAAAAACTGCTCCACTTCTAACAATTTAGTTGTACTGTTGTATTATACAAGGACCCAAGCAAGTGAGTTTACACATATTCCTTTTCTTTCTCTGCCTTTAACTATCAGATTATGATAGCTAAAAAAATGATAATTTTTTCTGTTAAATCTCTAGAATATACCAAATTTTAGACTTTTGTGCATTTTCATTTCAAGTAAGTTAAAAATATTCCATTCTAATAACATCACAGATTTGTTCGAAGTAAATGTATTAGAGTAAATGGATAACAAAAACTTCCCTATAAATGAATTCATCAAGTAAATAAATAAAATAGATAGAATGCAAATGTCCCAGTTATTCACATTATGTTATTTGACTAAGATACATGAAAAATAATTTCTCAGGAGTTCCCATTGCTTGATGACAATGTAACTTGATTCCAATTGTCATGTAAAACAATGGTTTCTATTTTGCTTCTCCAAATTTTGTCACAGCCAATCCAGCAGAGATGATGTATGACCCACTACAAATTAGGGAAAGCAACAGTTCGTGTCAGCTGAATCTGAAAATACATTTGTCGTTTCTTTGGTTTCCTTCATTAAAGAATACACTCCGTGGGTCCAATTTGTATGGTGCATTATTGTTCAATCTCCCAGAGCAAAACACTATTATGTTGCCTTTTCCCCCCTTAACTGCATTCCTTTGGAAATTAACTTACTTAATGCATTTTATGCAGAATTGTTTTGAATTGACAAAAATCAGCATGAGAAGTAAGTAAAAATTTAATATATTTCCCAACGGTTTAAACTAATGATATAGACTCAGTAAATGAACAAATTAAGATAAACTAATGATATAGACTCAGTAAATAAACAAATTAAGAAAGCCAGTCTCAAATTGGTCACTTTTAGTTAAAACTTACCAATTTTGTTATCTCACCCTTATGGTCTAGCTCCTTTCTAGTATTATTTTTCTATATGATGCTTACCAAAAATCCAACATTATTTTACAAATTTATTTAGTATCCATCTCTCTACCACTAAAAATAGGCTCTCTGAGGGTAGAAATGTTATTGTAAGTTTCCCCCCATTTTTAATTAACTTTCTTTCCCACTACAAGAATATTATCTCTGTGACAGTACGTTTTATTCACCACAGTGTCACAGTGCCTAGAATAGTGCCTGACGCACATTTGGAATTTAATAAATATTGGTGAAATGAGGGAAATCTTTACTGGATGTTCATAACTAGATATACACATCATACCAATACACTTATTTAAGCTTGGATTTTAGATGAAGTCCAAATTAATAAGGATCCGCCTCTAGGAAGCTGAAGGCTTCAATGAAATGCTTTTGTTTCCAGGAACATGATGAGATTGCATCCCTAAAAACATGACGAGATTGCATCCCTAAAATGTTCTGGTGAGCTTTATCCCAGTGCTCATCAGAACACCTTCTTATGTTAGACCCAAGTTCTGGCATCAGGAAGTTTCCTCTATCTCAAATCCTGACTTAGTTTAAAAAAGAAAGCCAAAAAGTAAAAGGTTTGAGGAGCTGGAAATCCCTTTTGATGTCCATCTTTAAAGAAGCTGAGGTTTGAAAAGGTGGTTAGATTGCCCAAGTCACCGTGGGTATTTGAAAAATGTGTGTGCCATTATACATTTTTGTTTTTAATGGGGAAAAGGAGAAACTACTCTTAGCAAAAAGAGAAGAAAATGTTATCTATGGTGATCTTCTTGATATTGAAGATGGTATTTTCTCCAAAGAGGGATTTTTAAAAAATATTTTTGATTGGTTCCAAATACATCAACTCTGAATTTATAATGGTAGTAGGGTGGGGAGATAGGCTGATAAGAGGAGGTGGGCCTGCTCTTGTGATCATATCGGATATAGGAAGTTCAGACATGTGTTCTGGAAATATTGATTGCTATAAGGTAGTTTAGGGTTGACATGCCTTGGAAGGGTAGGAGAGGAGAACTCTTAATCTGTGTGACCAAGTCTGCAAGGAAACAGGTGAGGAGCCAGATGCTACTGTTCCCAACCGTCCACTGAAGTGCAGCGTGGAAAAGGAAATTGTCATCAGAAAGTTTCTATTCAGTGTTTTCATGTGAGTATGTATACCTCACGTTCCCCACAACCGCAAACCCAGGCCCACACAGGGTAATGTTCCAAATCCTTAGTACAAACCATTAAATATAAATATCCTTTTAGAACATTCCCTCATATGAGTTGAAAAGTTGTTCCCTGGTATCTATTTACGAAACTACGAAACTCGATAGATGACTTGGATTTTTATCGTATCTTCACCTCCTACTAATTATGTGGACTTGGGTAATTACTTCATCTCACTAATTCCCCCTACCTCTTCTTTAAAAGAGAGACACCAATAGTACTACCTTCCTGGGTATGTTAGAGACATAAAACCCCTGACATGGTGATTAACACATAATGTGTGCTCAATAGATATTAGTGATGGATATTATGATGATGGTGAGGATCACAGTAAAGAGGACTTTTCATTCCACATTTCTGATGAGAAAAATGATTAGTAAGTCATCATAACATCCAAACTCTGATAGGTTTTCCAGTTTGTTTAGCCCCATGTTTCTATTTTACAGATGTGCAGAGTGAGGCCCAAAAAGATGAAGAGCTGCCTAAGTGTACATGATATGTTAATGGTGCTGGGAAATGGGGGGTGTTTCAGAAGTGCAGTTACGATTTTGAAAATAAAGGTGGTAGGTTTGGCCAGGCGCGGTGGCTCACGCTTGTTTTCCCAGCACTTTGGGAGGTTGAAGCGGGCAGATCACCTGAGGTCAGGAGTTCAAGACCAGCCTGACCAACATGGAGAAACCCCGTCTCTACTAAAAATACAAAATCAGCTGGGTGTGGTGGCACATGCCTGTAATCCCAGCTACTTGGGAGGCTGAGACAGGAGAATCACTTGAACTCAGGAGGAAGAGGATGTGGTGAGCTGCCAAGAATACAACATTGTACTCCAGCCTGGGCAACAAGAGGAAAACTCCGTCTCAAAAAAAAAAAAAAGAAAGAAAAGAAAGGTGGTAGGTTTGAACAATCCTGATTTTGAATGCTGGTTCTACCATTTCTTAGCTAAATATATAAATAAATTTTGAGGAAAAATTTTAAATTTTATCATCTTAATTTTCCTCTGTATCAAATGGTTATGATAATAATAAAATAAACTTCATAGGATGATTGGGAGGACATAGTGAGGAAAAATATACAGAGGGACACTTTCTCCATAGGTGCTCCCAGAGAAATTATTATAAATACAGTGAATATTTAACCATATCATTGCAGTAAATATTGTGATGGATTTCCTCACCTTCATTTGGCAGAGATTAATGAAATGATGTCAGAATACAATTCCATTAAAGCAGTTCTAGAGTCAGCCAGTCCAGTGTGTTCCAGTTTTGCCTCTTTCTGCTTAATCCATGACTAGATATTAAAAACCCAGATGAGTTTGTGATGTGTATTGCATCTTAGATTCCATTCTCTGGTAAACCATGGGAACCAGTGGCAAACAGAGCTTAAAAGAGTAGCCCAAAGGGGAGGCTCCCCATCTTTTGGTGGAATTTGAGGCCACCTTTCCTAGAAGGAAGCCTGAGGAAATGCTGATTGGGTTAAAAAAAGAAGAAGAAAAAGAAACTCTACATGGGCAGACAAGAGTATGTGCCTGATTAAGCTGTCATGGACAGCAGTTCCCATTACTTGGGCAAGTAGTCATTTTTCATGTCTTTATTCTTTTCATTCTCAAAGTGAACAAGGAAACATAAAATATATGTGTTCATTTTTTCTTATGCTTTAAGGATGAACTTTCTTACCTGGTAATAGACAAATAAGCCTGGAGAAAAACATGGACATGAGAAGTCAATTTTTATAGAATGCTATGCAGGGAGGATCAGCTTCTGTAGGCCCCAACCTCCACCTGAAATTATAGGCAGGTGTGGCCAGAAGAGGCCTCATACAGAATACCGCACATTTTTGTCTCTCCTGCACAAAGCAAATGATTTTGACCCACCACAACTTTTAGAAAGTCTTCAAGAAAAGAGAAGGGTGCACCTCCCCAAAATGTCAGACCCACTTATCCCAGAGTTGACTGGGAACAGATCAACAGATCACAATTTTTTTTAAAAAAAGGCCTGATCCTCTGCATTTTAGCCAACCAAACCTTACTAATTATCTGTTCATTGTAATGGTCAGTATTGGTTGCCAGAGGGATTTTCTTTTGTAAAAAATTGTTGGTCTTGCCCTTAATAGTCATTTCCCAGGCAAAATGTAAGTGAAAAGGTACATGGAGTCATAAAACATGGAGTTGGAAAGGATATTTTAGGTCACATTTAAGGAAGCATGTATATATATTATTTTAGTAGAGTCACTGGCACATAGTAAGTGCTATAGAAATTTAGCTATTATTATCATTATTAATAGTGCTTCTATTCCCACTTTTGTTTATGTGTCAGAATCACCAGGAGTGCTTATCACAATTCAGATTCCCTGGCCCCTTCCTAGACTTACCAAGCCAGAATTTTGCAGTTCTAGGGAATCTGTATTTTAAAGAAGGTTTCAGTTTATTCCACTGCTGGCAGCCAGGCAGTAAGCCACAAAATGGAATTTAGCAACAATTGACAAACTCACTTGTCTTTTTTAGGCAGGGAGTAAATCAAGACCTGGAGACATTAAGCGACTACCTTTTTTTTCTTACCTTATAGATTTTTTTAAAATCTAGATTTTTCATATAAACTACTACAAATCCTTTTTCTCCAAGAGTACCCTTTAGGAAATGAATAAAAATGACTTGCCTAAGGTAACACAATCAGTTAGTGGCAGACTAAGGACTAAATCCTCCTTGTTTTCCACTGCCAGTTAGTTAATGTTTTCTCCCTAGAACCACACAACCTTCCTCAGTTAATGCTACTTGCCTTTTTGAAAAGCAAGATTGTTGCTTGTGAGCAATTAAACTGAATCCCATCTGACAATGAAATGCCACCTTAAAGCCCATGGTGTCAGAGTGAAGACTTTTTGCAACAGCCTTTTACTCAATTTTAGCTCCAGGTTTCCTATATGTGTCACCACCCTCCATGCTTTTGAAACTTTTAACAATCAGTAGCAGCCATTAAACAGGCCTTTGTCCGTAGAGTTAGGGCAGAATGGAAAAAGCAGTTGTTGATGTCAGTAGTAAACTCATTCAAGCATTGCTCAATTTTGTCTTGCAAATCTCAGACAAAAGATTATTAATATATTCACAAAGAAGGCACTTGACATTTTTTATTAGTCTGCTCTGCTTTTGTCAGCACAACAAAATTTAAGATAAACTCTAGATAAGATTATATTTGTAGTATAAATCAAAATCTACCCTTATTGTTGCTTCATTCAAAGGCACTTAGATGACCAGCAGACCTCTTTCCTTATAAGTGACTGGGACGATGAACTTTAATAGAAAATTTCCTTCCACTCCAGAACAGTAGATAATTCCTGGGTAAAGCTTACTCCAGCTGCACACATTTTGCTATGTTTCATGGGAAAATCATGTAGACATACTATTGCACATTGCCTAAGGCAACTGTTTTGAACTTTTTTTCTGCATTTCACTTTTCCTTTATTCTGATTCTGCTGTTTGTGATAACTCAGATTTATATAGCATAGCAGCCCCAATAAAGGAAGGAGGAGTATAGAATTTCAGGGATGGGAATGAGATAGATGGTGAGAAATAGACACTTGATCTGATTAATAGACCTGATTTTCACAGCATCTTTTTTCGCCTTATGAACGTTCAGCTTCTCTTATTTAAAAAATGACATAATAAAGGATCACTCTTAACAAGGTTCTGGACCCAGTGTAAATTGAAGCATGTGGAGGTCTTAGAGTACAGAGGCTGGGCTGAGCTTTCTCATTAGTTGTCCCATAGCATAGTGGTTGACCTTCACAAACCAGTAGTAATTCACACACACACACACACACACACACACACACACACACACACCCTACACCTCTTTGAACCAGCATAAGGTTGCCAGTATTTAATTTTGCCAAGTAAAGACATTGAAACAAATAGCCTAGCAAAT
The DNA here is from genome assembly GCF_000001405.40 of Homo sapiens. NCBI lineage: Eukaryota > Metazoa > Chordata > Mammalia > Primates > Hominidae > Homo > Homo sapiens. Next base: position 21,627,164 of record NC_000003.12, on the reverse strand, counting down.
ACCATTAATGTCATCTCATTTAAAAATATATTTAACACCAAAAGACATAATCTTAGTGGGGAAAACAATCTTGTAATTATAGTTATTTAGTTGTGTAGGAGAAAAAAAAAAACACCTCCCTAAATTGTCCAAAAAAAAGTTTTATATTTTTCACTGTAAAACATTGAAAATCTCATCATTGATAGGCACCAAATCCCTAACTGACAATCTTTTCCCTAAGCCCCTCAATACCCAGTTCTTTTCTACAGGCTTATCAGGACCACACATTGATGTGCATTGCCTTGGCCTCTGGCTCTGACACTCAGTGAGATCCCTGCCTACTTATAAATTCTAACACACTTGCCTGCTGCTCTTTCTCCTTGGTTCTCTTTCCCTATTCTGCCTTCAAATATTAATCTTAGGTTTTCTAGCATTTTCATCCATTTTGAACTCACTTCTCAGGTTCCATCTTTGCACTTCCCATCACATTCAGGCATCTCAACCAAAGATGATAGGCACTTGCATTACCTACTCAGCCATGCCTTCAGAGGAGAAATGAACTGCAGTAGCCAAGGCTGGCCACCCATATAGTAATGGCAACAAAGCCATAAAGCTCCTCAACGCTTTATCCTGACATAGCCTCTGGGGATCTCTACCTGAAATCAGACAGGAACATCCCACAAGGAGCAAAAGGAAATGTCACAGATCAGAACCAAATATTATCTTAAGAGATGACATTCCATCCTCTACATAAGTAAGCCATTTTATTACTTAAATTTAATGACTATCATTTTTCCTATTTGTGTTCTGGGTTTACATTATATGGACTTTTTGCGAAGATTGTGATAACACATGTAGCATAGTTTCTGGCACAGTAGCAGCTCTCAATCCATGTTAATTCCTTTTCTTCCTCATTCTGTCATGTTTTCACCCAAAGGACACATATGAGGGGCTTCTGTGTGGGTTTGTTCTACAACCTCTGCCTCTGACATATCTTGGACCAGTAGATATAAATTTCAGAATTCTTATAGTTTACTTAGAACAAGAGCTTTGGACTTGGCAGACCTGGTGTTGAATCCTAGGTATGTGACCTTGGGTGATTTGTGTAACCTCCCTCAATTTTATTAATAGTTTCCTCATCTGTAAAATGGGAATTATATCATTTATCTCACAGGCAGGGCAGTTCTGAAAATTAAGTGGAGATACAAAGTGAAGAGTACCTAACCAAAAGTAAGATTTAAATAAAATGTTAGCTTTAAGAAACCTGAAAGGAGGGGTAATTTGAATGATAATTTCAAATCGCTTTGACTACTTTGGCAGCACTGACTAATAGAACTTTCTGTGATGATAAAAGTATTCTATTTTTGTCTGATGTGGTAGATACTCACTGTGTGCTACTGTTGAACATGTAAAATATAAAACTAAAGTTTTAGTTTTAATTCAATTTGAATAGTCACATTTAACTGGAGTCCATGATCTTGAACAGCACAGGAATAGGAGCTATATGACTTTTTTTGTGTCTCAACCAGTCATCAAAATGGCAAAAAAGTAAGTTCTGAACACTTTGCTATTTGCCAAGGACTAAAGTTATGGTCAAATTAAGACTCTTTCTTCTAATGTAAGCAAGGAACATTATTCTCTTGAGTCATTCATTTTTAATGAATATGTGTGTGTTTCTATAGCCATCAGTGAAGGAAAAGAAAAATGTTGCTAAGTATTCTTGTTTAAGAGGACTGGATTCAGACAAAGATTGTGTGAATGATTTTGTCACAGAAGGCCAAAAATCTTTAGCACCGCTGGTTTAGGAACTTTCCACTTCAGTATGCCCTGTAAAAGTCTCATGTCATCCTTCCTGATTGTCCTCCTTTGGATCATTTCATATATTAACTGTCAACGAGAACGGCAAAAGCACGTAAAATGCCTGCATCTGAAAAATGTGAACCTTGGGAAGACTTAGGAAGTCTCTGACCTTAAAATTGGAATCATTTCCTTTGCTTCTTATTTATAAAGTTAATTAGGTGATATCCTTAGTACCTTACCGACTATTGGGGTCTGCTATCAAATTATTTTTAAGTCTTTTCCGAAAGTCAATTTTGATCTATCTTGTTACATTGTAACAAATTTATTAGAACTGAATCAAAGAAAATATTTGGGAGATGGTTAGGAGGTATATTATGAGAATATTTATACATGAATGAATGCTTACGAAGTTCAATTTTTATGGAATCTTTATCCCTCCTTTTAAAGCCTATGTGACTGGGAATGAAGGTAAGGCGGGTTTGGCAGATCACTCTAAGGAGAAGGAAACTTTTACCTCTGTTCTTTAATGGATTCAAACTTGGCTTCAACTTGGAAACAGGAAAACATTTGGCAGCTGCGGAGTGACTTCAGTTGAAATAAGATGTTTCCTCACCTTCCAGGATTCAGATTGCAACTGACTCAACGTTTTCCTGGAATGCCTGGCACTAAGTCTGCATGCTGCTTGAGTTGGGTCTTCTGAGCTTGGTGGGTAAAAGGGTGGAGTAATGGTTTCCTTCCTAAGTTCTAGGTAGGCACTCAAAGTTTCTCTGGAAAGTTGGGAAGCCAGCAGTTTCCCAGCTGCCCGGATTTCCACCAATCCAATTCTTGCCAGCAGTCATTATAAAGTCTCAGAGTATGATTATTTTTCAGATTTCTGTCATTTTAAAAGAAACTAAGTCTCTCCCAATGCAGGTAACATATCTTTTTCATCTTTTATATGTATCTGTCTGGCTGGAAATAGCATTGATATGTTTATTGCAGTGCTTTATGGGGAAAAAAATTACTTCCTTCAATGTCCATATTTAATATAGGACTAATTTTGGAGGTCACCCCCTGAAAAGCAGACATATGACATGGTGATCACCCATGCAGGACAAAGCAGGACTCTGTGCTAAGGTTTGTGGCCAAGCTGGGAAGCTCCAAGGGCAGAACAAACTGTAATTTCCAAAACTGTGTTGTGATGGCAATCAAGAGCACTTTTATGAATAGAGGCATTTCTTAAAATAGTGCGGTTGGTTTCCATAAATTAAATGATGTTGATTGGTTGCATATGAAATGGGAATAAGAAGCTGAATTGGATAATTTTAACATTTTCTTCACTTTTTCTGGTTCCATCTTGACTAGATTTATGCTTCAATCCATTTATGTCTCTGAAAAAGCAAACTACCATAAGTCGTCATAAAGCCATTCCCTTTCTCAATACAACCTGATTATTTTAACATATTTGTGCTTTTTACTTCAAACCCGTCAACATGCATAATCCTGTACTAATTTTGTCAGAGTTACATTGCTTTACTTTTTCAAGAAAGAGAATCTTCAGCTCAAATAGTCATGGTAAATTGGGGGAAAATGATTTAAAATCAGTATCATTGGGCCATGTATTATAAAAAGCAGCAAAGCAAAACTGCTGTGGTATCTGCAACCATACCATATACTGTAGTGATATTTTAAGGACCATGTGTACACAAAGACATTGTGGTTTTTTGTTTTTTTGTTTTTGTTTTAAGACACAGGGTCTTTCTCTGTTGCCCAGACTGGAATGCAGTGGTGAGATCATAGCTCATTGTGGGCTCAATTTCCATCATAGCTCGAACTCCTGGGGTCAAGCGATTTTCCCACTTCTGCCTCCTGACTAGCTAAGACTACAAGCATGCACCATCATGCCTGGATAATTTCTTGATTTTCTTGTAAAGACTGGTCTTGCTATGTTGTCCAGGATGGTTTCAAACTCCAGGGCTCAAGAGATGCTTCCACCTCGGCCTCCCAAAGCACTAGGATTAAAGGTGTGAGCCATCATTTCAGAAAAAAACAAAAACAAATGTTTTTTCCCTGAGATCGGTTATTAATGTGTAATAAAAGTGTCATAAATGCCAAACATCATTTTATGACTTACGATAAAATAGGAGCTTGTATCAATTAAACATACACTAGGTTCTAGATACCATGCATAAGTGCTTGAACTACATTATCTCTTTGGATTTGTACAACAACCCAGTGGGGCAGGTGCTTTGTATTCTTTACATACAGATGAGGAAACTGAGAGCCAAAATCACACAGGCAGTAACAGCAGAGCTCTAAGATAAATGAGGGCAGTATAAAATCTGAACCCCTGTGCTCGAACATGTTATACTGCCTCTAACTATTTAAATACTTGTTCTTCTAGTTGAGAAAATCGTCTTAGCATCATCTTTTTTTCAGTGACAAGTTGGGAAAGAAAGGCTAATAAGCATTTTCTTTTTCATCTGGGGCAAGCTATATAGAAATGTGATTCTCCTTTACCATTATATTTTGCTTTCATCCTCCACATAAATCATGTTGAAAGAACAGATAAATTAATTTAGAGACATGAATTTTGGTTAAAATAAGCCTAGGTTATAGAAGTATTAGAGCCATGATCAAATAAATTGATGATTAAGCAAACCACATTATTTTAGATGAAAAAGCTAAATAATAATCATTACCAATATAAATTAAAAATAAGACTTCTTGAACTATATGGATGGACTGAATTCAATACAGAGAATTAGTTGACATGTATGAACACTTTCTTATCTGTAATATTACGTGAAGCCTTTAACATCTCAGAACCTCCTTAGGAGGAAGAAAGGTCATGTATGATTATCTTGTTTTGATGGGTGAAAATCTAACTTTCAGGATTTCTCTCCTAATAAGTGGCAAAACTACAATTTCAACCTTGATCTTCTCACTCAAAATGTAGGCCTTAATTTATTCCATCACTTGACTTCTCAAAGCATTAGCTTTCCTTTCTGCTTTGACAGGTTCAGTACCAAACTAAGTGAAAAAGGAAGCCTTGGAATCTGGAAAGTTTATAAGCAAATGACCTCTGTGGACACTGTTAACTGTTTGTGTCAAGGCAAATTTAAGATATTGAAAGTCTGAAGACAACTGCTTTTGACTTTATTTTCTTTTTGAAGTTTTATTTTTCAATGACTTCCTCCTTAATCACTTTTTTCCTATTAAAATAGATTCATCTTTTATCTAGGATAAAAGCTAAGGGAGATTTTATGGCATCAGAGTCTTAATTTGAGTGCATTAAAAAATGAGTGGAAGCTCATGGTCCCTCCTGTAAAAGAAATTGCACCTTTTATTAGCAGGTTGAGTCTCTTCTCTGGACTGTAAAATGACAAAGCACATGTTCCTCGCTAAGGAAATAAAAGCAAAACAAAAATACAAAAAGTTAAAATCCAGAAGAGTAATACATTTCCTCTTGTAGACTAAGTTCCAAAGAAAGCACACACGTGCGTGCACGCACACACACACACACACACACACACACACAGTGGTAACAGGTTGGAAGGAACACTTCAAATTAATACAAGAACAGAAGACATAAAATTAGTAATCAAATGGGGAGCTTTTTGTGATAAGAGCAGCCAATGTGCTTGAGTATCTCAGAAGATAATAGGTTACATTCATTTTTCCTTAGTAGCTAATTTAACTTTCCTGTTTTACAGCTCACATGCCTCTGTCCTTGCATTATTAGCCAAGTGGACATTTCTCATGGAAAGGTCGTCCTTAGTGGTGATCATTTGCTGCTGCATAAAGCAAACTACACTGCACACACACACACACACACACACACACACACACGGGAATTTTTTTTTTAACTGATGACACAGCAAATTGGCAGTTTCTTGCTCAATGCCTTGTCAACAACCTGAATTTTCATTCCTAGTAGCCACTGCTGTGGCCTGCCTTTAATGACTCCGCTTTATGTTTTACCATAGCTGCTACTAAGGTATGCTTTATTTTTTCCCCACCATGAACTATTCTTTACAGAAGAATGTTAATTAGTAACTGATAGATCTAAAGATTGCCAGCGACAGCCCATTAATTCCATTTACTTTAATAGGACTTAGAACTTAGCTTGCAGTACAGCTGTATTCAGACTGGATTATAAATGTAATTTTTTGCATCATTAACTTCCCTGATTAATCTTAGACAGCAAGCAAATGCATAATTATTAGGGGAAAAAGCCACCCAGTATTTGCAGCAAGGAGTCCAGCTTTAAAAGTTGTGCTTTTGCAGCCTCCCTATTAACATCATTGTAAGTAGCACAGATTTTTACAATGTAAAGACTGCTTTCCATTGCTTAATGGTTAACCAGGTATTTCCTGCTTCAGAAAATTGTGTGTGTGTGTGTGTGCGCACACACACATGTGCATGCCTGTGGGCACAGTATAAGCACACAGGCACATAGCGTTGCTTACCTACAGTGTTTAATTTGTGATGAATTCACTTATGATGATTTTGCATAGTAATAACACAGCATTAGTGGTTTGCATGTGTAGCTTTCCCTTTTGGGGGCTCCGTGCGCCTTGTCAATTCTGCCTCGAGAGTGTTGTGGAAAATGCCTCTTACTGAAGACATTTCAGGGGTTAAGTTCACTGGCAATCACCGTATCACAACTACCCTTGTTCCTGTTCGGTGTGTGACTCAGGATTCAGCCTGTCAGGCAAAAATGAAACTCAGAATCAAATAGATTAAGGGCATTCAAATGAGAATGCCCTTAGGGGGCTGAGATTGAAATATCTTGCCTGACATTCAGTGCTACCTGATGCTAAAAGGACAGGCTGACGTGCTAAAGGAAAAATGCCCTGGCATATGGGTAGTATGAATCCCAGTCTGCATTGAAGGATACTAATCATTGGCTTGTTGGTATAAAATGGTGCTTTATTCACATAAAGCTTCCTGCTAAGGAAAATGGAAAAATCTCACCCCAATCTTGTGCCTCTTCACTGAAAAGAACCACTAAGAGGGGATTTAGGAGATGGGGGCAGAGGAAGAGGGTTTAAAAATTCCTCTTTTTAGGACTCTTCCATAATGAGCTATGATGATTCATTTGAGTAGTGGTCAGCCCCATCTTAAGCATCCTTCCTCTGTTTTGGAAAAGATATTAGAGGACCAGTGCCTAGATCCTTTCTGGCCTTGATTTAAAATACAAAGCAGCCAGAGATCGCTGACTATTTCTGGTGTACACTTCGTTACTTTGTAAAATAACTTTCCCTTATGCTAAAATACGTGCAAATGTTTTGTAGACGGGCCCTTGAATACCTACAGTGTTAATTCTTACAGGCTTTTAGTCCAGTTAATCATACCGGTGCATTAGGTTTGTTAGTAATCATTGAAGAGAGATGCATGGTTGGGACCCAGAACAGAGGGCTGTGTCAGTACCCTCTTCATGCCCAAGTTTCCCTGGCAAGAACTCAGGGTGTAATGTGGCTGCTGCATGCAAAGAACCAAACTAGGTTTGCAAGAGCTTCCTAGCTTCCACTTTCCCTCATTCTTTCTCAGGCACAGTGTGGACAAATTACTAGGGATTATAGTTACCAGAGTTCTGGATATCTCTTTATCTGATGCAGTTCCTCGAATCACTTTAGCAATTAGGTCTAGAATATAGTGGGGTCTTCCCCACCATTAGTCCCTCAGCAGGCCAGGGCTGGGAAAACAAAAGCTGCTGCAGATTTTACAACTCTTACCACCATTCCCCAGATGGACAAAGACTTGTTATCCTCAAGGAGTTTCTAACGGAAGAGTCTCTCTCTATAATAGTGCTAGTGTTAAACAGGAGAATAATGTGAACATCGGATTTGTGTTTTATCAGTGTTGTTTTGGTTGGATAATGGGTTATGAATTTAGAAAGTAAAGACTACAGACATACCTAGTTGAACCTAAATATGTACATGCTCATACTTACATGCATAGACACACACACACACACACACACACACGCACACACACGATGACAACTAAGAAAGACAGGTTTACATTTCAAGTCTTCTGTACTGTTTGTTAGTGATCAGGTGCATTGTACCCACACACAACAAGCCAGTCACTGTGAGGATGGGTTTTGCAAAAAATAAAAGATTGTATTCACAAGGCTGCCATGCGAGGAGATGAGAGAACAAATCTCAAATCTGCTTCCCCCAAAATAGGACTTGGGTATACTTATGGGATAAGAAACAGGACAGTCTAAAGTGTGGGGAGAGGTGACTGGTGGGTAGAAAAGGTGAGGTAATTGGGGTTTCTCTGCAAGTGTAATCTAGCTACATGGTTTGCTGTAGGACATGTGCAGAAAATGGCAACATTAGCATGATCTAAGACTGGAGTTTTGGCTCCCTGATGTGAGAAGTTCACTCCTTGGGCACCTGTGCAGGCCCAGTTGAAGAACTGTTAGTCTCAACTGGCTTGACCTGGACAAGAGCTATCCCCTAGTTCCGTAAAAACAGCTTCAAACACCCATTACTGTAGTGACACACGGTCAGAGATGTTATCTATAAGGAAGCTAGTGGGAGTTTTAAGGTAGACTAGAAGTGATTAAAAGCAAGTTTGCAGTTAAGTTTGGTGGGCAGGTAAGTTTAGCCCTTGGTTTCACTACTGTATTGCTTTATGTTGGGTAGACTTTTGTTCTTTAACTGATAGACTTTTTTCCTTATTTAACATACTCATCCTTGCCAGTGTTTCCCAATTTATACTTACAGAACCTAAGGTGTACTGATTTATGTCACTTCATATTTTAAAAATATATATTTGTTACTCATTTACTGTGTAATGACTGGGATATACAGATAATTCAGACATGCCTCTTTTTACCCAATTCATTCTGAATAGGGCACTATATGAATTTTCTAGGAGTGCTATAACAAATTACCACACGATGAGTAGAAACAGCAGAAATTTATTCTGTCACAGTTCTGGAAGCCAGAAGTCCAACACTGGGTATGGCAAGACTGGCTCCTTCTGAAGGCTTTAGACAAGAATCCTTCTTTGCCTCTTCTTAGCTTCTGCTGGCTTCAGAAAATCCTCGGCATTCTTGGGCTTACAGCCACATCACTCCAGTATCTCCGTCTTCACATGGCCATCTTTTCTGTGTGTCTGTCTGTTAAATCTCCCTCTGCCTCTATCTTCTAAGTATATTTACAATGGGATTTAGGGCCCACCAGGATAATCCAAGGTAATCTCTTTCTCTCAGCATCACTAATTATATCACAAAGACCCTTTTTACAAATAAAGTAAAATTTACACTCTTGCTATAAGATAATATAGGTTTCTGGGATTAGGACATGGACAAATCTTTTTTTTGCAGGGAGGTGGGGGACACCATTCAACCCACTGCATAGGAGAAAAGAAATAATTGTACCAGGAATCTAGCCTTTCAATCACAATGAGAGACATGCCATTTGTTAATTCAGAATTAAATTCCCACAAATGGAGAACTGGAAGGGGTTTTAAGGGTTTGTCAGCTACAGAAAGCTTAAAAGTAACTTCCCTGGCTGCACACAACTTCTTAGGGGTGAAGGAGGGAAAGAAGGCCAGTTTCCTCACTCCTCACCCAGTGTTCTTTCCCTTCCACCATGCAGTCTCAAACATCGTACCAAGGGCACCAGAACTAAGTACTTTATAAAACAGTTTGATAGACATCAAAGGACATCAGTGCAACAAAGGACCTTGGCCATATAATGGAGTGGCCAAGAGCATTTATTCCTGAACTGAATCCGCGTTTCAATCACTTGCTGTTTTGACCTTGGGCAAGATACTTAACTTCATGTGTTGGGTTTCTGCATCTGTGCAGGAAAAATTATAAAAGTATCTTTCTCGTGGGGTTGTTCCGAGGATGAAGTGAACTAACATACATAAAGCATTGGGGATTATCTGGACCACGGGAGCACTCTGTAATGTTAGCTATCACTAACAAGCATCTAATCCAAATACCATTTTTTACAGATAAACGCAGGAGGTCCTAAGAGTTGTGATTCCCTCAAGGTCACATAGCTAGTGAATAACAGAGCTACGACTCAAACCCAGTTCTCACAAACCTAGTTTGGTTCTTTGCATGGCCACATTACACTCTGAGTTCTTGCCAGGGAAACCTGGACATGAAGAACTTAGGTTATTGTTTTGAGCACATGAGAGCTGAGAGACCTTGCCATCAATTTTATTAAGTGTAAGCTTAGAAATGAAAATTTTGTACCTTTAGTGGCTACAGAAGCCAGAATTCTCTAATACTTAACACATTAAGGCTTGTAAATGTAGAAATTGTTATTGATGTCACAGGTTTCAAGGACAGAGAGGAGATTGCTCAAATTTGGGCTCTGAGGCTTGTATTTTAACATATGTGATAGTGGCAAAATCAATGTGTTCTTGTGATTTAGGCAGACAGGGTACCTTCTGACTTTTTTGAGACCTTTCAAAAAATAATCAGGGAAAAGGAAGTAATAATTTGGGTATTTGCAGCTATAAAGAACTCTATTGCATTTTCATAAGTGATGACAATACACACATTTCCTTTTATAACACTGAAGTCCCAGCTTCAAAGTGACCTGTGTTAGTAATTTTCATCTTATTTATCAAAAACACACAAAAATCATGAGAAGTATTTTGTCCTATGCATTTAGACATTAAATGTTATAATGAGTGCTATTTCCAGAGATGTTCACTATTGTTTAGAGATGTTTTAACAACCCACATACTAAGTATAATAAGCAATATGAAATAAGCATGGGAACATGAATCTTTTTTTTAATTATAAAACTAGTTAAATGTAAAGGCTAGAGAAACATTTGTGGTTTGCAAGACTAAATATGCCTTGTTTTGTAGAGGTCACTTCAGGAATAAAAGTGTATTTTGCTGTGACTAGTTACTTAGCATAATAGTAGAAGGTCCCCCAACCTCCTTCAAAAATTCTCCCGCAAGGAAATTGATTTTCTCATGGAAGGTACTGAAGGGTATCTTTAGCATCAGTGGAGAAACAACTAATTTAGCACTATCAGTGAGTCAGGTATCTGTATATTCCCAGCAGTAAACAAAAATTAAGCCATTCCTTGCCCTGTTTCTATTACCCAGATTCCTTTGCAAGGAAATAGCATGCATTGTAGTCACCCCGGATTCTCAAATCGCCTGATATTGTGTGTTCTCATCCCTTTGGTTGACCTTTATTTTAATCACATTGTGTACATTATCATTATATGATTACTATTAGACTGGTTTTCATTTTTAATTCTTTTATTTTGTTCATTCTTTTAATCTTAAGGGGAAGGTTAGCCTTAAGGTAGTTTTTTCTTAATTCTAATAGATTTCAGCTTATTTAAATTGAACAAACTTGATGCCTGATTACAATTTTTCCTTTCCTGTTTTCCAAGAATTAATTCTATTTCTTAATTTTTCTATTCATTAATTCTGATTAGCCTTTCAGAAAGTTGTCTGTTCCCATCCTAGGTAAATAAAACCACTCAGATTCTGGAAGCTGTGTTTAGATTAGCTTGGTATGCCTTTTCCCCTCGTTCACTGAATAATGGGGTCTTTGCAAATTGATTTTTTTAACCAGTAAACACACACACACACACACACACACTCTTTCTCCATTTTCTTTGCAGTCATTCTCTCCAGAAATTAGATAGGGGAGGCCTTATAAGATAGTTTAGCCACCTGCAACCCTAACTATCCTAAGGCTTTCAATAGAAAATGACAAATAAAGCAAAGGACAACTGAAAAAAACAATAAAACTCTAGTGTTTTGATGTTGAAAAAAATGGGTAGAGGGTAAAATCAAGAACATTGGGGTGAGAATAAAATACAGAAGTTAAATGGAATAAATTCATATTTGTTGAGTTCTTATATATGAGACTCTTTGTTACATTTTGATATGGAGCATACTAATTTGAATATGACGCCATTTCAGAGACACCACTGTTATTAGTATATTTTGTGTTACTATTTATTAACAAATACCTGAGCCTGGGTAATTTATAAAGAAAAGAGGTTTATTTGCCTTACAGTTCTGCAGGCTGTACACAAAGCATGGCACCAGCATCTGCTTCTGATGAGGGCCTCGGGAAGCTTCCAATCATGGCAGATGGTGGAGGGGAAACAGGCTTATCACATGCTGAGAGAGGAAGCAAGAGAGCGAGAGGATGGAGGTCCCTGACTCTTTTTAACAACCAGGTCTCATATGAGCTCATTACCATGGTGAGGGCACCATGTCATTCATGAAGCATTCACCGCCACAACCAAAAGACCTCCCACTAGGCCCCACCTTCAACAATGGGGATCATATTTAAACATGAGATTTGGAGGGGGGCAAATATCCAAAACATATCACTTATCTTTCACCAAAAATGTTTTCTACTTTCCACTGGGGGAGGTTTTGTTGGCAGATGGCTATTCAGAGTACTATGTTTCCTAGCTTTCCTGTGAGTACAGCCATGTGTCTGAGTTCTAGCTAAAATAACCTATCTGCACCTGATAAAACTGTACTTCAGGGGCCGGGCACGATGGCTTATGCCTGTAATCCCAGCACTTCGGGAGGCCGAGGCAGGCAGATCACGAGGTCAAGAGCTTGAGACCATCCTGGCCAACATGGTAAAACCCCGACTCTACTAAAAATAGAAAAATTAGCTGGGCGAGGTGGCATTCGCCTGCAGTCCCAGCTACCTGGGAGGCTGAGGCAGGAGAATTGCTTGAACCTGGGAGGCAGAGGTTGTAGTGAGCCGAGATCGTGCCACTGCACTCCAGCTTGTGACATAGTGAGACTCCATCTCAAAAAAACAAACAAACAAAAAATCTGTACTTCAGGGCTGGCTGGAAAACAAAAAATCACCCCCTGCCATTCATCCATGTTCCTCCATGCTCATATCCACTCCTGTGTGACTGCAATCAAGGGAACCCCTAGGGGACTGTTAGGGTCTGAACTATATTCTTCCAAAATCTCTATGTTGAATGTGAATGTATTTTAAAATAAGGCCTCTAAAAAGGTATTTAAATTGAAATGAGCTCCTTAGGGAAGACGTTAATCCAGTCTGACTGGTGTCCTTTAAGAGGAAGAGATTAGGACATACAAGAAGAGACTCTAGAGAGTCTCTTGACTCCTGAACACACAGAGGTTAAGGCCATGTGAGGACAGAGAAACAAGGTGGCCATCTATAAGCCCAGGAGAGAAGCCTCAGGAGTCAGACCTGCTTATACCTTGATCTTTGACTTGCAGCCTCCAGAACTGTGAGAAATGAATTTCTGTTAGTAAAGCCACCCAGTCTGTGGTATTTTGTTATGGCAGCCCTAGAAAACTAATACAACAACATTGAAAACCAGATGTTAAATGAAGTAGAACCTTTGTCATCTAGGGTCCTTGGGGGACCACACATAAATGAGTCTCACTTCAGGCCTGCCCACCCACCTATTATAATCTTGTGCACAACAGCTGAACCATCTGTGTTTGAGTCATTCTTATATTTGGGGTCCAACTCATATAGCAATTTGTTCATCCAAGCCAGCAAATGTTTCTGCACAAAACAACCTTATAATATGTGGCAGTGATTGCTCAAGTAAACGTGGATATGATGTGCATGGAATTGAGCTGTGGATTAAGAGTGTCTGTTCCCTTACAAATTCATGTTTCTATGATTCATTCACATGCTTAGCTCCAACTTTCAACCCCAATATTCTCACTCTGTCCTAGACTAATAACACAAGTGTACCTATTTACTGCTGTAAGGGGTCAAAGGGCCATTCAATTAATAAATAAACAGAGGTTTATGTAATTACAATACTGGGAAATTCACTAAGGGTCATCTTGACCAAATGTCACGTGATGTTGGGTCCTTTTGTATGCTGTCAGTAACCCACAGAGGAGGATTTTCTGTGAAACTGATGAAGCTTGTTTCAGGACCCCTTGCTTGTAAAACCTGCTTCTAAAAACCCAGGGAGGACCCTATCAATGTGTTCACATGGTCACTTTTTTTTTTTTCTAAAACCGCCAAAAAAATAAGTAAGACTATAAAAACATAATCAGTTAAGACATTTTTTTTTTTATCTTCTGACTTCTTTCTTTGTCTATCTTCTCATTTTGAGTGGTCTTGGGGTAGCCCCAGGCATTTTTAGAATAGGGCTCATGGGGGAAGTTGAGTTGGGTATACATTCAGCTTGACTTTAATGAAATATATTTGTTGTGGTTTACCGTTACTTTCCTGTATAAGTTTGATGTTACCCATGCTGTTACAGAAATAACTTCTAAGAACATTCTTTCCACTCACTTTCTAACTCACCTTGAAGTATAACAGATATGTTCAGGGTGAGAGTTTAAATCTGAAAAAGTAACGAGCCTAGCACTGAATTTAGAGGGTGTTCTTTAGTACCCTGGTTTTGAAAAAAAAAAAAAAAGAAAAAAGAAAAAAGATGTTGCATGAAGATGTTTGTTTTTTGACCATTATTCAAAGCTAAATGGGTTCAAGATTGGGTGTGTTTACCTAGGACTGTGAAAATTTCTTCATTTAAGGTGTTTTATTTTAATAGACATGTGAATTAATTTGATCTCAGCAACTGCTTTGTGAAAAAAAAGAGCAAAGGTAAGTGTCACCTTTTATGAAAGAAGAAAAATTGAGGTTTAGATTATAGATTCTAATAAATCATTTGATTTGGACACATGGCTTTTTAGCAATAGCACAAGATGCAGGATAGATGTCTTTTGAGTTCTGAGTCAATGGTTTCTCTTTCAAAATGCTGTGGCAATTAATCTTACTTCTCATTGCTTTTATATGTCTGTGACTGATATGTTATAAGAGCTAAATTATCCTTTGTGATTTGATAATTGAACAAATGAATAGGTTCTCCCACAAGGTAGTATACATAGTTAAATATATATTTCCCCAATTGACTAGCTTGAAGAAGTCTTCGGTTTGAATTCTACATTGAACAAATTATATGACCTCCCTGATTTTTAGTTTCTTTATCTGAGAATAGTTAATAATGACTACTCCAGCCAGGCGTGGTGGCTCATGCCTGTAATTCCAGCACTTTGGGAGGCCGAGGTGGGCAGATCACGAGGTCAGGAGTTCAAGACCACCCTGCCCAACACGGTGATACCCCGTCTCTACTAAAAATAAAAAACAAAAAATAAAAAAAATTAGCGGGGCATGGTGGTGTGTGCCTGTCATCCCAGCTACTTGGGAGGCTGAGGCAGGAGAATTGCTTGAACCAGGACCTGGGAGGCGGAGGTTGCACTGAGCCGAGATCATGCTACTGCACTCCAGGCTGGGCTACAGAGCGACACTCCATCTCAAATAATAATAATAATAATGACTGCTCCACAGAATTTCCTGAAGATTAAATGGTATAACATTTGTGAACTGCCTAGAATGATGGTAACTTTTAGTAGATGCTCACAAGATGTGAATTTCCTTCAGTTTTGCATCCATTTTTATCAAAGACATGGCTGTAAGTCTAGTCTTTATAAAAGTATACTGAGGTACAACAAGCAAAATAATTTCGTTGAATTTGTGCAAGCCTGTCTATCCTTCCAGTCAAGGTGCTCAGGTCTCAGGTCTTGGTGGTGGTAAAGCCTCATGTCATCTTCAGGTACTTTTATCTTCCCTTCCTTCTCTCTAACAAGACTCAATGTGGTATCCTTGTTGCAGAAAGCAATGAATGATTCATTGGCCCTTGACCATGAGGGTTCATGGGCTTGCAGCAAATGAGAGCAGTTTAGTTTACAACATCTTCATTCTCTATCATAATGATATAGGATAATATTTTTAACATAATGTACTTTCAAAGTACATTCATATACATTATGTCATTTGGCCATCACAAAAAACAGAAATGATTTTGTCATGTCTGCTTTATAGAGAGAAAATAAAGTGAAGATCAGCCAAGATTAAGACTTTTGTTCCAGCTCATGTGGTTACTAAAGTCTCAGACTGGTATTGAACTTGCCACATGTGGTTTAGGCTTTTTGGTTTTTTTGTTTGTTTGTTTTTGCTTTTCCCCCAGAAGGAGTAGCATAGTAGGAACAGCCCACCTGGATTGCAAGCGCAGCTCTGCAACCTGAACTTCCCTGTGCCTCAGCCTCCTCATCTGCAAAATGGGAAATGATAATACATATCTCTGTGGCAGACAGATGGTAGGGTGGCTCCCATGAACCCCATCTTCTGGTATTCTGATTTGTGTAGCCTTTCTTGTTCAACATGGGCAGGACCTGTGATGTGCTTCTAGTGAATAGTACTGCAAAGGCAACAGGATAAATGTGATTACATGTATGTGATTATGCCACATAAGATTGTAACAGACATGCATGGAGATTCTATTCCTTGCTGACTTTGAAGAAGTAAGTTATCATGCTGTAAGTTGCTTATAGAAAAGGGTCTATGACAAGAAATTTGGGGCTACCTCAAGCCAGCATTACACAAGAGTCCTAGTTCAACAGTCCACGGGAAACTGAATGCGAAGAAACCCATTCTTTCCCAGCCTTGCCTCAGATGAGACCACATTCCAGGCTGATATCCTGATTGCAGTCTTCCAGAGGACCTAGCTAAGCTGTGTCTGGACTTCAGAGCCACAGCAACCGTGAAATAACACATGACTATTGTTTTTTTTTTTTGGGGGGGACGGAGTCTCGCTCTGTCGCCCAGACTGGAGTGCAGTGGCGCGATCTCGGCTCACTGCAAGCCCCGCCTCCTGGGTTCACACCATTCTCCTGTCTCAGCCTCCTGAGTAGCTGGGACCACAGGCGCCCGCCACCATACCTGGCTAATTTTTTTTTTTGTATGTTTAGTAGAGATGGGGTTTCACCGTGTCAGCCAGGATGGTGTCGATCTCCTGACCTCATGATCCACCTGCCTTGGCCTCCCAGAGTGCTGGGATTACAGGCGTGAGCCACCGCGCCCGGCCAACACATGTCTATTGTTTTAAGCCAGTAAGTTTGTAGTAATTTATTATATATCAATAGATACCTAATACATCACAGTAGACCTATTATGGGATCAAATATGTTAATAAGTGCTCATATCTATGCCAGGTACACTGTAATAACTCAAAGTTAGTATCATTATCTTGCTCTATTGCTTAATCCAGGAAGGGAAGGAGAGTTTTAGAGTCACATCTTTGTATTCGTGTTCTTATATGGTTAGCACCACAATGTTTGTCCTTTGTTGTAATAGAAGCTCATTATGAGGCCTTTATAAAAATATATTTCTATGTTTATGCATATATATGCATAAACACATTTTTTTTTTGGTAGATGCGACTGTTGCCTAAATTGTCCTTATAATTTTAGGGTCTTTGAAATAAAGCAAGGCTACACAGTATTTAAAGAAAGTAATAACAGCATAGTGGCTTATTAAACACGCTGTTTTGCTTAGAAGTGACAGAAATACAAGTTGGCTTAGTTTAAGAAAAGTGGGAGATTTATTTGCCTGCGCAACTGGAAACAGTTTAAGAGTAAAGCTAAGGACATATAGAAGGAGGAATTTAAATACCCATCAGGACTCTCTTTTCCTTTTAGTTTTTATCTCCTCTCTATTTCTCTCTGCCTGTGAGTTCCATTTATCTTTGCGTGGCTTTAGAAATGACTTTAAGCCACTGTAGCTTATATATTAACAGTTCCAAGACCACAGTGTCAAGGAACACACACTCTTTCAGCTTCCTGAAAAGAATCCCAGAGATAAGTATTATTGGCCCCATTAGGTTCTGTGCTGACACCTTGGACCAGTGACTATTACCACTGTGGGTCAAGCTTGATACTCCATAAGGCTCAGCATAATTCACGAGCCTACCCCTATTTCTAGTGGGGAAGGGTGGACCTATTCTTAGAAAGATGATGGGAAGACATGTTTGTTAAGTAGTCAAAATAGTGGTGTCTAGAATTTATTTGGCAACATTTTCCTCAAGTGCCTGGAATTTAAATATTTACTACTGGAAAACCCGATTTGGATAGCATTCTCCATAAATGAGCCATTTGGCTTGCTAATAGATTATTATGAAGCATAAATTGACTCTAGACTTCTGAACACTTTTTTTCTTATTATAATTAGTGATTCTGGAATGAAAGGCCCAGAGATTGAAATCTGAAAACAATTAATGGCAATTCTATCTATAGCTGACCCTAATTATTTAGCTCAGTTGGCGAGAGCTGTGTGTTAATGAGACTGATGTGGTGGGTAAATCCCTCTGCGGGCCAGTAGGTTTTACTCTGTTCTGGAATATGGACTTTACTCTTACTCTCGTGTTCTTCTGAAAATGCCTACTTCGGGATATGGGGCAGAAAAAGAAGTTATTTAGCACAATTCTATTTGGCACAGGTGGGAAAACAACTCCCAGGTAACTCCTCATGAAAGTGCTTGATAGTTACATTTATGAAGGACAGCACAATTATTTTCATATCAAATACTTGATTACATCTCAAGATTCTCTGACTTATTATTGACAACATGTTTAAAATTTTTTTCCTCCTTGTGTCAGTGAAGTCTCATCATCTGAATACACTGATATAAGAATGGATGATACTTAGTGGAAATTTAAACAAAGATAAAGGAAGAACAACACAATTTAATACTAATGACTGTGACAGGCCCTGCTTTTATTTCACAACTGGATTGGGAACTACTTTCATTTGTAGACGAATTTTGACTTCTACATGAAACCAAAAATCAAGCTTTATCTAGAGGGTAAAACATGGGAAAAGTCACTCTGCAGATGATCAGAGTTAAAATAACAACAAAACTAATAGACATTTTTTGAACTCTTTGTATAAGTCAGAAATTTTGGTGACTGCTTTCCACGTATTAATTTATTTTCATAGCAACTGTTTTAGGTAAATTCTTTATTTTTCATATTATACAGCAGAGGAAGTAGAAGCAGAATAGGTAAAAATAACTTGTTTGATATTATACTGATGCAAAGGTTTAAACACAGGTAATCTAAATACAGAGTTCATATTTTTAACTGCCATCTGCAAATTCTACATTTTTAGTTATCTGATACTACCTTAATGCTTATGGTTTAGTAGCTAACAAGAAATTTTACTAACGACAATCCTGAAAGACATACATAATTAACAGAAAAAAATTTAGGGCTGGGCGCAGTGGCTCACGCCTGTAATCCCAGCACTTTAGGAGGCCAAGGTGGGCGGATCATGAGGTCAGGAGATTGAGACCATCCTGGGTAACATGGTGAAACTCCATCTCTACTAAAACCACAAAAAATTAGCCAAGTGTGGTGGCACCTGCCTGTAATCCCAGCTACTCAGGAGGCTGAGGCAGGAGAATCACTTAATCCCAGGAGGTGGAGGTTACAGTGAGCTGAGATCATGCCACTGCACTCCTGTCTGGGCGACAGCAAGACTCAAAAAAAAAAAACAAAAAAAAAAGAAGAAAAAGAATTACATCTTTTCATTACGGTTATTTGGCTAAAGGTAACACAATAAAATTCAGATTTGATTATATAAATTACGGGAAGAATAAGGGGACATCTCATGAAAACTCAAAAGTAGGAAAGATAATTAAGCATCTTAAAAGGATGGGACCAGAAAGCTATCAGGGACATGGCTTACTCTCTTCTCTCCATAATTCAGTGGTCTCTCATCTCTGCTTCTCTCTGGAGATGTGCAGTTGTCCTCCTCTGTCTCTCTTACTAGCTTTTCCTGTCCCAACATGCATGCTGGGCTGCAGCCTAAGCTTCCCCAGGATGCTTTCATCCAAGAACTAACAGAACCTAAACCAGTATCTGCAAAACACAGATATACATTTCCAGGAGAGACACTGGTGAGGTCTCTTCAAGAACCAAAGGATGGGGTAGTTTTCCAAGAAGATATGGGGACTGGAAAGAAATGATTGGCAGAGGACATTGTTTGGCCTCATCAATATAATTATTCTCTGTGGATAAACTTGATAATGATAATGATAGAGCAGTAGAAAAATACAAAGAGTATACACTTGTTATATATAGAATGGTCTAGATTCACACTGGAACTTCTGCATTTACTAGCTGTGCTAGCTTGGGCTGGTTTTATTAATTTCAATATGATTCAGTTTTATCATACATTAAATGACAATAAAAATAAATGCCACTTACAGTTATTGGAGGATGACGTTAAGTCATTAATGCAAACTTTCCCCAACTAAACAATAAAGATCCATCATTTTTTATTATAGATGAAATTAATATCGTATTAGTTTTTCTATATATATATTTGTATGTGTATCTATATATATTTGTATTTGAGATGCCATTGATTACTGTACACACCATCAATTTTAAGAATAATTTTGAGAACAGAACACACTTAGAAAGTTAATTATGATTAGTGTTAAATAAATTGTCTACTCTGTAAGTGCCTCAGAAGTGAGGAATTGTTATTAGGAGACTGCATTCCTTAACTTGCCTGATAATATATGATTTGCTGTGAGTACACAAGAGAGGGAGAGAGAATAGGATATCCCACTGCCCCCAAACAAGAAGCAGATGTAAGAACTTCATCCATTTGCAGCAGAATTGATCAGAAGAAAATAGTTTTGACCCTTAAGTAACATCTCTTTTTGAAAGCTAGCAGCTTTCTGCCTCCAGCATGGAGGTTAAATCCTAATTACCTCCACAGAGAGAGATGGCAGGGCTGTTCTGACAATGGGGTGGAAAGGTCTGATGGTGGAATTTATTTAATAGAAGCCACAGTCACTGTCTTGCAGATGGCTTCCTATAATCCAAACCTTTTGTTTTTCAGTTCAGGTCCCCTTGTGGGAGACTGCATGACAGAGCACAGGTCATCTGTTCTGGGAGTTAGGAGACCTGGCCTTTCTCTGTTCTCTTCTTATTAGTCTTGCAGGCTTAGAGACAATTTACTTTTTTAGGACTCAGTTTCTTCATCTATATCAAATGCAGTCTAAAGTCACCTATGGATCTAAAATATATTAATGGTGTTCCATTTTGTACATCAAATGTATAGTATTTCATATACATTCTGTGGATCAGTCAGGGCACTAATAAGAAAAAGAAAATCTACTCAAAGCATTTAGTGGAGGAGAGTTAATAAATGGGTTATGCTCAGAGGTGAGAGGACGGCTACAGGAATGAATATGTCATGTCAAGGCACCCAGAGGTGGCATCATTACCACCCATTGTCCTGAAGGCAGAAGGGTGAGAGGTACTGTTGCTGGAGCCCAGAAAAGCAAGGGCTGTGTGGGACAGGCTGCATGATTTGAGTATCATCTTAGAAGCAGCTACTCTCAGAAAGGTTTGAGTGTTTGGAGAATATGTTCTCTGACTTCTCTCATCTCAGTCCCTCAGTTCTCCTATTTGTGCCGCAGAAGTCAGGTGGAAAGAATGCAGATGGTAGAGCCATAGACTGAGTCCCCTAGGTAAAAGAGGACACAAGAGAAAGTCAGAGTGGAAGGAGGTGGCCAACAGAGAATACCAGCACAGTCTGCACGTTTTAAGATGTGCATTACGTGGTTTTCCTGTGTTCATGGATTATTTTGCATTTGATTAATCAAATGGATAGTGTGGATTAGAGGTGGGCTGTTTTATGAAGTATTTTATGTTCAAATGTTTTAAGAAATCATTAAAGATCAGGGTAAGAATCTTTCAATGTCCTCATCCATATCCTTACAACTAATGATCACTCACCAGATGGTAGTGATGAATAAATGAGATATTTAACAACTAATCTTCATGTTAACCCTACAGTTGGTTGCTATTGTCATCTCCATTTTACAGATAAGGAAACTGAGGCATGAAGAAGTCATAAATGCCATGGGAATCAGTCAGACAAAAATGCTGAAAGATTCCTGAAGAGGCAGAGATCCCTTTTAGTTAGTGTGATTAGGAAAAGCTTCATTAACTAGCTTACGCCACCTCTGTCTTTCTACCATTCTTTCTGTTGCTTGGCCTGTCTCCTATAATAGGCACACACTTAGTTCCCTACACGAGGTCCTGCGTGTGGTCAGGATTTTAGAAAATTTAACGATAGGCACGGTATGATTCACATTCTGTCTTACTCTTCTTACCCTTATTTTCTGATTTCTTCACTCTGTCCCCAAGCTGCTGCTGTGCCTAACTCAGGAGGGTTGCTCAACATTTATACTGAGTCCAATACAAATCCTTTCTTTTGGTATCTTTACCTTCAGTGGGGCTCACATATCTTGTGTGTCTTCCTTCCCAACTCCCTGTCTGTTCCTAGAAATTAAATATCCCCAAGTCCCACACAGCCCCCCTCCAATGATCTCATTTCTAGATCCTCTTGCAGCCTTTATACTCCGATGAATACTCATCCTCCATACATGCCTTTCATTTCTTCTACTAAGAAGTGTTAGGACAAAGTGTAATTTCCATTTAAGTTCTCCCTTCTACACTTCAGAATCTTTCATTCTCATGCCTCTCTCTAGTGTCAGAGGTATGCCCAAGGCAACTTTCTTCACCATCCTCTAGTGTTCTGTTCTCCTGACCTGGCTCCTCTTTGTCCACAAATATTTCATTATCTTTCATACATAAACAAACAGCCAAATAAATAAACATAAAACTAGCCTTTCCTTAACTTTTAAAAATTGTCCTCAAGCTGTTCCCATTTCTCTCCTTCTCTTCTCTTCCCTTGCATATTTCTTTGGAGAGTTTCCTATAGCAGCTGACCCCATTTCCTTACCACCTACTCACTGTTCACTCAGACTCTTACAACCTAGTTTCCTTCCACCTTATTCTACTAATTACCTTCTCTAAGTTCATCTGCTCATCACCAGAACCGCTATTCTCAGGCCTCACCTCATTTCACCTCCTTAAATTTCACATTGGGAACCATCCTTTCCTTCTTCAGCCTTTGTCTGTGGCCTCTGGAACACAAAATACTCTTACTTTTCTCTTACTCTTTTCTGTGTTCTTTGCTGATTACTCCTCTTTCATTTCCAAAACTAAGTATTCCTCTTAGCATAGCACTGCCAAACTAATCTTCCTACATAATAGAAATTCCTAAACTTCAATCATGTCACTTCCCAGCTTAAAAACCAAAAACCAAAAATTTTCAGCGCCTTGTTAATCCAAACAAAGCGAATGTCTTTCTTCACATTGGCAGTCAATTTCATTTGTTTCTGAGCTCTAGGACACTTTTGAAGCATCTCCTCCATCTCTGCTTCTACACACAGAGCAGACTCTCTGTTAAAAACATAGGTCTCCATATCTAAAACCTTTCCCTACAATCTTATTCCCTCTATTGGTATTATCTTTATTAGGCTACGTTTGCCTACAGTAATAAACACCCTTAAATCTGAGTGTTTTTATGTAGTGAAAGTGTATTTTTCACTCTTCAGGATTCAGGAGGCTTACCAAAGCAGCAGTTCTGCTTGCAGTTACTCGGCAATCTCGCTTGCTTCATTCTTGTTTCACCAACTCAACACAAGTCCTTCTCTATAATTGAACTGAATTATATGGGGGCTTTTCACTGCCTCAGCCTGGAGTTGAGATAAGCTACTTCTACTCCTATTTCATTAGCCAGAACTAATTGCGTGGCTATGCCTCCCTACCATGTGCTGGGAAGCATAGTCCACCTTATGCCCACAATCCTTCTACCATCCCTGCCTACTGAAACCCTATTTACAAGGACAGAATAAAATACCACTCTCATTTAATCTCCCATGACTCCCACCACCTTTCCATCAACTAGCTAAGTATCCATAGATTTAAAATTGATTACTACTTGTACTTTTTTTGTTATACTTTCATAATTTTAATGTATATAAGGGCATACAAATGTATATTTTTAAAACAAATGTAATCATATTAGACATATTGTTCTGCACTTTGCAGTTGTCACTTGTTTAGAGTTATTATATATTACCTTATAGAGAACTAGCTCATTATTTTTTTACAAATAAAATATAAACTGTACAGATGTAACATAACTTATGTAACCAATATCTATAGATGGATACTTCTTTTACCAGTTTTGGACTCTTACAAAAACTATTAAGGCATCATTAATGTACCTAAGGATAGGAGAATATGATGTTACCAGAAGCAGAATTGCTGGGTCTGAAGGGACACACTTTTAACTTCCAAAGACATTGCCAAATTCCCTTCCTCCAGTACAAAACAGAACTGTCGCACTAATGTGCATATCTTCCAGCATTATATAAGGAGAGCTGTTGCCTCACCTTCTTAGCAACACTAGATATTAATCAACCTTTTAATAGCCTAGTTAAATCACATACCTCTTTAAGAGAGGCCATTTATTATGCGTCTTCTTGTCTCCTATATGGCTTGGTACATATACAGTGTTCATTATTTTAATTTCATTTTATTTTGGTAAATAAACTTGATGAAATTTAAGCTGGACTCTGAATGATAGTAAGTTTGGGGTAGTTATAAAGGTGAAGTTTCCTGATATGGACAGAGGCATAAAAGAAGCAAGAGGGGGTATGACTGGGTTTTGTCTAAACAGTAAACAGATCTTTTTATCTGGAGGTTTAGGATTAGTGGATGAGAAGGTTTTTAAAGTAGCTTATAATTTCATTTTAGTGGTTCCTGCATGTGGGCCGAGTTCTGTTTGTACTTTAGAAAATGCAGGGAGGCCGGGCGCGGTGGCTCACGCCTGTAATCCCAGCACTTTGGGAGGCCGAGGCGGGTGGATCATGAGGTTAGGAGATCGAGACCATCCTGGCTAACAAGGTGAAACCCCGTCTCTACTAAAAATACAAAAAAATTAGCCGGGCGCGGTGGCGGGCGCCTGTAGTCCCAGCTACTCGGGAGGCTGAGGCAGGAGAATGGCGTGAACCCGGGAAGCGGAGCTTGCAGTGAGCCGAGATTGCGCCACTGCAGTCCGCAGTCCGGCCTGGGCGACAGAGCAAGACTCCGTCTCAAAAAAAAAAAAAAAAAAAAAAAAAAGAAAATGCAGGGAAACAGGAGACCTAAATTCTACTCTTGGTTTTGCTACTAACCCTGCGCTAGTACTTGGGTCTCCATCACTGCATTTCCCGTAAAATAAGAGTTCTATGTGCCCATTCATTTATTATTTTCATCAATATTTGCACGCTGGCCAATATGTGCTAGATTGTCCACAACTAGCTTTGGGTAGAACAATGGAAAAGATAGTCACGTTCTGATATGGTTTGGCTGTGTCCCCACCCAAATCTCACCTTGAATTATAATAATCCCCAGGTGTCAAGGGTGGGGCCACATGGAGATAATTGAATCATGGGGGCAGTTTCCCCCATACTGTTCTCCTGGTAGTGAATAAGTCCCAGGAGAGCTGATAGTTTTATAAATGGGAATTCCCCTGCACACGCTCTCTTGCCTGCAGCCATTAAGACCTGCCTTTGCTCCCCCTTCACCTTCAGCCATGATTGTGAGGCCTCCCTAGCCATGTGGAACTGTAAGTCAATTACACCTTTTTCTTTATAAATTACCCAGTCTCGGGTATTTCTTCATAGCAGTAGGAGAATGGACTAATACACGTGCTTTATTCTCTCTGAACATAAAATATGGAGAGTAAAGACCAAATGACTGGATGATGACAATGTTGGGGAAAGTGCTCCAGTTGGAGACATGTAGGGAAGTCTGAGTACTATTAATTGGAGCACCTCACCACCAAGGTATCAACTGATCAGCTCAAGCTTCCAGGGGGCGGGACTGCTAAAATCATCTCAAAGGGTGACGATGTCTTTATCACTAACGAAAAAGTTACCTGCATGGCACAGAGCAGGGCATCTTTGGGTGTTTGTGAGCAAGAGAAGTGTGGTGATCATTTATTAAATAATGGTAACATTTTACAAATAATTAGCACTAAAATTTGCTTTCCTTAGATGATTTCACTTCTAGCAACCTTATAAAAGTGAAGAAGTTGCTCTGGTAGCTGTTTCTTTTTAGACTTTTATTAGCAAAGGAGGCCATATGCTTAACGCTCCAGTGCCTCATCCCCAGGGATTTTCTCCATCTTGGGACAGCAGCCTACAATCTTGTGTTACTTTTTACTCCTGAGGTTTCCCTGTAACACTTTGTGCTAATCAATTGGAAGTGTTCATGCTAATGAATTTGCACAAATGGCCTCATTAGCTGGAGTTTTGACTGTTTTACTTCATTCATGCAAATGAGTCAGCAGGAAGAATTCAGATCTGTCCTGGCCTATGGTTTAACATCTGCTTTATAAAGGAAGAAATCTTTTGAGGAACTGGTCACAGGTATGACTTTCTAAATAATTTGGTGCCCCATCAAGTGGAGTATATGGATTCAACCTTGTTTTCTAAAATTGTGAAGTTTCAAATAATTTTTAATTGTTATTAAAGTGATTCACATGCATAGTGAAAAATAAAAACCTCCTTGAAAAAAGAACATTATTTTTATTATGAATTATTCATTAGGAGTATTATTAAAATAGTAAGTGTTCCATAGGCTTCTACCACAACTTTCCATGCAAATTTTGTCAGGATTTTTTTTTTCTTGAATTTTCATTAATCAGAAGACAGCTCTCTAGAATTAATCTTTAATTTCATTATCTTTTAATCTATTCATCCCTTTGACTTATTATTTTTAAATTTGAGAATCTCAAGTTTATCTTTAAAACCTATTTTTATGTATATACTCTCATATTTATAATTTCTCAGAGCTTTTTTTCTTTTGGATATTCATCAGCATCCTTTTCTATTTTTATGAATACACTGTTATCTTATTTTTTTGTTACCTGCACTGCTCGTTTCCTCTGTATTTCCTCTCTCTCTGTGTGTTTTTTTGTTTTGTTAGGTCTGTCTTGTATTTTGAAAGCTTCCTTCAAATATCTTATGATATCAGCTTTAAATTTGCATTCAAGACTAAATCATGAATAGGCCAACTTGATGTTCTGCATGAGTAGTGGCAGAATCAGCAATATGGAGTGATAAGGCTAAAAGCTGTTTTTTTCTTGTTTTAATTAAGACTAGTATGAATGAGTGTGGTCTTGTTCTGGGGTTTTCAGATGTTATTGAGAGGCATCGTTTAACCTTTCTGGTGGCTATAACACAAATTGCTCATCTCTTCAATGCTGTTCAATAAAACTATCACTAATAATGGGAGTATTACAACAAAGGGGTCCTGATTCAGACCCCAAGAGAGGGTTCTTGGATCTCGTGCAACAAAAAAATTCAGGGCAAGTTCATAAAGTGAAAGCAAGTTTATTAAGAAAGTAGAGGAATGAAAGAACGGCTACTCCATAGACAGAGCTGCCCTGAGGGCTGCTGGTTGCCCATTTTTATGGTTATTTCTTTATTATGCTAAACAGGGGCTGGATTATTCATGCCTCCCCTATTTAGACCATATAGGGTAAATTCCTGACATTGTCATGGCATTTGTAAACCGTTATGGCACTGGTGGGAGTGTAGCAGTGAGGACAACCAGAGGTCATTCTCGTGGCCATCTTGGTTTTCGTTTTAGCCGGCTTCTTTACTGCAGTCTGTTTTATCAGCAAGGTCTTTATGACCTGTATCCCGAGCAGACCACCTGTCTCATCCTGTGATTTAGAATGCCTTAACCATCTGGGAATGCAGCCCAGTAGGTCTCAACATCATTTTACCCAGCTCATATTCAAGATGATGGACTTGCTCTGGTTCACATGC
Source organism: Homo sapiens (assembly GCF_000001405.40). Lineage (NCBI taxonomy): Eukaryota > Metazoa > Chordata > Mammalia > Primates > Hominidae > Homo > Homo sapiens. Next base: position 21,599,818 of record NC_000003.12, on the reverse strand, counting down.
CTACAACAGGAGTGTCCTCTGCCAGTGCAGTCCAGTCTCCATAGGTAGGGAGGGAGGAAGGAAGGGTCACATATATTTATCAAAATACAAGTGGCTTCTTGGAGATTTTTAAATCTTCAGACTATTCTATTTTCTTTCAACTAAAGTAACTTCTTATCAGCTTATTTATCCTACATATCCTAGTGCTTTTAAGGAAATAACCTCTCCAGGCATGATTTTCCTCATCTGTTAAACAGGAAGAATAACACCAAACTCCATGTTTATACTATGGATCACGATTATAGTCAGCAAAAGGATTAGCTCATGGCAGATTTTCAATAATAGTAGCTATTACTATTCACCTGGAGAAATTGTCTCCTATGCAAACTTTGGAAAAAGTGTTTTGGCAACTTAGGAAAAATTTTTATTTTAAAAGTAAAGTATAAAATAGAAATTATTTACGTTTAATGTTTTTATTTCTTTATACCACACCTCATTCATTCATGCAGTAGTATGTGTTCAGTATTTGGTATTTGCCAAACAAACACTATGATTTTGATTTATCCCTCAAAAGATCTTTCTGGAATCCTTTTTCAACTTTGTTATCCTCACATATACAAAAAATAGTTCAGCCAAATTGATCAAATGGCTTCCCCTCTGTTTGCCGAGAGGACTGGATGTCAGTCTGTAACAAAGTTAGTCTGCAATGAGAAACGGCATTTGCATTTTGGTAACCTCCTGTAGAAAAGTTTATAGGTGATACCAGATTCACATTTAAAAATAGGTGATTTGAAGTTTATTTGGAAGTCACTACTGTTTTAGTGGAAATCTCTTCAGCCATTTTTATAATTGCAACATCGGAAGCAGTTTCAAACATGGCAGGGAGACCTAAAGACACCTAGTTGTTCCATTCAGCTCAGGCATGGAGATGATCCCAATGTAACATTTTTCTGATCATAAGGGAATGGTGAACTTCTCTGGAATCATTTAAAAATTGAGTAAATAAGATTAATTTTGGTAATTACCTGAGAGGTCATGAGAACATATGTCGTGAAACTCATTGGGTGTTTTGTGTTAGAAATTAGCATTCCCATATCAAGTCCTCAGATATTTATTTCCTTTATTATTTAAGTCACAGTACCTAATTTGTGGTTTAAAGTAAAAATAACTTCAGACATAAATTTATGCTTGAAATCTTGAGTCATTTTTTTCTCTCAGTATCCAAGTCGACAGATATTTTTTGAGACTCTAGCCTTTTGTCTGTTGGGCAGAAAGCTCACTTTCTTCAGTTTTGAACAAAGATATTGCTTCACTGTCAGTCATTAAATTCAATTACAGTCCAATAATATGGTTTACTCACATATGATGTTCCAGTTGGGAATATGTTTTGTACTGCTTGACAGCAATTTTTCCTAAATTTTTTTAATGAACAAGTTTTAAAATGCTTCTATGTTTTCTAAAATTATTACTGTGGATTTTTCACTCATTAGGCTAAAAGCTACATGCATGTAACCTATGATCTACTGCTTATCCTTACCTTTTTGAAACACTATTTTAAGTCTAGAACTCTGAAAATAAATCAGAAATGAGATATATGTGTATAATTTTACCCATGTATGTATCAAGCTAAGTATATCTTTATAGATACCGTCTTTGAAAATGATGAAAACATCAGCATTTATTTGCAGGATGCGTTTCTCTAAGACTCTAATGATTATCTCCTATGATAAATGATTCAACCGCTTATGAATTATTAGAAATGTGTTTGCTATAGGTATTCTATAAAGTAGTAGTTTCCTTTAAGGTAGCATTGTAAATCAGTAAATATTAATTCCATTTAATACTTCTTCTTTGTAATCTCAATCATCCTGTCAGATCATCTTTTGCTTTTCTACACCCATTAAGTGCTGCCTGGATCCTTGCCATACAGAAGAGATCCCTGTGTGTGTTTTTTCATTCTTCCCTATTTAACTGCCTTTCCAGATGAAGGTTGGATCACACCTTCTAAAGACTGTCCATGATGCCATTTTCCACCCATTCAAAATTATACTCAAGATGTTTGGTGAGCTTATCTTAAAACTACCTTTTTATGTTTATCACCCACTCCTACTTAATGTTCCAGATAAATCACAAAACCCCCATTTGGCTGAAAATGCTTTCTTGCCTCTATATCTTTTACATTCCATCTATTTTCACGTGTAATTGCCCTGTTGTATGTGCCTCACACCACTCCTTCCATTTTTTTTATGGTCCTACCTAATTCTCAAGTCTGAGCTTTAAAACTGTTTTCCATTTAAGTCTTCCTTCTTTCCACCAGTCAAAAATCACTCTCATTCTCTCTTTCTCCTTTATAAATTCCTATGCCATTTCATTTGTATGTTACCAATACTGGGTGTCCATTCATTATATTTACAAGTTTTGTGGAAGTAGAGATCATGGCTCATTTTCTTGTGCATTCTTTTATTTTTCTTTTTTTTTTGAATTAACAGTTTTTAACATACGTTGAAAATAGTTGCGGGAACATTGCTTATTCTATTTAATAAATACCAATGTGGTATAAATTATAGATCTTCGAGTCACATGATAATACTACTTGAAAATAATCCTATGAGTGTCCCCACCAAGGAAGAAAATGAAGCAATTAATTAATTAGGTTGTAAATTATAATTGGTTGATTAAACCTTATATTAAAACATAGCTTCATTTTTAAAACAAACCCTATTTAGATAAAATGCCTTGGTTTCCAGTCAGTGGTCAGTATTTTTTTCGAATCTAAAAATATACTATTTAATTATAAATACCTTTTTAAATAATTTCATTATAATACCTTTTCTGTCTTGCAACTTCTTCAAAGTGAATTAGCAGACAGATGCATTCTTAGGCTGAATTAGTTGTTTTCAGGCCTGAAAGTGAAGGGAGAAGCCAAGGAATGTCATGAAGACCTCCTTTCCTCTCCACCATTAACTTTGACAGTATTTCTTACCTATGCAGAGAAGAGAAAACATAGGTATGGCAGTCACCCAAATCCTCAGTAGCATGAAGGGAAATTAAAACTACTTGTGGCCAGCCGCATTGGTTCATGCCTGTAATCCCAATACTTTGGAAGGCTGGGGCAGGAGGATCACTTGTGGCCAGGAGTTTGAGACCAACCTGGGCAACACAGTAAGACCCCCAACTGTACCAAAAAAAAAAAAAAAAAGTCAAGCATGATGTTGCCTGTAGTCTCAGCTGGCCAGTAGGCTGAGGCAGGAGGATTGCTTGAGTCCACTGCAGTCCAGCCTGGGTGAGAGCAAGAGACGGTCTCTAAAAAAATAAATAAATAAAACTACTTGCACCCCTTGGCTTTCATTTCCTCATAACATCACCTCAAAAAATGAGAATATATTTGACAGATAAAGAATATGTCTCTTGCCTGTATCATTCAGCTTGTAGACTATTTGAAAATGAGACTCGGAATCTCTGAAGAACAGTAAGTTCTCACTCTTATAAGTATCTTCAGCTCTGTGAACTGAATAGTGTGGTTTGTAACTTTCTAATCTTGGCTTTGTTATTTTATTTATCCTTTTGTGTTATAATATTACTGAAGTGCTTGGCACTAATTGCTTCTGACTCAAATTAATCCTCTTCCCTCCTTGCCGCTGTGAAAACTGAAATTCAGAGTTGGCTGACAAACTTTGGATAACTTTCTTTCCTGTATCATCTTTTTCTTTTAGTTAAAACACAAAGAGTTTCTATGAATTTCAGCAACTAAATGTTCATTATGCTTCAGACAAAGCTGTTAAATTGCTGGTTCTTACCACCTGAAAAATAAAAATGCCTTTGCATTGTGAAATTGCATTGATACTTGTGCTTCTAGATTAAAGAGACTTAAGTAAGCATTAGGTATTGTGCTTTTTTTGTTTTAGAAAACCACATAGAAATGAAGGATTGGAGCCTGACATATGATATAGTTGGTATTCATGAAAGATCACTCTAGACCTTCGTGACTATCTTCTTTACTTTACTTTGCCTTTCTTGGACTAGAAGTTGTATGTCTCAAAACAGTTTTAGTTTGCTTCTCTAAGAGAGCTTTATCATTATTTCTGCTGTTCAAAAATCACTTGGACAAAATGTGATTCTGTTGAAAACAATGTATTCCATGATAGTAAGTGCTACCCTTGGCTAGATCACATTGAACATGGAGTCCTGGGATAGAAGAGAAAAATTAAAAAATAGTAAACTAAGTATCAATCCATTCCAATTTCTAGAGATGGTCTGGTATTCAACATTGCTCACGTAGTAGGTATACTGTTTTCCTACTATGTATATATTACATACATATATCTATGTATATATTACATACATATATATTACATAAACATATATAATTATATATTACATATACATATTACATATATAGTACATATACTACATATATAAAGCATATGTTGTATATAATGGGATATAAAACATACATATATAATGGGATATAATAGTATATATAATGAGAATGGCAGTTATATATGTTTCTGTCTCCCAGGTGTGCCAGAGTGAAGACCTATATGTGAATAGGGCTCGCCTGGAGGTTGAAGTAAAGAACTGAATAAAGGTGAAAAGACTCCACTATAGGCATTTATAGGATCTTGAACAACAAAGAACCAAACTTATTCTTGTCCCTGGGAGAAATACTGGGTGGGGTCTGATGGATATCTGATAAAAGTCAGTAGTTCCCTGATGTATGTGAGCACTGGTAAGCATGTTTTACAGGTTCCTTTTCCCAGTTTAAGTTCTATTAAGACCAATAATCTTGTTAAGCCTGGGCTGGAAAATGTCACAACTCGTTAATGCTGGTTATAAAAAGAAAAAAGAGCATTTAATTAACTATTGGTTTTACCTGTGATAGCAAATGCGCAGTTTAATTTTGTACTTTACTTGATTGACTATATAATACATAGGTGTGTGTATATGTCCATGTGTTTTTAAAAATGTGTTTATAATTATCATGGGTTCAGCAGCTCATTATAAAGGGAAGTTATATCCCAGGTCATGGGTTTATGGGTCATGGCCAGCAGATATGAATAACATTATGAATAAACTAAACATAGGATTAAACTTATTGAAAAGTTTAAAAATTGTTTGGCACAAGGGAAGGCACAGGGCAATTTAAAATTTAGGATTGGCTTATATTTCACATCAGACTGATCACCAAGCTTTAAATTCCCGGTGGCTATGTCATGTCTGCTTAAAGGGCCTTTAGTTGACACCATCAGTTATCTACTCAGGCCCCCACAATCCCGTTTACAATATCTGTGCACCTTTCCGGGCTTTGATGTACTTTTGTTTCCAGCCCTTGTGGGATCAGGCTGAAGCCATTCTCCACAGCCTGGGCCTGAAATCATTCTGTTGATTGGCATTTTCCCTATCCCTGTTCTGCTCCTCCTCAAGTGTACTAGTCTTTCCTAGGAGCATTTCATTAAAAAACTACTTGCACGGTGCAATCTTTGTCTCAGAGTCAGCTTCTGGGGAGTCAGACCTAAGACAGGGCTGTTTTAAATTAAAATACACAGACCCCATCTATTAGCTAGCTCTACAACCATGGGAAGTCCAGAGAACAAATGGATACTGCAAAATAAGTGTGAATGATCTTGGCAGGTCTGGTGTAAAGCATTATACAGAAACCCCTATGGTTTTAATTGATAAAAGAACAACTTTTAGAATTGCCTGAATGGACCAACTCCATCATGCAAAAGAGCCCTATCTGCTAGAGTTGCTTCTTGCCTTTCATTCCCTGTGTTCTTGTGGGTCAGCAACTCCAGTGAAAAGCTGTGCGTCTACTGTCTGCTGGTAGTTAAACTGCCTTAACTGTTTCAGTATAACCACTCATTACTAGGTCAAGCTTTGCTCTGGGAAGCCAGGATTTAGACAGGAAGCAGCAGTGAAGTTGGGTCTTTGTGGTGGGATAAATCCATCAGAAGGCCTCTTGGCTCTGAGAAGTGCCCTGACACTTCTTTTGCCTCCCCAAGAACCTCTTTTTTCTTATTTTTCAACAGTTTCTTAGGGCTAGCTTATTTTTTTTTTTAACCTCTTTTTATTGCCATGGTTTCAGATTACATTTTCTTTCCTGTTGTTCACTGTAATTTTTAAAAAAAGTCTATAATATATATCTAGAAAATCCAGAAGGAAAATAAACCCTTTTCATGTTTTTAAAATGCATTGTGTGTACATATTGGCATGTGTGTGTGCTCACACATATGTTTGAGTAAGGTGGGATTGTGTTCAGAAAGAAAGATTTACTACTAATACTAAAGGCAAGAGATGGCAAAAGGCTTTTATTTACTTCTCTGCCCCTTCCTCAGCCTTCTCTTTTTAAAACTCGTATAGAAAATATGTTAATCGTGGAACTTTGTCCACAAAGGATAGAGTAAGAGCCATTTCCATTTCAGAAATTGTTTTTAATGTTTTGGCCCTGAGTTGGATCTGGTTCAAGGGTAAAGACGGAAAGAAAAAAAGATTTGTCTAGGAAGTGAGGCAATGGATTGGGAGGTAGAATAACTGCTAAAGGCAGTCTTGAAGCTAGGAGAGGTAGGGAATGATGGAGAAAACCCAGACCCTTGGCCATCACATCCAAGGTCCTTCCTTTAAGGACAGATAGCCAGAGTCCTCATTGTAAAACAGTAAGTGAGTTGAGTTGAGAGATCTCAAGCAGGACTAGTTGGGAGTGACCAGAAAAGAAAGATGAGCAAAAGCATGACATACAGCAGCCGGGGAAAAGGCATTTGGTGACCTGAAGCTATTATTCCCGGGTGGCTGTAGATGTGTGGAGGATACTCTGAGGTCACGCAAGGATCTGCCACACATGATGTCATTTCCAAGTCGGTCAGAAGCTTGCTGTGCAGGGCATATTTCAGCCCTTGCTGCCCTGTAGCAGGTGTAGGGAATAGAACATGTTAAAACAAGGGGCCTGCTTAGGAGATCCACCACCTTTCCATTTGATTTGGATCAATGAATGGCTTTATGTTCTAGAATGCTTTTCCCTTGTGGAAGTTTTGTACTTTGTTTGACAGATTCTAACTGTTTTCTACTTAGAAGAAAATGGAATAGGTTTTATTCTTGAAATGTACCTGTTGCTGGGATTCAAATTCCTAAAACAGAAGTTGCCATTCCTTTCTCCTCTAAACGATCTGATTTGAGAATGGGAGTTTGAGCAAACATAAGCTTTACTGCAGATAGATTTTTTTTGTTCTCTTTTTCAAAGAGCAGAAAATTACACATAATGCAATAATTGTTTTTTTTTTTTGTTTTTGGTTTTTTTTTTTTGCCATGAAGACAAAATTACTAAGGAGGAAAAGCTCTATGAGAAAATATAAATCCTATTGTAGAGAACACAATTAGAAGAGGGTAATTCAAGACACATCAATATATTGCCATCTGTAGCAATCATTAACTTGTTTCTCTTGCTGTTTATGATTCAAAAAGTAGTATCCTTTCACAAGAATACTAAATCACAATAGATAAATAAATCATCAGATTGGAATACAGATGGAATACTGAAGAACAGTATCATTCAAGTGATGGGAAGAAAAGCCATATCTTATAAAAGATCTTACAGAAAAGCAGCAAGAATGTGGAAACCAGCAGGAAATCTACATAGGTGTTTGGTTTAGATAAGTCAAGAAAACAACTAATAACCATAAATCATAATTATGAAAAAATTATGCCAGAAACTATAGTAATTAAGTCCTTTGCAAATATAATCTCACTTAATCGCCACAGCATGCCTATATGTCACATGTTATTATCTCATTTATAAATAATCAGGCTTAAAGAGATTAACTAACATATCTCACTGCTAGTAACGGGAGTATTGGGTTTGAACAGCCAGTAAAGATGAACTGTAATAATATGAATAGCTAAGAAGTCAGATGTTTGGTTGATCTATGATGGAAAAGTTTAAACAAAAATATGCTGGAAGTGTAGTGTAGCAACTGAAACATGAAAGCCATTGGTATGAAAGACAAAGGTTCCTAGGCTAGATATTGGAGAAGGAATTACAACTGGAAAAAAACTGTTCTGAATGAGGCTAAAAACATGATATAGAGAGATAAAAAAGCAGACTGTAACTCAAAGAAGCTTGTGGACAGAGTGAATGAGTTTAGGACTTCAGAAGCGGAGTGCTTCCTGCTAAAATGGAGGCTCAGGGTGTGACCCTGTGCAGGTTAATACATACTAAATGTATTGCATGTGGGTTTCCTCTTTGTGAGGACAATGTAGCAAATACTTATGATGCCTAGTAAATTAATTTATATTCATATTGGACTAAAATATTGACTTTTAAAACAACATTAATTATTATAGTAATTAATCATTATAATCAACTCATTAAAGGTAAATCTTGGTGAATAATGATTCTGGAAGTCTATTAAATTTCATTTTCACTTTGTTCTATTTTGCTAACCATTCACTGATGTTCCCCCCTCCTGAGAGGTATTTAAGTGATAGAGGGACAAACAAACTCCTCATTTCCTTTTGGTTACATAAAATATAATATTGTGAAATTATTTTGTTTATTGAGGGGGCACTTGTAAAAAAAAAATTATAATATGGAATTTTTGTTGATTATAATTTAATTCCAAGAAAGTATGAGGAACCTCATGAAACTTTGTTTTGTTTTGAGATGTGGTCTGTCTCCCAGGCTGAGGTGCAGTGGCATGATATTGGCTCACTGCAGGTTGAACACTCCAGCTAAGTGATCCTCATACCTCAGGTTCTCAAGTAGCTGGGATTACAGGCACATGTCACCATGCCCAGCTCATTTTTAATTTTTTTTTTGGGGAGACAAGGTCTTGCTATTTTACCCAGGCTGGTCTCAAACTTCTGGGCTCAAGTGATCCTCCTGCCTTGGCCTTCAAAGTGCTGAGTGTATAGGAGTGAGAAGTTGCGTCTGGCCTGAAACATTTTTCATACTTATTTATTTTCGGTTACCAGGTCCAGCATGTAATATAAAGATGCTGTATACATATTTAATATTTTAATTTACTTTCTAAAAAATATAATGGAAATGAGATTAATTTGAATATTTATGTTTTAGGTTTTCTCATTGATTAGGCAGCGTTAGACAGCTATTATAGGAATTTTGGGGTTTAATACTACATCCTCCGCTCATCTCCCACCAACAAATGAAAGGAAGAAAAAAAGAAAGAACACTCACTGCCTCCACTTTGTTAATTGTGACTATACTAAATGATTGGTTGTCTGGGCCATTTTTCGGGATGAAAATTCAACAGATAAAAACAATGTAATTCATTTTTTATGGTGTAATTTTCAAACGTTCATTATAAAGTTATATTATTCTATAAATTCTCATTTTGCTTTCTTCAATAAAATATTTGATGTATACAAATATACAAAGTATATATGTAAATTATAAAAGCATAATGTAATATAAACTACATGTACCTCGTACCCAACTTAAAAAATTAAACATTATCTTTCACTTTTAAAATAATTTGTGCTTCTCCCTGCTGGTCATATCCCCTTGCCTCTCTGTCAGAAGTAATCACAATAAAAAAAGTTTTATTATGAAATAGCATAGCATATACATAAACATAGTAACCTCCCATTACTTATTTTTCCACTCCCTATTATGTGTCTGAGATCCATCCATGTTGACACATTTAGCTGCATTCCTTTCTTATTGTGCTGTGTAGCTAATCTGCTGTGTGAATAGACCATAGGGTACAGGTCTATTCCACTGTAGATGGATATCTGGATCCATGCTTTTGCTGTTACAAAGACTTCTGTTAATAATGCTCTTGCACATGCCTACTTGTCCACAGCTGCATGAGTCTTTACAGTCTAGCATGAGTCTTTACAGTCTATTACCTAGAAAAGAAATTGCTGGGTCTTATAGTACTAGGATCATGACTTCAGTAGAAGTTACCAAAGAGTGCTACTAATTTTTACTCCCACCTAGATGTATAAGAGTTCTTTTTGTTCTACATCTTCATCAGTGGTTGCTACTGTTATACATTTTTTTAAATGTATGTAAATCTTTCAGATGAAAAGTAGAATCCAAAAGTAATTTTGATTTTTTTTCACTAAATATCCTAGATACTAAGAAGAATTTTATGTTTATTGGTATGTTTTCTTTTCTGTGAAATATCCATTTTCTCTTAGAATATGATTTTCTTACTGAATTGTTGGAGTTCTTTATATTTGAAGGATATTAATCCTTTGTCATATTTGTAACTTGTCTTTTTGTTCTTTTTACAGTGACTTTGCATGAACAAATGTCCTTAGTTTCAAAGCTGTTGCAAGCTTTTTTTGTCTTATGTAAAAAATATTTTCCTACAGTAAGGCCATTAAAATATTTTTCTTCACTCTTATAAGGTAAAAATTTTGCTTTTCGCATTTAAGTCTATGATCTACTAGAAATTTTTGTATAGGGTACAAAATTCATTTCTTTATTTTTAAGAGTAAACAAACAATTGTCCCAGCTCATTCATTGATTTGTCTTTTCTGTCTCCACTGAATGACAATGACATATCTTCCTCAGGTAAACTCCGACTGCAGGGTCTTTGCACTTGCTTGGGCCTTTGCCTGAAGTGCTCTTCCCTCAGGCAGCGACATGCTCCCTTCTGTACTTCCTTCAGCCTTTTTCTCTAAAGTCATTTTTTTCAGTGAGGCCACATATGGCCATTTATATCTAAAATTCAATACTTTTCCAAACTTTTGCAATACCACATCCCTTATTTTTTCCAATACTCTTGTGACTATTTGAATTTGTGTATACTTGTCTTATTTATCTTATTGTGTCTCTCTCCCACTAAAACACAAACACAATAAGGAAAATGATTTTTGTTGGTTTTATTTACTGCTGAAACCCCAAAACCTAGAAAAATGCCTAGCACATAATAAATGCTCAGTAATACTAATTGAGTGAGTGGATGTATGAGCATATTACATTTGAAAATGGATCTGCTTGTAGGCTTCAGATCTGTTGGAGTGGCCTATTTCTTTTTCTCTGGGTGAGTGCCAGTAACTTAATCCATAGCTGTAAAATAAGGCTTGATGTCTAGTAGGTCATGGCCTCTACATGTTCTCATTCTTTAAGGGTGGTTTATCTATTCTTGATAACTTCCTCTCCTATGTAAATTTTAGAATTATGCTTTCAAGTCTTATGAAAAATCATATTATACTTTATTCACATGGCATTTACTCTATAAATTTTAAGAAAACAGACTTTTAAAAATTATTTTTAATGTTTCTATCCATAAATGTACGTCTTAGTTTTTTCTTTAATGTCTTTATATATATTGTATATGTTATCTCTATAAGGTTATATACTGTTTGATAAATGCTTATTATTCTTACAGACATAGTTAAGTTTTTCATACATTCTTCTATTAAATCAGGTCTTTACACATTAACATTATGCATTCTAAAAATTAAATCATAAAATATGAATTTGTAAATAAAGGTAAATTTTTGAAAGCAGCTAGTAATTAATCAGAAATTTTCCATTTAGCTATGAGATGAAAGTCTTAAAAGTTGAACCTAATAAAACTACTGAGAAAGCTTGAGGAAAACAACTTTGCTCTTAACTTGTAACTTTTCTCCCACTATAAAGCCTTATTATGACCCATCCCCAACAACATTATTTCCTCCCTTGTGTTTCTAATTATGATTCTGTTTTACAGCAATTATCATAATATCGTGTTCTGTGGTATTTATCTCTACATACATTTGTCATCCCCACTAGACTGCACACTCATTGAGACCAGGAACTTTATCTTGTCTTTTTATCCTCAGGCTTAGTCACAGTGCCTGCCATGGACTACATGCTTATAATGTAGTCATTATAAACTGATGGGCACTAAAATTGGGCATCCAAAGGAGATAATAGAACCTACCTTTTTAAAAACCTTCAAAAATTGCACAGAAATTGGCCTGTCTGATAATCCCTTTTTTCTCAGTCCTCTTTCCCTTTAGATATGTATCCCATTCTCTCCTATTTCTCCTCCCACTCTCACCTTTTCAGGCTCCTTTGTTGGATCTTTTTTCTCTGCCATCCCTGAAAACATCAGTGCTTTCCCAGGAATGGTAGCCCTGTTTCTTCTAACGTTACTCAAAGTCTGTTACATATCATTCACTCTTATGTCTTCAGTTATACCAATAATTCTTATATTTAACCTCAACACTGAACACATTTTAAAACTCTTCAACCTTATTTTAAGTTTCTTACATATCTACTACACATCTCATAAACCTGCTAAAAGCATATAAAATTTAATGTTCCTAATATGAACTAATTCCCTTGTCTACACATCCTTCTAAAATTTGCCATTCTTCCTTTATTCATATGATGGTCTGTGTTGTCACTATTCATTCAGTTACCCAAATGAGAAGAATGAGCCTGGGGCCTTATTTCAAAAAGGTATTGCTGACTTAAAAGCCTGTATCCTAAAAATGTCCCCAGTCTCTCCTTCAGTCTTCCAGTTGCTACAGGCTGAATTATGTCCTGTATTTTTCAGCTGGACTATTACAAAACGAAACTTCTTGTCTTTTTAACTCCAGATTGACTTTCTTCCTTCAATTTCTTGTCCAAATTATTTTTTTCTAAAATACAAACTTTCTTATGTATACATTTGAGTTGAATGCTCCTTTTCACCTAATATTGCTAAAAGGGGAAAAGTCCAAATTCATTAACACAGCACACAGGACAATTCATCTGCGTGTCCCAATCTATCTTGCCACTTTCATCTCTTCCAGATATACTATTCTCCATTCATACCAAAATTTTAAACGTTTACTGACATAACATTCTTTCATACGTTTACATGGGTGTTTCTGTTCTATCATTTTCTCCTTTCTAAGTAAATAATTCCTACTCATCCAGCTCAAATATTATCACTCATTTGAAGTCTTCCAGGATGCCCACAAACTGAGTAAACAACCCCTTTCCTCTGTTCCCAAGTACTTAACTTATATCTTTATTTCAATACTTGCTAATTCTAATTAAAATATATTTATGTTTTTGTCTACCCTTCATTACTCTGGGTTATTTTCTGAAGGTCAGAACCACTTGTTTTGCATTATTTTTTCTGCCCAGTTAGGTTACATATCCATCCTTGAACAAAACTCTGCAGCGATGCAGGAAACATCTTCTGTCCATGTAGACAGCATCCTTCCCGCTTGTCAGCACTGACTGAATTCCATCCTTCTTGCAAGCCTACATGTTCAGCTTCTTCCTTACAACTTTATCAAACTGCCCAACCTCCTCAATTTGTCTTTAATTCATTGTTTTCAGTTCTTTACTATATTAACTAATCTCTCTACAATCAATATAGAATATTCTAATGATTATATATTTCATCATGACCATAAGCATTGGACATACAGCATAGGAGTCTAATAACTTCTCCTGTTTATTTGGCCCTCAGTATCTGAAGGATAATGGTGTCTGAAAACCGCAATACCATTATGGATTCTGAACATGCCTGGCTTTAAGTACTTTGCTTATATTATTTCATTTAATCTTCCCAGTAGTCTTTTTCAAGATAAAAACAGTAATGGATGCACTATTCTGGAAGGCCAATACAGGCCTACCCACCTCAATATTTGTATTCCAACATACTTTCTTTTTTTTCCCCTTAGGGACAGAGTCTCCCTCTGTCACCCAGGCTGGAATGCAGTGGCACAAATATAATTCACTACAGCCTCAATCCACTGGTCTTAAGTGATCCTCTCATCTTAGCCTTTCAAGTAGTTGGGCCTACAGGTGCGTGCCACCATGCCCAAATGTGTGTGTGTGTGTGTGTATGTATTTGTATTTATAATATATTTATTTAATTTTGTAGAGATGGGGTCTTGCTATGTTGCCGAGACTGGTCTTGGACTCTTGGCTTCAAGTAGTTCCCCTACCTCACCCTCTCAAAGTACTAGGACTACAGACATGAGCTACTGCGCCAGGCCAGGATACCTTATTGCTTTAGGACCAATTTTATCTCTCCATTTTCCATGCTCAGCTATCCCCTTTATCACCTATTTGAACCATGTGTTGTCTTTAATGTATTCCTTTGTGGATTTATATGATAAAGTGAAAACAGCTACGGGAACTTTTGCCAAGGCGTGTTATGCAGTATATGGCCCTTTCCTGTGGAATGTTTTGGAGTAGTTTGAAATTTGGCTTAGTAGACTGACACTTGATCCACGATTTGTTTTTCTTAAGAGTTAACATCACTATCCTGGAGGTGCGTAGGCAGCCAGATTATTTTGCCAGGTAATTAACAGAAATCTATAGTACTAGTACATTTCCTTTATTGTGATTGCCTTTCTTTATGTTTGCTTATTTTGAGCCAAGATTCCTTTACAAAATGCAAATGGTTATCCAGAAAGATCTGGAGAACTGGTTTAGAAAGTTTACTTAAAAGACAAAGGAAATTTAGCAACAGAGAAAAGCTAAAAATGTAGTTTTAGCTGTCATATATTATTTTCATAATGGAAGGAATTATGTATTCCAAGAAAAGGAAAGTAACTCTCACTAAGAGTTCCCAGAAGATTTCAGAGGAAGTGACATGATCCTAAATCATGTTCTTGATGGCAAAATGTTACTTAGAAAGCCTATTATTTAAATGGAATAGTTTTTTATGGTCAAATATGAGCAACAATAATCCTTTACCTGCAAACTTTATTGATGTCAGGTATTTTGGATGAATATACATTTTTAGGAACCAAGATTACTTTTCTTTAGATTTGTTATTTAAAACACATTTAGAAATAACTCTCGTTATATTTCAAAAACTGGCACAAAGATTCGTTATATTTCAAACTGGCACAAAGATTCTACACATACAATCTCTTTTCTCTGGAGATTTTCTTAAATTTAAAGAGATACAAAAAGGAAATATAGCTGCAAAAGACCAGAGGTGTTTGGGATTGCCAATAGATGAAAGCTTTAAATATTTCTAGAAACCATAGGGTACATGAAGTGCATGGAATAGAAAACTAGAGGAGTGTGAGGTCAGATCCTGGAGACAGTCTAGAATTAGGGTCTGCAGGTAGAATGATGGATGAATAAGGCAGAAAGCATGGGACCAGTAGGGCTGAAAACATGGTGACTGATGACTAAGAAGAGGAAAATTTGTTTTACATCAAGATAAAAACACATTATTTGTAGAAAATAAAGGGAAAAAGAAACTAGAAAAACATGGTTTATATATGTAGAAGACAAAAATAAAACAGAATTTTAAGTACTGATGGATAATAAGAAAAGAGAAGCTACTTTGCTTGAAGCTAAAAAATTCCCTTTTGAACAAGCCAAGATTTGTAGTATTGAAAGCATAAAAAAGAAGTCTAATAGCTTCTCGGCCTTTTGGCTAAGATCAAGTGTAAAAAAGAAGTCTAATTCTGTCACATTATCCAGCCAGCAGACAAAAATATTAATAAAATTAAAACTGATACTGTTGTTTATTAGCTTTCAAATTTTAAAGTCACTCACAGACAAAGTCTGGAACAATGAGTTGCAGTTAAAAGACAGAATATTTCAGTTAGAAAGTTTTTGAACATTTAAACGTGTAAATGGGCCGGGTGCAATGGCTCACGGCTGTAATCCCAGCACTTTGGGAGGCCAAGGTGGGCGGATCACTTGAGGTCAGGACTTTGAGACCAGCCTGGCCAAACTGAGATGGTGAAACCCCGTCTATAGTAAAAATACAAAAATTAGCCTAGCGTGGTGGTGTGTGCTTGAAATCCCAGCTACTAGGGAGGCTGAGGCAGGAGAATAGCTTGAGCCCGGGAGGTGGAGGTTGCAGTGAGCCGAGATCACGCCATCGCACTCCAGCCTGGGCGACAGGCAAAACTCTGTCTCAAAAAATAAATAAATAAATAAATAAATAAATAAGTAAATAAGTAAAATAAATACATGTGTAAGTATAGCTGAAATAATTTGAGAATTGGAAACTGAAGAAGAAAAGAAAAAAATTGAATAACTTCAGGGAATTTGAGATCCTGATTCAAATGAAGGGAACCAAACATAAAAGTGGAAACATACTATGTATAGTTATAACATAATAGAATATTTAAATGAAAATATTAATTTAATATTTATATTGAATGAATAAAAATAACTGTAGAGTAACATAACAATACAATATTTAAATGAATAAAAACTTTTAAAGACTATGTAGAAAAGTATGGAAAAAAGACAAAAAATGTGACAGAATATACATATTAAATTCTCATCTTTCTTAGCGCCTAGAGATTTAAATATATTAGCATGTTATTTAGAGCTGTGATGTTAATCAGCAGAAAAAAAGTCCTAATAGTAAATCAGTGTTTTAAATATTTACCTCTGGACTGGGAAGGTTAGAGCAGAGAGTTTTGTTCTTCATCTGAAGCTGTTTTGTACCCTTGTATTTGTTGCTATGTGTGCATTCTTTGATAAGAAAATTTTAAAACTAGAAAAGGTATTTTAAGATGATAGTATATTCTAAGAGCCCCTATGGAAGTCTTGAAGTGCATGGGAAATACAAAATGTATTAGGTAGTGTTCTAACAAAATAACCTCTTAAATCAGTGTTTCTCAATGTGCTTGCTCATGGGAAACTACTTGGGGTTTGCAAACCCCTTTGGGCCATGAAAAGAGTGGTTTAAATGGTTACAGTTTATATTTTCGTTTTTATAGTTTATATTGTAGTTTATATAGGAAGCCACCAATCACCCAACAGCACTGTATTTTGTGTTTTTCGAAAAATTGTATATATGCTTCTATGTGGTAGACATTAAAAGTGTTAAAAGGCCGGGTGCAGTGGCTCATGCCTGTAATCCCAGCACTTTGGGAGGCCGAGGAGGGCAGATCACGAGGTAAGGAGTTTGAGACCAGCCTGACCAACACGGTCTCTACTAAAAATACAAAAATTAGCTGGGCGTGGTGGTGTGTGCCTATAACCCCAGCTAATCAGGAGACTGAGGCAGGAGAATTGCTTGAACCTAGGAGGTGGAGGTTGCAGTGAGCAGAGATGGCGCCACTGCACTCCAGCCTGGGCCATAGAGCGAGACTCCATCTCAAAGGATAAATGAATGAATGAATGAATAAATAAATAAATAAAAGTGTTAAAAATGCAACCAAAAGGTGACTGTACCTACATGGTTAAGAGAAATTCTGTGGTGCTGGCTTAGCTTCACCTGTGGTTCAGGTGGACTTAATCTTTAAGGTTTTTAGAAATATCAGATATCCTTGACTTTATCCTTCCTTTATCTCCACAACTGAGAACGTCTTGCTGAACACTTGACCTTTATTAAATGTTTCAAGCTTCTGACTTAGTCCACTTTTACATTAGTTTCTTTAACTTATTAAGAAAGGCCCATGAGTGAAAAATAGGCAGAGTAGAGAAAAAAAATATGCAGAAGAGAGAACTAGTGCTTTAGCAATTTGGTGGGAATTAAAAATAGCCTACTCTGTATTAAAAGCAAGTCAACTGTTGGAGATACTTTTTAATAGCCCTTGTTTTATTTCAAGTTGCTCTGGTTTAGTTTTCTCCATCAGTTTTTGTTTTATTTAATGTGTATGCATTTCTGCCTTGTGATATGCCAACCACCAAAAAACCCAGATTCAGATCCAGTTTATAGATTGAGTTCAGAAGTTTGTTTACCAACCCCACACAATTTCAGAGTCAGTATGATGTGAAGGAAGAACATTAGATTTCAATAAACCTGGATGTCAATCTTACAGCTATAACATATAGGATACCATGGCAAATCATTTATCCTGGTTTTTCCTCAGTTTCCTTTTCTGTAAAATGAGGATAATACTGTACCCTGTATAAAATTATTTGGCCACAAAATTATTTATTGGTGGAAGACAGAACATTGGTATTTTGGAAACATCTGGTAAAAAAATTTTAATCTAAGAAAGGTGATTCTATTACTAATGTTTTGAGCAATGCATCTCAGTCATCCCTAAGGAGGATTTTAAACATCGAGTTGAATCAGCATTGTTTTGGGGCCCTGGCTCTGTACCTTTAACAAGCTTCCCAAGGTGATTCTTAGTATACAGCCAGGGTTGAGAATAGCTAAAATACTTGGTAAGCATTTTAAAAGCTAGATTATTAATTTTACTTTATAAACATGCAGTTTTTATTTTGGATATTTACATCAAGGCTCCAAAACACAGTCACCTTCAGATAACAATGCAATTCTTCTACAAAGTTGAACAATGTGGCTTCAACCAAGAATTATATCTTGGACCAGCTTTTTCTCCTTAAAATGATTGACAATCGACTAGGGTGGCTGTTTTCACATGTCTAATAATTTTTCTAACAATAAATCTTTATTGAGCCCTCTCTGTCATCAGGCACTTGTTTTAAGATAAATACAACACCCTACCTCTTTTGCAATTTAGGTTGGGGAGAATATAAGCATATTATTTCAGTAGAAGATGGTAAATCACATGGCACTAGAATTTATAGGGTGCTATGAGGCCTTGAAGGACTGTATTAGCTTTGCCGACTCTAGAGACTAGAGGAAGTCTTGCTGGAAACAATTGCATTTGGAGGGAGAGATAGGAATTATACATCTGATATACAAGTGATAAAGACTGAAGAAAGGAAAGAGCCTTTGAAAAGAAAAGGAGACAATAAAATACACTGGATTATGTAAGGCATTGCCAGCAGGTCTACGTTATTGCAGCAAAATGTCTGGGGCAAGCAGTAATGGAAAATGAATGGAGAAATGTAGACCTGGCTAGTTCCTGGAAGGCAGTGTTTTCCAAAGTAAAATGTCCCTTGTGGCTTGAATTCCACATCACTGGCTAAGAGAAAGAGGCATACAGGGCACTTACGGTGGGAGGAAGGACGTAAATTAGTGAATGAATACTTCAGTGCCAGGAGAAGTAGAATATTTCAAGAAAATATCCACCTTAGCCAAAACACAGAACAAAAGAAATTGAGGAATGCCAAATAACAAGCATTGAAGGGACCTTTTCTAGGGAATTGGTGGGTAAATATGGTTACATAAATCAGCACAGAAATAATATGTATATACATATATATATATACACACACATAGACACAAACATACATATATATTCAGATATATATATGTACATTTGCATTTTTGAGCAAAACATAAAAACAAGGATATTCTTATGTGCTAAATTTCATATATATATATTATCTTGGAATTGTCATGCAGAAAAGGTTAAAAAGATAACCTACAGAGAAGGAATGTGTATAAAAGCCATTCCATACATCATTATACTTTTCCAAAGGCATTAAATGGTGACTGAAACAAAGAAAAAAATAGGCAGTAAAGCAAGAAAAAAATGTACAGCTTAGGTACTGCCCACAATTTATGTCTTTCATAATCAACCAAACAATGAAAACTGGGATAATCATTTATATGGTTCTTACCAATGTGCCATTGTTTAATTTGTTTTCTATAGACTTCGTAACTTTAATTTTGTGACATTTCAAAAATATCTATTGTTTGCAGTCTGGTTAGTAAAGATCTGCCATTAATTGGTACACTACTTATTTCAAGTCTATTCTCCTCATCTCTGAACACTTTAATTCCTTGAGCTCTTTTCTTCTTCCTAGACCCTTGGGGATCACAAAATTCTTTGAGGCTAAAATTGGTCACGTCCAGAACAGGGGCAGGCAAGAAACAGTCTCAGTAATTCATTTATTGTTTGAACTTTTCCTTTTAGTCATTTAGACAGGAAAAACTAATTGTAATTATTAATTTTTCATTAACCAGGATATCCTAGCACTTATGCCTGAGTAAAATTTCCCAGTCATTAGTAGATTCTTATATCATCCGTTCCATTTGTTTTAAGTTGAATTGTGCCCTTCCAAGAAAGAAATGTTGAAGTTCTAACCTACAGTACATCAGAATATGACCTTGTTGGTAACAGAGCCTTTACAGAGGTACTCAAGTTAAAATGAGGTCATTAGGGTAATTCGATATGATTGGTAGCCTTATAAAAGGAGAAATTTGGGCACCGAGACAGAGAGACACAGGGAGAATACAATGCAAAAGGGGAGGATTGGAATGATGTACCTATGAGACAAAGGGCACCAGAGACGGCTGGCAAGGAAGGATGTTCCCCTACAGGTTTCAGAGGAAGCATGGATTTGACAGCACCTGGATTTCAAATTTCTAGCTTCCAGACATGTGAGATGATAAATTTCTGATGTTTTCAGCCACTGAGTTTGCAGTATTTTGTTATAACTGTCCTAGAAAACACATTAAAATATTAAAAAATAAATATGAAAAGGCCAATATAGGACTTTCTCATTTTTACTTTTTTTCAAACCTGGACATAAAAAATAAGTAAATGAATAAATCCCTCCCTTTAATAGCACCAGGATTTCATAAAAGAAAATTTTAACAGTAAAGTCAGAAGAACATATTTTAGAATAAGAGAAAATTCTTAAAATTTAGCCATCTATAATTTATGTATTAAAGTATATTGTCCTTACCTTTATTTTCACATCACAGTACAGTAGCTTTCAACATTTGACCCACGTTTCAGTGACTTGCCCAAGAACCAGATGCACTGTGGAATTCTGATACAGCTGGTAACAGAATAGATTTCTGGAATATATTTCCTTTTCAATTAATAATGCCATGTTGTCTAGGACATTCCTTGAAAATAGAATCCCAATTCTGGAGCTGTGGGGTTAATAACCAGAATTATACTTTATTCAGAGACCAGTCATAAACATCGAGAAACCTGACTTCTCTTTGTGGCAATAGGTATCATAGACATTCACTGTCTTTGAAAGAGATTTTGTTATGTGAGGCCACTAGAAACAGGATTCTAATCAAAATAGAAAGGAATTAAGAGTGGAACTAAGACTCTAAGTGCTGATGACAAGGTCTCTACAGTGTTCAAATTAAATGCTGAAGTTTTCTCCATAGATATTAAGATAATCAGGCATCATTTATTCTTTTCTAAAAAAATGCAATCCTTATCAAAATACCAATGATATTTTTCATGGAAATAGAAAAAAATCCTGAAATTCATATGGAACCACAAAAGACCCCAAATAGCCAAAGCAATGCAGAACAAAAAGAACAAAGCTGGAGGCGTTACACTACCTGACTTCAAAATTCACTACAAAGCTATAGAAACCCAAACAGCATGGTTCTGGCATGAAAGCAGGCGTATCAACCAATGGAACAGAATAGAGAACTTAGAAATAAACACACATATTTATAGCCAACTAATTTTTGACAAAGGCACCAAGAACATACAATAGGGGCAGGACAGTCTCTTAGATAAATGATACAGGGAAAACTGGATATCCATATATAGAAGAATAAAACTAGACCCCCTATCTCTCCCCATATATTATATAAAAATCAATGTGAAATTGATTAAAAATCTAAATGTAATACCCAAAACTATAACTCTATTAGAAGTAAACATAGGAAAACACTTTAGTACATTGGTCTGGGCAAAGATTTTATGTATAAGACTTCAAAAGTACAGTCAACAAAGGCAAAAATAAAGAAATGGGATTATACTAAACTAAAAAGCTTCTGCACAGCAAAAGAAACCATCAACAGAGGGAAGAGACAGCCTGTAGAGTGAAGGAAAATATTTGCAAACTATTCATTCAACAAGGGATTAATATCCGTAATATACAAAGAATTCAAAGAACTTGACAGCAAAAAATTAATCCAATTAAAAAAATGTGCAAATGACTTGAATAGACATTTCTCTAAAGAAAACATATAAATGTGGGGTGCAGTGGCTTGCACCTGTAGTCCCAGCACTTTGGGAAGCCGGGACCAGGAGCATCACTTGAGCCCAGGAGTTTGAGGTCATCCTGGGCAACGTGGCACAACCCTGTCTCTACAAAGAAAAAATTTAAAAAATTAGCCAGGCTTGATGGTGAGCACCTGTAGTCCCAGCTTCTTGGAAGGCTGAGGTAGGAGGATCGCTTAAGCCCAGGAAGTTGAGGCTGCAGTGAGTTGAGATTGCAACACATCATTCTAACCTGGGCAATGGAGTGAGACCCTGTCTCGAAAAAAAAAAAAAAGAAAAAAAATATACAAATGGCCAACAAGTATATGAAAAATGCTCAACATCACTAATTATCAACGAAATGCAAATCAAAGCCACAATGAAATATAATCCCACCCCAGTTAGAATGGCTATGATAATAAGACAAAAAATAACCTGCTAGTGAGGTTGCGGAGAAAGAGGAACTCTTTCTATACACTGTTGGTGGGAATGTAAATTAGTACAGCCGTTATGGAAAAACAGCACGTAGGTTCCTCCAAAAACTAAACATAGAACTACTATCTGATCCAGCAATTCCACTACTCGGTATATATCCAGAAGAAAGGAAATCAGTATGTCAAAATGATCTCTGTACTCCTGTGTTTATCGCAGTATTATGCACAATAGCTAAGATACGGAATTAACTTGGGTGTCCATCAATGGATGAATGGATAAAGAAAATGTGGTATATATACATAATGGAATCCTATTCAGCCATAAAGAAGAATGACATGTTGTCAGTTTTGGAAACATGGATGATCCTGGAGGACATTATGTCTAGTGAAATAAGCCAGACACAGAAAGACAAATACCACATGTCATCACTCATATGTGGAAGCTAAATAAGTAGATTTCATAGAAGTAAACAGTAGAATAGTGATAACTAGAGGCAGCAAAGTATAGGGAGAAAAGGAGGATAAGGAGAAATTGGTTAACAGATACAAAATTACAGGTGGATAGGAAGAATAAGTTCTATTGTTCTTTAGCACTTTATTAAAGATATAGATTAAGTTCTTATTCTGTATCTTCAAATAGCTAAATGAGAAGACATTGAATGTTCCCAACACAAAGAACTGATAAATGTTAGAGGTGATGGATATGCTAATTACCATGATTTGATCATTAGACATCGTATAAAGGTATCAAAATATCACAATGTTACCCCATAAATATGCATATTATGTATCAATTAAAAATAATAATGTTCTATTGTATAGAAAAAACCTGTTACAGAAAAAGAAAGCTCATTAATAGAACAAAATCACTTTCTTCCCTTTCTTTTTTCTCAGTCTTGTTTTTTTCTCTAACTGTAGCTTTTCTCATTTATAAAGTGAGAAGTTTCAATAAAGTTTAAATATGTATTGAGTGCTCTGGGTTCCAGGGAAAGGAATAAGAATCACCAGGTATATGAGCATGGGTGAAACACAGTCTCCACCCACTGGAGATATCACACATGGATGAGTTCTAAAATTGTGCCCAGGGCTTAACTGACAAATTGCGTTGGTAACAATTACGTACTTCCATTTAAAAAGCAGAGTGCAAATGTCTGTGGGTATTCCACAATAGGATCCCAATATATTGGTTAAATGTAATTTGCATGAGCACATAAATGATTCTAAGAAAAATAATGTCTGAAGATGCCCTTAAGCTCATCCATCCTTTGAGCTGTATTAAGCTACCATAGAACATTAGGGAAACAGCCATAGCAGAAATCTACTGACAATGAAATGTTTCTTAAATTACATGTCCTGAGTACTTGGAAGTCATCTAAATGCCTTTGCTTATTTAAGTTCAAGCACTGATTTTCTGAACAAAATCAGCTCCTCCTTAGTTCCTCAAGGGACCACTGTGGGTGTTGGCCTTTGTCAAACAAGATGCCCTGGTGCAAAAATAGTCTGGTGTTGGCACATTAAATATAGATGAGAGAACCGGATAAACCAACTGCTCCACTGTTTAGTTGACAATATATGTAAATTATGCTTGGTGGTTTGCAGTTGTAGAGTTTACTCACAGAGTTGGTATTCTGTATTCCATATTGTGTCATGAAATCATTCTCCCATATGCCATTGCTTCTATTAAGCTCTTTCCACCTTTTTAAGCCTAAGCTTTTCTTGTTGAATCCAGGTTTTCCCACTGCTATTGTTAATACTATACCAAGGCTGATACTGTTTAGATATTGGGTTTCAATGTTGCTCAATTTATTTAGCAATTCAACAGACAGGTACTGAGCCCTTGATAAGTGTGAGCCACTCTGCTAATGGCTGGGTACAAAGAATAATGAGACCCAACCCTGCCTTGACTTTACTGTTTTGGGAGAGACAAAAAGTCAAGAGACATTTTCAGATGGTGTGGAGTGTTGTACTTCCATGCCTGGGAAGACTTAGCCTGGTTGAAGAAGGTCAGATGAGAGTTCAGCAAAAAGAGACATCACAATTGAGTCCTGAAAGCTGGGAAAATACTAGCCAGGGGATGATGGACTAAAAAGCACAGGGAAAAAGAGTTTTCAAGTTAGAGGAAGTGCAAATGACTTAAAGGTAAAAGAGAGCTTGGTGTATTAAAAAATGCTATTCCCTTAATGTATTTATGCGACTTATACATGTTATATTTCCTACTTTTGACCAAATCATCAAATTTGGGTTTGACCTGATTTAGGAGATTAATAGAAATAAGCCTGTCCCTAGTTGAATGAATTTATTTGTTAAATGAACTTGTGTATATCTTTTGCTATTTGGCAAAAGCAAAGTAACCGTAAGACTTTTTGTGTACCTCCATTAAACACCACCCTCCCACCTCCACCCTGCACAGACCTGGGTCTTGGTCTTGGGTGACTGATACTCCTGTTAAATTTTGTAGCAACTCAAATCCCATAGAAAGTAGAATAAAGGCTACATCACTCCAAATTATTTTGACTCATTCATGACACTGAATGATTGGCATTTTTACGTATCTGTAAAGAACTCAAAAGAAAATAATGATAAATTTTATAACAGAAATCCATATTTGTTTCACTCTGAATTTTACAACTGTTAATATTTTGTCATATTTGCTTCCAGTTGTTTTATGTTTGTTAAGAAAATGAAACATTGTGTATTTAGCTATAGTCCTCTTTAGCCACTTACCTAGTCCTATCCCTAGATCTCCAAAAGAAAACAACAAGGAGTTTGGTGTGTGCCCTTCCTTGCATTCTAGTTCTCATAATTTTATATATAAATATTTGCATCCACAATCAATTTATGGAATTGATGCATGTATATTATTAACTTATTATGGAATATTCTGAACATGTATAAGGATAGAATAGTATAATGAAAATCTAAAAATCCATCACTTAGCTTCAGCAATTATCAACTCAGGACCAATCTTATTTCATCTTATCCCCACCCAGTTACCCCCTAAATCCTCTCAAAGATTTTGAAGCACATCTCAGTAATATCATTTTGTTGGTATATATTTCACTATATTTATAATGATAATGATTTTTCGAAGCACACAATCATGCCACAATGATTACAACTAAAGATTTAAAAGTATTTCATTATTATCAAAAATCCAGTATTACTTTCCTTCAATTGTCTCCTAATGTTTATTGTGCAGTTTGTTAGAATCAAGAACCATGTAAGGCCTATTGTTTGAAGTGGCTGCTATGTCTCTGAGGTATCTTTAGTTATAGGTCTTACCCCAATTATTTTCTAGCCATTTATATGTTCAGGAAACCTTGTCATTTATTTTGTAGTTTTTTCAGTTAGGAATTTGCGGACTTTATTCACGTAGAGACTTTTCTTGTGTGTATGTCCCTCTATTTCTTGACCAAAGACAATTACATCTAGAGTCTTGATCGCATTCAAGTTCTATATTTTTGTCAAGACTTCCTCATAGGTGACATTATGCTTCCTGAGGAGATACTTGATGCCTAGTTGTCTCTTTATGTTGATTAGTAGTAATTGTTGGTCACTGCCTAGATACATTCTTTCTTTCTTTCACTTCCTCCCTTCCTTTTTTTTTTTTTTTGAGACGGAGTTTCACTCTTGTTGTGCAGGCTAGAGTGCAGTGGCGTCATCTCAGCTCACTGCAACCTCCACCTCCCGGGTTCAAGAGATTCTCCTGACTCAGCCTCCCAAGTACCTGGGATTACAAGCGCCCGCCACCACACCCAGCTAATTTTTGTATTTTTAGTAGAGATGGGGTTTCACCATGTTGGCCAGGCTTGTCTTGAATTCCTGACCTCAGGTGATCCACCCTCCTTGGCCTTCCAGAGTGCTGGGATTACATGGGTGAGCCACCGTGCCCAGCCCATTATTTCTTTAAGAGTTATAAAGTGATATGATTCTAACTTCCTACTTTCTTTGTTGACTAGGCATGTGTAATTCTTAAGTGTTTGATGCCATATTTTAGATATTCTTCTCTATTTTGTTTTTGTTTCTTTCCCTGCTTATAAATATTTAATGAGTTTCTTATAACTTTTGTATGGTTTTCCATCCTGTAGCTTTTTGACCATTTGTTGATAGAAACAAAACTGCAGAACACTTCCTCGTAATTATCTCTTGGTGCCCATGAGTCAGAGCTTCTCCAGTTGAATGTTTAAGTCATACGTTAGGTTTACTTTCAACATTACTTGGTGTTGCCAAATTTTTCTCCATTTTTCCCAAGTCCTTGTCAGTACCTAATGTCAAGATTTCTTTTTGCCAACCATTTGTGTAAAAACCATAATCTTGTTATTTTAAATTTTATTTTCACTTTAACCAGTACATTTTGTATTTTTACTGGCCACTCAGATATTGTCTTCTACAAATTGCTTTTTAATGCACCTTAACCATTTTGCCATTGGTATTTTATCTTTTACATAGCGATTTCTAGAGTTCCTCTGTATATCTAGAGAACCTAATTGATTTAGAGGGTGTAGACATTTCCTTTTCACCTTTTTGTTTGTTTAAACATATTTATTTTTCCTTTTGCTGATGAAAGAAAATATTGTGTGATGGTTAAGAGTACAGACTGCGGAGTTAGATTTCTTGAATTTAAATCACAGCTCTAGAAGTACCCAGCTGTAAAACCCTAATCTAATTAAGTTCATGTGTTTGTGCTTAAAAATTCTCATATAAAAAATGGAGTAAAAAAAAAAGTGTCTACTTCCTAGGGATATTGTGAAGTCCTAATGAGATATGACATATAAGTCCTTATGGGCAGTGCCTCATGTATCTAAGTACCCACTTTAAGTTAGCCATTATTGTTTTCTTCTAATATAAAGCTTTATGTAGTTGAATTTATTTATCTTTCCCTGGAAAGACCCTTTGAGCCATGTTTCTACTCTTTCCAGGTTTTCTGCTGTGCAAGGGTGGAAAGCTGTAGTACCTTTTCTCACTCATCATAAGGGTCAGAGCTGACATTCCTATAACAAAATACAGGTTAACGAGATTTATTTAATCTAAGTTTTACCTGAAACACTCTTAACAGAAATGAAAACCCAAGGGCCCGGGGAAACTCTGTTTTTATATGTAGGTTTGATGAAGAAGAGACCACTGTGTAGAAATGTGATTGGACAAAAGGACATGACCTAAGTTCTTCCTATGTCCTTCACTTTAAAGTACCCAGCATGTCAAGGTACATACTTGGAGGTATTCTATTCTGAGCCCCATCAATACAATCATTTAGGGAAATTGTATGCCACCATTTAATTGGTAAATATGAAAACTGAAGTGAAAGTTTCTTGGGATATATTGTTAAATGAAAAGCAAAATAAATATCATTTCCATATTATGCTTACAACTGTATAAAATTATGTATCAAAAGTACAAGGATGTACAAGTATTGTATTATAAAAAGTTTGGCCTTATCTTTGTCCTCAGTTCCAGCTAGGTAACCTCTAAAACTTGAAAATTTCCCAAGTGATAGTAGTATCTAGACCTCTTGTATTACATCTGGGTTTATATTAATGAGCTGAGTCAGGATGGGGTCCAGTCACCAGAAAGACTAACCATGTAATTCAAGGACTGGGGCTTTGAGCCCAGTAATGTCATCCCAACCTCTGAGGAGTGGAAGGATGCTGGAGATTGAGTTCATGTGCCCTGCGATTCAGTCAATCATGCCTAGATAATGCAATCCACAAAAAAACTATGGACGGCGAAATTTGGGTGAGGTTCTTTGGTTTCAAAGGTGTAGGGAGGGTAATGCATCACGATTCCATGGGGAGAAGACGTGGAAGCTCTGATTCAGTATCCTCCTAGTTCTAGCCCTATGTGTCTCTTCATTGAGCTGCTTCTGAATCGTGTCCTTTACAATAAAATTATAATCATAAGTTTAGTGCTATTTTTGAGCCATATAAGTCATTCTAGCAAGTTGTCAAACCTGTTGGGGGCATGGGAGCCCCAAAATTTGTAGCCAATTTGTCACAAATGCAGGTGGCTTGTGGACCCTCAAACTTGTGACTGGTGTTTGAAGTAGAGTCTTGTTGGGGACTATGCCCTTAAATCGTGGAGTCTACACCAACTCTGGATAGTTAGTGGCAGTATTATATTGCAGTACTGTAACAACCATTTTGAAAAACTTTTTGGCCATGCCTACCAAAGTTTATCCTATAAATATTCTATAACCTAGAAATTTAATTCCTAGTTATGTATCTCAGATAAATGACTACTATATCCAACAAATCACATGCCTAGAATTGTTTTTAATAGCTTATTCCTAATAGATTAACATGGAAAGCAACCCAACTATTCAACAGTAGAATTGGCAAAAATTAGGATATGGTTTTAGAATGGAATACTATATAGCAACAAAAATGATCGAAATACAAACACAATGTTGAATGAAAGAAGCCAGACACAAAAGAATGCATACTGTATACTTATATTTTTATGAAGTGCAAAAGCAGGTAAAAATACTATCTGGTGATATCTCATAATTGACTTGCCAAGTACAGGACTGAGAGACTTGATTGCTGAAAATGTTCCATCTCTTTATTGGGATGGTGTAAATATGAGGGTATGCCTATGTTTAAAAAAATCTGCAAATGATACACTTAAAATGTATGTACTTTTTGTGTGTAAGTTATTTGTCCATTTAAAAAGTTAAAGAAAAAGGAATTTCTCAAATGGAAAAATTTTGTGGGAGTGAGGTTTTAAGGAATTTTTAGTGTTTTTTAACGTATGAATGTGAGTAATATAAAAACATTTTACTAAGTCAAAGTCAATGTAATAAATACACCAGGATCTCCACTCAGTGTCACTTCATACTGGAGAGTCACAAATGTTCATAGTTGAATATGATGAATATTACAAAGCTTGATTATGGTGCCTGAGAGACGCACAGGGGTATGGTGGGAGGCTTGTGTTAGCAAGTCTCCCACTTACTAGTTATGTGATATTGGACAAAGGGCCATAAAAGCTCCTCAGTAACTTAGGATAAAAATTCTATGACCATCAAACACACAGAAAGTGCCTGTAAGTGTAACCTTTAAAGTTATTGTCACTGGACATTATTACATACAAATACCAGATGAAAAAGACAACCTTTTTATTTCTGGACTTCTAAACTTCCTAGCATTTATTATTCTTTGGTTTAAGAACTGTGAAATTGTGAAAGCCACAGTAATAATAGGAACACAGACAGAAGAGGTCTCTTAGAGCAGGAACTGTCAACTCAGGGTTAAGCTTCATCCTCTCTGAAAATACAACAGTCCTAGAGAAGGGAACCTTGAGCTGCGGCTGCTGTACTTGAAGCATGTCCCCTGTATGCTCATTTACAAATCAATTTAACAGAATCCCCAGAGGGGAGGTGAGGGAAAACCTAGGCCTTAGATAGAAATGCAAAGGTTCTTCAGTCTGAAATGAAGAAAA
Organism: Homo sapiens; assembly: GCF_000001405.40. Classification (NCBI taxonomy): domain Eukaryota; kingdom Metazoa; phylum Chordata; class Mammalia; order Primates; family Hominidae; genus Homo; species Homo sapiens. Next base: position 21,570,236 of record NC_000003.12, on the reverse strand, counting down.
ACATATTCATTTGGCTTTAAATAAGGCCATGGGCTGAGTTTGAAATTGAATTTTAGCCTAGAGTTTGGGTAAGCGTGTCAATAGCTAGTGTATCATACTTCATTTTTGTTTGGGTAGTTGATTAATAGATTTAGAAAATTCTTTTTTTTTAAGGTGTAATTTTTTTTATTATTATTATTATTATACTTTAAGTTTTAGGGTACATGTGCACAATGTGCAGGTTAGTTACGTATGTATACATGTGCCATGCTGGTGTGCTGCACCCATTAACTCGTCATTTAGCATTAGGTATATCTCCTAATGCTATCCCTCCCTGCCCCCCCACCCCACAACAGTCCCCAGAGTGTGATGTTCCCCTTCCTGTGTCCATGTGTTCTCATTGTTCAATTCCCATCTATGAGTGAGAACACGCAGTGCTTGGTTTTTTGTCCTTGCGATAGTTTACTGAGAATGATGATTTCCAATTTCATCCATGTCCCTACAAAGGACATGAACTCATCATTTTTTATGGCTGCATAGTATTCCATGGTGTATATGTGCCAGCCGCTGCAAAATCATGCCAAAATGTAAAGACCATCGAGACGAGGAAGAAACTGCATCAACTAACGAGCAAAATAACCAGCTAACATCATAATGACAGGATCAAATTCACACGTAACAATATTAACTTTCAATGTAAATGGACTAAATGCTCCAATTAAAAGACACAGACTGGCAAATTGGATAAAGAGTCAAGACCCATCAGTGTGCTGTATTCAGGAAACCCATCTCACATGCAGAGACACACATAGGCTCAAAATAAAAGCATGGAGGAAGATCTACCAAGCAAATGGAAAACAAAAAAAGGCAGGGGTTGCAATCCTAGTCTCTGATAAAACAGACTTTAAACCAACAAAGATCAAAAGAGACAAAGAAGGCCATTACATAATGGTAAAGGGATCAATTCAACAAGAAGAGCTAACTATCCTAAATATATATGCACCCAATACAGGAGCACCCAGATTCATAAAGCAAGTCCTGAGTGACCTACAAAGAGACTTAGACTCCCACACAATAATAATGGGAGACTTTAACACCCCACTGTCAACATTAGACAGATCAATGAGACAGAAAGTTAACAAGGATACCCAGGAATTGAACTCAGCTCTGCACCAAGCGGACCTAATAGACATCTACAGACCTCTCCACCCCAAATCAACAGAATATACATTTTTTTCAGCACCATACCACACCTATTCTGAAAATTCTATCTTTCAAAATATCACAATTTAGAAACTGAATAAATATATCCTAAAATACCATGCAGATTTTACCATTTCTTTTGTTTTTAATTCAGTGCTGCACAGGTTAGGTGAAATATATCTGAAGTTTCTATGTATTACATTCTTCGTTTGGTGTCTACTAATGTATTGAAACCTTTACATTTTACTTATATTTTAAAAATAATTTTCTCAGATCAGTATTTTCTAAAACGTATGCATTGAACAATGATGGTAAATTAAAAAACAAAAATAAAAACCTTGGTTATATTAAGTCAGAAATCATGCATTTAAAACATATTTTTCTTGTACAGCATCTCAGAGATTGTAATATTCTGTTGTGTGCTGTTAATGTCTAGGCTGTAGTACCTCGACTTTCTACACCTTATCTGACCCAAGAACCCCTTTTTTTCCTGCCTACCACAAATATTGGCATTGTGTGAGGCAGATTTTGTAGAAAAATTCTTGACGATAATGTGCATACACAAAATAAGATGTTACTGTTTTGACAGATCAGACCCATTGGTTCCTGGAGAGAAAAACAATATACATGACTTTCTTTTTATATAAAATATTTGATTATAATAGTAAATAAAGATAAGTTTAGACAAAATGATCAAACTATCTGTGTGTGTGTCCCCTGATTTGACAGTAGAGGCTACTTTTAGTTATACGGCATGTGGTATCATTTAATTAACTATTTATAACAGAACTGGTTATTATTTAGATTTTGCCCTTTCATAATTCCTCATTGTAAATGGTTGTAGATATATACGTGTGAATGATTTATTGTTATTAATAAAGATATTAAAACATTTTGTTGTACTAGATTTCTAAAAGGATAAAAGATAATTACTTTTGATGGTGTATCTATAGTTTGTGAAATCCATTTTAAAAGGTAATTCAGTTAAGTTTTTTTTTAACTATTCTGGGAAATAAAATTGTCTCTGCAGAATATACCACTTTGCATTTTGAAATCTGATTTTATAGCCACAGTGATCAGAACATCATTCAATTCAAACAAAATAACTTAATCTAAAGACTATATTACATTTGCACGAAGTGACTAGTCCCAAAATACCTCCTCTACAAATTTGGATTGAATGTGGTCACTGCCTCCCCAGTGTTACTAAAAAAAACCCAAAATAATACCCTGATCACCAAAATATGATAAAAACTCAGCAGTATGTATTTTCGGAGAGCATCTTTCTTTGATATACATACACAGTTCATTTTTATTTCAAAGTATCATTATAAGGAGACTTCAATATTCCTTAATGGGTTATAGGCATAATTCACCTTATCCCGATAGAAACACATCCCGTTTGTGCACAGAATGTACACAAGAGAACATGATAAGGCATCTACCTGTAAGTCAATGACCTCTTTCTGCTTTTAATTTTTCCGTCAGCTGGTGGCTGAAGGGAAAATTACCCTTCAGTGTTCTCTGTGGTTGTTTTTATAGATGTGATAGAATGATCCTAGAGAACAGAATGAGGGCTATTGAAGCAGCGCAGATTCACACATTTGTGTGGCCCTTGGCTTTCTCAAGCTCTGTGCATTGTTAATTTTGGTTCTGGGGAAATAATAAAAGATTGAGGAAGGTTTAGAAGCTTAGCTGGGGTGAGGGACTTGGCAGTATATGTAGAGAAGAATCCTGTACTATGTCCTGTGGCCCTTCATACCGCTATTCTACAGCAGGCCCAACCTAAGGAAGAGATACTGTAATTTTAAATTAAGTTTTAATGTTTGGATTAAGACACTTAACTGATTTTAGGAATGATCTTAGGTTGCATATTCAGACTTGAAAAGATCAAAGAATGTACTGAAAATAATGAAATGTTCATCGATGGCAAATGGATAAATACATGTGTTCATCAATGGCAAATGGATAAATACATGTAGTGCATCCTTACAAAGGAATACTACTGAGCAATAAAAAGGAACAAGCTGCTGATGCATGTAACAACATGGATGAATCTGAGCACCATTGTATTGAATGAAAGATTCCAGACACAAATCACCACATACTCTATGATAACATTTATGTGAAATGGCAAAATACTGAGACAGAAATGGAAAAATACATAGAAAGCAGGCCAGTGGTTTCAGGGTCTGGGAGGAGGAGGCAGAGAATGACCACAGAGGGGTAAGAGGGAACTTGTCCAGATAGTGGAAAAGGTCTGTGTGACAATTATCCTCACTCTATGCATTTGTCACATTTCACTTGTACACTTAATACTGGTGATTTTTATTGTATGTAAATTATTATACAATACCTAAATAAAATCAGATAAAAAGAAAATATTATAGAATTCACTAGTGAAGGAGAGAGGTGATCCTATAATTTGTTTTTTGAGACAGAGTCTCACTCTGTCACCCACGCTGGAATGGAGTGGCATGATCTCAGCTCACTGCAATCTGGGTTCAAGCGATTCTCCTGCCTCAGCCTCCCGAATACCTGGGATTACAAGCACCTGCCACCATGCCTGGCTAATTTTTTTGTACTTTGTTAGTAAAGACAAGGTTTCACCATGCTGGCCAGGCTGGTCTCCAACTCCTGACCTCAAGAGATCCACCCACCTCGGCCTTCCCAAAGTGCTGGGATTATAGGCATGAGCTATCGTGCCTGGCCTATAATTTGTTAATACCTAAAAGTGACCAGAAAAACAATGAGGAGAGGCTGAGCTTCATCCAGAATTTGGGCAAGGATTAATGTTTGTTAGATAATAAATTTAAAGGGAAGGTGGAAAAGAAAAATGATTACGCCCATGAGTTCTACTCCTTTATCACTGTAACCATGTAAATCACCTGGTCCAGTGATTAGCCTATGGAAAGCATTATAATAAATGCTAACTGCTACTATTTTTATTGTTACTATTGTTATTATTCAGAACCGTATGTTAACAGTACCTAGACAACCTAATAGGAGTTGTGAATACAAAGAAGTCAGAAACTTTCTCCTTCCTTCCAGTGAAGAGAGCCTGTGAATTAACTGATTCCAGTGACCTGAGAAACACAAAAGGAGATGAAATTGATCAATGGCTTGTTTAGGGGAATTAATGAACTATAATATGTCACAGAAGGTGAATATTAGAGAGTCATTTCTGACACATTCTGAGCACTTTTGAGTGTATCAAATAATTTCTGATCTATCTCAATCTATTATGAAGACTTACTTATAAGTCCTTTTATCTCATCATTTGAAAAATGGGAAATGTGCCAACAATGAGTATAGTGTTTGAGGCTGATATTAACCTTGATCTTCACATGTGCTACAACACAGAACATATAATAATAAATAGCCAGCATCTATTTAATGCGCCCAGACTGACTATCCTAAGTAAATTTCATGAATTATCACATTTAAGCTTCATCACAACTTTAATAGACAAGGATAGTGAAAGAAGTTACATGAAAGAATTAAGATCAAGGGCTGGGTGTGGTGGCTCAAGCCTGTACTCCCAGCTACTTGGGAGGCTCAAGTGGGAGGGCTGCTTGAACCCAAGAGTTTGAGCCTACAGTGAGCTATGATCTCACCACTGCACTCCAGCCAGAGCAACCATAGGACAAAAGCCTGGTGAAGGGACACTAAACTTTATCAGAGCTGGATTGCTGACATTATGTTTTTCTTGTTGTTTGTCCTGTCCTGGAAATAAAATGGAGGGAGATAACTGGTATCTGGCCCCAAATCCCTTGGCACCCCCCAATAAGTCCACAGGTTAACATTCTATACTAGATGGTCAACAAGTGATTGCTGAATGACTTAATTAACATCTCCATATGTTTCAATTATTGGAAAGCAGGACTTGTATATTATAGAGTCTAAAAGATACCAAACATAGCATAAGGTTCATGTTGGATAATGGTGTATAATTTATTTTCATGGCTTCCCAGCTGACCAGTCTATTTTGAAATCCATTTTTGGGCAATGGTATAGACATACTTCTGTGTTAGATTGCTGGCATTAGCAATAACTTGAATTTTGATAAATCTTTAATTATATTTAAGGGTTATTAAACTGAGACAACTGTTGCTTTTAAATGAGAAAAACAGTTAGTATGCAGACTCTAATGGGTAAATTTATCATTTCCTTATCATACTGAGCTTTGGGCTTAATGTTATCTATTTTCCAAGAAAGTAAAAATGTTGTTTCTTAGAATAAAAAGGTTCTTTATAATGTGAGCAGTAGATTGAAGCTGTACAGATTGGTTCTTTAATGAAATAGGCAAAATTCCAATGGAACTGACAAGCTTTATTTCTATTTGTTGTATTTCTTTTTTCTCATTACAGATGGACCCGATTCAGAAAGCTGTAATAAACCATACATTCGGGGTTCCTCTTCCCCACCGAAGAAAGCAAATCATATCATGCAACATTTGCCAGTTGAGATTTAATTCTGATGTAAGTTTATCATTTAGTGTTCACTTAAAAAAAAAAAATACATTTTGCTGTTCTAATCTTGCAGGAGAAAAGATTTCTTAAGACATTTTCTCCAGTAACTGAGCATGTCAAAATTCAAAGATAACATTTTAACTCACTATGTGCTTTAATTTTGGAGTTTATTATGTTATGTTTGGTTGTTTACTACAGAAAATTCACATGTAAACAAGCTTAAATACTTGCAGTTTAATATTTTTATTTATTTATTTATTTTTTAGTCTTTTGGGAATGGTACATGTAGATAATACACTTTGCCTTTGGGAACAGTAAAACTTTCGACCAATGGAACTTTTAATAGGTTACACTCTGAAATAAGATAGGTACCAAATCATATTTTAAGATCAAGATTTTGAGTTTATAAACTTTTTTTGCCTGGAATGGAGGCCTCAAATTCCATATTACCGCTATGTCCTTAATTATATTTGTGCTAAAGCACTCAAGTTGTCCTAGGAGTATTGGTATTTTAACAGGGGTCCTACAGTCCTAGAACCACTCAAGCCCCAAAAGACTTCAGTGGAGAACATGTAGGAGGGAAACATTTGTGGACCTGACTGGTGGTTCACAAGTTATTCAGGGAGTTATTCACACCTTTTCTACCATTTCTAAGGACTAGGGTGGACTCTGGATCCATCACAGTGATATTAATTTTGATCTGTGGCCAATGGGAAAAAAAAATGTATGTCTTCTCTTCCCCGCTAAACCTGCTTTGATATGAAGTTAAGTCCTAAGAGTTCCAGAAGAGACAGGCAACGTTGGTCTAGAAGGAATAGGGATTGGAGAGCATTCACACTCTAGGCAAACAGAAGGCTCCATCCTATCGAGGTACCATTTTCTCGTCCTAAGTTGATACACTTTGTGGAGATGACCAAACAGATCTGAATTCTGGACAACGTTAAGCCTTCCAGTATTTAACCTCTCCAGTCAAGTAGGACTCTTAGATGCTCTGGTGACGAAGATAGGATGCAAGATAATTGAGTATAGGAAATAGATGAGGCATAAACAAAATAGTTTATTCCTCTTTGAAGAGAACATTACATTTTATTTTGCTTTCGTCTTAAGAACTCATACTTACTAATGCAATCATCAGGTAATTTTACAATATCCATTGACTTAAAAAAGAGAAGAGTGGATTGCCTGCATAACACTTTAGTCCATTTGGCCAGCTAAAACAAAGTACCATAAACTGAGTAGATTATAAACAACAGAAATTTATTTCTCACAGTTCCGGAGGCTGAGAAGTCCAAGATCAAGGTGCTGACAAATTCACTGTCTGGTAAGGGCCTGCTTTCTGGTTCCCACATGGCATATTTTCACTGTATTTTCACATGGTGGAAGGGATAAAGGAGCTCCCTTGAAGCTATTTTATAAGGGCACCAATCTCATTCACAAGGGCTCTGCCCTCATGACTTAATCATCTCCCAAAAGGTTCCACCTGCTACTACCATCAACTTGGGGGTCAGAATCTCAACATATGAATTTTCCAGGTATACAAATAATCAGACCATACCAGCACTTAAGTGGTATTTGCTGCTAAAAACCAAAAAGAATATACCAAACATATAATATTTTATGTGAAGGGATTTTTTGTTTTTTAATGCTGCGCACTTTGAGGGATAGAACTTTACCACAGAATTGCTTAATTTTAACAATAAAGTATTCTCAAGTGATGACTGTAATAATCTCTTCAAGCTGTTGTTAAAAAAGAGTCCTCTTAATACATAAATAAGAGTTCTAAACTCAACAGCTTCAACTTTGATCATTTTTAAACACTCAGCAAACAATTATATAGTTTTATAATTATTATTTTAAGTGGCTTTTTAGTTCCTCTTTTCCTAAACTGTATTTATATTTCACTTAGAAACTGATCAGATGATTTAAAAGTCTCCCAGGAGCCATGTTGTCAGCTTCTTATATTTAATGAGACTACTTAAAATATCTCCTCCTGCCTATGATTTCACTGTCAATATTCTCTTTATTAAGCACACTTCTTTTAAACTAGGAATTAGAAAGAAATTTCAAGGTCACTGAACCCAATCTCCTACTAAGTGCAAGAATTTCACCTCTTACATCCAGGCAAGGTCTTTTGCTTGATTATTCCCAGTGATGAGTCACTTACCATTTCCAGACAGTGGTTCTATTTTTGGAGTGTTTCTAATTCTGTAGATTGATGTCAAATTCATGATTGGACACTTTAGAAATATTGTCAGACATGCTTTAGAAAACACATACATATTTTTATATATAATTTTTAACAATAATATAAATTGATATGACATAACACATGGAATATGAACATACTTTTCAAAAATGTATTCTTATTTCATTTCCATGGTGAGAGAGTAGCAATTTATTTTGTTACTGAAGTTTCAAAGTAGAATGGGCATCAATATGTATTTATTAGGGACAACTGGCTTCTCATTCTCACAACTTTGCTTTCAGGTCTGTGTGGCATGTCGTAAAAGGAACATGGCCAAGGTATTTGGAGATATGGACTAATCACTTTGGGTCATAATTAAACAATTGCAGGCTTGACCATTTACCAGATGATTATTGTATTAGTCTTCTATTGCTGCTAAAATAAATCACCACAAACTCAGTGGCCTGAAACAACACAAATATGCAGGCATATCTCAGCTCACTTTGTGTCTCTGCATCACATTTTGGTTCTTCTTTCAATATTTCAAACTTTTCTATTTTTACTATATCTGTTATGGTGATCTGTGACCTTTGATGTTACTATTGTGATTGTTTTGGGGCACTGTGAATTCCACCCATGTAAGATGGTAAATTTAATTAATAAACGTTGTGTGTGTTCTGATTGTTCCACCATCTGGACATTCCCCAATCTCCCACCCTCTCTTTGGACCTTCCTATTTCCTGAGACACAACACTGAAATTAGGCCAATTTAAAACCCTACAATGGCCAGTTGCTGGCAAGCTGGCCAAATAGAAACAGCTCCAGTCTGCAGCTCCCAGTGAGATCAACGCAGAAGGCAGGTGATTTCTGCATTTCCAACTGAGGTACCCAGTTCATCTCATTGGGACTGGTTGGACAGTGGGTGCTGCCCACAGAGGGCGAGCAGAAGCAGGGTGGGGTGTCACCTTACCTGGGAAGCACAAGGGGTTGGGGAGCTCCCTCTCCTAGCCAAGGGAAGCTGTGAGGGACTGTGCCATGAGGAATTGTGCGCTCCAGCCCAGATACTGTGCTTTTCCCATGGTCTTTGCAACCCGCAGACCAGGATATTCCCTAGGGTACCTACACCACCAGGGCCCTAAGTTTCCAGCACAAAACTGGGTGGCTGTTTGGACAGAAACCAAGCTACGTGAAGGAGTTTTCTTTTTCATACCCCAGTGGCTTCTGGAACACCAGCAAGACAGAACCATTCACTCCCCCGGAAAGGGGCTGAAGTCAGAGAACCAAGTGGTCTGGCTCGGGGGTCCCACCCCCTCAGAGCCCAGCAGGCTAAGATCCACGGGCTTGAAATTCACGCTGTCAGCATGGCAGTCTGAGGTCGACCTGGGATGCTCCAGCTTGGTTGGGGGAGGGGTGTCCACCATTGCTGAAGCTTGAGTAGGAGGTATACCCTCACAGTGTAAACAAAGCCACCAGGAAGATCGAACTGAGCGGAGCCCACTGAAGCTCAGCAAGGCCCCTGTGGCCAGACTGTCTCTCTAGATTCCTCCTCCCTGGGCAGGGCATCTCTGAAAAAAAAGGCAGCAGCCCCAGTCAGGGGCTTATAGATAATACCCCCAACTCCCTGGGACAGAGCACCTGGGGAAAGAGGCAGCTATAGGCGCAGCTTCAGCAGATGTAAATGTTCCCTGCCTGATGACTCTGAAGAGAGCAGCGGATCTCCCAGCACAGCGTTCGAGCTCTGCTAAGGGTCAGACTGCCTCCTCAAGTGGGTCCCTGACCCCCATGTCTCCTGATTGGGAGATACCTCCCAGTAGGGGCCGACCGGCACCTCATACAGGAGAGCTCTCGCTGGCATCTGGCAGGTAGCCCTCTGGGACAAAGCTTCCAGAGGAAAGAACAGGCAGCAATCTTTGCTGTTCTGCAGCCTCTGCTGGTGATACCCAGGCAAACAGGGTCTGGAGTGGACCTCTAGCAAACCTGCAGCAGAGGGGCCTATTAGAAGAAAAACTAACAGAAATGAATAACATCAACATCAACAAAAAGGAAGTCCACTGACAGACCCCATCCGAAGGTCACCTACCTCAAAGACCAAAGATAGATGAATCCACGAAGATGGGGAGAAACCAGCCCAAAAAGGCTGAAAATTCCAAAAACCAGAACGCCTCTTCTCCTCCAAAGGATCACAACTCCTCGCCAGTAAGAGAACAAAACAGGATGCAGAATGAGTTTGACGAATTGACAGAAGTAGGCTTCAGAAGGTGGGTAATAACAAACTCCTCTGAGCCAAAGAAACATGTTCTAAACCAATGCAAGGAAGCTAAGAACCTTGAAAAAACATTAGACAAATTGCTAACTAGAATAACCAGTTTAGAGAAGAACATAAACGACGTGATGGAGCTGAAAAATACAGCACGAGAACTTCGTGAGGCATACACAAGTATCAATAGCCGAATTGATCAAACAGAAGAAAGGATATCAGAGCTTGAAGATCAACTTAAATACAGCGTGAAGACAAGATTAGAGAAAAAAGAATGAAAAGAAACAAACAAAGCCTCCAAGAAATATGCGAATATGTGAAAAGACCAAACCTACGTTTGATTGGTGTACCTCAAAGTGACAGGGAGAATGGAACCAAGTTCAAAAACACTCTTCAGAATATTATCCAGGAGAACTTCCCCAACCTAGCAAGACAGGCCAACATTGAAATTCAGGAAATACAGAGAACACCACAAAGATACTCCTTGAGAAGAGCAACCCCAAGACACATAATCATCAGATTCACTAAGGTTGAAATGAAGGAAAAAATGTGAAGGGCAGACAGGGAGGAAGGTTGGGTTACCCACAAAGGGAAGCCCATCAGACTAACCATGGTTCTCTCTGCAGAAACCCTACAAGCCAGAAGAGAGTGGGGGTCAATATTCAACATTCTTAAAGAAAAGAATGTTCAACCCAGAATTTCCTATCCAGGCAAACTAAGCTTTGTAAGTGAAGGAGAAATAAAATCCTTTACAGACAAGCAAAAGAGATTTTGTCACCACCCGGCCTGCCTTACAAGAGCTCCTGAAGAAAGCACTAAATATGGAAAGGTAAAACCGGTACCAGCCACTGCAAAAACATACCAAATTGTAAAGACCATCGACACTATGAGGAAACTGCATCAACTAAGACAAAATAACCAACTAGCATCATAATGAGAGGCTCAAATTCACACATAACAATATTAACCTTAAATGTAAAAGGACTAGATGCCCCAATTAAAAGACACAGACTGGCAAATTGGATAGAGTGTCAAGAACCATCAGTGTGCTGTATTCAGGAGACTCTCATGTGTAAAAACACGCATAAGCTCAAAATAAAGGGTAGGAGGAATATTTACTAAGCAAATGGACAGCAAAAAAAAAAAAAAAAGCAGGGGTTGCAATCCTAGTATCTGATAAAACAGACTTTAAACCAACAAAGATCAAACAGCAAAGAAGGACATTACATAATGGCAAAGGGATCAATACAACAAGAAGAGCTAACGATCCTAAATATATATGCTAACTATCCGAATTATATATACACCCAATAAAGGAGCATCCAGATTCATAAAGCAAGTTCTCAGAGACCTACAAAGAGACTTAGATTCCCACACAATAATAGTGGGAGACTTTAACAGTGCACTATCAATATTAGATCAATGAGACAGAAAATTAACAAAGATATTCAGAACTCAGCTCTGGGCCAAGCGGGCCCAATAGACATCTACAGAACTCTCCACCCCAAATCAACAGAATATACGTTCTTCTCAGCAACTCATTGCTCTTATTCTAAAATTGATCACATAATTGGAAGTAAAACACTACTCAGCAAATGCAAAAGAATGGAAATCATAACATTCTCTCGGAACACAGTGCAATTAAATTGGAAGTCAGGATTAAGAAACTGACTCAAAACTGCACAACAACATGGAAACTGAACAACCTGCTCCTGAATGACTACCGGGTGAATAACGAAATGAAGGCAGAAATAAATAAGTTCTTTGAAACCAATGAGAAAAAAGACACAATGTACCAGAATCTCTGGGACACACTTAAAGCAGCATGTGGAGGGAAATTTATAGCACTAGATGCCCACAAGAGAAAGCAAGAAAGATCTAAAATCGACACCCTAACATCACAATTAAAAGAACTAGAGAAGCAAGAGCAAACAAATTAAAAGCTAGCAGAAGGTGAGAAATAACTAAGATCAGAGCAGAACTGAAGGAGATAGAGACATGAAAAACCCTTCAAAAAAAAAAAAAAAAATCAATGAATCCAGGAGCTGATTTTTTGAAAAGATCAGCAAAACAGACTGCTAGCCAGACTAATAAAGAAAAGGGAGAAGAATAAAATAGACACACTAAAAAATGATAAAGGGGTATCACCACTGATCCCACAGAAATACAAACTACCATCAGAGAATACTATAAACACCTCTATGCAAATAAACTAGAAAATCTAGAAGAAATGGATAAATTCCTGGACCCATACACCCTCCCAAGTCTAAACCAGGAAGAAGTCAAATCCCAATAACAAGTTCTGAAATTGAGGCAGTTAATTAATAGCCTACCAATCAAAAAAATTCCAGGACCAGATGGATTCACAGACGAATTCTACCAGAGGTACAAAAAGGAAGTGGTACCATTCCTTCTGAAACTATTCCAAGGAACAGAAAAAGAGGGAATCCTCCCTAACTTATTTTATGAGGCCAGCATCATCCTGATACTAAAACCTGGCAGAGACACGACAAAAAAATAAAATTTCAGGCCAATATCCCTGAACATCAATGCAAAAATCCTCAATAAAATACTGGCGAAACTAATCCAGCAGCACATCAAAAAGCTTATCCACCACGATCAAGTCAGCTTCATCCCTGGGATGCAAGGCTGGTTCAACATATGCAAATAAATATACGTAACCTATCACATAAACAGAACCAATGACAAAAACCACATGATTATCTCAATAGATGCAGAAAAAGCCTTCAACAAAATTCAAAACCCCTTCATGCTGAAAACTCTCAATAAATTAGGTATTGACGGAACCTACCTTGAAATAATAAGAGCTATTATGACAAACCCACAGCCAGTATCACACTGAATGGGCAAAAACTGGAAGCATTCCCTTTGAAAACTAGCACAAGATAAGGATGCCCTCTCTCACCACTCCTATTCAACATAGCATCGGAAGTTCTGGCCAGGGGATCAGGCAAGGGAAAGAAATAAAGGGTATTCAATTAGGAAAAGGGGAAGTCAACTTGTCTGTTTGCAGATGACATGATTGTATATTTAGATAACCCAATTGTCTCAGCCCAACATCTCCTAACACTGATAAAAACTTCAGCAAAGTCTCAGGAGACAAAATCAATGTGCCAAAATCACAAGCATTCCTATACACCAATAACAGACAGAGGGCCAAATCATGAGTGAACTCCTATTCACAATTGCTACAAAGAGAATAAAATACCTAGGAATACAACTTACATGGGATGTGAAGGACCTTTTCAAGGATAACTACAAACCACTGCTCAAGGAAATAAGAGAGGACACAAATGGAAAAACATTCCATGCCCACGGATAGGAAGAATCGATATCGTGAAAATGGCCATACTGCCCAAAGTAACTGATAGATTCAATGCTATTCCCATCAAGCTACCATTAACTCTCTTCACAGAATTAGCCAAGACAATCCTAAGCGAACAGAACAAAGCTGGAGGTTATCATGTTACCTGGCTTCTAACTATACTACAAGGATACAGTAACCAAAACAGCATGGTATTGGTACCAAAACAGATATATAGATCAATGGAAGAGAACAGAAGCCTCAGAAATAATATCACACATCTACAACCATTTGATCTTTGACAAACCCGTCAAAAATAAGCAATGGGGAAAGGCTTCCCTATTTAATAAATGGTGTTGAGAAAACTGGCTAACCATATGCAGAAAGCTGAAACTGGATCCCTTCCTTACACCTTATACAAAAATTAACTCACAATGGATTAAAGACTTAAATGTAAGACCTAAAACCATAAAAACCCTAGAAGAAAACCTAGGCAATACCATTCAGGACATAAGCATGGGCAAGGACTTCATGACTAAAACACTAAAAGCAATGGCAACAAAAGCCAAAATAGACAAATGAGATCTAATTAAGCTAAAGAGCTTCTGCACAGCAAAAGAAACTATCATCAGAGTGAACAGGCAACCTACAGAGTGGGAGAATATTTTTGCAATCTATCCATCTGATAAAGGTCTAATACCCAGAATCTACAAAGAACTTAAATTTACAAAAAAAAAAAAAAAAAAACAAAAACAAAAAAAACGTCAAAAAGTGGGCAAAGGATATGAACAGACACTTCTTAAGAGAAGACATTTATGCAGCCAACAAACATGGAAAAAAAGCTCATCATCACTGGTCACTAGAGAAATGCAAATCAAAACCACAATGAGATACCATCTCACACCAGTTAGAATGGCAAGCATTAAAAAGTCAGGAAATGACACATGCTGAAGAGGATGTAGAGAAATAGGAATGCTTTTACACTGTTGGTGCAAGTGTAAATTAGTTCAACCATTGTGAAGACAGTGTGGTGATTCCTCAAAGATCTAGAACCAGAAATACCATATGACCCAGCAATCTTATTACTGGGTATACACCCCAAGGATTATAAATCATTCCACTATAAAGACACAAGCACACGCATGTTTACTGCGGCACTATTCACAATAGCAAAGACTTGGAACCAACCCAAATGCCCATCAGTGATAGACTGGTTAAAGAAAATGTGGCACGTATACACCATGGAACACTATGCAGCCATAAAAAAGGATGAATTCATGTCCTTTGCAGGGACATGGATGAAGCTGGAAACCATCATTCTCAGCAAACTAACAGAAGAACAGAAAACCACACACTGCATGTTCTCATAAGTGGGAGCTGAACAATGAGAACACATGGACACAGGGAAGGGAACATCACACACCAGGGCCTGTCGAAGGGTCAGGGGGCTAGGGGAGGGATAGCATTAGGAGAAATACCTAATGTAGATGACAGGTTGATGGGTGCAGCAAACCACCATAGCACATGTATACCTATGTAACAAACCTGCACGTTCTGCACATGTACCCCAGAACTTAAAGTATTAAAAAAAAAAAAAAAACTACAATTGCCTGTATGTGTTCAAGTGAAAGAAAGAGTCACACATCTTTTCATTTACATCAAAAACCAGAAATGATTAAGCTTAGTGAGGAAAACATGTCAAAAGAAGAGTTAGGCTGAAAGCTAGGCCTCTTGTGCCAAGCGGTTAGCTAAGTTGTGACTGTAAAATAAAAGTTCTTGAAGGTAATTAGATGTACTACTCTAGTAAACACATGAATGACATGAAAGCAAAAGAGCCTTATGTTTGATATGGAGAAAGTGCTAGTGGTTTGAATAGAAAAATCAAACCAGCCATACCATTTCCTTAAATCAGAGCCTAATCCAGAGGAAGGCCCTAACTCTCTTTAATTCTATGAAGGCTAACAGAGGTGAGAAAAAAATGTCTGAAGCTGGAAGTGGTTGGTTCATGAGGTTTAAAGAAAGAAGTCCTCTCCATAACATAAACGTGCACGGTGAAGCTGCAAGTGCTGATGTAGGAGCTGCAGCAAGTAATCCAGAAGATCCAGTTAAGGCCGCTGAAAAAAGATGGCTACACTACCCAACAGATTTTAAGCATAAACCAAAGAGCATTCTATTGGAAGATTATGCTATCTAGGACTTACCTAGCTAGAGAGAGAAGTCAATGTCTGGCTTTAATGCTTCAAAGGACAGGCTTACTCTCTTGGTAGGAGCTAATGAAGTTAGTGTCTAAATTCAAGCTAGTGCTCACTGACTATTCCAAAAATCCTAGGGCCCTTAAGAATTTCACTAAATCATCTCTGCCTGTGGTCTACAAATGCAACAAGAAGGCTGGATGATAGTACATCTGTTTACATCATGGTTTACTGAATATTTTAAGCCCACTCTTGAGATTTATTGCTCAGAAAAAAAGATTTCTTTCAAAATATTACTGTTCATTGACAATGTACCTCATAACCCGAGAGCTCTGATAGAGATGTTCAAGAAGATTCATGTTGTTTTTATGCCTGCTAACACTACATTCACTGTGCAGCCCATGGATAAAGACATAATTTTGACTTCCCACTCTTATTATTTAAGAAATATATTTTTAAGGCTATAGCTACCATAGATAGTGATTCCTCTGATGGATGTTGCCCAAGTAAATTGAAAACCTTCTGGAAAAAATTCACCATTCTACATGCCATTAAGAACATTTGTAACTCATGGGAGGAAGTCAAAATATCCACATTAACAGGAATTTAAAAGAAGTTTCTTCCAATGTTCATGGATGACTTTGAGGGTTTCAAAACTCCAGTGAAAGAAATAAATGTAGATATTGTGGAAATAGCAAGAGAAGTATAATTAAAAGTAGAGTTTGAATCTGTGATTGAATTGATGAAATCTCAGATAACCTCCTCCTTTCATGGAGGAGATGCTTCTTTTGAATGAGCTAAGGAAGTCGTTTCTTGAGATGGAATCTACTGCTGATGAAGATGCTGTGAACGCTGTTGAAATGACAACAAAGAATTTAGAGTATTATATAAACCTAATTGACAGAGCAGTGGCAGGCTTTGGGAGGATTGACCCCAATTTTGAAAGCAGTACTAGTGTGTATAAAATGCTATCAAACAGCATTTTATGCTAAAGAGAAATATTTTGTGAAAAGAGTTCTAGATGCAACAAACTTCACTGTTGTCTTATTTTCAGAAATTGCCACAGCTTTCTCAACCTGAAACCACCAACACTATGATCAGCCAATAGCTATCTACACTGAGGCAAGACCCTCCACCAGCAAAAACATTATGTCTTGCTGAAGGTTCACGTTGTTAGCATTTTTCAGCAATAGCATATTTTAAAATTAAAGTATATACATTGTATTTTTAGACATAATATTATTGCACAGTTAATAAAGTATGGTATAAACAACTTTTATATGCATTGCAAAATGAGAAAATTCACATGACTAACATTACTGTGATACTTGCTTTACTGTGGTCATCTGGAACCAAATTGCAATATTTCTGAGATATGTCTATTACTTTACCATTCTGAAGGTGAGAAGTCTGAAATGGGTCTCACTAGGATAAAGTCAGGTTGTCTGCAAGGTTATGTTCTTTCTACAGGCTCATGTTATTTCTGCAGGTTCCAGGGGAGAATCCAGTTGCTTGCCTTTTTCAGCTTCTAGAAGTTGCCTGCATTCCTTGACTTGTGACCCCATTTCATCTTCAAAAACAGCAAGGGCCAGACCCCATTTCATCTTCAAAAAAAGCAAGGGCCATCTCAGTTTGTCCCACGTGTAATCATTGCCTCACTCTTCTGCCTCCCTCTTCCACATTCACAGACCCTTGTGATCACAAAGGGCCAACCTGGGTAATTCAGGATAATTTCCTTATTTTAAAGTCAGCTGATTAACAACTTTATTTTTATCTGCTAACCTAATTCCCCTTTGTCATGTAATGTAACATATTCATATTTTCCTGGGATTATGATTTAAACAGCATTAGGAAGCCATTATTCTGTCTACCACAGATACCGCCATTTTATTTGAATGTTTGACTTAGGTTTGAACTGAATTTCATGACCCTATCAAATAACTCATTGCAGTTTCTTTGGTCTATATAAGCTGACACATATGAATAAATTGCCCTTATACTTTCTATTGTTTTCAGCCTGGAATATCATTCACTATTCAGTGCAAATTTTAAACACTGTAGTTTTATTTTTCAATAGAAGATCTAATGTTTTTATAAATGACATACCAACCTTTAAATTATGTTTTACAAACCAAACAATCATTGCAGAATTGAAATACAAGAGTAGAAACTCTCTTAGAAATTTAAGAAATGTCTTTGTATCATTATATGTGAATAAAAGAAACTCATGTACTGGAAATGTTAACTTTGTTTACTTATTGACCAGCCATGTCCATAAGTACCAATTTTACAAAATATTTAGACACCAAATGTCAAGATTGATTGGATTTATCAATTGATCCATATGTAAGAAAATTATCTCTATTTAAATAACCAAAATCAAAATATACATACATATTAGATCATTTTAAACTCAAGAAAAGGCTTTCTAAGCCCAATGCGACAGCCCTTTTGTTGTTTCCAGGTAAATCTGGAATTTATCTTTCTGTTTCCATTTTTAAACCTAGAATCTTTCTAGAAAAATAACATTGTAATTCAGTTGTATGCTTGGTTGAATCCTCTATCACATAGGAAAGTAGTTTTGCCTTATGAACCTTTTTACATTTCAAAGCTTCTTCCCCGTCCAATGAAAATAATAGTTTGTAGTTCTTTTCATCTTTGTATCATGAAAATTCAATTTCCTTTCCCTCTAAACTTTTATATATTTTTTTAACCCTTCCTATCATAAACTGTGTCATTTGGTATTTTGCCATAACTGTTTCCTTTATAGTACAGTTTATTTTTGGCCCTGCAGATAACTTTTAAAATGTCATAAATTAATATTGCTTGCATTTTTAATCAGATTACCTTTTCCTGGTGTAGGTTTTTTCCTGACAAATCTCCTGACATTCATATGAAACATACATGGGGTTATGTGGAAACCTTCCAATTAAAGACTGAAGGGTTGTAATTTGTCCAATTATTTTATCAGCATCTTAAAATAAGCATAAATTACCATGTGACCTAGGCAAATTAGTAATGTGCCTTTGAAAGACTACATGAGGGCCAACAAGATGTAAGCTTATTAAGTGAAGTAGAGAATGGATACTCAATGATTCACTATAGAATAGGAAATAAGATCTCAAATTCCAAACTAAGGATATATAAGATTGTAGCATCTAAGTGTTATTACAGTTAACTTCCTAACAATAGAATTTCATAAAACTTTAGAGGTAGAAGAGACATACTCCTAATTTCACCTGCAAAAGCTGAGATGTAGAGAGTATAGATTTGTACAAGGCCATGTGGTCATTAGCTGGCTAAGGACAATGTTCATGTCTCTGCTGTTTGTGCTTCATCTGGTCACGGGAGGGCAGCAAGTCCATTCTGAAGTTTCAATGGTTGTTACTACAATGGCATGGAGGAAGATCTATGTGTTTCCTGCTTAGTCAGCCTGTCCTAGAGAGAAGACCTGAAGGTTTCTTACCTCATGGAACTAACTGGAAGGAGTTACAGCTGCTATGGAAAGCCATTCAGCAGCTAGAACTCACTCATAAGAACTCATGAGTTCTCTTACATGGTATTATTCATATTCAGACACACGCAACAATTCAAGCATAAACATGTCAAAAGTGTAAACAGAAATTCATATTATTGAACTATAATAAAGTAACAACATGTCCTTAATGATTCAGGACTGTCAAGCATTCATTATGTTGGGGAACTGTTTGATAAATCAGAAGGGAAGAAACCTCATGAGAGCATAACATTGCTTGAAGGCCTGATAGCCCTCCAAAAGTAGATCATTGGTATCATTACAATATATTGAGATATATTTTCTAATGGTATTATAAAATAGAGATCAGCTGGGAGTGGTGGCGCACGACTGTAATCCCAGCACTTTGGGAGGCAGGGGCAGGTGGATCACGAGGTCAGGAATTCGAGACCAGCCTGACCAACATGGTGAAACTCTGTCTCTGTTAAAAATGCAAAAATTAGTTGGGCATGGTGGCACGCGCCTGCAATCCCAGCTACTAAGGAGGCTGAGGCGGGAGAATCACTTGAACCTGGCAGGCGGAGGTTGCAGTAAGCCAAGATCACACCACTGCACTCCAGCCTGGGCAACAGAGTGAGACTCTGTCTAAAAAATATATATAATTTTTCCACATTTTAGAACATAAAAATGTAGTAAAACTAAGCTGTGTGTCTGAATTTAATTCATATCTCTTAGTCTTAACATCCATTACCAGTGTGTCAATATAATGATGATGTTGATAGGAGTATTTTTTCCTCCCTAGTAACCAAATTAGGCTTCCAGTGACCAAATTAGATAATTAAAATTTCTTAAAATCATGTCTTAATATATCTTAATACTTATCAGTATTATTCACAGGATTGATGTTTAAAGGAAATGCTGTTTAGCTGTGGGAAAAACAAAAACCAATAATGGTTGTATTGGGGTCAACTATTCTTTTACTTCTTTACTTTCCAAATTTTCTTTATAAGTATGCTTGAATTTTATAAAGGAAAAGAGAATTACTGCATCTATTACGTTTTTAAGCTGCATATTTTGTCTCAAATTATACATTTTGATGGTCCCTCGTGGTCTAGTGGTTAGGATTCAGCTCTCTCAAATTATAAATTCCATTTTGAGGGCCTCAGTTGCAATTTTCTAAAGATTTCCTTTTAAAAAATGCAGGGACAAATTGTCCCTGTCAAAACTGTGTCTATTAAAAGCTATCAACCTCTTTAAGTATGTTGTTGCCGCTGCATCCCAAAGGATCTTCTGAGGGACACACTTATAAATTAAATTTTCAGGCAGCTTTGAAACATCTCTTTCATAAGAGAGTGTCCTGTGTTAGTCTCCAAGACTCACAGAGTTATTTGAGCTTTGGCCTGAGCACCATGGCCTTCCCACTGGGTCCTTTTTCTTCTTCAAAAGCTGTCCTTTGACAGGGCCATTCGGCTTGTGTGAAAGAAGAGACACATCTGAGAACCTGATGAGTTTCAGTTGGGCTGTCAGGTCAACCCTGTGTGAAAAGCTGGCTCTGGAGAGTGTGGTGATGGCCTATAGGTTGTCACTATGTTTGAAACAAGTGACTGGGAGCTCTTTTTTGAAGGGCTTATACTCTGAGTTGGCATTTGGGACACATTTTATCTCACAACCTTGCTAGTTCCTAACTCTTGAGTGGAACCCCCAACTCTGTGAGGAATTCTCAGATAACAAAACCTGAACAGAAGGACAGAGCAAAAAATACTGGGTTTAGCTGCTAGGGATTTCAAGAGAAAATGAGCCAGCCAAGAGCACGGGAATCTACCTAAGCAGTGTGCTTCTTTGGCAGGCTTTTAAAAATAAAACCCCAATATTAGGTCATTTCAGGACTCTTCGAATCAGGCTTTGATCCTCCAGAGTTTCATCTGAGGATGAAATGAGGAAGAGACTAAGAAAGGAGAAATCTTTATTAAGTTTGTATTTATCTGGGTTTCTTTACAAAGTAATAATATTCATTTTTTCTATCAACTTCTCTTAGACATGGAAAATCTGACCTTGAATATCTAAAAAGGCAAAGTTGACTTTACATGTGACCAGTAGATACATTCATAACCTCCAATAAACAAGGGGATATTTACATTTCTATAGAGTATTATGAACAACTCATAAATTGTTTTGTATTTGATATAAAATCATACAAACCATAGTGATGTCTATTTGTACATTGTATAGGTTGAGAAACCAAAGACCAAAATATTTAGTTGACTTTTTCAAGGGCAATAGGCTACTGAAACAGCTAGGTGGACAAGAAATAGGGCTCCTAAGTTCCCTAACATAATGTTTTTATGTATGATATCAGGGGACATGCCCTAGGAGAAATTTATTTTGAGACTTGCCTTGACATCAGCTGATAGTTTTCAACTAAGACCATCAGTCACTTAAGTTCTGCACACAATACAGAAGTTATTCAAGGTGGATATCAGTAGCATGTTCAGGAATTGCTGGGATATAGAAACATATTTAAAAATTGAGAGCCACTTAAAGGACATTACTAATACCGTAAGTATGGAAGGGAACAGGAGAATCTGTGTTGAGAGTCTATTTCATTAAATGCAAAGAGTTTGAGAAGAGGATTAAGCATGGGTAAAACTGGAAGCACAGAATATGAGGAGGAAGATAAAATGCAGTAGTGAAGCAAGAGATATATTTCCAATTAAACAAACTAAAAGTTTTCCATGGGTTCCCAGAAAATGAGGCAAGAAGGCATTAATGCTAGGAAGGCTCTAAAAATCTTAGATATCAATGTTGCATGAATAAATGAAAGAAGCACTCAAAACCAGAAACATTTTTCCTCATTGCTGTGACAAGGAAATGAAGGTAGAAACAGTATCAGCCAGGTGTGGTGGTGTTGCAGCATATTTCCCTAGTTCAGTTAAAGACTGGGTTCTTGTCCATATCACCGCCACGAAAATTTAGGCTCCCAAATGGCGTAAAGGGTGAGTAAAGCAGGGTTTTATTGGGTGAAAAGAGAAATGGGGCTCCTCTGCAAGGCCAGAGTCCCCTGTTAGAGCGCTTCCCACCACCCTTCTAATCCCAGGTTTCACACGGGAAGAGGAGGGGCCAGGCTCCTCCCCACTACAAACTTCCCGAGGTTACAGCTCAGTGGACAGGCTGGTTGGAGTTTCTCCAGGGACCCCCTCCCACCTGGCTGTCTCATTCCTCCATCTAAAGAAGTACGTGTGGCCGGGTGCATTGGCTCACACCTGTAATCCCAGCACTTTGCGAGGCCAAGGGGGGTGGACCACCTGAGGTCAGAAGACCAGCCTGACCAATATGGAGAAGCCCCGTTTCTACTAAAAATACAAAAATTAGCCGGGCATGGTGGCGGGTGCCTGTAGTCCCAGCTACTCGGGAGGCTGAGGCAGGAGAATCGCTTGAACCTGGAAGGCAGAGGTTGCAGTGAGCTGAGATCATGCCACTGCACTCCAGCCTGGGAGACAGAGCGAGACTCTTGTCTCAAAAAAAAAAAAACAAAACAAAACAAAAAGTACATCTAACTGCCCTTAGAATAAGAACGAAGACTGATCTTAACTGCTTTCTGCTAACAGGAGGCGCTATTTTGGGGAAGCGGCAGTCAGAGCTTCCCTAGAGGCCTAAGGGGTCCCAGCAGAAGGGGCTATCGTCAGACGCTCTGGTTGAATGACTGTTTGGAGTTTGATGTCCTGAAGGCAAGAACAGACAAACTGGGTTATTAGAAAACATGTATTTAAATGAAACAAGGGGAGGGGTAAGAACAGCTAAAAAATTCCAAGGCCTTTTACCAGTTTGCACAGGGAGAGGGAGGCCAAAAGCCCGACTGGTTAAAAAACTATGCTTTTGCTGGCAGGTTGGGCTTCTGGGTTCCCTTCTCCTGAGCCCAATCCTAAACCAACCAGTTTAAGGGTTGGGAAATTAACTCTTTCCAGTTTGGAGGCTTCATCTGAGGGGAGTCTCCCATAGTACAGAGACACAATTACATATCAGTGAAGAGAGGATCCGAGGAGAAAGGAATAAAAAGGCATTTTTCAAAGGAGTCCCAGGGTTTCAGCATGCATTCTAAAGGGATACAGGCAGAAGATGAATGGCTACCCATTTAGAAAGAGGGGAGCAAGTGTCCCTGGTTCCCTTCTCTTCCTATCAGATACCCAGGGTATGTAGGGCAGAGAGGGAAGAGTGTCCACTTTCCCTCTTCTGTCCTTGCATCCACGAGCTCCAGCGACTTTGGCAGGCACCACCGTGAGTGCAAAAGTGACTTGAACCCATGAAGCGGGGGGGGCTAGAGAATAGGAATTATCCACTCTCACCTATGTCTCTTTCCCACCTACTGCCAGTAGCCTTGGAGTTCCCTAGACCTCATTTATGCCATGGATATTAACGTGGCCTTTATCCATGAAACAGGAAGCTTGCGGCTGGCTTAAATGGCAGGAATCAGCCACACTCACCTAAGCTGTGCCTTTTAACCTCTGCTTGCCTCTGGATCCCTTAGATCCAGTTCTCTTTCCTAGAGCTTTGACCTAAAGCTTGGAATTGAGTCTGGGACAAAAATATGTCTCAGGGGGGTTGCATGGACTCCTTATCATAAGCCAAATCTAAGGTGAAACTGTGGAACTGAGTCCTCCTCCAACAAGGGAGAGGAAAGGATGTCTTGTGACATACCCATCTAACTGCTGGCTATAGTTAGGCTTGCTGGGATTTGGGTGAATGGTGCTTGGCTTTGGTTAGTTCCCTTGGTCTTACTTTCCCAAAAGGAAACCTCTGGGTGATGGGCACACTATTTATTCCATCACCGGATAGGATTTGCAGGATAATTGCTCAGAACTAGAGTATCAATCCGGATTCCTACATTACTCATCCTGTTAGTTCTTTCTGAGCTGCAGCCAGAGATTGCTGGTAGGGTCACAGGAACAAGCAGGGTTAGTGTAAAATGTAGGCAAAAACTTAAAAACAACTAATGAGTTTCAAATTTAATGACAGATGTATGGTAAGTTTGATGAGTTTTGGGACATAATTTCTCCTTCCAGTCCTCAATTTTGTTACCAAAAAAAAAATATGATAGGACTGAGTAGTTTGCAAAATAGACTTGGCTTGATTATTGGCATAAAGTACAGCAAGAATAATTATTTCTACAAAGGCCTTTTGTATTGGCTTTGATGGAAGTTTGTTCCACAAGGAATCTCAGATAAGACCTTTTAAAGCCCAGCCCAACCATGGGTTTGCATCCTCAAAAACCTGTGAGCTGGGTGATCCTCTCCTCTTGAGGTCCCAAGATAAACTTGGAGTTCCTAGACCTGTTAGAAAGTGACACTCTTTACTGAACACAAGTCAGGAACCCTGATTAGGGACTGTGTAGAGGAGGGTCTCAGGCCAGTCTCCCATGGAGCTTTTATCGGCTCTGTAAGTCGAACTTGACTCCTTATAGGGAAGCATACCCTTCCAGTCAAAG
Source organism: Homo sapiens (assembly GCF_000001405.40). Lineage (NCBI taxonomy): Eukaryota > Metazoa > Chordata > Mammalia > Primates > Hominidae > Homo > Homo sapiens. Next base: position 21,545,669 of record NC_000003.12, on the reverse strand, counting down.
TCTTGATAAAATAACAGTTTTTTTCCAATTGTGTTCTAATGCAAAAGAAAAATGGATTTTTATTGCTGTCATCCAAACAACTATATTGCCATAAGAATACTCATAGTTTCCAAATTCTAGAGGAGCCAGGCAGAGGGAAACAAACATGCTCCAAATTCTGATCACAGGAGTGTATACCTTATTTATTAAAAAACTTTAAATAGTTCAAAATAAGTTTCCTTGACTCTGAAAAACAGAACATAGATCAGCAATATTCCAGGCAAAAGTCAAAAAAGTTGCTTCTGCTTTGAGTTCAGTCCATTTAGTAAACTCTTGCTTTGCTTGATATTCACGAGCATTTCAGCTCTTCATGAGTCTTGTACATTTTCCTTTATTCCAATGTTACAATCTCTAAAGTTATCACAAGTCTGTATTTGAGAGCACCTGTTAAAGTTCTATAGCTCATTTTAAACCATCTTTGAAAAGGATTAAAACAAGACAAAAATTGTCTGTGAATAGCAAAATATCCAGGGTAGTTACAGTTAGAAACACAACAGGGAAAGAAGTTTAGTTATCTCTATGGTTTACAATAACTTAACAACCTTCATTATGATTGATGGCATATACTTAGCCATTAGTTTTAGAAATCCCATACAATTTTCGAACATATGTTAGCATTATTCACCAAGATATAACCTAAGGAAGATTGAACATCATTTTGGCAATCCTGTATACGTGAACACGTCAAATAATCCTGTTTGCCTCTCTTTTCTGGACACTTCAGGGGCCCTCTGAAGTATTCGCAAAGCCAGGTGCCAGGGAAGACAATTTTGAAACTGAAGTTTGATTTTGGTTAGGCTGCTAAATGTTCGAGGTCTAAAACACTTAATATTATGAAACAGAATTCCAGATTGCCAAAAAGTTATTTATTTTGCCAAAATGATGACTCAGAAATTTTAAAGAAGCAAAAACCTTTCATGAATCTTTATAAATTTTGCCGAAGACCAGATTAGCATTTTAAGAATACCTTCTGATTGTATTTCAATGCTCAATTTGCAGAAAAACCACATAATACCTTTTTTTGAATTCAGTCAATATGTTCACACAGAGAACCTCTTTTTCAAGATTAATTTCCAGAATTTTTCCAACACTTCTTTGAACCTTCAGCTTTTTCCTAACTCAAAACAATCCTGTAACCCTAGGCGAAAGTTTACATTTCCACACCTTCTTATAACCTTTCACTAAAAAAAACACAAAACACATTTTACTGTTCCTACACACCTTGCATGCAAATCCATTTCTAGTAATGTCGATAAACTCCTAGCAATTTTTAACTTTAAGGGAAAACTTGATAAGTTGCCTTAATTGTGTGCTAACTGCAGCCACGTTTTGCCTTCTTAGTCAAGTCTGTGGTTAGTTCCATATGTCCCCAGGCCTTACCAATTGCGAAGCTGGCAAAGCAAATAGTTCTCAAAACCCAACAAGCAGTTTAACCTCAAAACACTTGCATCTGACCTGCATTTTACTAAGTCTTTAGGGCTGTTTTTATTTCTTAAAGATTAAAGCCACGTGAACTGAAAGGTACCACAGATTTTATCTGCCCTTTAAAAAATATTAGATCCAAGTGCTTGTCTTTCTTTAGGACAAATTAATTAGAACTCTTTTTACGGACATCACACACTACACACACACAAAAAAATCCAGTCGCTAGGTGGGGTCCTTTAAGAAACAGGGCTAGGAAAACATGCAGATATCAAACCAGAAAGAAACTTACTTCCTAAGGCAGGATTGCTAAACAAAGCCTTGCCACCAGTTACAAGCCATGCCCTCAGGATGTAAAACAACATGGAGGCTTCATTTCACAACCAAAACTTTGCAGAAAATATAAACAGCGATAGCTGCGGGGCTGGGGGGCCTACCTTAATACAACATCTTCTAGAAAGAAAGAAAAAAAGAAACTTTAAAAGTTAACTTGCTGACAGGACACAGAAGGGGAAAGAAAATCAACAGTTTAAGAATGCCTGGGGAAGAACCTCTTATTCTTATGCAACTGTTTCCTCCACCAGTTGCATAAGAAAAGTTAAAGCTTAATTACTGTCGGATGGAGTAGAACCCCTTGGGTGGGGAAGGGGAAGGCTGCAGACGCTTGTGGCTGGGAACCAGCCAACCGGCTGTGCGGGACCCTTAGGCCATGCATCCCAGCCCCGCAAGGAGTGGGGAGCGGCTGGGAACTGCTGCTCGCTAGTCCGTCTGGAAAAAGGAAAAGACCGTGAAAAGGCCCCCGACCCCCAGGAGCGACAAGGGGTGGGGAGCGGTCTCCCATATGCTCAGAAGTTGCAGGATGAAAAGTCTTAGAAACAAGGGTGAGCGGTTTTCCGAGATAGTCCCGCTCTTGTCGCGCAGGCTGGAGTAGAGTGGCGTGATCTTGGCTCACTAAAACCTCCGCCTCCCAGCCAGCTTCAAGTGATTCTCCTGCCTCAGCCCCCTGTGTAGCTGAGATTACAGGCGCGCGCCACCACACCGGCTTATTTTTGTATTTTTACTAGAGAGGGGTTTCACCATGTTGGCCAGGCTGGTCTCAAACTCCTGACCTCACGTGATCCGCTCGCCTTGGCCTCCCAAAGTGCTGGAATTACAGGCATCAGCCACCGCGCCCGGCCAACAGTGAGAGGTTTTGAGTCCCCCTTTCACTCACCTCTTCAAGAGCCCCAACGTTGCACGCCAAGAATGTTGCAGGACTTTTCCTTCCTTCATCTGAAGACTGGGTTCTTGTCCGTCCCAAGGCCAGGAAAATTTAGGTTTGGAGAAGGTTTAAAGGGTGAATAAAGCAGGGTTTTATCGAGTGAAAGTCGGCGGGAAGAAAAAAAGGGAAACAAGTTTCCTCCGCAAGGTCAGAGTTCCCCGATCGAGGCTTCCTGTCGGCCCTTGAAATCGCAGGTTCCACACAGGAAGAGGAGGGGCCAGGCTCCTCCCTATTGAACTTCCTGAGGCTACACCTCAGTGGGCAGGCTGATTAGAGTTTGTCCAGGGTACCCCCCTCACCTGGCTGTTTCAGTGGCACACACCTGTAATCCCAGTGCTTGAGGAGGTGGAAGTAAGAGGATCACTGGCAGGCCAAGGGATTGAGAGCAGCCTGGGCAACACAGCAAGACTATCTCTCCAAAAATCTTAAAAAATTAGCCGGGCATGGTGGTGCGCACCTGTAGTCCTAGCTACTTGAGAAGCAGAGGTTTGAGGATTGCTTGAGCCCAGCGGTTCGAGGTTGCAATGGGTACTGATCACACCACCGCTCTCCAGCCTGGGCAGCAGGCTGACACCTCATCATCTCTGGGAAAAAAAAAAAAAGAAAGAGAAGAAAAACCCAGGAATCTCTAAGATGGTTTAAGTTTCATAATTTCTGCATTTTGATAAAAATGAAGTTTAGGCTTCCTTTTCCACAGTGACTACTCTCTCCACAATGCAGGATTCATATCCTAAGTAACTGATTCTCTGAAACCTAAACATGAAAATTCACATATTTTTAAAGGGAAGTAAATAAGTGCAATTAGACTTGAGCATGACCTAGAAACTTGTTCTTATGATTCTGAAAGCTTGTTTTGTAGAAGCCTCCGAGTTTTAGTTTATTTGAAAAAAAATTACTATTGTCAAACATCCCCAAATTTTAGCTTTATGATTGTGAATATTTCAGAGTGCACCAGCGCTGATGAAATCTTTATTAGCTATGGAATAAAATCCTTGATGAAAACCAGTTGCCCACAAATTGCTGGATATACATATCTATTAAAATTTTAATCAGTTTTTTTGTATCTCTTTTTACAACTGTATACACTTCTTAAAGTATTAGTAGGCACTAACAAAACTTATAGAAACCAAAAGTAGAAACTAGATTAGTGGTCACCAATAATTGAAAATCTCAAAGATAAAATTTGCTCATTCCATTTCATTAATCCTAGTTCCTGTTTATCAAGACTCTTGCTTTTTTTGTTATATTTTGTTATAATTTATTTCAGCATATCATAAATAATCAGTTTCATCCTAGTCCTGAAAACTAGGACAGTAGGAGGGTTTGTTCCTGGTCAGATGAGCAAAGAAATTTAAGAAAAGGTAACTCATATTAATGTCTATTCCTGTGTAATTTGGGGTTTTGTGGCCATTCGTATCCTTCCCTTCCTAACAGTTGCTATTTGTTGTTGTCTAATTTTTACTGAGCCCTATCCTCTGTATTAACTAGAGTAATTGTGATGAAATAATTTACCTTTCTCAAGTGTCTCCATGGCCAAAAATGTCTATGTAGAAAAAATGAACTTTATTTTTAGAGCAGTTTGAGGCTCACAGTAGTATTAAGCAGAAGGTACAGAGATTTCCCATTTACCTTCTGCCCCCAAATCTGTGTAGCACCCATTCATTTTTAACCTTCTTCACACTAAAGTTTCTTATGGTGATTGGTTTAAGAGTGGTGATTTGGTTTTATTCTCTAATTAAGGGGAATGAAATTGTACCAGGCATGCATAAATTACACACTGCATTTGGATTACGTTGCTAGAATTTCTTAGATGACTTATCAGAATTTGAAAAGATGAATGTATTCTTTCATATTCTACAGATCTTTGCACAATCCAGGTACTACTATATTAGAACACTGTACTTACACCCAACACTGGCCCAGATTCACCTTTTATGAAGCCTACCAAACCTCATTTTAAATGCAAAATACTGCCTCTGGGATCTGTTGTCTCAGTCCAAATCTGTGTTTTGATATAAATTGAATCTGATAGTGGTAAAGATTGCAGTCGTTTGGGGAAGTCTTACCTCGTGAGGAGGGAGTTGAAGAGAAACGGAGGCAAGATATGCCATGAAAGTTTAATTCTCTGTGTACATGTGATTTTCAGTGGTACTTCGAGAAGTAGATCTTTTCATAATCACATAAGTAACATTCAGGGTATGTGGTTACTCTTTATTGGGCATAAATGAGCTTTTAAATTTCTTGTTTACGAAATCTGTGGAGATTGACGTATGGCAAATTATTCTTATCAGGTTTATCGGGACATCAGGTTCATCTTCACAACTTTTAACCTTCTCTTAGATTCCTTTATAAATAAGTTTTCAGAAGGTAGTCTCTGAACAGGTTTTATCCATTTCCCAAGCAGAGCTTATTTTCTCTGCATCAGCGAACTTGTCATGATAATCAACTTTTTTCGTCCCAACCATCAATCACTCTTGATTACAGCTGGGTAGAAGTTCTGTTCCGTTGATCAGCTCATCAGTGCACATAATATTACACCTGGAGGCCAGTACAAATCATCCCCCGAGGGGAAAAGCATTTTCCTTCAAGGCTTTTGTCGATGGTTTTATCATTTACATTTAGGTCTCATTGAGTTGTCATGTCTATCTTTGACTCTATCTTCTCTCTCATATAAAATATTCTACCAAAATAGCTCTCAAAATTTGCTTGATTGTTTGTGCTATATTGTTATTATTCTGCTTTTGCCTATTTAATTCAAAAAAAGGAGCTTATAATCTATTGTATTTTTATTATCATAGTAAGCTTTCTCCAGCTTCTAACTAAATGCATATGAATTATACTTCGATGAATATTCAGTAATTCTGTAAAAAGCAGTGTAGCCTATGTATTACTAGAACGTTTGCAAGTCTAATTTTGTTTATTTTTAATGGTCTCTTAAGTTAGGTTTTTGTTTTATGTTTTGGCTTGGGCTAGGGAATATGTATCTTTAATTTTCATCTTATTTTAAGTAAAACTAACTAGCTATCTTCATGGTTTAAAAAGACATAGAGAAGTAAATATTTTAAAATCAATTGCTCAAAATCAGCATTACTCTTATGCTGTGTTTGTAGTAAAAATATTTCTTATTTCTCCAAGCCAACCCATATTTCTTAAGACCGTAGCATTATCAGAAAAGTTACTATAACAATGATAAAACATTATCATGGTAGAACATTTATTGGTTTCATAAAATATTTAAAATAAATATATGATTTTTAAAAACATTTAATATATTCTTTGTGTATTCCATAAAGAAACTATTTTTCTCTTTCTTGTATTTTGTTGTATTTTTATCACTTTATAAAATCTGAAACAATAATTTAGAGAATCATTTTAACATTTAGAGTACAAAGCATAAAGAAAACAAACTAACATATGAAATTACTGAATAATGTGGATTTAATTAGAAGTCATGTCCTTCTATTAAAAGGCCTAATTACAAAAATTAAAATTTCTTTTATGGTTGAACTGCCTATGACAGTGATATATATCTATTTTTGATTGAAATAGGCCAACAGAGAGTTCTGTGTTTTTATTTGATACCAGCATTTAGATATTATTGGTTCTTAATTTAATCCGTGAAACAAAACCAGGGCAAAATGGCATCAATTAATGAGAAAGTGATCTATGTAGAAATGTAGAAGCCACACAGCACTGAATAGGCATTCAGTGTTTTGAAAAGCTGAACTAAACATTCAGACTGGCTCACTGATGTCTCTGTGGTCTTGAATCTTCCTGGGATAGGAGTTGATCAGGTTTGTCAAGGGTTGCATTATTATTATGCAGGTTTAAAAATTAACTTGAATATTTTGCTGCACCCACTCCCTTTGTTCCGTATTAGCTGAAAACTAGTTCATCTCTTCTCAGACCAGAGAGACTAGTCAAATGGTTTACCACAAGGAACTTGTCATTTTAGCCCACAGTATGGTTTTTTATACATGAAACAGAACTTTTAAACTTTAGCCACAGTGTATGAGCTAATGCTTGACTTTGAATCACCCCAACATAAGTGGCAATATTTGTATATTTATAAAACACTCAGATTGGCTGAAAAATGTATTTATGTACTTATTGTAGACAGTGTAATATGAAATGATAAATCTTTAGTTTACATAAATAACTTAAAGAAGAGTTTCCCTTTCCCCCCTCCATGCCCCAACCACAGTTTTTTCCCTGTGGAGATACTGAGATATGCAGTTCACACCGTATAATTCTATTGGCACATTACATGTTGGCAGAACATTTGATGCAGGTTTAGGAAGTAACACAGTGGTGGTGGGATCCAGTTTCTAAAATTTTGACCCTGCCATCTCCTCTAACTTGAAACAAGTTGCTAATCTTTAAAATAAAAAATGCCAAGAATTAAAACCTCAGTGGAAGCAGAGATTCCACTGAAGTTATTTTATGTACAGAACCAAGTTTCTTTGGTTTTTAAACAAACTCCTAGGTCACTGAAGAGTGTAAAAGAGTGAAAGTTAACATATCACACAACCTATCCTATCTCATGAAGAGAGATATATTCTCTCAAAAGGGTTTCCAATTCTGCTTCACAGAAGAAATGTTTCTGTATCTGGAAATGGAGGGAAGGGAGTAAGTTATCAATACAGACTTCCAGATGACCCCCATATTTGTATCTCCAGCTGATTCTCTCCCTCAACTCCATACTCAGATATTTGCCTGCTCACTCAATATCTGCACTTGTTTACCTAATAGATTCCTCATACCTAAAACTTCCAAAACCAAAGGCCGCATCTCAGTCCTCCAAAACCAGAGAACATTCCTCTTATGATGGCAACTCCATCCCTCTGGTTCCACTGGCTAAACATATTGGAGTCATTCTTACTCCTATTTCACACACTAGATTCAATCTTACAGAATGTTACATATACCTCCAAAATATATCCAGAATCTGACTGCTTCTCACCATCTTCATGCCACCCCTTTGGTCCAAGCCACCATTGTCTCTCATCTGTATTATTGTAAAATTCTTAATCATTCTCCCTGCTTCTACTCCCTGTGTTCATCATTTTAAAAATATAAGCCAAGAGCAGGTGGCTTTTCTGTTGAAAATCTTCTAATGGTGCTGCATTTCACTTAGATTAAAAGGCAAAATCCTTAGATTTCATAGGCCACGCAGCTCTATGAAACATGGCCTCTGGGAGACTTTTGTGCTTCATCCTCTCCCACTGCCCACCTCACTCACTCCTTTTCGGCCTCACTGGCCTCCTGGCCAGGTCCAAGACTATGTGAGGCACTGATCTTGGGTGTGAAATTTAAGAGGGTTCTAGAAAAACTCAGTAATCTAGACAAATAATATTTTAATAAATATTTAAATGATAAAATTAGCAAGCTGTGGCCCATGAGCTAGCTGCCTGCTTTCGTAAAGAAAATTTTATTATAATCAGGTGAGTAAGACAGGGTTGTACTAGCACAGGGTCACATCGTGTCTTTTTAAAAAATGTTGGGCCGGGCGTGGTGGCTCACACCTGTAATCCCAGCAGGTGATTACAGATGCCTGTAACCCGAGGCAGGTGAATCACCTGAGGTCAAGAGTTCAAGACCAGCCTGGCCAACATGATAAAACCCCGTCTCTACTAAAAATACAAAAAATAGCCAGGTGTGGTGGCAGGCACCTGTAATCCCAGCTACTTGGGAGGCTGAGGCAGGAGAATCGCTTGGACCCAGGAGGCGGAGGTTGCAGTGAGCTGAGATCACGCCACTGCACTCCAGCGTGGGTGACACAGCGAGACTCCATCTCATAAAAAAAAAAAAAAAAAAAAAAAAGTTGATATTTTGTTCACCATGAATTTCTGTTTTGCATTGATTTTAATTTTTTAAGCTATAACATTAAAATGTTATTCATCTTGATTACTTAGTTTTTTAGTGTCCCTGAAATTTTGCTTCCTTGACAAGTGCTACATTAACCTTACTGTAGTCATGACTCTGTCGTTACTATACCTTGAGTGCACCAGGCTCACTCTTTCCTCTCAGCCTTTGCAGTGACTCTTCTCTCTGTCTGGAATACTCTTCCCTCCGATTTCTGCGTGCTTTGCTTCTTCAAGCTATACTCAAGTGTCGTCATCTCTTGATGCTTACTCTGGCCACTGTATTTAAGATTCAGACCCCATCATCCCCACTTTCCTTACCTGATGGTTTTTCTCCTAAGCACTAATTGCGTTTTAATATTCTACATAATTATTTATTATGTATATTGCCCAACTCCAATTAGAAGGTAAGCTCTATAAGGGCAAAAATTTTTGCCTGTTTGGTTCACTGTTTTATCTAAGTATTAGAGTATTGCTTCATATATAGTGCTTAATAAATACTAATTAAATGCATAAATTAATGACCAAATAAATATCATGATGCTTGCCAGTTATATACATCCAAGCCTTCTTTTATTTAAGCTCTAAAATATTTCAGCCCTCCCCAAACTGGGCTTCCTCCTCTTTCCAACTCAAACCATAGAAGCCTACACACCATGACAATAAATGGAGACAACATTAGGAGAAATGGGAGAAGCTATCTTTGCCCCAATTCATTCTTGGTAAAGGAATGTGGTCTTCTTCCTGTGAACTTACTCCATTTTCTGACATCATAATACTTTTTCTGGTCATGGACATTAGTTTTATAGTGGATCCAGGCTTTTCTTACTATCTTAGCACTAAGCATATTGCTAGAGTCCTCCATTACCTACTTCATCAACAAATAAGATGAATACCTGGTGATAAATTCCCAATTGTCAGCTAGGGAAATAGTAAAACGAAAGAGACATATACTTTTTTTCCAAATAAGTTGTTACTGTTTAATCATTAAGAAAGTTTTGGATAATCAAAGGCTTTGGCAGTGCCTAACCTTGTAAAATATAGGGGAATATTTATTAAACATAATAGATCCAGCTCCATCTTCTTGTTATGATTGTGGGGAATCCAGGATATTTTCTTCATCCCAGTTAAAGCCCCACTCTGTCTACCACAGACTCATGCAAATTAGTCGTATAGGCAGTTGTGTATTTAAGAAAACTCAGGGTGACTAGCGATGGGATGGTATCAGAGGAAAGCAAGACCTAGAAATAAGTGTGGCTAGACATACCTTTTTGTTTTTCCCTTTGTGGAGGTTAGCTCATGTGAAACAGTGGGCACATGTAAAAGTGGCTAGTTAGATCTGTGACATGGTTTAAGAGAGCTTCTAGACTGATATTCAAAGCTAAATTATCTAGACAAATTCATCGGCTTTACCCAAAGAGCCAAGCTGAATGAAAAAAAAAATTGCTAAGTGGATATATTTTCCTTTTTCTAATCTTTTACTCATGAGAGCAATTTCCTCTTATTCTTATTCTGATAATTCTTCAGATTGGTTTGAAGTTTCATGATAATCATTCTCTATGCCTAACAAAACAGGAGCAGATAGAGATGTACATTTTTCTGTTGCTTTAACTCTGGCAGTTGCCATGCGATGTGATCTTTGTAGATGTTGCTGAAAACCCAGTTTCTTCAGTAAGCAACTTCCTAATAACCAGGACTGAGTATTTTCTAAGACTTCATTCAGCTAAAGAGAGGAGGATCAAAGGTACTGAAAGAATCAGTGAATTTTTTATGTATTAGGTGTGCTAGAAGGGCACCATTAGCTGGCAGTTAGATGAATAAAAAGGAAAAAGAAAAAGGCTTTATCAACTTTAATTGATCATTCATACCTAGAGTAACATGATTCTTTAGAAGCAGGATCAGTGATAGGTACTGACATTGCTACTTCCTTGGCATCACAAAGAATTCTAGGTAAGTTGTTATATTGTTGTTATGTTCTTTAGATGATTTAGCCTACAGTTAGTACAGTCCTAAATGCTAAGAAGATATTATATTCCTGTTGCTGTGTTCTTTAGATGATTTAGCCTATAGTTAGTGAAGTCCTACATACTAAGAGAACATCATCTGAAACTTACTATAGTATTTCTTGTGATCTCAGTTTTACTTATGTAGAAAAGAGAGTTGAGACAGATTTTAAACACCTGGACTTTCTTTCCATAGACTTCCAATAACCCCTATAAGGACAATTGCTCAAAAGAAAACAAACACAAATGGCAGCTAAATATTTCTTACTCCACAATACCAGAGGACATCAGGGTGTCTTTCATGAACCGTTGCCTCAAAACCCATCCATCACTGGCAACAGTTTTCCCATAGATTAAGGACTAGATTTGCATTCTAAATGATTTCTTTCCAACAGCTGCTGTAAGATAACTTGGCTGTAAGTTAAGAGTTTGCATTTGATCAGCTGCCAGTGAAGATCATAAAATTCAGCTTGGCAACAGAATTTAGGAAAAGAGGTCTCCTCAGCCCAGCTGTGCTTATCCGAGTTAGCAGCATGGGTAAAAGCACTACTCCAGCTCTCTTCTTTTCCGGTCAGCTTGGAAGTGATTTGCCACTGATGAAAGTTCAGTTTAGTTCCAATTTTTTTGTGTTTGAAGAACTGAACCACCTTTGGTTGAGTATTTGGGGTGTGTGTGTGTGGTGGCGATTATATTAAGTCAGCTACAGTAGACGTCTTAGAGTGTCGATGGAACAATCTGTTCAAATCTATGGGTTTTCACTTGGTAAATCATAGTGATGAATGTTTCAGTTTTGCACCTAGTCTACAATGCAAGTTCAGATGAGAAAGGAGTTCTTTTCCAGGTTACTATTTGCTCCAGCTTTGTGAAATGGAAAGATAAAGGACTTGGATTAGGCTAATTCTAGTCTTAACACTTATTAGATGTGTGATTTTTGAGTAAGTTTTTTTTTTTAACTTCTGTGAGTCTCAAATTCTTGTATAATGAAGATGATTATACTGCCATATAAGCTGGCTCTAAAGATTAAAGAAGGGTATTGTAAGCAAAGCAGCAGATTCACAGTAAGTATTCAGTGTTAATTTTCTTTCCTCTTCATATTTGATATTGGCATCAAAATAGAAAAATTGTTCATACTTACCATCTTTCTAAAACACAAATTAGGTGACTATGGCAAAGATTGCTAGAGGTCTGATATTTCTCTTTTGTCTTCAGTAATATAATTGAATGTTAACTGGGCTCTGCCAATATAGTCTCTCCTTTTGGTTAATTTAACTCTGCCTTACAGTAGGGATTTGAACATGGATGTCCATCAAATAGTCTTTTAAAAATATAGATAGATGGTATAAATTAATTCTAGGAGCAATTTATGATTTTACTTTGTAACTGACAGGTTGATTTCAGGTTTTCTGTCTCTTCCTTTCTAATCCTAAGCCACAAGATCTTGTGTAATAAATGCAGGCTTGACCTAATATTTTTCATAAATGGTATCTATTGAATTGCTGTTCAGGTATCTAACAGCTGGCATTTTGAGTCATATAGATGGATGATAAATGCACAGCTATAGTTATATATTAAATGTATATGCCATCGACATTCACCAAAGGTTTTCGTTCTATAGGATTAATGGAACATTGCTAGAGTTCAAATACTGAGTGCACCAAAAGTTTCTCAAAGAGAATTGGCCTTTATTTTCAAATAAGAAAGTTAGTATGGGCAAAAATAAAAATAAAAATAAAAGGCATTTTCCAAATGTGAAGCAATCACTTAGTACTTGTGGTTTTCTAAGTGGGGAAACGTTTCTTGTGTCAGCAGTTCATTCGACGGGCCAATGATGAAGTGACTTCCTCTGCTCATGTTAAATGGTGAAGTGCTTATTTCCCAGTCCATTGGGAAGATTTAGAGCTGCAGCCTACAAAGCGAGGGCCACCTGCTCTTTCACTCACTCGTTGTTTGGTAGTACATCAGTAATTTCAGGGACCTGTGATGGCTTGTGGCCTTGTTTGTCACTGTAGCTTTATGCATAACTTGTCAATTTATGGCAGTGATTATATATCCATCTTCATAGAATACACACCCAGGGTTTGAATTACAAGATCTTTAACCCTCAGATTTCTGGACCTGTGTGAAGCAGTTGCATGAACTGTCTAAAATCAGAGGCAAGTGATATTTTGGAGTGCCAGATGATGAGTTTTAGAAGCTATTTGTCTTTGTAAAATGCTTTGATTTACTACCTTAAGTGTGTTTCTTAAATACAACAGTACCTAGAATAGCATTTGGCCATCATAGGCATTTAGTAAGTGCTGAATGAACTCTATATATGCTAAAATGAATTGGTGAGAGATAAACAAAAACATGAAACAGAATATAATCCTAAAAGTTACTAGATCTGTTTTTTTTTTTTTGGAAATATTATTCAGCATATTATATTATGGACAAGTGAAATATGTACACTTTTGTACAAATGCTGCCTGCATTTATTTCAATTATGGGGTACAGATGGTTTTCTTTTTAATTATTTTTCATAAGGCTTTGAAATTTACGTTGGAGACAACCAGAAGGAAACTAAAATGTTCCATTCTCAAAGAATATCTTGAAATCTAATTATCAGAAATCCATATTCAGCTAATTGTGATATTGAATAAACCAAATGTTTGCGATTTATATAATTCATCACTCTGTATTCTCCTGGCCACATTCATCTTTTCAGGTACCTTCCCTCCCCCACACTGATATATTACAATGCTATTTTGTTGCATAAATAATAAGGGTTTATTATGTAACAATGAAGAAGTCCAAAGGTAAGATGGTTTCAGGGTTAATTCACCAGCTCATGATCTCACCAAGGACCAAAATGCTCCCCATCTTTTTGCTCTTCCTCCCCTAATTCTAAACCTTCCCTCGTGGGTGAAAGATGATTGCAGCAGCCCTTGACATCACAGGCAGACCTAACCACATCCGAAGGAGGTGCATTATCTCCCATGACTGGTGCTTGCTCTCTCTCTCTCTCTTTCTCTCTCCCGACTTTATTTTTAGAGCAGTTTGAAGCTCACAGTAGTATTAAGCAGAAGGTACAGAGATTTCCCATTTACCTTGTGCCCAGATCTGTGTAGCTTTACCCATTATCAATATTCCCCTCTAGAATGGTACATTTGTTTCAATTGATTTACCTACACTGACACATCATTATTACCAACGTCTGCAATTAACTTTAGGGTTCGTAATTGGTGTCGTATATTCTATGGGTTTGAGCAGATTTAGAATAATATTTGTTACCATATTATACAGAATAGCTTCATTGCCTTAGACGTTCTCTGTGTTCCACCTTTTTATCTTTTCTTCCACTCTAACCCTTGGCAACGTGTAATCTTTTTACTATCTTCATAGTTTTGTCTTTTCCAGAATGTCATGAAGTTGGACTCATACAGTATGTAGCTTTCTCAGATTGGCTTCTTCGACTTAGTAATATGCATCTATGACTTTTAATGGCTTGATGGCTCATTACTTTTTAGCATTGAATAATGTTACATTAGCTGGATGTAACAGTTTGTTTCTCTATTCAAATACTGAAGGACAACTTGGTTGTTTCTCATTTTTGGCACATGTGAATAAAGCTGCTATAAATTTATATATGCAGGGTTTTTACTCTTGGACATAAGTTTGTACCTCGTTGAGTAAATGTCAGAGAGCATGATTGCTGCCTTATACGGTAAGAGTATGTTTAGTTTTGTAAGAAATTGACAAACTGTCTTCCAATGTGGCTGTTGCATTTTACATTTCTACCAACAATGAATGAGAGTTCCTGTTTCTCCACATCCTTGCCAGCATTTCATGTTGCCAGTGTTCTGAATTTTGACCATTCTGATAGGTGCACAATAATATCTCATTGTTTTAATTTGCCTTTTTTTAAAAAAGCATTAAGCAACAGTGTAGAAATTCCCTAAAAGTATCATAATCTGTACCAAGATTGCTCTATGTATCATCACATTAACAGATTCCTGGGCAGTAATATCTATAGCTATCATGTATTATGAACTTAATGTTTTAAAATTCACCGTTTTCTTTAACTCTTGTGGTTGGCAAGTGTGGGTCTCAGGTCAATTTTTTTTTCTTTTGGTTTCTTAGCCACTGCAGCGCTAGGATTTAACACAGTGTTTAAACATGGTATGGATTGTAACAACATTTGATGTAAGAACAAGTGCATAAATAAACACGGATTGTTTTTTCTGCTATTCTCTTGGTCTCCTAACACCCCAGGACATTGTTCCCTTTGCGCTTCTCTCAGAGGTGGTGCTCTCTTCCTTCTTCTTTTCCTTTAGATGGACATAGAGCAGTGATGGGTACTGTTAGATTTTGCATCCTGTAGTCTCTGGAGTGAGGACTTCGAACCTCAGTTTCCTTAGAATGACACATCAACGAAAAAAAACTTGTTTGATCATGCTGAGGGTCTCTTTTAACATAACTCTTGTAAGTTATCATGAAAACACCCTTAGTATGTTTCTTCCTACCTTCCTAAGATTACTAGTATTTTCTCCTCCCATTAGCTTAATCCAAAGCTGATTGGAGGCAAGTAGTTAAGGTCTCCCAAAGAGCATGAATCTGGGAGTTTGGTAAAGAAAAGTTATTCCTTCTACAAAAATGTTCTAATGTGATATAGTAAGTAAATCAAAGACCCAGGATGGAGACTCCAGTACTTCTCCCTAAAATGTAGACTTTGCTCAAGGCACTGAAATTGTGCTTCTCTAATTTGATTCTCACAAAGCAAAGAAGAGCTTGTTGTGTTACTCCATTTTGCATTGCTGTGAAGAAATACCTGAGGCTGGATAATTTATAAAGAAAAGACATTTATTTTAGCTTACAGTTCTGAGGACTGTACATAAAGCATAGTGCCAGTATTTGTTTCTGGCGAGGGGCTCAGGAAGTTTGCAGTCATGGTGAAAGGTGAAGGGGGAGTGGGCATGTCACATGGCAAGAGAGGAAGTGAGAGAGAGGAGGAGGTGCCAGCCTCCTTTAAACAACCAGCTCTTGCATGAACTAATAGAGTAATAAGTCACCCTCACCAAGGGGATGGCACTAAGTCAATCATGAGGGTTCACCCCCCCCATGACCCAAACACCTCCCACTAAGTGCCACCTCTAACACTGGGGATCACATTTCAACATGAGATTTGTTGGGAACACACATTAAAACCATATCACTTTTTCTGCAATAATTTTTCAAATGAAGAAACTGAGATATGGAGAAAAGTAACTTGGTCAAGGTCACATAATCCATAGAAAGGAAAGCCAAAATTTAAACTCAGGACCAGTAAATACAAACTTAGTTTCATTCCGTTTTACCTAGAATAAGACTTAATGACTAATGCTCAGCTCCTAGACCTGTGGTTTGTGATATTCTAGGTTGTGTTAAGATTTTAATGAAGAGTTATGCTATCTTTACCTTTACATACCTACTGCAAGGCAATGTTTCTCATCTTGAATGTTTGCCAAAGGGACTTAAGATCCATAGATAAAATTTACGTAAGATGGAAAAAAAATAATCACAAGATCATCTTTGGGTCTCCTGAAAGTAAAGGCAGAAGTGAATTTTTAAAAAAATCTTTCTAAATTATGATGAGAAAGGACAGCCAGGAAAAATGAAGAAGGATGAAAAAGCTGTACACTTGAAGGGTTCCTGAAATAAAAGTAGTTTTTATTTTTGACATACATTATATTAAGATCTTGGAGAGTTTTCATCAATCATTTGCAAGTCTCCTTAGGAAGTCACAGGGTCTTTTTATTTATTCGGTCAAAGTCAAAGAGGAATATCAGAAACCAAAATTCGATTGCACTGTGGCACAAAGACGTTACCTGGCTTTCCTGCAATGGTAAGAAAACCCCACAGTCATATTCTATCTCTAGTTTCAGGTGGAACATTTGAGAAACTAGTTATGCCAACCATACAAAGTAAATATTGACTTAGTAAGAACTGACAAAAAAAATATGGAAAAAGTGATTTGGGTTTATCCACACACACACAAAAAAAATGGAAAAAGTGATTTTGTTTAGTCCAAATCTGAGGTTCAGCACATCTTCTAGGTATTACTTTACTCTAGTCTTTCTAAAGAAATACTCAAAAGAGGCCTCCAAAAATATATGTTATATTCTTCTTTTTCTTAAGGCCATAGAACTTGTAGATTTTCAGAGCACTTTGATGCTTCATTTAGACAAAGATTAGCTAAAATGAAATCTTACAGACTTCATTGTTTCCATATGCTCATGAACTCTCTCTTCTTTACTTTGGCTGAGTACTCTGTTTCTCCAGGATTAGAGCATAATAGTAAGTAGATGTATTTGTTAGTTTCATGTAACTCTGGCTGCTGTATACATCAATCAAAAGATGCATAGTGGCTCTAACAAATTAGATACTTAAGTTTTGCTCATGTAATATCCAAAATAAGAGTTTTTGATCCATTGAATCAAATGTTATGATCCATTTGATCCACCACACCTCTTTCATGTGGCAATTCAGGAATCCAGTACCTTCCATCATATTGTTTTAATATATTTAATGGGTAGCTTCCAAGATTGCTGCATTTGTCTGCATCAAGCAGGCAGAAAGGAAAGAGCCAGGAAATCTACACTTAGGAATTTTTAGTGCATCAGGGCTGGACATGTTGCAGATCCTGTTCACTGGCACTTATTTCTATCACTCAGTCAAGTAGCCAGTGAACTCTGAGAGAAGTGTAGTCTGGCTGTGTGTCACAGAAGAAGAAACGCATTTCTTTTATATGCCCCTGAGATTGCACCCCACGAACTAGCTAGCATATTTTACATTTTTTTTTCTATTTAGTTTCTGGTGTAAAAGAAGAAAGTGGGAATTATACTCTGTCAGAAAAATACTTCTATTTCATTCTCTCTCCCCTTTCTGGATCTATTTTTCAAGCTGAAGAATATCTGCATTTAAGACAGAAATATTTGAGAAATTCTTCATGGTGCAATGAACTTTGGAGACAGGGAGACCTGGTTTCAAATCTCGCCTCTGTCGTTTACTACTTGTGGACCTTGGGAAGTTATTTAAACACTGTGTTCCTTAGTTTCCTCATCTTTGAAATGGGCAAAATAAAATCCAACTTGGAGGAAAAGTATGAAGTTTACATAAAGTCATTTAAATAATACATAAAATATATTCTTTGGAATTTTTGGAAGCCATTATTAGGATATCTTTACGCTCTTAGTGCTCACGTAAAAATCCATGAAAATGATTTGTATTAGTTATGTTAACACAAAGCTGCGATGACAAATATGCCCTAAGCTAGAGAGGCTTAGAAGAAATAGTTTTTTTTTTTAACATAGTTTTTCTGCAGTGAGCATTCTGGTTTTCAGGCCATTCTGCTCCATGAGGTTTTGGTGATTTAGCAAGTCATGGCCATTACAGACACTAGGGCTACTGAAGACCAGAGGAAAGTCAATCTTAAAATACTAATCTGTGGAGGAAAGCCTGAAGTTAATGATATTTCTATGGATAATTAAGATTTGACTCCTCTGTAGTCTTTAACGATTTATTTTAAAGATAACCAATAAATCATTCTATTCAGTAATTTGATGATAACCTTTTCTATAACCTTTCTATTAATATTTTAGGAGTAGAAAAAAATTCATACTGGAGGTGAAATGAATTATGTTGGGTATATAAATAAAGTTCGGGGCCTAGTTGAGAACTGCACCTTCATGTTTATAGCTTGTTTCTGACTGTACGAAGGTATAGCACTTCTCCCTAAGAATGCCAACCATCATGAGGATGTAAACCAAGAAATCTTCGTCAAATGAAGAAATGTTGAAGACAGTGGTTACTGTAACAGTATGCACAGTGTGATTCATTTTTTTTGTATAATAATATGTAATTATCATTCAACAAATAGATACTGAGCACCTACTATGTACCTACTGATAGAAAAATATATCCCTGAAAGTCTGAAAGAATTAACACTGGATAACTAGTTTATAAGTTACTTTATATTACACCTTTTCCTTATTTGTACTTTTAAGATTTTCTACATCATGGATTTTTTTTTTGAAAAGAGTGAAAGTATTTAAGATAACTTATTAATGCTATTAAAGATATTACCTCATCTTTGTGCTTTTCTAAATGATAGAATCAAATGCAGATCTGTTTCCAGATACTCACTTATAATATGGAAATACCTATTAGTAGTACTAAATAAGATAATAGTGCTCAGTTAAGAACGATCGCGTCAGATGGGTGAAGTTTGCTTCTGGAAGCCATTCCAATTAGCTAATTCATGACCAAGCATTCAGATCCTTTATTTCCTTTCCAAAATCTATTGTTTTCAAAATCTATTGTTCCAGTGAATGAATTAGCATTAAATTGTCCTGTCTTGTATGACAGTTACCAATAATATACATGTTGCGAAATCTAACGGACACTTCTACACCCTCCTATCTGTTATAGCAGCAGCAGTCAATAGTGATAGGCATTCCCTTTCAGAAGCTCTTATCACTCTTGCTTCCATGACACTAGATTTTTTTGAGTTTTTATCCTATCTCCATGGCTGCATGTTCTACATCTCCTCTTCTTGCACCACTTTTGCAATAATGTATATATAGATATATTGCTATGTCACAGGCAGAAACATTGCCGCATGTATCAATATTGAAATGAACAAATATATAAACAAAACTAGTCTTCAATGCAGAGGAGTGATACTTGAACTAATAGCTCAAGTTTTAGGAAATGGAAGAGCAATGAGCAGAGGCACCTGTGTAGCCCTTCTGCTTGGAAGTTTGTGTGCAGGACCAGCCCTGCAAAGGTGAAAACACAACTACAGATAAACAACTTTAAGGAACAGGCACTCTACAATTCCTTATCAAAAACTAAATTTTGGAATACTTTTACAAACTTCATGCTTGATTTCTCTTAGTTTCCATGCAGCTTGAATCATTGAATCATTCTTGAAGTTCTTTTGTTGTTTTAACACATTAAATTAGCTAATTACAGCTGAATATGTAGTGGAAAATAGCATCTGTTTACGGTGTAATAATATAAAAATTACTTACCAGTAACAGAATAAGGAGCAATTTGCAAAAGCTAATCATATTTGTGCACTTGTCTACAAAAAGTAAATTGTTAATATATGCCCAAGGGGAAAAAAAATCACTTGCTGGTTTAGGAAATGAAAGCAGTGATATTAACAACATCACTTAGACAACCGCTGTATTTCAGATTGGAATGTCTCAATTTGTCATAAAATGTAGGTGTTTACTAATTTTTTTAACTAGCTTTGACCATGGTAAATTCAAACAATTTGGAGATTAAGATCTCATAGAAAATCAGATGGTCTAAAAAATTTTTTAATGTCTGCAAAGTCAAAATTTTAATAGTTTTTTTTTTTTTTTTTTTTTTGAGATGGAATTTTGCTCTTGTTGCCCAGGCTGGAGTGCAGTGGCGCGATCTCTGCTCTCTGCAACCTCCGCCTCCCAGGTTCAAGCAATTCTCCTCCCTCAGCCTCCTGAGTAGCTGGGATTACAGGCATGCACCACCACGCCTGGCTAATTTTGTATTTTTAGTAGAGACGGGGTTTCTCCATGTTGAGGCTGGTCTCGAACTCCTGACCTCAGGTGATCTGCCCGCCTCGGCTTCCCAAAGTGCTGGGATTACAGGCATAAGCCACCATGCCCGGCCCAAAATTTTAATAATTCTTACTTAGAGAAAACTTTTTTCTTCCTCAGTGCTAACGGCAAATGCCATTGGAAAAAAAAAATACACGCCAAATGCAGTCTCTGTTTGGCATTTCTTCCTCAAATCACTGAATATACCTTTAAGAGGTCAATTTAAAAACTGAAAATTAATATCTGAAAATATTGAAAAAACACAGAGTAGAATTTTAGAAATCTCACTGAGTTGCAGCTTTTTGTTTGTTTCCCTACATTTAGAAGCTGGAGGTGCTTACATTTTTGTAATTATTGAGACTTTTAAATGATATATTTGTAAAATATTAAAAAATACATGATTTACTGAATGGACCCTTTTTTCTCTGGTTGTCATAGACAGCAACGAATGGCACATTCAAAAGTAAGATCATGTAGTGGTGTGGTTTTCTCCCCTATATTTATCAGAGAGAAAAAGAATTCTATGTGAAGTTAATCTTTAAATTCCCTTTCTCTAGATGCCAGGGTGAAACCTATTCAACTAATAGTCTTAGTTCAGATATGTTAATAACATTCATTAAGACACAGCTCTCTTTTATATATAGTCAGCCCTTGATTAATACCCCCATCCTGCCTTCCTGCTTTTGACCTCCCCTTTATAAGATTTCCGTAAATGTTAATTCCATCCACTACAATTTTAACTCAGGGAGAACAACCTTACTGCCAGGTTTGGAGGACAACTCACTGTAGCCTTCTATAGTTGGACTTTACGAATCCCCTCTTGCTGTTCTAGTGATAGGACTTTTATCCTTATGAATTTGGCCTCTAGAGACCAAATTCTGAGAGATTATTTTCTATATACAGAGAGAAATATGTTAACTTTCTAGTTAACTTAGTGTGAGGATGAAAAGAGAATGATTCATTCTTTGTTTGGAACTTTAAGATCTTAAGCACTTTCAGAAAAGACTTAAAGACTTTTTTAAAGCTAAGTGATGATGTCCAGTGAAGAATTTGGAAATATGTTGTCCCATAAATGGTCAGTTGGAGTCTTAGTTCACTCATTCAAATGTTGCAGCTGATGAAGGATTGTGTTTCAGTGCTTAAACAGGAAAATTCTTTTTGTTTGTCTTTCAAATGACATTTCCCAGTGGCTTCAGTTACCATCTGTTGCTGATTAATTTCCCAATTTAGCTACAGCCTAGAATTCATCTCTAATCTACCGACCACATAGCTGCAGAGCCCACATTTTACTTAGGTGTTTTTAAGGATCATTAAACTCAACGTATCCTAACCCAACTCATGCTCTTCCCCCAAACCTTGGGACTTCTTTGAATATCAACCATTCTAGGAAATGAAATCTCCAATCGTGCATTTGCAAGAGGCAGAAACCTGCAAGGCATCTTTGAGACCACCCCTCAAAATTCATCATCAATTCTGAAAATTTTTAATTTACATATTAGCCAAATGATTACTCATTTCTCTGTTTTCACCGTCATAATCAAATTCTTAGATGTGGCCATCTCTTACTTGTGCAGCTATAATGATCCTTTTACCTTTCACTCCTTCCCCAGTCTTGCCCTCCTCTTCTCATCTAGACTCCCTGCCCCTGCCAGAGTGATGTCATACAAATGCAAACATGTTTTATTTCTTTTTTCAAAAAAAAAAAAATTTGCACAGCCTTCCATGTTAACAGAATAGAGAACATAATCTTTAAATGAACCTACAAACTTTGTGCAAGAGCTGACTTCTTTCCCCATCACCTGCTTTGTATTCCCAAGCATACTTCCTAATGTCTGAAAGCTTCACATTTGGGGATATAAGCAAAACATTGCATAGTCTTTTTTATTTTGCTTAGCATATCAACATTATTTTATTGGAATAGGTACTGAAAAATTGAAGAAGACCCTCAGAAGAGTGATGCACGTAATATTATTTAATCCATTTATGGGCCTGTGATAGACTGAGTGAAATTATATGAGTTAATTGTCACAGAAATCAATAATAATTCCTATGCACTATTTAGTCTTATGTCCTCTGAAGGATAAGCCACTGTGAAATCACATAATAAGGTTATTTATCATTGTACACTCTCTTTTGGGTTGAGAAGTGGGGCTACAAGTTTGGTTTCTGGAGTTAGACTTCAGTACAAGTTCTCTTCCGTTCATACTTTGTGGTTAAGCTGCTCTAGCTCTTAGATTCTCAATCCACCGATCTATAAAATTCCCATGATAGTTGCAATTCACTCATAGGCTTTTAAAGGGAATAAGTGAGGATATTCATATCATGTATTCATTCACTTATTCCACATGAAATATTCATATCAAGCCTTCAGCTCACTACCTGACACATTGGAGTGTTCCATAAATGCCTCACACAAACAACCACTGTGTGACAGAATAGCAGCATCTCCTTAATACATTTATGACACACTAAACTCTTCCTCCAAGAATCACCCCAGGAAAAATTCCTCTGGCCAAAATCCTACCAAGGACAACTAAATACTACCGGTGGATAGTGTGCTGTTAGCACCTAACTAAACACTAAACTCTTTGGATTAGAACTTTCTTGCTGACACAACTCACCTATACCTGCCTACATAGCCAGGCAGAAAACAAAAAATTTTTTTTCTTAATGCAATAGGAAAACTTTAAGCACAAAAAGAAATCAGTTATGTGTACATGTTCAGATAATTCAGGCTTCTAGAGTCATTGCCACTGTCCCTTCCCAGCTTACCCTCCCTCCCTCCAAGAGTTAATCTAGTCCCCAAACCACTTCGTTCTGCAATTTTGGTTATATAAAAGTTGCTGGGCATGGTGGCTCACATCTGTAATCCTAGCACTTTGGGAGGCTGAGGCAGGCAGATCACAAGGTCAGGAGTTTGAGACCAGCCTGGCCAATACAGTGAAACCCCGTCTCTACTAAAAATACAATAATTAGCTGGGTGTGGTGGCAGATGCCTGTAGTCCCAGCTACTCGGGAGGCTGAGGCAGGAGAAATGCTTGAACCCAGGAGGCGGAGTTGCTGTGATGAGCCAAGATCGTGCCATTGCACTCTAGCCTGGGTGACAGAGTGAGACTCTTGCTCAAAAAAAAAAAGTTAAAACAAAAGCAATGCTTTCTGTGGGTCCACCAAATATTTTTCTAAGTCTGGGAGGAAAGCATTATTTAAGAAGTTGGATGATTTCCCCAGATTTTGCATATAAAATGTCCCACTTCAGAGTTCTGTTTGGTCACAGGGGTGCCCTGAGATGGGGTCAGTTTGCTCAACTTTTCCTATTAAAAACATTTTTTTCTTTTTTCTCCAAAACCATAATTTTCATAAAAGCACAGTTTATTCACAATTTTCATCCATATCTAGAATTTCAGCCAGGGCACCGAATTGATTTATACAGAACATTCATTTTCCTTTATTTTGGCCAAAATTGGTATTTATTCTCATTATAGGGCCCTATTCTATCCCAAGAAGCCATAGATACTTCGACATAATTTATCTTACTGAATTTGGTGAAGCTCTTGCCAATTATTCTAAGGGCTGGTGTCTTTTTCTCCTAATTTTCTATGTATTCTTTATGTAGCTGGAAGATTAACCCCTCTGCAAAAGGAGTTACACATTTTTTTCTAGTATTTTTACAAATTTATATTACTTTGCCTATGGTATTTTTTTATAGAGACGTTTTTGGGGCTTTTTGTTTTATTAAGAGAAAGTATCTCACTCCGTTGACTAGGCTGGAGTACACTGGCTCACTGCAGCCTCAAATTCCTGGACCTAAGTGATCTTCCTACCTCAGCCTCCTGAGTAGCTGAGACTGCAGGCACATGCCACCACACCTGGCTTTAAAAAAATTTTTTAGCAGAGTTGGGGGTTTTGCTTTGTTGCCCAAGCCGGTCTCAAAATCCTGGCTTCAAGTGATCTTACCACTGTGGCCTCCCAAAGTGCTGGGATTACAAGTGTAAGCCACTGTGCCAGGCTAGAAGATTTATACATGCAACTTAATTTTTTAGTCTGACTTGTTCACCACTCTATCTCTAATTCATCAGTACCTACAAGAGCATCTGGTGTGCAGTAACTGTTCAATAAGTTCTTTGTGAATGAATGAACAGCTAAAGGAATTGAATATGGGTAGACTCCACCAAAAGAGTTCAGGTTTTAGAAGTTACTTGTGGTCTTGTTCTCCAGCCTTTCTCAATGTAACCAAAGTGCCTCGGAGAACTGTGACGATGTTTATTCTAACACTGGCAAAACATTTGGCTCAACTGTAAGCCATTATTTTGTGGACCCTGTGGATCTCATTAATAATTGAACATTTTAGAAATGATCTCTGGGGCAAGTTCATAAAAGGAACAATCAGAACTATTCTCAGATTTATGAATTAGAGATTGCAAATTCTACAAAACTATAGAGGGAAGACCTTCTTTGACTTATGGAGGAGTAGGAAATTTAGTCTTTTCCCCTAAGGTGTTCTTCAGCAAACACAGAGTATGTGTTATGTGACTATGTAGGGAGGAAATGTGTTAATGATGCCATACTCAATTTCTCTGTATTGGTTTTAGAGCATAAATATTTCATTTTAGAAGTTTAAAAATGGTGTTAACAAAGGACTAGCATTTCCCGAGTACTGAACATTTTTATGTGCATATTTAAAAGAATTTTGTCTTTTAGATAACCCTTAAAATGCAGAGTCATCACTGGAATTATTCATTGTATTTCTCAGATTTAAAAAGAACCTGTTAGTTATTCATTTAAATGTTTAAAAAGCAAAACAATCTCCATATTATTCCTTGGCTACATCCCTTGAAAAGAGAGAGTTCCCATAAATAGCACAATTTGTGTTTGATGGTAAGCTTCTTCCCAGAGAAAAAATAATAGTTTGTGTTTGTGCCAGATGGTTTTCCAGCATTAAGTGCCATAAAAATCCCCTGAAGTGTGTTCAACAGATAAGGCGAAGTGCCAAAGAATGACAGAGAATTAAGTTAAACCCTGTTCACATACAAAATCCATTGAGACTCCATATGCATATTTCCATTTTAAAATCAAAATGTGAAATTAATTCAACATGAATTTAATAGGCAACTATTTAGAGATGTATGATAGATCCTAGGGACAGGATGATGAGTAATATCAGGTCTTCCTCTCTCTGTTATGAGATCCACTCTCTGTTAGGAGAAACAGGCATTTAACCCTTCTTATGGCAGTGACATAAGTGCTACGATGCAGACATACCTAAGACTACATGGAGAAGGTGGCATCCCAACATCTACCAGGCAAGTACAGGTGCTCCAGGCAGAGGGAACTCTTTATACAAGGGCTTAAAAATGATTCTTCTTGTAACGTTTTCCTTAGGAAAACAAAGTGAGGAGAGCTATTGCTCATTTATCTACACTACACGTGCTAGAGAGCAGACATTGGGAGTAGCAGAGAGGGGAGCATTTGCTGGAGGAGGAAATTAAGGATTAGAGGAGACGCACATTTTATTTATGCCAGGATATAAAACAAGTTTTTCTCTGCTGTTGATACAAACATCTATGACAAGTTGATCTTTGAACATAATTAGAGTGAACATTTCTAATTCTTCCCCATCCTATTCAAATGGTGTGTGTCACACATGGAGCCAGGTATTAAGCTATGGGCATTCTGAAGGGATTTTGTACACTGGCTGAGCAGCTAGACGAAGTGGTTTCTCTGATTTTTCTCAGTTTTGTACAAACTTGAAATTTTTGTGCTTCTGTCACTAGAGTTAAAAGTCATTTAGATCTCTGATTTACAAAAAGCTCCAAAAAGGACTGAGCAAATTTTGCAGAGCCTGTCTTCCTTTTAGCTAGATTAGACTTGTGTGCTGGCTTCCAAAGCCCACTGCTATCCTCTGTTCCTCAATCAGGACTTCTCCTTTAGAGTTCAAGGAGATAGCTGTTTGAATTCAAGATATATACAAAAGCAAGGGTTTCTTTCATAATAGGAACCAGGCAGTAACTCTCAAATTAGCTTCCCTCACTCAGGTAAGCACTCTCTACTATATCATTCACTTTAGATACTTGAAAACATTAAATACCTAATGTTAAGGAATGGTGAAGTTTATAGATGAGTTGAGAAGCTTTGAAAAGTGACCCCATCTAGACTATTTTTTTCACAGCCATGTAAGTACTTAGTGACAAAGTACTTTCTTTGCTTCTAAAAATTAGTTACCAAATGTATCTGAGAATTTGTGACATGCTTCTCTTCCTCTTCTTCATGTGTATTTAGAATGTTTCTTTTCCCCACTGAGTAGTGGTGGTGTATGAGAATCACAGTAATCCTGTGGTATTATCTTTCCCCCCCTTTTTTTCTATTCCCGTAGCTGTTACTGTTCATTTCTGTATTGAAGAGTACAGAAGACAGGAATACATTTAAAGTAAAGCATCAATCACTTGAGCTCAAAAGAATACCCTTAATTGAATCATGTTTTTCACTTCGGGAAAAAATGCGAGTGAATATTCATTTTTATTCATAATGTAATCTTCTATTTACATGATAACTACACAATAACAAGTTGAAATGAATTATTAAATATTCTATATGGGGCATGTAATTAAGAAATAAATATATCTATATCCTGTCTTTTCTTGCATTGCATAATTTGTCTTCACAGCAGTAAGGAAATTTTATAACAATGAACTATTCTATCTTTAAATTTCTTCTTCAAATGTTTTGTTAAATAGAGCAGTAGAGAAGACAATCTCTTGGCTTACCAACATGATTTCTGTTTGCCTGTTGGCTAGGTAATTTTCTCAATAAAAAAACCATAAGTATATAAGGAAAAAAACTAGACATGGCTAACACTAACTCAGCTTAATGCAAATAAAACAGTGGATTAGATATTCTTTGTTATAGTGAAGTTTTAAGAGTTTGATACAGGGGTTGATTTTTGCTTATTATTACTGTCATTATTTTTATTGACAAGGGGGTTCCTCTAGCCCTTGCAAACTGGATCATAACAATGCATTCAATATAGAGATAAAAGTAATGAGATCAGGAATTGTCCTGCGACAATAATTACCTTGGAGAGAAAAGATAAAATCTGGAAAGAGAAAATCGCAAGGACTTGGAAAGCACTCATATGTAATGTTAGAATTATAAGGATGTTTTCAAGGTTAATTTGCTATTTGAGTTCATCCTTCTTGGATAGAAATTCCCCAAATACACATGTATCTGAGTTATTTTTGACATGTTTTTAAGGAAAAAAAAATCGATAATTTTTAGGGTGAGTAATATACATTGTTCAAGTAAAAATGTTCAATCTTCAAATGATTATACATTCATCTTAAGAAGCCTGGACTTCAGCAAGAAGTGCCAAAAGAAATGGCCACTTTGGGAGTAAAATGCATTTATACTTAAGATGAATAGTTTTTAAACTTTAGAGTTAACCAAATCACCTGCAGGGCTTGTAAAGTACCCATTACTGAGCCTCCCTCTCAGTTTCTGGTTCAATGTGTCCAGGATGGAGATTGAGAATTTCTATTTCTAACAGTGTCCCAAGCCCACACTATGATGTTAAGATTGCTGGTCTGGGGACCAGAATTTGAGAACAAATGCTTTATATGAATGTTAAATGAAGCTGAGAGTTGATAATCAAAAAGTTAAGATGAGTAAGAATTTGGAAATCTGCTGCTGAACTGGTATATACAAAACTGATATTCCAATTATTCAAAAAGCCACTGAGTAATTAGAATGCATACTGATCTTCACCCATATGGCTGCACCTGTGCATGTGACTTAACTAGTCAGATTACCGTATGCAACTACTCTCTCAGGTTCCAATCAGCCTAGTTGTATTAACTCTGATTGGAGGTGGGGAGGTTTCACAGTGACTCAAGGGCCAATTAAATCCTTTCAAATTCAAGGTTTATTGCAAGGCTTTCACACACCAACAATTATGCCAATGTATTTAACACACACAGACAGTAATAAGAAAAAAAGGGAATAAACTACTGATGAGTAGCTCAGGAAACCAACACATTGCTGGCCATGGGTTTGGGGTGTTGCAGCACTTAGGCAGTAAGGAGGCCTCAGCATTCTCACCAGCAGGGAGTCTGCAGGCATCTTAGCCCTGGTCAGTTTCTTTTCTGTTTCTACGACCCTTCACAGGTGTGTTCATGGCCATTATCTCGGCAGTCGTTTGGCTTCACTTACTTGCCAAGTCTCAGGGTGTCTGGACACAGCAGGTGCTACTTTATCCCCTCAGTCTACCATATATGTCTTTATAACTTTGAGGGGTCAGCAGTTTAACTGTGGGCTGAGTCACTTGTCACAAGTGACTCCATTTTGAGAAATTTAGGATCATAAACAGTAATATATATTATCAACATTAAAAAAAGATAAAATTTTAAGCTTTTTTTCCTGTAATCATTTAAGATTTTAGGATATTAGATTTTATCTGATAATTTTTATCTCTGAAATAATCTAAGCTAAAATTTAATAAATTAGATTTTTTTAAAAAAACAAAAAAAGGGAAAAACATTTCAGTTGGCTGAAATGTTCTCTTCTTTCCCCAAGGAGGATGGTGACATCTCTAATAACCATTCATTTTTTCTTTTCTGGTGTTACATTTTAATATTGCAAGGGAAGAAAAAAATCATTCCTCTATCCTTCATAATTCCTAGCTGGGACAGACCCTTACAAAAAAGACAGATTAACAGGAGAAAAAACAAACAAAAGTTTACTAAGATGTATAACTCAGGTATGCATGCACGATGACCCAGAGAAATTAGTAAACCCCAAGAGTAGACTCAAAGAGATGACTTTGACTTCAGGCTTGAATACCATCCTTTGCTGAAACAAGGAAAAAAGTATATAAAGAAAGGCCCAGTTATGGGGAGGTGGCCAGGAGGAGTACTATAAACAAGAGTAACGTGTGTTATGCAGATTTAAATTCATGCCATCTCCATTGATCAGAGTCTCTAGTGATTTAGAGTCATCTTTATCTTCCTGGTACTGGGAGGGAGACATATAGATGTAAATTTCTCTTTAAAAAAAAGGGTAACTTCTCTGCTCTGAGAAATTCTCCTTTGTCTGCTATTTCTGAAAATAATCAGCTCAAAATGGTCTTTATACTATATTTGCAGTGGAATATTCTGGTCTCCTATTGTAATTATCTTTTTGGGTTCTTCCTGCCCACTGCACACAGAAAACCAGTTCACTGACACCGTCGTACTGCAGTAAAGAAAGAGTTTAATTAACATAAGGCTGGACATGTGGGAGAACTCAAGTTATCACTCAAATTAGTCTCTCCAAAGACTCTGAGGTTGGTGTTTTTCAAGGACAATTTGGTGGGCAGGGGACTAGAGAATGGTTGCTACTGATTAGTTGGGGATGCAATCATAGGGGTGTGGAAAATGTAATGAGTCCTCCTCTGGGTGGGGGACCACAGGACCTGTGGAATCATGAGTCATGAGTTTTGGTGGGGTTCCTCAGTTGTCAGAATGAAAAAGTCTGAAAAACATCTCAAAAGACCAACTTTAGGTTCTACAATAGTGATGTTATCTATAGGAGCAATTGGGGAAGTCACAAATCTTGTGACCTCTGGCCACATGACTCCTGTGCAGTAAAGGATTACAGTAACTAAGCCTACATTTTAGCAGGATTAGGGTCCCTTCCATAATCCTAATCTTGTGGCCTTTTATAGGTCTTACAAAGGTGGTTTCAGCCCTGAACAAGGTGGGGATCAATTTTAGGAAGGGCCTATTATCCTTGCCTCAATGTTAAACTATATATTAAATTTCTCCCATGGTTAGCTTGGCCCACGCCCAGGAATGAGCTAAGATGGGCCACCTATGAGGTTATAAGCAAGATGGAGTCAGTTGTGCTAAATTTCTCTTGCTTTTGTAATCTTTGCAAAGGCAGTTTCATTCCAGTCATGTTTTGGGGTGGCATGTCCTGAATTCCATCAGTGTGATAAAGTTTATTTTATTTTAATTCAAATTTAATATATGATAAAATTACATGACATCACAAACTAAAAAGGCTACCTTGTTCTTTTTGAAATTATTTGTGTTCATGAAAATTAATTGGTTATGGTTATTGGATATATATGCTTATAATAAATGTCTGAGTTTTTAAAAAGCATAAGACATGTTTTGTAAAAGAGATGTGAAAAGTATACAAGGTATTGGTGCTAATGGAATAAAAGAAATACTAAAAAGTAACTTCTCAGTGAATTTTATAGGGCAATAACAATTTATAGAGAAGTTTCTTATTTAGCCAAATAAGATAAATGTGCATGAGCATGTTTCAAAATGACAAAACCCCTCTCTCAAATGTTAGCTAATTAAGACTTATTTTTATCTACTGAAACTTCAGTTGCATTTCAACTAAAAACCATTCTGAAATATTGAAGATAAAATTTGAAGATTGAAAAGTGGCTGACTACTGGTGACTAAAGTGTGGTCATTATTACATCTAAAATGGCGTTCTGTTCTACAGGAACGCGTGTGTGCATATCTTTAATGTCAGCCCTTGCCTCTGGGATGACACTTATTAGATTTAATGGTGTCATGTGCTATTTCAAGATTGGCATAGTGGTTTTTATAACACAATGTGCTAATATTCCACTTATTATTTAAAGTGTTAAAAGAAAAACTATAGACAAATTAAATTTAGCGGAGTTTAATTGAGCAAAGAACAATACAAGAATTTGACAGCCTCTAGAACCAGGAAAGGTTTAATAAGACTCCAGGGCTCTCATGTGCCTGAATAACATTTATAGACACAAAAAGGAAAGTGACATACAGCAAGCAGAAATGAGGTACAGAGATAGCCTGATTGGTTAAAGCTCCCTGTTTGTCCTATTTGAATTTGGTTTGAACCGTTGGCTGCCTGTGGTTGACTTAAGTCCAGTTGCTGTGACTGATTTAGATTCCGCTACTTGTTATACAGAAAGTAACAGTCTGTTTACACATCAAGTTACGTTACAGTTTACTATGTATGCGGAAACTTTTAGGCCAAATTTAAGATAGGTAGGAGGTAGCTTTAGGCTAAACTTAATTCAATTTAATAAAAATAGCTGTTAAAGCTCAAATCTTATTGTTTTGCTCACGTCCATATGTACTATGATCACTCGATTCTGCTTTAGTTTTAAAATACAAAATTCTGAAATACGGTAGAATGAATTAGTACAGTTACTTATTTAACTTAGAAGTCATATCTGTGAAAAATAATTATTTGCATGTGTATTGAGAATTCCCAGGTGTCTGGCAATGACGACCCTCAGAAAATTGCTGATAAATAATAAGACACAATCTCTTAGGGAATTTGTTGTGCTAGTATATGGTATAACTGTCCTACACTCCTCTGCTCAAAAGAAAAGCAGAGGAGGCCCAAAGAGACATCCCAGGCCAACTGATGCTTTAAAAAAATCTCTCAGTAAAATTCTTTCTTAGGCTGCAGCTTTTTTTTACAGTCACAGAGAGAGAAAATGTGGATGAATAATCTATCTACTTCAATCTATTTGTCTATCTGCATCTATCAAGTGGCCCAAAGGGATAAGGAGACTTGCTGGGTTTTCTGCCTTCACATAGGGAATACACTGTTATACAGCATACCTGAATCAAGGTAGATCTAGAGTTATGGCGTCACTATAGATAAATTAGAAAAAATTATGCTAGGATAATTTAGGAACTGTCCAATAAATTCTATAAACATTACCTAAAAGTCAATGATAAAGAAAATTTAAAATATCTAGAAGGGTTATCTGTCTATATTAGCCTTCCAACTTGTATGCCCACTTCCACCCCAACACACATACCCTGCACAATTACAATCATATTGATATTGATGTCGTCTGCAACCATCACCCCACTATACTCAATTTCTCCTAAATTCTACATGTCTTGGTTTATCTATAACGCCTTGGACCTTCATATAATTTATTTACTTATTTTTAATTTGGGAAAGGCTTATTTGCCTTTAAATCAGATAATTTATAATTAAAATAATTATTATCAAGGTGTTTTGGTACTGTCATTCAATAAACGAGTGAATATGCATTTCATTTTGTCTTATTTTGCATTTTGCATTTTAAGATATTAAGTGTCTCTGTTGGGAGCCTATCAACTTCTGGTCATTTTGTCACCCTGTTCTTCCCACAACTCCCTGAGCTGTTTCACTTGTTAGAGGGAATTGGTTTAGTTGTGCCTGTGCAGAGAGGTTTTTGTTTGTTTGGTATTTGGGTTTGTTTTGGTTTGTTTTTGTTTTTGTTTTTTGGTGTAAGACTTTCTTAACTTGTGGGCTTCCTTTGTAGTAAGTTTCTTAATTTCAAAAATAGTGATAATCACCTGGTCCTGTGATATGTTAAAACAAAGTGTTGTTTAATTTTAAATGCCACTGAGAATGTTAGATTTGTTAGGAACCTATGAAATGTCTATTTTGGAGGTATAAGTGGAGATAGCACGATTAATCTCACCCCCCATCTTTTAATATATATTATCTATTAAACATTCACTTGTATCACCAAGGAAAGGGTTACTTGCAAAGAGAAGAGAAACTCTGCTTTAAGGGAAATGATATATCCAGATGCCTAAAGAAGATGACCTGTGATCCTGTGATTTTAATTGAATATAGCATATCGTTCTCAAATGTTATGGCCGAAGGACTTGATATACTAAAAATGAGAATTAGGCAGGGAAAAAAAAGACAAAATTTTGTCCTCAAAGTGGCATTCTCCATGTAGAATCAACTTAATCCAATCTATCGCTGGTTCCTCAATTAACTATAGCATGTCTTAACTTCATATTTTGGCTCACACTATGTCTTTTGATGTTATGTGTTGTTGGAAAACTTGTAACTGATGCATGAGTGTGCTCTCTGTTCAAACTGTTTCTAATATATAATTTTCTTGTCCAGTGTTCTTTCAATAAGGGTACCTAGTCCTTTGAGGATATCTTGCTAGAATGATGCAAATGAAGATGTGGACTATTTAATTATTTGTTAAAACATATTATATTGCAACACCCTAGTTATCACAGGTTCTGTAATGAAGAGGACAATGTGATTATTATTTTTTGGCAAAGTGAAGTACTTAGTTTAAATAAGCAATGGGAAGTAATGGATAATCTAACAGGAGTAATCCTCTACTGAGATATCCTTTTGTGGGGGACATTTGGAAAGGTTATGACCTGGAAAACCTAAGTTAAGAATCTTCCTGGTCACCCTTACCCTACCCACCAACTACAGTATTTTCTCCCCCAAGAAATAAACATTAATAAACATACATTTATTTAAATATGACTTTCTATCTCTATGTACTTCTTTTTTTTTTTTTTTTTTTGAGATGGAGTCTCGCTCTGTCACCAGGCTGGAGTACAGTGGCGTGATCTCGGCTCACTGCAACCTCTGCCTCCCGGGTTCAAGCGATTCTCCTGCCTCAGCCTCCCGAGTAGCTGGGACTATAGGTGTGTGCCACCACACCCAGCTAGTTTTTGTATTTTTAGTAGAGATGGGGTTTCACCATGTTGGCCAGGATAGTCTTGATCTCTTGACCTCGTGATCCACCCACCTCAGCCTCCCAAAGTGCTTGGATTACAGTCATGAGCCACCACGCCCGGTAATTAATGTATTTCACTATACCGCTCCCCCACAAAAAAAAAAAATGCTCTTAGGAAAATAAAACATGAGAAAATGCATATCACTCTAAACTCTCTCTCTATATATCTCAGATGGCACAAGCAAAAGAACTGGATTGGCCCCATTAGGTAGTACAAACACACTGGAGCCTCCCAACAATGGACTGGGGCATGAAAGATCCATGCGCTGAAAAAATGACACTAAGTTGAACTTCTCAGACTACCCTTGGTAAGAAGTGAGGAGAAAGAATCTGAAATTGCCCGGCTTCTGTGTGCTCCATTTGAACTTAAGAAGTGCATTTGCTTTTGAACTCTAAAGCTTCAATCTCAGTCTCCAGGGTGCTTACTTCCCCTGTTTTGTGTGAACCTTTCCTTGTAGACACCTGTTGAGGACTGTATTAATAAGACACATTGTAGAAAGAGAAAATGCATTTTCTAAGCCAAGAAGGTGAAAGCTACTCTTTTCTAGGGCTCTTGTTAATCTTTGGGAGCCCAGCATCTTCTGTGGCAGAACAAAGATGATACAGGTGTAAATTCTTATTTTTTTTCCCCGCTCCCACAAAGAAAATGTTGTTGATGTGTCAGTGTTCAGCTACATTTCTCTTAAGATAAACAACAGAGTATTTCTTCCTTCTATCCTGAGGTTTTACAACTGGATTCCCATTGCTTTCTAGCATCATTCTAAATAGAACCCCACTGTCTGGCCACGGCCAGAATTAGCTCGAATGGTACCTGTTATTGAAAGGGAGTCTGTATTTGCAGTAATACAGAGAATGCCAGTTTAGAAATGAGCCTGATTGCATGGTTCATTTTGTTCTCCTTTGTAGAGCCAGGCTGCGGCCCACTACAAAGGCACGAAACATGCCAAGAAGCTCAAAGCACTGGAAGCCATGAAAAATAAGCAGAAATCTGTAACTGCCAAGGACAGCGCAAAGACTACCTTCACCTCCATCACTACCAATACCATCAATACCAGCTCTGACAAAACAGGTTAAGCAATGATCTTTGTTGTTGTTGTCCTCGTCGTCGTCGTTGGGGATTCCCTCCCTTGTCTAGCCCCATGTCTGTTTACTTATGTGCCTGCCATATTGATTCATGCTTGAGCCATCTTTCTGTATAATGGTAATTGTTTCCTCTCATTTTTCCAAACCCCTGCAAGATTAAGATAATCACTAATTATATTCCAGATTTTGCATTTTGCAAGAGTCCTGTGGCTGTTTCAGAGGAATAGTCATAAAAGGCATTTGAAGCCATGTACCCCATAACTCTTTTTGAGAAATGAACCTTTTCAGTGTGCAGCATTTGCATCTTGTATGCAGCACCTTAGCTTATAACTGCATGGCAGATTTAATTTAATTGTGAGTACACAGCAAAGTATGCTAAATGAATTGAGAAGGCCCCAATAAGGGCATTATTACAGAAAGCCTTTATTGTCATAAATTCCAAATACTGCATTGTTTTAAGTAGTGGCTGTGTGATACTGGGCTTGTTATGGCTGGGTAACCTTCCCTCTGCAAACACAGGTAAGTGTTATTGATACCAATTACTCTTTTTAACAGAGGCTTCACGGTGAAATAATGGCCTCTGAATGGCCCCTTGGGATAGCTCCTGCCAACGACCAGCTTATTCATAATAGGGGAAGCTAGTGAGGTTTCCCCAAGCTGACATTTTAAATATAAGACCACTGGTTTTCGAAATCTACAGAGAAAATATTCCTCTGTGATTCATGGATATACCTCTAATAAATCACTTTCTAGAACACAGAGACTGTTACACCTCAATTGTTTTCCAGTCCATGTGAATGGCAATGGTAAGGAAACGTTCATATCATCACCAATGATAGTGTCTTAACTGAAAGAGGATCTTCTGGATATGACTGATGAAAACAGAAAATAAACAGTGAATGAATAGAATAGATTACGACAACCTTATTACACAATGTAACATCCTTATTACACAATGGACACATATCAGCTCTTCCAAGGACTGGGGATGCTGCAAGTGAATCTGTAAGGGATAATGATATTCTTAGTTCCTGTGGCATTTTGTATTTTCTTCAGGTATTATTGTAGATGCATCATGCTGCCCTCCCTAAGAGCCCTGTGTTTTCCCTCAGCCTGAATACATGTCTCATCTTTGTATGCTGGCAACTGGTCTGGCATGGGATAAATGCTGAGTAAAATGTCTGTTGAATGACTGAGACTTATTTCACTCCTTTGGTTTGGTTCTCTGATATAGCCAAGTTTGTGCCACCACATACTAAAGAGGAAAAAAAAAGACAGGCTTGTCATATTCACTTCTTTGTTATCCAGAGCAAGAGCTGGATTGTGCCATTTTATTAATTTAGATTTAAACCTTTTAGGGAAAGCTTTGGTCTTTTCTCTAATAATCGAAGACTACCTGCTTTATTTTGAGGGCTGAAAGAGAATGAGTGGTAATGAAGCAGGTAAGTGTAATTTCTGCTCCCGGATATTGGGTCACAGGTGGGGATCCCCAAAGCAGCATCTGGCATAGAGAAGTGCAGAAAAATCCTGAAGCCTTTTGATGCAAAGAAGGCAGTAGGTAGGGAGAACAAAGAGATGAGTTTGATGTAAAGGGTTAAAGTGACGTTTTTCCTTGCTCCAAATTTTTTCTACTTTTAGACTTTTTAAATCAACAATTCATCTTTGGGTTATCTTGACTTTTTTAAAATATGAAAATATGTGTTTCATTAAGGATGCACATCATTTAAAAATATATATATGTGTGGTAGGTAGAGCTGCTAACTTGAGTTAAGAAAAGCCCCCCGGAGCTTGCTGTGAGCCGAGATTGTGCCACTGCACTCCAGCCTGGGCGATAGAGCGAGACTCCATCTCAAAAAAGAAAAAGAAAAAAAAAAAAAGCCCCCAGGTGTGTTGTCTCTGTTAAGTAAATGGGTTGTGACTAGATACTTTCATCTCTTAACTTAGAGACTAGAATACGTCAACCTAGAATAATCCAAAGGGTCAGAATCTAGTTTAAAGAGAGTTTATCCAAGTGTTAAGTTGGAGAATGGCTGCCCAGAAAACACAGATTCCAAAGAATGGAAGTCAGTATTCCAAAGTGTAGAAGTTTAGTATCATTTTTATAGACAAAGTTTAGGGAAGTTTAACAGAATTTCAACACCTCTTTCTATATAAGGCTTAATGCTTAGTTACAGTAATCTGACATTGGTTGGGGTGGTCTTATTCTTTTGGGAAAGGTATATTTAACATTTTATACTGAGGATTTAATACTCATGGGGTCTTTTGCACCATCTAGTCTTAGGTACAGGACAATAAAGGATGTAGTTAATATATAACAAATATCAGTAATTGGAAGGGGGAGGCAGTCTGGTGTCTGGTCTCTCCTAGTCATTTACAGAACAAGAAAATGAGGAAGAGAATTAACCCCAAAGAAGCAGAAATTGCAAACATGTTATGTGACTCAGACACCAGTGCTTAACACCCCCACCCCACCCCTTGGCATAATAAATTTAGAGGGTCCTTAAATTTTATTTTCTTTTACAACTTTGAAGGGTGGCAGTCTTCCAGGATCTGTCCTTTCAGAAGTTGAGTGGTAACAAACTTTGGATTTGTCTTTTGAAGATAACATAAACATGCCAGAACTTACCTAACAGTGGAAATGGTGTTGAGATGATGAAGCACCCTTCCAAGCTGGAGCTAGAGAAAATTTCAAAAGGGCAGAAGAGATAGTAAAGTCTGTAAAGTTGGTGCAGATATTCTAAAGCCAAAAGAAGGAAGCGATGGACATTAGGAAAGACATTGCTTTCCTAATCCATGAGGACCTATATCAGGAAAAAACAAAACAAAACAAAAAAACAAACAAAAAAGCAAGTTATATAGGTTGAGAGGCTAAGAGTTCCAGCACACTCATCAGATATTTTGAGCCAAATTCTCTTTAAACTGAATTTACACAAAACTCTCTATGAGAAAAGACACCCATTTCGTAGACCCTTATTCTATTTGTATTGCAGTATAAACCTGAGGCATCTAGGCTAACAAATTTGAGTTTTCTTAAAGCAATTACATGTTCTTTTTATTACTATGTGCTTCCTCATACTGATTAGCACAACTCTGAAAACAAAATGAGTCTGAGCCTGGCACAGTGGCATGTGGCTATAGACTCGCCTACTTGGAAGGCTGAGGCACAAACAATTCCTTGCATCTGGGACTTTGAGACTGGACTGGGCAAAATAAGTGAGACCTCATCTCAAAACAAAAGGACTCTGAGCTAATTTTGTAGAATAGTTAAATACTTGGCAGAAGGAGAAGAAGAGGTAGATAAGACTCTAGAATCAAAGATCATGCATTTTTTAATAATAAAAAGAAAATTTCTGGTAATGCACAAGAATCTTTTGTGATTTGTAGGCTTGTCCATATATAAAAGATAGAGACACATGAAATCACATTTTAGTAATTTATCAAATCATTTTAATTAAAAAATCTATATGAAAAGAGTAATCCAATTATATATATATTTTAAAAACCCAAACTAATTCCTTTGAAAAATGTTAAACATGTCATACTTTGGTAAATGAGAACCCCTGGAGAGGGTTGGGGCAACAATAGTGAAAAGGGGAAGAAATGGTATGGCCTTTAATTAGAAAATTGATTTGGCGGTTTTCTCTAAAATGTAAGAAATAGAAAGAATACTCACAGAAACTAAATTTTCATTGTAAACCTAGTTGACTGATATAAAGACAATTTTGATTGATAATTCCTCTTAAATTTTCAAGTCATATATTATTTATTAGTATAAATAATAAGGTTTTATCTGCTGCCTTGGGGTAACACATACATCTAAACCATGGGGTTAGCTCCTATTCACTAACTTTATGATCTTGGGTTTTTGTGTTGCCTTTTTCTCTAATTATGCCAGTCTGCTAGAGTGCTGAGCAGAAAATTGTATTCAGTGATCAGCCACTGACTATTCATAGAAAGAATGCCTAGTTCATCTATCTCAAGGCAAAAACACACTTCCTAACGTTAAAGAACAATTTTAGTTCTTGTGATCTAATGAAGAGTGTTAGGTTGGTGAATTTACTTGTATAAAAGTTTACAGGTAAAAGTAATATTTTTAAAAAATATATTGAGCACTCTAAATTGCTGATAAGAGTGGTTACTATTTGTCACAGAATATTTCATAGAGCATTTCCAAAGATAGCCAGAATAATTGTCTAATCTAGCAAGTGTTTTTAAATACCAAGTTTTTTATTTAGAAAAATTAATGGCAAAATTTTAAAAATTATACTCAAAGTAACTAGGCAAGTGTAACTAACTTGTGTTGTTTGTTCTTCTATGAAATGACAAATTCAGATTTGTCTGAATAAGTTCTGTACAAGGTCATTCCCTGATCTTTCTTTACTTTTGATTCTTAGGGAATCTCATTCACATTGTTTATCAGTTAGGTTAGGCTAGGTTATATTGCAGTAATAAACAACCTCTAAAATCCTAGTGGCTTTTGCAATATCTAATTATTTCTTACTCATACTACATATCAGCTGTGGTTTTTCTTTCATCTTAATTTAACTCCAGGACTAGGCTGACGAAGCAACCACTAGCTGGAGAATTCTATGGAAGAGGGGAAAAGGCTCTTAGAGCTTTTTAGTGGACTGACACGTAATATTTCTCTCACTTTTCACTGGTAAGTTACATGGCCAAGCCTGATTACAATGGGGCAGGCAAGAATAATTCTCCTCTAGAGAAGCAAAACAGATATTAGTCAGCAATTATATAACATTCTATTGTTAACTTCAATCACTAGACCTACAAATTTGGAGAGAAGAGCTTTATTTCTTATAGTTACAGCCTGCAGGGTGGCCATCCTGACAGTCTGGGAAGCACAGCCTCCATCAGAGTCTGAGAATAGGTACTTCGAGGGAGGAGAGATAAAACAGGAATTTATGCTGAAACGGTTGGCCAAGTATACATATTCAATGAGATATAGGAGGAGCTATGAATATTGACAAAGGGGGGATGTATGCATGCATACTAAGGAAACATTCATGTTACATATGACCCATGTTCATTTTGGGGTGGAGACTTTAAATAAATTACAATTAGGTCCTTTGAGTCAAAAGCTGAAACAGGGACATGAAGGCACTTACATATGCAGCCTCTGTAAACTGGCCAGAACCAGTCCATGGCCAGTGTTCTCTTATTAAGAGAAAGTTACTGAAGTCGATTTCTTGTCCAGTCAAGGCTGTAGTTATGGCTTGTGAAAAGTTGGGGAGTGTTAGGCAATGTCTGGTGGTCAGTGAGCTGCAATTGTTTCAATATTGCTTATCTTGAGTCCAGTGCTTGTTTAGCTGCTAGAGAAAAGAAAAATGTTGTGATAGTTAGAACAGTTAGAACATAGTTTACTCTCTACGTGTAGGGGTGTGTGCCTTAAACTTTGTCAGGCATGGCCTTAGTTGTTATTTAGAATTTTGTATCTTATTGCCACAAAGAGTCTGTTCCTTCAATCTTATGGTCTCTATTTGAACACTATCATGGCTTCCTTCAAGTATCACTTGTGCTTAGATGTCTTAAGATTCTCTTGCCCTGTCCTTCTCCTAAGTCCAGATCTGCTTTTCCATGGCCCATTGCTCACTTACTTGGATGGCTTTCAAGCATCAATACTTAACAGATTCAAAAAACAAACAAACAAATGAAAAAAACCAGTCCTCATCCTGACCATCATCGTTTATTTTGAGTTCTGCACTTCCCAGATTTGAAAGCTTTCTAGTTGTCTTTTCCTCTCCTAAGTTCTCACTTCTATTCAATTGCTAGAGTCCACTTCCCTCCCATTCCTGGAATGGTTCATGCTTTTACATGTTGTTACTACCCACATCCTGGCCTTGTAGATCTATGTTTTTCACATACATTTGCCCTAGCCTCTATGCAGGTCTAACTGCCTCCACACCTGTGTCTTGACAACCATGTTCTTCATTTTACTCTCCAGTTATACTCTACAGTACATAAACCACATCTCTTACCCATTCAGAAATCTTTAATGTACCTCTGTGCTGGACCCCAGGATCACAACCTACCTTTCCAATCTTCTCTTCCACGGCTTTCCTGCAATATTTTCCACTAGAGGCACACCTTGTTTTTCCATTGTTGTTTCTTGTACTGTAGTTCTAAAACACGGAAAATTCTTTCACTTTTCTTCCTCCTGCCTATAAAGCTCCATAAAACCAATTCCTTTCTAGTTGCCCTATCATATTCTTGCTAAAGGGAAGTTTTCTGCCTTTACCTTCTCTCATTGCTAGAGGGCATGCCTCTTGAGAGTACTCCCTTGATTAATTATTTTGCTTATGTTTTTATTTACAGAGTACTTTTTATATAAAAGATAGTAAGTCAAGAGTTTTAAAACTTGGAACAATCAGTTTTGTGTTTCTGTTCTTGGATTGAAGCATGGTAAAGCTTTAGACTTTTGTATTTGTGTATAGGTGGTTTCACGAAAGAACAGCGGTTCTCATTAAAACAGGGGATTCTGTGATATTGCTCATCAAATTTCAGAGTTGCAAGTTTTATTAAAGGTCATCAAGTCTAACCCCTAAAGGAGATTGTTGTTGTTGTTGTTTTTGGTTTTTGAGATTCTCTAGTCCTACAAGTAAAGAACACTTGACATTTCTAATGGCCCTTCAGTGACTATCAATCAGGAGTTAATTAGCCTATTGAGTATATGGATTTTCCTTAGTCATCTAATTGGTAAAGTCTGAGAACATTTCTCCCTGGTTCTATTACATAATTCTCTTTATCACGTCTCACTGAATTGCAAATGTATTCATCAGATAAAGCTACTAATTACAATTTAAATTTGCACTTTTCACTCATGACTCAGTCTTCTTTGTATCCAGTTTCCCTTTTTCTCTTTTAATTTTGAAATTGTAAACCAGGGATGTTGTACTCATCAGACTTAAAGGTACCAAAAGTAAAATACTTTTGAATGTATTGCTAAGAAGGTCTATGAATGCAAAGGAACTTTTATTTGCTCTTGATTCATAATTGACTGTAAGTGTTTATTGGAATGCACATTATTTGTTCAGGGACTTAGAGTAATAAAGATAATTTTCTAATGATAAAGAAGATATCTGATGGAAAATGATGGCCAGTGATTGAAAACAAATACACCTGGAAACAAAGACTCATAGGAAGGTCAGTCAATTTTAAGGTCACAAATCTGGATTCTTTTATTTCCTGCACATTACCCTCCTGAACCAGCTGTTTACCTCAGGCCCAGTGCCAGACAAATCTAGGTGCACATTTTTAAAAAAATTCATTTAGATAGAAGCCAAATTATGACAATAGTGAACAAATGAGAAATGTAGTAGAACAATAGTTTGTAAGGAAAAATCAACCTCAATATCCTTTAGGAAACAAGCAAATAGTTTTCTATGGAGGGCAACTGTAAATTAGCTTTTGTGTCTGTTTTCCTAAGGA
Source organism: Homo sapiens (assembly GCF_000001405.40). Classification (NCBI taxonomy): domain Eukaryota; kingdom Metazoa; phylum Chordata; class Mammalia; order Primates; family Hominidae; genus Homo; species Homo sapiens. The sequence goes on along the minus strand of NC_000003.12, from coordinate 21,503,403 downwards.
AGGTTGGAAGAGTTTGCTTTTCTTGACTTAGAGTTCAAACAAATGCAGCAAATATTAAAAATAACAAAATACAAGCTGGGCTTGATTTCAGAAAGACATATATCTCATATGTTTGTATATAGGATATATTGTACATGAATACAAATATACACATACATTGATTTTTATGTAAGATTCTGTCTTTAATACCTGTTCCTGATGTACGCTACTATTCCAAGTCTTCATAATCAGTGATGCATATTTTCTTTTAAGATAGACAAATGCTTTTGTGGGTTATGAATCTATACCTCTGTTGAAGTTTATGAGGCAATATAAAGTTATTTGAAAAGGGCACATTTCCATCAGCTCTTATAGATCTGCTGCAGTGGTGTACAAATGCCCCTCTTATCAATGTGGAAATTGTGCTAACTCCTGGGGTCTTTCTTTTCCTACCCATTCTCCCTAACAAAGCATCACTGGAACAATAACTGTCATGATAAAAGACCCACTGCATACGTCTTGGCACAGGAGTTGAAGCACCATTGTGAAACCATTTGTGCCTGGAGTGCTTTTTCTTTTCTTAGCACTGGCTCATGACATGCTTCAGATTGGTCAAAGAAAGAGATTTTATCAAGTGTTCCCTTCTCAAGATGTGTGATAAGTGCTAGCAGAGTGTGCTGGTAGCAGATCTTTAGAGATTGAAAAAGAGAAGGGAAATTCAGAAGTGGGGGAAAAAGCTAAACCTTATTTGAATATTGTGGTTCTAGGATCTTTGTATGTGAATCAGTGATGATAAATTTCACATTAGGAATGACATAAAAGTAACAAAATATTATATTCTGTTCTTTGTTGTGCATGAGGAAATTATGATGAATGATATTTGGCTGGTTCTATTTGGCTGATAAAAGTTTTGACCTAGATATATTATGTATATAACTGCTCCCTGCATCACATAAAAATTTTAGAACAACTGGATTCCTTACCTATGTATGTGCACATGTATGTATCCTGCAGGGAGGGAAAACTTTCAGTGGAATCTAGAAACTTACAGATCCTTTTCACAGGGGAGAGTGGAACAGGGATGTAAGCAACTTAGGAGAGAGTAAATGATGTTGGAGGGAAAATAAATGGACCCTCGAAAGAATAGGTAATAACCTGTGACAAAGTCTGTCCCGGTGTGATGCTGACTTACAGTCTCCACTCCTGTGATCTCCCCTGGTTGATGAGATGTCTTGGAAGAGCCTTAATGACAACTGAGTTCCTTTTGGAAGATCTATCCCTAGACAGATAAGAGGAGTTCAGAGAAAGCACCCCCACCCCTGCATTTGCTGTTCCCCAGTTGCCTTACTGAAGTAATCAGCATACCAAAGCAACATATTTTGGGGTGGCATTTGCTGAACTCCTTCAGTGCATATGCATGTGAGTATGTGTATACAGTGTGTTTTTGACTGTCTTTCTTTACCAGAGATTTTACATCTATAAAGTACCTGAAAAGCTGAACACCTAAGAAGTATTTATGATATAATAGACATCTGGATGAAATTTAAAAATTAAATTAAAACTCCCAGTAGCTTTGTCTGCAGATGCCACACTTCTGGAAACATCTGTGTCTTTGTGTGTTTGGGTGTGAGTTCATGGAGAGTTTTTCCTCCTCATTTTTATGTGATTCTTAGGAATTGAGTAGACATAAGCTTACATAACAAAATATTTCAACTGCAAAAAAATGATTCTTAAAGGTAGAAATCTTAAATATTACAAAAGAGTTGAACAATGATAAAATATGACAGAATGTCAAATGAGTATCTATGAAAACATGCAGACAATTAGAGAATTTTGTCTCCAATATGGAAAAGTGAACGGGTTGATATTTAATAGTAATAGACATGAAATGTGAAACAAAACATGCAAATAGTACATTTCTTGCAGTCAGGAGACAGTGTTTCTACTGAGTTCGTTGTAAAAACAAAACCCAAACTCAGACAAATATTTGAATTAAGAATTACACTTGCATTTTTCTTTTATGAATTCCAAAATCCATTACATGGCATTGATATGGCTCTGATGAGTAGAGGAACACCAGGGTTCTTGGTCCTCATGCTAGTTTAGATAAAAAGACATGGACACACATGTAGTGATTTTAAGGAGTGGAGAGTTTAATAGGCAAGAAAGAAGGAAGACGGCAGAAGGAAGAAGCTGTCCCGTACAGCGATAGAGGGAGTGGGTCTCCAAAGGCAAAAGAGGAGACCCCAAATTGAACGGAAACCAGCCAGGTATATATAGAGGCTGGAGGAAGCGGTGTCTGCTTGGCACAGGGCTTGTGGGATTGGTTTAACCAGGCATGTTATTCATGTAGCCTGCGAAAAAAGCTGGCCCTCCCACCCTAGCCTTCTAATGCAAATGCGGGGTGCAGTGATGTTCTACACACGTGGGGATATGTGGGGGCGGCTGTGTTGCCAGGCACACGTGGGGCAAGGACAAGAAGGCCACGGGAATTGCCTTGTTTGGGTGGACCCAGTTTCTAATTGCCTGCATTTGTATATCAAAGATTGCCACCAGGCTCTAAGCTGGGGCTTTCCAGCTAAACAAGAAATGTCTTTAAAAACGAAAACTTCCCAAGGACCCATTTTCCTCTCTGCCTAAAATAATTTCTTAGTAACTCCTACCACAGCATCAGAACTCTTTAGTGATCTAACCCTTGCCTATCATTTTTGCCAGTCTTACACATTTCTTCTCAACTCCTGCCCAATTACCTCACTTGAGGACTGAAAGCAAGGTGTGTATGTTCTTTTGCCTGGAATATTCCTCCATCATACCTCACCCCATCCCACACTTCACATGCTAACGCACAAAAGAATGCACATGTTGTGTGCCAATGCATATGTGCCTGGGTGCACAGAAACATGAACAAATCCATTCATATTCTTAGTTGGCTCATTCCTACTTCTAGGCTTCTGCATAAACTCATTCCTAGCACTCACTGAAATTGTATTATCCTCCTGCTTGTCAACCCCATGAAATTTTCAGCTTCTTGATGAAGGATACACCTTAATTTCATACATCTTTATTCTAGCAACTAGCACAGTTTTACATTAAACCTAGCAAATAGTACTGTATTATTTTTGTTTCTATGAAGATCTTGCTAGGAATTATTTTAATAGTAAAAACTAACACATACCAAAGTACATAGTAACAACTTGAATGTACATAATCAATAAGTTTTACTAATTGAACTTTATTACATTTAACTACTTTGTGATACAAATCAAAGGTATTAACCAGTGTAGCTCAGAGTTTGAATGTGCCACCATTGGGCTGAGCATTTCCCAGAGACAGCATAAAATTGCTATTTTAATTATCATAATTGCATTCAGATTCATCACTAAATTAGTGAGCTACTTCAGTTTCTAATGAGAGTTAAGAACATTTTAAAAAGCTCTATTGAGTCGGATTGACTATGTATCCAACTTTGCGTTGTGACATGGGTATGGGTTTAAATCTGAGGGCAGAAAGCATATTAATCCCATGGGTAGGGTCTATGCCACTCTTCCAGTGTATAACCAGTCTCTAGTTTGCTTTACTTTTGTTATGACTGAGTTTGTGGGGTAGCCTTAACAATATTTTATATTTACGTGATTGCTCAAACCAATTACCCACAAACTAATAGCTGATGCCTGGCCAAACCTAAAGATGAAGGTCAGAATGCAGAATGTGTAGCAGTAATGATACTGACCCATTTGGGCCTTATTTTATTGTTTTTCGTTTTTTGGTTTTTTTTTTTCAAATTAAAAACCCTTTTATTAGGTTTAGTGGTGCATTTGAAGGTTTGTTATACAGGTAAATTGCATGTCACAGGGTTTGGGGTCCAGTTTATTTCATCACCTAGGTAATGAGCATAGTACCCAATATGTAGTTTTTCAATCCTCACCCTTCTCCCACCTTCCAATCTCAAATAGGCCCTGGTGTCTGTTGTTCCTTTCTTTGTGTTCATATGTAATCAATATTTAGCTCCCATTCATAAGTGAAAATATTCAGTATTTGGTTTTCCATCCCTGTGTTAGTTCGCTTAGGATAATGGCCCCCGCCTCCATCCACATTGCTGCAAAGACATGATCTTGTTCTTTTTTAATGTTTACATAGTATTCCATGGTGTATATGTACCAAATTTTCCTTATCCAGTCTACCATTGATGGGCATTAGGTTGATTCCATGTCTTTGCTATTGTGAATCGTACTGCAAGTAACATAATGGATGCATGTGTCTTTATGGTAGAATGATTTATGTTCCTTTGGAGATATACTCAAAAAAGGGGTTGCTGGGTCTAATTGTAATTATGTTTTACATTATTTAAGGAATCACCAGACTGCTTTCCATCATGGCTGAACTAGTTTACACTCCCACCAACAGTATATAAGTGTTTTTCTCCACAACCTTGCCAGCATCTGTTATTTTTTGACTTTTTTTTTTTTTTTTTTTTTTTTTGAGATGGAGTCTTGCTCTGTCATCAGGCTGGGGTGCAGTGGTGCGATCGATCTCAGCTCACTGCAACCTCTACCTCCCAGGTTCAAGCGATTCTCCTGCCTCAGCCTCCCAAGTAGCTGGGACCACAGGCTCACGCCACCACGCCCAGCTAATTTTTTGTATTTTTAGTAGAGACGGGGTTTCACCATGATGGCTAGGATGGTCTCGATCTCTTGACCTTGTGATCCACCTGCCTTGGCCTCCCAAAGTGTGACTTGTTATTAATAGCCATTCTGACCAGTGTGAGGTGGCATCTCATTGTGGTTGGGATTTGCATTTCTATAATGATTAGTGATGTTGAGCATTTTTTCCTATGTTTTTGGCCATGTGTATGTCTTCTTTTGAAAATTGTTCATGTTCTTTGTCCATTTCTTAATGAGGTTGCTTGTTTTTTGCTTGTAAATTTAAGTTCCTTATAGATTCTAGATAGCAGAACTTCATCGAATTGATAGTTTGCAAATATATTCTTCCATTCTGTAGGTTGTCTGTTTACTCTGTTGACAGTTTCTTTTGCTATACAGAAGCTCTTTAGGTCCCATTTGTCAAATTTTTTTTTTGTTGCAATTGCTTTTGGCATCTTTGTCATGAAATCTTTGTCAGATCCTACGTCCAGAATGGTATTTCCTAGGTTATCTCCTGGTGTTTTTCTGTCATTTTAGATTTTACCTTTAAGTCTTTAATCCATCTTGAGTTGATTTTTCTATATGATCTAAGGAAAATATCCAATTTCAATCTTCTGCATATAGCTAACTACTTATCCCAGTACCATTTATTGAATAGGGAGTCCTTTCCCCATGGCTCGTTTTTGTTTATTTTGTTGAAGATCAGATGGTTGTGGGGGTGAAGCATTATTTCTGGGCTTTCTATTCTGTTTCATTGGTTTATGTGCCTGTTTTTGTACCAGTACCTTGCTGTTTTGGTTACTGTAGGCTTGCAGTTTGAATTTGGGTAATGTGATACCGCCAGCTTTGTTCTTTTTGCTTAGGATTGCTTTGGCTATTTGGGTTCTTTTCTGGTTCCGTAAGAGTTTTATTATTTTTATTTTTTATTATATTTTTGAGACAGCGTCTCACTCTGTTGCCCAAGCTGGAGTGCAGTGGCATGATCTCCGCTCACTGCAACCTCTACCTCTCAGGTTCAAGTGATTATCCCACCTCAGCCTCCTGAGTAGCTGGGACTACAGGCATGAGCCACCTCACCCAGCTAATTTTTGTATTTTTAGTAGAGACAGGGTTTTGCCATATTGCCCAGGCTGGTCTCAAACACCTGGCCTCAAGTGAATTATCTGCCCACCTCAGCCTCCCAAATTGCTGGGATTACAGGTGTGAGCCATCGCACCTGGCCATATGAATTTAAAAAAAATTTTTTTAAATAATTCTGTGAAGAGTGTCATTGGTAGTTTGATAGGAATAGCATTGAATCTATCAATTGTTTTGGGCAGTCTGGCCATTTTAACAATATTAATTCTTTCTATCCATGAGCATGGAGTGTTTTTTCATTTGTTTGTCTCACCTATATTTTATTTGCACAGTGTTTTGTAATTCTTGTAGATATCTTTCATCTCCTGGTTAACTGTATTTCCAGCTATTTTATTCTTTTCTTGACTGTTGTGAATGGGATTGCATTCTTCATTTGGCTCTCAGCTTGGATGTTGTTTGTGTGTAGGAATACTACTGATTTTTGTACATTGATTTAGTATCCCAAAGTTTTGCTGAAGTTGTTGTTAGATCTAGGAGCTTTTGGGCAGAGACTATGGGGTTTTCTAGATACAGGATCATATCATCTGCAAATAGGGATAGTTTGAATTCTTCTCTTCTGATTTAGATGCCTTTTCTTTCTTTCTCTTGCCTGATTGCTCTGGCCAGGATTTCCAGTGCTGTGTTGGATAGGAGTCGTGAGAGAGGCCATCCTTGTCTTGTTTCGGTTCTCAAGGGTAATTCTTCCAGCTTTGCCCATTCAGTATGATGTTGGGTATGGGTTTGTCATGCACAGCTCTTAATTATTTTGAAGTATGCTCCTTTAATGCTTAGTTTGTTGAGAGTTTTTTATAAGATGCGATGTTAAATTTTATTGAAAGTCTTTTTTGTATCTATCAAAATAATCATGCAGTTTTGTCTTTGTTCTCTTTATGTGATGAGTCACATTTATTGATTTGTGTATGTTGAACCAACCCTGTACTTCAGGGAGAAAGCCTATTTGATTATGGTAGATTCGCTTTTTGATGTGCTGCTGGGTTAGGTTTGCTAGTATTTTGTTGAGGACTTTGGCATCTATGTTCATCAAGGATATTGACCTGAAGTATATCAGATATATATGTGTGTATATATATATGATATATATATCAAATATATGTGTGTATATATATATGATATATATATCAAATATATGTGTATATATATATGATATATATATCAAATATATGTGTATATATGTATATATATGATATATATATCAAATATGTGTGTATATATATGTATATATGATATATATATCAAATATATGTGTGTATATATGATATATATATCAAATATATGTGTGTATATATGATATATACATATATACTTGATACCTAAAGTTGGCAGAGATAAAGAGTAAATAAATATATATAATACATAAATATATGTAAATAAATATATATATAAATTATATATATATTTATTTACTTTTTATCTCTGCCAACTTTAGGTATCAAGATGATGCTGGCCTCATAGAATGAGTTGGGGAGAAGTGCCTCCGCCTCAAGTTTTTTAGAAGAGTTTCAGTGGGAATAATACCTGCTCATCTTTATACATCTGGTAGAATTCAGCTGTGAATTTCCCTGGTCCTGGGCTTTTTGGGGTTACCAGGCTTTTTATCACTGATTCAATTTTGGAACTTGTTATTGGTTTTTTCAGGGATTCAATTTCTTCCTTGTTCAATCTTGGAAGATTGTATGTTTCCAGGAATTTATCCATCTCTTCTAGGTTTTCTAGCTTGTGTGCATAAACGTATTCATAGTAGTCTCTGAGGGTTTTGTGTATTTCTGTGGGGTCAGTAGTCATATCTCGTTTATCATTTCTGATCATGTTTATTTCAAACTTCTCTCTTTTTTCTTTCTTAGTCTAGCTAGTGTTTTATCTATCTATTAATTCTTTCAAAAAGCCAACTCCTGGATTTGTTGATCTTTTGTATGTTTTTTTACATCTCACTTTCCTTCAGTTCAGCTTTGATTTTCTTTATTTCTTGTCTTCTGCCAGTTTTGGGGCTGGTTTCCTCTTGTTTCTCCAGTTTCTCTAATTGTGATGTTAGGTTGTTAATTTGATATCTTCTTTACTTTTCAATGTGGGCCTTTAGTGCTATAAATTTCCCTCTTAAACTGCCTTAGCTGTGCAGAGGTTGTGGTATGTTGTACCTTTGCACTCATTAGTTTCAAAGAATTTCTTGATTTCTGCCTTAATTTCATTATTTACCCAAAGTAATTCAGGAGCAGGGTGTTTAATTTCCATGTAACTATAAGGTTTTGAGTGATATTCTTAGGATTGATTTCTATTTTCATTGTGCTGTTGGAACTTATGTTATTTTTTGCCATACTTTCTATTTCTCTGCCAGCTCTCTAGTAGAATTAGGTAAAGCTAGAAAGAAAACAATGCTTTCTTCTACACTGCTTATTAAGTAGAAGAGTTTGTGGGAAAAAAAAAAAATCATTCTTACCCTTCACTGAAATAGGGATTTGAGTCTGACTGATGGAACTCGAGGTTATTTATTTTTCCTTTTATCTATCTATTAATTCATATTCATTCTTAAATCTACAAATATTGTTGTAATATATGAGATATCGAAGCAATGAAAACTAATGCAGAACAGGAGTTCTAGCCTTAAGATATCTTCACTCTGGATGGTACACAAAATATAATCCAGGGTAGAAAATATTTGTTTGAAGAAAATAGCAGATACAGTGCCATGAACGTCTAGAGCAACTGAAATAATCTTTTCCTATAAAGGAGGTAGACGGGGACACAGATATTGTTAACCAGTATTTGTTAAACTTAATGTCAAGGGTATGTAATTTATAAAATAAATCCTTTGATGAAATGTTTCATTTAATCAACATTGAGTACTCAGTATTTCTAGTCATGAGATGTAGCTTCTGTCCTCTAGTGATTCATTTAAATGGAGGAGACAGAGAACAAAAAGCTGTGATAAAGTGGTTGAGAAGTTTTGTGCTAGAGGCTTGTAAAGATTATGGGAATACCTAACTCTTGGAGGTAAATGTTCTTAAATTTACAGATAAAGAAACCAGGTTCTGAGTTAGGAAAATTGACCAAGATAAAAAATCCGTAAGAAGTGGAGCTAGAGTTTGAGTGGCGTTTTGATTCCTCCCGGGGCCTTTGCCTTGCTGTCTCCTGTTAGGCAGCAAAACACTTAAACTTAATCTTCCCATAATCCTCCTTAGCACTAACCCCAATTTTGGTTGCTAACTGATATCACCATGTCTGCTATATTACTCAAGGTAGTTCCTTTCATTTTACAGAACCCTCAAACACTCCTAAGGATTTTGGTGTAAATACTATTCTTTACACATAAGACCCTGTAACTGTTAAAAGGCTCTAATGTGCCTGCCTACAGTTTATGTTCTTCACATATTTATTGTGGTTTTCACCTGCATGGGAGCTGGTAAGAGAAGATAAGGTCAAGGACCAAGTCTTTTTCTCGGTTTACATTTTGTTAATAAAAATCATGCTATTATTTTGCCAGAAAGAAAAGCTCTGTGGGTAATTGGAAAGTAACATCTTTGATCTCTTTGTGTAAAATTTATAGTAGATAATTTTGGATTTGCATGAGAAATCATTTCAACTTTGGTTTTTCTATTTATGCTTGCTCTTGTAATGCTATCTAGACGATGACAGAATTCTCTGGAATAACAAAACCCAAGTCTTAAAGACAAAGGAAAAAAAAGCCTGTTTTTCTTGCAGTCAAATGTTAATTTTTCAATATGAATATACAGAATTATCAGCTAAAGATACAAGATTACCTACATTGAAAGAGATTAGAGTTTTGCAGGATATGTATGATCTCCTTGGAATTATTGCTTTGGAAAAGTGCTTTAATTCTTTTAGGCAACTAAGGTGATCTTTAGTACAGTAATTTTGACAATTAAAAATCTAGGCTGGGCACAGTGGCTCATAGCTGTAATCCTAACACTTTGGGAGCAGAGATGGGAGGATTGCTTGAGACTAGGAGTTCAAGACCACTCTGGCCAACATAGCCAGACCCATCTCAAAAAAAAAAAGAAAAAATCCATTAACCTAAAAGGGATTTGTTCATGGCCCATAAATGCATGCTTCTCCCTATATTACTAAGACATTTTAGATCAGTATATAGTGTTACTTAAAAATAAGTTAGTGTAGTCCAGAGTTCAGAGGTCATAGTTTTTCATACAAAGGTGTCAATTTCCTAAACATGAATAAAAGTATAGTTTTAATTTATATAGCTTTTTAAACATTTCAATATGGCATCATCTAAAATATTACATTTTAGCCTCATCCAAAAAGAGAAAGCTTAAAAGTTATTTCTAAGTTATCAACATTTCCATTTTAAAGAATTTGCTTCACAGAAGACCATGAATATAAGAAATGGGACAGAAATCATAGTTATCTCTCTACTAGTAGAAACATAAATCTCTCATTTGCTAAATAATACAGAAAAAATATGTTGGTGACTTAGCATCTGCCTTCTTGTTATTTTCAGTTATTGATACATACTAGTATGTATCAATTTTTGTGTCCTAGTCAGGAGGAAGTACTCACCATCCTGAGAGATGAATGGATCTTTAAAAAGTGCCTTGCTCTAGCAAGAATAGATAAAATCAGTTTCTTTCTTTAGTGTAGTCCAAGATTCTAACCAGATTATATGCCTTTGTATTAAAAAACTAACCTAATAACTATAACTGGAATAATGATATAATGCATTATTTGTCATGGTATGAAACCCATTGGTAACTTCTGTTCACTATTATTCCCTTTATTCAAAAAGGTAAAGGTAACATCTTCCATCAAACTTGCAATTAATGGGGGATGGTCAGATAGTTTTTCTCAGTTGTATCCTGCCAAAATTTATTTATTTATTTATTTATTTATTTATTTATTTATTTTTGAAACAGAGTCTTGCTAGGCTGGAGTGCAGTGGCACGATGTTGGCTCACTGTAACATCTACCTCCCAGGTTCAATCAATTCTCCCGCCTCATCCTCCCGAGTAGCTGGGACTATAGGTGTTCGCCATCACACCTGGCGAATTTTTGTAGTTTTTGGTGGAGAGGAGGTTTCACCGTATTGGTCAGGCTAGTCTCGAACTCCTAACCTCAAGTGATCCTCCTTTCTTGGCCTCCCAAAGTGCTGGGATTACAGGTTTGAGCCACCATGCCCGGCCATTTTTTTTTTTTTAGTAATACGAAGAGTAGTAAAAGAAATCAAATGGGAGTATATTGACAAAGTTTTTTTTTTTTTTTTGGTCTTGTTTCTTGTTTGTTTGTTTTTGTTTGTTTATAAAAAACCATTTAGAATCCGTAAAGCAAACCCATTCAATTTGTGGGCACTTTGTCATCAAGTTGATTCAATTTAGCTATTGGTTTTTAATAATTGGTTATTTAGCTATTGATTTTTAAGCTATTGGTTTTTAAGAATATTTGTCATTACTTAAAAACCTTAGAAAGACTTTGCTTTATTCTCATCAAAATCCTACTCAATGTAAGCTTCTGCACAAGGAGTTTCTGATTGTATCAGCCATCTTTTTATTTATTGCAAAAAGAAAAATAAAACATTTATTATAATGTGTCACTTCCTGGTTGGGTCAGTGAGTGTATTTGCTTTTGGGCACCTCAGTTCAACATCAGCATTATGAAAAATTACATATATGGTATTTAGAATCTCTATGGTATGTTGTAATTTAATGAAAGCTTTATCTAAATGTGTGTGTATGTGTGTCTGTGTGTGTGTAGCTTTACCTTTAGTGTGCAAATAAAAGTAAAATTTTACATAGCTGGATAGGATACAAGTACTTTAGGTTCCAGCATGGTAAATATCCACTGTCAAAAGTAGAAAAAGAGAAGTCATCCAGTTGGCTATTACGTAGTGTTTAGCAATTATTTTTTCTGCAAGGGATCATGTAGTAAGTATTTTAGCCTCTGTCATAACTATTCAATTCTGACACTTGCATGAAAGCAACCATTGGCAACATGTAAATGAATGAGCATGGCTGTATTCCAATCAAAGTTTCTTTACCAAAACAGGCAGCAAGCCTACTTTGGCCATAGTTTGTAAATCTCTAATTTAGATACCTCCAAATATTAAGCTATTTATGATTGTTCCAGTTATCTGTGTATGCAGACAAACCAACTCAAACTTGGTAGTGAAAAAACTCTATCATTTATTATTAATATCTTTAATGATTCTGGTGGTTAACTGTGATTAAGTAGGCAGGGTTTTTTTCTTAGATGGGGAATAGGGGGTGTTTCTTTTATGTTATAGTTAAATGGCAGTTTGTGTAGAGTCATCTCAAAGCCTTCCTGACTTATGTCAAGCTGTTGATGCTGCCCATTATTGATCATCCTCCCTATGATTTGTTACTTGACAGATGAAGAAAATTAAATGGTACAGCTGAGATTAGAAACCTAATGTCTGAGTCCAAATCTCATCTTCTTTTCCCAAAAAAAAAACCCCTTTATCTGAATCCCACTACCACCATCACCACATCTGTACCACCCCTTTTGCCTGTACTTTTAGGCACACCTCACAGTATTTACATTTCAGTTTTCTCTACTAAGCAAGACTGAAAGCTCCTTGATAGCAATGAATTATCTTAAAACACCTACCTAACACAGGATCCTGTGTTAGGATTGGGTCACCAGCTGATGATTTTTATAGCTGCCAATTTAGAAGTTGGCCGTCTCTGAAAACTGGCTTAGCAGAGAGATTGAAACAATTTATCTAGAGAGTCACAAATTCAGCCGATGACCAGCTGAGTGGAAGTGATGCTCAGTGAATAATGAGGCTAATCTGACTGATGATCAAGATTGAGTCATGCATGCATATGAGCACCCAACTTGAAATGAGGTATCACTGTACGCATTAATTTATAACTACATATGAAGAAAAGGAGCCAAGTCTCATAAACCCAAGTGCTGGCCTTTCAAACACACACATTTCATTCAGAGACTCAAATTTGACAATGATACCTGATAAAGGCTCACATCAGTCATATCACAGCTGGGGCTGTCTGCCAGAGTACCCACTAGTGACCTCTCCATACATATTGCCTAGGCTTTTTCACAATATCACATCTGAGTTACAAAAAGACAGCTAGGCTGAAGCTGTATTTCCTTTTATGACTTTTACTGTAAAGTCACAACACCCTCTCATCATACTCTATTGGTTGAGACAGGCATAAAGGGGTAGGGGATAGATTCCATCTGATGATGATAGAGTGACAGTCACATTGTATTGTAAGAAGAGCACGTGAGGTGGGAATTAAACCTAGCATCATGATATTTTTTATTTGAAAATTTTTTTTTGGATTGGAATAACAGCAAGAGCAAAAGAAGAGCCAGACGTGGTGACACACACCTGTTGCCCCAACTACTCAGGAGGCTGAGGTAGGAGGATTTCTTGAGCCTAGGAGTTTGTGGCTGCAGTGAGCTATGATTGCACCACTGCAATCCAGCCTTAGTGGCAGAGTTAGACACCTCAGCTCTAAAAGTATAAATAAATAAAAATATAAAAAATACAAAAGAGATGAGTCAGGACAACAAGAGTTGGAGAGCAAAGGAAAAACTGGGACAATAGGAAAGACATGTTGATAATGATAGCTAAGGAAAGCAGAGGCTAAATTCAGATTTATATAAGGTTTAAGCTATGTGTTTGCTTCAAACCAGAGCCATGTGTTTGAAGCAAAAGAATTTTAGGAACTTATGTAAAGGATGAATGGTAGCCTCTCAAGTGGTCAGAAGAAGGTTGTGTTCAGGTCCAGACAAAGAAGGAAGTCAGAAAGAGGTCTCCATAACCAGAAGATTGGTATGCCCTTCATATTAGGCCACATTCTGACCCAACCAGGAGCTTCACAATGTGCTGGAGGTCTGGAACCAGGAACTTCCTAGACTTCTAGAGGTCCATAACCCATTGCCCATCAAGGGCAACCTGTAGCACAGGATGGGGCAGATATGAGGCAGATAAATGAATGCCTCTAGCTGGAAAAACACTAGTGTTGATAAGTGAAGTTGAATCCAGACAGGTGTCACAAAAGCCAAAATCTCACTGAAATGACTGCATCAATTGGTTGGTTTGACATCACATGTCTAAAAATAGATAGAAATAACCCATCTGGGAAGTTAAAGAATGAGGAAAGTCTTTAAAACTCTATCCCCTAACTTCTTTCATTTTTGTGCTCAATAAGCCATTTTCTGCATTAGAGCCCTCAGAAGAGCCCTTTAGAGCATGCACCTGATACGAGAGCCCTGAGACATCTGCTGTGCCATTTAAATCCTCTCTTTGCTATACCCAGCTTTCTCTGTCTATGGACCAAATGTGCCTATTTTTTGCTCCACTGATTTAATAGCCCCAGGAAAGTTGATAATGTAATCATAGAAGTTCTATCTGAATGGAACATCTTGAGTTCTATCTCCAGTCTTTCTTTGGGGCTTCCTGGACCGTGTAGACTCTAACTTTGCTACGTTGCAGCTGCTTTTGGTGCAGAGCTTATTGGAATCATTCCCTCTACTTAGTGTGTGTGTGTTTCTGTTAGTCTATCAACTGCCAGAAAAATTTGCCTTATTATTTAGCAGCATTTTAACAGGTTTCAGTCCATTAAAAGCAAAAGAGAGCATTAAATGGCATTCTTCGGCTGTTAACCAGTGAGCTTTCATCAGTTTATTAATAGACTCTAACTGCAAATGTGCTCGTTACCTGCTAGGGCTTTAGACTGACTCTAGCGGCAACAATGGTATCCTCTGGGACTAGAAATCCAATTCTAAGTTCTACCTTCAGGTAATGCTTTTGGACTGCTTTGGAAAGTTAAACAAATAAATGCTGAAACTTTCCTTCCAGAGAGCTGAAACTGACTAGATTTATTCATGCTTTAAAAACTCTGGCCTAAGAAAAAAATAGCCAAGACTAAAGTAGCAAACTGACCAGTGGGCCTAAGTCTCTTCCAGTTGCCATTTTTTTAATGCCATTTCTATCCTGTTTCTACAGAGCTATTACAATGGATGGACAGAAAGCTGAGATTCAGGATGATTGGGAGGATACACATGGTTTCTCACAGAGAGAGTCAAATTCACTAGAACAGTATTAAGAATTTTGCTTTCATGAGAGAGTAGTAAAAGATTCTACTCCAGAGATGTAGACACATGTGGCCACTAGAAAAGCTAAATTAATATTAGCTTCTGGTGGAACTGGCATGCTTTTGGGCACCTCAACTGATAGTTCAACATTAGCATTATGAAAGTCACATATACAGTTATTTAGAATCTCTGTGGTGTATGGTAATTTAATGAAGGCTTTACCCAAGTGTATGTGTGTGTGTGTGTGTGTCTGTGTGTCTGTGTGTAGCTTATTAGATTCAATTTAAAACCCTGGCATGCTTCCTCCTTTTCCTGATAAGAGTTGTGTTTCCATTTTTGCCTTTACTGCAAGATTAGAAGAAATCTTATCAACAATTGTAATCCTCATTGAAGTACATGGCAGGGAAAAGGAAGAGGTAGATCAAGCACAAGAAAGGAACGAGACATATAATTTTATCCCTGTTTCAAATAGTTAAAAAAAAATATATCCAAAAGGGACTATTCAACCAGGAAAGAGTGTGACGATGTAAATATGTAAGTTCAATTTTCAAATACGTCCACCCATCCTCTTCCAATATAGCATTGTGGAAGCTCTTGAGGAAAACTGGCTTGATTTTAACAACTAAAGAAATTTCATTTGCATTGCACATTCTTATAATAGTAACAATAGCTTACACATTTGTAGCACATAGTACAAGTTAGGCATTCTGATGTTTTACATGAATTGATTCATTAAATTCTAGCAAAAGTTCAACAAAGATTTTTAATTTCATGTTGTGAATAAAGATATAATACAAAGGAACACAGAAGTTAGGTACTTGCCCAAAGTTACACATCTGATAGAGATTTAGCTGGAACCAAGATGTGACGTCAGCAAATCCAGCTTCAGAGGACTGATCCTGAGTGCTAAGCATGTTGCTTCTGTTAGGGAAGGTTGTGATCTAGCTATGTGTATTATATTTTCAGCAAGTATGTTTGATTCTCATTCCTCAATCAAATTTTCTCCATTTTATGACTATATTAATGTTATGCATGAGTATATTATATGGTGTGTGATTGCATTTGGAAGCATCAGTAAATACATAGGATTGACAATGAGGAAGATTATAGTGTTATTAGACCTACCATCATGATGTTAGATAAGATTTGTAATTTGAAGTAGAGACAGTGCTTACCAAATATCTATTATTCCCCTACATGTTTGAGCCCCTCTAACATTTATATTGGGGCCATATAATTAATTCTAACAAATGTGATAATAAGCAAAAGTAACTAATTGTGAACTGCATTTAGAAAAAAAACCCACTACAATGTAGGATCAGAGTAGCAAATGAAAGGCCACAATATTTTATGGAATGTTAAAGAGTTAGAAAAAACACTGGAGGCATTTTTCCTGGAAAGCTTGAGGGTAAAGTGCGAGTTGTCCTAAAATATCTGGTGTGTTACAGTGTAGAGGAATGAAAAGCCTTATTCTAATGGCGTGAAAGTATATAGCAGAGCTAATCAGTGAAAAATACAGAGGAACTTATTAGATTCAATATAAATAAGAACTTGCTTTTGATACCACATGTGGGACCCTGCATTACATTTGTAAATCATTTATTTTTCGGTTTTGCCATTGTCTGCCACTTCCAGTAGAATAGAAGTTCTTCAAGAATATGTATCTTGTTCATAGCTATTTTCCTAATGCTTTGCATGGTCCTAGCCAGTTTAAAAAAAAGTATGATATGAATAGTCATCATACAAATATATGAGTGAATCAATGAACAAATAAACATTCTATCAAATAGAGCACTCTAGATATTTTCCTGACTTTGGAGGAATTCTAATACAGGCTATGTGATTGGTTGCTAGGAATATTTTGGAGCAACTTCCAGCTCTGGATTGTGGTCGTACTAGATGTGACCTAATGTCTGTCCCAATGCCCAGATTCTTTCATTTTTATATTTTACATTTGAACTTTCCTGATCATTAAAGCCTTTTGCTTTTTACTTCCCAGCAGATAGGAAATTCAGTCAAGATGTTTGTTGTTGCAAAACCACAAAGAAATATTGCAAGCATTTTTTTAGCCCTACCTGTTTGCAAGCACATTTATCATCTTTTGATAACATGGCATCCTATTCAGAGAAATGGACAGTATGCACTTTGTAATCAGGATGGAGGCTGTGATATGACTGATGTGAGCCTTTATCAGGTATCATTGTCAAATTTGAGTCTCTGAATGAAATGTGTGTGTTTGAAAGGCCAGCACTTGGGTTTATGAGACTTGGCTCCTTTTCTTCATATGTAGTTATAAATTAATGCGTACAGTGATACCTCATTTCAAGTTGGGTGCTCATATGCATGCATGACTCAATCTTGATCATCAGTCAGATTAGCCTCATTATTCACTGAGCATCACTTCCACTCAGCTGGTCATCGGCTGAATTTGTGACTCTCTAGATAAATTGTTTCAATCTCTCTGCTAAGCCAGTTTTCAGAGACGGCCAACTTCTAAATTGGCAGCTATAAAAATCATCAGCTGGTGACCCAATCCTAACACAGGATCCTGTGTTAGGTAGGTGTTTTAAGATAATTCATTGCTATCAAGGAGCTTTCAGTCTTGCTTAGTAGAGAAAACTGAAATGTAAATACTGTGAGGTGTGCCTAAAAGTACAGGCAAAAGGGGTGGTACAGATGTGGTGATGGTGGTAGTGGGATTCAGATAAAGGGTTTTTTTTTGGGAAAAGAAGATGAGATTTGGACTCAGACATTAGGTTTCTAATCTCAGCTGTACCATTTAATTTTCTTCATCTGTCAAGTAACAAATCATAGGGAGGATGATCAATAATGCAATTAAGGCCTCTAACATAAGGCCTGCCACATAGTAGGTGTTCTGAAATGATAGAAAGTTACTGTTACTATTTATTATGATCATTATTATTAATGTGAATTAGAATTTTGAGGCAGAGGTGGAATATCCCACTTCTCTGTAATCCTCACAGATGGGAAAAATGGTGAAAGGAGGAATCAAAGAGATGTTATCTATATTAAAAAAACATAGAGGAAGATGATAGCTAACCTAGCAAGAGCAGAAATGATGGTATAGCAGAAAAGAGTGCCAAGGCATTCCAGGTCCCTTGATGTGCCAGAAAGGTAAGAATCAATGATGCCTAATGGGCATTTGCCACCACCAGCTGGCAGTTTAGGACAATTCAAGTTGTCTTCTCAAGTCGGCTCCAGTATTTAGTAGAGCTTGCCCTTCATAATAACATAAGTGTCTCTCTAATGTTTGCATTAGGACCCATCTCCAGCTTTATCAAGTAAGTGAGCCTGTGGATCAGGATAAGCATTTTTTTAGAAGGCATCTTCCTGAGCCAGCTGATCATGTAACACTGTGGCTCAGAAACACGTACATGTGAAATAAACCTTGACGTGTTTCTAGCAAATAATTCAGTTTAAACTTAGGACATGGAAAGTTTCTGGTTCAAAAGAAAATGGAGTAAACTCATTTCACCTTATTTCTCCTGCATTAATTATGAATATAAAGTCTGGACAGAACACATAAGCCAAGCATTAGGAGACTTTGAAGAAAGAGAAGTAGGGAGAGAGGTAGGACTGTCTAGCAGCCTCAAGACTTACAGGATGACTCAGTGATAAGTTCCCCATTTTTGGTTTGTTTCCTTTATTTTGTTTTGTTTGCCTCCTATATATGCCGGTCTGGGCACAGGAGCAGTCTGCAAGCTAGAAGTACCAATGGGTTCAGACAAAATAGTCCCAAGACAAGTCTGCTCTTTTCAGTCATATTCTAAACTTGGAAGAGACAGCCTTGTAGGATGGGACTCTTTTGATTATACCCACTGTATTCCAGGAGAGCATCTCAAACCTACCACACCTCTCCCTCTCCTCCCTGACACTTCAGAATCTGGATCAAAGAGTCCTGCTATTTGTGCTCAGCACTAATGCAAGCAGAGGCAGTCCCCCCTCCAAAGGGCACTGGTAAAACTGCAGGGCAGGACACTCTTGACCATTCCCATCTTGTGACAATGGATCTAGACCCTTTACATATCCTTCTTTATAAGCTGGCATGATGTTAACCTTTGTCAGCAGGGGGCACTGGAGAGACATCGCAGGAGGAAGAGGTCTGTCTTCTTGGTCTTGGATGTTCACTGACCAGACTCCTGCGGTGCAGATAGCTTCTTCGAAAGATGCCCAGCTTGTGCAGTGCATGGTGTCCAGAAATGCCCACAGACTAGTGGCCTCTCTCAACACACCCCTAAAGCAGTTTTGTAACATTGTGCCTCTAGTGAGACATTTTCCTATGAACCACTTCTACTGGCACCCTAGAGGGTTAGCAAGTTCCACCTGTGATGCCTCATGGCAACCTCTCTACCATTCAGTGAGCCACGGTCAAACCGTGTCCAACAAGGTCTAGAGCTCAGCCCTGGGAAGGGTGAGCTCTTTTCTCTAAGCACATTATTTCAGCCCTAGGTAGGCATGACTGCTCCTTATATCTGCTATTCATATATTATTTGGAGATGTCTTTATTTCTTACTATACAATCGTCATTAAGCAATCCCTTGTTACAGTTAACATTAAATTTCCCCTGTCCAAATTACGATGCCAGTTTCTCTTTTTTGATTGGACCCTGACTGACAAAGAATGATGCCAATAGCATGATCCGTAAGAGAAAAAAAAAGATAAATTGGATTTCATCAAAATTAAAAACTTATGGTCTGCAAAAAAGAAATATTAG
The DNA here is from genome assembly GCF_000001405.40 of Homo sapiens. Lineage (NCBI taxonomy): Eukaryota > Metazoa > Chordata > Mammalia > Primates > Hominidae > Homo > Homo sapiens. Next base: position 21,483,861 of record NC_000003.12, on the reverse strand, counting down.
TCCAGGAGAAAATTTTTTAATTCACATATCTGGAAAAGATGTTATATCTAGAATATATAAAAAGTACTTTAAACTTGACAGCAAGAAAACAAATAATCCACTTAGAAAATAGACGAAAGCCATGAGCAGACATTTTGTCAAATAATGCACAGATGGTACAATGAAAAGCACATAAAAAGATATTCCACATTATTAGCTATCAGGGAAATGCAAATCAGCACATTATAAGATACCTCTACACACCTATTAGAATGTGTAAAATAAATAACAAATCCCATCAATGCTAAGTTCTGATAAGGATGTAGAGCATCAGGGAGTTTTATACATTGCTGGTGAGAAAGAATTTGGCATTTTCTTGTAAAAGTAAACATATACTTGCCATATGACCCAGCAATCTTACTGCTGGGTATTTACTCCAGACATTTATAACAGTTCTGTTAATCCTCACATACAGTAGAAACAACCTGTCTTTCATTGGGCAAGTGGATTAACAAACTGTGATACAGAGATACAGTGGGATACCACTCAGCAGTAAAGAGGAATAAACTATTGATATGTATAATTTGGATAGATCTCAAGGACATTATGGTGAGTGAACAAAACCAATCTCAAAGTGATCCATCTTTTACTATTCCACTTATGTGACATTCTCCAAATTACATTGAAGACATAGCATAGTTCCCAGGATTTAGGGTTGGAGGTAAGCTATGACTTTAATGGGGTAGTACAAATAACTATTTTTTGGAGCAATATAGCAGTCTATTCCTGATCATGATGATGATTACAAGAATCTACACATGTGATAAAATTTCATAGAAATGTATATTTAAACAAGATTACATGTTAAAGCTGGTAAAATGTGAATATAATCTCTAGTTTTTAATAATACTGTCTAATGTCAATTTTCTGGTTTTGGTAATTTTGTTTTGGTTGCTGTTGTCATTGCAGGAATCTAGATGAATACTACACAGAAATTCTCTCTATACTATTTTTGCAACTTCTATGTGGATCTAAAATTATTTCAAAGTAAAAATTAAGGAAACCACCACCACCGCAATGAAAACAGAGATCATGTTCCAATAAGCAGAAGAGTACCATGGTAGAAGGATGGGACTAAGACATCCTAGGTACTCATGCAAGAGTTTATTCAAAGCCTTACATTTGAGTTGGTTGACCTAATTTGATGTCTAGAAATTGGCACTTCTAAAAAAAATTTCACAGATAATTCTACTGATTACAAAGGTTAGGACATCACTAATTTGAAAAAGGGCAAAAGTTCAGCTTTGCCTAAGAGGGAGTAATCTCCCAGGTTTCTTGGGTTTGTGTTATTAGGAAGTACTTCTTCTGTTGGCCTGAACTTCAGTGACCATGGGCAAGGATGACTTAGGGAATGGTTGCCTCTAAACCTTTTCTGTAAAAGGCCAGATGGAAACATTTTGGTCTTTGCAGACCATACACTTTCTGTCAGAGTTACTGATTCTGCCATTGTAGTGCAAAAGCAGCCTTAGATCATACATAAATGAGTGGTCATGGCCAGTGTTCCAAAAAAACTTTGTTTAGAAAAACAGACAGTGTATTAGATTTGACCCATGGGTCACCCTTTACTGACTCCTGATTTAGAGAATTGAGTGATCCACACCCTTAGTAGGAGTCAACCATGTGAATGTCCTAGCCCATGAGTTTTTACAGTCATACTCAGAATTCATAAACAAAAGAGCCCAGACTGATAGACTCAATGGCTCTACATACTCACTCTTGCAAATCACACTTAGTTCATTGGACTCAGTTCTGTCCTCCTTACTTCAAAGAAAGTTAATACAATTATTGAAGGTCAGAAAAAAACACCCAGGACGGTGAATGAAATCTGGAAACCATACACTGGGAAAAGCATGTGATGGAACTGCAACACTGAACCTAAAGAAAATGTTGAGAGTAGTGTCCAAATATTCAATTTGCTATTTGGAACAGGGATTATGAAGTTTATGACTTCAAAAAATAGAACTAGATCTATTTATCCAGCAGTTATATATTGAGCACCTACTAAGTTCACATGCTGTTTTAGGCCCCCAAGACAAATATACTAGCTAACTAGACAGTGAAAGGAGGTTTCAGAAAGGTGACTTCCAAGTCAATAAAAAAGACTTCCTTAAAAATTAGAAGCTATCTGAGGCCAGGAGTGGTGGCTGTCACCTGTAATCCCAGCACTTTGTGGAGGCAAAGTGGGAAGATCGCTTGAGGCCAGGAGTTACAGTTTGTACTGAGCTAATATCACACACGGCACTCCAGCCTGGATGACAGAGCGAGACCCTGTCTGTGAAGGAAAAAAACAAGCTATCTGAAGGTAGACTGGTCTATCTCATGAGGCGATGAATTCTCAGCCATTGGGGTTGTACAAAAACAGTCTAGCACATAGAATAAACTGGCCTGGGGCATTTTAGAGGAGAATGTGTATGGGGAATGGTTTACAGTCTACTCTGTTGACCCTTGGGTTCTCACCAAGCTCCACAAGGGACCATAGTGTAGAGTTCAGAACTCTAGATTGTTCAATGCAGTTTCAATATCTGCATTTATGTATTAAGAATTGGACTTTTGCATAATCTTTTTCTAAAGAAAGAGTCTGTTAGCTAAAAACATGTTGAAAACCACTGAGGTGACTCTGATCAAATGCCCTGTGAGATATATTAAAATTCTGTCTAGATCCCCATTGTTATGATAGTAGAAATCTTAATCATGTTGCTTGTAGGTGATCTCAGTCACTATCAGCGATTGCTCAGCCAGTGTCTTAGACAGCTTTTTGTTTCTCACCACCTCTCACTCTGCCTAGGATGGAGTAAGCTTCAGTTAATCAACTCACATATGTAGAAAATCTTGAAAATAAAATAAATGTTTAAAGATTATCATATGTGATAAGTAAATTTGAAATGTACTTTCTTAAAGTAAAATTCAATGATTTATGTAACAAATGAAATGACAGTTACTGATGCTGTTATTTGGTTAAAATTGTTTTGAACACCATATCCGAATACATATCTAAATGTATTTGAATTATAGGACAGATTTAAATTACTTGCTACTTTGAAATGATCTATATTCTCTGAATTAAAATAGATTATTGGAAGATGAGCATATTCATGGACTGAGCTTACAAAATAGAACAAGTGAATATCGAATGTCAATCAAATAACGTACTAATGAATCAGGCCATATGTGTTACGCATTTTAGTGATCATTACAGTAAAAAGATCACTCTTTATCTTCCGATCTTTCTTCATTGGAAGGAGCTGGGTGACCGGGCTGTATGTGATGGGGACAGGGGAACAGTAAGGAAAGGAACTTCTGGAGGGTGATTTGATATTGAGTGACAGGAGGCCTTACCCTTACTGCCAAATCAAGCAACTCATCCTCCTGGGGTTCCTTTTTCCCACACAAGTGAGAAGTTTATCTTTTTAAAAATTTTCAGGCTGGGCACGGTGGCTCACACCCGTAATCCTAGCACTTTGGGAGGCTGAAGCGAATGGATAACCTGAGGTCAGGAGTTCGAGATCAGCCTGATCAACATGGTGAAACCCTGTATCTACTAAAAATACAAAAATTAGCTGGGTGTGGTGGTGGGTGCCTGTAATCCAAGCTACTTGGGAGGCTGAGGCAGGAGAATTGCTTGAACCCCAGAGGCAGAGGTTGCAGTGAGCCGAGGTCGTGCCATTGCACTCCAGCCTGGGTGACAGAACAAGACTCTGTCTCCAAAAAAAAAAAAAAAAAAATTCTTACATTCTCTGTATAAATATATGGGCCCACCGTGTTTATTATATGCCACCATCTCTGTATATGACTGTTTTAATATGGGGAAATGATACTAATGTAAAGTGTATTTAAAAAGCAGATAGTTCTAATCTCTGATGGCTGTAGATTTTATTTCCATTTTTAAAAAGCAGACCAAAAGGAATAATCTGTATATTTAAATAGCAATAATTACCACAGGTTCTGCTTGCATTAATACTGTCTGAGTACATTATGAAGCATTTGTCATAGCTAATGCATTTCTGTCAAATCAAGTAATATTAGAAAGTGGCTTTTGTAATGAATATTAATGTAAGAGACAGCCATAAGTGAAGCAAATTATAGAGGCAGGTAAATGTAGAATTAGCGATAATTGCAAAGTAGCCTTTCATTACAAATTAAGTTCTTCTTATGATGTTAATAAAAATGTAAGGCTCTAGGTAGCCATCAGCAGCCTGCTGAACACTGATAGGAGATTGGAAGTGCTTTTCTTATACTCTAATTCTAAATCAAAATCCTTAAATACCTTTGCCATACAAAGAAATATTTGCATGTCTTAATTTTTTATTCTTGGCCTTAAATAAATCTTTTAAAGAAATCTACTCTTTAGTAGAGTTAATTTGTAAGTCCAGAGATACTTACAGATGCATAAGTTTAGAGAATAAATTAATAGAGTACTTTTTGTTCATTGAAGCTAGATGCTCTGTAAATAAGAGATCATTAACACATCATAACATGTGTTAATTACACATGCTAAATTATGGATCAGTTCTGAGAAGAAAAATTTCCACAAAAGTTACATAAGTAAAGATAAATTTCTCAAGTGTATCCTGGATGAAATTACACGGAAAGATATGCATTTCCTGCCTGAATATTGAACCAAATTAACTTAGAGCTCTAGACTCCTCTAAAGCTTTCAGTAGAAAAAAAAAAACAATACTTCTAGACTTTTATACTTTCAAGTATAAAAATATTAACTTTATACTTTATGTTTTTATCTGAAATAATGTAGTCACAGTAATTTATATATATATACCCAATATTTACAAGAAATATATGGTTTTCACTTTATCATGTTATATATTTCTTTATGATTACTATTTTAATCATGCATAATACAAGTTCATTATGTACATTTTGAAAGACTTATATGACCTAAACATTTTAAAACCTCCTGTGATTCCCTTCTCCTCCAAATTTTCCTGCTGCTAAATTTGAATGTAGGTAAATAGAAAAAATAAGTTATCTTTCTTTCTGTCCTTTAAGTCTATTTTCTGTGTTACTGGGGATGGTGTTTTTTATGGAAGATAGTCATAAACTTGAATAAAAGAGATTGCCCTTTCTTTCTTTCAAAAGAAATAGCCAGTACTAGGAAAAAATAATCCTACTTCAAGTATCTGATTCTTTCTGTATCAGAGGACAGCTTAGGCTAAGTTACGCCTAAGCGTGAGGATTTTGACTAGAAAATATTTGATACATATTTAAGTATCCAAAGTTATAGTAATAGATGACTCCCAATCTCAGTGGCTTACAGTAACAAAGGTTTGTTCTTCACTGTGGCTCTGCTCAATATGACTTCATTTCTGGATATACTCTAATGGAACAGGTGTATCTGGGCATTGCTTGTTTTAAAGTTCAAAGAAAATGAACATAATGTTAGGGCATACATTATCTATGTTACTTCAACTCTTTTATCCTTTTTACCAAAGTCAATTGCATGGTGAGGCCTAATGTCAGTTGCACACAGGCATATATGCACTCCTCTGGTAGGGAAGAACACTGCAGAGAAAGTGCAAAATATTCAAATATTCAAAATATTTGAATATTTTGAACAATGATGCTATCAACCACAGGACAAATATTTGTTTATATAATACACATTTTGGCATGCCTATTATGTGCTAGGTTTTGCTTTGGTATTTAGGCTGAAGTTATGAATACTATAGTCATACTCTTTTCTTTCATGGATATTGCATTGATTGAATTTTTGCACTACTTTCACAGAGGCTATAAATACTCCTTCCTGAACAAAATTCTCATTAGGGATGAGGAAGTAAGAAGTAAGCCAAGGACATTTTAATGCACATTCCTGAAGATTCTGATTGTCTCTGGAAGCATGCCCCTTCCCACTTTGTTGTAATAGTAGAGAAATTCACTATCATTGAGACATTTGTTCTTTTTATTAGAAATGTAGGTGATAACAAATAGGGCAGAAAATTGGTGGCTATCCATATATGTTTATTGGTTTTAGTTTCTAGGAGTGAGCATCCATGAGGGATGTGAAATCATTTAAAGAAAATGTTTGCTTTGGCACAGATTTTTGGGACATCAGAGAAAAGGCAACACTGCTAGAAGAAGCCATGAACAAAAACAGTGGAGCAGGAATGAACATTACATTGGTTGATAGGGGAATTAGAATGTCAGGGTTAGATAGGGAGGATGGAGGTCCACCAGCAAGTGTGGGTAGACATAGTAGATTAAGAATGCAGAGCTTGACATCAGGGAGACAAATCTAACAGTTAGTAGGGTATTTAAGAATCAGCAGTGACTTGAACAAAACAGTATGTTAGGGAGATCTTTGCTAAATTATTCATTTAAATATGATGCAAATTCTACCAAAAGTCCAGTATGTTTTTGATGTTTATTACTATTATTTTTGAGACAGGATCTTGCTCTGTCACCCAGGCTGAAGTACAGTGGCACAATCACAGCTCAAGGCAGCTTCCATCTCCTGGCTCAAGTGATTCTTCTGCCTCTGCCTCCCAAGTAACTGGGACAACAGATGCATGCCACAATGTCTGGCTAGTTTTTGTTTGTTTTGTTTGTTTTGTTTAGTTTTGTTTTGTTTTAGTTTAGACATGGTCTTGCTATAGAAACCTCAACCAGGCTCTCACCCAGGCTGGTTTTGAACTCCTGAACTCAAGTGATCCACCCTCCTCAACCTTCCATTAACTGGGAATGTTAATAGGACAGGAAAGGAAGGGGTCCACTGGAGTGGCGTAGTCTCTTGGATTTAGTGTATTAGGCACAAGAAAGGAAGAAGTGACTTAAATATTGTAGGCTGGAAGGAAGGTCTTAGAAGAACCTTGTGGTGGTTATAAAAATGGGTGGGGTAATTGGTGACATAGAATGGTTCAGAACATTCTCACGGACTCCTCCAGTGATGAAAACACAGAGAGGGGTATGGATACCGATGAGACTCTCTGCATGCAGGAGTATATTCACCTCAGAATCTCTTCCACAGATGGGAAAGAAGGAGAGCTTCCTGGAACTAGTGTTTGGTGGAGAATTAGGTTCTGGCCAAAGTGAAATAATGAAAGGAGATAAAAATTACATTTGGGTAAGGAAATATCTTCTTCAATAGAAGAGAAAGGTTCTATTTTAATTCTGATCTAAGTTTTTAAATTTTAAAAATGTAATCTCAAAAGAAGAGCCACTCTTACCTCACAACAAATATATTTTATATATTACAAATGCAAAGTAATGGAGAGTATAATTCTATCACACGCATGCACACACACACACATACCCCACCCTGAGCATAAGTGTCTTCATGACATAATTCAAACCAATATATGTAGCATTTCCTACTATGAGAGGGAGATAATTGAGCTCAACATCATCAAAAAAATTCTAATTTGTATGTGAGGGTTGGATCAGGTCTAATTTTTAGAATTATTAGGTAAATAATAGAGTTGGCAATTATCCCTTTCAAGGATAATTGCTTCAAAGGATAATCTTTTAGAATTATCCCCTTTATGATTACTTTGTCAGATCTGTTTTAGGGGCTGAATGAACAATTAAATAAGGAGTGGCCTTCCCTCATGATGACAATGCTTAAATCCAGACTGAGATCACCAATAAAGTGGATTTAATTCTGTGTTGAAATCCTATATTTCAGTTGAGTGAAGCTGTCATATGCATTATCATAGCTTGCAGCTTTTCTGCCTAAACAAGTTTCAATTGTTTAAAAGTCTAATACTGCAGTTCAGAGATGAGCAATGTTTACAGAGCTGTGTTCAAATAATCAAGAATATTTAACTGTGCTCTATCTCCTAATCCATATGACCAGCAACTTCTGAGAAAGCAATATTCTTATGTGTCTGCTGATGATTTACTGGGCATGCAAAATACATAGAGATACACAAAAGCTATATCTAAAGGATGAGGTCTTTCCCTACATAATAATGCACTGGAAATAATTTTATATCAAACCATAAATACCAATAGAAAAAAAAAAGATTTTCCTTCATATGCCAGTGGAATCTACTTTAAACTCAAAATTTAAGTGTCTATAAAATATAATCTTCCCTGCCTTACACTTGCTTTGCATGAGTGTAGGTATGCATCAGTTATTTTCTTGGGAGACTGAAAGAGTTAATGGGCCTGACATTTTAAACATGTGTGCCTTTAACTTTGAGCAGAATGGAGCTCTTTGGCTCATATTAAAAAATTAAGATGTCTTGAAATTTCACACAATTTTAGAAAATTGGAATCCGGAGGATCTTTCCTCTTGGCTCTTTTTAATATTAGAGAAGTCAGTCTAAATAATAACTTTGGATTTTAAGAAAAGATAAACCTTTTGTTTTAGTAACTTTGAAAAATTTTAAAATGTATATCGAATCCCAAAATTTCTCAAAACAAAAATCAAATAAAAGGGCCATTAGATATTTGAGAATACAGATGTATTTTTATTTCATACATGAAATTATTTACTTAAACATCACAGACAGAAGGTTCACTGCTCCAGATTTGAAACAGATACCTTCAGACAAATAGTTATAGAATACATATAGATTTTAATGTGAAATTCCCAGTATAATTATTAGGTTGGTGCAAAGGTAATTGTGGGTTTTACCCTTACTTTTAATGGCAAAAACCACAATTACTTTTATGACACCCTAATACACTGTATAACATAAATAATTCAAAAATTCAAAAACTAGTAATGGTAGATGGGATAAAACAAAACAATTATTTCCCTAACCTAAATTTCTTGTGAAATTTTCCTTTAGATTCCTAACCATCTCAGTAGCATTTTTTCACTCTATAAACTATATGAAAAAATATATAACATGTCAGGGGTTTAACTGCAAATTAAAACAAAAAAAATTATATTCTTAATTTTGTATTTTCTGTACAAACAGCTAGAGAAAGGATTTCTTATCAATTACACCAGATATGTCTTAGTCCTAATTAAAATATAAAGCTATTCAAAAAAACATGTCATGAGGAATGTAATCATTAATATGAGGAATTTATCACTTATGTATAATTTGATTAGCAAAGCCAAGCTGAGTTTCAAACAGTACAAAATGATTTTGGGTTTTGAGGACAGCAAGACTTGTGAGAGGATTTTGACTAGAAAATATTTGATACATATTTAAGTATCCAAAATTATTATTCAGTTTTCTTTATCAGGATTTACAACACATTAAAAATATTTCTAACCTCCAAAGTAAAATGGGAGAAATTTCAGAGATATGGCAGTTTGTACTATAAGCAGATGGTGTAGGATAAAGGCTCATTTGTGTGTATCTGATGATCTTGGACCTACAGTCACCTCCAAACAATGTGTTTGACCTTGGAGAGTGATTTGGCCTCCCAGAACCTCGTGTTACTCTCATGTTACCTGAAAGGATAGAATGAGATCAGATTATTTAGCACACATTTGTTTCTGGGGCACCTACTCATTGTCCAGAGATCTTGTTAGGTGCTAGAGAAATGCAACAGTATAGACACATAGTCTTCATGGTTTGCTATCCTCACAGTCCTCACAAGGTGTATAGTTGTATAGTTTACCTCAATCCTGTAGTCTGGGGAAACTTCTCCTGCCACTGTGGATAGAGACATTCCTTTAGGTTTCCCTACGTAAGCCATGGCCAATGGAAAGCAATAAAGAAGAAAAATGGGCTGGTTGAAAAGTTAGACAATGCCTCAAAGCAACATCAATCCATTAAAAAAAAATTTGTTCCACGTGTTCTCGAAGGTACTAGGTATACAGTGCTCAGTAAGTGCCTCACAACTTAATGGATGAACTTATAATATATAAGATACATATATATACACACACACATATATACACATATCTAGCTTACACATATTTATATATATATAACAAGGCATATATGATATAAAATATCTGCTATCTTATGATATATCATTAGGCTTATAAATTATAGTTTATGTTAACTACTATTAAAAGGCAGATGGTTTAATAGAAGAAAATGGGTGAGCGTCTAAATTAGATTGATTAACCAGGAAAAGTGTCTCTGAATCTCTGGTCAGCTAACATTTATGTCAAGAACAGAGATATAAGAAGGATTCCAAAGACGTTCAGCCCATTCAAGGGAGAAAGTATATGCAAAGAGCTTGAGACAAGAAAAAATTAGCATATTAGAGAAACTGAAGATAAATATGTCACTCAGGTTTGAACAACAGGGTTTAGAATCCATCTTTGTTTTAGTAGACAGGTTAAAACTGATTACAGGTTCAGTAGAAAAACTCAAGGAGGAAACAACCTTGAGAAGCAAGCTATAGCATTGGTTCAACAAGGGGCCACTTGCAGTATCAGGGAGACACCCTACAACTAGAAAACAACCACACATAAAACATTTCCCCAGACAAACCAGATCCTTCCTTGATACTATTTGCCAGAAAAGGAGATAAATAAAAGAGGCAGAAATTTGTTCCTTCAATCTCACGTAATCTAATTGGAAGAAAATAAACACAGCCAGGACCTATGTGACCTATGTGGGAGTTAATTTGGGAAACAGAGTTTTTAGCTCTCCAACCTTTGGCATGGGTGCTGAGCCAGACCACCACATCCTCCACAGAAAAGGAGACCATGACCTTCAAGCAGACAGGAGCCAAATCATACTAGAGTTTTGCAAACTGTGACAAGCAGTTGCACTTTTAAAACAATAGGAAGCCATCAGAGGGGATTAAGTAGGAGTTAGCTTTTTCAAATGTTTAGTATGGTTTTAATGTAGGGAGTAGATTAGAAGTTAGGAGTGAAATCAAGGTGATTGAAGGTGATTACGTCAGTTTAGGCAAGAGGTGATGGTGACTTGGAACAGTGTGGGAATAGAAGTGGTGAGTAGATTTAAAATAGATTTTTGGTATTCTGAAAAAAAACTCTAGACAAATTAAGTTTAGCAAAATTTATCTGAGCAAAGAACATTTACAAATCAGGTAGCACTCAGAACCATGAGAGGCTCAGATAACTCTACCCAGCAATGTGGGCAGGCGATGCAAATAAAACAAAGAAGTTGCATACAGAAACAACTCGATTGGTTACAGCTTGTCATTTGCCTTATTTAGACAGGCTATGATGAGGCATCTCCTTATATGAACATTGTCTGATCAGTTGGCAGCCTGTGATTGGCTGAAGCTTAGCTGCTGTAATTGGCTGAGACTCAGCTCTTTGTTACAAGGCTATACCCATAATTTAAGATGCAGTTTGTTCGCATATTAAGTTAGATTGCAGTTTGCTGCAGGTGGAAGCAGCTTTAGGTCAAATTTATTTTAATTTAACAATATAGAAACAAGAGGACTTTTTGATGGATTGGAGGTAAGAGGTAACACATGGACAATGGGCTCAGGGATAAGTGATTGGCTGCATAGTGTAGCCATTTACGGCTGATGATCAGATTTCCTAAATTGGAGTTGACCACCTTTATTTAGGGATACCCTACTAACTTTTTTTGCTCTTATTTTATAGTCCTCCTCTATGTCCTTTAGCATGGCCATTAGGCGCACTTCTTGTCTGGCTTTTTCTCTTAGTTTCAACCTCTTCAAGAGTAGAGATTTCTTGTTATGCTTCTAAATTTATTTTGTATAACTCTAAAGGGCCTAGCGTGGTTCCTTAAGTCAACAGATGTTAAAATGTAACTAAATGTTTCTTCCTTTGTCATCTTCTGACTTTTGGCAAGATGATTTCATGATAAATGTAAGAAATGATCATTTTAAAAGCTTTTGGAAAAAGTTGAGTTTGAGAATTTATTGACGAGCGTAACATAAAATAAAATTTAAATATTCAGGTCACACTGTGTTGAATGTATTTCAAGACAACAATAGTTCTAATTAATCCTCACATAAACACAAATTTTCTCCCTAAATTAGGCAAAGTAATCTAGCAAACATAGCATTTTGTTTTCTGAACTTATGTATGTAATAAAATGGGAAGAAGTAATTATTATGTTTTCTTCCAATGAAGATAAACATAACCAGCAAATAATAATTGATTTTCTTTGTCTCTCTGAGATTTTAATGCTCAAAGATATTCAGAAAGACCCTGTAAATCTACTCAAAAAGAAATAATTTTTCCCAAATGTATCAAAACTAAAAAGTCTTAAGGGAAATGTTTCCCATCATACTTCAAGCTATTTCAAATAAGACAAAACTGACTGTAACAAAAAATATTTTGATGTTTAACTCGAGGGGTGAGAAGTGTTTCTCTGTGTTCCATCCTCTGGGAATTTTTGATCACTAAAGATTTTGTATAATGGATTAATTAACAGAACTGTTTCCACCATAAATAATGTAGGCTGACATTTTGTTGAAGAGAAATGAGTTGCTTATTTGTTTTGGGCTCTTTAGTGAGAATATCAGAGGTGCTTTAGGGATTATGTATTAATGGAACCTCTGCAATATTGGCAGACTATGGCTTTGAACTTTGTCCATGAAAATAATGTCCTTGTATGGATAGATCCTACCAAGTAGTAGTAAAAAACAGCCATCACCAAGGTGTGTGTGTGTGTGTGTGTGTGTGTGTGTGTGTGTGTGTGAGAGAGAGAGAGAGAGAGAGAAAGAGAGAGAGAGAGAGAGAAAGGGAGGGAGGGAGGGAAATATGGTTCAGTGAAATGAATCCTGGAAGGAAGGGAATATGGTTCAGTGAAAGGAACCCTAACTCAGAACTCAAGATAATTTGGGCATAACGCCGGCTATGACATATGTGTCTGATCTTGGGCAAACCATTTGTGCTTTCTTTTCATATGTAAATTGAGAGACTTAGAACATGAGACCCATCATCTAACTCTAAAATTCAATGATTTTATCAATGGACAATAAGGGATCAATATTAGTCTATATTCCCTTTAAGTATTGAAAATAGAATATGAATTTGGAGCCCCACTACTTTAGTCTACTATCAGACTCTAATGGCACCATTTTGTTGAAATGCAGTAGCAAACCTTCCCAAAGTGTGTTCCAGGTTTATAAAGGTATACTGGGCCCATTGTGGCTGAAAGCTGGGAATGATCATTCAAAACCAATTACACTACAAAAAGACAGGATTTTTGACTTTGTCAAAACTCAAAATATATGTATATTTTGCCTCCGTAGTCAAACCTAGAGGACACGTCTGCCTGAAGGAAGTTTTCCTGTGGATCTGGCTCAATTAGGATCTGTGATAAGAGAATAAAGAGTATACCCTGACTAAACGCTGGGAAAACCATTTGTTTTTGCTTTCCCAGAAAAATTAAAGTTTGAAACCATTTTAAGCACACATCTCACTTGATTTGGCCTTTTCTTTATATATTTTCATGTCATCAGTTTATTTTGAGTAATGTCTTTTGATAGTACTTCTATGAAACTATACTTTAAAGTTTTAGAAAGGTTTATTTGTAAGTTTATATAATGTTTTCTCATTTTTTACTCTGACAGTTTTATAGAAATCTGGGGACAATGTAGGCAGAATACACCCACCCCATCACATTTTAGAACAATGCTAGTGAATTTGGGCTGAGAATTCTAAAGCAGGACAGCTACCTGCTTTCCTGAAGCTACCTAGAAAACTGCTTAGGATCCACTCCATTTTAAACGAAAAGGTTGTTCATAATGTGCTCTCAATTCTTTAACTCTTTCAGTACATATTTATTGAAGAATTGGTCTGTGAGGCACTGCACTAGGCAAAGTGACAAAATATAAAAAGGTACATAATGGGTTCTCTTACCATAATTATTCAATGAAGTTGTACTTTTCCACGGGGAAAAAGTACTGTAAGTGCCTAATATGATACACAGTAAGCAAAGTGCTTAGAGAAAAGTAGCTATACTTAGTTGCTACGACTTCCATTTTATCTGGCTTTCAAATCAACACGTTCCATTAGTAGATATATCCTTAGTCCTTTTACCCATTAATTTTTTTTTTCTTAAAGCACCTGCTTTGTGGAATACTTTGCAAGAAATGAAGGATTGCTTTGGATCTCCACTGTTAAATGTCTAGACCACAAAACAATTATTGGCTTTTTTTTCCTTTAAGCCTTTTTTGTTTAGCTGTTTAAATACTGTTAGTTCCATTTTAATAATTATTTCTTTAACTGTAAGTGGTCATTCCCATGCCCAATTATTTGTTTCACTACAATAAGGAAAATAAAACCTGAAACATTTTTTAAGTAATTGAGTTTCCATCAGTTGAGATAGTTATTAAAAAAAGAACTTGAGTATCAGTGGAACAACTTATAATAAAAACAAACTAAAAACTTTTCCCAGAGTATAAACCTAAATGTATTCTTTTGTCTGATATATGTTCAATGTATATTTATTAATATAGTTGAAAAAAATACACTTGTTTTCGCACTCCCTAAACTTCTCATATTCCATTTGAATAAGCTTTTTAAAAGGAAGGGCTAGTACCATGTGCTTATATTTTGCTCCCAAAGAAAAAGCAGCATGTACTAAAAACATGTTTCGTGACGTATGAGGTCAGCTGGAGGCAAACTCACACTTACTGCAGGTTGTGAGAGGACTCAGAGTGACATTTACCTTGGTGAAATCACAATGTGACCATGATTATTTTTCAACTTCCTGGCACAAAAGTCTGTGGCCTCCTCTCATGTTCCATTTACAGCATGCGAATCATTATGAGTGAGGAAGTTTTAATTGCTTTACTGTTTTGTTGAGGCATAATTTACATACATAAAATGCAGATTTCAAATGAATAGTTCAATGAGTAGACAAATCTGCTCACCAGTGTAACCATCACCTTAGTCAAGATATAGAAACTTTCCATCACCCTAGAAATTTTACTCATGCACAGTCCAGTCAATCCATCCCCACACAGAGGCAATCACTAATCTGCTTTGTCACAGTACCTTTGTTTTTCCTTTTCTAGAATGTAATATAAATGGAATCATACTATGTATTCTTTTTTTTTTAGACAGAGTCTTACTCTGTTGCCAGACTGGAGTGCAGTGGCACGATCTCGGTTCACTGCAATCTCTGTCTCCCAAGTTCAAGCGATTACCCTGCCTCAGTCTCCCGAGTAGCTGGGACTACAGACTATGGGCGCACCACTACGCCCGGCTAATTTTTTGTATTTAAGTAGAAACGGAGTTTCACCATGTTGGCCAGGATGGTCTCAATCTCCTGACCTCGTGATCCGCCTGCCTCGGACTCCCAAAGTGCTGGGATTACAGGCGTGAGCCACCGCCCCCTGCCCATACTACGTATTCTTTTGTGACCAGTATCTCTTGCTCAACATAGGGTTTTGAGGTTCATACATGTTGTTTATGTGTCTGTTCATTTTTCTTTTTATTGCTGAGTAGTATTCCCTTTTATGAATATACCACAATTTACCCATTTACATGGTGATGCATATTTGGGTTGCTTTCCAGAGGTGCTTTTATGTATAATTATACTCTGAATGTCTGCATATACTTTTTTTTTTTTTTTTTTTTTTTGAGACAGTGTCTTGCTCTGTTGCCCAGGCTGGAGTGCAGTGGTATGATCTTGGCTCAGTGCAACCTCTGCCTCCCAGGTTCAAGTGATTCTCCTGCCTCAGCCTCCCGAGTAGCTGGGACTACAGGTGCCCGCCACCACAGTTGGCTAATTTTTGTATTTTTAGTAGAGATGGGTTTCACCATGTTGGCCAGGCTCATCTCAAACTTCTGACCTTGTGATCCGCCCGCCTCAGCCTCCCAGAGTGTTGGGATTACAGGCATGAGCCACCACACCTGGCTCCATATACTACTTTTATGGACACATTTTTTATTTTTTGGTAAATACCTAGAAATGGAATTACTATGTTCTAGTTTAGGAGTATATTTCACTTCATAAAACACTGCCAATCTTTTTTTCAAAGATATTTTACCATTTTGCATTCCCGTAGACAAGTCTTATTTGTACCTATTTTTGCCAACAAATGGAACTATCATTCTTTTATATTTTAGCCTCCCTAGTGTGTGTTACATGGTTTCTTATTGTGGTCAATACCCTCATTCCATATAATGCAGAAACTGTAATTTAGAAGTATTACCTTGTTCACATTCATACCACATGCAAATACCAGAACCAGCATTTTGAAGGTGCTTTTAACTAGAACGCATGGTGTTAGGAATAGAATTTCTGGGTCCTGAAAGATATGGCACCCAAATGAACCGCACATGGTCACTGAGGGGAAGCATGGGTTTGATGGGACAGAATCAGGATATTGAGTTACCAGGGAAATACCACAAAAAGATGCCATTGACACCAGGCATCTAAGGCCAGGACAAAGCTCTAGTAGTGGAAGTGAATTCAAGTCAGCATGTTTGCCAGCTTGCCCCCTTTCTGCTATTCGCAGGTTAGACTAAATTAGAGATGTTTAAGATTTACAAAAATGCCTTAAACTATTTTTTGTAAATAATTTTGTTCCCCCCAAAAACTATAAAATCTGCATGCATCAGTAATAATGTCTTAGAGAAACAGTCTTACTTTGTCTTCCAACTTACGGGCACTTAGAATCAGAATAATGTTTTGGCAAAGAAGCCCCGTATCTAAAATATTTTCTAAACTCCTAATAACTACAATGTCAGCAACAACAAAAACAAAATGGTCTTGGTTTTTACATTTTGAAAAAGTTTATGGAATAGGAAAGTAAGTCAGGTTCAAGCAATAGGAAAGTAAATGTAATTAATGTGTTCAGGTTTTGACAGAAGATATTACTGACTTAAGTTTCCTTCTTAATTTTACTTTGACATGTTATTCCATAAGCACATTGATGGGGGGCATTAATGAAATAAACTACCTACTCCATCAGTATTCAGCACAAGAACCGAGTTCAGGGAGTTGAGAAATCCTGATCATTGGTAAGAAGCTTGGTATAGTGGCAGGAGCATAGACTAAGGATTTAGAAAATTTGGGTTCAGGTCCAGAACTTTCTTCTCTCCAGCTCAAAGTCCTTGGGCTGGTTATCTCATTGTTTTGGGCCAGTATATTCTCATTTATCAAATGGTGGGGCAGTAATAGATACTCTCCTAAGTTCACAGTCCTCTGAATTTTTCTTTAGTTACCTATCAAAGCCAATAGCTCATGGATACCTCAGGCAGGGAGGAGAAGAGCGTGTAGTGGGGTGAGATCATGGCATCAGAGGAAATAAAACTAGCTTTTCATTTTTTTTAACAAATTTTTTGTGTGACTTATGAATGCCATGAGCAGGACTCACTAGACATAAATAAGAACAAGATGACTACATTACCATTTCTTTCAGGCTAGTGAGGAATGCAACCAGTAGGCAGGAAATTGAGATACAGGTGTTGAATGTCATGATGTTGTGTGGTCAGAGGGATATATGCTTTAGTAATAGTATGCAGGAGGGGTTTCTAGCCCATTGTAGGGTATCCTTGAAGGCTTCATAGAAAAAGAACTTTCTTAGGTAAGAGGTAAGTACACATTAGCCAAATGAGGAGGAAGAATGAACCATGCTAAAGGCAAAGTAACATAACATTTGAAGTTTGTTATTCTTTTCAAGGAAAAGAATAAACTTCAATATGACTAGAGCAAAGTGGATGTATGAAGGAGTAGGCAAAGTGAAAGATGAGTCTAGAACATTAAGCAGGAACCAAACCCTTAAGGACCTTATAAACCATATTAAGGTCATCAGATTTTGTTCTACAAAATGTTGAGAAAATGAACATATTATAAGGTAAAGATTGATCATGCATTTGCCTATTAGGATGCATGGGGTGGTATAATGGAAGATGTGAAGACATTATTTGCAGGGCTATTGCAGTTATCCAGGTGAGAAATACTAGTACAATTCAGTATTAGACAAAATCGGGTGCATTCCAGGTGGTAGGGTCGTAGACCACTCTGCTATTAGAAATGAAGATGGAGACCCACTTTTCTAAGATTTTTGCAAACCCTAGTGGAGATGCCTAGCACATTTATGCAGCAGAAGAGCATCTCTATTTGTGCTCACGGCAGCTCCTGTATCCTGAGGTGTGATGGAGAATGAGTGTTGTGTAGCCTGAGAGTGGGTCAGCCTGCAGGAAGGGCATCTGACTATTTGCCAAATCCTAACACCTAGCACCTGGCTTACGTCTACTGCATGATTAATTACAAACATAAAATGGGTGATAAAGAAACAAATTATAGAAATGTTGTAAATTCACACAGGTGAATTTTCACAGGAAAGGAAGAAGCAGAGCCAGGAAAGAAAATAAGATACACGGAGACTTACACAGATGTGAGACAAGAGTGCCAGGAAATATGCATAACTCGAATACATTCTGGAAGGATGTATTTGAAAATTCAGGCTTATGCCCTGTGATAATCAACATGTATCGCTCCTGACTGATTCATTCTTTTAGGGATTTTCCTAGACTTTAAAATGGTTTGTCTCATGTTACCTACTCTGGCCAGGTGATGAGAGGCTGTGGCCCTCTTGGGAAGAGCAGAAGAAACTTTCTCTTCCAACTGATCTTGAAAAGAGAAAGTATTTCAAATTAATTGGGATTATATATGGCTTTGTTAGACCAAAATATTCAGTGATGAGAACAACCTTTAAAAATTAGTGTGTTTTGCATTAGACACCTAACTGGATAAATACAAATAGTCTTTTAGCAAAAGAAATTGGGAAGACTCTGGAGATAAGTGTAGTTCCCTATGTGAAAATAAAAGTGAAAATATGTAAATTTTCACTGTGTTCAAGGGCACAGTGAAAACTTACGTGCAAAGAAATATTTAACAAAAATGCTCCATATAGACAGAGACAGCTTTGGAAATCTGTTGAAAACAAGATGTAAAGTACCTGGATATGAAATCTTTCTGTAAAAATGACAAAGTATTTAATGAGAAAGAAATTTATAGCTTCTTATTTTGTAGCAGAGTCCTTGGCCGGCAGTGGGGTCACATGATGGTCTCATAAACTTGCTTGGATTCCTCTGTCTGCACCCCCACTGAGAAGGCAGAGAGTAGGCCGTGTAATGTGTGGTAAGCAAGGGTAATATCTCATTTTCAAATGAGTTATATTTCTACAAATATTTAATAGGCTACGCATCTTCTGGGATTGTTTTTCTCTTATCCAGAAATTATTGCAGGGATGGTGTTCATGAGTTGCATAAGTGTGTGTGTGTGTGTTTTAATTTATTTTTTGGCAGCTGTAAATAATTGAGTATGTATATGTTTTTTCATATGAAGCGATTTTGGAGACTGTGTCTTGAAAATATGGCATAAACATATTAATGTTGAACTGCAGCTTCTAACAGCTGTGGTTTAAAAACTGCAATTCTAGAGCGTAATCTATTTAAGGAAGAGTTGACTGTTGTATCTGAAGCTAATATAATGTTCCAGAGAGAAGAAAGCAAAGATACTTGAGTGTCTGAGGTTCTCTGTGTGTATATGTATGTGTATGAATGCACTTATGAGAGGAAAAAAAGGAAGACAGACAAAAGATTGAGAAAGCAGAGAAATATATTTTTAATTTTTGTTTTTTAATATAAAAATGCATATATTAGCAGTAAGATTTATTTATTTCAATTTAGAACCATTCTGAGATGACCACTTAATAGAAGGCTTTTGTTTTCCATTTGAGAATATAACATTACATATTTAACAAAATTCTATGTGTATTATGTATTACTTTACATTAAACCTCCAGTCAGCGATTATAAAATTATGATGAAATCTGCAATTACTTTCTCAAAAGCCTACTTTACATTATTGAAAAACTGCTTTATCAAAAACCTTGAGAATATTGTAATCAGTAAAATATTTGTTCTGGGGAGAGATTTAAATGAGTTTAAGGCTTATTGTAATCTTTGCTTCCTTTGGTTAAGCCAAGAATTGTATGCAGCATTTACCTCAGCTGAGTGAACTTCATTAATTGCTTTGTTTCATGTGTTTCATGTATATGTGTGATACAGCCTCCTATAAATAAGAAAATATGGGACAGAGATTCTTATTCCTGTTGCATATGAAAAAAAAAAACTGAGGCTAAGCAGCTCTCCTAAGAGTACACTATATTGTACTAACCATCTGGGAAGAAAAATGTAACTCTAGAACTGTAAACATTCAGCTCTATCCATAATTTTGGATTTTGGTTAGTAAACTCTGTCATTGAAAACTGAGGGGCTGCAGATCAGAAGAGGTTTCTCCTGATTTCCAGATATTTGGGCTGGAATGTAATCACCTGGAAAGAGTGTATCTTTTCATATCTGTAGGCATCAGCGGACAAGACTAGCCCCTTGGAGCCTTGGGTGAGAGAAAGCGAGCCAGCCATTCTAGAGGGCCCTGTCTTCAAGGCCAGATGTGAAGGGGCTTCACAGCTCCTCACTCCACCCTGACACTTGGCTCTGAGGAAGCCCTCAGGCTGCTCAGGGTCCCAGGTGTGTGCCTCCACCTGGGGCTCAACCGCTGAGCTCTGTGACTGCTTCGCTGTGCCACTGTGCATGCTCTCTATCTCTTCATTAGTTTAAGTAATTAGTAGTTTTTCTAATTGTGAAAGCAATATATTGTAAAAGTATTTTAATGCAGAAACAAATCACAGTGTCAATCCCATAGACTTCCTTCTAGTGTCCCTGTAAAAATATATTCAACGTATTTTTTTTTATAAAAGCCACATCATATTGAATGTAGTATCTGTTTCATGCTATTGAATTTTTTTTGCTCTACTTTTATTTTTACTCTTAGTCTATTTTGGGAATTTTGTATGTTTACAACTTTTAAATTACTACATCTAATAAAATGATTTGTAATACTCTTAATATCATTTTACCTTAACCTACTTTAAAAAATATTTTAAGTCTGTATTTCTTTTGTGAAACAGTATTTTAAAGTTTTTATTTTTTTTGGTATTGCCTCTTTAGGTTTTTTGTTTGTTTGTTTGTTTGTTTGTTTTTGAGATAGAGTTTTCACTCTTGTTGCCTAGGCTGGAGTGCAGTGGTGCGATCTCAGCTCACCACAACCTCTGTCTCCCTGGTTCGAGTGATTCTGCTGCCTCAACTTCCTGAGTAGCTGGGATTACAGGTGTGAGCCACCATGCCCAGCTAATTTTTATATATTTAGTAGAGACGGGGTTTCACCATGTTGGCCAGGCTGGTCTCGAACTCCTGACCTCAGGTGATCTACCCTCCTCGGCCTCCCAAAGTGTTAGGATTACAGGCGTAAGCCACCGTGCCTGGCCAATGTTGCCTCTTCAGCTTTTTTGCTTACTTGTGTAATGTATTTTACTGTTGCCTTGTATAACTTGAACTCTGTAGCTTTTAAATTTTATTTTGATTTAATTTGTCTTTTAACCTGCTTTATGTTTTTATCTGTAGCCTCCTTAAAGTTGCTATTACTTCTACCATTATTCTCAACATATTTTAATGTCAACTTTTACCCTTAAAATGGTATCAAGGTATTTACCTACCTGCCTACCTATTTAGCTATTTCTAAGTTATATTTCTTCTCTTGGCTTACTTAATTGCAAGTAACATCATTTATGCCAGGATCTGCTCTGAAGTGAATCCCTTTCTCTCTTTCAGTTGGTTCTATGATGAATGTCTGCTTACTCACTGCATACTTATTAAGTTCCTAAATTCTGGAGACAAAATTCTGGCTCACAAAAATATAGCCTGAGAAATTCTAAACACTAGGGAATTCTATATGACATATCTCTAGGGAAAAAAAATAGAAAAGAGATTAAAATTAGAAAAGGTAGTGTTTAGTTTTGCATACAACATCTCTAACCAGCAAGCCATGTGGAGTTTCTAGTCTAAGGGATTATTTGTGTATGTTTTGCTACTGAACATGATGATGATGTGCCAAACTGTCAAACTTCAGCGATGAAAATATTATAAGTGACCAAAAGAATTAAGTCACATATAAAATTTTTATTAGGCAACTATTATATATTAGCTATATACTTTTAACTATCACTCTAAGAACTAGAAAGTCACAGGAAGGCTCTAAGTCAGATACTTAAGTGCTCAGAGGTTAAAAATAATATTAATAAGGCCACAGATATGTCTTTGTCCAAGTTTCAGCAGCAAACTGCTTTGCTGGACATTTGTAGCCATCCAATAAGCAAATTGTCAAGAGACCATCCATATCCTCTCCATGAGCATTTGAAATGTACAGCTACAAGTTGATAGTGTATGATTTCAAATGGCTAGAGACCTAATTAGTTGCTGCGCAAATTTGAAGGCAATTAAGTTACTATTTAACATTTGGCCCAACATGAATAATTTGAATTTAAAACGTCTTTACTAGGATTGCTGTCTTAAATAGTCTGCTTTGAAATTAAAACAATTTCAAAGAGGAGATTTGTTTGTTTGTTTGTTTGTTTGTTTTTGAGATAGAGTCTAGCTCCATTGCCCAGGCTGGAGTGCAGTGGCACGAGCTCGGCTCACTGCAACCTCTGCCTCCTGGGTTCAAACGATTCTCCTGCCTCAGCCTCCCAAGTAGCTGGGAATACAGGCACCCACCACGACGCCCAGCTAATTTTCATATTTTTAGTAGAGACAGGGTTTCACTGTGTTGGCTAGGTGGTCTCAAACTCCTAACCTCATGATCCTCCCACCTCAGCCTCCCAAAGTGCTGAGATTACAAGCATAGCCACTGTGCCAGGCCTCAAAGAGGAGTTTTAAATATAAAAAATTCAAATATTCTAAATGTGAAGACTAACAAGAACAAAAATCAAACTTCAAAATGATTTTGAAGATGAAAGGCAGAGAGTTTTCTTTCATTTTGCATTCCTTTCTCACCTCAATTCCCTAAAATATCATATGTGATGGGAAATATATATTGTGGTCTTGGCACTGCAATGCAGAGCATGTGACTTTATGTGAATTAATTCAAGTCTCTCAATTTTTGTTTCCACATTTTAAAAAGAGTCAAAAATAGATTCCGCTCTGATTGTAAAGAATTTTGTGAAAAATTAATGGGTAGAAAAACATTTAGCACACTGTACAGTGCTAAACAAATCCTAGAGATTATTAAGGTAAACAACTTAATATTTTTCTCATGACAGAGAGAAAGCTGAGACTTGAGTCTTCCAGGGACTAGTTCACAATTTCAGTGGCCCTAATTAATTGCTATTTTTCTGTAGAAAGTTCTACATTATGACCCCAAATGAAATTAGAAAACCATTAATTTTGGAGGTTATGAATGTTGTAATAAGTAACTTCATTGTATCTCCTTTCCTTAAAAAAAATTGTAGTGAATAGAAAATGATATAAAATATTTTTTACACATGTACAACAAAAAGACCATACACAAACACTTGAGTGTTCATTAGAGAACCCATTCATTGTAGCTTTATCATGAGATTATATAGAAAGATTTCATTTCCAAGCTGAATGCAATATAATAATTTTTTAAAATTGGTTGCTTTATTTATTTTGTTCCTATTGATGTACACAGCTTGCATACATGTTGTGAAAGGTTCATACTGAATATAGTTTAGCATAATCAAAGTTAAATGACAAATATTCATTATCCACCCACTGTTTTATGGGTCTTTATATTATTTTTGACACGATCTGGTGTCTATGAAATAGTTAAACACACAAAGAGTTAGATTAGGGAATCTGAATTTTAAGCAGACACAAAAACCAAAAGCAGTCTTCTTCAAATTTACGTTAGTCATTCATGCAGGCCAGGGCATATGACACTAAACAATACTTGAATTTTATTTTTTCTGGCACTGAGAAGAAAAAAAAGATGGTGTTACTGGAAGAGCATCTAAGCATGAAACTGAGGTCAAGCCTGAGTCTTTGGAGAATTCTTATGTAAACAGAATCAAAAGAAACATGGACACTAAAGAGCAAGCTTAACATTCAGAGTAAATTGACTGAGAACTCAGAAAATTTGACAGGTGATTTAGCAGCAGCCAATAATATTAGTGACATGGGCTGATGGTTGTGGCACTCTAGGTCATAAAGCGACAACATGGGAGGTTGTAAGTGATCAGTCTGGGACGTGGAACAGAATTTCATATTCCCAGACTTGGAGAGTAGAGGGCTGGGTTCTAAAGTCTTCACACAAGATAAAAATTGAATATTGTCTTAGTTATCCTTGAACATATCTTAGATGGCAATTTGAAGCAAATATTCCATCTCTCTTGAATGCCCAATTTGTCCATTTTTCATCAAGCAACATAATAGTTTATGATACATTTGGCAAGTACAAGATAAGATAGTTGTGTGTTTATGGGCCATGTTGTTTAAAACTAAAATGTCCTCGGCATGGTGGAATACTTTCTTGATAGGGATTGAGAACTGATTGAGGGTAGAGCATGTCCTGACTGGCCATCTTGTGCTGATTTCACAATATTGTCCACACCATTTAATTTGTGATTGCCTATACCATTTATATTATTTAAATTTTTTTTTGCATTTATATGGTAGTATAATATTTCATTCTGCTCTTCTCCTCTTTCCTTGAAACAGAGATAAATACAACACTAGATTCAATTATTCATCCAGCCAGCCACATAATAAGTACTTTATTGAGGAGCTTACCATATTCCAGATAGTGCCCTTTTGAGATTCACCATCTGGGAAAAAGGTTAGTAATTTAAAAAATAATTATAGTAACATAATTAGTACCAAAATAGCAATATAGACAAGGTGTTATAAGCCTAAAGAGAAGGAATCACCAAACTTCTACCATGACTTTTGTGTTGCACCTTGAGTCAAAGGCTCACACTCTCAACAGGATAGCCCAAAAGCACTTAAATAGCACAGCAGCTGTCTCCTGTCTTGAGACTTCTGAAATCTACCCTGTATCAACATATGAGTTAACATTTCATAGAACCTGTGCTCCCCTCTTACCCTCCCAGGTGATAGTTGTGCTCCCTCATAGTAAACAAGAAACAAAGGAACTAGAATGTAAGAGGAATTTTCACAACGTATTACTTTTTAAAATAACAGCTTCATTGAGATATAATTCACATACCATAGAATTCACCCATTTAAAGTGTACAATTAACTGGTTTTAGTATATTCAGAACTTTGTACATCACCACTATCAAGTTTAGAACCCCCTAAAGAAACCACATACTCATCATCAGTCCCGCCCCCCCACCCCGCATTATCCATGGACTCCCTCTCCCCTCACTACCACTAATCTACTTTGTGTCTCTCCAAATTTGCCTATGCTGGATATTTCCTATAAATAGAATCACAGAATACCTGGTATTTTGTGGCCGATTTCTTTTATTTAGCATAATGTTTTCATGGTTCATTCATGACACAGTTTTTGCCATGGCTTTGTCCCTTTTTAGTCCAGAATAATATTCCATTATAAGGATATACCACATTTTATTTATCCTTTCATCATTGGTAGAGATTTAGCCCTCCCCTCCCCTTCCCTTTCTTCTAGAGACATGGTCTTTCTCTCCCTTCCCTTTCTCCTTGAGACATGGTCTTTCTCTGTCACCCAGGCTGGAGTGCAGTGGTGTGATCTTGGCTTACTGCAGTGTCAACATCCTGGGCTCAAGCGATCCTCCTACCTCAGCCTCCCAAGTAGCTAGGACTACTGGTTCATGCCATATACCTGGATAATTTGCTTTTTTTTTTTTTCCTTTAAGAGTGATGAGGTCTCACTATGTTGCTCAGGCTGGTCTCGAACTCTTGGGCTCAAGTGATTCTCTTGCCTTGGCCTCCTAAAGTGCTAGGATTACAGGTATGAGCAACCGAGCCCAGCCCCTCTTCATCTGTTTCTTAACCTTGAGTTACATTTCCTAGGTTTTATATAGTTACTTGATGCCTGGGAGTTTAAATTCTTCTACAGTCTTTTTGCCCTGCATTGCTAGTTTTAATCTCAATATTTTTTTCAGCTGCTGAATGTTTTGTTGTTGTTGATTCTCTTAAGCATCTCAGGAACTTTTTTTGAGGACTGTATCACCCCTGTCTTTCTGACCTAGCAGAATAATAATGATAAAACAAGGGCTTGACAATAATGCCTTGATATAATTCCTGGCACAGCTTTCCAAATGTAGAAAATAATTTTCCACAATTATCTTAGCTAATTTAGCTGTTGGCCTTTGGAAACACAAGGGCTAGTGCAGAATTACTTGTGTGTAATTCTTAAATTAACTTATTAATCACATCTTTAGAAACTCTGTGGATCTTACAGCTGAGGTTTTAAATAAACATCCTGTTTTTCAGAGCATCATGTTAGTTTAGAGCTGGAAGGCTGTTGGAAATCATGTAATAAATTCGTCATTGAAAGAATTATAACCAGCCCGGCATGGTGGCTTAAGCCTGTAATCCCAGCACTTTGGGAGACCAAGGCAGGTGGATCACGAGTTCAGGAGTTTGAGACCAGCCTGGCCAATATGGTGAAACCCTGTCTCTACTAAAAATGTAAAAATTAGCTAGGCATGGTGGCATGCCCCTGTAGTCCCAGCTACTCAGGAGGCTGAGGCAGAAGAATCACCTGAACCCGGGAGGTGGAGATTGCAGTGAGCTGAGATCATGCCATTGCACTCCAGCCTAGGTGACAGAACGAGACTCATTCTCAACAACAACAACAACAACAACAACAACGACAACAACAAATAACCACTCTCCTTAAATCACCTAGTTATATCACACTTGAATGAAATGATGCAATAATTTTAAAGAGATGAAAAATTCTTTCCATACAAATGCCATCACACGCTAGTACTGGGTTTATTTTTCTGCCACCTCCTCCTACTGTTTATTCTTTCTTCCCAAGCATCACTTTATTTTCTGGGTTGTTTCATTCTCTCATTCAAGAAATATTTATTGGGAATCTATTATGTTTTGGTAACCATTCTAGACGCTAAGGATCAATAGAGAACAAAGCAACTAAAAAACCCTGCCCTTGTAGATTTTACATTCCAGTAGAGGGTCATCAAAGTTAACTAACCCTTATATTGTTATATATTACATAATATGTTTGAATGTGATAACTGCAATGGAGAAGAAAAAGGCAAGGGAGATAAAGGGGAATTGCAGGAATGGGTAGAAAGGTAGCAATTTTATCCAGAGTGATGGTGTACAACCTCACTGAGAAGGTGTTAGTCTTGAAGATGGTAAGGGGATGAGTAATCTGGCTATCTGGGGAAAAGCATTCCAGACAGATGGCAGAGGAAACTCAAAGTTTCTCTTTTTTAATTATTTATTTATTTTTTATTATACTTTAAGTTCTAGGGTACATGTGCACAACATGCAGGTTTGTTACATATGTATACATGTGACATGTTGGTGTACTGCACCCATTAACTTGTCATTTACATTAGGTATATCTCCTAATGCTATCCCTCCTTACTCCCCCCACCCCACAACAGGCCCCGGTGTGTGATGTTCCCCTTCCTGTGTCCAAGTGTTCTCATTGTTCAATTCCCACCTATGAGTGAGAACATGCGGTGTTTGGTTTTTTGTCCTTGTGACAGTTTGCTGAGAGTGATGGTTTCCAGCTTCATCCATGTCCCTACAAAGGACATGAACTCATCCTTTTTTATTGCTGCATAGTATTCCATGGTGTATATGTGCCACGTTTTCTTAACCCAGTCTATCATTGTTGGACGTTTGGGTTAGTTCCAAGTCTTTGCTATTGTGAATAGTGCCACAATAAACATACATGTGCGTGTGTCTTTATAGCAGCATGATTTATAATCCTTTGGGTATATACCCAGTAATGGGATGGCTGGGTCAAATGGTATTTCTAGTTCTAGATCCTTGAGGAATCACCACACTGTCTTCCACAATGGTTGAACTAGTTTACAGTCCCACCAACAGTGTAAAAGTGTTCCTATTTCTCCACATCCTCTCCAGCATCTGTTGTTTCCTGACTTTTTAATGAACACCATTCTAACTGGTGTGAGATGGTATCTCATTGTGGTTTTGATTTGCATTTCTCTGATGGCCAGTGATGATGAGCATTTTTTCATGTGTCTTTTGGCTGCATAAATGTCTTCTTTTGAGAAGTGTCTGTTCATATCCTTCGCTCACTTTTTGATGGGGTTGTTTTTTTCTTGTAAATTTGTTTGAGTTCATTGTAGATTCTGGATATTAGCCCTTTGTCAGATGAGTAGATTGCGAAAATTTTTTCCCATTCTGTAGGTTGCCTGTTCACTCTGATGGTAGTTTCTTTTGCTGTGCAGAAGCTCTTTAGTTTAATTAGGTCCCATTTGTCAATTTTGGCTTTTGTTGCCATTGCTTTTGGTGTTTTAGACAGGAAGTCCTTGCCCCCCATGCCTATGTCCTGAATGGTATTGCCTAGGTTTTCTTCTAGGGTTTTTATGCTTTTAGGTCTAACATGTAAGTCTTTACTCCATCTTGAATTAATTTTTGTAAAAGGTGTAAGGAAGGGATCCAGTTTCAGCTTTCTACATATGGCTAGCCAGTTTTCCCAGCACCATTTATTAAATAGGGAATCCTTTCCCCATTGCTTGTTTTTCTCAGGTTTGTCAAAGATCAGATGGTTGTAGATGTGTGGTATTATTTCTGAGGGCTCTGTTCCGTTCCATTGGTCTATGTCTCTGTTTTGGTACCAGTACCATGCTGTTTTGGTTACTGTAGGCTTGTAGTATAGTTTGAAGTCAGGTAGCATGATGCCTCCAGCTTTGTTCTTTTGGCTTAGGATTGACTTGGCGATGCGGGTTCTTTTTTGGTTCCATATGAACTTTACAATAGTTTTTTCCAATTCTATGAAGAAAGTCATTTGTAGCTTGATGGGGATGGCATTGAATCTATAAATTACCTTGGGCAGTATGGCCATTTTCACGATATTGATTCTTCCTATCCATGAGCGTGGAATGTTCTTCCATTTGTTTGTGTCCTCTTTTATTTCATTGAGCAGTGGCTTGTAGTTCTCCTTGAAGAGGTCCTTCACATCCCTTGTAAGTTGGATTCCTGGGTATTTTATTCTCTTTGAAGCAATTGTGAATGGGAGTTCACTCATGATTTAGCTGTTTGTCTGTTACTGGTGTATAAAAATGCTTGTGATTTTTGCACATTGATTTTGTATCCTGAGACTTTGCTGAAGTTGCTTATCAGCTTAAGGCGATTTTGGGCTTAGACAATGGGGTTTTCTAGATATACAATCATGTCATCTGCAAACAGGGACAATTTGACTTCCTCTTTTCATAATTGAATACCCTTTATTTCTTTCTCCTGCCTGACTTCCCTGGCCAGAACTTCCAACACTATGTTGAATAGGAGTGGTGAGAGAGGGCATCCCTGTCTTGTGCCAGTTTTCAAAGGGAATGTTTCCAGTTTTGCCCATTCAGTATGATATTGGCTGTGGGTTTGTCATAAATAGCTCTTATTATTTTGAGATACGTCCCATCAATACCTAATTTATTGAGAGGAAACTCAAAGTTTCTAAGGTGGGAGCATGCTTGGAATGCTTGAAGGAAAGCACAAAGGCCAGTGATGCAGTGTGGCTGTTACACAAGTAATGAAATGAAGGGTAGAAAAAGATAAAGTCAGCAAGATAATAGAGGACAAGATCACATAGGAACTTTGGCCACTGCAAGGAAATTTGCTTAAAAAATTATAGATATAAAATGCACATAATATAAAATTCACTATTTGACCATTTTAAAGTATACAAACAGGCCTTTACTATATTCACAATGTTATGCAATCATTGCAACTTTCTAATTCCAGAACATTTTCAGCACTGTGAAAAGAAACCTTTACCTCTTAATTCCCCCTTTTCTCCTTTCTCCCATTCCCTGGCAACCACTAATCTACTCTTTGTCTCTATGAATGTTCTTATTCTGGATGTTTCGTATAAATGGAATCATACAACGTGTGGTATTTTGTGACTGATGTCTTTCATTTGGCATAGTGCTTTCAAGGTTCATCCATGTTGTAACAGGTACCAGTATTGTATTTCTTTATATGATTGAATATATATTCTATTTATAGAAATACTACATTTTATTTATCCACTCTTCCATTTGGGTTGTTACTACCTTTTGACAATTATGAATACTGCTGCTATGAGTATACATGTATAAGTTTATGTTTATACATATATTTTTAGTTATTTTAGGTATATATTTAGGACAATCTCTGGGTCATATAGTAACTTTGTATTTAACTTTTTGAGAAGCTACTAAATTTTTCCACAGTGACAGCACCATTTTATATTACCACCAGTAACATACAAAGATTTCAATTTCTCTGCATTCTCACTGACACTAGTTATGTTGTTTTATTTTTAATTTAGTTTTTTATTATTATAGCCATCCTAGTGGTTGTGAAATGGTATTTCCCAGTGGTTTTGATTAATGTTGAGCATCTTTTCATGTGTGTATTGGATCATTTATACACCTTATTTCAAGAAATGTCTATTAAAATATTTTGCCCATTTTTTGATTGAGTTGTCTTTATATCGTGGATTTGTAAGTGTTCTTTATATATAATGGATATTAGACCTATATCAGATACATAATTTACAAATATTTTCTCCCATTTAATGGATTGTTTTCTCACTTTTTGGTAGTGTTTTTTTACACACGAAAAAACTTAATTTTGATGCAGTTCAACTTAGTCTATTACTTATTTTGTTCCTCATGCTTTTATTTCCATTTTAAGAAACCATTGCCTAATACAAGGTCACAAATATTTATTCCTATAGTTCTTTCTAAGAGCGTTATAGTTTTTCCTCCTACATTTAGGTTACTGATCCATTTTGAATGACATGCGGTGTGAGGCAGGGGTCCAACTTCATTTTTTTTTTTTTTGCATGTGTATGCTTATTTGTCCTAGCATCATTGTTGAAGAGACTATTCTTTTTCCATTGAATGGTCTTGTCACTCATGTTAAAAATAAATTGGCCATAAATGTATGGGTTTCCTTCCAGACTCTTAATTCTATTTCATTGATCTATGTCTATTCTTATGCCACACTGTTTTTATTACTGTAACTTTTTAGTAAGTTTTGAATTCAAGAAGTGTGATTCTTCTAACTTTATTCTCGAATCCTCTAACTTTATTCTTCTTTTTCAATATCATTTTGGCTATTTAGTACCCCTTTATTTTTATATACATTTTAGGTCAGCTTAGTTATTTGTATTAAAAACTCAGTTAAATATTTGATAGGGATTCCATTGAATATGTGGACTAATTTAGATAGTATTGCCATCTTAACAGTATTAAGTATTCCAACCATCAAACATGGGCTGCCTTTCCATTTACTTAGGTATTCTATTTTTTTCCAACATTGTTTTATAGTTTTCAGTATACAAGTCTTACACTTTATTGGTTAAATTTATTCCTAAGATTTTATTCTTTTTCATGCAATTGTAAGGGAAATTGTTTTCTTAACTTTAGATTGTTCATTGCTAGTGTATAGAAATTAGTTTTGGGGGTTCTTGTGGATATTTTAAGGTTTTCTATGTACAAGATCATGTCATCTATGAATAGAGGTAGTTTTACTTCTGCTTCTCTAATCTGGATACCTTTTATGTTTTCTCCCCCTCCTTAATAGTTCTGGCTAGAACTTTCAGTAGAATGATCAATAGCAGCAGCAAGAGTGGACATTCTTGTCTTGCTCTTGATCTCAGGGGGAAAGCTTTCAGTTGAACATTAGTTTTTACATGGGGCAAAATTGAGAGAACTGTATTTGGAGAACAGTGATGTGATCTAACCTCTACTTTGAAAGCATGTTGCTGCCTTTTTTATGTTTTAAATGATTACAGTTAGTTTGTAAACAGAAGGCTAGAAACCTTGGTAAATTTAATAAGTAGGTATTAGAAATCTGACATGGTACATTAAATTTAAATTGCCTAATGATATTGCTACACAAAACTGTTTAATGCATATGTCTCTATTCTAAGTGCTATAAAATTAGTCCAAAATTGAATATATAGTTTTCTAGTCATACACATAGTCTTAGCAATATTTGTGCAGAAATAAAAAATATATAATTGCTGCAATGTCCTATAAACACTATGCAATTTTTAATACTTAGCTCTTTACAATCAAAGACAATATTTTCTACCAGTTGGCAAAAATAAACCTTAAACAATCTTGATGCTGATAATGGCTTTGCCAATTAATAGCTATATGATTCTAGCAAATGACTTTATATCAATGAGCTAGTTTTCTCCTTTATAAAATAAGAACTTTAATGTTTTTCTCGTAGTACTATACTGAGGATAAAAACAGAGAAGTGGATACAAAATTTATTTGAAGATTAAGAAGGACTAAACAAATGTAGGAGGCTACTGTTATCTTGAACCTTTTAATTTTTTGTCATGCATTTGTTTTATTTTGTAATTATTTATGTTTGCCTTTGAGATAATGCATTGTTGTACCTGATAGCTGATTCATACAACAGTAATGATGTTTAGAATAAGGATCTCTAAAACTAGCAAGCTAGATTGTTGGACTAACTTGAGAGATCCACTCTATATGAAGGAAATTTTAAAACAGCAAAAAATAATGAGACATAAAAGTAGTTAAAGAAGTAGTCTTTATCTCATTTTGAGTGATGCGTAATCTATCATTTTAAGTGTGCTATGTAACATACATCTTGCAACATACACAGTAGACTACTTGGCATTTATTCATTGGCATGTTTCAGTGATATTTACATCAGAATTTATAAATCATCATTTTGGTGACACTTTTTTTATTAGCGTCTCAGAAATCTTAACAGGATATATTCTTCAATAGAAACAGAGTATCTGTGATGATAGTACCTTCAAAGATAGAGAAGAATTTCATCAAAATCGTATTGATTGGTTCGTCATATTGATCCATCTGGACTAACTGATAAAAATATCCTTAAAAGGAGAAGCTCACAAAATTTCTCTCCCTATAAATCTGTAACTTAAAAGGGGAAATAAGACATGTGTCTCTTACTTGTCTCTTTCCTTTCTAATTCTGTCTTATCTTGAAAAAAAAGTTAATAAGCAAATACAAATAATTTCTCTCATTCAGATCTATTCAACTTAAGTTAATTAAACTTCCAGGCTGAGGAAACATTTATTAACTCAGATTGACAAGTCAGCCAGAAAGGAAACTCTTACCAGTGTTGAAATTATGTTTTGACAGTTAGATCATAGTGGAATTTTTCTGAAGTTTTAAAGAAAAGCAAATAACTACTGAAATTATGGCATTGCAGTGCTAGAAATGCACATATCATGTGTTGTGTGAGACAAAATACATTTTTTTCAATGTCTAAGCATTCTTCAAGAATTCCTCCAACACTTAGAATTATGTGTGCGCTTGAATTATCTAAGTGAATTTATTTTGGTGAAAAGCATTGTATTTTTATAAAACTGAGTTCTATCCAGGGTTGTCTTGATGAGCTTCTGAGAAAAACTGATTTCACTGAACCAAATCATACAGTTCAACTCCATTAGCCAATCTGCCCAATCCTTCATCACTTTTCTTTTTCCCCCAGCAACTTGAAAAAAGTTTTTAATTAGCCTTCTCTGGAAATGTCCTCAATTAGGGATGACTTATGGGAGCAGATTGAAATCTTAAAGAGAGAAATACATACATACATTTCTTATTTATTCATTCTTTCATTCAGTTATTTATTTTGCTTTTACTGAGGTAAAGAATGGGCAATTTGAAGAAAAGAGGAGGAGGAAAAAAGAAAAAGCATGAGTCCTTGCTCTCTTTGCACAGTTTCCTAATGTGTGGTCCAAGAGCATAAAAGAAAGCACAAAGCCTCTAGATCCACAGCTACCATCCATTTCTTTGCCTCTCCTCCTCTCCTCTGGAGGTGCAGGTAGTGACCATGAGCACCCTCCTCAATAAAACCTTGACAGCCCTGCCCAAGGAGGTAAGGACTTCATGCTAAAAATAACTTGACAAGGTCAATACATTGTCTGCCTGCCATGGTCTCAGGCCAAGTCCTCAGATACCCTGGGACCTTTTTCTTCTCACCCAGCTTGCCTTCTGGCTCTGACTTCTTTCCCCAGCCCTGTGAATTGACTGTTGTGTCCTGGCTGTGATCTTGACCGCTTGGCAACAGCCTTTCAAGTATCAGGCTTGATTTGCCTCACACACTCTCTGTCCACTCAGACATTTGACTCAACACATTCAGTCCTGGACTGCTAGAATTCTTGGCCTGGCTTCTTACCTGGGCAAGAAGAATCTGCCAGTAAGGATGTGAACGAAATTAGTCTCACATCCATGATAAGGCTTTTTCATTGCTAGAGAAACATTTTCAAAATAACCTACTTTTGCTGTAAAACCCATTTATAGATAACATGATATACAAGAAATAAGATCTTATGTACCAAGAAAATTAACAATTTTAAAACATGACCTATGAAGCAAAACAATTTACTCACAGTGCTAGCTTTTAAATTTCACAGTTGGGTTGTTGTTAAAAGTAACAGAAATATTGATAATAAAAAACAGCTATACAAACATGTATCCTAAATAAAACAATGACTCTATTCTAAAGCTTAATTATGAATTATATTTTAAACATTATCTTATCAAAATTAATGGTGAAATATTAGAACTTCTATTTATATCAAATGGGCTCCAATACGATGTTGTGATTTAACTCTTACGTAACAAGATCCCAACGAGTGAAATGGAATAGAAATGCCAGCATCCTTTGAGAGGTCAGTCACATGGGACTAGATTTCTATTTTTTTTTTTTTGTAGCTATAAAAATACTGAGCATTTTACAGGATCAGAATGGCCAGTATAGATGGTTTCAGAGATAACACAGATTTATTTTGAGATTAATTCTTAGCATACTTTATTAATATAACTCTGCCGTAAAATATATTTAAAGTATTGAATTAAAAATTGATTGACAGAACTAACCAATAAGTCATTTTTTTCTTAAATATATACTTAAATAATT
This sequence comes from Homo sapiens, assembly GCF_000001405.40. Taxonomy (NCBI): domain Eukaryota; kingdom Metazoa; phylum Chordata; class Mammalia; order Primates; family Hominidae; genus Homo; species Homo sapiens. The sequence goes on along the minus strand of NC_000003.12, from coordinate 21,449,069 downwards.
AGATTTATAGCTGCTTAATGCTAAAATAAACAATTTTTAAATGAAGCCTAAGAAAATAAAAATTGTTATTTCATATTCAGAAAAAAAAGAAAGATCGACTTTTTTAAATGTTTAAATTAGCGCTTTGATGAAATGGTGATACAATTACAATGAATGTATTCTCAAATGTGAAAAGAATAATACATAGTTTGGCAAATTTTGGTGCTGGGGCAGTTTGCTGTAGTTTGGAATTTCTGGAGCTGTGTGATAGCTAATGGGAATAACAGGAGAGATGATAAGTTTATATTTGGAATTTCATGAAAATCTAGTTTATGTGGTTTCTGGAGATAGAAAGGGAATCTTGGCTTCTTAGAAACAGGTCTGTTAGCTTTGCTGGGGAAGAGACACATTTGTTCCAGAATTGTATCGTATTATTTTCCAAACAGTTCTAACAATTTTTCAGTGGCCAGTCTTTCTGTAAATAATCTGTAGACTTTTGATTTCTCCTATTCTATATTTATTAGCATGTTTTCTCTGATTTTTATTTATCCTCCAGCTCTTAAAAAATTATCTTTGGCTGAAATATATTAACACAACATGGAAACTACTTTGAAGAGAGAAATTCTATCAAGAAATCATTGTGTTATGTGATGACCCCCATTTTTCTTCCTTCTTTGCAGAGAGAAAAATAATAATACATTGCTGTTTTGAGTGAAATGATGGGTAGTTTGAGTCTTAACTCAGCTTATAGTTGAAATTGAATGCTCAGGAGTTGCTGAAAGATTATTGGTTAAAAAAATGTTTTCTCAATTTTTGTAATTTTTCTCATTTCCTTTTCTATACTTCCATCCTCTTTGTCAACCATTTTCAATGATTTATCCAGTGGAATTTACTCCCTGAAAACTCCTTTTCTAGTCTCCTGAAATATGAAAAATCCTTTAATCTAGATGTCTGAGCAATGTGTTGTGGCAAGTGCATATCGGTTACATCATGGTAACTTTCTGGTGATTAAAACATTTTCTGCATAGCTAATCTATGAAATACTAACACTGTAATGAAAAATGCTAAGTATTATAACTCTTGCACATACAACAAAATGCCTGAGTCCAGATGGGATAATGTTCTAAATTATTTCCATACTCAATATTTTATCATTGCACCCTTTATTGTGGGAGCTTGTTTTCTTATCTTCAAGACAGCTCTACAGTACAAAAAAACTGAAGAGCTGGCTGTTATTTCTTCATTTTTATGGTATGTGCTGCCTAACAGGATTCTAGAGTGAGTATTTGTGTCCTAAATAACTTGGCTTGACTATCTTCACATTTTGCAGTCCCTACTCATTCTAAATTACCAGTCAGAGGTAAGCTTTCTCTCACTTTTCGTTCAACTTCAATTAGTAAAAGCTTTCAAGATTCATGATTTATCATGTCATAATTCCAACCGTTAGATATCGTGGATAGTAAGGACACATGACAAACCCTTACTTTTAACCTAAGGCACATGGCCAGCAGAAGGAAGGCCATTACTACATATGTTAAACAGATGAACTACCAAAGGCAATCACTGAAAAACCATACCTTGATTTCTTGCCAGATTTCAAACTGAGCTTTCCAATACACAGTTCTTCTCATTAATGAAACAGAAACTGTTACTGCAGCATGCAGTATTTTTTTCCTCTGAAAGCTCTTGGAACAGGGGTGCTACCATTCATAGATTTTGGAGGGCTTTTTTTTCATTCTGCCCTACTGGAGGAAAAATAAAATCTCTATTAGAAGCATGAAAAGGCAGTTTCCTAATCTAGTGGCATCCAAATCATTTAAAATGCCTTCGGAGTAAATTGAGTTTCTTTTTGTCTTCCTTTTCCTTTCCCTTTCGTAATATTTATCCAAAAGCTCACAAATTTTGATAAAACTCACCCATTTGTCTTGGTGCTTATCAGTTGTATGTACAATAGCCAGACCCACTCAATTAACTAGAACAAGGCCTAACAATCTTACCTTCTGATGAACTTAGGTTTGGATTAATTTATTTTGGCTTAAATTATATTTGGAGAGGATGAACTGTGCTTTATACTAAACATCTGTGAACAAAGTGGAAAATTAATTCCCCTAGAAATATACAAACTCTAATTTAGGGAGAGAAAAGTTTATTCTTACAAAAGAAACCCTGGTTTAACTGATCAATAGAAGGTTATTTAGGTTCCCACTAGTATTTTTCTCTGCTCCAAAGATCAGAATGTGTCTCTATCCTTCCTCATTTGTTATCAAAAAGTGCATCTCTCAAAGAAAAGTTTGTTTAGGCCAGGCACGGTGGCTCACGCTTGTAATCCCAGCACTTTGGGAGGCTGAGGAGGGCGGATCACCTGAGGTCAGAGATTGGAGACCGGCTGGCCAACATGGTGAAACCCCATCTCTACTAAAAATACAAAAATTAGCCAGGTGTGGTGGCACACCCCTGTAATCCCAGCTACTCAGGAGGCTGAGGCAGAAGAATCACTTGAATCCAGGAGGCAGAAGTTGCAGTGAGCTGAGATGGTGCCACCGCACTCCAGCCTGCATGATAGAGTGAGACTCTGTCTCAAAAAAAAAAAAAAAAAAAAAAAAGTTCATTGATTAGGTAGTATCTAAAATTTTTTAAAGAATTTTCTACTTTTTTCCAGGGTTCTCTTTTAGAGTAACTAGCTTCCCCTGGCTTGCCTGGGATGTGCCAATTTTAGCACTGAAAGTCCCATGTCGCAGGAACTCCCTCAGTTCCCTCAGGAAAACAAGGACACTGGTCACTCAATCTCTCATTTCCCTCTTCTTGCATTCATGACTTGCTGTTTAAATGACATTTAGCTTTAGAGCTGAGACCAGTTAATCTAAACCGGAAACTAATTGGCAGATCTGTCAGTGGTGGTTCTTGAAGTGTGGTTCTCAGATCAGCAGCAACAGCAATACCTGGGAACTTGTTAGAAATGCAAATATTCAGACCTCACCCTATACATACTGAATCAGAAACTCTGATGCTGGGGCTGGGCAGTCTGTGTTTTGTCAAACTCTTTGGGTGATTCTGACGCATACTAAAGTCTCACAATCACTAGTTTATACTAATAGGATTCTTTTTGATTCGTGAAATTTCCCCAACATCTTGGCCCCATGATAGGGGGATGTTTTGAGAGCCAAAGGAGCATAAAGAAAAGAGTGAAATAAATATTATTTGAAAAATTATAAGAGGAAAATGATTAAGGATGAAAATTTCACTTAGGAGGTCAATGATATGCTTTTTTATTGCTATGCCAATTTTCAGTCTAGCACCTACCTGACAGGGATATAACTCCAACTTTTAAAAGATAAGCAAATGCCTAACAAATTTGATGGCAGCAGCATCCGTGTTTATCAATTACCAACAGTCTGGCAGACACTGTTCTAGTTATGTTATGGAGTATATTTATATACTAAATGAGTAGAGAATATAATCCTCTTTGACTTAGAAATTAAGGCACTGACATGATAAGACATTGATATAGATTGCTGAGGTGATTGTTATCAACTAAGGACAATGCTTTGATATTAAATTAGGCTAAAAAGACATGCCAAGGCTTCTTTCCTAGAATGAGTCCCTAATTTACAGATGCTAAAGAAAAGAAAGAGGGCAATTTACCTTGTAGAGAAAAAAAGTAATAATACTAACTCTAATCAGCTTATCTCTCTTTAAATAGAGAGCTTGTATTCTGAGGGCGAGCTTAAGTCAAGCCACCTGATCAGTCTTGTAACCACTGGAGAGATGAGCAGTGTTTAGTCATGTCCCTAATACTGTTATTGTCAGTCACCCTTTTACATCTGTCTTTTTCTGTTGGCTTCTTTCTTTTTAGGTTGTAGGGGAGACCCATTGTCTAGAGAGAATATACGCTTTGACTTGATGAAATCCCAGTTTAATCTAGAAAGGTCCATTTTGAGGTTAAGAACATTTCGGAGATGTGGAGGTTGAAGATATAAAGTAGGTCTCAGCTTTGGCTGGCCAATATGGGATCCTACTTATCTCCTCAGGGGACTGGACAATTCGTGTCAAGACTCTGTGCTTCAGGAGCCTCTGCTTCTTCCTCCTTCATGGTCCAACTTTCCTGCCCCTTCTTCATCTCATTAGCTTAACCCTCAGTTGCCTGACCCAAGTCAAGGTGTGTGACCTGGTCCTGATCACCACCTCTTTTTGGGGGCTTCTGCAACTGTGCTCTGTCCTGGCAACCTGCTTCTGTAATCTGTTTATCCCCAAATTTGAATGAGTAATAGGAATTGCCTAAATTTTGGATAAATTATCCTACAAAATAAAAGCATTCTCACATTGCCCTCTCAAATCACATGATCTTTGTAGAAAATGGCCGGTCCCTATGAAGCTAATTGATCTTTGGCATCAATAGGGAAATTCAGCTGGGCGCAGTGGCTCACACCTGTAATCCCAGCACTTTGGGAGGCCGAGGTGGGAGGGTCATTTGAGGTCAAGCATTCAAGACCAGCCTGGCCAACGTGGTGAAACCCCGCCTCTACTAAAAATACAAAAAAATTAGCTGGGCGTGGTGGTGTGTGCCTGTAATCCCAGCTACTCAGGAGGCTGAGGCAGGAGAATTGCTTGAACCAGGGAGATGGAGCTTGCAGTGAGCCGGGATTGCGCCACTGCACTACAGCCAGGATGACAGAGTGAGGCTCCATCTCAAAAAAAAAAAAAAACAAAAAAAGGCCGGGTGCTGTGGCTCACGCCCGTAATCCCAGCACTTTTGGAGACCAAGGTGGGCAGATCGTCAGGTCAGGAGTTCAAGACCAGCCTGACCAACATGGTGAAACCCCATGTCTATTAAAAATACAAAAAAATTAGCCGGGCGTGGTGGTGCGCACCTGTAATCCCAGCTACTCAGGAGGCTGAGGCAGGAGAATCACTTGAACCTGGGAGGCAGAGGTTGCAGTGGGCCGAGATTGTGCAACTGTACTCCAGCCTGGGTGACAGAGCGAGACTCTGTCTCAAAAAAAAAAAAAAAAAGAGGGAAATCCAGAAGTTAAATTTTTTAAATGGGCTCTGCTTCTGCCTTAATATTTTTCATTAGAATAACGTATGGTCTAATTTGCATGTAATACATGTAGCACATAGTGAGTTCAACAAGTAACCATTATGTATATGAATCTATTGTTGATGTAATTGCCTCAAACAGATAATAAATTGGACAGCTTTGAAAATCATCTCAAAAGTTTCAGTTCAATATTTTTGTTTTGTAAATTTTAAAATCTCCTTTCTAAAATTTTTAATGCATACAAGGCTTGGGAAATTTAGTTCAAATAATGTAAAGGTAGAAAGAAATAGTATAGTCACCCAATCCCTTAGAACATTAGAGTTTCATGCAGGCTACTATGGGGAACAACTTGTCACTTGATGAAAAGTATATGTGATTACTTTTTGCATGGAACTACCAAGTCACAGACCATTAGAGACACAGTGAAATCAGTTTGAAGTGCAATTCATTTTTCTAATGTTTTCTAGTAATACTTCTTCCAGCTTATTCTTCTCAAGGAGAGTGAATTCATTGTTCCCTCCACTCTTATATTAGAGTCCTATTACTCTTGCATATACAACTTATATTGCATTTATTTTTTACCTCCTGTGATTAACACAGCATCCTGTATATGGATGGGTTCTATAAGACAGACCCCCAAAATTTTCAGGACCGAGCATACAAATGGAGACTATATGCCATATATCTAAATATGTATCAAGTTTCGCCTAGCAACTCCACACTTTGTTCCCCAGGAATTGTCCTTGGGACCTGGAGAATAAAGAATCCCCTCACCTGAATCATCCTTGAGCCTGGTAGTGAAGCAGATTTGTAAGAACAGAGCGGAAGCAGTGCCCAAAGCCAGAACTTCTGGCTGGTGACTGGACCTACCCAAATCAGGTACCCTGCAAAGTGGAGTGGAGCACTTGATTTCTCCACAGCCTCATTTGGTGGCTTTGGGATTTCTAGGCCGTTTAAAGCACTTTCTACAGCTATACCACTCTAGCAGACGGGAGTGAGGAATTCAGAGCAGGGGGACTTTTTCTGCTTAGACATACATTTTTGTGATTTGGGGTGGCCAAATGTGTACTGTGTACAAAAACAGCCACTCTTTCTCTGGTTTCCAGATAGAAGTTGTGATATCTTCCAACCTCTCAACACACACACACACACACACACACACACACTTATACACAGATATACACATATAGCCATACATGCACATGCATACACATAGACATATACACTCATAAGTGTGCACACACACTTATGAACTCCCAGCCTCTGTACTCTGGCCTTTGGGGCACCCAGTTCAATTCTCACTTCCCTTTCCCATAATTCCCATCTGCTCAATTGGTTACAGAACCCTGTAGGAACTTTTTTTATTTTACAAGAAAAAAAAAAAAGCCCACAAATAAAGGGACTTTTAAGCACAGCCCAGTGCCAAGGCCATTCCTGCCTGGGTCTAAGAGTGTGGTATGGGCTCAATAAATTTTAGTTAAATGAGATAAAAGTGGTAGAAAAGAAACCACCAGGAATAATTTCTAAAGACTGGTGGTTTGTTTTTGTTTTTGTTTTTGTTTTTGGTCAGAAGCACCTTTTTCTACTTCAGAATGTCAGCACATTTATGAGGAAGCAGCTGTTTTCTTCATTTCCTAGCAAGTCTGAGTGAGACTTAAATTCACATAGGAAAGAAGAAAATAAATCAGATGTAATTCTGAGCCTTCAATCTACAGGAAAACATGATGAACATCTTTGGGTTATAACACTAATCCCTGTTACCTGAGAGGAAACTCTAGTAACTCACCTATGGTTTTTCCACTTCAGTTATGAAGTCTGTAACCAGAGGAATAAATTTCTTGCCCAGACCATGTAACTTGGCTGCTCCATGTTACTATCCAAAATTCAAGTGTTGATATTTTTTGGAATCCTTTCTTATGCTTTATGGATTTTTTTAAAGAAGTATTTACAGTGTTTTTATACAAGACGAAGGTCACAAATGGGCCACTTTGAATACTGATGTTTCCTTTTATTCTCAACTGAAGCCCCATTCCACAACGTATTAGCAACCTGTTTTGATGCCAAAGCCAAATAGTGACAGTTGCAGTAATGAATATTTGCTACAGGGCGCTGGCAGAAAAATGGCACAGAAATGCAAGCCCAAACCATCTCAAATCTTTCTCTTCTCACTGAATTTCACCCATTATTTTTAACTCCTTGTCACATATATTGTCCCAGAGTCTTTGGTAGAGTAGTGCAAAGAAATCTGAATCAGCCTTTGGGAAACAGTAAGAAAAGCGAATCGTTTTCCTACTTTCTCATCTTTTGCAGGGGGAAAAAAAGGTGCAATGAAGCCCTGTGGTTTATTCTTACCATTCTGCACAAGAGGTTAGTTGAGAGCTATAGGTTTTCCTTTTCTTTCCTCCTTCTAAATGATTTTAAGCAACTTAATACCTTAGCATTATGGTATTTGGATATACGTAATTGACTCTAGCTTGGGCCACGCTTAGTTTCTTTTATAGTCAAATGTTTAAGATGTTGTCTTTCAGCATGCATAATAAATCAGGATGAATTCAATTATTTTATAAAAAATTAAATTTTAAACAATAAAAAACAAATGAAGAGCACATGCAACTGAGCCAGACTGTGTTCAAATCATTGTGTTACCTGTTGGCAGCTCTGGCGTTGGGCAAGTTCCCAAATTTCTCCATACCTCAGTTTTGTTGCTATGATGATAATGCAAATGTTGTGCACCTCTTGTTTTTTATGAGTTAATACTTGTAAATACTTTAAAAGTGCTTCCACGATGATTAGCTATTATTAATTTATTCATTGTTTTCTCTTAATATTTATTGAGTGCCCATTTCATGCCAAGTATAAGTGCAAGAATATAGCAAAGAATAAAGCAGATTAAGAAGTTTATAATAATAGTTATTATTTCAAGTCTTTATGGGATGTCTCATAAACTATTCTGCCACTAAGTACATGATCTATGTTTATTGGCCTTCTTATCCCCAGTGGCTTGGGACAGAACTTAGCACAAAATAGTTCCTTAATAAATGTTGATGTAATAAAGTTTGAGTGCATGAGTAACTGCAGGTAAGATAATACACACTAGATTTGGCATTGGGAGATACAATGTCAAGTCTTAGTTATTATCTCAGAGCACTATGTGACCTTGAGAAATTTCCTGAAACTTCTCTATCTAAAAATTAAGAAAACTATGCTATAAAGCCATTAAGCTTCTTTCTGATTATGATTCTACAAAGTAACTTGAATGATGCACCATTTGTTGACTGGTTATAATTCTGTTTTTCTTAAAGTAATAAACTTTAACTCTAGAATAGTTTTAGATTTGCAGAGAAGATTCAAGAATATATCAGAAAGTTCCCATATACCCTGCATCAAGCTTCTCTTATTGTTAACATCTCACATTAATGTTGTACATTTATCACAACTAATGAATCAGTATTCATACATTAGTTTAACTAAAGCCCATTCTTTATTTGATTTTCCAAGTTTTTACCTAATGTTCTTTTGCCCTAGAATCTCATTCAGGATCCCATGTTACACTGATTTCTCATATTTCCTTAGGCTCCTCTAGACTGTGATAGTTCTGCACACTTTCCTTGTTTTGATAGCCTTGCTAGTTTTGAGGAGTACTGGTCAGGAATTTGATAAATGTCCTTAAGTTTAGGTTTGTTTTCTGTTTTTCTCATGGTTAGACAGGGGTTACGAGAAGGAAGCCCACAGAGGTAATTTTCATCACATCATGTCAAGGGTATATGCTGCTGTTAACATTATCATTCATTTAAGATTCTATTTTAATGTGTGGACAATAATTATTTATAACTGGTAATTTAATGTACCATATTAAAGTAAACTTCTTTGCTATATGTATGCATTGTATAGAACAGATGACTTTCTTTGAATAAGTCATAATGCTAAAATATATTTACCTTACTTTCTTGGTTTAAAAAACACCCCTTTATCACTGTTAAAAGGTAAGTGAAAAATCCATTACTACTTAAAAATTAATAGTATTCCTATCTTTATGGAGTCAAGTTCTACATATTAAATTTAAGATAAAAAATATAACTTTTTATTTCTTTCACACTAACTACATGCTTAGAAAATAACAAATTTATGGTTAGCTATGTGGTCAAAAGTATTCCAGAAAGTAGACACACCAGAAGTTGAGTGTTGATATTAATTCCCCTAAGCCTGTCTCATGCAAGGAACTTGCCTTAAGAAATGTTAATACTTCACTAACCCCTAGGCACAGAGAATCTGATGTCTCTAATCTTCTGTTGTCTTTGGTTTAAATGTACATTATCCTCTGGGGTCAGAGAAACACTAACGTAGATGTCACAGGAATCGAAAGATTCCTGGTTTTGTTTATTCTATGCTTTTGTTAACAAATTGCACTATAAATAGGAAAGTTAGTTTAGGATTACTATGATCTATACTATGTGCCATTTTCAGATTAAGACCAAGTCAATCCAGAGGAAAAGTTGTTAGAGCAGGGTATTACTAGGGAAATCTTTACCATAGTAGATTTCAATGAAGTAAATACCCACAGTGTCACGCTGGCTTCAGTGTGTGGCCAAACTAAGTTTAAATATAATATCTGTATTTACGGTTATCACTCCTGATAGAGCTGATCCTAAGAACAATTTAGTGGTTTTAGCCCACTGCTCCCTGTGACCTTACTATGCAGAATCACAGTCATGGCCAAGAGTATCATTCCCAACTTTTTTTTTTTTTTTTTTTTTTGCCTCAAAATCTGATTTTCTTGTTCCATGAAATGCTTGGCTCGGGCTCACAATATACTACTTTTGTGTCCTTGGGAAATTTTCTTAACTTCTAGAGTTTTCTCATTTTTGCAGCTCTGTACTGTGGAATTACTTTATAAATACATACAATTTATACAATAAAAAATGAAATTATTTTATAAGTATGTACAGTTATTTTAAGTATGTAAAACACTTCGCAAATTAGCTACTTGTTGTTTATTCACAGATGCATACACACATGCTTTCAAACAATCATTTCTGGTATATAGGGGGCAATAATCAGCTATGGCACCATCTTAAAGTTGTCATGTTTTATTCCATCTCTAGGTTCTCAAGATATATTTTTGGCAGTTACTTCATATTTTAATAATGGAACATTAACAGGCAAATAAAAACTAATCAGGGAGTGGACCTTTCAGTGTGCAAGGGAATAAATGTATTCTAGTGACAAAACTTAGTGTTAGGGTAATTTTACTTATTTTTCTCTAGCCATGAGACACAGATTTGCAGCATGATTTTGAAAACTTGGCAGGTGAATGTTCTTTATGACACTGAAAGAGACTTACTTGATGATCTTAGCAGGTAGATAAGTGATTGAAAGTGTGTGAAGTGTCAGGCAAAGGAAACAAGATCCAGATGAGTTTTTTTTATACAACAGCCCTTCAACAAGGATTCATTTCTCTTTTTATTGACTAGTGTTTCTGATGCCCTATTTAGAAAAGCAATGAAAAACCTTACCCATATTTTCACCCCTATGCCTGGATGAAAGGGGATATTCCAGTTAAGAGTCATTCTGTAGCTGCAGTCAACTCTTGGTAGTAATGAACTAACAAGAAGTAAGCATTTATGCAGACAACACTTAATTGCAGACAGACCACTTGTCCTTACATCCTGGCCAAGTCTCTTTATCATGGACTTTTCAGTGTAGCATTAGATAGTGACCATAGCAGTATATGGAATGAGAGACAGCTTCAATAGCAGATGTAGCTGGAGAGGCAGCCTAGGAATATTTTGGAGAGGAAGTTAAGAACTAGCTGAGAGGCAAAAAAGTAGTATATGGGTAGATAGGATATGAGTGTAGAGCTTATTTGCAATTTGTTATTGGGTATGGCAAACATTGCTAACGTAACAGTGATTGGCATATTTGGAAGGGGAGCTGTGCATACCCAAGTAAAGTTAAGACAGGGTAGTTTTACTTTGGAGATTGATCTCTCCAGATTTAGCATCAGACTTTAGAGCCAGAAGGGTTGTAGAGTTACAGTGCATCAACATTTTCATGATCATTTAACTCTTAAAACAATGTGACAACAGCATGGTGTGGCCATCCTGCGAATTCCTTGTGAATAGTGGCTATTGATGTCTGAATATTTTTGCCACAAACTCCCTGCGTACAGCTTGGTACAGGGCATGTATTTAATAGATATGCTAGACTAGTCTTCTTCTTCTTTTAATATTGATGATTTTTGTACCTTGTGTTGAATTGTAACTCTTTGCAAATAGAGCAATGATTTTCTGAACTGTTGATCTGGTCAAAGCAATTATGGCATCAGGGTTCCGGTTTTTTTTTTTTTTTTTTGTATAAGCATTTGCAAAAGGATCTGTACCTGTTTTTTAATTAAAAAAAGAAACAATGAAAGACAGAAGTAAAATAGATAAGTAGTAAAGAAAAATCAAAGTATCTTAAAAGCATTTATCTTCTATTTTAATTGTTTAAAAATCTAGAAAAAGCCATTTAGAAATATGTATTGAGAGACTACAATATATTATAAATATTGTTGTACTAAGGCTATGTGTTAACAAGAGAAATTTGTGGATATTTACCCCATAGAATATTTTTAACTTGTATTTATATTGATGTTCAAGAATCATCTGAAAGTGTTATTTTAATACATAAAATTAAATATGGTCATCTATGTGAATTTTTTTGTGAGGTGATTGATGCATCCTTGACAAACAGCAATTGCTAGCTGCTCTTATCATTATAAGCAGAATGCAATATTCATGATACATTCCTGAATAGGGAAAGATAATACCATTGTTTTTCCCCCTTTTTTCTGTGTTATTTTGAATACAGACGGTACTGCAGGGACACCAGCAATATCAACGACGACAACTGTGGAAATCCGCAAAAGCAGTGTTATGACAACTGAGATCACCTCTAAAGTGGAAAAAAGCCCAACGACAGCCACTGGCAATAGCTCATGTCCTTCTACTGAGACCGAGGAAGAAAAGGCAAAACGGCTTCTTTACTGTTCGCTATGCAAGGTTGCTGTCAACTCTGCCTCGCAGCTGGAGGCGCACAACAGTGGTGAGATGCAGCGATTTCTTTTTTGTTTCAACAGCTCTGCAATTATCTTCCTCTGAATAGATTAGATCTTTTGCAGCAGGGGACAAAGGGGTGGAGGAAAACTGGCAATTATTACATGGAAATCATTAACCATTAAAAAATAAAAATGACGAGCAAAGTGTCATTTATATAGGGGCAAGGGGTGGTTTCCAGGGCTCGAAGTCCATGGTGTGTGTGTATGTGTGTGTTATTAAACATTAGGAGATAAAATGAAATACAATCCTAAAATGTGTTTTGCATTTATATGATTTCTAGTTTGTTTATTTATTTACATGCATTTGCATCTAAATGACATTTTCTAAAACTGTACCCATAATATTGTCGCAAAATGTGTAGTTGCGTGACTCTAAGCACCTTTGGTTAAAACCCCTCTATTTTGATTTTTATGAAAAAAATAATGTTATTTGGGCTAAATCTATGGAACCTGGACAATTAAAAAAGTGTTTATTATGTGCCCATTCAGATGTGATTTCTAAATGTACTCTTTTTAGTTACTCTTTCCAACAACTTTGCAGTAGCTTAAAAATGTTATTCTTTTCAATTGTTTGAAGCTCAGAGAAGGCACAGAACATAACCAATTAAGTGACAGAACCATGATTTGAACCCAGATCTGTCTGACTTCAACACTAATTCTCATAGCAGGGAGGAAAATACTGGAATACTGACAAGCCGGGATAAAATGCTCTCCCAATATACCCATATATTTTGGTTCCATCTTGCTGCTCTGTATGTGTATATATATATACCCCCTCATCTGTGTGTACACACACACACACACACATACACACAGTCTCGCAAACAATGATCAGCTTTTCTCTAAAGACTGGATTCATTGCCAAGATCAACTTTTCTCAAAAAGACTGGGTTCATTGCCAGGACTCTGTCAGCAACTATAATAGAAAAAGAATCATTTGTGAATCATACCCTGAGTTAATATTGCAGCTGTATGTTGAGTCATTGACCAGTCATTGTGCTGCACTGGTAATATTCAAGTATTGACTTCAAGACTCTAAGGAGTAATAGCAGATGGAGAACAATTTCTTCAACACACACCTTCCTCCAGCATATAACGTTAGTTGTAATGAGAGAGTTCATGAGTTCAGGTACTAAGAAACACAGAAAAGTACCTGGCCTTAAGGTAGAATCTATACCTTGCAGATTTTCCATGTGTTTATTCATGCAAATACATTTCTTCTTGAACGCAAGATATTTGGGAAAGTATAAACATCATTGGTAGTCCATTTATTTCCCAAGAATCCTTGGTCATTCCGCATAGTGACTGAGAAACACATTCATTTTGAGAAAGCATCAATCTTGACAGATAAACACACCATGTCCTTTGAGACTAGAGTTTATCAAGAATTTTGGTGGGCTGTGGTGTTTTACACCTGTAATCTCAACACTTTGGCAGCTGGGGTAGGAGAATCATTTGAGACCAGGAATTTGAGACCAGCCTGGGCAACAAAGGGAGACCCCCATCTCCACAAAAAATTATGAAAAAAAATGTTAGCTGGGCATGGTGGCATGTGCCTGTAGTTGCAGCTACTCAGCAGGCTGAGGTGAGAGGATCTCTTGAACCTAGGAGGTTGAGGCTACAATGAGCCATGATCGCGCCACTGCACTCCAGCCTGGCTGACAGTGAGACCCTGTCTCAAAAAAAAAAAAAAAAAAAAAATTGGGAGTTGTTCTTCTTGAATTCTTATTAGAAATATCTGATAAAGAAACAAAGAAGGAATTACTTGTCAAATTAGGGCAACATTTTTCCTATTCTACTTCCAGGTCCTTATCTCTACTTTGTGTGTCAAAATTACCCCAGAGCTTTAAAAATGTATGTACCCAAGCGCTATGCCCAGGGATTCTGATTATTATATCCAAGTCATGGGAAGCTGTAGTTTTTGGAGAAAAATAAATAAATAAAACTTCAGTGTTTTGCAGGCAGAGCTGAGAACTATTATAACAATCTTATCCAAGAGTTTAAGGAGGTGAAATGTGGCTGTCACCCTTTACTTGAATTCCCTTATAAGAGTGTTCTCTCTGAACCTTAGGCCTAATCGGTGGAAAGAAGGCCACTTGCCTTCTTTCTAAGCTGCTCCTTGGGTTGCCTTTTCCCTGTATTTTCCCTCCTGCATCTGAGATCTTTTTCTGTTTGAAAAGAACCCACTCCAAAATCCTGGCCTAATGCTCATTTTAGAGCTCTCCTTAGACTTGCACTAGCAAGCTGTGTCAGGACTAAAGGTAGCAAGGGAAGAGGAAAAGACACATAAATAGTTGCTGTTTGACCCCCTCTGTCCACCATTTTTGATCTTCAGATCCAGCTCTATTATTTGTAACTTGAACAGTGTTGGAAGGCTCACCATGTCTAGGATTTCTTCCAGATGTGGATAAATGTGAATGCAATCTTACCTGCACTAAACAACTGCCACATGCATACTGGCTCCCTCTATATCTTCTCCCTAGGGTGTGGTATGGGGAAATCCAGGGAACAAAATAAAGAAGAGAAAATCTAGAGATACCTGCTCTTCTGCCAGGAATACTAGCCACAGATGTAGGATTCATCATATGATCATTGTGGCGTGTTTCAGTTTGGACTCCCTCAAGAGCAGATTTGGAGACAAGGATTTGAGGGCAAATAGTTTCTTAGGGAGGTGAAGGAGGTTAAGGGAGTGGGTAACAGAAAGAGGGAAAGGAAGGCAGCCCAAACGGAATGCATGATTTAGCCAACTACCAAGTTGAACAATTGGGGCTGACCAAATGAAACTGTTAGACTTCTGGCCTGCACTCCGTTTCACTGTGTTAAACATAAAAACTTCTATTGGTCATGAAAAATGACAGAATTAAATTAATTCCGATTCTATTTCTTCATATTTATAATCACTGTGCTATCATTGTTAATTTATAACCTAATGTTTACATTTTTTAAAAAAAGATGTAATACCGCAGGGCTTAAATGCATGAACCGTGCCCTTAGTGAGCTCAAAGTATTTGGAACTGTTATGAACTTACTAATGACACAAAAACTTGTTACTGAATTTGTGTGTGTCTGGAGCTCATGTGGTGTCAATTACAAGATAAGTAATAAAAATCTGCGAATTTAATATACACTAAATCTTAATGGTAACCACATTAATTGTTTAAAATATAGACTAACAAAATATTTTTTAGGGAGTAGTCCTTTATCGCTGATGTTATTTAGAGTTGCCAGATCATAGTGCTGGTAGAAAGTAGTTTGCCTAGGCCGTTTAGTTCATTTAATTGTTGTTTTCTAAATTCTCTTTAAATATACCCCACTATTGTCTGCATTCAGAGAAGACAGCAATCAATGCCCCACCTTTAGAACTCCACTGTTTCCTACACTTAGCCCTGCCCCTCTAATAGTGCTTCAGAAACACTTCTCTGCTTTCTTTCAGAGCCAGATATTAGAAAGCCAGTGTTAAGATTGGATTGTGTTTTCAGGGAACCAGGTTTGAAGGCCAATTCTGATCTGAAGCAGCCAGGCTGCAGGGTGGGGAAATGTTTCCCTTGCATCCGAATAATAGTTCTAATTGTTTTTCTTGTTTTTCCCCTTTAGAAACACATTATATACATAAAATAGGGTCTGTAGCATTAAGTATAGAAATGTGCATCTATGAGGGGAAAGCCAATGATCTTTCAAAACATGTTTTTCAATCTTAGAAAATGCATTCTGAATTCTAAACAAATGACCACAGCCAAATTTTGGGAATGCAACTTCCATTAAATGCTATCAGTGATATAGGACAGCAGAATGGACTAGAAGTGATAAGAGTTAAATTTTGCCCCCAGATATGCAGAGAACATTTCTATATGGACCTGGGCAAGTCAGTTGTCCTCTCTGGGCCTTTGTATATATCTGTCTTTCTATCTCTCTTTCTCTTTCTCTGTTGCTAATGGAGTTAAGAAGCCATAATGGCATTTTTAAGGATCAAATTATGTCATGATTATTAGCATGACCACAGCTGCTCCTGGCATTATTTGGGGATCAATTGTGTTCTTTCATTCGCTTTCCCTTTGATTTTTCACTAGTGTGTAACCATTTGAAGTTGCAATTAATTGATATATATTCCATAAGATTAGAATACAGGATTTGAACAGAGGCATTCCTACTTTGATTTTTTTTTTTTTAATTTGGAAAGGGAAGTACCTCTTTTGAGCTAACTAGTGGTGTTTACAACAGTCTAAGAATTTTTTAAACACCTTAAGAGGACATAGTCTTTTAAAGAGATTTGGAAGCCCTTCCCTTGACCTATATGCTATAGATACAAATATTACAAAAGATGTGTTTTTCTTTTTCTTTAAAAAAATTTCCCCCCACAAAAAAAAATTCCCCCAAATATCCTAGTAGGTAGTGCTCTGCTTAGCTAATTTTGATGGTTTTCCCTGTAAAATTTGAAAGAAAAAAAGAAAAAAACCTTTGAGATCGTTTATAGTTAAAGCTCATTACTAATTTAGCAACATTGGATAATTTTTGCTAAACACATTCTAGTTTTTGTCTTATATGTCTAGACAGAGTTTATTCTATCCCCTCACCAAGTTTCAATATGCAGAAAAGATAGTTATCAAATGACAGACTTTACTAAATTTTAAAATGCTCAGAGGGTTCTAAACTTTTGCCTTAACAAAAGCAACAATGTAAAAAAGAAGGATAAGATTGATTAAAATTTGTTGAGCAGATCAAAGTGTCAAGAATAATCCTTAAAACAATAAATGCATTTAATACATTTCAATAGAGCAGATAATTTCTTTTCAAAATAAATGAGGACATTGAAGCACAAAGAAACCTAAGCTCACACAGCTAATGGAGGCAAAATCTGTCCCGCACAATTCTAGAGCCTGAGCTCATAACTTTCTTTTTACAAATGAAAAAAAAAGTTGTATTTGTTCATCAATCTGTATTGATATCTAATACCCCAGTTAATTTTCCTTGATTATCTACTATGTGTTAGACACAGAGAATACAACTATGAGCAAGACCTAGTCATTGTCTTCAAGAAGTCCATGTCTAATTGTGACTCTGTGTTCAGAAGTGAAATACATACTTGCTTCATGTGAAAAGCTCATTTAAGCCATTCAGCTGTGGTTAGTGTTCATGACCTTATTGCTATTAAGGCCCAAAGATTGTTTGCCACTTCCATTCAACATCTTCTAGGGTAATGATAAGGCTTCCCTTTAATTGAAAATAAAGATAGAGACTCGTCTATCACAATTCTTCTGTTGTAACTTCTTTAAACTTTCTACAAATGATGATGAAAACAGCCTCATAACTCCCTGTGCTCCACATGGCCATACAGGGCATATTTGAATATTGGAGCTGTACTATCTAAAATGGCAGCCACTAGCCTCAGGTGGCTATTTAAATTGAAATTAATTGCCAGTACCATTTCTCTGTTGCGGTGCCCTCATCTCAAGTGGTTAAGAGCTACACATGGCTAATGGCTACCATATTAACCATACATTTGTATAGATATGGAATATTTTTATCATCACAGAAGTTTCTAGGTACTAGAGCTGTAATTCACAAATAATATGTTTGGGGGATTTTGATAGTAAATGATTTCAGGTATATTACCTAATAATAAGAATTATTACATCACTGTGAGCATTTAGGGTTTACTAATTTCACATTTGGTGACTTCTCACTGATTAACAACCAGAATGAGTGACTTCAGAAATGTGTCAAGACGCATTTTCTAGCTATGTTGTTTTATATGACTATTCTTGTTAAATGAGGTTTCAAGTGCAAAACAGTGGAAAGTTCAACCTGGGTCATTTTTCCTGTCTATGCCTCATATAAAATCACTGATATTTAAAAAATTTCTGAAAGTATACATGTGAAAATGTGTTACTACTGAGGACTTGGAGCTTAAAGTTGATAGGTGGGTAGGCTTTTGCTTTTTACTTTATATTCTTTTGTGCTCTTTGAATTTTCTAGCAAGAACATCTGTTGCTTTCATTAACAAAATAAAAAATAAAACTAGTTTACACAAAATGCAAACAAAAGCACTGTTTTTATAAATAAGACAGCATTATGTTGCAATTATACTATGGAAGTGTGATTAATTTGTCCATTTATTAATTGTTGCATGTTAATAAGTTTAAGACCTTTTCACTAGGCTTTCTTGGGGAATGGATATAAAAGCAATGTGGTATTTTCCATGGCCTTAAGGAAGGGCCTTGTTTTTAAGGAGAAGAAATGGGTGCATATAAAGATTTTTCAGTGTGTGTCTAGAGAAGCGGGGTAGAGCCTTAGTGTTTTCTATAGTCACACTTTCAGGGCATTATGGATAAAAAAAGCTTTCTGGATGTCTGATATTTCTCTTCACAGGCTGGAATTTCAAGGCTTGCTGCTATATTAGTTCTCACATTTGTCTCCACTATCAGATAAGCCATGTGTTCTGCCCATTGGGTCCCTCAGCCTGCAGAGCTCTTCCCTGGGTTTCCTTTGGTCACAGGGTCCATTGTGCAGCTTGTCTCCTACCCCATAATGACTTCAGAGCTTTCCCTCCAGGACCATTTCTGAAAAAAGCATGCTTATTTTTTCCTCTGTTTTAGACTTCTTGTTTTCTTTGTCTCTATTTTCACCTTTCCAAATTGGACTTTGGATATATTACTGGTAAATCAGTGAATTACTTTCAACCAAGGAACTAACAGAAATGATAGAATTTTTTTTTTCTTATTTGGGGCAATATTTGGTCACCTGATACCTAGATGCCATTCCAGGTGCTTAATGTTTGTTGATATTCTGATAATGTAAACCAAAGTTTTCTTCTTTAGGAAAAAATTAACATGGAAAATGCTACTATATAGGAGGTCAACATAATAAAAGGTTAACTTGATATTTAGAGATTTTTAAAAGAACACATGGAAGCGTTTGATGCTAATTACACATTCCAGGTACGTAGATTTGAGAGAGCTTTCCTTCCTTAGTACACACAAGAGTTATAATGCTATTATACCAAATATCATAAATAAACACCTTAGCAAAAAAAAACAGCTTTGCATTTTGCTGTTTGTATGGAGACTGACCACTTTACTGCCCATTTATAAGCTGAATCATTGAACTTGTCAATATGATGGTAACTAAATTATTGCTGGCAATTGTATGAGTTTGTTAAAAATCTAGTCAAATGCTATTAAATAGTATTTAATGGGCCTTCTGAAAAACTAAACTTAAAGGTATTCAAATTTATTTTAGAGAGGGGCAACTTTTTCAGACTATACCAACTAGATTTCCCTATAAAGTAAACCCCTCTGAAACTTTCTTTGTAATTTTTAGAAAATAATTTGGCACTGTGAATCGAGAGACTTAAAAATAGTTATATTCTTTGTCCCTATAATACCACTTATGAAAAGCTATCCCAAGGAAACAATCAAAAATGTGATGAAAGATTTAATGAGTAGGATGCTCATTACAACATAATTATATAGGGAAATAAAGGGAAATAATACAAATGTCTAATATTAGATAATGGTTAAATATATCATCTCGATGTATTACAAGTCTATGCTGTCATTAAAAATCATGTGCATTTCTAAAAGCATATATATAATTTCACAGGAATTTTATGCAAAGCCACTTTAGCTAACTTATTCCAACTTTTTAAAATGCACATGTACAAATAGAATATAAAAGACTGGTACATGATAACTATTATTAATATTTTTATATACCTCTAGTTGGTGAAATTAGGGGGTTTTTTCCTTAAAATTTTTTTTAAATTTATCTTGTGACCTAATAAATTATTTCTAATGTATGATTTATTTAACTTTTTAGTCATTTGCCAGTTTTCTTGTTTACCTATCTTTCCTTTATGCCAGTACCAAACTTGAAAGCCAGCTAAAAAGAGGAATTGTAAGAATGATGGGAAACGAAAGGGAAGTCTAGCCCCTTGCCCCCATATTAACTTGATTTTAAGCGTAATATGTATCTTTCCCCCAAATACTCCAAAACGAACAATTAAGCAGAAAGCAAAAAAAAAAAAGGATTTCTTGGAGCCTTATGCCGTGCTGAATTTAGACTGTGGTTGGAGTATGATTTCACCTTTCAGAAATCATGAAGCTTCAGGTGAAGGTATTTGTCAGTACCAGCCTTTTAAAGGTGATAAAAGAAAAATAGTCCACTTAGCTCCTTGCAGAGTCTCTCCTCAGAGGAAGGAATGTAGTGCAGAAGTAGACTTATGAGTGCCTAGCTGAGCCATCACAAAAGAAGGGACAGCCTTGCAAGATGTTTACATGATGTTGAAACCAGAGGAGACCACCGGCCACACAGAGCCATATCTTCGCAAAGTGTCACCATTCGTGGCACTCTGCTCAGCAAAAAAAGCTTTATGAGAAAAAGCAGGGGGTGGGGGTGCGGGGATGGAAGGAGAATTGTAGACTCAAATTCCAAGTTTAGAAAAGACAGTATTAACAAAATAGAAAATTAAAGATTTGTGTGTAACTGAATTCAGGTGGCTTAGAAATTCTTAGTGAATTTCTAAGGAACTTAGCTAGAAATCTCCTTTCTTTCTGCCAGGGACTTCAAGTAATGCTTGCTTTGTGACCACGAGCTAGTAACTTAGTCTTTCTGAGTCTCAGTTTATTATCTCCTAAATGGGGATAATAATAGCACCCAGCTCATAGGGTAGCTGTGAGCAGGTAAAAAATTTAGCACAGTATCTGAAACATATTACAGATTTAATACAAAGGGGTTCTTCTAATACTAATTATGTTTATATTATTAATGCACATTTTATCTCATACATTTAAATGCTTTATAATTAAGAATACATTTTCCTAAATTTTAGCTGTATTTGGAGGAAATACAGCTACACTTACTGCCTACTCAAGCTTTAAGATCTTATAAAACTATCTAATAGTTATTGAATTATGATTGACAATATCTTACTAAATGTATGAGGTTACACTGTTTAAAAGTTCTACTCCATTTAATGGTGAATAGTAACCCTAGACTCAATAGTTATTAATTGAAGTTCCCTTCCCCAATGTTGCCACATTTTTAATCATATGTATACCTGTGTGTGTGTGCATGTGCATGTGTGTGTAAGTGTATGTTTATAAGGTATGGGTATATTTAATTGTCCTATCTTTTCTAGCTTCTATGGAGAGACTATACTTAAATAATAATTCGAACAACCCAATGACTTTCTGAAAAGATGGGTATTTCTAAAATGTTCACATATGTCCCATTTCTATTCTTCCTCTAAAAAACATGACATAGATGGGTCTTAGCTTGCCAAAGATATTCTGAGAAGCACCATATTTTCTGAATCTTTGCCTGCTATTGCTAAGCCCTACTACTGGGGCCAAATCTCTTAAATTTTCCATTATCTCCTGAATACTTAATACTCAATGCTGAGACAAGCCACCTATGTCTGGCTTTTTTCTCTTCCCAATCAACATAAACTACTTAAGTATTATTGAATAGGTTAAAATAGTATTTGGACCCATTCAGCTTCCACCTATGAAACACCAGCTACCAATCACAGATGATATTAACCAAAAGTGAATTTGGAATGCCTCAAGAAAATCAGGATGAGAGTCAATCTCCAACTAACTTCTTAGGCATTCATAAACTAAACTAGCCCTACTAATAATGCTTCTCAGTGTCACTGAAGGAGCTGCATAGAAACATTTTGTATAAAATCATCTGTTAGGATAAAGAAGTTTTCATAATCATTTACATATTTTGTTTCTTGCTCCCTAGGACTATTTTTTCTTTGCCCTCCTCCCACTTATGTCATCTTCAGCTCCCACTTATGTCATTTGCAGCTGCAGTGGAAAGCATTTGTGCTCACTATATTGCAAAGGAGGTGACTGAAATAAGCTCCCGTGAAGCATCACAGTCATTACACTGGAGCAGTTCTCTGGTTCCACGTTTCAATTCGTCCTATCTTCCTGCGAGATATTGACTTTTTCCTTTCTCTAATGTGTTGAAATATGAACATTTTAATAAGAATGGAAAAGAATATGGATATTTAAAATAGGCCATCTAGGTTGTAAGAATGAATACTTTTTACATTGGACTCAGTAAAATGTAATCATTTTGAAGAAGGGAAACATGTGGCTAGAAACCTGTTTAATTTATTTATTGTCCCTTACTTAATATAATGTGATCTGCAGTGACCTCGAGTGCCCTTCACAATATATTTTCCTCATTAACATTTAGTGGTTCTGGGAAGCTGGCCTGTAACTCAGAAGTTAGGAATCATTTCTTTAATGGTTGCCGAACGTACAATCTAATCCATTCAAATAGGCAGGGGAAACTACTACCAAATATTTCTAAAATCAGAATGGCAGAAAGAACACAAATGATTATAAAAGAAAATGTCACAGAAAAAACACATGACCAAGTGAAAAAAATGAAGAATACTTATCAACTCTAAAAAAAAAGAAATTTTGTGCAAAATTTTCAGAGAAAACTGCCATTATGAACAGTATGTAACTACAGTGATCTCAAGAAAACAAAACACAAATGGGTTGTTAACGGTTGACAATCAGAGTTGCATGAATGATGTGTGAAGGCCTGAAGATGTTATTTGTTTATTAAAAGGAAGCAGTTATCCATCGTGTATATGCTTGGGTTACGAGTCCACCCCTCATCTTCTTGGTCATTTGTTTACATAGCCCACCTGTGTGGGCTTCACTATTCTAATATGGATTTGTTTTTCAGAGTCATTAAGCTGTTTATACTATTACTCTCACTTGGAACCTAAAATACATAGCCACGAAAGCTTGTTTGTATTCTGTTTAGAAAGTGGGTATTTAATTAGTGCCACTTCTATAAACACACCATGTTTAAACTGATTACACTTGTTACACATCACCTCCAGCTATATCTTTAGCAAATAAATGACTCTTCCTCATCAGGTATCATTTATGTCTTGTTAGTATCAAGAGGAAATGAAATGAAGTCACACCCATTTCATTTCCCCTCAGGACTCTAAAGTTTAGTTACTATACTAACGGTGCTTGTTTGTAATGCGGAGCATTAGAAAAAAAATGAATAATTTAATAACATCATATAAAGTGATGAAAGCACATTGTTACAGTCTGCTGTATCATGTATATACTTCTGCCCATAATGCCAGGAAAAACTGCACTAAAATGAGGCATCAGATTTTGTTATTGTACTGTTTCTTAAAGGTATATACTAGCTAAGATTTTTTTCCTCCCATCCCACCTCCTTCTCTCCCTCCCTTCTTTCCTCCCTCCTTTCCTTCCTTCATTTCAATATTCCTGACAGGTACTAAGCACAAAACCATGTTAGAAGCCCGGAATGGAAGTGGCACTATCAAAGCCTTTCCTAGGGCAGGAGTGAAAGGCAAAGGACCTGTTAATAAAGGAAACACAGGCCTCCAAAATAAAACATTTCACTGTGAAATCTGTGATGTGCACGTCAACTCGGAAACGCAACTTAAACAGGTAAACAGCACGTATTCTAGGAATGAAAACCAACAAGGGACAGCCTTATAAGCAGGATGTGTGTGCTTCCTTCCTTTTTATTTCTGTCTTTCTGTCCCATTCACCCATCTATTCATCCATCCCTCCATCTGCCCATCTGTTAACCCACTTATCTTCCTTTCACTGTTCTGATTTATTTATACTTATTTTAGTTACTTGAGGAAATACTAAAATGTAATAGATTCTAGAATCTTTCAGAAATTGTTGGCTGTGAGTTTTTACTATTCTTGTATACGAAGAGTGGGTGGAGAAGGGATATCAGGTCTTTTCTCTACCGGATTTTCCACTCAAAAGTGTTGATTTTCTTTAAAGATCAACTTGCAGTATTCCGTTTTAATTTGTTTAGATATTTACGTGCTACAAGTAATTTTACACTGAGCTATTCTTTCATTTTATGTGTTTTATTATATGGTGTTGTTCTGTATGTTTAGATCTTGCAGCCACCTGCAATAGGAATGACTAATCAAGTTGTGTTCATTTTTACTATGAATAGTCTTCCAAAGAGATCATTTATACATTGCCAGCTAAACGTTCAGCCCTCATGTTGTATTTTGTTTTGTATATATGTACAATATTTTGCTGATTTTATGCACCTTATTTATCTTTAGAATTTAAGGGTTTGACATTTGACTGTACAAATGTGAGGATAAACATTAGTATGGAAATAAATTCATTCGTCCCTGGGCATCTTTGTTTATTTGCATGTAAAATTCCTTTAGACATTCCTTCCCTTTGTAAATGTTTTTCAAAAAAAAAAAAAAAAGAGATGTGTGTAGTGATAAGAAGAAAAGCTCGGAAAAAAAAAAGACGCTACTATTTGTTTAAAAATACACTAAAATAGGCTGGGCGCAGTGGCTCACGCCTGTAATCTCAGCACTTTGGGAGGCTGAGGCAGGTGTATCAAGAGGTCAAGAGTTCAAGACCAGCCTGGCCAAGATGGTGAAACCCCATCTCTACTAAAAATACAAAGAATTAGCTGGGCATGGTGGTGGGCACCTGTAGTCTCAGCTACTTGGGAGGCTGAGGCAGATAATTGCTTGAACCCGGGAGGCAGAGGTTGCACTTAGCTGAGATGGCGCCACTGCACTTCAACCTGGGTAGCAGAGTGAGACTCCATCTCAAAAAAAAAAAAAAATATATATATATATATAAATATATATATATAAGTATATATATAATAGTATATATATGAATATATATATGGATAGCATAAAAATATATATCCTCAAGGCATCAGAATCTCAGGACAAAAGTGCATGATCTTTTATTTTTGTCTTTCTGAAACTTGCATGAAATAATGAATATCTTTCTCCAGGTTAAAGCAATATTTGTGAGAGGTTTTTGCAGATGATTTTTTTAAAGCTGTCATTTTAAATTACTTTTAATAGCACATTAGCAGTAGAAGGCACAAAGACAGAGCTGCTGGGAAGCCCCCGAAACCTAAATACAGTCCTTACAACAAACTACAGAAGACAGCACATCCACTGGGGGTGAGTGTCATTTTGCAAGAGTCCAGCCTCTATTCCCAAATGGAATTATTGGTTTCTTGATTTGTTCTGGCATTTTGCCACCTTTAACCACAGCCCAGTACCTTTTACCTTTTTGAGTTGAGTTCAGATTTATCATAGATCATAGGGAAAAGAGAAAAACCAAACTCTTTTGAGTCAAGTAAGTAATCCCATGAAATCTGGTCTTGATGTAAGTTAGTACTTTTGGAAGGAAGGTCAGGAAAAAACAAATTCATGTATATCTTTTTTAATGTGTTTAAGAGACAAAGTATTTGTATTGTTGGTATTCTCAACAATTTTGGATTTTGAATAACAGTCAAGGACATTCCATAAAACCCAGGAAATATTTTGTAGGAATTTCCTCTCCCCATGACTGCAAATAAGCTTTTTATATTGCTAAGTATACTATTATAATGTCCTGACCTGGATATTTTGGTAGGACTTTAGAGGAATCCTGTGAAACCTCCTGACATTGTAGATGAATATTGATGAACAGGTATATTATTTTGTTTTGTTAGTTTGTTTCTGGTTGAAGTGACCATAGCTTTCATCAGAGAGACTCAGAGCTCAATGAAAAGTTAAGAACAACTGTTCTATAACATAAGCTAAATTGTGCATTTTGAAACATTTATACAAAATAGATCTTATTACTATTGGATGCTGTTATGTGCTGCTGACACATGAAAACATAAATAAAGGAAAACTGCAATTATCTATTATGAGACCCCAGTACAAGCTGTCCTGTTAGTTTAGTAGCATTGCCCATTTTTGTTCAAATGAAGTTATTTTAATTTTGTATCCTGAAACTTTGCTGAAGTTGTTTATGAGCTTAAGGATCTTTTGGGCCAAGACTATAGATTTTTCTAGATATAGGATCATTTTGTCTGCAAACAAGGATAGTTTGACTTCTTCTCTTCTTATGTGGATTCCCTTTATGTTTTTCTCTTGCCCAATTGCCCTGGCCAGGACTTCCAATACTATGTTGAATAGGAGTGGTGAGAGAGGACACCTTGTGTTGTGCTGATTTTTAAGGGTAATGCTTCCAGCTTTTGCCCATACAGTATGATGTTGGTTGTGGGTTTGTCATACACGGCTCTTATTATTTTGAGATGTGTTCCCTCATTACATGGTTTATTGAGAGTTTTATCATGAAGGGGTGTTGAATTTTATTGAAAGCCTTTTCTGCATCCATTGAGATAATCATGTGTTTTTGTCTTTAGTTCTGTTTACGTGATGAATCACAATTATTGATTTGCATATGTTGAACCAACCTCTCATCCCAGAGATAAAGCCAAAATGATTGTGGTGGATAAGCTTTTTGATGTGCTGCTGGATTTGGTTTACCAGTATTTTGTTGAGTTTTGCATCGATGTTCATCAAGGATATTGGCCTGAAGTTTTGTTTTTTTGTTTTGTCTCTGCCAGGTTTTGGTATCAGGATGATGCTGGCCTCATAGAATGAGTTAGGGAGAAGTTCCTCCTCAATTTTGGGAGATGAAATAATCTGTACAGCAAGGCATGACACAAATTTACCTACATAACAAACCTGTATATGTACCCTTGAACTTAAAATAAAAGTTTAAAAAAGTAAAGTTACTTTACTTTTCTGTAAAGACACAATTTTAGCTGCATTGGGAGGTGAAGAATTCTGCACAGTGCTTCAGCACCACTAGTCATAACCCTGAATGCTATCTCTGTCCAGCACAGATGCAGCTTTTGACAATCAAGTGAATGGTTCTTAAATAAACAGAGTAGTCAAAATTGTGTTGCTATTAGTATACAAACCCTCCTTCTTCACCATCACTATGTTACTGACTCCACAAATGGGAACATTCTCTCAGTGAGAACAGGTATTTTATTGATGTTACTAGCCAGAGAATGAACTGGCTTTGTAGAGAAGGACTGAGAAAATGTGGTTACCATTTGCATAAAGAAAAAGTGGAACGTGTCAAAATTTAGGGGAGAAAAGGTATTTTTGGTTGTTTTTTAAATTTCTCAGTTGAAAGTGGAATTTTATTGTTTTTATTTATTTTGAATAGTACCTCATACAATTGGAAACAACATTCTCTATGTAACCCAGGTTACACCCTTGGCTAGTCGAATGGCATTTGACAGCATTAAAAATCCCTTTAGAAATATATGCTCTTTAGTAGTTAATGTATGTGTAAAGGGTGATAAAAATATTCTATATTTTCTCATGATGAATACTTTCCTCTGGAAATATAATTTTCAACAAACATATAATAAAATAAGGTTGCTGAGTACTTTTCTAGAGAACTTTTCAAGCATTCCCGGTTGGCCATTTTCAGGTATCTTCCAACTCTTCCAAAGGGAAAATGTTCTATACTTCCCATTTTCTTTGTTGTCAGTTCACAAGTGTGAAGCTTTTTTCTTTATAGTTGTTTACTGCTATATTTTAAAAGCTCCCTGCCATTTTGGGTTTTAAGTACAAATTCCAAAACTGTTGTTTTTTTTACAATATTTTTTCTCCCTTGCAGGTAAAATTAGTATTTTCAAAAGAACCTTCAAAGCCATTGGCTCCACGAATTCTACCAAATCCTCTAGCAGCTGCAGCAGCCGCAGCAGCAGTGGCAGTGAGTTCCCCCTTCAGTCTTCGAACTGCTCCAGCAGCAACACTGTTCCAGACTTCCGCGCTTCCTCCGGCACTCCTGCGGCCAGCTCCTGGACCCATTCGGACCGCCCACACTCCTGTGCTGTTTGCTCCTTACTAAATTCCAAATAGGAGTAATTGTACTGCAATAATTTTTCAAAAAACAAAAAACAAAACAAACAAAAGAGAACTATGCAGTGTTTATTTATAGTTTAAAGTATATCTGAAGAGCCAGGACTTTTGATAGTGAATTGAAAAGGTTATAAAAAAGTGGGGGAGGTTTGGGGGTGGGAGGGAGGGAGTGGTATTTTCTCCAAATTAAAGCATTCCTCTTGAACGCTGATTGTTTTAGAAGTGATCTCCAGCATTGATTTGTAGTGGTATCTAGACCTTCTGAAGCCTCTGTGACTGTGCTTTTGGGCACCTATTTCCCTCTGCATTGTCTGTCCTGCTTTATGAAACAACTATACATTGTCTAAGGGCATTAACTGGTTCCAATGTATATAAAATAATTTACTCTGTAGATTAAAATCGTACAAAAAAAAAGGAAAAAAACAAAAACAAAAGCAACACTGTGAATAGTACTACCCGTGCTGGTCCTCTTGCTATGACGGCAATTACTGGGTATTTATCCCAACAAAAGTAGATACAGTAGATGTCTTGTAAAACAATAGTGCTGTGTCTCAATCTATGCCACTAGGTTTTAAAGAATTGCAAAGGTAGAATGAACAACTATTTCATACCAATAAGCAGTCAAAAAATAAACATACACCGGATGGTGTCATGGAGGTCTCCCTGGTCAGCATTCTCCCCTCCTGTCTAGCTTGAAGATATAACAGGGCTAAGCTTAGAGATGGGGGAGGCATTAATAAAGGTGATTTCTTATAAAGTAGTAACTTCCCACCCTGAAGATATATTGCTGGAAACAGGGAAGTGTTTATAATGAACCTATATCTGAAAGCAGAGAAACCCATGCATCATGAGTGTTAAGAAAGAAATCAATACAACTCTTCTATTTCAAGGATGAAGAATCATAACCTAGAATGATAATGCAAAGTAAAGATCTTTCATTTAGTACATATCCAGTAAAAACGGAGAATGTTGCATCTCTGCAGTATCCCCTTTATATCATACCAGTAGGGTTGTTTCTTAGGCAAAGGTTTCTGCTTTAAGTATGATGGTAGAATTAAGCATTAGCTATTTTTATGGGTTTTTCTTGTTTTTTAGATTACCTGCTGACATGATATAAACAATTAATATATATTTAAATGTTAATAACAACAGGAAATATGAATCTGAGTTAATTGCACACCAATGACATAGTGTTAAAAAATACTGGTAAGTTCCACTCGACAATTATTTCTCCAGTGGAGTTGTGAAATACTGAGAGCCTTTGATATTCACCATCAGGCTGAAAGAAGTTGATGTTTTACCTTTAAAACAAGATTTATCAGGGGTATATATAAATATATGTATATTGTATATATGTTAGAAAGATTAAGAGAATAAGTTATAAAAAGAAAAAATCTATATAAAATAATTATATAACCATCCAGTGTTACATGTTATCATTAAATTGGTAACAAATGGCATAAAAATAGCTGTGCCTTTAATTTGTGATAAAGGCTATTTGCTTTTTCCCATAGAAAGCTGACATATACCTATCAAAATGGTGGGGTTTGATGCAGCCAGTCTGTTGCATTAATAAGAGCAATGACACTGAAACTTAGAATAATGACAAAACATACATGATTTAGGTTTAGAGAAAAAACTATTTTTGAAAAGGTTTTCTAAAGACTATTTAAAAATATAGGGAAGGATTGGGTGTGGCCTTCCTGAAACTGCTCTCAAAGTGTTGTAACCCTTGGAGAGGTATAAAGAATCAAGAGGAAACCATTTGAGACATAGGTATTTAGCATTTATCATTTTATATTTAAGAAACACCATAGCGTGCTTGGTGCTCAACATTAAACATGGTTTTTTGGAGTTCTTCTCCACCATCTAGCTATAGAAATTTGTCATATAAATGAATCTTTAAAGCAGTTGGCTTTATATATCCTTTGTTAACCAACCAAAACAAAAACAAAAAAAAAGAAGGAAAGAAGGAAGGAAGGAAGGAAGAATGGAAGGAAGGAAGGAAGAAAGGAGGGAAGGAAGGAAGGAAAGGAGATGGGGAAGGGAAGAAAAGGAAGGAAGGAAGAAAGGAAGATAATGTGTTCCATCAGTATTCTGGTAGAAAGAATTTCAAACCATGCTTCTCTGGTTAAATATATTGATTAGCATTAAAATTTGTTTTGAAAGTATCTGGTGATTTTGCATTTACCAGCATCTCTATTCTCTAGTTTTAGCAAGTGTTTCCTTTTTCACCTACAGACCCTGGTAGTTCAGCCAGGTGGATAGTTGCCCATAAGTCTGTTGTTTGGGGCTCTGTCTGTATCCCATGTGACCAGCTTCTAACCATTTTGAACTTTAGTTTCCCTTTTCTGCTATGTCAAATATTTTGATTTTCCATAATCATCCTGAGTCCCTATCCAACAACCTTTACAACTGATACAGCCTCACTTTCTGTTAGATAACTTAGTGTTAATTAAAGCAGTCTCACTAAAACGTGCTTTTGCTGTTCTTTCCCATTTTCACCAAAGTGAATGAGCCAGTCCACTAAAAATCAGGGCCTATGGGATACACAGTGTCCTGGGTCACAAGGCATTACTGTCTTTAATGATTTGCTGGGAACAAACGAATCAGCCATATTTTCTCCATCAGCCATATAAGAAATCTCAGAAATACCTGGATCCCTTCTGCCTCACTTCGCTATGGAACCATTTTTGTTTAAATGGTCTTTTAAATTGGAGTTGTAAGCATCAGTTGTCTTTTATTCACTACCTAATAAAGGATGAAGCCTAACCACAGAACTTACAGTGGATTCTCTGTGAGTTGTTTCCCCCACACTCCATATATTTACCAATACCAGATTAACATCCATTATAGTTCAGGCTGCCATAAAACTGTATCTTTTCCCTTAGGGAACTTTTTTCATGAATAAAGATCCACAATTTAGATTGGTCAGCAGTGTGCTGTGAAAATCCCTGAGGGTGGTCTGACTTTATGGTTTTACATTCCTTCCCATGCATCACACCATGGCAAGGAAAGTGATAGAGAAAGCAGCTCTGATTCATTTGAAACAAATATAAATGCATTGCAGAAGCCAAATGCCTCTGGAAAAAGCATTGTTGCACCTCAATCAGATCGTCCAGACAAATGGGAAACAGTCATTGGGGAGGTACTGTATTTCTCTTATGAGAAAACAGGCAATTACACATGATAAATTGCTCCTCTCACTGGACCTCAACTTTGAAGAGTACTTTTTTTATTCACATAAGCAAACATACTTGGCTTTTGGCAATTTATATCACCCCTGCCTCATTTGAAAGGATTTCTATCTTTAGGTACTATTTGGCTTCTCCTGATCTATCGCAGTAATTCACTGCCATTATCATCAGAGATGAAATTTGGTTTTTCTAAAGGTGCTACATATTTTGTTGCCAAGAAACTAGTTAGCAAAGGAGTATTTATATGTACTTGAAAATTAAAAGAGCAGGAAATCATAAAAGACTAAGAATTAAAAGACAGCAGAAGTTTCAAAATAGAATCAAAGAGGCTGTGCCTATTTGAGTTTCTAAGGCACAAACCAACACATAGTAGACATGAGCAATAAATATCACCAATTACAATTAAATTTTAAATTAATATCTTTGTCTTTGTACCAGTGTAATGTTTCAATTGTTCTGAAGAAATCAGATCAGAAAGCTAAAAGGTAACTGAAGTGGTATATAGGCCTGTTTCTTTAGATCTGAATTGAAGTAGAAAATTACCTTTCTATACATAAGCATGGATGACATTGTATTAATAACTTTGTTCACCCAAAAGCCGCATGAAGTGGTGGGAAAAGCAATGAGGAGCCTTAGAGTAGCCAGAGTCTATTGTAGACTTTGTCCCTGACCAACAGGGTAACTTAAATAGTCAACTAATGCCTTGCCCTTAATTTCTTCATCAGTAAAATGGATGACAGTGATTAATAGCTAAGCTGGTTTAATACATCAGCACTAGAGGGGCATTGCTTTTATCCTCTCAGGAATAAAAATTCTTTATTCGAGTGACCAATGCAGCTACTCACATACTTGCATATGTCCAGAAAAATATTCTGTATTCCTTTCCATCCTGAGTGTAAGCCATATTGTAGGTCATTCATATGCTCAACCAGAATGTACATTTCACCAATATTGGAGTAGTTGCTAATTCACTTAGTACTCACTTATTATGATCGCACTTATGCCAACATCATGTAAGATATGCTACTTCTATTTTCCCAGTCAAGAATGTAATAAATTCTGAACAAAACCAACCCTGAAAAAGGCAATAGACAGCTGGCAGTGGGGGTGTGGAAGGGAACAACAATTTAAATGCATCATCCTTATTTCTTTTGTTGCACTTTCTCTCTTCAATAGGAAGGGGTCCCGACTAAGCCATAACTAATTCTGTCCTGCGTTTGCATGTATTTTAACTAATGGTTGCCTTATTAAGACCATCTCTTCCACAGACAAGTATATCAGTTATGCGCTCTTGTCATTGTTACAGGAATTATTTAAACTGAGTCCTAACAGTGAAAGTTTTACCTGACTTTTGCTGATTTTTTTTTCTTTCTACATGGGGAGATTTATCTCTGGAGCATCTCTTGTGTTTTTGTATGGTTTGCTTCAGTAGCTAGAGAGGCTACTATCAGGAAGTGAAATGGATCATTTCTAATGGTAGGTCTCCATTGCCTACATGGTATTTCTGAGAGTGGTATCAGGGTGTCCAGTGAAAGACGGATAGGTTGACATGTCATGCTCATTTGGCCTAAAGGTTGTTACTGCCAGGAATGGACTTACAACTTACCAGAATGTGAATGGTGACAAAAGGCAGGTTCTACTCTGGAAAAATATGTGTTATTTTATTAGAAGTTCATGGCCGGGCGCGGTGGCTCACGCCTGTAATCCCAGCACTTTGGGAGGCCGAGGCGGGTGGATCATGAGGTCAGGAGATCGAGACCATCCTGGCTAACAAGGTGAAACCCCGTCTCTACTAAAAATACAAAAAATTAGCCGGGCGCGGTGGCGGGCGCCTGTAGTCCCAGCTACTCGGGAGGCTGAGGCAGGAGAATGGCGTGAACCCGGGAAGCGGAGCTTGCAGTGAGCCGAGATTGCGCCACTGCAGTCCGCAGTCCGACCTGGGCGACAGAGCGAGACTCCGTCTCAAAAAAAAAAAAAAAAAAAAAAAAAAGAAGTTCATGCAGGTCATGAAGAGTCACAGAGTTTAAAGAATTCTCTGGTTGGGTCATCAATGTTCAGATGTCAAGGGACTGAACATTACCTTCAATTTGAGGGTCTTCTCTTTCCTCTTCTCAGTGATGGAAACTCATCCTTCCTAGGTGGCTAAGTTGACTGTAGAAACTGCTAAAATGTATTTGTCAAACGAAGTAAAATCTGACTATTAATATATATGATCAGGTAGAGTATCTTAGAGTTTGGTTAACTAAGACAGCCGATAATGGGGTCATGTTATTTTCAGACTGGCAGGTCATCTCTAAAGGCAATTTTTAAAGATTAGGGCTAAAATGATTTGTGAGCAAAGAAGTATAATTAAAAATAAGTAATAGTATAGTGACGAGTTCTAAGGTTAATGCTTATATACGCACACACATACAGAATTGTAAAAATATGAGTCTTAGTACCTGTCATTCTTTTACAAAGCCATGGTAAAATCATTTTATTTTCAATGATTAGGTTGGTTTTACTTTAACAAAAGGAACTCCAATGTCACACTTGGGAGTCTTAATCATTTTGGGGCATTAATCATTTTAGGGCATTGGAGGGGCTGGGAAGTAGATATAATGTTAAGATGTTATGCACTCTAGCAAGACTATTATGCTAACAGTTTGAGTTGGGTCATACAATTGTATCATTTCACATCAGCTACTGACTTTGAGTACTGACTTTGAATGCTTATAAAATCTTCCTCAAATCCAGGTAGTGTGCAGGACATGGTATAACAAGACAACGGAAAATTAGCAGAGAGAGCCTTCATTGGAAACCCAGATTGTATTTTTGCCAGTACAACAAATATTATTTTTAAAGTCTCTCACTAATAGGATTGTTCAACATAAATCTATTGAGAAACAATGATGTCAGAGAGTTTTAAAGCTATAGTGAAGTGTGTTAAATTTTGTTAACCAAAATAATGATATGGGTTTTATTGGACGTTTGTCAACCCAACTTAACACACATTGTTATATAATTTCAGTATAGGACCCTAGGGCTAGGGGCAACTAATATTGGATAAAGACCCTTCGTGAGATGCTTTATGTCTCTTATGATGTTATGCTAACATTAGTAGAGATGAAAAAGGAATTGAGTTCGTGAGATCCTGGAAAGTTTAACTTTTATCAAATAGTCAAGAAAAATTCCATTTTATGGCATCTGGTTTTTAAATGGATTATAGAAAAATGTGTGGAAGTACTGGATATTGGCGAAAAAGCCTTGTGGCCAAGGGATCTGGGCACAAGATCGAGCATCACAGAACAGTGAACACAGTTGTTGGCTTCACTACCAATCATCTACGAGGAAACTGGGCCAATTCACTTGACATTTTGATGATTCTCTCTGATAAAAATAGGGATAATGACTGATTACAGAAATGTGCTTTTAAAAAAGCTGAATTTAGTAAAAGCAAGTCATTTGCTACTCAAAATAGCTCCAAAATCTAAGCCATATTTCTATAAATTTCATAAAGTCGTTTTAAAATGTGACTTATAGTTACAGCGTTTATATTACTACATATTTAAGATGGAACTGACCTGATGCCAAAGCTACATCATTTGTAGCTATATTAGCTTTCTCTTTTGTCCTGAAAAAAGGTTGGAGTGTTTTTAAAAATATAGTTTTTAATCTGCACATGGAGCTATATGCAAAGAACATTGTTTCTTCGGGGAATATTTTTAGTCATAGTTTCTTTCATTTATTTTATCAGCAAAAATCTTATGTCAGTTTCAACTAAGGTCTCCTAACTGAACTTTTTTTTGTTTTGTTTTGTTTTGTTTTGTTTTGTTTTGTAAATCCACAGCAATTTTTATTAAATAAAAGCCTAGGTGAGAAAAATAAGTTATATCCTAGCACATGAAACTTAGTCAATAATTTCTTCTAATAATATTTAATTCACTGAAATTTTACAACAAATTTTAAATCGACTACCAAGAGTGGTCAGTCGGGGAAAATTTAGTGTTATCCAATGTATGATGAAATATTCAGCTCTCACAAAAACTGGATGTTTGGCTATTTTAAAATGGCTGTTCTTCACAATAAAACTACAAACAGACACTGTCGAATAAATTGAGTGATAAGTATGTCTATTTACTAACATGAGCCAATTTGAACTTTAGTTTTGAGATCTAAAAATATTTTAATCCACATGCATTTAGTGACTATAAATTGAAGGCAGTGTTCTTTTGACAACCAAGCTTATTGAAAACTTTGGCATTAATGTTCACAAACATGAGCACTATTTTGAAATTAAAAATAGACTATGGTTTGCTCTACATGCTTGTGACCCTGCAAAAAATAAAGGAAAAATATTCATGCTATTTTTCTCCTCTTATATTCTTATGGCTTAAAAAATATAACCAGGGTTTTATCTAATATCAATCTCTTGGCAAAGGATCATATAAGGTTTTACCTGCTAACAAGAATACCTCATTTGAAAGAGCATTACCACAAGCATTGGAGGGAGGTACAGTTGACATGGTGAATTTGATTTTACAAAAACTAACAAAGCTGGGGGGTGGCAAAGCATTGACTTAACTATAATCACTAGTCACACCAATGTGAGATTCCGAATCATTGGTCAGCCACAGTGATGCCACCTTGGCATCAAACTTGCCTGTTCCATCTTTATCAATGTATCTGGAAGTCTGACTTGAGTACCAGAAGCCAAAACGCTCAGAATGCTAATTTGTGCCACCTTAATGGCCCATGTGTTCGGTAAATAAATTTGCTTTTTACATCTCGTCAAATCTTACTGAATAAACCTTTCATCAGAGTTCTACATATCCCCAGGTGGGCTTGGAAACGTGAGATAGGATTTTATTGTGTTTTATATTATGATAGTTGAATGATGATTCTATATGTTATTGTTATATTTGTTTTCATTAAAAACCCAAAGAACTACCCTTTGTATACCAGTAAAGTACTATTTTTTCTTGAAAAAAAGTAATAATAATAATAATTAAGGCAATTCACATAGTTTGTTTTATGCCAGTCTTCTGTTTTAAGTCATGTGATAACATCTCCCCAAACATCAATTTCTCACCCTACATGATATGTGATAAAATCCCCCATATGCCAATAATTTCCCCCACTATAAAATGAAGCTGCTTCCAATATTATTGACTCAGAAATGTAAAATATAGCACAGTTTATCTTGTCTGTGGTCCTGTACTAAGTTAAACTTGCAGCTGTGAACAAATTAATATTTATTTTTATTAGGAATTCTTTAAGATGAATTTTCAGTTTTAGTAAAAGAAAGACACCAGTGATATTTTTATGGATGAAAGCTCTCTGGTTCCTTCAGCAGCTCTAGGAACATCCTTAGCCATTATATCCTCTCTCTTTGACAATATCAAAATTGTCCAGGTAAATGTAATATTGCCAGTGGTGTCAAGACATTGGTCTGTTCATGTCCTTATTCTTCGCTTGGTTTGTGGAATCAAAATGGTTGCTTATTTTCCTCTCTTCTGTAGATAATCCATAGGCAATGTTTTCAATTTGGGAAACTTTTTTTTTCAACTTGGTTTAAGTTTGAAGGCTCTAAGGAAGAGGAATATTAGAACAAATTATGTATTCTCTATGTTCTATTCCACTTGTTTGTAATATACTCCTGTTCTGAGAGTTATGGTAAACCTATATAACACGACTGTTCCAAGTGCCAAGTGAGAATTGTAGTGACTCACAGAACACGTCTCATGACTATTTATCAAAAGAAATGTGCTGATTAAAGAAAAAAAGTAAAATATCTTATTTTCATTCAGTTCTGGATGATGCTTGTTCCATTACCCCTTCTCTCTCCCTTGTTAAACAAGGTAAATGTTTTCACACTTAAACTGACCACTTAGAGCATTTCAGTTTAATGTAAGGCAGAAAAATAATGTTACCCATAACTTTGAATGCTTATAGTTGGCCTTTGCTAAAATAAAATTTTAGTGACGACAAGAGGTTGCAAGATGGTAATCCATGTTTCCATAGGGCTGAAATTTTTTTTTATTTTAGTTCCCAAACAGCTTTGAAAAAAGTGTTTTTAAAATGAGAATTTCTATAATTTATTTTCTATCTGCTACTAAAGACACTGCTAGACTGATTAAGCCTGGTGGATAGAGAAAATCCAAACTTGAACCTTTGGAAACATCGTTTATCAACATTTAAAATTCTATAAGCCCATAAAAACATGTTAACGCCAACACATGGAAAAGAAAATGTGTTGCAATAAGTTCTCATTCATGTTCGAGAACAACAGGAGATGAAAAGTATGCGCACCAACTAAGGTTTTCTTTCACACTCTCTGAATATACAATGAATAATATACCAAAAATGGTATACAATTTTATGATACAAATGGTATCGTATTGAAATTCAAAGACATGAATATTCAGAGAAAACTATTGTAAAAAAATTATTATGCATACGGTATATATTTGCTGCCAAATTGAAAATTATCATTGCTAAATTTTTTTAGTCTATTCTGACAGGTCAAAATAATTTATCAGGCCCATTAAGTAACAGGTTTAAATATATTTCAACTCAGAGGAGATGAACATGAAAGATGTCAGTAGCATTTCTCTATGCCTATCATTTATTACCATAACCATATTTAAATCAATGTGAATCTTACATAAGTGAATAATAAAAGTTAGACCTTTTGATGTAATAATGATGCAACACAACTGTTCTCTTTGTATGCATTATAAAATGGAAAGTTGGATTGAATATTCTGCCTAATGCTACATGCTCACATCAATCTGCAACTGTAAAATTTTCCAGACACCAGAGCCCCACAGATTGCAGACTCCACCAATTTCCTGACTACTACGTAGTCAAATACCAGGTTCACCTATTTACAAAACCAGCTCTTTCTTCCATGTTAGTTCAAAACATGTTTCTGGTGTTGATACCAATGCTCCATCCCAGTGGGGAGCTATGGATGACACAACTTATTTCTAAAAGAAATCTAGTTCGTGTGTTCAAAACTTATTTTACTAGGAAAGAAGGAATGTATCAGCAAGTGCCTGAAACGTTCTCTACTGGTCTTCTAAGGCTGATGTCTTTATATTTCATCTTAGCGAAAAGAGCAGAAATAATAATACCAAAAAGAGGGG
Organism: Homo sapiens; assembly: GCF_000001405.40. Classification (NCBI taxonomy): domain Eukaryota; kingdom Metazoa; phylum Chordata; class Mammalia; order Primates; family Hominidae; genus Homo; species Homo sapiens. The sequence continues at coordinate 21,410,875 of NC_000003.12, read as the reverse complement.
AAGAAAAAGGAAAAGTGGAAGAAAAAAAAGTTAGACAAGATGTAACATTATAAAAACAACCTTAAAATGCCCAGATATAACTCTAATAGGAGACTGAACGAATAGACTTTGTGGGAAAAACAGTAGTAAACTTTAAAGCCTCTGAAAGAATTATATGCCTAAGGGAAAAATAAACATTTGCTTCCAAAATTAAAATAAAATGAGAATTTCTGATTTTTCTTGAAAAGTAAAAAAAAAAAAAAAAAAAAATCTGAGAGTGTCCTGGTACTGAATTCCCACTAGGCGTTTATTGGCTGCAGAACTAGCTAAATGAACTGCGACTGGCCCCTTTGGACTAAACAGAATTTTACAACTTTCTACAATCTGTACTTGAAGGCCCCAGTCTTTGCTTTGTGCAGGTCCCTGTAATAAGTTTGGTTTGCAACCCCCAGCATGGCTTATAGGTTCTTAGCCACCAGGTACTCTTTTACTAGCTAGTCTTAAGGGTCTTCATCCATCTACCTTCTCTCCCAGTGGGTTCCCCTTGTAATGTTTTTTATTATTATTTTGGATAGGCATTTTCAACAAGGGGAGTTTTTTTTTTACAAACACCTTCAATAAAGGTTTTCTTTACCAGAGTATGATCTGTGACAAATTAGTGACTTGAGTGTGTGTGGGATTTCTTACAGTTGACACCTAGGAAAGATTTGATTTGGTTTATGCAGTGGGTGACTATACCAAGAAACAAATTCTGTCATTTTTTTTGTGTGTTTCTCTACAGGAAGGTTTGGCTTCTGCTAATAGCAGAAATTGGACTTTAGGAAGAAAGACCAAACATTTTTCATATGAAAACAAGTCCTTACCTATTTAATTCTCTCTTGAAGTCAGATATGAAGAAAATTCAGAAATATTGTTTCTGAATATACATTTGCTGAATACATTCTGATTCTTTAGAGGGCCACTGACACTCTCCCCCAAATACATGTAACCTGTCAGATTATCAGTTTGAAAAAGATCCATACAAACATGTTTTATCAACTTTCAAAATAACCCCCCTTTTCCCCAACATTCAGGAACAGCATTTAAAATGCAGAATTATCCATCACATGCTAAATATCTATCCTTTTCATCTGCCTATGCAATAAACTAACCCAATTAACGTTGATATTAGCATCTATACTTTTGAAATCACTAATTATCTAATAGCAGAGGTCTCTTTCACATTGTTTTGCTTAGAAATAAAAAATAGGGCTGTTCATAAGTTTCCATTGAGTATTCCAAGCCAGAAAGCCCTCGCCACAGCTGGATTTGGAAGCTTAAATAACATACAACTTCACATTTCTCAAAGTGTGTAATCCAGGCATTATGAATAATTTCTAGCCAAATCCTAAGAAATTGTACATGATCTTTCTAAACATAGGCTGGGAATTGTTATGCTGAAGCAAAAATGAAGTGTCAGGTAATGTCTGATGCTGGGGAAAACAATTAGAACATTACTGAATTACCCTCCTGTTAAAGAGCTCACTTTCACCTTCAAAAGCTAATTATCAGTTTACCATGTTTTATTCATTAATTAGAATTATTTTCTAGAGTGTCAGAGCATTTCAGGTGGGTTGGGTTATGATGGAAAAGACTAGATAATCATAACCTCTGCAAGTTTGTGATTTATTTAGCCAAAGATGCAGAACTTATGGGAAGCAAAATGCTATACAGGGCAGTAGAAAACGAGGTCTATTGTGGCCACTGTTTCTTTTCCTCTGGATTCCTTTTAGGTGGGAGGTAGGAGAAACAGGGCCACAGTTGCCAGGGATGCTTGCTTGGTACAGATATGGCTCTGCCAGATTTATTTAAGAAAGCCTATTTTATGCTAACTCACTGCCATTGTATACTCAGGTATATTAGTTTCCTTGGGCTTCTGAAACAAATTGCCATAAACTTTGTTGGCTTGAAACAACAAAAAATGTAGTCTCTCACGGTTCTAGAGGTGGGAAGTCAAAAATCAAAGTATTAGCAGGATTGGTTGTTTCTTAGATTGTCAGAGGAAGACTGTTCCATGTCTCACTCTTCTGGTGGTTGCTGGCAATCCTTGGCATTCTGTGGCTTGTAGATATGCACTCCAGTGTCGGCCTTTGTCATTTATTGGGCTTGTTCCTATGTGTCTTCACGACTTTCGTTTCTCTGCATGTTTGTCTTTTCTCTTTTTCTTATAAGGACACCAGTCATATTGGATTTAGGATTCATCCTACTCAAGTGTGACCTCATCTTAACTAATTACATCTGCTAAGACCCTATTTCCAAGTAAAGCCACATTTTCAGGTTCTTCTAGAGGTAGAACTTCAACATATGTTTTTGGGAGAATCAAATCAACCCACAACATTAGGTTTCTCTTACCCTTCCTCGAGAACTCACATTCAATTTGTACCCTTCCCTTTAAGGAGACATTTGCTATCTTAATACTTTGCTAGTTCATGAACAAAACCACCATCATAAAGCCACTTTTATTGTTGAGATTTGAGGTGCAGGCAAGCAAAACAGGGCCCTGAAAACTATCTTTGTTCCTATTTTTTTCTTTTTTCTAAAAATGCCATACCTTGCTAGCCACACCAAATCCCATTGTCTTAGGTTAGGTCCTCTAGAAGCAGAGCCCAAAATGGGCTTCTCAGCAAAGTTCTTTGTTACTGAAGGGGTACTTACAGGGGGAAAGGGGTCAAGGATGTAGAATGGGATGAAGTAAAAAACTTGACGTCCAGTTTCAGGCTAGTCTCATAAGAAGCTCAAATATTTCTAGTACTTTTTAAAAATAGCATGTGATCATTAATACAATCCAAGGATAAGGTATGAAAGAGACAGGTGCAATTAGAAGGAAAAAAAGAGATGCATAACATCAACTCTTAGTGCCATTGAAAGTTATGGGTCATTTTTAGGTAGTCTGATTAGTCATTCTAGTTTGCCTGAAATACTTCCAATTTATGCCTGTTACACCGAAGCAATCATTAATCATGCTCCATGTCAAGCTAACATTTTTTTTATTTGTTTAATAAAATGTATGAGTTTAATCTTTTTCAAATTTATAAAACAAGTGGACTGAAATAAGAACTTTTCCAATAACAATTTTTAAAGTAATTTGTATTTAATAAAACAGATTATGAGGGAATCTAATTCAGAAGACATAAAATGTTTACCCTAGAAAAGTAATTGATATTTTAGATTACAATAATATTACTGAATATCTTATTTCTCCATCTGTCCACTCTTCATCCATTCGTGCATACTTTATTAATATGCGGTTATAATGTACCCTATACTATATTGGATAGGAGAGGGAAGGGTAACTAAAACATACCCAGCAACACACTCTGTGCCAAATGCGTATTTATTTATGTTTATTCATACATAATATTTTACATATTTATGGAGTACATGTGATATTTTTTTATATGCATAGACTGTATAATAATCAAGTCAAGGATTTGAGGCATCCATCACTTTGAGTATTTATTATTTCTATGCATTGGGAACGATTCAAATCCTCTCTTCTAGAAACACTGAAATATACAATATGTGTTCTTAACTATAGTCACTCTACAGTGGAAAGATAGGATTTATACTTTTTATCTAACTGTGTATTTGTGCCTGTTAACCTACCTCTTCTCATCCTCCCCTCACCCACCCAACATTCTTAGCTTCTAGTATCTATTATTCTACTCTCTGCCTTTACATGATTAACATTTTTAGCTCCCACACATGAGTAAGGACATGCGGTTTGTCTTTCTGTGCCTGGGTTATTTCACTTAAAATAATGATATACACTTTCATCCTGGTTGCTGATACACGATTACATTCTTTTTTATAGCCAAATAGTACACCATTGTGAATGTATACCACATTTTTTCTTTCTCTATTTGTTGATTGATGGACACTTACATGGATCCCATTTCTTTACTATCGAGAATAGAGCTGTGATAAACATGCCAGTGCCGGTATCCCTTTGATATATTCACTGGTTTCTATTCCTTTGGATAGACCCTCAGTAGTGGGATTGCTGATGAATATGGTAGCTGTATTTTTAGTTTTCTGATAAATCTCTACAGTATTTTCCACAATGGTTGTACTAATGTACATTCCCACCAACAGTGTATAAGAGTTCCCTTTTCTCCACACTTCACCAGTATCTATTGCTTTTTGTCCTTTTTTTTTTTTTTTTTTTTTTTTTAAGTGAAGAGGTGACTTTAACAAATATATTCTCCAGAAATCTCCAGAACCTTTGCGAGGGTCAGGGTGAGAGGTGCCGCCACGATGTAAACAGAACAGCTGAGTCCTCCGGGTAGGCGTCAGATGCGATCTGCACAGACCGCTTGTGTGGGAGGCATGTAGTCGGAGGCGTTTCCTCAAATGCATCCCCTGTCTCTGGCAGAGCACACAGGCCCCGGGGCCCCGTGGACAGGGCTGGTCCCAGCTTATGCGCACCACTTCCTGGGCGTGGGGGGTGGTATGCCAGAGGCTGCCCGCAGCAGGAAGCCCACGAAGAGGCCAGGGCCTCTTGATCCATTTGTCGGAGACCCCAGAAGGAGCCAAGGGGCAGCCAGGGGACCCAGGCAGGGGTGCCCAAGGGCACAGCAGCTGCAGGCCATTGGCAAGGCCAGAAGATGGTGAGTGGAAAGCAGGGGGCCCGTGGAGAGACCCCGATAAGGGGCCGTTTAGCTGGGAGTCCTGCATTTGCCGTTTGTGTTTCATCCGGCGATTTTGAAACCAGGTTTTTATCTGGACCTCTGAGAGCTGCATCTCCCTGGCCAGCCAATTCCGCTCCAGAGGGCCCAGGTACTGGTGGTGCCGGAAGACGCCCTCCAAGGCACGGACCTGCTCCGTGGTGAAGGCTGTGCGGACACCGGGAGCCAGCTAGGGGTTTGGCTCCTTACTCAACCCAGCCACAGTCCTCTCCGGCGCATGCAGATTTGACGAGCTAGCCTCCTTGGTACTGACAGCCTGAGGGGGCTCCCGGGTGCCGAACGTCTGGCCCGGGCCAGGGAGGCTCCCGGGGGAGACGTCGGCAGGCCTGGGGGTGTGGGTCGACCCTGAGCAGCTGCTCAGGCAGAGCCAGTCCACGGAGCCAAAGCTGGAGGGCTGCTGCCAGCCACGAGGTGGGGAGGAGGAGAGACACATGGCGGTCAGGTGGGCCGGAGGGAAGGTCGGGCGGGGCTGGCCAGGCGCAGGATCCAGCTTGCTTTTTGTCTTTTTAATAATAGCCATTTTAACTAGGATAAGATGATATGTAATCTTTAGTTTTGATTTGCATTTTCCTGATAAATAATGATGCTGATAATTTTTTCGTATACTTGTTGGCCATTTGTATGTATTCTTTTGAGAACTGTCTTTTCATGTTCTTTCCCACTTTTTTTTTTTTTTTTGAGACAGAGTTTCACTCTGTCACACAGGCTGGAGTGCAGTAGCAGGATCTCGGCTCATTACAACCTCTGAATCCCTGATTCAAGTGATTTTCGTGCCTCAGTCTCCCACGTAACTGGGATTACAGGTGTGTGCCACCAAGCCAGGCTTATTTTTGTATTTTTAGTAGAGACGGGGTTTCACCATGTTGGCCAGGCTGGTCTTGAACTGCTGACCTCAAGTGATTCGCCCACCTCGGCCTCCCAAAGTGCTGGGATTAAAAATGTGAGCCACCTTGCCTGGCCCCATTCTGCTCACTGTTTAATGGAATTTTTCTTTTTTTTAATTGTTTAGTTGTTTGAGTTCTTTGTATATTCTGATTAATTCCTTTTCAGATGAATGATTTGCAAACATTTTCTCCCATTCAACTGTCAACTGGTTGTCTCTTCACTCTGTTTCTTTTACTGTGCAGAAGGTTTTTAGTTTAATATAGTCTGGTTAGCCTATTTTTGTTTTAGTTGTTTGTGCTTTTGAGGTCTTAGCCACAAAATCTTGGCCTAGACTAATATTCTGAATTGTTTTCTCTGTGTTTTCTTCTAGTAGTTTTATAAGTTTAGGTCTTACATTTAAGTGTTTAATCCATCTTGAGTTGATTTTTATAGATGAGGAGAGAAAGAAGTCCAGTTTCATTTTTCTGAATACGGACATCCAATTTTCCCAGCACTATTTTTTGAAGAGGTCGTCCTTTCTCCAGTGTATGTTCTTGGTGCCTTTGTAGAAAATCAGTTGACTGTGATATATGCATTTTTTTCTGGGTTCTCTATTATGTTTTATCTGTCTATGTGTCTATTTTTATACCAGTAACCATACTGTTTTGGTAACTACAGCCTTGTAATATATTTTTAAGTAAGGTAATGTGATGCCTTCAGCTTTGTTCATTTTGCTCAGGATTGCTTTGGCTATTTTGGGTCTTTTAATGTTTCCTATGAACTTTAGGATTGTTTTTTCTATTTCTGTGAAAAATGACGTTGGTATTTTCATAGGAATTGAATTAAATCTGTAGACTGCTTTGGGAATTATGGTCATTTTAATGATAACCCTTCTGATCCATGAGCATGGGATGGTCTTTTCATTTGTTTGTATCTTCTTCAATTTCTTTCATCAGTGTGTTACAGTTTAGCTGATAGAGATCTTTCACCTCTCTGGTTAAACATATTCCTAGGTATTTTATTTTTTGCATTTATTGTAAATGATATTGCCATCTTTGTTTTTTTCTTTGGCTATTTCATTATTGGAATATGGAAATGCAGCTGATTGGCCAGGTGCAGTGGCTCACGCCTATAATCCCAGCACTTTGGGAGGCCGAGGTGGGCGGATCATGAGGTCAAGAGATCGAGACCATCCTGGCCAACATGGTGAAACCCCATCTCTACTAAAAATACAAAAATAATTAGCTGCGCTTGGTGGCATGCACCTGTAAAATCCTAGCTACTCAGGAGGCTGAGGTAGGAGAATCACTTGAATCTGGGAGGTAGAGGTTGCAGTGAGCCGAGATTGTGCCACTGCACTCCAGGCTGGTGACAGAGTGAGACTCTGTCTAAATAATAATAATAAATAAATAAATAAATAAATAAATAAATAGATAAATATAAAGAAATGCAGCTGATTTTTGTATGTTGATTTTGTATCTTGCAACTTGACTGAATTTGTTTGTTACCTCTACAAGTTTTTTGACGGAGTCTTTTGTTTTTTCTAAACACAAGGTCATGTTGTCTGCAAAGAGGAACAATTTGTGTTCCTCTTTTCCAATATGAATGCCTTTCATTTCTTTCTCTTGTCTGAATACTCTGGCTAGGACTTCCATGTTGACTGGAAGTGCTGAAAGTAGGCATCTTGTACTTAGAAAAAAGGCTTTCAACGTTTCTCCATTCAGTATGATGTTAGTTGTGGGTTTGTCATATATGGCCTTTACTGAGGTATATTCATTCTATGCCTAGTTAATGTGAAGTTTGTATCTTGAAAAGATGTTGAATTTTATCAAATGTTCTGAGTCTATTGAGATAATAATATAGTTTTTGCCTTTCATTCTGTTGATGTGATACATCATGTTTATTGATTTGTGTATGTTTAATCATCTTGCATCCTCGGTACAAATCCCACTTAATCATGTGTCTTATCTTTTTGATATGCCGTTAAATTTAATTTGCTAGTATTTTGTTGAGAATTTTTGCAACTTTGTTTATCAGTGACGTTGGCCTGTAGTTTTCTCTTTGTCGTTGTGTTTTTCTGGTTTTGGTATTGGGTAATGCTGGCCTTGTCAAATGAGTTAGGAAGAATTATTTTCTCTTTAAAATATACAACAGTTGCAGGAGGGTTTGCATTTATCTTCATTATTATTATTATTATTTTATTTATTTATTTTTTGAGACACAGTCTCACTCTGTCACCCAGGCTGGAGTGCAATAGCATAATCACAGCTTACTGCAGCCTTGATCTCCAGGACTCAAGTGATCCTCCTGCCTCAGCCTCCCAAGTAGCTGGGACCACAGGCATGTGCTGCCATGCTTGGTTATTTTTTAAAATACTTTTTTGTAGAGATGGGGTCTTACTATGCTGCCTAGGCTGGTCTTGAATTCTCAGCCTTAAGTAATCCCCCACCTCTCAAAGTTCTGGGATTACAGGTATGATCCACTGCACCTGGCCAGTATTAGTTTTCTATATGTTTGCTTTCAGCAGTAAATCTATGCAGTTCTGGGCCTTTCTTTGTTGGGAGACTTTTAACTACTAATTCAGTCTCACTACTCATTTTTGACAGTTTAAATTTTCTCTTTCTTCCTGATTCAATCTTCGTAGGTTGCATGTTTCCTAGAATTTATCCATATGCTCTAAGTTTTCTAGTTTCTTAGTGCATAGTTGGTCATAATAGTCTCTAATCAACTTTTTGATGTCTGTGTTATCAGTTGGAATGTTTCATTTTTCATTTCTGATTTTACTTATTTGGGGTTTATCCCTTCTTTTCTTTGTTAGTCTAGCTAGTTGTTAATAGATTTTGCTTATCCTTTTTTTTTTTGTTTTGTTTTGTTTTGTTTTTAGAGTCGGAGTCTCGCTCCCTCACCCAGGCTGGAGTGCAGTGGTGTGATCTCAGCTCACTGCAGCCTCAGCCTCCCAGGTTCAAGCGATTCTCCTGCCTCAGCCTCTCGAATAGCTGGGATTATAGGCATGCGCCACTATGCTCAGCTAATTTTTGTATTTTTAGTAGAGACCGGGTTTTCTCATGTTGGCCAGAATGGTCTCCTGACCTCAGGTGATCCACCCACCTCGGCCTCCCAAAGTGCTGGGATTATAGGTGTGAGCCACCATGCCTGGCCTTGTTTATCATTTTGAAGAGCCCATTTTTGTTTAATTGATCATTTATCCTTTGCATTTTTTTTAGTCTATATTTTGTTCAGTTCAGCTCTGATCTTTAGTATCTCTTTCATTCTGCTAATTGTGAGTGTGGTTTGCTTTTGTTTTTCTAGTTCTTTGAGGTGCATTGTCAAATTACTTATTTAAAATATTTCTACTTTTTTGATGTAGGCATTTATAGCTATCAACTTCCTTTTTTGTTGTACCTCACATGTTTTGATATGTTGTATTTCCATTGCAATTTGTTTCAAAAATTTTTTTGATTTTCATTTTAAATTTTTAATTAGCTCAATGGTTGTTTCATGTTGTTTAATTTTCATGTATTTACATGGTTATTGAAGTTCCTGTTGATATTGATTCCTAGTTTTATTTCAATGTGTTCTGATAAAATACTTAATAGAATTTTGATTTTTAAAAATTTGTTGACACTTGTTTTGTGGCCTAACATGGTCTATCCTGAAGAATGTTTCATGTGCTGATGAGAAGAATGTATATTCTGCAGTTGGATGAAATGTTCTGTAAATGTCTGTTAGGTCCATTTGGTCTAAAGCCCAGTTTAAGTCTACTGTTTCTTTGTTGATTTTCTGTCTGGACGCTCTGTCTAATGCTAAGTGTGGGGTGAAGTCCTATATCATTATTGTACTGGAGTCTATTGCTCTCTTTAGATCTAGTGATGTTTGCTTTATGAATCTGGATGCTCCAGTGTTGGGTGCATACATATTTAGAATGTTATTTCTTCTTGCTGGTTTATTCTTTTATCATTATGTAGTGACCTTGTCTTTTTTTTTTTTTTTTACAGTTTTTTACTGTTTTTCACTTAAAGTCTGTTTTATCTGATAGTATAACTACTTCTGTTCACTTTTGATTTTCATTGCATGGAATATCTTTTTCTCTGCCTTTAGTTTTAGTCTATATGTGTCTTTACAACTAACATGCATTTCTTGTAGAGAACATATAGTTGAATCAGGTGTTTGTTTTTTAAATTGACTCAGCAAGTGTATATCTTTTAAGTGGATAATTTAATTTAAATGCATTGTTATTTATAGATATGTGAGGTTTTCTTCTTTTATATTTTTAATTGTTTTCTGGTTATTTTGTATATTCTTTATTCTGTTTTTTTCCTCTCATTGTTACTCATTGTGATTTGGTGGTTATCTATAGTGGTACTATTTGAGTCTTTCATTATTTTCATTTGTGTATTTGCTTTACAATTATGTTTTATACTTTTGTGTGTTTCCATGATGTTGTCCTTTCACTTCCAGATTTAGGACTCCCTTGAGCATTTCTTGTAAGATCGACTTAGTGGTGAATTCCCTCAGCTTTTGCTTATTTGGGAAATACTTTATTTCGCCTTCATTATGAATAATTTTGCTGGAGATACATAGCATGTTTCTTTAGCAGTTTTTTTTTCTTTCATTGCTTTGAATATAACATCCCATTTTCTCCTGGCCTGTAAGGTTCTGCTGAAAAACTTGCTGTTAATCTGGTGAGGGTTCCTTTATAGGTGATTAGATGCTTTTCCCTTACTGTTTTTAGAATTCTCTCTTTGTAAGTGAATTGAGATATTATTTCTATAATGTGCCATGGAGATTTTTTGCATTGTGTCTGGAGATTGCTGGGCCTCCTGTGTCCTGTAAATCTCTTTCTATACTTGGGAAGTCTTCATCTATTATTTTGTCAAATTTGTTAACTCTTTTGCTCTCTCTTTGCCTTCTGTGCTACTTATAATTCACATATTTGGTTAGAGTATCCCAAATATCACAAAAGTTTGTTCTTTTTTTTTTTGTTTTTCTCTGATTGGATTATTTCAAAAGAACTGTATTTCGGTTCTTAGATTCTTTCTTCTGCTTGATCTAGTCTATTATTGAAGCTTCTGAATGTATTTTATACTTCATTCCATGAATTCTTCAGTACCAGAATGACTGTTTAGTTCTCTTGTTATGATAGGTACCCCTTTGCTAAATTTCTCATTCATATACTGAATTGTTTTTATTTGTTCGTATTGCTTTTTGGAGTTCTATTGCATCTCACTGAGCTTCTTTAGAATCAATAATTTGACTCCTTTTTCTGGGATTTTGTTAATTTCTTTTTATTAGGGACCTGTTTCTGGGTAATTATTGTGTTCCTTTGGGGGTGTCATACTTTCTTGCTTTTCATGTTTCCTGTTCTTGTGTTAATACCTTAATATCTTCATATCTAGTGTGTCAGTTGCTTCTTCCAATTTTTTGAATTTGCTGTCAAAGGAAAGAACATTTTCCTAAGGATGAATCTAAGGGGTTGGTTGGATTGGGCACTTTGGCTTTGATTCTGTGTTCATACAGTGGTATAGTCTCTGTATGACTTCTACAGCTATAGGCAGCATCAGCGATATCTGATATTTCCTTATGCAGTTATTAGTGGAGGTTGTGGTACAGTTTTGCTGGCCACTGGGGTGCCAGCTAGGCCAATTTTTGATCCACAGTGGTTGCATTGGTGAGCTGGGTATGCCTGTTTGTAAACCTCAGGGTGGTGTATGCTGGTACCTGGGTTAGTGGGCCCAGGTGGGCCAATTTTGGGATCTCCATGTTGCTTACTCAGATGCCAATAGTGGCAGCCATGGGCTGGAAGGTTGGTGGGTTCCAAGGCTTCTGGCCTGCCAATATGGCATGGGCAATGACAGTAGCCATGGTGGAACAATCCTCTGTGTCCCCCTATGCACTAGTATTGGCAGTGGCTGAAATATGGTGGGTGGGCCAGTCTCCATGTCTGCAGGTAGCATATATAGATAGGTGCCAGCTGGGGTGGTAGTGGCTAGGTGCATAGTCCCAATATCAGTCTCCTGGGAGGAGTGTTCATTCACGTGCCAATGGTGGTAGACCGGACCGGGCAATTGCCTGGCCCACAAACTGTGAACTCTGGCATGGGAGGGAGGGGAAAAGCTGGATTATGCTGGCTTGTTATCAGGTCTTCAATGGTGTATACAGTGTTTGGCCATGGTAAGGAGGGGTGGGGCGGTCCCTAGGCCACAGATAACATGCTTAGGTAGAGGATAGCAATGGCCACACTACTTCCCTGTCATTGAGGGAGAAGGAAGTGCCACTTTCAGTGACAGTAGCCTAGGCTGGTGGGTGATAGAACACACTTCACTCATGTGTCATTGGAAGTGGTACTGGAACTTCAGCCCTAGAGTCAGCAGTCAGCTCTTTTCTTGTACCTAAGCCTCAGCAGCCCTGGGCTCCAAGACAGTGTGAAGTCTGTTGGGCGTGGGGCTCTAGAATGGTGCCTCATTCATGCCTCAGTCTTAAGGGTGGAAGCATGTGCCTCAGTTGCACCTCCATGCTGGGTGCAGTAGCTCTCAGTCACTTGTGCTTAAGCCCTGGGGGCAGCAGCTGTACTCTCTTACACATCAGCCCCAGGGCCACTGGGTCCAGGACAGTGCGTAGTCTCCTGAGGGTGGAGTTCTAAAGTGGAACCTCGCTGAAGCTGCTTAGGTCTCGAGGAATGTGAAAGATGGAGTACGAGCTTCCTCCCTGGGGCAGTGCCTGTGGTACAATTTTCTAGCAGCTCCTTATGTTAGTTTCAGGACTCATGATGGGGATATACTGTGTCCAGAATTGTAGGAATCCATGGTGAGAATGTGGACCCCTGAGGGTCTCTTACTCACCCTTTCCCCAAATTGAGAAGTCTTTCTTGGCTTCCAGGTGATCCTGGCTAAGCAAGCTGTCTCACTTCCTTCTCCTTCCTTGCTTTAGGTATTGCCTGTCAATTTTCTGTTGAATCCCAGTGTTTTCTTTTGGGCAGTCCATTAAAACTGTGATTATTTATTCACTATTTTGGATCTTCTTCATGGAGGAAGTGAATACAAAATTCTTTAATAAAGTATCTTGAAACCTTACCCTGAAAATGCCAAATGCATATTTTGTTTCATCTTCTCAGTGATTACCAGAGAAAAATATTACTATCCCCTATTACAAATGTAAAATAAATAATATTATGGAAATCAAACAGCTGCCCTGAGATAAACGGTAGGTGATCTTTGGAGAAAATACCTAAATCAAGAACTTCAATGCCTATTTTTTTTCTATCAAACAATGTCAGATTTTCTATCAAGCTATTTCACAGAGAGAATAACAATTTCATTGAATCTAGCAAAAAACAGGTAAGTAGACATCACTTTTAGTAAAGAACAAAAGTTCAAACTTTTAATCAAATTTGTTTAGGAATAATAATAATGCCAATGATAACAATGATAATGATGATGATGGTGATAATGACATTGAGCTCATTTCAAGTTTAGAGCATGTCACTGTTTGTCTACAATCTTTTCTTTCACAGTAGAGTGACCTAGGGTCTTAAGACCAATGTGCAAAATCTATGCTCGTTCTTCTACCCTTTCACTGCTTTTTCAATACCTGTTGTATTCAAATATCAGTTTTCTTTTATTTAGTCTTCAGTGTGTTACAGTTGCTTTAATACAATGATGAGATTGGTGTTAGAAGGGTCATCAATTACTCATCAGCAATAAGATGCCTTGTTGAATTTAAATTGTTTAACAGAAGTCCAAAATCTCAGAAACCAGGGCTTTTGGGCAAGATGTTTTGCCTATCCCCACTACCTATGAGCAACTAATGAGGGGTAAAATGTAGAACATAAAATAAATATTATTTAAGTGGTAGAACAGATTGCAAGACAAAATTTGCCTTCCAAATAGCACCCTAAAAGCTCTGAGAACTAAAATGTCTCTATCATTTAATAGAGAATTCTGTTATAAACTATGATACATTTGAAACTAATTGCCTTTCAATACCTGCTACAAGAATGTCTGCACATCTTAAGATCTAGGGTAGATGACATAATGATTAAGAGATAATTTTTGTAATTCTTTACAGTTTTTGAAGTGTTTAAAATAAATAATATTAACTATTAAATAACAAAAGATGCCCTGAAGCAGAGTTTGTCCTAATATGGTACCTGGTCCACCCCCGTCAGAATTATTAGGAGAGCTTGTTATGCAAATTCTTGAGCTCTACCCCACAGAGAATCAGAATCTCTAAAGGAGATGTCCAGAAACCTTCCTGTTTCCAACTCTTAGTGATTCCTATGTACATTAAACTACCATCTAAAAGAGCTGCTAGTTCTGACATCTTTTCACAGCCTTCCTTTATAATTTTTGGCATGATACAGAACACTGGAATACTGTCACTACTGTGATCAGGCTTCTTCCACCAAAAGGGCTTTTCCACCTTGGCATTGATTTTCTGTAATGGACAGATATATTATTTAAGTAGAAGATACATTAAGTATTAAGATACTATTAAGTAGAAGATACATTATTTTAGAACTTGATATTCCTTTATACCATATCTCTTCCATAGATAAAATAAACAATTTGGAATATATATATATATCAGGAATATATATATATATCCTGATATATATATCAGGAATATATATATATATTCCTGATATATATATATCAGGAGCAAAATGTACACACACACACACACACACACACACACACACACACTCATTTTCAGGGATGACTCTGTAAGTCTCCATAATAAAGGACCAGAATATGGTGTTTCATATATATAAGCATTATGCATTTTCCATTAAACTGGAAAAAAATGAGAGGGTTTAGATACCAGCTGATAAGATTACATAGCTGAGGTAGCTTGTAGAAAGTTTACATGCCCCAGATATCTATGCATTCCACTTCAGGGACAAACTACAAACAGTATATTGAGAGGCGAAATCCAAATGGTACCCACAGTGACTACATTGACACTGCCCCTGCCTGTCACCCACCATGCTTGAAAGGCTTGAAATTTTGGAAACCATTAGTTTCAAAGAGTACAAAGACACTATTCACTGTGGTGGGAATCTGAAGACTTCTGTTTCCACCATGACTATCTTAAATTTGCAGAGCGTGCTTCCATAAGTGAGTCTTCCTTTCCAAACTATTTAGCTTATAAGGTTGGCTATATTTTGTTGTGCAAATATCGAATGGCTCCTGCACAGACACCTGTTTCATGAGTAACATTACGTAACTGCTACCTTAATGAGTTTTCCAAACTGATGCTATTTACTATACATGAGCATAGGCCAATTATTTCTTTATAGTACTCTGTGCTTAAAATTCCCCATCTGTTAGATGGAAATACTAGTAATATGCCTACATCATATCATAGTGTTCTTATGCCTATATATATATATATGTGTGTGTTTAAAATGGCACCTGGTACAGGATAAATGCTGTGTAAATATTACCATTATTGTTATAATTTTCATTATTTATCTATAAGTCTTATTTCTAAAAAAGCAAGAGTTCTTAGGCCCAAATTAGTGTTTTAAATGAAAAACACATGTTTTGTATTCATGATTGTGTATGTGTGCTCATGTGTGTGTGCATAAATCATCTATTGGTTTGAAAGTGTTAAGGTAGAAATGTCTATGCATGTATTTATGTGTTCTGGGAGGTCTTCAGAAAATTTATTTTGAAACAAGAATATGTTTAAAAATGTAGAGGAGTTTTTGGTGTTGATATAATAATGGCTACTATTATTAATCACCTATAATTGACCACACTTTTTATATATGTAATCTTAACTAATTTTTATAAAATTTCTGGGAGGTAAGTTTTATAAGTTTATGAAAGAGATAGCTGGTGGTCTAAGAAGTCAAGCAATCAAAGCAAGACAAAATAGCATGTAAGTATTGCAATGGAAATTCAGACCTGAGTTTTATTGCTTCAAAGCTAGTTGCTATTTCCACCCTATTTAATCATCTTGTTAATTAATGAATTTTAATTAGTGACCACTAAATGTAGTGATGCCAAGATTTCTACTATTATGTCTCATTATTTAATTCATCCACCCAGCCATCCACCCATCCAATGAAGATGTCTTGAAATAGCACTTTGTTAGGCAATTGGAATTTTTTTTTAAAAGCCTAAGACATAGTATCTGTCTTAAGAAGTTCACTCTTTAGAGGGTAAACACACATGCAAACAAATAAATGTGGATTATGCTGGGGGGGAATATACAAAATGTTATGAAAACTAAAAGAGAGACTACCTAATTACCAGGTGCAAGGGGAAAAAGGGAGGTCAGGGAAGGCTTTCCATAAGTTAGAGCATTTCAGAAAGCTGAAAGGTGAGTCAAGGCCGGGCGCGGTGGCTCACACCTTAATAGCAACACTTTGGGAGGCTGAAGTGGGTGCATCACCTGAGGCCAGGAGTTTGAGACCAGCTGGGCCAACATGGTGAAACCCTGTCTCTACTAAAAAAACACACAAAAAAAACCCCACAAAAAATTAGCTCGGTGTGGTGGCGCATGCCTGTAATCCCAGCTACTCAGGAAACTGAGGCAGGGGAATTGCCTGAATGCAGGAGGTGGAGGTTGCAGTGAGCCAGGATCGTGCCACTGTACTCCAGCCTGGGCAACAGAGAAAGACTCTGTCTCAAAAAACAAAACAAAACAAAACAATAAAAAGATGAGCCAAATGTTTTCTTGAACTACACAGGAAGGGACGCCATGATCCTTCCAAAGGATGAAGTTCTGCTCTACAGAGCCTGGGCAAGTATTTTCCAAGCAGATAGAGATTTAGAAATATTTGACATTCCTACAGAGATTTATTGGAACTTAGGCTGATTCCATTGGTTCAGCTACATAATTTCTCACACAATTATGTGTAAAATTATTTAATGTCCTATCTTGTATCACTTTTTTCCTGTTACTCTACTCCACCATCCCCCTTCTCTAACTTCATTGCAAGATTCTTGAGAAGAACACTCGAGCTGTGAGTTGACTGGCAATGAAATCAGAACAACTCTTTAGCCAACTCCCTGTTCTAGCAGGGGATTCAAAAATGATATCTGACAAACATCCATCCCGTTAAATCAAACTCTCATCCTGACATTGTTTCTGTAACAAGTGGAGAACTTTGAAAAACAATGCTTCATCATCTCCTGAAAACCAAAGCACTTTCCACTTGTGATAATAATTTACAGAGGGGGAACAAAGTTTGTGTGGTTTTTAGATTCAACATAGGAAGAACAGAACATCAAGTGCTATTCAGACTGAGAGACAAAAACTTGAAATTTCTCCTCAGTGAATAAAGTTATTTGGAGAGCCATTTATTTATTAAAAATCTGCGTGTTGCTTGGATACAAATTCACAACAGGCACATAACTTCCCCAAATTTGCTGATCCTGGAAGGCAGTCCCAGTGTGTTGTGATTGTGTGGTACCCAGGGTTGCCAAGCCGGCCCCCCAGCCCCTCTGGGGCAGGGTGAAATCTGGACATGTTCGACTCTTCTCTTGGTGGAAGAAAAAGATACAGAACTGACTCTTCTCAGAGAATTTGCTGGGAAATTCCCAGGCTTAATGTGTTGCCTCTTGATGATTATTTTATATCATAAGAAAAGCACTGATTCCTAAGTAGATCTGCATTTATTGTTTAAAACACACTTTTGGTCAAGCACATGAAAAATCTGTTTTCTTGCTTTGGGTTACATACATTTACTTTGCACATTCTTCCCAAATATCTAACAAATTTCTGATGGAAACGTGATGAAGTAAGACTGTTGGAGTGGGGATTCATGAAGAGGGGTGTGGAGCATTGAAAGAGAAGAAAGAGAAAGAGGAAAAAGTTCTCAGGGTTCAGTGATGTGTTAATAACTATTAATAACTATTAATAACTACAACAAAAATCAAGAGGTTGAAGTTTTATGGGCATAGTTTGACTTAAAATAGAAACATGTTTTCTGAGCATTTACATTGTCCAACAGTAAAGAACCAGTGTACAACTTCTGCTGAGAAGACAGGCTTTGGAGACACACTGTCTGTGTTAGAATCCTGGCTCTGTGTCCTTAGGAAAATTATATAACCCCTGCCTCATCTTTGACACCTTTTGTAAAATGAGGACACGCATAATGCATACCTCACAAAATTACTAAGAGGACTGGGTGAAATAATAGATGTAAATTGCTTAGCACTTTGTTTTACATGAAACAATAGAAACAACTAACAATCTAGTTACCATTTATTGAATGCTGCCTATGAAGAGTTACAGTCCCAAGAGTTATATGTATACTACCTCACCCAATTCTTATAATAACTCTACATTATAGGGAATATTATTCCCCACTTCACAAATGAGAAAACTGAGGTATTAACGTACCGAGGCCCAAGGTCTCACAATGGTGAAGTAAGGATTCAAATCTAGGCAGTTTGGCTCCAGAGCCCATAATTATAATGATTGATCATATTCTGGGCTTAGGAACGTGCCTGAAACATTACAAACATTACATAAATTGTAGCTATTCTTCCTCTTATTTTTAATAACAGAGTAGATGCCTTGAAAGGCAGGAATCTGGAACTATTTACAAGTTGATGAATAACCCTCCAAGAATTCTAGATAAAAGATGACTGCATTTGTAGTAAATTATTAATTGGCTTTGAATGATCCTTTCCACTCTACACTGGCTTTGGGAACAAGCTAATGTGTATTAAAATCCTGATTCTGCCACTTCCAGGTCATGTAACTCTGAACAAAATGTTTAACACCTGTGAAAATATCAATTGCCTGTAAAATCAAGACAATAATATCCATGTTGTAAGGATTCAATAGAAATAGTGTACATAAAATTTAGCCCACTGCTTGATAAATTGTTAACTACTTGGCAGACAATGCCAACAATTGTTAAATTACTGTATTACTTATATTTATTTAGGTTTTTACTTCTCCAATCCATTTTAATCTATAGTCACCTTTTTATGTTGGACTACTTAATATTGTAGAGGAGACACATTTTTCAGATAGCCCTGCTACTCTGTCATGGGAAAAGATCAGAATTGGGTTTAAGGAATTAAGGAAAGATGAAGACTGGAAGGAACCATTAGAAGTGGAGAAAGTAGAGCTAAAAACAAAGGAGGGAGCAAATATAATAGACCTGTGTAACAGACTTCTCATTTGGCCTAAATCTGCTGCTACTGCTAGGTATGGTGAATTCTGGGGATGAATGTTAAAGCAATGGTTTTCCACTGGCCACTTCCAATGTCCATATGTACCCAACAATAATAAGAAGGGGAGATAACTACCCAGGGGTCAAACAGAGTTACTGCTCCTAGCTGTATCTTTTGACGCAATGGCTCTAAGCCCATGCCAGCTGTTGCTGGTGCCACCTTGAGAGGACCACAGCAAGTTCTACATTTGCCTTTATGACAGAGCTGGCATACCCAATGAGAGAGTAGAAAGTAAACCCTGATGGAGATTGATGACCCTGACTAGAATAAATGAAGGTGACACTCCAAAAATGGAATATATTTAGGTAAATATATAGGGTTCAAATTATATATTTAACTATTTAGGGATGACCCTGAAGTCATATTTTTTAATATAATAATTTACCAGAAGACAAATAAACTTAACATACTTTCTTACAGGGCAAAAAAAAAAAAGGAATTATTAACAGGTCTGTTTTCATTTTGAAGGGTTTTTATTCTTTTATTCTTTTTTTTTTTTTTTTTTTGAGGCTAAGTCTAGCTCTTGTCACACAGGCTGGAGTGCAATGGTCAGATGTTGGCTTGCTGCAACCTCTGCCTCCCAGGTTCAAGTGATTCTCCTGCCTCAGCCTCTTGAGTATTGGGATTACAGGCACCTGCCACCACGCCCAGCTAATTTTTGTATTTTTAGTAGAGATGGGGTTTCACTATGTTGGCCAGGCTGGTCTCAAACTCCTGAACTCAAGTGATCCACCCACCTGGGCCTTCCAAAGTGTTGGGATTACATGCATGAGCCACCCCCGCCCAGCAGGTTTTTATTCCTTTATAGGTTTCAGGCTACGCAAAGGGAGGGAGAGAGGAGGAGAGCATTCTAGGAAGAACCAAGTGTCACAAAAAGAATGAAATGGAAGCAGAAAATTCAAGCTCCGTGTGCTTCTCACACTATAGTTAGGCTGTCACTAATGTGACTATTAACTTTTCATGTTCAGATTTATTATGCTGTCATTATAGCACTTTTCTTTGCTGATGTATCAAACCACTATTACATATTTGTTGGCATCTCATCTATTTAAGGGAAACAAGTGATTACCTGTTGCCAAGGAGACTAATAAGGAATGTGCAAGCAAAGGACTGTAGAGTTCTCTTTGGAAGATAACAAGCCACTGGTATTTTATTTTGGATCAAATCATACACTACCTCATTGTTTAAAGAAAAATCACTTTATCCCTTCCATTAAAAACTAGGGTACTTATTCAAATGAAAAAACCTAAAGACTTTTATAAAACAAAATAAATATTTGGGAAAATAATATGTGATAAGGCATCCCTAGAAAGGAAAGTTACTTCTGGAATTTTTGAAAGTTTCGATCTTTCAAATATATTTTTATATATAAAAATATAATTTCAATACAATGTTTTCAGTATAATCAGTGGGTATTTTGGAAGTAATGCTAATTACTATAACACATAAAATCCCAGTATTTTAATATTTTTTCATAACTTCAACCTATATGTTCCTAATGGGCAGGTGAATGACCTCCACGTTTATTTAGCACCCAGGATCCTTTTGTCTTATGAGTCTGCCCTTCTCTGAAAATGTTTCCTTAATCTACAGAGTAGCACACAAACAGGATGGAGGATTATACTAGAAAGGTTTTCCAAGGCCAGAGCTGGTAAGTCACGTGTCACTTCTGCTTGTATCTCACTGCCAGAAAGCAAATACATAGCCTCACCTAATTGCCAGGGAGACTGGAATATGCCATTGAGCTATGAGCACACGAAGAAGAATGAAGTGGTTTATGAGCATCTGGATAGCCTCTGCAACCCAGAGTTAAGTACAGATACTAAGAAAACACAGAGCATGACTCCCCAAATCGGTTGTAGTGAGTTGTAAAAGAGGTATGAGAAGTTCTGGGAGGGAATAAGACAGGCATGACTTGGAGATATTGCTTATTCAGTTTGAGATCACCACAATAAAGTGAATTTTACAATAAAGTGAGGGATACAAATTTTTTGATTTCCCAGTGCATATAACCGTTATGTTTATACTATACTGTAGTCTATTAAATGTTCAGTAGCATGGTGTCTAAAAAACAATGTACAGACCTTAATTTAAAAATACTTTACTGCTAAAAAATGCTAACAATGATTTGAGCCTTCAGCAAGTTGTGATCTTTTTGCTGACAAAGTGTCTTGCCTGGATGTTAATGCCTACCGACTGATCAGTGTGGTGGTTGGGGTGGCTGTGGCAATTTCTTAAAATAAGACAATAAAGTCAGCCACGTTGATAGACTTCCTTTCACAAAAAAAATTCTCTGTAACATGTGATGGTGTTTGGTAGCATTTTACCCATGGAAGAACCTCTTCCAAAGTGCACTCAGTCTTCCCAATCCCTGCCACTACCTTGTCAACTAAGTTTATGTAATGTTCTGAATCCTTTGTTGTCATTTTAACAATGTTCCCGGCATTTTCACCAAGAGTAGGTTCCATATCAAGAAACCACTTTCTTTGCTCATCCATAAGAAGAAATTTTTCATCCATAAAATTTTCTCATGACATTGCAGCAATCTAGGCACATCTTCAGGGTCTACTTTTAATTCTAGCTCTCTTGGAATTTCTACCACATCTTCAGGGACTTCCTCCACTGAAGCTTGAACTCCTCAAAGTCATCCATAGGGGTTGGAATCAACTTTTTCCAAACTTGTTAATGTTGATATTTTGACCTCCTCCCATGAATCACAAATATCCATAAATGCATCCATAATAGTAAATTCTTTCTAAAAGGCTTCAACACGTATTTCTTAACTAATAATACTTGAAAGTTAAAATTACTTCTTGATTTGTAGGCTACAGAATGGGTGTTAATAGGCATGAAAACAACATAAATCTTGTACATCCCTATCATAGTTATTGGATGACTAGGTACATTGTTAATGAGCAGTAATACTTTGAAAGGAGTATTTTTGTGTGAGTGGTAGATCTCAACAAGGGGCTTGAAATATTCAGTAAACTATGCCGTAAACAAATGTGCTGTCACCCAGGCTTTATTCCATTTATAGAGCACAGACAGAGTAGATTTAACACAATTATTAAAACCCTAGGATTTTCAACATGGCAAATGAGCATTGGCTTCAAGTAAAAGTCATCAGCTGCCTTATTCCCTAAAAAGAGAGTCAATCTGTCCTTTGAAGATTTGAAGCCAAATAGTGACTTCTCTCCAGTTGTGAAAGTCTTACATGGCATCTTCTTCCAATAGAAGGCTGTTTCATCTACATTGAAAATATATCGCTTAGTGTAGCCACCTTCATCAATGATCTTGGATGGATCTTTTGGATCACTTGCTGCAGCTTCTACATCAGTACTTGCTGCTTCACCCCTTTTACTTATATGTTGTGGAGATGACTTATTTCTTTAAACTTCATGAACCAACCTCTGCTAGCTTCAGACTTGTCTTTTGCAGCTTCCTCATGTCTCTCAGCCTTCATGGCATTGAAGTGAGTTAGAACCTTGCTCTGGATTAGGCTTTGGCTTCAGGGAATATTGTCGCTGATTTGGTCTTCTATCCAGACCACTAAAACTTTCTCCATATCAGCAGGAAGGCCATTTTACTTTTTTTCCATATGTGTGTTCACTGGAGCAGTACTTTTAATTTCATTTAAACTTTTCCTTTGACTTCACAAGTTTTTAGCCTGTCTCAGCTTTTGACATGCCTTCCTTACTAAGCTTCATCATTTCTACATTTTGATTTAAATTGATAGATGGTGACTTTTCCTTTCACTTGAACACTTAGAGGCCATTTAGGGTTATTAATTGGCCTAATTTCTATATTGTTATGACTCAGGGAATAGAAAGGCTCAAAAAGAGGGAAAGAGACAGAAAAATGGCTGGTTGGTGGAGAATTTAGTATACACAGTACATTTGTTGATTGTTTGCCATCTTACATGGGCACAGTTAATGGTACCCACAAACAATTACAATAGTAACATCAAAGATCTCTGAACACATATCATCATAACAGATAAAAAAATAATTAAAAAGCTTGAAATAGTATGACAATTGCTCAAATGTGACACAGAGACATCAAGTGAGCATGTTTTTGGAAAAATGGCACTAAAAAAACTGCTTGATGCAGGGTTAGCACAAATCGTTAATTTGTAAAAAATCAATATTTGTATATTACAATAAAGCAAAGCACAATAAAACAAGGTGTTTCTGTAATTGGGTTTTGTCAAAAAATGAATAAACATAATCTAGACTACAAAGGACAAGAGAGAGAATTTGAGGCAGTGGAAATAACACAAGGAAAGGCATAGTATAAGTAAAAGAATAAACAAGCAGGGTAACCACGAGTAGTTCAGTATTGAGAGGTGACAGCATGCTGGCAGCCCTTGCAGCCCTTGCTTGCTCTCAGCGCCTCTTCGGCCTTGGCGCCCACTCTGGCCGAGCCCTTCAGCCTGCCACTGCACTGTGGGAGCCCCTTTCTGGGCTGGCCAAGGCCGAAGCTGGCTCCCTCAGCTTGCGGGGAGGTGTGGAGGGAGAGGCGCAGACAGGAACGGGGCTGCATATGGCGCTTGTGGGCCAGCATGAGTTCTGGGTGGGCGTGGGCTTGGTGGACCCCACCCTCAGAGCAGCCGGCCAGCTCCACCAGCCCTGGGCAGTGAGGGGCTTAGCACCTGGGCCAGCAGCTGCTGTGCTCAATTTCTCGCCGGGCCTTAGCTGCCTCCCCGTGGGGCAGGGCTCGGGACCTGCAGCCTGCCATGCCTGAGCCTCCCCCCACCCGCCGTGGGCTCCTGCGCGGCCCAAGCCTCCTCAACAAGCGCCACCCCCTGCTCCACGGCGTGCAGTCCCATTGACCGCCCAAGGACTGAGGACTGCGGGCGCACGGCGCGGGACTGGCAGGCAGCTCCACCTGCAGCCCCGGTGTGGCATCCACTGGGTGAAGCCAGCTGGGCTCCTGAGTCTGGTGGTGACTTGGAGAATCTTTATGTCTAGCTAAGGGATTATAAATACACCAATCAGCACTCTGTACCTAGCTCAAGGTTAGTAAACACACCAATCAGCACCCTGTGTCCAGTTCAGGGTTTGTGAATGCACCAGTCAGCACTCTGTATCTATTTAATCCGGTAGGGACTTGGAGAACCTTTATGTCTAGCTAAGGGATTGTGAATGCACCAGTCAACACTCTGTATCTAGCTCAAGGTTTGTAAATGCACCAATCAGCACTCTGTGTCTAGCTCAAGGTTTGTAAATGCACCAATCAGCACTCTGTGTCTAGCTAATCTGATGGGGACTTGGAGAATCTTTATGTCTAGCTAAGGGATTGTGAATGCACCAATCAGCACTCTCTGTCTAGCTCGAGGTTTGTAAATACACCAACCGACACTCTGTATCTAGCTAATCTAGTGGGGAGGTGGAGAACTTTTGTGTCTAGCTCAGGGATTGTAAACGCACCAATCAGCACCCTGTCAAAACGGACCAATCAGCTCTCCGTAAAACAGACCAATCGGCTCTCTGTAAAATGGACCAATCAGCAGGATGTGGGTGGGGCCAGATTAGGGAATAAAAGCAGGCTTCCCGAGCCAGCAGTGGCAACCCGCTTGGGTCCCCTTCCACACTGTGGAAGCTTTGTTCTTTCGTTCTTTGCAATAAATCTTGCTACTGCTCACTCTTTGGGTCCACACTTCCTTTATGAACTGTAACACTCACCGCAAAGGTCTACAGCTTCACTCCTGAAGCCAGTGAGACCACGAACCCACTGGGAGGAACAAACAACTCCAGACACACCGCCTTAAGAGCTGTAACACTCACCGTGAAGGTCTGCAGCTCCACTCCTGAGCCAGTGAGACCACGAACCCACCAGAAGGAAGAAACTCGAACACATCCAAACATCAGAAGGAACGAACTCTGGACACGCCGCCTTTAAGAACTGTGACACTCACCACGAGGGTCCGTGGCTTCATTCTTGAAGTCAGTGAGACCAAGAACCCACCAATTCCAGACACAGTATTACTGGAACAAAAATATGAGATGGAATATGGCAAATGAAAAGGAAGATGTGGTATAATGATACTACTAATAGCAGGGAATACATCTCGGCCACTTGCTATACAATGTGCTGTGTTAGAAGCATTTTATGTGTATCAACTGATTTTGATCCTCTTAGTAAGCCGTTGAGCTAAAGATTATTTACCCCATTACCTCACCTATGTGTGAGGAAGTTAATTTTCCCATGAACACGGAGTGAATAAATGGTAGAGCTGAGATTCAAACCTATGGAAATCAATTCCTAACCCATAAGCATTTGACCACTTCTCCTAGTATAAATCCTAGTGATAATCTTGTGGGTTACAAACAACTTACTGAATTGTGTTGAACAAGGAGGAGCAGTCATAAGCAATCCTGAATTTTAGATCTATAGTTTAATCTGGTGGTTGGTGGAGGTGGATTAGAACAGTGGCTCTCAAACCTGAAAGTGTATTGAGATCACCTGGAAGATTTATTAAAACACAAACTTCTGGAGCGTACCACCAAAGTTTTTTATTTAGTGTCCCTCGAGTGGGGTTTTAGATGTGAATTTCTAACAACTTTCCGGAGATGCTACTCCCACACTTTGAGACTCACTGGATTTGAAGAAGGTATGATTGAAACAACGCTTATTTTGGCTAGCGCTAGTTGACACTTTGAGTAGTGCATGGTGGGCATGTAATATCTTGTTTCCTGCCTCATTGTTAGAATATCAACATTTTTATTCCATTTTCTGAATTATGTCTATGAGACCTTCACTTATTGGTAGTAACTACCAATTTTTGAATGGAGCAATGGCCAGATTCTTGAAGACTTCAGTATTTAATACATGGTAAATCCACTGTATTAGTTTGCTAGGGCTATCATTTTTAAAAAGTATTAAAGACTAGGTGGCATAAACAACAAAAATATATTTTCTCAAAAATTCTGAAGGTTAAAAGTCCAAGATCAAGTAGGTTTGATTTCTTCTGAGGCCTCTGTCCTTGGCTTGCAGATGGCTTCCTTCCTGCTATTGAGGACAAAACTCTGATTCTTTTATCTTGCCCAAATTCCTATCTAAGGGGCTGGGAGTCCTGCTCTACAAAGCATAAATTCTCATCAGATGGGTTTTATTTAACCCTATATATTATGACTTACTTTCCTGACTCTGACATAGCATTATGAGACAAGGAAGAAAATCAAAATATTTTACCCCAAAACTTGTTTATTTGCCATATTTTGAAATGGCCCTCCAAGGCTATTCTTTGTGGGGGGAAATTTGCATCTGTAGAGAACCTCTGTTAACATAGCTGGATCTTTTTCTTCCAGACCCTCCCAATCCTAAGGAGATTAACCAAGATATGAATAAGAAACATTTGTCATCTATTGTCTTTAAGGGCAGCCACTATAAAACTGCAAAAGAACTTTGATCTCCATAGTCTTTATCTTACTTTCCCTTTCTTTCAATCCCTTTCTTTCTTTCAATCTTTAGTCAAACTCAACCAATTGTCAACCACAAAATGTTTAAATTCACCTATAGCCTGGAATCTCCCCCGCCCTACCCCACCTTTGAATTTCCCAGCCTTTCTGGACTAAACCAATATATTTCTTAAATGTGTTTGATTGATGTCTCATGAGTCTCTAAAATGTATAAAACCAAGCTGTGCCCCAACCACCTTGGGCACATGTTCTCAGGATCTCCTGATGGCTGTGTCCCCAGACCATGTTCACTCATATTTGGCTCAGAAAAAATTTCTTTAAACATTTTACAGAGTTTGACTCTTTTCATCGACACTATGTCCTTGCATGGCCTTTATTTTGTGTATGAATATTTTTGGTGTCTGTTTCTTTTCTTTTTCGTTTCTTTTTTTTTTTTTTTTTTTTTTTTAGAATTGGGGTCTTTTCCTGTCACCCAGGCTAGAGTGCAGTGGAGGGATCATAGCTCACTGTAACCTAAAATTCCTGGGCTCAAGTGATCCTCTCACCTCAGTCTCCCAAGTAGCTGTGTTTCTCTTCTTACAAGGTCACCAGTCATATGAAATTAGGGCTCCACCCTATTGGCATCATTTTAGCTCCATCACCTCTTAGGAGGTCCTATCTCCAAATATAGTCACATGGATTAGGGCCCATCCATATGACCTTATTTAACCTTAATTACTTATTTAAAGACCCTATTTCCAAATACAATTACATTATGATGTACTTTTAGATTGTTGCAAAAGTAATTCAGTTTTGACCATTAATGGCATTTCAATAGATTTTGAGACTTCAATATATGAATTTTGGTGAGGGGTGGGGGGCAGCACGATTCAGCCCATGACACCTATCATTTGGTAATTTAAGGCTACTATGAAGTATCAAGTTTTTGGCATATAACAGCAAGAATACAGGGGTGTTCTATTTTTGCCAAATTGTCCAGATATTGACACGTGTCTAGTCATATAGCAAAATGGCTATAATAAAATGCCACATTTTTCACCCAGGCAAAGATTCAATCATTGGAAAACAAACTTCATGGGTCAGGATGTGGGAAAACAGGCACTTAATTTGTTGATAGTGGGAATACAATGTTACAATCCCTATGAAAGAGAATTTGGCCAACTCTAGCAAACTTACATGGCATTTCCAATCAGAAATCATTGCACTTTCATTCAGAAAAACCATTTCAAAGCATATATTACAAAAGTCCACTACCAAAAGTATAAAAATAATAATCAAGACAACCCATTGCACCATTATTTTATGTTATGTTATGTATGTATTTAAATATCAAAAATAACTAAAAAATATGATTAATATTTAAAAATTAATAAACCATGGCATATTTGCATAATAAGGAATTATGCAACTGGAAAAAGGAATGAAGACTATATCCATGTATTGCTGTGACTCAGGATATATCACTGTGAGAAAGCAGGGTGGAAGAACTTGTGTATGGAATGCTACTAATTTAACAAATAATATAAATTATATCAAATTTTAAAACGGTTATCTATAGAGGGAGAAGAGTTATGTTGGAATAAACAAAAAAAACTTTCTGTTTGCAAAGACAACTTTTTTGTTTTTTAAAGCTTTATTGGGCTATAATTGACTTCCAATAAACTGTATATATTTAAAGTGTACCATAAACTAAGTTTTGAATATGTATACATTTATAAAACCATACCTGTCAGGCCTCTGAGCCCAAGCTAAGCCATCATATCCCTTGTGACCTGCACGTGCACATCCAGATGGCCGGTTCCTGCCTTAACTGATGACATTCCACCACAAAAGAAGTGAAAATGGCCTGTTCCTGCCTTAACTGATGACATTATCTTGTGAAATTCCTTCTCCTGGCTCATCCTGGCTCAAAACCTCCCCTACTGAGCACCTTGTGACCCCCACTCCTGCCTGCCAGAGAATCCCCCTTCAAGTGTAATTTTCCTTTACCTACCCAAATCTTGTAAAATGGCCCTACCCTTATCTCCCTTCCCTGACTCTCTTTTCAGACTCAGCCCGCCTGCACCCAGGTGAAATAAACAGCCTTGTTGCTCACACAAAGCCTGTTTGCTGGTCTCTTCACAGGGCCGCGAGTGAAATTTGGTGCCGTGACTAGGATCGGGGGACCTCCCTTGGGAGATCAATCCCCTGTCCTCCTGCTCTTTGTTCCCTTAAAAAGGTGGCTGAAGCTAAAGTCATAGTCAAGGTTAATGCTCCTCTTTCTTTATCTGACCTCTCCCAAAATCAGTTAGCATTTAGGCTCTTTTTCATCGAATATAAAAACCCAGCCCAGTTCATGGTTTGTTTGGCAGCAACCCTGACACGATTTACAGCCCTAGACCCTGAAAGGTCAGAAGGCCGTCTTATTCTCCATGTGCATTTTATTTTATTACCCAATCTGCTCCCGACATTAAATGAAACTCCAAAAATTAAATTCTGGCCCTCAAACCCCACAACAGGACTTAATTAACCTCGCCTTCAAGGTGTACAATAATAGAAAAAAGTTGCAATTCCTTGCCTCCACTCTAAGACAAACCCCAGCCACATGCACACAAGAACTTCCAAATGTCTGAACCACAGCGGCCAGGCATTCCTCCAGAACCGCCTCCCCCAGGAGCTTGCTACAAGTGCCAGAAATCTGGCCACAAGGCCAAGGAATGCCCACAGCCCAGGATTCCACCTAAGCCATGTCCCATCTGTGCGGGACCCCACTGAAAATCGGACTGTTCAACTCACCTGGCAGCCACTCCCAGAGCTCCTGGAACTCTGGCCCGAGGCTCACTGACTGACTCCTTCCCAGATCTTCTCAGCTTAGCAGCTGAAGACTGACACTGCCCGATCACCTCGGAAGCCTATAGGACCATCACAGGTGCTCTGGGTAACTCTCACGGTGGAAGGTAAGTCTGTCCCCTTCTTAATCAATACGGAGGCTACCCACTCCATATTACCTTCTTTTCAAGGGCCTGTTTCCCTTGCCTCCATAACTGTTGTGGGTATTGACAGCCAGGCTTCTAAACCTCTTAAAACTCCCCATCTCTGGTGCCAACTTAGACAATACTCTTTTAAGCAATCCTTTTAGTTATCCCCACCTGCCCAGCTCCCTTATTAGGCCAAGATATTTTAACTAAATTATCTGCTTCCCTGACTATTTCTGGGCTAGAGCCACACCTCATTGCCACCTTTCCCCCTAGTTCAAAGCCTCCTTCACATCCTCCCCTTGTATCTCCCCACCTTACCCCACAAGTATAAGATACCTCTACTCCCTCCTTGGCGACCAATCATGCACCCCTTACCATCTCATTAAAACCTAATCACCCTTACCGCACTCAACGCCAATATCCCATCCTGCAATGCGCTTTAAAAAGATTAAAGCCTATTATCACTCGCCTGCTACAGCAAGGCTTTTAAAGCCTATAAACTCTCCTTACAATTCCCCCATTTTACCTGTCCTAAAACCAGACAAGCCTTACAAGTTAGTTCAGGATCTATGCCTTATCAACCAAATTGTTTTGCCTATCCACCCCGTGGTGCCAAACCCATACACTCTCCTATCCTCAATATCTCCCTCCACAACCCATTATTCTGTTCTGGATCTCACACATGCTTTCTTTACTATTCCTTTGCACCCTTCATCCCAGCCTTTCTTCGCTTTCACTTGGACTGTCCCTGACACCCATTAGGCTCAGCAAATTACCTAGGCTGTCCTGCCACAAGGCTTCACAGACAGCTCCTATTACTTCAGTCAAGCCCAAATTTCTTCCTCATCTGTTACCTATCTCGGCATAATTCTCATAAAAACACAGGTGCTCTCCCTGCTGATCGTGTCCGACTGATCTCTCAAATCCCAACACCTTCTACAAAACAACTCCTTTCCTTCCTAGGCATGGTTAGTGCGGTCAGAATTCTTACACAAGAGCCGGGACTGCACCCTGTAGCCTTTCTGTCCAAACAACTTGACCTTACTGTTTTAGCCTAGCCCTCATGTCTGCATGCAGCAGCTGCCGCTGCCCTAATACTTTTAGAGGCCCTTAAAATCACAAACTATGCTCAACTCACTCTCTACAGTTCTCATAACTCCCAAAATCTATTTTCTTTCTCACACCTGATGCATGTACTTTCTGCTCCCCAACTCCTTCAGCTATACTCGCTCTTTGTTGAGTCTCCCACAATTACCATTGTTCCTGGCCCAGACTTCAATCCAGCCTCCCACAGTATTCTGGATACCACAGCTGACCCTATGACTGTATCTCTCTGATTCACCTGACATTCACCCCATTTCCCCATATTTCCTTCTTTCCTGTTCCTCTCCCTGAACACACTTGGTTTATTGATGGTAGTTCCATCAGGCCTAATCGCCACACACCAGCAAGGGCAGGCTATGCTATAGTACAAGCCACCAGCCCGCCTTTTAGAACCTCTCATTTCCTTTCCATTGTGGAAATCTATCCTCAAGGAAATAACTTCTCAGTGTTCCATCTGCTATTCTACTACTCCTCAGGGAGTATTCAGGCCCCCTCCCTTCCTACACATCAAGCTCGAGGATTTGCCCCCGCCCAGGACTGGCAACTCTTAACTCCCTCTTAGGGTGGATAGATAATCTTTGCTGGCAGGGGACCCTTCAATACTTTCACCCTGATGAACTTCTATAGTTTTATACTCACTCATTCTCATTCCCATTCTTATGCCACCCTCTACCTCTCCCCAGCTATCTCTACCACACTATCAACCTTACTCATTCTCTCCTAGCCGTTTCTAATCCCTCCTTAGCGAACAACCACTGGCTTTGCATTTCCCTTTCTTCCAGTGCCTACACAGCTGTCCCCACCTTACATGCAGACTAGGCAACATCTCCCCACCTTACGTGCAGACTAGGCAACATCTCCTGTCTCCCTACATCTCCAAACTTCCTTTAACAGCCCTCACCTTTACCCTCCTGAAGAACTCATTTACTTTTTAGACAGGTCCAGCAAGACCTTCCCAGACATTTCACATCAGCAATCTGCCGCCCTCCTCTGCACTTACTTAAAAAACCTTTCTCCTTATATCAACTCTACTTCCCCCATATTTGGACCTCTCACAACACAAACTACTATTCCTGTGGCTGCTCCTTTATGTATCTCTCAGCAAAGACCCACTGGAATTCCCCTGGGTAACCTTTCACCTTCTTGATGTTCCTTTACTCTTCATCTCCAAAGTCCTCTTCTTGTTTACTTATACCCAGCCCCAAAAATAACAGTGAAAGGTTGCTCGTAGACACTCAACGTTTTCTCATACACCATGAAAATCGAACCTCCCCCTCTACGCAGTTACCTCATCAGTCCCCATTACAACCTCTGACGGCTGCCGCCCTAGGTGGATCCCTAGGAGTCTGGGTACAAGACACCTCTTTCAGCACTCCTTCTCATCTTTTTTACTTTGCATCTCCAGTTTTGCTTCGCACAAGGTCTCTTCTTCCTCTGTAGATCCTCTACCTACATGTGTCTACCTGCTAATTGGACAGGCACATGCACACTAGTTTTCCTTACTCCCAAAATTCAAATTGCAAATAGGACCGAAGAGCTCCCTGTTCCCCTCATGACACCGACACGACAAAAAAGAGTTATTCCACTAATTCCCTTGCTTGTCGGTTTAGGACTTTCTGCCTCCACTATTGCTCTCAGTACTGGAATAGCAGGCATTTCGACTTCTGTCACGACCTTCCGTAGCCTTTCTAATGACTTCTCTGCTAGCATCACAGACATATCACAAACTTTATCAGTCCTCCAGGCCCAAGTTGACTCTTTAGCTGCAGTTGTCCTCCAAAACCGCCGAGACCTTGACTTACTGCTGAAAAAGGAGGACTCTGTATATTCTTAAATGAAGAGTGTTGTTTTCACCTAAATCAATCTGGCTTGGTGTATGACAACATAAAAAACTCAAGGATAGAGCCCAAAAACTTGCCAACCAAGTAAGTAATTACACTGAACCCCCTTGGACACTCTCTAATTAGATGTCCTAGGTCCTCCCAATTCTTAGTCCTTTAATACCTGTTTTTCTCCTCTTATTCCGTTTAGTTTTTCAATTCATACAAAACCATATCCAGGCCATCACCAATAATTCTACGTGACAAATGTTTCTTCTAACAACCCCACAGTATCATCCCTTACCACAAAATCTTCCTTCAGCTTAATCTCTCCCACTCTAGGTTCCCACGCTGCCCCTAATCCTGCTCAAAGCAGCCCTGAGAAACATCGCCCATTATCTCTCCATACCACCCCCCAAAATTTTTGCCATCTCAACACTTCACCACTATTTTGTTTTATTTTTCTTGTTAATATAAGAAGACAGGAATGTTGGGCCTCCGAGCCCAAGCTAAGCCATCATATCCCCTGTGACCTGCAGGTGCACATCCAGATGGCCGGTTCCTGCCTTAACTGATGACATTCCACCACAAAAGAAGTGAAAATGGCCTGTTCCTGCCTTAACTGGTGACATTATCTTGTGAAATTCCTTCTTCTGGCTCATCCTGGCTCAAAAGCTCCCCTACTGAGCACCTTGTGATCCCCACTCCTGCCCGCCAGAGAACAACCCCCCTTCGAATGTAATTTTCCTTTACCTACCCAAATCTTATAAAATGGCCCTACCCTTATCTCCCTTCGCTGACTCTCTTTTCGGACTCAGCCCACCTGCACCCAGGTGAAATAAACAGCCTTGTTGCTCACACAAAGCCTGTTTGTTGGTCTCTTCACACAGACACGAGTAGTGAAATCACCCAATCAGAGTAATAAACATATCCATCACCCTAAAAGTTTTATATGTTAACTCACCCTCTTGCCTTTTTTCATATACCCCACACATTTTCATATGACCACTTCTATCATGCTTTCTGTCACTATAAATTGTTTTCTAAAATTATATTTGAACAGAACCATGAAGTATGTAATTTTGTTTTGTCTGGCTTCTTTCACTGAGAGTAACTATTTCAAGATTTAACTATATTGTTGCATGTATCAATAAGTCATTCATTTTATTTCTCAATAGTATTCCATTGCATTAGCATACCACAATTTGTTATTCATTTACCAGTTGATGGATATTTGGGTTGCTTCCAGTTTTGGGCTATTACAAATAAAGCTAGCAGGAACATTTGTAAACAGATCAGTGTATAGACATGTGGGTTCATTTCTCTTGGTTGAATACCTAGGAGTGAAATGTCTGGGTCATATGGTAGATATATGTTTTATTTTTTAAGAAACTGCCTGTGATGGTTAATATTGAGTGTCAGCTTGATTGGATTGAAGGATGCAAAGTATCATTCCTGGGTGTGTCTGTGAGAGTGTTGTCAAAGGAGATTAACATTTGTCAGTGGACTGGGAGAAGCTGACCCACCCTCAATCTGGGTGTGTACCATCTAATCAGCTGCCAGCTTGGCTAGGATAAAGCAGGCAGAAGAAGATGTAAAGAGCAGACTTGCTGAGTCTTCTGGCCTTCACCTTTCTCCCATGCTGGATGCTTCCTGCACTCAAACATCAGACTCCAAATTCTTCAGCTTTTGGACTCTTGGACTTACACCAGTGGTTTGCCAGTGGCTCTCAGGCCTTTGGCCACAGACTGAAGGCTGTACTGTCAACTTCCCTACTTTTGAGGTTTTGGGACTCAGACTGGCTTCCTTGCTCCTGAGCTTGCAGATGACCTATTGTGGGACTTCACCTTGTGATTGTGTGAGTTGATACTCCTTAATAAACTTCCCTGCGTATATACATCTATCCTATTAGTTCTGTCCCTCTAGAGAACCCTGACTAATACACTGCCACACTGATGTACCAAAAAAGTAGTTGTACAATGAGCAGCTTATGAGGGAGTTCCCATATCCTGCAGCAACAAATAAATCTCAAAAAACTTAAAAGACTTAAAACCATAAAAATTACATCTCTCACACACATTGAATAGGATGATTACATAGGGAAGTTAAGGTATTAGTTTCCAAAGAGGAAAAGGAAACTAGGCCGGAACAAACAGCATATGTGTATAACAAGGACCTGAGTAATATACCTAATATTTTTAACCCAGAAAATAACAGAAACGTAGCCGGAAAGTCTCCCAACTCGTGGAAACTAAACAAGACACTTCTAGATAACCCCTGACTCAAGAAGAAAGTCTTAAAGAAACTTAAAAAAATGCATTGAACTTGAATAAAAATGAAAATATAATGGAAGATGTGGACCTAGCTATAGTAGTGCTGAGAGGGAAATTTGTAGTATTAAATACATACATTAAAAGAGAAATCTCACATTAGTAATCTAAGGTCAGGCCTTAAGGAGCTAGAAAAAGAAGAGAAAAATAATTCCAAACGGAGCTGAAGGAAGGAAATAATAAAGATAACCATAGAAACCAATGAAATTGAAAGTAGAAAAACAATAGAGAAAATCAGTGAAACAAAGCCTGGTTCTTTGAAATGTCAATAAAATTGTCAAACTTCTAGCAAAACTGGAAAAGAAAAAACCCAGAAATTATCAATATTAGGAATGAAACAGGAAATAACAATACAGACCATGCAGAAATAAAAAGGATAATAAAGGAACACTACAAAAAACTCTACACTATAAATTTGACAATGTAAGCAAAATGAGTCAATTTCTCAATAATCAAAAATGAGTACAACTCACACGCTATTCAGTAGATAACTTGAAGTATCCTAATACTAGTAAGGAAATTATATTTGTAATTAATAAATTTCCAAAAAGGAAATCTCCAAGTTCAGATGGCTTCATTGGAGAATTCTACCAAATGTTTAAAGAATTAAGAAAAATTTTTCTCAATCTCTTTCAGAAACTTGAAATGAAGGAATAATTATCAATTCATATTGTGAAGTTAGTATTACCCTGATACAAAAAGTAGACACAGTACAAAAAAGAAAACTACAGACAAATATCCCTCCTGAATACAGATGCAAAGATTCTTAAAATATTAGCAGTTAGAATTCAGCATTATAAAAAATAATTTATATTCAGATCAAGTGGAAGCCAGGAAATAGAACAAAATGACAAAAATGAGACAATAAAGAGGTCATGAAATAATTGAAAATGAAACAATGTAATCTACAAACAGATACACATGCAATCTCAGTTTGCATTACAAAACAAAACTCAATCTCGAGCTGTCTATAATAGACTCAAGAAAAATGGATTTAACAAGGTCGAGATACAAAAAGGATGGGCAAAATTATAACATTCAAATGTAAACAAAAGGAATTGGGATTCATAGTAATATTAAATAAACTAGAGTTCCAGGTTAAATAAATTAAAGGACACATAACAAGAAGTTTTTGTGGAAGATAGCATGACCATAAACCTTTAGGCAGCTTGTAATAAAATATATAAGGCAAAAACTGTTGGAAACATAATAAATTTAAAGAAATACAAAAAAACATGGCAAGACTTTAATCTGTATCAGTCCTTGATTTTTCGAAGTAAATATAGAGGGTTGTGGTACAAGTCTTATGGATTCAAGTGAAAGCTAAATTAGGTGAAACTTAAATAAAGAAAACTTAAACGGATCCAAGTAACGAATCTGTGGATGAAAGTCCAAAGATTGGAAACTTTTGATTTTATTATTGCTGAGACCCCACCCACCCCCATCTATTGCTCTTGCTCTCTCCCTTTTTCCTTCTTTACCTCTAGGTTCTGCATTATTGTATTTTGTCTTTGGGTCTCTATACATAGCTTCATGTTTACATCATATGTATAACTGGGAATATAAATATACAGAGACCTTATTTTTCCTAACAATTCTAGCAAATACCTGCGGCTATATTTTCCTCTTATGAATTGAGTGAGTTTCTGTGATTCAATATCTATGACTGAATACTGAATATCCTGATTGGCTAGCACCAGGACAGATGCTTAACTCTGGGGCTAGGGTAGGGTCAGTCTCATTCCAACCACATGGATAGGAAAATTAAGATATTTGTTTCCAAGGAAGAAAAGAAAGCTGAGCAGGAACAAGTAACATACGTCTAATACAAGGATCTGAATCATATAACTAATAAGGGCTAACCTTATAGATACAGATACCTAAATGTCATTAAGCTTATCCTTCTCTATGTGCAAATAAGGTCATATGAATATGTTTATCATGTTTTTGCTGGCTTGCAGCTCCCAACTTTATAGCAACCTATTCTCTTTCTTTATACCCTACTCCCACCCATGCAAGTTCTTCAAGCTTTCTTACTCCTTCCGGTAGTTCTAGGAGTTTATAAAGACCACACATGTTCTGACAGGTCATTCTTAAACAATTGTGGCTGCCACCCTTTCTATGGAGAAGCCCTTCTGTGTTCTTCTGGTTCGGTGATGCTCTAGATTCTGTGTCTCATATATGATTGGCCTCCTGGTCAACACCAACCTGTCCTCAGTAACCTGTTTTTATCCTTCCCTCTGAGACTCAGAGATGATAAATGCCTCCTCCTGATTTTCATCTTGGGCCTCTGCTGGTATGTAGAGCATATATTCTTCTCTTTACCACCATTTTCCAAGCATATGTAGAGTCCCTTGTCTCTATTCCCTGAAGTACTGAAGAAAGCTAACAATATTTAATAGGATTTTTAATCTATTTTTAAATTACATTAAAATCTAATGACATTGATATATACTTTATGGACTTGGATAGGCTCTTGGCATAGGCTTGTAGGGCATACTATGATGTACTTCCTTCACTAGTCCTTAGCCTGTTGCCTCCTGCTCCAAATTGCCTTCAGAAAGCTGATACTTCTTAGAGTGAAGGTCATATAGGGTGAACAAATTTTAGAGAGCCAGCCCAGAATATAGCAATATCAGGCCTAAAATATTGTAATATAGTGCATATTATATAATTGTCCACTGTTATTACATTAACATGCAAATGTAAAAAAACAGTATATTTGTTTGAAATTATGTATTATTCTGTTATTTAATGTTCTGTTACATAAATGCTATTATTTCAGCATTTAAACAAAACAGTAACAGGATAAAGTAACAGTGACAATTAGTAGTAATTGTTAGACTAATTAAATAAATAATGTGTGGAAAATATAACTATTTTCATAATGTTCCTTTCTGTCCTCTTATATGTATAAATAGCAATTTAACTTTTAGAAAATTCTGAATTGGATATTTATATTTTGTAGGCTATAGT
Source organism: Homo sapiens (assembly GCF_000001405.40). NCBI lineage: Eukaryota > Metazoa > Chordata > Mammalia > Primates > Hominidae > Homo > Homo sapiens. The sequence goes on along the minus strand of NC_000003.12, from coordinate 21,373,495 downwards.
CTTAGCATACATAAATTTAAAACATTTAAAAGGTGAATATAAATGCAATCAGAGTAATTAAAAGATATTATCTTTAATAAAAAATAAAAACAATAACACTTTTTTCCTGTCCTGTAATGTAAGAGGATGTCTTTACTCTGTCTCTTTTTCCAGTAACACTTCTCTGATCTGCGTATAGCCGTTAGTATATTCTTTTTTTTCTTTTATGTAGTAACAAAACTGAATATAGTCAAACATAAAATTCACTTTGACTTGAGCTTTTCTCTTATCAAAGCCACATTACATTCATACCTGGTGTCAGCCCATTAAGATAACATCAAACTAAATATCCTCTCAACAAAGGCAATGGGCAATAAAGCACTTAGTATTTTACTTACTAACAACAGCAGGCTTTTGCAATTCATAGGGATTACTTCTCAGCTTTTTAATAATGTCATCTGGAGACTTGTGGTTTCTGGTACAACATAAGAGTTTGGATGTTATGACCCCCACTTTTACAGTGAGGAAAGGGCTAAACAAACTGAAAATCAACTCTTCTTGGATCCATCAAAGAATTGAGATTGTAGGTCAAGCCACAGTTCAAAACTTTGATAGGAGAGTCAGGTAAATAAAGAGATTCACAGTTCACCAGGAACAGAGCCCAAGAGCAGAAGTTCACCACTGGAGCCCTCACTAACTGCAAACTTAGGAGTTAAAAGCTTCAAGGGTCCCATTCTGGGGAGGATCATCCCCACACTTTTGTGAGTTTCACATTCAAAAGCCCCACTAGGTTCTCAGGATGAAGATCAGATAAAAATCCTCTCATGCCTCTGGAATAGGCAGAGTAGAAAACAGGCATTTATAAAGTAAGTCCAGAGCATTCTGTTTTTCTTAACAAAAGTCTGCCCTCAAGGGAAACAATTTTGCCAGAGTACAAGCATCTTGTCTTGGGTTTTATCAACGTTCAACTGACGTGGGGAGAGGAAAATACTCAGCTCCAGTTCCTTCTTGCTCTCCTGTCTCACGTAAGTAAGAGGAGAAAAAGAAAAGTGGAGGATCACTTGTAAAGGTCACCGCCCAGGGGCACAGGCTACCCTCAAAGACTGAGACCTAATAATGAAACTACAGAACGCTTTCCCTAATCCCACACTTTACCACCACATCTATGTAATACAGGAGATTATGTTGAAAGAACTGCAAGTCTTAGACCCTATTTAAGGCATCTCTAAGAAAACCCTAGAGCAATAGCGGGGGAGGGAGAAAAAAGGGAACTAGAGGAAATTTTAGCCTCTGAAATCTACAACTAGAGCAAACAGTAAAACATAACCTACAGATAGCATCATAATTAATGACGAGAAACTAGATGCTTTCTCTCTAAGATCAGGGATGAAGCAAGAATATCTCCTTTCACCTCTCTTAACGTCATACTGAAAGTCTTAACTAATGCAATAAAACAAGAAAAGGAAATTAAAATATACAGATTGGAAGGAAAAAATGAAACCATCATTATTAACAGATATCATAAGTGTCTATTTAGCATATTCCAAATAATCAACAGCAAGAAAAACCCCTTGGAACTAATAAGCAATTATAGTGAGATTGCGGAAAGTAAGATTATATACACAAGTCAATTCTTTTACTATATACCAGCAATGAACAATTGGAAATCAATATTAAAAACACAATACCACTTACATTAACATCCTATGAATTAAATATTTAGTCATAAACCTACAAAATATGTATAAGACCTATATGAAGACTACTAAAAAAACTCTGATAAAAGAAGTCAAAGAAGATTTACATGAAAAAACAGACATTTCATGTTCATGAATAAAAAGACTCAGTATTTTTAAGATGTCAGTTTCCCCAACTTGATCAATATATTCAGCACAATCTCAGTTCAAATTCTGTATGTTATCTTGCGAATATTAACAAAATTACTCAAAAATATAGTTTCCCTTTATTTACAGGGAATACATTCCAAGATCCCAATGGACAGATAAAACTGTGGGTAGTACTAAACTCTATGCACACTATGCTTTGTACCCAAACATGCATATCTTTTATAAAGTTTAATTTATTAATTAGGCATAGTACTTTTTCACTTTGGGGTCACTATTAAGTAAAATAAGGGTAACTTGAACACAAGCACTGCAATACTGGGACAGTCTATCTGATAACTGAAGATGGCTACTAAATGATGAACAGGCGAGTATGGTATAGAGTGCAGATACACTGGACAAAAGAATGAGTTACGTCCTGAGGGGACAGTGTGAGATTTCACCATACTATTCAGAATGGTGTGCAATATATAACTTATGAATTATTTATTTCTGGAGTTTTCCATTTAATATTTTTGGACTGTGGTTGATTGTGGGTAACTAAAATCACAAAGTGAAACCATGGATAAGGAGGAGCTAAAGACTCAGAATAGTTAACACCATATTAAAGATGAAGGACAAAATTGGAGAACTGATGCTACCTGACATCACAAACTATAAAGTGACAGTAATCAAGACAATGTGATACTGGTGAAAGGAGAGACAAACTAATCAATGAAACGTACTGGAGATCCCAGAATTAAACCTACAAAAATATAGTCAAGTTATCTTGAGTTTGAGGATCAATTTTTAAATATACTACAATAACATAAGTCATGAAAAAAACTAAGTGGAACTTTATTAAAATTTCCAACTTCTGCTCTGTGAAAAGACAGTGTTAAGAGAATGAAATGATAAGTTACAGACTAAGGGAAAATGTTTGCTAACCATACAGATGACAAAGGATTTGTATCTAAAATATGCAAAGAACTCTTAAAATTCAACAATTATAAAACAACCCAATTATAAAATACATTAAATATCTGAACCTCACCAAAAAATACATACAGATGGAAAATAAGAATATAAAACATCATATTTCATCAGGGAACTGCAAGTTAAAATAACAATGAGATATTTCAACTACACACCTATTAGAATTGCTAAAATCTGAAACACTGACAATAATGTCATCCACTTTCTATCTATAGCCTTGTTTTGATAAATGAACTGTTTGCCAATCAGGTCTTTTTGTATAAATCATAATATTGACTATGAATGTCTAAAATGTTCATCATTTTTAATCACTTAGAAGCACATTGGATTTCATCATCATTTAAATCTCTCTGGGAAAGCAGTTTTAATACAAAGAGAGAATATGAACTTGTAAAATCAGAGTTGGATTCCAAATAAGTTACAATATGAGTAAAGATATTGAGAAATTGGAGAACATTTTTTTCTCAAACTTTGAAATATTATTTTACAATAGGCCAACATTTTAATATCAAGGAAATCAAAGACAGTCATCTAGCAGACACATGAAAATCTATCTCCTTTTATTTCAATAAAGTAGAAAATCATTAACTGCTTTTACACATTTTGAGGAAATAGAAAAGTAATAAAAATTTTTTCATTATAAATCCTCAATATCACAGGAAATCAATAACATTTCTTTTTAACAGTGTTGTGTACAAGGTATACAGAGCATTTATCAGGTAAGATCTTTCCATTTTATTTGATAAACTGTTTACAGACTGAATGAAGCTTGCAAAAGTTTACATTTGCCCCATTGGTCAAATATGCAGATTTCTAAGCAAAGTTCAGATTGCATTTGGACAAGTTATCAACAATTTTTTTTTTTACATTTACTGAATTTTTATTAAAATCTTCATAAAAATCAAGAAAACAACTTCTAACTGCATTATTCAAGTAGAAGTATGTACGAGCAAAAGATAGCAGGTTTTTAAAAAATATTTTTGCCAAGATTCAGCTTATCACTTGATATACTATAGAAAGTATGATTGTTGGTATAATCTGACAGAATCAGCTATACACTGTAGGGGGTCAACATATCTGTTTTCAAATATCTCCTTTTGTTTACCCATAAAACATTTTAGTTGATACATCTGAGTCAAGAAATGTAACTTTACTCAGTTTCATAGGGCAATATAGGAAATGAAACAATAGCGTGTGTTCATTTGCAAACAATGCCCACATTAATTCAGTGGCTGCTATTTTTTTTATTGAGAATCATCTTTTTGGGAGATGAAAAAATCTTAATTAGCCTATCTAACTCTAAACTTGTGAGGTTTAGATTTCATATGTGCTTTCATATCTTCTTCTCCTTCCTGCTCATTCCCAAATTATTTCCAGTATTCCTGTTACATCATTTCCCTCCCAAGTCCAGTTATATGTATATTTTCTCCTTTGATTAAAGTAATATGGATATTTAGCCCTCTTTTTGGAGAAATCTGAGTCATGCTAGCACTGGTATTGTAATTGTTCTCATTTTCATTATCTAAACTGTCAGAAAACGTATTCATAATATTCAAAATATTAAAAATTAAATCTATACTTTTTTATTATACTTTAAGTTTTAGGGCACATGTGCACAACGTGCAGGTTTGTTACATATGTATACATGCGCCATGTTGGTGTGCTGCACCCATTAACTCATCATTTAACATTAGGTATATCTCCTAATGCTATCCCTTCCCCCTCCCCCCACCCCACAACAGGCCCTGGTGTGTGATGTTGCCCTTCCTGTGTCCATGTGTTCTCATTGTTCAATTCCCACCTATGAGTGAGAACATGCGGTGTTTGGTTTTTTATCCTTGTGATAGTTTGCTGAGAATGACGGTTTCCAGCTTCATCCATGTCCCTACAAAAGAGATGAACTCAACATTTTTTATGGCTGCATAGTATTCCATGGTGTATATGTGCCACATTTTCTTAATCCAGTCTATTATTGTTGGACATTTGTGTTGGTTCCAAGTCTTTGCTATTGTGAATAGTGCTGTAATAAAACATACGTGTGCATGTGTCTTTATAGCAGCATGATTTATAATCCTTTGGGTATATACCCAGTAATGGGATGGCTGGGTCAAATGGTATTTCTAGTTTTAGATCCCTGAGGAATCGCCACATTGACTTCCACAATGGTTGAACTAGTTTACCATCCCACCAACAATGTAAAAGTGTTCCTATTTCTCCACATCCTCTCCAGCACCTGTTGTTTCCTGACTTTTTAATGATTGCCATTCTAACTGGTGTGAGATGGTATCTCGTTGTTCTTTTGATTTGTATTACTCTGATGGCCAGTGATGATGAGCATTTTTTCATGTGTCTGTTGGCTGCATAAATGTCTTCTTTTGAGAAGTGTCTGTTCATATCCTTTGCCCACTTTTTGATGGGGTTGTTTGTCTTTTTCTTGTAAATTTGTTTGAGTTCATTATAGATTCTGGATAATAGCCCTTTGTCAGATGAGTAGATTGCAAAAATTTTCTCCCATTCTGTAGGTTGCCTGTTCACTCTGATTAGTTTCTTTTGCTGTGCAGAAGCTCTTTATTTTAATTAGATCCCATTTGTCAGTTTTGGCTTTTGTTGCCACTACTTTTGGGGTTTTAGACGTGAAGTCCTTGCCCATACCTATGTCCTGAATGGTATTGCCTAGGTTTTCTTCTAGGATTTTTATGGTTTTAGGTCTAACATTTAAGTCTTTAATCCATCTTGAATTAATTTTTGTATAAGGTGTAAGGAAGGGATCCAGTTTCAGCTTTCTGCATATGGCTAGCCAGTTTTCCCAGCACCATTTATTAAATAGGTAATGCTTTCCCCATTTCTTGTTTTTGTCAGATTTGTCAAAGATCAGATAGTTGTAGATATGCAGCATTATTTCTGAGGGCTCTTTTCTGTTCCCTTGGTCTATATCTCTGTTTTGGTACCAGTACCATGCTGTTTTGGTTACTGTAGCCTTGTAGTATAGTTAGAAGTCAGGTAGTGTGATGCCTCCAGCTTTGTTCTTTTGGCTTAGGATTGACTTGGCAATGCGGGCTCTTTTTTGGTTCCATATGAATTTTAAAGTAGTTTTTTCCAATTCTGTGAAGAAAGTCATTGGTAGCTTGATGGGAATGGCATTGAATCTATAAATTACCTTGGGCAGTATGGCCATTTTCATGATATTGATTCTTCCTACCCATGAGCATGGAATGTTCTTCCATTTGTTTGTGTCCTCTTTTTATTTTATTGAGCAGTGGTTTGTAGTTCTCCTTGAAGAGGTCCTTCATATCCCTTGTAAGTTGGATTCTTAGGTATTTTATTCTCTTTGAAGCAATTGTGAATGGGATTTCACTCATGATTTGGCTGTTTGTCTCTTATTGATGTATAAGAATGCTCGTGAGGATAGTTAGGTCTTCTTGTTGAATTAATCCCTTTTTCATTATGTAATGGCCTTCTTTGTCTCTTTTGATCTTTGTTGGTTAAAGTCTGTTTTATCAGAGACTAGGATTGCAACCCCTGCCTTTTTTGTCTTCCATTTGCTTGGTAGATCTTCCTCCATCCCTTTATTTTGAGCCTATGTGTGTCTCTGCATGTGAGATGGGTCTCCTGAATACAGCACACTGATGGGTCTTGTCTCTTTATCCAATTTGCCAGTCTGTGTCTTTTAATTGGAGAATTTAGCCTATTTACATTTAAAGTTAATATTGTTATGTGTGAATTTGATCCTGTCATTATGATGTTAGCTGGTTATTTTGCTCATTAGTTGATGCAGTTTCTTCCTAGTCTCGATGGTCTTTACAATTTGGCATGTTTTTGCAGTGGCTGGTACCAGTTGTTCCTTTCCATGTTTAGTGCTTCCTTCAGGAGCTCTTTTAGGGCAGGCCTGGTGGTGACAAAAATCTCTCAGCATTTGCTTGTCTGTAAAGTATTTTATTTCTCCTTCACTTATGAAGCTTAGTTTGGCTGGTTAGGAAATTCTAGGTTGAAAATTCTTTCCTTTAAGAATGTTGAATATTGGCCCCCACTCTCTTCTGGCTTGTAGAGTTTCTGCCAAGAGATCTACTATTAGTCTGATGGGCTTCCCTTTGTGGGTAACCTGACCTTTCTCTCTGGCTGCCCTTAACATTTTTTCCTTCATTTCAACTTTGGTGAATCTGACAATTATGTGTCTTGGAGTTGCTCTTCTCGAGGAGTATCTTTGTGGCGTTCTCTGTATTTCCTGAATTTGAATGTTGGCCTGCCTTGCTAGATTGGGGAAGTTCTCCTGGATAATATCCTGCAGAGTGTTTTCCAACTTGGTTCCATTCTCCCTGTCACTTTCAGGTACACCAATCAGATGTAGATTTGGTCTTTTCACATAGTCCCATATGTCTTGGAGGCTTTGTTCGTTTCTTTTTATTCTTTTTTCTCTAAACTTATCTTCTCACTTCATTTCATTCATTTGATCTTCCATCACTGATACCCTTTCTTCCAGTTGATCGAATCGGCTACTGAGGCTTGTGCATTCATCACGTAGTTCTCATGCTGTGGTTTTCAGCTCCATGAGGTCCTTTAAGGACTTCTCTGCATTGATTACTCTAGTTAGCCATTCATCTAATTTTTTTTCAAGGTTTTTAACTTCTTTGCCATAGGTTCGAACTTCCTCCTTTAGCTCGGAGTAGTTTGATCATCTGAAGCCTTCTTCTCTCAACTCATCAAAGTCATTCTCCGTCCAACTTTGTTCCATTGCTGGTGAGGAGCTGCGTTCCTTTGGAGGAGGAGAGGTGCTCTGATTTTTAGAGTTTCCTGTTTTTCTGCTCTGTTTTTTCCCCATATTTGTGGTTTTATCTACCTTTGGTCTTTGATGATGGTGACATACAGATGGGGTTTTGGTGTGGATGTCCTTTCTTTTTGTTAGTTTTCCTTCTAACAGTCAGGACCCTCAGCTGCAGGTTTGTTGGTGTTTGCTGGAGGTCCACTCCAGGCCCTGTGTGCCTGGGTATCAGCAGTGGAGGCTGCAGAACAGTGGATATTGGTGAGCAGCAAATGTTGCTGCCTGATCGTTCCTCTGGAAGTTTTGTCTCAGAGGAGTACCCGGCCGTGTGAGGCGTCAGTCTGCCCCTATTGGGGGGTGCCTCCCAGTTAGACTACTCGGGGGTCAGGGACCCACTTGAGGAGGCAGTCTGTCCATTCTCAGATCTCCAGCTATGTGCTGGGAGAACCACTACTCTCTTCAAATCTGTCAGACAGGGACATTGAAGTCTGCAGAAGTTTCTGCTGCCTTTTGTTTGGCTATGCCCTGCCCCCAGAGGTGGAGTCTACAGAGGCAGGCAGGCCTCCTTGAGCTGTGGTGGGGTCCACCCAGTTCGAGCTTCCTGGCCGCTTTGTTTACCTACTTGAGCCTTGGCAATGGTGGGCGCCCCTCCCCCAGCCTTGCTGCCACCTTGCAGTTTGATCTCAGACTACTGTGCTAGCAATGAGTGAGGCTCCATGGGCGTAGGACCCTCTGAGCCAGGCGTGGGATATAATCTCCTGGTGTGTCATTTGCTAAGACCATTGGAAAAGTGCAGTATTTGGGTGGGAATGACCCGATTTTCCAGGTGCCATCTGTCACCCCTTTCTTTGACTAGGAAAGGGAATTCCCTGACCCCTTGCACTTCCTGGGTGAGGCAATGCCTCACCCTGCTTCAGCTCACGCTCAGTGCACTGCATCCACTGTCCTGCACCCACTGTCCGACACTCCCCAGTGAGATGAACCTGGTACCTCAGTTGGAAATGCAGAAGTCACCTGTTTTCTGCGTCACTCACTCTGGGAGCAGTAGACTGGGGCTGTTCCTCTTCGGCCGTCTTGGCTCCTCCCCCACATCTGTACTATCTTGATGTAAGGCATGGAAGTCAGTCCATAGACAAAGTCAAAGATGGATTGTTAAAACTCATACTTACAGAACAGTTAAATTACATTTTTATGTTATCTAATTGTAGGCCTTAAAGCAAAAAAACCCCACAATGTCTATATTTTTAATAGACTTTGCTGTGTTTTTACATAAACAAATTCTTCACTCGGGGGATGGGTAGCATCAAATAAACTATTTGCTAAAAGTTGTCTTAAAATATTCAAGTCTTACAAAACAAAAACAGCTCACATCTTTGGATGTCAGTCCTTTCAGTTTCTACCATTCTAGTAAATATTTGCAATTTTCAGTTAGGGCTGAGGCCCAGAATTCTGTGTTTATTCTGTAAACCAAATGTGTACCTGGAAATTCTGTAGGTGGCAAACCATTAGATATAATATAGCTGGGATTAAACTGATCATATGTAATGCATTTAAAATCAATAATGGTGCAACAAAATGGGAACACTAACACAGATTTAATAAAATATAATAACTGTGGTATAATTTCATGCCAATCAATCAGGTGACAGGAAAGAGAAGAGGGACATATCATGGTTAGGTTCAGATTAAATAATTAAGTTGTTGAGGATCTCAGACAACTCTCCCTGAGTTCGTATGAGCAGGAACAGCTTTATAATTTTCCCACATGGAATAGTAGTAAGAATTTCAAAGGCTCCTCCTGGTTAAATGTATTTTACACAAATACATAATGCAAAAGCTGAAGTCAAATACAGGTACATCTTAGTGATATTCAAAGGCCAAAATATGTGGCATTTGAAGATCTATAAATATATACAAGGTGCATGTTCACTTTATCTTCTTTTTCTTCCCTTCCTTCTTCTTGTATTCCTCTCTCCATCCCTTACTTTTTTCCTTCCTCTCTTCTTATTCCCTTCTTTTAGTGCCCTAATGAGAAATTTCTTGCCTATGTGGCTGCAGAGAGTGAAAGCTCTGATTTTGTCAACTCATCTATGGACACCCAATCCAACCTGTGAAAGTCAAGGGGAGGTTCCTTTATGGATCTACACTGGAGAGTCCTATTGGCTGGGTGCCCAAGCTTCAACTGCCACCACATATGAATGTTTAGAGGTTCTTCAGCCCGATTTGTGAACAAGTAATCATTTCCAGAATCCATAGGGTGGAAGCATACAAACTCCTTAGAATAAGGAAATGAGGATATCAGGCTACCTTGTGAGGTCACTGAGTATTGTGACTCTACGTTGTATATATCTGCAACCGGCAGCCCTTAGTGCCAGCACAATAGTCCCTCAATAAAAGTTTGTGGAATCAAAACGAATAACATACAAGAAACAGAGCCATATGTAGTTGGTACATAGCACAATTCAGTAAACTTGCTTTGATTCCAAAGGAGGCAAAAGCAAAGGGTTTTGCTAAAATCTGTATAAACTCTTGTCAGTTATTTCTATGTATGTTTATCACAAGAGACTAAAGGATGCTTTCTGATATGGTTTGGCTGCATCACCACCCAAATCTCATCTTGAATTGTACTCCCATAATTCCCATGTGTTGTGGGAGGGACACAGAGCAAGACGATTGAATCATGGGGGCGGTTTCTCCTATACGGTTCTCCGGCTGGTGCATAAGTCTCACGAGATCTGATGGTTTGATAAGCAGAAACCCATTTCGCTTGTCCCTCTTCTTTTTGCCTGCTGCCATCCATGTAAGACAGGACTTTCTCTTCCTTGCCTTCTGCCATGATTGTGAAACTTCCCCAACCACGTGGAAATGTAAGTCCAATTATACCTCTTTCTTTTGTAAATTGCCCAGTCTCAGGTATGTCTTTATCTGTAGCGTGAAAATGGACTAATACACTTCCTTTGGAAAGTCACAGCCAAAATATGGTTCAGTCAGCATGGACATTCAGAAGAGCCAGAATGTTTTTAATTTTAAATTATATACTTCAAAAAGAATCTACAGACCACCTAAAAATATTCTGGACATAGAAACTACTAAAGAGCATGTAAATCCACTCAGTATTAAAATATCTGGTTGGTAACAGGAATTATTTCCCATTATTTGAATATGGATTGTATTTACCACAAAAGGAAAGTACTCTCTGTGGTAAATGTATTACTACCATTTCAAATGTGAAGAAATTGAGGTTCAGGATAGTGAACTTACCTAACCTCTCAAAGTTTTAGGGAGAAGTAGAACTCAAAGCTGTTTTTCTTCCAAGCATGTGCTGTTAGCATTGTTGTGTCTTATTTGTCTTACAAAAAGGCATTATTGTGCCATCTTTTTTTTCTTTTGGTCTAGGATTTGACTTTGTTTATCAAGATTGTAATAGCTGCTTTTGTTTTGTTTTCTTTTGTTTTGCTTTTATCTCTGTTTTCAGCCTCCTTGAATCATTATATTTTAGGAATGTGTTTTGTATGCACATAGAGGTTGCTTTTGCTTTATGAACCAGCTTGAAAATGTGTTTCCATTAAATGATGAATTAGATATATAAACATTTTCGGTGACTGATATGTTTGATCTCATCTACATATTACATCATATTTACTGTGTTTCTTTTGGTATTTTGTGTGTCTTCCTTGCTTTAAAAAGCTCCTTTTGGTATTTATAAAGATTTGGGGTTTGTTTGCTGTAGAGATTATCTTTACATCTATAACTTTTATAGTGCTCTTAATCTTCTCTTCTCATAGTTCTTGCTGACCTGTTACTATCTGGTTGGCTAGTCTTAACTAGTCTCTTTACAAAACAGTCTATGACTGATTCTACTTTTTATCTCTCTCATATACTCCTAATTTTTAGTTGCATCTTTTTTATTTTATAACAACATATAATGCATTGTATTAGTTCATTTTCATGCTGCTGATAAAGACATACCTAAGACTGGGCAATTTACAAAAGGAAGAGGTTTAATTGGACTTACAGTTCCAAGTGGCTCCGGAAGCCTCACAATCATGGCAGTTAAGGAAGAGCAAGTCACTTCCTACATGGATGGCAGCAGGCAGAGAAAGAATTTGTGCAGGGGAAGTCCTCTTTTTAAAACCATCAGATCTTGTGAGACTTATTCACTATCACAATAACAGCATGAGAAAGACTTGCCTCTGTGATTCAATTATCTCCCACTGGGCCCCTCCCACAACACATGGGAATTCAAGGTGAGATTTGGATAGGAACATAACCAAACCACATCATGCAAACATATTATTCTTGCACCTTTTGTTTTGGACTCAGTTCTATAATTAAATATATGAAACAAGTATCATCAGTCTGTTTGCCAAAGTTTTCCCAGCCATCTCTTGGTTGGATAAAGCTCAACCTGTAATAGATTGCTCAGAAAATATACATGTGTATAGTATTGTCTAAGTTCTGGAAGATTTAAAATTGTTTTCCAATAGCTTTGATACTTAATAGAAAATCTTTTGTTCATACGTTTTTATTATTATTATTTTTAGAAAATGTTGCATCATTGTTGATTTATATAGATGTTGTTTTTTAAGAGTTTGATGTAGTGTAATTGTCTTATCCTTGTAAGTTATTTGTTTTATCTTTTTGCTTGGAGCCACTGAAGACATTTTCTTTATCTTTGAATTCTAATAATTTTACTGTAATGCATCAAAGACTTGATTATTGCCAGTAAGTTATTCCAGTCACTTTGTGGACCCTTTCAGTTCTATTATCATCTAGAAATGTTTCTTGGATCTCTTTTACATATTGGTTCTGTTCCAGTATTTTCATTTTTCTTTTTCACAATATATCATGGTACATCTTTTCCTTTGTTTTCAATTTCAACTACTTTCTCTTTGACTTCTTTTACTCTTTATTTCATTCATTTTCATTATCTTGTCTGTTTGAAATATTTCTTATTTAATTTTCATATATATATATATATTCTCCCTTAGGTACTTTATAATTTTCATTTTAGATATGATTTTATATTTTCTGCTTCTATATCTTTTTAAATTAAATCATCATATTTTATTGGTTTCTGTTTTTGTCCATTTCTGTGCTTGAGTTTTAAATAATAGATTCATTATATTTTTACATATCCCACAGCTGTGTGTTAGGATATTTAAAGTTTAGAGAGTGATTACAGTAGTCTAAATCATGGTAATAATGGTCCTCAAAGTTATTCATGTCCTAATCCCTGGAACTTGAGAATGTTACCTTATCTGGCTGTGTGGATGTGATTAAGGATCTTTACATGGGAAGATTATCCTGGATTATCTGGGTAGATTCTAATTGTAATCACAAGTAATCATATAAAGTAGAAGCAGAGAAGATTAGACTGAACAAGAGGAGGTAAGTGATGTAACACTGAAAGCAAGAGTAGAGAATGATGAGAGGGGAGGGTCACAAGCCAGGGAATGCATGCCTCCAGAAGCTAGAAAAGGTGGGGTATGAATTCTCCCCTAGATCCTCAGAAGGAACCAACACTCCTGGTACCAACCCTTGAAATTAACTCAGTGAAATTGATTTCTGGAACTGTAAGATGATGTATTTATGTAGCTTTGAGCCACCAACTTTGGGGTAATTTATTACAGAAACTATAGAAACTAATACAATATTATGTGTTTCTTATATTTTGTGATTGATTTTGAGAGAAAATCTTTTATTACCTAAGATATTTTGTTTCGGATTTTGTTTTTTCTTAGAGTTGTTTTGTATAAATGCAGTCTGTTTCCTTCTATTACTATTCATTTTGTAAACAGAGTTTAGTATGTAAATTTAAATGTAAACTTTAAATTATTTAACTATTAATTATGACCCACCATTTTTATTATCTTTTTTAAAAATTTCAATTATATGCATGTTTGACCTTCTCTAGTAAGAATATAATTTAGTTTTCCTTGTACTGGTTTCATATACTATAGTCACCATTCTGTATTCCTGCCATATTATCATTTAGAAATGATTTATTCCTTTTTTTCTCTTTTTTCTCCTTTTTCTTTCACATTCCTCCTTTTCCTTAACCTGCTTCTCCTTAACCTCCTTCTCCTTCTTTCTTTGTCTCCACAAGTTTCTTTCCTCTGTGTAATATTTTGATAGTGTTTATATGGTGTAAAATCTCACAAGGCAAGGACAAAAGTTGACTGAACTGGATGAATGCTGATTGATTCATGGAGATGCTAGTAGGGGATTTCTCCTTTAAATTTGCCAAATACTTTTACTGTGGCACTTGAGTTTACTATCTATTCTAAAATGTCTGCATTCTTCTTTCTGCAAAAACTATGCCATATGGTATAGTAGTAAAGTCTAAAAGACCTGAGTTTGAATTTGTTCTCCTATGCTTACTACCTAAGGGAACTTGTTCAACCGATTCAACTTTTTTTTTAACATTTATGTGTGTTTTTTAATTTCTAGAGAAGGGATAATAGTATCCATGTTTGAAATTTGTTGTAAGGATTTAATGTGATAATGCTTATAAAGGACTGAACTGTGAAATGTCTACTTCACCGGAGGATTTTGTGATGATTAAGTGAGATAATATATGTAAATTTCTTAGCAAAGTGCCAGGCACAGAGTGCTTGACACATTTATGTCTGCTTTCATATGACTTACAATAGTCAGCCTTGCAGAAAAAAGTTGTCATACAGGCACAACCTGCACTTAATTCAATATTAAAACTTGGCTTATTACTGAGCATAGTTGGTGCCATCTGATACAAGTGAATATCATTCACTATAAACGAAACAAGGAACTGGTTGACAGTAAGGAATTCTCCACATGAAATGATATTTCAGACTAAAACACAATGACACACTTTCATACTGAATAGATAATATTTATATATTTGCTATCATACCCATTTCATCTTATTAGCTATCCTTGTGACTCTTTACTGTATGAATCTAAAGATGCATTTACAAAATTACATTCTAAAAGGAAACCTTCAGCCCTAGCATACTACCATACAGAGTATAAAAAACAAAGATACCAACATATGGACACTTATTGCATAGTGGCAATGTGTTTGGCGTTCAGAGATGAAAATTAAGATCTCTTACTTATTTTCCTCTTCCACAGGAATAGAGGCTAAGAAAGGTTAAGTAGCTTGCACAAATGCACCTTGTAGGAGTAAGAAAGAACCCATGACTTCTGGGATTTAGTCCAATTTATTTTCCGTTGCTCCATAGAATTTACTTTTGGAATTTATCCTTGACTCTTTGGGAGATTTGAAGGCCTTTACAATCTTCTTAGCATATGGAACTTCATAGCATATGGAACTTCGTAGCATATGGAAATTGTATCGAAAGTTCATGCTGTATGAAGTTATGCACAGCCACAAAGAAAAACAGAAATAATACAAGACAGTAGATTTGGGAGGAGTGAAGTAAAACTGTTATGTAATAGCAAAACAAAATTAATGAAATTAAGTTGACATCAGCATGGAAGTTCTTCAGTTCGTTACCCACATGTCCCTTCAATTTCCTCCTGCAAACACAGTCTCATACCTCTTTCTTCTAATATTGCCCTGGATATTTTTTGAAACTGCAATGCTGTGATGGTTTCTAGCTTCCCATTTAAGATTCCCCTTTCTAGTCTGCAAATATGGCTACATTTTTCAATCTACATTTTCCTTTTCTACAGAATCCCAGAAATAATATTTAAAGTATGATAACCTCCTATTGGATTAGGTCATAGTTGAAGTATTAGGTAAGTAAGTTTATACAACTAGTACACAGATGAAAATAAAACAGAAAAAAATGCCCTTTTAAATTAATTCTGCAAAAGCATTGTATGATATTTTAAAGCAAAAATCATTTAGCTGCTTAAGTATACTCCTTAGAGATGTAGCCATCTAAGAACTAAGCCATCTAAAAACTAAGACATTTTAGTTTATCTTGGAAATTAATTTCATTATAAAAAAAGAAACAACTTTAAATGTAATTAAAACTTTTTGTTGTTAAAGTAAGTGGGAATCTATTAAATATCTACTATTAATAAAAAATTTAATTTTAAAAAATTGCCAATTTTGAGGTCAGTGTAAACTTTTCTTTGACTCAAACTTTAAATACTGCAAAAACAATGTTTTTAAAAATACTATCTTCGATTTGCACATATTTATTACCAAATAGCTTCCTCTTTTCCCCACTAAAAGCTCATAACAAATCATAACACATCTGCATATAATTGTATCTTCTAATTTTATCTTTCAACAACCATACAATATAGAGATCACAGTCTACTTCTCAGTAAACTGGGACTTGGGGAAGTTTCGTAGGTTGTTCCATGTCTCATATTAGAACAGACAAGGAAGAAAACAGCTGAAATTTTGCTGTTGGGCTACCTTCTACCTTGGTGGTTTCTGAGCCTTTGGAAGTCCCATCACGTGTTTACCAAATGGTGTACACTTAGAGACAGCATGTCCTTTCAAGCTGGTAGCAGGGTGAAGCAATATTTTCCACACAACTACTCATTTATGCTCCACTGAGTGCTTACATACACTTTTATGAAAACAGTTATTCAATCAGAATGGAGTCAGGGCTGATGTGAGCATGGCCAGGCTGGAGGGTTGGGGGTGGCCTTTCTGGCATTAATGGAGAACTTCCAAATCTTATGCAATTGGTGTGTAATTTTCACTCAAATAGATACTTGATGGAGGAAATAAAATACCATGGCCCTCATGTTCCACTAAAGGCAATAAGACAGTCAATGGGATGTAGAGCTAAATTTGAGAATTTAAAAGATTCAAATAGTTGTAGATTTCTAACTGTCTTGTGGTACATGGAAGTTAAGATCAATTTGCACAGTAAGCTATATACCACTAAATTAATATTAAAGATATTAAAGTGCAAATGCAGTGAGCTGTAGACTGTGAATTCCCACTCTCTAAATGTAATCTTGTTGTATTTAGTACATTTTTAATTTTTGAAAAGAGTCAAACTAGCAATTTTCCACATCATTTTCTATTTTTGAGAATTTCCAGTGACACCGTAGCAATGCCATGACACCGACATTTAAAATAAACAAATAGAAAACAATTTAATCCACATTATGCCAAAACTCTTATGTTATTGTGTTTTGGAAAATAGTGTTTATTGCATCCAGAGGTACTCTGAATTTCGATCCAGAATGAAGGACGGGGACTTTTAGCAGCATTTCTAAGAAAAACTAGAGTTGAAACAGATCATCTTTGCTTTCACACCTACAGCAGCCTTGGCCCCTTCGCTGAGGAATCATAAAGACTTCCTGTTTCACTTATCTTACATCGGTTAGTAATCTGAACCAAATACTGTTTTTTTTTTTTATCCTTTTATGAGTCAAGAAATGACACATGGCCTGAAGATAGATTGTCTCTTCATCTTTTCCAGGGCTTCAGCTGTGAAGCTCAAATAGTTGGGAGCTGCCTGTGACTGTATCACTGGAACCACCTATCTTGGGCCTGGGTTCTGGCTGTTGTCTAGTTTCCTTCATTATTTTCTACTTGGCCTCTCCATGTGGCTAAATTGAGCTTCCTCACACTATGAATATTTCAAGAGAGAATTTCCTGGGAGGAAGACATGATGTGTAAGTGCTTATCATTCCTCTGCTTGTGTCCTATTGGTTAAAATAAGTCACATGGTCAAGTCCAGAGTCAGTATGGGAAGGGATTGGACAAGAGGTGAGTATGGGAAGCATGGATCATTGAGGGCCACCAGTGGTCTGTCTCAACTTTATATCCATGCCTGCCACCAACCAAAACAAACAAACACATGAAAACTGTAGCTTTGAGTTAGAACAGTGTCTTTCAATCTATAAAAGACAGTGATATAATAGGCTTCACTTGGAAGACCTAACATAAATTCTGGCATTGTAGAGCTGCTGCTGTGGATGAAGAGAAGCAATGTTTGGGAGTATGCCCCATCTTCTCTCTGATATACCTTGGTAATTATACTTCTTCTTACCTTGATGTAACTGGATGAAGGTTCTCATGCTAGGGAAGGAACAGGGTTAAATATTCCTTATTCTGGGCAATGCCAATGACTTCAACACACCTTCATATATTCACCATTTACTCCTGACTTATGGTAACTGTCTTCCTTTTGGAGGACTCCACATTTATCACTGTACCAGAACTTTTACACTTTGTGTTTTGACTCATAATATAGAAAGTATCTAGGATATTCTGATAGTATTTTGTATTTCAATTATAAAAATCCTTTGTGTTTTTGTCGTTAGGCATTATCCCACAATCCTCAGAAAAGATTTTTACTCTATTATAACCCCAACAAAATCTGCTATCCCTGTCCATGACTTCAGAAAACACTCCCTCCCTCTGCCCTGTTGGGTCTGGCAGACCTTTTGACCAAGCAGGTGTTTAGACAATGTGCATTCAATTATAAATCATACTAGGGGACTTAATATAAAATCTTTAATGGTTGCTTTGGGGTTACTTTTGAGTCTGCCAGTTTTCATAGTATTAGTCTTCAGCCATTCATATAAGTAGCAATACTCTTAGAATTGAATGAGAAACCTCTCTAGTTCCAGTGCCTAGGACCAACAGCTTTCAGATAATCTGGTTCTGTCATTAATCAGACTATCATCTCTACTATCCCCTTTTGATAGCAAGGATTCTGTAATGCTCCTTTACTAATCTGAAATTTAAAAATCATAGATTTATTGAACTATATCTGTATGCATTAAAGATTAATATAATTCCAAATGATTATGTAAAATTATAATAAAAGCAATGTAATTTATAATAAAATAATGAATTTTTCAATATACAAATCCTGTGGCACTACTGCATTAGTTTAGGTAGCTAGATGTTTCCACCACGTTGTAGCATCCTTGAAATGTGACAGCTATGAGTACACATAGGAGTGTGTACTGAAGCCCAAATATCAAGCAATGCTGTTGGGGTGTGTTTTTCTGAAATAGCTAACAACTCTACATAAAATTTTTTACAAAAAAAAAAAGCAAGAAATTCACTCTATAAACACAGTAGTGGCATTTCTGGAGCATTTAGCATACATTAAAACTGTATGAAAATACAGTTTTATTATGGAAGGTAGCTACAGATAAATACAAATAGGCTTTTCACCTACTTAGTGATTTAGTGACATATTCTTCAAAAGGTGTGAACAATGTAAAACATTTCTTTATAGTGTTAGTCTCGGGTATTGTAGAATGTCCATCATATCAGTCTCCTACCCAGTAAATGCCTATTAGTAGCCACCAGTGAACATATCAATGAAAAACATTACGAATTCGTGTCTAGAGGGCAGTAACACTCCCACTGAAACCATCTATATAGGTGAAAAGTTTTTAAAATCCAAGTGCTGTTTCTAAGGGAGGCTAGGTCCAACACAGGGAGAAAGGATTCATTATTTGGACTGACTGAGCCAGTTCTTCTATAGCCAAATCCACATGTCATTTGAAATCATTTAAATATTTTCTGAGCATCCTAATTCAGTGTTTAATCACACTCTGAAAATAATTTCTTACTTATGTCTAGCCTAAAGCTGTCTTGCTTTAGCTAAAGCACAATTCCTCCTGTAGAACTAAAGGTTTCAATGGCATTTTAAAATTTGCATACCCATGTTAAGAGACAGGTTTATCTCTTAGCTTTTATTTCACCAAAAAAGGAATGTGGCTGCATAATAGCAGTCCATTTTTAGAGTTGGGCCTTCTGTATTAGTGTTGCCAGTGAGCAAAACAATAGCCATTTTAATTTAATTATTTACAAAGTCTGTTTATTATTTTAGTGTTACATCATCCTTTTAATAGGTCTGTTTTCTTTTTAAAATTATTATTATACTTTAGGTTCTGGGATACATGAGTAGAATGTGCAAGTTTGTTACATAGGTATACAAGTGCCATGGTGGTTTGCTGTACCCATCAACCTGCCATCTACATTAGGTATTTCTCCTAATGCTCTCCCTCCCCTTACCCCTACCCACCGACAGGCCCCAGTGTGTGGTGTTCCCCTCCCTGTGTCTGTAGCAGGACAAGTTGCAGACAAAACCCCTCAGACACAGAGTTAAAGAAGGAAGTGACGGTTTATTCGGCCAGGAGCGTTGGCAAGACTCCTGTCTCAAGAGCCGAGCTCCCCGAGTGAGCAATTCCTGTCCCTTTTAAGGGCTCACAACTCTAAGGGGGTACGCGTGAGAGGGTCGTGATTGATTGAGCAAGCAGGGGGTACGTGACTGGGGGCTGTATGCACCGGTAATTAGATCGGAACAAAACAGGACAGGGATTTTCACAGTGCTTTTCTATACAATGTCTGTAACCTATAGATAACATAACCGATTAGGTCAGGGGTTGATGTTTAACTACTAGGCCCAGGGCACCACGCCGGGCTGTCTGCCTGAGGATTTCATTTCTGCCTTTTAGTTTTTACTTCTTCTTTCTTTGGAGGCAGAAATTGGGCATAAGACGATATGAGGGGTGGTCTCCTCCCTTATATCCATGTGTTCTCATTGTTCAGCTCCCACTTATGAGAGAGAATATGTGGTGTTTGCTTTTCCATTCCTGTGTTAGTTTGCTGAGAAAGATGGTTTCCAGCTTCATCTATGTCCCTGCAAAGGACATAAACTCATCCTTTTTTGTGGCTGCATAGTATTCCATGATGTATATGTGCCACATTTTCTTTATTCAGTCTATCATTGATGGGCATTTGGGTTGGTTCCAAGTCTTTACAATTGTGAACACTGCTGCAGTAAACATACGTGTGCATGTGTCTTTGTCGTAGAATGATTTATAATCCTTTGGGTATATACCCAGTAATGGGATTGCTGGGTTAAATGGTATTTTTGGTTCTAGATCCTTGAGGAATTAACTAATGGTTAATGGTTGAACTAATTAACACTCTCTCCAACAGTGTAAAAGTGTTCCTATTTCTCCACATCCTCTCCAGCATCTGTTGTTTCCTTACTTTTTAATGATGGCCATTCTAACTGGTGTGAGATGGTATCTCAGTGTAGTTTTGATTTGCTTTTTTCTAATGACCAGTGATAATGAGATTTTTTTCATACGTTTGTTGGCCGCATAAATGTCTTCTTTTGAGAAGTATCTATTCATATCTTTCGCCCACTTTTTGATGGGGATGTTTGTTTTTTTTTTTTCTTGTAAATTTGTTTAAGTTCCTTGTAGATTCTGGATGTAGCCCTTTGCTAGATGGATAGATTGCAAAAATGTTCTCCCATTCTGTAGGTTGCCTGTTCACTCTGAGGATAGTTTCTTATGCTGTGCAGAAGCTCTTTAGTTTAGTTAGATCCCACTTGTCAATTTTGGCTTTTGTTGCCATTGCTTTTGGTGTTTTAGTTATGAAGCCTTGCCCATGCCTATGTCCTGAATGGTGAAGCCATCAAGTCCTAGGATTTTGTTTGTTGAGAGGTTCTGATTATTGATTCAGTCTTCTTATTCATTGATCTATTCAGATTCACTATTTCTTCATGATTAAGTCTTGGTAGTTTGTACGTCTCTAGGAATTTGTCTATTTCTTTTAGTTTATCCAATTTGTTAGTTTATAATTGTTCATAGTAGTCTATTATTCTTTGTATTTCTGTGGTATCAGTTGTCATGTTTCCTCTTTCATTTCTTTTATTTAAGTCCTCTCTTTTTTTCTTAGTCTAGTTAATTTTTTTGTTAATTTCCTTCATCATTTTGGTAAACCAACTTTTTGTTTTACTTCTATTTTCTACTATTTTTCTAGTCTCTATTTCATTTATTTCTACTCTAATCTTTATTATTTATTTTCTTTGACTTTGGGCTTAATTCTTTATTTATTTTTTATTTTTTGTCTTTGAGACGTAAAGTTAGGTAGTTTATTTGAGGTATTTTTTCTTAACGTTGGCCTTTATCACTATAAACTTCCCTCTTAGACCCGCCTTTCCTGCATCCCATAGGTTTTGGTATGCTATATTTTCATTTTCATTTGTCTCAAGATTTTTTTTTACTTCCCTTTTGATTTCCTTTTGACCTGTTGGTCTTTATGAAGTGTAAGGTCTAATTTCCACATATTTGTAAGTTTTCCAGTTCACCTCATGTTATTGATTTCTAGTTTCATATCACTATGTTCAAAAGAATACTTGATATGATTTCAATGTTGTTAATTAGTTAGCACTTTTTTTGTGGCATAACATATGATCTATATTGGAGAGTATTCCATATGTTGCTTGAATAGAATGTGCATTCTGCTGCTGTTGGATGATAGGGTTGTATATATGTCTTTTAAGTCCCTTTGGTCTATAGTGTAATTCAAGTCCACCATTTCTTCATTAATTTTTCTGTCTGTATAATCTGTCTATTGTTGAAAGTGGGATATTGAAGTTTCTCATTATTATACTGCTATTTCTGTTGTCATTGCTGTTGATATTTGATTTATATATTTAGGTGTACTGATGTTGGGTGTATATATTTACAACTGTTGTATCCTCTTGGTGAATTGACCTCTTTATCATGATATAATGACCTTCTTTGTCACTGTTGACAGTTTTTGAATTAAATTCAATTTTATCTTATATAAATATAACTGCTTCTGCTCTTTGTTTACCATTTGCATGGAATAAATTTTTAATCCTTCCCTTTGTCTATGTATGTCCTTAAAGCTAAAATGAGTCTCTTGAAAGGCAACTTATAGTTGGATTTTGTTTTTAATTCATGCAGCCACTTTGTGTCTTTTGATTGAAGAATTTAATATATTTACATGTAAAGTAATTATATACGTAAGGACTTATTACTGCCATTTGTTAGTTGTTTCCTGTTTTGTACTTCATTCCTGTCTTGCTGTCTTTCTTTGTGATTTGGTGATATTTTTGTAGTGGTATACTTTGTTTTTTTCTCTTTTCTTTTGTGTATCTGCTACAGGTTGTGTGTGTGTGTGTGTGTGTGTGTGTGTGTGTGTATGTTTACCATGAATTCAGACCCTTTTTTATTCACACACACGCATCCATATATCATTCACTCTAGGTTGTCATGTGTATCACAGATTTTATTGAAAGTTTTGGAAGTAGAAGAGCTTGATATTGGAAAAATGCAAATAATTTAAAATTGAGTATTTAAAATCTGTTTTTGAATATCCTTCAAATATTCTGCAAAACTGCTCTACCCTTCACTCTTATGTCACTCACTCTCCCTTTTCAGAAGTCAAATGAGACAAACCAACAAAAAGTCCTCAAAAAATGAAAAGCCTCATTTTTATATATTGAAAAGTTCAGCCTACTCTAGAACTTACCCCTAAAACTTTTTTCTAAACTTTTAAATACATATCCAGTTATTCAGTTTGGATCTTATTTTGTAACCCCCTTCCCCACACATACTGCTACCACCAGCAAAGGCCCTAAGAGCTGTATTTTTTATTTCATCTTTGACACGTATTAGGCTATCTGCTTACCTTCTCAACATCAATTTTGGTCTAAATATTATTTTATTATATCATCATTATTACTTTTCATCAGTTTATAAAATGGAGAGCTTTGAAAATTGAATTAATGTTCCTTTACTTGCAAATGACAGAAATTTCACTGAAACTACTTTAAACACAAAAGAAATTGATTTATATTATTTTTATAAGGTGCCCTTCATGTACTTTGACCCTAAAAGCCCTCTGTCACATTTTCTTGTTTCAGAAAAATTTCTAAAAAATTACTATTGCCCTTCTTGGCCTTAATTTTCTTCTGCACAAAAAGAACCTTTGGATCTCCAGAATTCTTCTAATTTGTCTGTTATACTGTGTCGGATACTTCCCTTCCTCTTTGTGAAGTGGAAAATTCTTCACTTGTTAAATTACTTTATGGTAGAGTAATTAAAGGAAATATCTTGAAGAATCAAAACTAACTCTAAACTTTATATAAATACAGACCACAAAGATGTTCAAGTATTCCCTTTCTGGCCTTGAGCAGAGTTTGTGCAAGCCCTGAAGGCAAGCTGTGTTCTTAGAAAGGCTTTACATCTTTTTTTTTGTTTTTTGAGACAGAGTCTCACTCTGTCGCCCAGGCTGGAGTGCAGTGGCCCTATCTCGGCTCACTGCAAGCTCCGCCTCCCAGTTTCACGCCATTCTCCTGCCTCAGCCTCCTGAGTAGCTGGGACTACAGGCGCCCGCCACCATGCCTAGCTAATTTTTTGTATTTTTAGTAGAGACGCGGTTTCACCGTGTTAGCCAGGATGGTCTCGATCTCGTGAGCTCATGATCCGCCCACCTTGGCCTCCCAAAGTGCTGGGATTACAGGCGTGAGCCACCACGCCCGGCCAGCTTTACATCTGGCCAGCTCTCCTTTCTCTACTTAATTATCACATCATTCAAAATGTCAAGCATTTCCCTTATTTACACACTGAGGGCCATAAACATCATGTAGGGGCTGACATGTATTAATTATCATTTTCTTTATTTGTATTAATTAGGTTAAATATCAAAGCCTAAAACTAACTTCCAAATATTATTTTGAAAATGTTCTGCATTTCATGACAAGATTTAAATAATAAAGCCTTTGTTAAATAATAAATCCTAAAACCAAGCAAGGACAAAACTAATTATAAACATTTTCACTACATTCTTCTGTATCTGTTTGTCAATGTACTTGTTTAATAAATAATGTTTACTGTATACCCACTTATTTCCAAAAAGCATTTGATATAGCTTAAAATAGACACAAATACTTGGGGAGTACTTGAAATGATTAAATAATAATTAAACTTCAAAAGCATGTACAAAACCTACATTTGGTTTGCAAATAGCAATTTGGACATTAATTGTTTACAAGACTACAGCTTTTTCATACGGTATTTTTCTACTTTTCATATCTCCATGTGGCATGCTGTATATCTTACAATTTTCTGATGGCCTCATCTCCCATGAATGACAACATGCCATGGCGATGAACTCAATATTCCTCATTGGTACTTCCCTCTCCCCAGTAACCCTAGCAAATCAAAAGGAAAAGAACTATGGTTGGCACCAAATAGTTGGCCCCTCACTGATAGACATCCCTACTGGCTTTCTTTTCCTTCTATTTCAATACTATTATGATTTCAGTGTTTATGTAGGTAAGAATTTTCTGTAGCTTAGACAAAAGGAGCTAATTTCTATTGCATATTTTAGGATGAGATTTGAAGCCAGATCAATTTCTAGTATGATGCAGATTCTGACCCATCAAAACAGAACCCATTATAATGAAGCAGTAAGACTGTGTCAGAGGGTTCCAAGCCCAGAAAATATCTGCTATGCGTACCCCTACTTAGTATAGATTGTTTTACATAGATTAAACCTTTTACAGATTTAGCATTATTTTAAAGCTGAAGAGAAGCAGGCTTAGAGAAAATGAGAGACTAACCAAGATAATTCATTTAATCATCTAGGAATTGTTGTTATAAGACTGTGAACTTAAACATAATAGAAATTAATTTTAATAACAGTTTAAACAAATTCAGAAGTAGGTATCTCAGCCTCCAATAAGTTTTCATGGACTTATGCTCTTTCTCTTCCTGCTCTGTGAACCTAGGTGCTTGACATTTATCCAGAAATTTGCCTCATTATCCAATATGGCTGCTGGAGCTATGGAACTCACATCCACATTTCAGGCAGGAAGGAAAAGAAAGTATGGGCAAAGATAGAAAAGGTCCATTTTCTATCTGACTGTCCTTTTCTCGGAGCTGCCTGTAGAGGAGAAAAAGTAATATCTTTTCCTCACTCATCACAAGGATCATGGCTGAAACCTATATAACAAAAAACAGATTAATAAGAGAAAAGCAAAAATTTATTTGACTGAAGTTTTATGTAACATAGGAGCCTTAAGAAATGAAAACCCAAAGATAAGGGAAATTTCATGGTGTATTTTATGGACAGTTGTGCAGAAGTGTGATTGGAATAAAAGAGGGTATGACCTAATGGTAATAAACTGGAGGGAATTTAGCAATCAGTTTGTTCAGATTCTTTTTGGTATAGGGCAGAATCTCCCTGGAATGAGGGTCTTATGACCTACTTTCAGGCAAGATAAGTCAAATAATTCCTTTATGATCATGTTACAGAGGAGAAAGGTGTAAGAAGGTCAGGGTGACCTTCTTGCTTCCACTGTTTTGTCAATTGCGAAGGTGCTTACTTGGGGGTATCGTGTTCTGAGACCCAACACTCTTCACAAACAACAACACTCTCTCACATGCTATTGGTCAATCACAGTATCATAGGAATGGATACAATGGTGCTTAGAAGGAAAAGCCTCTATTTCTAAAGAAGTCAAAGACAGGTTTGGGTTAGGCCGCAAGCAATCTTTACTACACACAGCTAGTAAATGATATAGTCACATTCTCAACCCAGATCTCACTGACTTACTCCCTACTACATCACACAGCCTATCACATGTGGAGTAAGCACTTAGAAATAGGAAACTGAAGTTTATACCTATTGTTTTGTATATATCACAGTATTAATTAGTATTGGGAAGTGAATATTTGTTAAGTGGATGAATGAATTAATGCATGAGTGTAAGAAAAGAAAGTAAAATGGATGAGTAAAGTTGTGCCTGCTGGGAAGTCAGGTGGTATATATTACTATCTGTTATGTATTTTCATTTTATAAATAATTGGGGTAGAGGGCTTAGGATAGATTGGTGTTAGAAGAGGCAGTGAGAAATAAAGAAAGAAACTGAAATTCCAAATTTGAATTTTGTATATGTCTTATTGTTAACCGTTCACACTTAAAACATATATGTGAACATCTTTGAAACCTAGAAGGTATTAAATTGCTATCAGCTGCATTCATTCATATTCATTTTTAAATGTATTCATCTGTTTTTTAAACAATTTATGTAACTTGTATGCAACACATCTATTTCTTTCTGTAATGTTTATTCATTTGATAAATTTTTGATAGGTGAGGTCTCAAAATTCTCTATTTTGAAGTACAAAATGAGATGGATAAGTAAAACAACTATCTGAATATCTCAGGAACGTTTTAGTCACAATTATTATAAAGGCAATTATCAAGATAATTCCCTCCATTTTCATTTCAAACATTGTGCTTGTCAGTCATATTAAATCAACCATTCACCTCTTGATTATTTTGTATTCTCTTTTTAAGTTAAAGACTCGCACATATGACACACACACACATTACTGTGTAGTTAATATTATCAACTTTTCATTGTTTAGTGAGTTCAATTATTTTTAATGAATACGCTTAATTTGGGCTCTTTGGCCAGTAATGATTAGATATGTGGTTAATCTGATTCTTTTCCTCTGGGGTAAGTCACTTCTGTGTGAAGGTATACCCAAATTTGGTACATAGGGAAGAAAGCAGTCAACAATTTCCAGCATACTCAGCTCTACATTGTTGCACTTGAAGCAGAGATTCCAGAATAAACTAAAACTTTCTTCATTTAGTCAAATGGATCACAGTCAGGAATGCCATAAGACTGTCCACGTGTCTTTGATGCAATGGCATTATTTTGTGTCAAATGTAGCTGAAAATAGATGAGCTGTTGATTAGACCTTGGAAATGATTTTGTAATACAGAACCTCAGCTTATAGTGGCATTTGTTGGGTAATAATCTTTCCCCTTAATTTGTTGGCAAGCTTTCTCCAACAAACCAGGTTTTTTGATAGTTATATTTGCCGTGCAGGTTATTAGGCTAGTTTTAAAGGTCCAAGTTATTTCAAAATAATAACTAAAATTAAATATAGATACACAAAAGTAGAAATAAGTTGCCAAAAGCAAGGCAAGAATTTTTTTTCTAACAAATGTCACATGCCTCATTTTCTGTTTGCTAGATATAATGATTTTGCTGGGAGAGAATATTAAAAGGAGAATGAACAAAAGGAATGAAATGCATATGGCTGATTCAGGGTAGCACGACACTTGTGGAAATCACATGAGTTTTAGAAAATATGTAACAGGAGTGAGATTTACCTCCAAAATGCAGAGCCATCTTTTCTTAAAATGGTAACAAGAATAGAAAGCTAGTTAATACCTCTATTTCACTGCTCCTGTTACTACTGCGCTGCTATATTCTCATTCTTGGGACCACAATTGTAGGATATTTTAATCCTCTTCTTTCCTTGGTTCATTTAGCAATAGTTGGCAGTGATGCCTATTTCAGTTACCTGGGCCTGTCAACCTGTATCCGTCACTAGTGCCAGAACTCAGAAAGCAATCACTTAACCAGACATCACATCAGTCAGTCAGTCAAAATAAAGGATCTTTCCAATTTAGAAGAAATCAGTTATTGAGGGAATTGGTTGTTAAAAAAGACAGCACCATGTCCCTTCGCGCACACGCGCACACACACACACACACACACCCCTGTTTTTCAGCTGACTTTATTGCTCTTGAGCTCAAGGTTAGATGGCAGTGTTGGAGGAATGAGAGGGGATAATAAATTTATCAGATGGGAAATGAGTCATGAGTATAAAGGAGCATAGCTTGAAACTGGAAATTGTTGACTAGAGAGCATTTCTGGTAAGCATTTTTTGGAAGCCTGGGTTCTAATGGGCAGAGTTGATGCCTGTGGATTAGATGCTTTGTCACAGTCCAAGCACAGCAGCCTACACACGTCCCCATTCTCATATTTGAGCATTGCAAGATGTAAAATGTACATTCCCATGTCTCTTGTTCTAAAGGCAGACAAGTCAGATTTGAAGCTGGGAAGTTCTTATTAATTATGTACATTTGAAAATAACAATTATTCAATATTTCATCTCAAAGGAAGCTATGAAATGTGATTTTATCATAAAAATTATTACAGTGACTAGCATGAAAAAGATCATAGCTCCCTTAAAAATGATAAATGCAAAAAAGTCATCCCAGCTGTGTGCATAAAATCATCATATTGACACCAAAATTCCCTATGATGCTCTATGCTATTAGACCAAGGGTTGAGATGTCCATTTAAATAATCCTTTCTAATAGAAAAGCAGTATATATGAATTGCTGAATATTCTAAAAACACAGAAAATCACAAAGAGAAAGATTACTAATTTTATATCCTGGAGCCTATATAAGCATTTAGGGACATGTACGTTCAGATCTTTGTGTCTCTCTCTTTGTCTTTCATGTTTCTTCATAATCTTATGCTATATCTTGCTTCTTTTTTACTCAATGTCACATTATGAGATGTTCCGTGTCTTGATAAGATACATGTATTTTTCAAACTCATAATAATGTACAGCTATAGAGTATTCACTCCATCTTAAGGAAACCACTCAATTATTATTATTATCATTGAGATGGAGTCTCGCTCTGTTGCCCAGGCTGGAATGCAGCGGCACAATCCCGGTTCACTGCAACCTCCGCCTCCTGGGTCCAAGTGATTCTCCTACCTCAGCTTCCCAAGTAGCTGGGATTACAGGTGCCCGCCACCACACCCGGCTAATTTTTGTATTTTTAGTAGAGATGAGGTTTCACCATGTTGGCCAGGCTGGTCTCAAGTGATCAACTCCTGACCTCAAGTGATCCACCTGCCTTAGCCTCCCAAAGTGCTGGGATTACAGGCATGAGCCACCGCGCCCGGCCAGGAAACCACTCAATTAACCATCTCTGGATAATATTGCAGGTTAAATTCCCTAGGAAAACACCCTTGATGCCGTGATTAACATTCGGGAAATTAGAGAATGCTCTCTGGATTTACATTAATGTATGAAAGAAGTGAAGCAGGATTGAGCAGATCAAGAAATTGGTCCATAATATAATCATAACAAAAGGTCAGATGAACACAGAGTATTATGGACTAGTTGTACCTTCAGAGTTATCCCAGTGTTCGCCAAAAAGTCCAGACCTTTATAGCCAAATTTACCAGATGCAGGCTATCTAGAAAAGTGATAAGATCTTGGGTGAGGCAACTGTCTTCAGCTAAGGACAACTAAATAACATCCTTTGTAGCCAACTTTAGAAATTCTATGTTACAGAGTTTGCTATTAGAATGCCATTAAAATTTTTTTTTATATTTACATGCTTCACTTCAATCAAATGTTTGAACTGACAAATTCAAAACTTGCTTCCACAGAATGGGCTTTGCATATGGATTGGCTCCCATCCTAGGAAAAAAAACCAAAAAAAGCAATTTCCCAAATAAGTAAAAAATGACTGTGTTTCAAAAAATTATCGCTAGTACTTGTGTTTGGTATGAAGCTATTTTCCTGGTTCTTGATTAACCAGTTGCTGACCAAGAGCAAGTTATTACCTACTCCCATCTAGCATGCCTTGTCCAAGACCCTAACTCCCTCCCTCATGTTCAACATCTATAGACTCAATGATTTTGCACTTTTTATTTGGATTCTTATCATATTCTACTCTTGCCCAGGCTGGAGTGCAATGGCATGATCTTGGCTCACCGCAACATCTGCCTCCCAGGTTCAAGCAATTCTCCTGTCTCAGCCTCCCAAGTAGCTGGGATTACAGGCATGTACCACCACGCTCGGCTAATTTTGTATTTTTAGTAGAGACGGGGTTTCTCCATGTTGGTCAGGCTGGTCTTGAACTCCTGACCTCAGGTGATCCACCCACCTTGGCCTCCCAAAGTGCTGGGATTATAGGAGTGAGCCACTGTGCCTGGCCAACTCTGACCAGTATCTTTCAGGTCTTTCTCAGATAAATGTTTTTCTCTTAACATGAGCCTAACATGACCTGAAGGAAAAAAACTCTATCATGGTGGGTTAATTTCCTTTTTCTTTTTTTTTGAGATGGAGTCTCGCTCTGTCGCCCAGGCTGGAGTGCAGTGGTGCCATCTCGGCTCACTGCAAGCTCTGCCTCCCGGGTTCACGCCATTCTCCTGTCTCAGCCTCCCGAGTAGCTGGGACTACAGGCGCCCACCACCATGCCCGGCTAATGTTTTGTATTTTTTAGCAGAGACAGGGTTTCTCCGTGTTAGCCAGGATGGTCTCAATCTCCTGACCTCATGATCCGCCCGCCTTGGCCTCCCTGGGTTAATTTCTTTTACTCAGGCAAGGTATCTTCTCATTTTCAAGATAATTTTAGAAACAATCTGAAATGGAAGCATAAACTACTGGAACATGGCAGAAAGGAATTTTTGTGTTATTTCTGCCTCATGGTTTCTACTCTTTGCATTCCAACCAGGAAAACCAAAACCAAAACCGTAAAAGAGATCAGCAGAGACATTGTCCCTTTTACCAATCTCCTTTTGTCTAATGTGATTTTGTAAAAACAATCTTTAGTTTCTGAAATTGCTTTTTGTATGATGGGCATAATTATTACATATTATCTGTCTATTATAAATGTGTGCTCTGATTTATTTCCTAAATTTCAGAAAGATCCTATATTAAAAATGAATATATAGTACATATAAAACATATTATTAAATTAATAATAGAGATTCATCAACATTGCTGGTTTCTTACATTCTCCAAATTAGTCTGCAGTACAGTGGACTGTGAAATAATGGTGAGGCTCAGAGTGCCTGCCTCTTTGCGGAACATTTACTACTGCACTTTAACACAAATATAAGCAGAATCGTAAAATAGCAAACTGCATGTTCAGATGCCAACCCTGCAAGACCAGATTGCTATTTACACCTGCAATTACAAACCTAATTACACAATGCATAGCATACTACAAAGATATGTGACCTACATACTCAAATGTCTATTCAACATCTCATTTGGGATATCTCACAGGAACTACAAATTTGGTGTTTCTTGACCCAAAATCATCTTCCAATTTTATACCAGTACTTTTACAGTATTTTCTATTGTAAAGAAAGCCCCAACTTTCTCCAGGTGCGCAGACCTCTCAAATGCCCTCACCACTCCTTTCCCATACACCCACATCAATTTACCTCTGATTTTATCATGAACAACCTTTCAAATCCATTCAAGGTCTCTGGCTTTTTCTATTGCCACTTCACCCAGTGTCCCTCAGAATGGTTACCATGTGAGATTTCTGCCTTTTAAATGTGCCATCATATGTCCTTCCTCAGAGAGATTGCCCTTGCTGTTTCCTTGATATAGAAATCTCTTTCTCATCACCCACTTCTATTCCATCAATTTACAGTAAACACATTGCTTTCTCAATTGTTACATGCCCTCATGTACCCTACATTTTGTAACAATTACCAAGGCTTATACTTATTTGTATGATTATTTGATTTAAACCTGTCTTTTTACAAGATTGTAAACCCCATGAGGGCAAAGCACCATGTCAGTTTGTCTCACTTATGTTAACCTAATTACTCAGCATAGTGCCTGGCAGGTAAAAAGTTCTTGAAACATTTGTTGGCCTGAATGAGTATGTAAAAATTTTGAATAAAATGACTTCCTCCAAGCCCTGGAATGAGAGCAGCTGTGGAATAACTTTTCTAGAATTATTTCTAAGTTTTACGTATCATGAGATTAGAAAACTTCAGCTTCTGAGAGTGGCTATCTGAGTCTGTCAATGTGTGACTTTATGAAGCTGTTATTTTACCAAAGAAAGAACTGTCTGGTTTATAAAACTTGTCTATAAAGACAGTGGATATATTTAAGATATTTGCAAGAAGGGATAATTTTGTACATATGTATAGTGTAATATTATGCAACCATTAATTAATAAATGCTGAAGATATTATTTCACATCTGGTATTAAACATGATGGTGGGGAGATCTGTGGCCAAACTGCAATTTTGCAACTTCTAGTTGCCTTGTTTTTCCTCCCTGTAGGCTTCTGTGAATCTTCTTTCTTTGAACCTTTGAAATGATCTTCAATGTTTTGTTTGCCTGGTTAGAAATTGCTCTTTATCTAGTAAATACCAGGATATGCTGAGTTATTTTAATCTGTGGATTCATTATAGTTTTCTATTATATTTCTAATGTTTTTCTGTTTTGTTTATTTCTAATTTTCAGGAATTTCGCTGTCCTTTGTTTTCCATATCTCTAATTTTAGTTACAAGAAATCTTACATCTTACTTCTTTACAACTTGGTTTTGAACTATTTTCCCAGATCTGCCAGCATCACTGATTATGTAATTTATTTTGTCTTCTATATTGTAGCTTGCAATTCTGTCATGTTATATCTACTCACAATTTTTATATTCTGTGGTCTCGAAATAGTTTATTCGCATCTATGTTCATGAAGAATATTGGCCTGTATTTTCTTTTTTGTTGTATCCTTTTCTGGTTTTGATATCAGGGTCATGCTGGCATCATCGAAGGAGTTTGGAGTTATTCCGTCTCCCTCAATTTCCCGGAATAGCTTGAGAAGAATTGGTATTAGTTCTCTTTAGAAGTTTGGTAGAATTCAGCAGTAAACCTGTCCAGTACTGGAGTTTTCTTGGTTGGAGATGTAATATCACTGATTCAATCTCATTACTCATTATTGGTCTGTTCAGATTTTCTATTTCCTTTTGGGTCAATCTTTGTAAGTTGTATCTGTCCAGTAGTTTATCAATTTCCTCTAGGTTTTAAAAAATTTATTGGTATATAGTTGTTCATAATCATCTCTAACAATCTTTTTTTATTTCTGTGGTATTAGTTGTGATGTCTTCTTTTTTGTTTATGATTTGTTTGTTTGGGCTGATTTATTTATTCTCTCTTTTTAAAAAAAAATCTAGCTCTTTTTCTTGATTTTGTTTATCTTTTCAAAACCAACCTCTTGTTTTATTGTTTTTCTTTATTATTTTAGTCATAATTTCATTTATTTCTGCTCTGATCTTTATTTTTCCTTCGGTTAATTTTGGGTTCAGTTTGTTCTTGCTTTTCTAGTTCCTTTAGATGGATTTCTAGGTTATTTTGAAATTTTTCTACTTTTTTTGATGTAGGCATTTATTACTATAAATGTGCCTCTTAATACTGCTTTTGCTGTGTTTCACAGGTTTTTCTGTATATTGTGTTTTTATTTTTATTTGTTTCAAGAAATCTTTATATTTCTTTCTTAATTTCTTCCTTCACTCATTGGTCATTTGGGAGCATATTGTTTAATTTTTATGTATTTATATAGTTTCAAATGTTCATCTTGTTAGTGATTTATAGTTTTATTCCATTGTGGTCCAAAAAGATACTTGATGTGATTTCAATTTTTAAGAATGTTGTGAGACTTGTTTTGTGTCCTAACATAAGGTCAATCTAGGAGAATGTTCTATGTGCTGATGAAAATGATGTGTATTCTGCAGTGAATAAAGGATATACAAAACAGCCAGAAAAAAATCAATATAGTGATAGGAGGAAGTCTTCACCTATAATAACCTGAATGCAAATGAATTAAATTCCCCAAGTAACAGGAATATGCTGTCCAAATGAATTAAAAAAAATAAGACCTAACTATGTACTGCCTACATGAAACTCACTTCATCTGTAAAGACCCAGATACACTGAAAGTGAAGGGATGAATAAAGATACTCCACATAAACAGAAAGCAAAAGTAAGCAGATACCAGACAAAATGACTTTAAGTCAAAAACAATTAAAAAAAACCCAACCAACCAAACAAATAAAAAATCCAAAGAAGATTACCATGTAGTGATAAAGGTATAAAGCTGCAAGAGGAAATAACTATTTAAAATATATGTGTATCAAACACTGGAGCACACAGATTCATAAAGCAAATATTATTAAATCTAAAGTGAGAGATAGATCCCAATACAATAATAGTTGGGGACTTCAACAATCTACTGTCAGCATTGGAAAGATCATTTAAACAGAAAATCTACAAAGAAATATTGGATTTAAACTGCACCACAGACCAAATGGTTCTGACAGACATTTGTAGAACATTTCACCCAAGAGTTTCATCATACATAGTTCTTTTTTCTTTTTCTCCTTTTTTCCGTAATAAACTTTCAATAGAATAATCTGAGGCCCTCAGAGATCCCAAATGACAAAATGTCTACCACCAACAAATAAAAATTACCCTCTTACTTACTTTGGTTGCAGTGGTAGTTCATCTCCTTGGCAAAAGAAGCAGCCTTAAAGCTGGAACATGTAATGGAAGACTCCTCCAAATAATAACTTCAAAATGGCCATATTACTGCAATTATGCTTATGGGCAGGAAATCTCATGTGTAGCAGCGAAGGCCATGATTTCCAGCAGTCAGCCTGTGCTTGTGAAACGTAGTCTCACATCTCTCTGGAGTATGTCATGCACTGTGTGATTTGGTTTGTAATTGCAGATGTAAATAGAAATCTGGTCTTGCAGTTTGGCGTCTGAACATGCAATCTGCCATTTTATGATTCTGCTTGTGTTTGCATTCAGGTGCCATAGTAAATGTGCCTCCAAAAGGCAGGCGCTCTGAGAGTCACCAGCTTTTCACAAGCCACTATACTGCAGACTCTAATTTGGAAAATGGGGGAAACCAGCAAGGCCGATGAATCTCTATTATTAAATTAATTTCCGTTGATTATTTAAAGCTCAAACATGGTACATCTGTATATTAAAAACTATTTATAGTTCTGCTTTAAAGTCTTAATCACAGTTTTTCAATGTGTTGTTAAAAGTTAATCTAGTGGATTAAAACCAGTTCTCCTTAAAAGAAAGCAATTTGACTCTAATCCACATTTGTGAGAACAAAAATGTAGTCTTGTCCCAAAGAAAAACATATCTGAGAAATAATTAAAATAGTGTAATCTATCTGAAGACATGGCAAAGAGTCTTAGCAATGCAGATTAGAAAATAGCTATTTTATATGATAATAAACAGATGGCTCTATAGGATTTATGTTGGCATGGATGAAGTAAATTTTATGTTTAAATATAAATATATTTAAATATATTTATTTAATATATTTAAAAAATCAATTCCCAGATAGGGCCACCTTCTGGATTTTTCTCACAGGTCTGCATGGTTTTCTCTGGGTATTTTGATTTCCTCCCACATCCCCAAGATGTGCATATTAGGTTAATTAATATGTCTAAATTATCACAGTATAAGTAAGTATGGGTATGTTTGTGGGTGTACTCTGCAATGGAATGGTGTCCTGTGCATGGTTGGTTCCCACATTGCATCCTGAGCTACCAGGATAGATTTTGGCCATTAGCAGCCCTGAACTGGAATAATTGGGTAAATAATTATTATACTTGTTTTTGTTATTCTTTCTTAAATGTATGTATAGCTTACATTTATTTCAATGTTTAATATTAGGTGTGTTTTGGCCTTTCTTTAAAAGTTGGGTGATGTTTTGTGACCAGAAATATAGTGTAGGAAATTAACTCTTGTTTATATCAATTCACCTATGGTAAAATTGGTTCTGTAATATGTTATTTTATTTAAAGTCACAGTTTCCTAAGACCTATTGACAACATTAAGTGAGGACTTACTTTACATACACATGTGCACACACATACTCACAAAGACTAATAAGGAGAAAAACCAGGTTCAGAGGAGCAAGTAGAAAATCTTTTTGCAGATATAACATGCTTGCAAGGGATAGACCATTAATATCTTTGAAACATTTAAGAATTTGACAAACGAGATACACTATGTGCATGTTTTTGCAACCAACTTTGTTTTTAATAATAATTTTATGTGTACAGATAAATTACAAAGAGAGTTCAGAATTTCTATATTCATCATACCCAGTT
This sequence comes from Homo sapiens, assembly GCF_000001405.40. NCBI lineage: Eukaryota > Metazoa > Chordata > Mammalia > Primates > Hominidae > Homo > Homo sapiens. The sequence continues at coordinate 21,337,436 of NC_000003.12, read as the reverse complement.
CCCTTACTATTAGCATATTATAACACTATTGTCTACTTGTGATAATAAACAAATTTATATATTATTATTACCTAATGCTCATAAGATTTTCATGTTCCCTTCCTTTTTAGATAATGTTGCTTTTTTGTTTCAGCATCCCATCCAGGAAATGGTATTATATTTAGTTGCCATGTCTCCTTTCATGTGTGACGACTTCTCTCACTTCTCGTTTTGATGATCCCAGAGGTTTTTTCTATTTTCTTCTCTTTTTATTATTAATATTATTTTTGATGAACAAATCATAGTTGTATATCTTTATGGGGTACAATATGATATTGATTAAATCAAGCTAATTAATATATCTATCACCTTGCTTATCTATTTTTTTTGGGTAAGACCTTAAACATTTATTCCCTTAGATATTCGGAAATATACAGTACATTATTTTTGACTATAGTCACCCTGCTGTGCAATAGATCTCAAAACCTATTACTCCTGTGTATCTGAAACTTTGTAAACTTTGATTAAAAAAAAACTGTCCATTCCCTCCATCCTGATCCCCTCCTCTCAGCCTCTAGTTCTCAGAGTAGAACCATCATTCTGCTTTGTACTTCAATGAGTTCAACATTATAAAATTCCACATATAAATGAGATCATGTGCCTGGCTTATTTTACTTACCTTAATTTCCTCCAGATTCATTCATGTTGCTACAAATGACAAAATTTTCTCCTTTTTCCAAGTTTGACAGTTATTCTATCGTGTATATGTACCACATGTTTTTTAATCTACTCAATCATTGATGGACACTTAGGTTGATTCCGTATCTTAGCTGTTGTGAATAATGCTGTAATGAACATGAGAGTGCAGATATCCTTTCAAAATATTGATTTCAGTTCTATTGGATATACACTCAGAAGTGGGATTATTGGATCATATGGTAGTTCTCTAGTTTTCTGAGAAACTTCCATACTGTTTTCTGTAAGGACTGTACTAATTTACATTCCTACCAACAATGTACAAGAGCCCCCTTTGCTCTATATTCCCATCAACATTGATCTCTCATCGTTTTGATAAGAGCCTAGCAGGCATAAGATGATATCTCAGCATGGTTTTGATTTGCATTTTCCGAATGATTGGTGATGCTGAGTGTTTTTTCATGTACCTGTTGGACATTTGTATGTTTTCCTTTTTAAAAATGTCTCTTTGGGCCCTTTGCCCATTTTTTACTTGTTTGTTTTCTTGCTCCTTAATTGAGTTCCTTATATATTTTGGACATTAACTATTCATCAGATGTATGGTGATATGGTTTAGCTGTGTCCTCACCCAAATCTCATCTTGAATTGTAGCTCTCATAATTCCCATGTGTTGTAGGAGGGACCTGGTGGGAGATAATTGAATCATGGGGTTGGTTTCCCCATACTGTTCTCATGGCAGTGAATAATTCTCACGAGATCTGATGATTTTAAAGGGGGTTTCCCCTTTCACTTGGCTCTCGTTCCTTCTCTTGCCTGCTGCCATGTAAGACATGACTTAGCTCCTCATTTGCCTTCCACCGTAATTGTGAGGCCTCCCCAGCCATGCGGAACTGTGAATCAATTAAACCTCTTTCCTTTATAAATCACCCAGTCTCGAGTATGTCTTTATTATCAGCATGAGAACGAACTAATATATATGGTTTACATTTTCTCCCACTCTGTAAGTTGTCTCCTCCTCACTTTGTCAATTGTTTTTTCTTTTTCTTTTTCTTTTTTTTTTTTTCACTTTACAGAAGCTTTTTAGTCTGATGTTTTTGTTGCCCATGTTTTCAGGGTCCTATCCAAAAATTTGCTGCCCAAACCAATGTGATGGAACTTTCTCCCATTTTAGCTTTTAGTAGTTTTACAGTTTCAGGTGTCATATTTCAATCTTTAATCCGTTTTGAATTGATGTTTGTATATCATGTGAACCAAGGGTCCAATTTTATTATTCTGTATGTGGATATTCAGTTTTCCCAACAGCATTTATTGAAGAAATGGTCTTTTCCCTATTGTGTGTTCTTGACATCTTTAACAAAAACCAATTGACCATAAATTTTTCGGTTTATTTTTGGGCTTTCTAGCTTCTTAAGTTGGTTAATGTGTGTTTTTTTAATGCCATTCCTTGCTGTTTTGATTACATTTACTTTATAATATGTCTTAAAATCAGGATGTGAGGTGCTTCCAGTTATGTTATTTTTGTTCAGGATTGTTTTGGATATTTGGTATCTTTTGCAACTCATATGGACTTAAGGATTGTTTTTCCTATTTCTGTAAAATGACACTCTGATTTTGATTGTGATTGCAATGTATCTGGAGACCACTGTAGATAGCATGAACATTTAAACAATGTTTAATTCACTCTTCATCCATGAACACAGGACATGTTTCCATTTACTTGTGTTTTCTTCAGTTTTTTTTGCACGGTTTTATAATTTTTGCTACACAAGTCTTTTATACCTTGGTTAAACTTACATCTAAGAATTTAATATTTTTTGTTGTCATTATAAATGAGATTATTTTCTGAATTTCATTTTCAGATAGTTCATTATTAGTAAATATAAAAACTACTTTTTTAATGTTGATTTTGAATCTTGCAAGTTTACTGAATTTGTTTTTTAGTTCTAAGTTTTTTGGTGAAGTTTTTAGGGTTTTCTATATATAAGATCATGTTGTCAGCAAAACAAGAAAATTTTCTTTTTTTTTCTTTCTGTTGGGATGCCTTTTATTTCCTTCTCTTGCCTGATCCTCTAGCTAAGACTAGAAGTGGTAAAAAGAAGTGGTAAGAGTGGGTATACTTTTCTTCATCTTAGAGGAAAAGCTTCCAACTTTTCATCACTGAGAATAAGGTTAGCTACAGATTTGTTATAAATGCCCTTACTGTGCTGAGGTACATTCCTTCCATACCTAACATGTTGAGAGTGCTGTCAGGAAACGGTGTTGAATTTTACGAAATGCTTTTTCTGTATCTACTGAGATAATTGAGGTAAATTTTATCCTTCAGTCTGTTACTATGATGTATTGCATTTATTGACTTGCATATGTAGAATCATTCTTACATGCCAGGGATAAATCACATTTATCCTGAAGAGTGCTGTTGAATTTGCTAAAAAAAAAATTTGCTAAATTTTTTTTGAGGATTTTTTTTCATCTAGGTTCACCAGGAATATTGGCCCATAATTTTCTTTTCCTGTAGTGTCCTTGTCTATCTTTGGTTTCAGGATAATGCTGGTTTTATACAATGAGTTAGGTTAATGTGAAGTATGCTCTTCACTTTTATTTTTTGGAAGAATTTGAGAAGAATTGCTATTAGTTATTCTTGAGCTGTTTGGTAGAATTCAGCAGTGAGGTATCTAGGCCTGGGTTTTTGTTTGATGGAAGAATTATTACTGATTCAATCTCCTTACTTGTTATTAGTCTGTTCACATTTTCTGTTTCTTCATGATTTAATCTTGGTAGGTTTTATGTGTTTAGGAATTTATAGATTTTTTCTAAATTATCCAATTTTTTGACATGTAATTGTTTATAGCAATTTTTAATAGTTCTTTGTATTTCTGTGGTATGAGTTGTAACTTGTTTTCTAATTGTGGCATAGGTCCCTTGTTTCTTTCTTTCTCTCTTGCTGTCATTGTGCTTTGATGGTTTTCTATGGTGGTGTGCTTTGAATCCCTTCTTTTATATTTTGTGCAACTAGGATAGGTTGCTTTGTGGTTACCATGAGGCTTACACAAAATGTCTTATCCTTATAACAGGCTATTTTAAGCTAATGACAACTGAACTTTAATTGAATACAGGATCTTTACATTTTTCTTTCCCTCAATCTTTTATGATTTGGATGTCAAAATTTACATTTTTTGTAATCTTTATCCCTCAATAATTTATTGTAGCTACAGTTGTTTTTGTTTTGTCTTTTGTCATTTATACTTGGAAAAAATTGCTTTACAAATTTTTGTATGAGAAAATTATGTGTATGAATATGTATGCTATTGCGTTCTTTACTTTCATATGTTTTTGTTGTTAATTAGAAAGCTTTTATTTAAACTTAAATAACTCTCTTTAGTAATTCCTGTACAGAAGGCCTAGTGGTGATTAACTCCCTTAGCTTTTGTTTTTCTGTGAAAGTTTTTATTTCTCCCTCATTTCTGAAGGTCAGCTTTACCTGGTATTCTTGATTAGTGGTTTTTTTTCCTTTTAGTGTTATAAACATATCATTCTACTCTTTCCTGGCCTGTAGGGTTTCTGCTGAGAAATCCTCTGAAAGCTGTATTGGAGCTGCCTTTAATGTGATATGTTTATATCTTACTGTTTACAGTATTCTTTTTTTGTCTTTAATTTTTGATAATTTGATTATGATATGTCTTAGTGAAATCTTCTTTGAGTTGAGTTTGATTGGCAACCTCTGAGCTTCCTGTATCTTGATGTTGTCATCTTTCTCCAAATTTCAGGAAATTTTGCAATTATTTTCTTAAATATGCTTTCCAGGCATTTTTCTTTCTCATCTCTTTCTTAATTTCCTATGATGTGAAGGTCAGTTTGCTCAATGATGTCCCATATTTTCTATATGCCTTTTCTTTTTTTTTTTTCTTTTTGTTCCTGTGATTGGGTAATTTCAAATGTACTATCTCCTATTTCTGTTTTTTAATTGTTTCTATTTCTTTGTCAGACTTCTCACTCTGCTTATGATTTGTTTTCCAAATTTCATTTATTTTTCTAACTGTATTTTCTTAGAGTTCTCTGAACTCTAAGAAGTGGAGGAGATTATTCTGAATTATTTTTTATTTCATAAATCTTCTTTCTTCTTGAGTTCATTATTGGAGTTTTGTTAGTTTCTTTTGGTGGTGTCATATTTTCCTAATTTTTTATCATCCTATGTCCTTACATTGATGCTTGTGCATTAGAGGATATAGCCATCTCTTCTGCCTTTGCGTGTATTCTTGATGGTGATAGACCTTTACTATTTAGGCTAGACTGGAATTCTGGACGGGCTGGCTAGTACCAACCCTAGACAGGCAGACCTTGGTGTCAAGTTCTCTAGTTGAGCTGGGTAGCTTTCCTGTGCTCTGAGGCCAAACGCTACTGCTAGCTGTGCTCTGGAGTCCAGTGAAATCACTGTCTAGAGTCTGCCGTTAGGTGAAGTTGCTGACTGGGCTCTGCAATTATCTCTGTTGGGCAGAGTTGCAGGCTGTACTCCCTGGCTGGGCAATATTGTTGTTTGAAATCTGTAATTGGACAGGGATGTGTGCTGGTCCTTGAGGCTGGGTGAAGTCTCTGTGGTTGCTCCTCAGCCACACAGGGTGGGCAGGGCTACAGGCTATGCTTCACAGATATGGGTAGACTTGCTTTTACCTCCTAACCTATAATAGGCTTAAGTAGAGCCATGCATGACCAGACCATCTGGGATCAGTTAGAAACAGAAAAGGGGTGGGGCTCACTGGAACCAGTGCTTAGACCCTGGCCATTGCTCTGCATTTCAGCTAATGGAAACATTCACTAAAGAGACTAGCCAATGACATTATGCTGCAGGAAGCATGGTCCACAGGTCCACCAGGATCAAGTCCATCTCCCCACATAGTCCTGACGCTCTTGTTAAGTCTAATGAGACAGGTGTGAGTCATCTGTTAATGGTCCCAGAATAATAAGGAAGCTGATTGTCCACCTACAACTTACTTTTCCCACTAAAGAAACCATAGGTCCAGGGAAATCCTCTTTGTGTGGCACTGTGCTGGCTTGGGGATGGGGGTTTGTGGTCAAAGAGAATCATTTCTTCTACCCTTTGAATGTAGCTTTTCTCAGTTCTGTGATCCAAGGAGGTATCTCAGCCTCACTACTAAGTTCCAGAATATTCACAAAGGTATTTGTGCCTGTGGATAGTTGCTAGTTGGATTTCTGTGAGAGATAGTGAAACTAGAAAACTCCTATTTCGCCATATTGCTGATGTCACTTTCTTTTGAGTGATCTCAAGAATTTTGAGGTATGCTGGTCAGGTATTTGTACAATGTCCTTGAATTCTTATTTGTCTGATATTGTTCTCAAGATAAGACAGAATTAACGAGTTTTTGAAAGGAAGACCACAGTCTTCTTTCTACAGTCAAGTCCAATATCATTGCATTTTATAAAAGGTATTTATTATAATACCAACTTGATTTATCACTTGATTGTGTGGATGAATAGTGTTTGTTGAGTTTCTCCACTCTAAGTTATCTTTTTGTTTTCCTGCTTTCCATATTGTACTCTTTGGAAGGAAGTCACTATGTGCAAACTACATTTAAAAAGTACCACCACCCTGTAAGTTACATCTGGATATTAATTTTATACTTTGAGTTATAATCAAATATCACTTTATTTGTTGTTCAAATTGTTCTAACTTTGGCTATTGGGAGTTCTTTCAGATGTCTCCTGTGAACCTTTAACATACCTTATCATTGTGTTTTTGTTTTGTTCTGTTTTTTGGAATGGCTTTTTCTTAATTTCTGGCACTATCAAATACTCCAGGCTCATCTTGTAAACTTTCTACCCCAATTCTACAATCTGTCATTTCTGCAAGGAGCTCTACATTGTACTGTAGAATAGCATTAGAAACCAAGATCTACGTGCTATATTTCTGCATTTCCACTAGAATATCATTGCTTCTAGACCCTCTGAGCTGACAGAGAAGGAATATATATATGTGTATACAAACTCATGTCTATATATATATATATATATATATATATTTACTTCTAACACTTTTATCAATATTAAGCTAAATAGGAGCTCATACTGATATTTCCAATGCTAATTCATTACCACATAGATCACTCTCTGTAATCTTACACTCCACCAGTGAGAAATCTCCCTCCACTGTCTGCCATCCGTTTCATTAATTGTTCAGTTCCAGTGTGCATCCAGAGTAGTTTCAGAATTTGTAACCTGTACTGACATGTAACACAACCTATCAACTACGGTACAGTGTTTAGATAACTTTCACTTTTGGTTTCACAGACCTCACTCATTTTGCAAACTTACTTAGGTCAGCACCTTTTTCTCTCTCTTTCAGTGAGGTTATTTCATACATTTGTAACACAGTTACATCTTTTGTTACATTTGAAATTTTATACTGAAATAACTTAAGCTCCTAAATATTTTTCTTAATGTATATGCATTAAGGTTCACTCTGTGCTATAAAGTTTAATGGGTTTGGTAAATGCATAGTTTACATCTACCATTACAATATTAAACAGAATAGTTTCACTCCCCCAAAATGTCCTTGTGTTTCACCTATTCAACAGATGTCTCCTGTTCTTCCTTTAATGGTAACAGGGATTTCCTAAGACCCAGACTAATTTGAGCTCAAATGCCTACATTTAAGAAACAGTTGGACATGACTGGGGAATCTCACTTCTGAAAGTCAAGGTTCTGAATTCTGGCTGCCAGTTGGATTCACCTTCGGAGCTTTCAACAGTCTTGATAACCAGACGAAAAGCCAGATAGTTAAATTGAATTTCTGAGTGTGAAACACAGGGATCAGTATGGTTTAAAGCTCCAAGGTGATTGCAATGTTCAGCCAAGTTTGAGAACTATTACATTAAACCCAGAGACATGAACTGCTCATAACCTTGCCAACTTGAACAATGCTGCAAAGCCCTTTATAACCATGTCCAGATTTCTCCTTTCATACCCAGCAATCAAACCAACTGGCAGAGAGCAATTTGCATAAACAATTAACTAAGCAACTGCAATCTGATAAAATGTATCTTTCCTCATTCTTAATTTGCTCTCTTAACTTTCCTGTCTGATATTATATTGTCTTCTTGGATATATTTATTTATTTGTTTGTTTTTAAAACAGTGTTAGCAGAACAAGTTTCTAATAAAAAGCATATCGTGTATGCTCGACTGTGTGTTTTGTATTGAGTATCAGACAGGAAAGTACAGAGTTTTCTCTAACTGGCTTTAGCATTAGGGAGTCATCAGCTTAAATTTTTAAAAAACATTTTCTCCATAAAATGATATAGGTATTTTTAATCAATAATCTATTTCTTTCCAGCTAATAGTATAAATGCAACAAAAATCACAAGTCCAAAGACAGAAAACAGTAGTGATGCCAGACCCTAAAAAATCTTCCTGCTATCTTAATCATCATATCATACACTAGAGTCAAGCATTTGGGGTGACAGACTTTGATAAATATCTATTTTTTCCTCAGTCTGGTTTGACTTTCAGAAGCCATTTAGACAAGCACACAACCCGGGAACGCCCTCTCACAGGAAGCAAATATGAAAGTTGGCAACAGAGTTGAGCATATGTCTTCTCATCATTGGCTTGGATGCAGAGACTGACAAGCTGAACACCTTATATTTAGTTCACTTATCCCACATTGAGAGCAAATTTATATTCTTATCCATTAGAGGCAGAGATGATAAACCACCTCCATTTTTTTTTTTTCTTTTTAAATTGAGAGTGATATAATGGCTACAACAGAATCAATTGCTTTGTAAGTAATGGAGTGAGGCTGTCCACACCATTACTTTCAGCTCTGGCTTCTTGCCATTTCTACCCAACAGACGCTGTAACTTGGTTCAGTGATTTGCACATTGTGTTAGCAAGTTTACAGGGATTTTTGAATCTTTTCCTTTCAGTCTCATCGTACACACACACACAGACACACACACACACACACACGCGCGCGCGCGCACAAACCCCAGGGGAACTATGGCCAGATTTCAGCAGTTCGCAAAGGAAAATTTAAGCTCAGGTTTACCTTATGGAGTTCGCAAATGTTGGTTCTAACGCTGCACAGTCTGTAAAATCCTCATTTCATAAACAACTGCTTATTAGAAAGGCTAGTTGAGAGCTGTGTCTCTGGAAATGGGTTTCCTATGGCGCTGGTGGGTCACTCATCATGGCTGAGACTTAATTACCACTCTGCAGAAAATGCCATCAATGAAAAAAAAATCCTACTAATTTTATTTAATCAGGAATGGGTTTGAAGAATGCAAATAAGAAGGATAGTGTCTAATTATTTTTCCATTTTTATCTCCATGAAAGCACATTAATTCTAAAAAGTATTTTAAAAGATGAACACAGATTTTCAAATTGAGACCTATGACGGGAATGGGCTTTTACTTTTTTTTTCAAGATCATATCTTGAAAGGGGCTTTTGTATTTTTGTCAGACAGGCGTTTATTCTTTCATCTAATTTAAATATATAAAAGATCTAATTTCATCTGTACTTAACAAACATAACAAACTTAAACATTTAGAGTCATTCATCTACACAGAGAAAAACTCTTCTAAATGGCAAACTTTTCAGAAATACAGACATTATGAAAAATAACAGGGAACCAGAAAGGCTATGGGAAGAAGTGCCATTCTTCATTGTTTTTTAAATTGCCCAGGTTTAGAAAGCAAAATTTTGCAGGAGAAAGAGGAGAAAATGCTGATTGCCCAGAGATTATTCTAAAGTTTATAAAGTGACTTTGAAACTTATTTAAGTCCATTTAATAAAAATCTACAGGTAATTGTTATATTACATTTCTGTTTTGACCTACTTTTAATTCCTCCACACTTAAAAGTTTTTCCATACTCTCACATCCTTAAAACATTCTAAGAGATAAGCTTTGGAACAATAGGCATTTCTTTCTTCTCATTCTAAGAATATCTTAGCAAAATAAATGAACCACCACAACAAAATAATATATAGGTGATGTAAGTGAGGGAAAAGTAGTTCTTGAAGGATCTAAGATAAAAAGAGAATGTCATTGCTATAAGTCCAGGGGATGAAGGTAGAAGTGCTTGAACTAATATTTTCACAAATAGTTAAGAGATTAGGAGAAACCTTTCATACCCTCAAACCACTCACTCAATGTAGAGTGAAAAATGAAAACTCAAAGACATAATAAAGTTTCAAAAAGTAATAGCTAAGTAACTGTATGTGACACATATTTTGCAGAGGGGGAGAACAGAAAAAAGAGTGATGGGGCAGGAAGAGAAGGAAGAGGGAAAAACAAGTTCCTTGATAGTACACTTGAGTCAAATTATCTTTGTAATTAGCAGAGAAAAAGTTCATCACTGCCATCTGTTAAATCTACTAGTGTGGTGGATTGGCTTTTTCTTTGTCTAGCGCTCCTTTCTGGTTCATATGGAAACTGCCAACCAGGAAACACATTCTTGGGAAGAAAGTGTGAGGATGTGCCACATATTGAACCTTGTGGCTGAAACAACCAGTTGGCAATCCCAGAGTGTGGGATTTGTCCCTGAGATGAAAAGTGAAATAGTTAATTCTATTCACTAAGAAAGAAAATTCTTTTTCTTATTTTCTCCTCTTGAAAAACAACTCTAAAGCAATGAATTAATTTGAGAATTAGAGGCCGAGCTGTGACTAAGACAATGGTTTAATCATGCAGGAAAGAATGGCCAGAACATTTATTTGTGTTCAATGAGCTGAGATAATTTTACCCCTCTGCCCATATCTTACAGAGAAAGACTTTTTAGGGCCATTCAAAAATGGAATGTCTGTAACACCCACCCTTTAAGGACCTAGAAGGAAAGTTTGAGTCATCCTAATTTCACAGAAAATTTCCTGAAAGGGGAGGAATGTGTTTCTTTGCTTTGCGTGTCCTTGGCCTTAAATGTACTGAGTGGATAGGGGAATTTGACAGCTTTTGTTCTATACTTAGCCCTCATTCTCTATTTCAGACTCAATAGGGGAAGGACTGAACTTTGTAATTAATACCCACAAAATTAGCAATCAGCAATAGCAGAAAGACAAAACGGGCATGTGGATGAATCTCAACTGCCTCTGATAGGCAAAGGCCAGTGAGAGGTTCACATCAGCAGAGATGTTAACAGCAGCAGCAGCACTTTTTTTTTCTTTTAAAGCTGGTTTTGATTCTTTTAAATACGCTTTATCCATTGTCCCAGAAGTTTAAACACAAGTCTTATGTTTGCCACTATGCCTCTGGCTATTTACCTTGGAGTTTTATTTATTTATTTTTTATTAAAGGAGAGGGTTGTTTCTGCTTCATTTAGAAGTACTTTGATGAACCAAAGTTAGTTTCTCCATCAGAATTAGAATTAGAATATATAAATATATATCTATCTTTTTTTTTGCGTAGAAATAAGGGTATCTGAGTATTTGCCTATTGTTCACAGAGTCTAGAGAGGGCAAGCACTTAAAGGGTCACAAACAGGGGTCTGCAGGGATCTTGTCCATTGGAAAGCACTGATGTCAGCCTTTTGGAGAACTTCTACTGGTTTGGGAAAACAATAAATTCCTCATTGACTTTATCATCTATGGAAGTGACAGAGTATTCGTAAAATTATACATTTTAAAGGAATTGTTTCTGCTCAATCATGGCAACAGCAAAGGCTTTTATTCACGTAAGTGTGTATGTTTGTATATTTATATGGATATCTCTGTGTACCTGTACCCAAAGAGACAGGGAAAATCAGAATGTACATCCATTTAAAATCTAAGACAAACAAATCAGTGCATATCATCGGTTCATTTTCAGCTACTTCCTGCAGGCCTTGAAACCTTCCTTCTCTCAGGTAATCCTACTGTTTATTCAATAAGCATTCAATAAACATCTCCTGCCCACTATGAATAGAGTGAGGCACTCTCTAGTGAGAGTTAGACCTCTCTAGAGGTCTTTCAGCCAAAGACAATTTATGACCTTTGATCATTCTGTTTCCTGTTCATCACTTTTTCCTGAATTTCCCATTGTATCTAATACCAGGTCTTCCACACTCATTGTCCCTTTAGGCATTGGAGTTTTTAGTGTTCTCCCTCAGATTTACTCTGTATTATAGTTACTACATTTATTGTATAAATAAAAAATAACTTTGTTCCTAATAATTCATGCACCAAAGAAGAGGCTGAAAATACCATATTTAATGTTGTGTTCTTGGGATAGCAATTTAACTTCATTAGTTCTTATTTTCTTTCTCCTTCGAATGAGAATATTGGACTGGACAAGTAGATCTCAAATTTTAGGATGCATAAAACCCACCTAAATAATTTGTTTGAAATGTGAATTCTAGCTGGGTGTGGTGGCTCACGCCTGTAATCCCAGCGCTTTGGGAGACTGAGGCAGGTGGATCACCTGAGGTCAGGAGTTTGAGACCAGCCTGACCAATATGGTGAAACTCCATCTCTACTAAAAATACAAAAATTAGCTGGGTGTGGTGGCATGCACCTGTCGTCCCAGTTACTCAGGAGACTGAGACAGGACAATTGCTTGAACCCGGGAAGTGGGGGTTGCAGTGAGCCAAGATTGTGCCACTGGGCGACAGGACAAGACTCCGTCTCAAAAACAAAACAAAACAAAAAGGTGCCATTCCCAGGTCTTGATATCAAAGCTTTAAATTATTTAATTCTCAACAGATACCTAAAAATCATTATTTTGGCATGTATGTTGCTATGGTTATGTTGAAATTTGGTTGCCACTGTGGCAGTGTCAGGAGTTGGGACCTTTGGGAGGTAATAGAGCCATAAAGGCTTCACCCTTGTGGGTGGAATTAATGCTTACAAAAAGGTTAATTTGGCCCCCCATTGCCCTCTCTTGCCCCTCCATCTTCCACGATATGAGGATGCAGCAAGAAAGCCCTCACAAGATGTTGGCATCTTGATCTTGGGCTTTCCAGCCTCCAGAACCGTAAGAAAATAATTTTCTGTTCTTTTATGTAGTCTCAGGTATTCTATTACAGTGGCACAAATGGACTAAGATATATGTCAGATAATTTTAATCGAATATGCTTTGAGAATAAATATTGTAGATTTTCTATGGTAGATTGTATATTTTAAAGATAGCTCCCATATTATATCTTATCCCACATGTTCTTATAATGTGGTGTTGACACACCTCAAGTAAGAGGTGAGGGGTTCATGTAACTTCCCTTTGAATTTGGGTAAGCTGTGACTATGCTGTGTGACTTTTGGTACTAGGTTATGAAAGACAATCTAGGTTCCTCATGGTACGTTTATGATGCTTGTTTTTGGAATGCAGCTGCTATACATGCGAAGAAGCCAAAACTAGTCCATGCAAAGAGTCTACTTGAATAGGCTGTGTGTAGGTATTTTGTCCAACAATCCCGGCTAAGCACTCAGCTGAGACCTAAACAACTTGCCAACCATATGAGTGAGCCATCTTCCAAAATGATTCTCCAGCCCCAGTCAAATCAACCCACATGATGCTGTGGGAAATGGAGAAGACTTCTGTACTGAATCCTGCCCAAATATTAGCCTTTCTAATTGTTGTTTTAAGCCACTAAGTTTTGGGGTGATTTGTTGCACAATAATAGATAACTCAATGTAAATTTCTAAAATTTATATAGTCTGAAATTAGCCAAAAGCAATGGTCAGATCATGAACTTTGAAATCAGGTAGACCTGAAATAAAATAGTGTCTCCACAATTAGTTACTGGGTGACTATTATCAACTTATTAAAACTCTCTGAGCCTCAGAGACTTTATGTATAAAATGACAATAATAACATTACCTACCATCTTGGGCTATTCTGAGAATTAAATAAGGCAATGAATGAAAACTATTTTTCTGCCATATCATTTTTTTGAATCCTAAGAACTTCACTGATGCACATAATGTGTTTGCAGCTTGCAGTTTTTGAAGATAAATGACTTCTTTTCAGTGTCTCCTTTCCTTTAAATACTAGGTATATGAATGTTTAAATAGCCTTAAACATTGTTCCAGTTAGGATTTTTTATTGATATCTAATAAGAAAGAGAATTAGATTAAATTTTGCTCATGGGGGAGTTTATGAATCTTTGGTATTCAACACAAGGCATATGCTTTTTTTTGACAGAACTGACATTAGCATATCTAATGGAGACATAAGAATTGGAAAAGAGTAAATCTCTCTATTTGCAGATGATATGATATGACATACCCAAGACAAACTATGAGAGAGCTAACACAAATAATAAAATAATTCAGAAAAGGATAAAATGTAAAATTAAAATAACTAAAATTAAGGCCTTCCTATATTAAAACAGTAACCAGTTAAAAGACATTTATCTATGCTTTTTCTAGGACTTGAATATTTCTTTTTGTTCTGTCTTGTGCATTAGTAATTTATTCTGTTGTATGATGTGTGGTGAAAGATACAGAGGTGAGGGGGAGACTATTCTGAGGTCTATACATACCTGTTTCTATATATCTTTTATTTTTGAGCCATTAATTTTACTCTACTTAGTTTTGATTAGATTTATTAAGGTAAAGTTGACATCAAATAAATTGCAAATGTTTAAAGTATGCAATCTAAGTGTCAACTGTCATGCTAGATTAGTTTGCTATTTCTAAAATTATATACAAATGGAATCACATAGTATACACTTTTTCTGGCTTATTTCACTCAGCATAATTATGCTGAGATTTATTCATGCTGTTTTATATGTCAATAGTTTATTCCTTTATGTCACTGAATAGTATTCCATTGTACATATGTACAATGTATACACAATGTATATAGTGTGTATATATTGTGTATATACATTTATACAACAATTTGTTTATCCATTCAAATATTAATGGACAGTTATGTCCATTATAGTTTTTGACTCTAACAAATTACTTGTCATTTTTGCCTCTAACAAATAATGCTGCTATGAATACTTACATGCAAGGATTTTATGGTTACATGCTTTCAGTTCTCTAAGAGTGGAGTTAATGAATCACATGGGAGGTGAATGTTTACATTTTTTAAAAACTGCCAAACTTTTCTAAAGTGAGTATGTCCTAGCAGTTTGTGAGGGTTTCAATTGTTCCACATTCTAGTCATTATGATTAGCCTTTTAAAATTTTCTGGTACTGTTTTGTTATTAATTTCTAAGGTAATTCCATTGTGATCAGAGAATATACTTTGTAGCACATTCATCATTTGTAATCTACCAAAATGTGTTTTATTGCCCACAATATATAGTCTATCTGAGGAAATGTTGCATGGAGTGTTTTAAAAATTCAATTGGGTCAAATAAGTTAATAGAGTTTTTCATATCTACTATATTCTTGATTATTTTCTATTTTTCTATCTTTTATTGAGAGTTGCATTGACATTTTCAGAGGTAATTGTCTGTTTCTCTTTGCAGTTCTATCAGTTTTTTGCTTCATGTGTTTTGAAGATCTATTACTATGTGTGTAAATGTTTAGGATTGCTGTGTTCTATCGGAGAATTGATTCCTTTATAATTATGAAGTTATCTTTTTTAACCCTGCTAATATTATATACTGTGAAATCTACTTTCTATGATAAAATATAGCTACTTCAGTTTTCTTTTTATTAGTGTTAGTATTGTATATCATTTGCCATACTTTTATAGTTAATTTGTGTCTTTATTTGAAATTCCTTTTATAAGGCAGCATATAGTTGGATCTTGCTATCTTATTCAATATGACAATCTCTTTTAATTAAGATGTTTAGATCATTTTCATGTAATTTGATTATTAACAGGATTGGGTTTAACTCTATCGTCTATTTGGTTTACATTTGTACTAGACTGTGTTTTTTCGTTTCCCTTTTTTTTCTGCCTTCTTTTAGATTAAATTTTTAAAATGATTTAAACTAATCTTTTTTAACCTATTAGCTATAACTTTTAGATTGTTAACTTAGTAATCACTTTAGGGTTCGTATCTTAATTTATTACAGTTTACTTTCAAGTGATAATATATCATTGCACATACAGCATAGTAAACAAACTAATATACTTCCATTTTTTTCTTCTTAACCTATGTGGTATGATTTTCATACACTTTGCTTTTACATATGTGATAAACTCAATACTATACTGTTACATGCCAACTAAAATACATGGCAGGAATGTTGAAATTTAAAAATCATCATTATATAACTACATTATAGTATTTTGTCAGGGCAAGGGGTATCTAATAAATGCTAAAATTACTGGGTGAAAGGTTGTTAGGAAATACAATATTTGCTTATCTTTAAGTTTTATGCCGTATACCCCATAGACTTCTTATTACTTATAAAAAGGAAATGGTTCTTTTATAAGAGATAATGGTAGAAACCACACAAACCCAGAGTCAAAACTTAGCATCGCCATTCAGGGAACAACCTGGTATTATGTACTTCCAATGTGATTTTAAAAAGACATAAATAACATTATATAACACAATATTCTTACCAAAAATCTTTTCTCCTGCATCTAATCATGAGGAAATAATCCTGTAAACTCTGATTGTGAGATATTTTACAAGACAACTAGCTAGACTGGATTCTTGGGAAAATAGAGAGAGAAGAACGGATGGGAGTGTGATAAAGGAAATTTACCAAAATTTTGACAGTTGTTGAATAATGAACATATTACAAGTGTTGAATGTATGGCTATTTTTTCAGCTTCTCTTTTGGTTTGAATTTGTTTTCAAAATTACTGTTTTTGAGGAATGCTGGGGGATAGATTCTGATTACATTCCTGGAAGAATGCTCTAAATTCTGAACATTACCCACCCTATATGTTGAAATAGATGAAGGGCAGAGAGACCTTGCTTAAGAGTAAAATATAGTGAGGCAGAATTTTCATAATAAATACATGAAGTAATCAACCAGTAATTTATATTTTTTTTTTTACTTAGGGTCTACTGAGTTTACAGAAACCATGCTGAAATGTACAGATTTTAATTAATGACTTCTAATGGAGATCATTTTGTAATCATTTTAGCCTCAGTTTTCTAATTGGGGTTGACATCTACTTCACAAGACTGTTGTAATAATTAAAGATGAAAGTATATATAAAACTCCTACTGGCGTGCCTAGTACTGATTCAGTGCTTAATCAATAGCAGCTTCCTTTCCCTTGCACATTTTAGGTCCATGTGGATGCAGAGCTCTCCCTGGGCACTACAGTATTCACTGATCGCATTGAAGCCTTATTTACCCCTGTATCCAACGTGAACTTGTAGCCCAGTTCCCTGCCTCATATTGGTTCCGTATATAGTTAATGTACATCTATGTCAATAGCTCAGTAGATTGGATTTTTAAAGTCTGTCTAGCTCTGTATTCCCTGTAGTGTCTAGATCAATGTCTTTTAGTTAGCAGGAGCTCAGTGAATATTTTAGACTAAAATAATTATGAAGTCTGAGGATGTACCTTAACATCATACCATGCCTAACACTAGTGACTCTTCATTTGGAATTCCTGAAACTGCCATGATTTTTTACTCTATAATGAGCCTCTACTGAAGCCTAGAAAATCTTATGACCTCAAGCATACACCGTGAAAGAAAATGGAAAGGAAAGCAAAGCAAAGAAAGTCATTTATCAATACTCTTGTCTTCTTTTTCTGAGCCTTAATTAAAATTAATCTCTGTTTTGGGCTAACTTTTAGGCTTACATTTTCTAACCATTTTCTCTTTGATGAAGAAAAATATGTTTCTGATGTTCAAATATAGCCCTTGATTTCTTTTCCCCAGCCTATTTTAGAAAACTTTTCTCATAGTTTAAAACCTTGGCAGAGTAAACAATTATCACGAGGAATTCAGCACTCTGTATAGAGAAACTTTGCTAATAAATGAGAGCATTGCATTACCAAGTTAGGCAAAAGCAAATGGACAAAAAAGAAAGAAAGCAAAATGAAAATGGAAACTAATTTTCTTTAAATTTTTACAGAGTAAGAATAATTGTTCACATCCCTGTATATAAGAAACCTCCAACTTTGAGATCAAGTTGATTTAGAAGTTTGTACAGAAGCAGAAATATAAATCACGTGGAAGATAAATCACAATCTAAGTATCTACTCAGCCAATTGTAAGGCTGAATTTTTAGCATTGAAACTGTCACTCCCACAGTGACTGTAGCATTAGTTTAAAGATACAACTATAGTAACTATATTGCAACTAAATCTTCTGTATATTTTTGCTCTAAACAGCTGTGAGAAACATTACAACTCCGTCTTGAATTCTAATATGGTTTTATCTTACTGAGCAGAAAGAAAATATTCTGACCTGATCTTAAGTCCTGAAATGTCTCTGAATAAATGTAGGAAAAACGGCAATGACTAAGGGCCTTTTGGCTGCCATTACTGGTACAAAAGTCAAAAGTGATAGTGATGAGAAAACAAACTTATTCCATGTTGTCAACATGGAAATCAGAGTGCTAAGGACGACCTTAACAGAACTTGACAAAGGAGGCACTAACTCATATTGCCCATCTCACCTGGGATTCAGAACTGTGCCAGGTGGGGTTCAATACCATGATTTGTCAACTTTATGAAAACTCCTATAGAAAGGAATTTTGCCTCTTGAGAGCTAACAACAGTGAATGGTTATCTTCTTCATTAAATCTGATTGTCAATCCAATCTCATCACTCTCTGCTTGTGTTAGGACTTTCTATTCTTAGATGTAATTAGTATATGCAGCCATCTTTAAAGTGTGGTTGGCCTGCAACGTACTACCTAATGGTCCTCAAACCTACTGCCATTACTTTTTTTTTTTTTTCTGGTTAAAATGAAAGTACCTATGGGAAAACAATAATGGTTTAAGGGACTTTAAGCCATTTATTATTGGGTGTGAATGTGTTTCAGATGCTTTTTGATAAAAGAACATGGATATTGACAGATGTAAAGATTTGCAGGGCTTATCTTTATAATAAAGGAAGGGGACAGTAAGATCAAAAGAGATAGAAAACACTAAAATAATCCTGGGTTGCCACTGAGGAAGGGAGAGGACATAGTTTATGCTATAATTTTTCTAATATCTGCCTATATTTTCCTAAAATGGATTCTGACTTTTGGTCCAAGATACATCATTGAAACTATCAACAAGAACTTATCTTCTGCCTTTATAAAAACTAGATTAAAAAACAAAAAAACTTTGCTCCCAAGGAAGAACAGCATTCTAGCTCAACCTGGGACCATATACACCTTGTAGGAAATACCTTTGTATTTTCAGGGGACACATAGTAGATGTTCAGTAAATCTTGGTAAAATGAATGAATGAAAGGAGCATCAATCAGTTATTTGTCAGTATGCTTCAATGCTAGGTCTACCTGATCCATATATCCTAGAAATATGTTGCTTTAGTTGTTTTCCAGTTACCAGAGCAGATACTCATCCGAACTCCCTTCACTGTGGCTGTTACACCCTCAGGATGTACAACTCTGTGTATGAGGACATGATCTCCAGTTCTTTTGGACTAATTTTTTAATAGCTACTCAGAGGCATTCTGTTAAAAAAGAATCAAAATACAGCCCTGAGAAGGATCATGCTAGCTATATTCTCCCTAAATTCTGAAACTAAGCTAATTTCAATATTAAGAATGGATAGTATTTTATGCCTCTTGCATAATGTTCTGTTTAGGTGCATTACAATCAATATAATCATTGTGATTATATAGTATTTGAACACATATATTTAAAAATATGCTCAACTATTTGAATAAGAAAAAGGCAGGCATTGAATATGAGTTGCAATAGTGCCATTATCAACATACATTTATGCAGCTGTCACTATATACAGGGCAGTATGTTAGCTCTGGGAAACAGACTGTATAATAGGATCAATATATCCCCTATAATGAGTTATGCAAACAGAAGAAGTGGCTGGGAGATCTAAGTGATACAAATACCTGTAGATAAAACTCTTAAAAACCCAGAGAATAAAGATGTTAGCAAGCTGATTCTGAAGTATGCATAGCTTTCAAATATCTAGAATTGTCATCAATGTGTATTATTCCTCTCATATCTATATATATACACATACACACACACACAGACACACACACACACACACACACACACACACACACATATATATATATATAAAATCTTCTAGGAATACAAAAACACTTTTCTACTCCTCAGCAGTAAAAATGTAGAACTTTCCCTGGGATAGAAAAGACACATATATAAAAAAGATTAACAGAACAAGAAGGCACAGATACCAAGTAAATAACATAAAATGCAATATAAAATTTCATAACGGGTTGGGTAGTAGAAAATAATATACATAGAAAGAAGTCATTCAAAGCGTTAAGAATTGGATCTAAGCCCTGGGAAGATGTTTGCGCTCATATACACAGAGAAAACAGAAAAACAGATTATAATAAGGTTAATGGGCTCAGAGACAAGAATATGTATGATACATTTAATTGAATGAATAATGTGACTTGAAGAAATGTTTTGTCTTGTAAGAGAGTTAAGCAAGTTACTTGTAATATGAATTTTGGGTAAATTAATATATTTATATGAAATAAAGTTTTGTATACACATACAAATTAATTTAGACAGAGAATAGTTCAAAATTAAGTTTGATCAATAATTCAGTGTATGGTAAGTAAGGAGGAGTAAGTAGCTACAACTCTGGTTGCCAGAGATGAGACAAGCACTAAGGAAGTGTCAGAGATTGGACCCAGGAGTGTCTCGGGCACTTTGCTGGATCAATGTACTCAGCATCTCTTTTACAAGTGATTATCTGCTATCACCTGAATGGAGTTATATGATGAGGTAATCCTTCAGTTTCATCTGTGGGATGGAGGGAAACTTGACTTCATCTATATCTGGGCCTTTGAGGTTAATTATCATGCAGAAGAAAATGAGCAGTTGGATTACAAGACTTCCCTTTGCTACTTCCTATCCATCACTTGTGGATACCTTTCCCTTATACTTTGGGAATTCTGTAGACCAAAATGTGGATCCTTCAAAAACTGTACCTAGACTGGTAGGGTGTGTTTTGGGGAGATTAAGTTTGCAGAGAGGAGCTAAGCAAGCTTGAAATTCCTGGGCGTGTTATTGAATATTATGATGTTTTGATCACACAAACAGGCTAAACAGTGGCAAATAATATGAAGTTAATATATTTGAGATTGTCAGAGTAGTGTCAGATTTAGATTGGGAGGGTCAGTGAAGTTTCTTTAAGGAAAGGACATTTAATTTAAGTTAAATGAAAAGTGAGGCGAAGAGTGGAAAACAATGCCACCTTGGCAACCAGCCCAGCATGAAAAAGAACCCTGAGGTGGTAAGCATCTGGTTAGAGGAGGGTACAAGAGGATGCTGAAGAAACACGTGCAGGTCAGATTATACAGACTGTTGTAGAGCAGAATGAAGATAAGAAATTTTACCTCAAAGAAAATGCCATTGAAGAGTTTCATCAGGTGGCTCTTTTTATCAGATTTGTGACTAAAAAGTCTAACACTATATAGAGAAGAATTTTGAGAAGGATAAAATTAAAAACGATGAGAGGTGAGGAGGAGTTAGGAGGTTATTGCACAAATTCAGGTGGGAGATAATGGTGGCTTGCACCAGAATGATTTACATAAAATATATAAATTAACGAAAGTCCAAAGATTTTTACTGTATGTTGTAATGATTAGGATTTTGACATGGATTTGATATGTGAACAATGAGAGTGAAAGCAGGAAGAAATGTGTCCTTATTATTTTCCAATTTCTTATATGAGAGACCAGAAAAATGAAGATAACATTCTGATATTAGTCAAAACAGGCACTGTTTATCAGTCTCTTGAAGAGGAATTTCTTTGCTTCAGCTTAATTTTTACATTTATCTCAGAATTCTACAAAAACATATTGAACTGAGTAATATTTAAGATCTTCTGTTCTTTTTAAACATGCAGACAATAACCCACACATTGAAACACACATTATAGAATTATCTGAACAATTATAGCATATTAAGAAGACTAATTTCTTAATATCCTTTCTTTCACCCTATATACCAGTCTATGTGCCTCTCCCAACTTAAATTACTAGACTCAGGAATATCAGTTATAGTTTTGAAAAGGGTAAAGAATGTCTAAATTAGTTTATGGCCTTGGAAAAATTACTAAATTAAATATCACAGCAACATCAGTAAGTAAAACATGCCTGATTAGTAATTCTCATACTGCAAGAAATGGAAATAACCAGATAGATAACAATTAACTAGATTTTATTAGGAAACAAATAATTATTACAACAACACTGATCTGGCAAGGTTTTTACTAAGTTTGGCAATTCTTGTAAACTTAAAACTTCTTCCACCCCAACACCATTCATAGAATGGAGTCCCTATTTCCATTAGGCAGGCCAGGAATACTGAGTTCCTTATCACTCTCACACTAGCTCACTGGTAGAGCAGAGGGTCAGTGCTAGAGAAAGTAAGGTGAGAAGACAAGAGGCTACCACCCGTATTTTCTGCCATGCTTGTAAACAAAGGTGTGACTTTCACCCTAATCTCTGACGCCATGGCTCAGAGA
The DNA here is from genome assembly GCF_000001405.40 of Homo sapiens. Taxonomy (NCBI): domain Eukaryota; kingdom Metazoa; phylum Chordata; class Mammalia; order Primates; family Hominidae; genus Homo; species Homo sapiens. The sequence continues at coordinate 21,315,245 of NC_000003.12, read as the reverse complement.
TTTTGGGCAGTGGGAGAAACACTTCTGCAAAGAGAGAGCTCCAAAGCTTTCTCAAAAAAAATTGACTACATTTGAAACTGTGGAGAAATTCAAGCCCAAGGGCACTTTCAAAAATATGAAGATTTTGGTAGTAAACAATCTTTTAAAAAGGCTGATAGCTCTATAAGAGCAACAAATTAAACTATATGCTAGGAGATTTACCAGAAAAAAAAAAAATAGAAAAAAAGAGCCCTACAGGGGTCAGAACAAATCCCAAAGACTGGCCTGTAAAACTACCTCTGCAACAAGGCCTGCATTTAATTGGATCAGACTGTGAAATAATTTATGTCCCCGGGCATTATCAAAAACAGTAGAGCAAATCATTGCCCATTAGTGGAGCCACATAGCTGAGTGTGATGCCAAACCAGGCAGATAACTTAACAAAGATCAGGAAAAGCAACAGTTGAAGAGACAGTTGCCAACAACATTGTCATCCAGGGTGATTGCGTGCTTAAAGGTGCACCATCAAAGAAGAACTATGGAAAAAATAGACTTCAAAAAACAGTTTAGGTAAGTCATGAAACAGAAACAAAAAAAGAACAAAATTACCAGGTCCTCAGAGAAATAAGACTTAAAAATTAATTGAAATTAATAAAATTTAGAATAGAAAAACAATAGAGAAAAATAGACCCCCAAAACCTTGTTCTTTAAAAAAGATGAACAAAATGGATAAATTTTAGATAGACTGTCTTAGTCCACTCCTGCTTTTATAACAAAATATCTTAGATTGAGTAGTTTACAAATGATATAAATTGATTTCCTTATAGTTTTGGAGTCTAAAAAGTCCAAGATCAAGACACTGGTATATTCAGTGTGTGGTGAGGGTCTGTTCCACAGATGATGTTTTCTAGTGGCATCCTCACAGGGTGGAAAAGGTGGAAGGGATGAAAGCTGTCTTCACATGGCGGAAGAGATGGATTAGCTTTCTCTCTTCAATCTTTTTTATAAATCAATAATATCATTCCATTTGTAAGGGCAGAGTCCTCATGGCCTAATTACCTCCCCAAATCCCCTCCTCTTAGCACTATCACCTACTTGTTTTAGTTCAAACATGTAAAGTTTGGAGGGTCATATACATTCAAACCATAGCATTTCTACTCCTGGCCTTCCAAAATTCATGTTCTTTTCATGTGCAAAATGCATTCATTTCATATTGAATGTGTTAACTTGTTCCAGCCCCAATTCAGAAGTCTACAATCCAGGGTGTCATCTAAATGAAATATGGGTGAGACCCAAAGACGTATTTGACCCAGAGGCAAATTCCCTTCCAACTATGAGCCTGTGAAAGTAAACAAGTTACACACTTTCAAAATACAAAGATGGGACTGGCACATAATATACATTTCCATTTCAAGAGGGAGAAATAGGCAAGAAGAAAGAAGTCCCAAGCAAATCCAAAACCAACAAGACAAACAATATTAAAACTTGAAGTTTGGGAATAATCCTTCTTGACTCCATATCCTGCCTTCTGGACATGCTGAGACAGGGGGCCAAGGATTAGGGTGACCCCACCCTCACAGCTTCACTGAGTGCAACCCACACCCCAGCTATGAGGTGTTGAGATCAGATGCTTACTTTTCTCTTAGGCTGGAATCACACATTGTTGGCTTTACAATCTGGCATCTTGGAGGTGGCTTCATTTGCACAGACAGTGAGGGCTCTCTCTGGTGGCCCCAAGCCCACAGCTTTCTGGCTATTGGCCTAGTGGGGACTGTCTCTGGTGGCTCCACTCCCATCACTCCACTAGGCATGACCCTGTGGGGGCTCTCTGTAGTGACTGCACAGCTCTTGCATTCTATATGCCTGGAGTTGACATTGAAGAGACACCACTAAACTTTACCATTTGTGCCTTCCCAAAAAGACTACCTGAGCCAAACTGGGACTCCCTTGAACCACAGCTGGGGCAGCCAAGGAGAACTGCACAGGGATACAGGGGCAGAGCCCTGAGGTGGTGCTGGACAGCAAGCCCCAGTGTTCCAGGAGGACCCTCCTTTGAAACCCTTTTACCCTCAAGGCCCTGGTACCCTGAGCTTGTTTTGGAAGTGGCAGCCTTGAAGATATCCAAAATGCCTTTGAGGTCATTCTTTCCTTGTTTTGATTAAGGAATAGCATCTGGCTTCCTTATATCCATACTAACCTCCTTATCAAATATTCGTGTGGCTACACTCTTGGGCTACACCCTCTCCCAAACACAGCTTTTATTTTTTACATGGAAACACTGAAAATTTTCCAAATTTTTAAGTTCTGCTTCTCTTTTAAACTCCATCTTTCATTGATTTTCCTCTCCTTGGATTTTATTATAAGCAGTCAAGAGAAGCCATGCTACACTCTGAAAATTTTGCTTAGAGATTTCTTCCACCAGCTATCCTAGTATATCACTTGTAAGTTTTGCCCTCCACAAAGCACTAGGGTACAGACACAATTCAGTCAAGTTTTTTGCAACTTTATAACAAGAATGGCTTTTCCTTCAGCTTCCAATATATTTTTCATCATTTCCATCTAAGACCTCATCAGAATTGCTTTTACCTTTCACATTTCTACCAACATTCTTATCATGATCACTTAAGTAATCTCCAAGAAGATTAAGGCTTCCCCTACAGCTTGTCTCTTCTGAGCCCTCCCCAGAATCATCCTTAACTTTCCTTCATGACAATCTAGGCTTTTTCTAGTAGTTTGACCATTCCTCAAAAGTTAAACATAGAGTTACCATATAATCTGGTAATTCCACTCCTATGTATTTATCCAAGAGAAATAAAAATATACTTCCCTCCCAGATTTTTACATGAATGTTCACAGCAGCTGCTATAAGGAACTATGTCCCTCTCTCCAAATAATGTTATATGTTGAAGTCTTAAACAACCTCCAATATCATTATATTTTGAGCTAGGTCCTTTAAGGAGGTAATTAAGGTTTACTAAAGTCTAAGGGTGGGGCCTTAATATAACAGGTCTGGTGCCCGTATGAGAAGAGGAAGAGACACTAGAACTCACTCTCTCTTTGCTATGTGAGGACACAGCAAGAGAGTGGCCATCTGCAAAAAGGAAGAAAGCCCACAGAAGAAACCAAATCAGCAAATACCTTCATCTTGGACTTCCCAGCATCCAGAACTGTGAAAAATAAATTTACATTGTTTAAGCCAACTAATCTGTAGTATTTTGTTATGGCAGCCTAAGCAGAATAATACAGCAGCATTATTCATAGTAGCCAAAATGTGGAAACAACCCAAATGTGTGTCATTTAATGAATGGATTAATGAAATATGGTATATACATACAATGGAATATTTTTTGGCCATAAAAATAAATACAAATACAGTCTAGATTATGGATGAATCTTGAAAACATTATGCTGTGTGAAATCCAGTTATAAAAGACCATAGATTGTCTTTTATATGAAATGTTTTTACATGAAATGTTTAGGCAATCTATAACGAAAAAAAAATTAGTGTTTGTCTAGGGATGGAGGTGGGGAAGTGAATGAGGAGTGAATACTAACGGGCTTGGGGTTTTGTTTAAGGGGTACAAAGTATTCAAAATTTAGATGTGGTGAGAGTTGTACAACTCTGTGACTATACAAAAAATCATTGAACTGTCCACTTTGAGGAATGAAATGTATACTATGTATATTATATATCAATAAAAGCTGTCTAATAATTATATATTAAGTAGGTCTATGTTATTCTAACAGAGGACATTATTTTGAATACAATCACACCTAAAGAATCTTGATTTATAGTCTACCCCATTAAATAAGTCAATATATATTTTATCTACGTTTAAGAAATCTTAACATTGGAATAGGAAGTGTCGCATCCTAATCAAATTCACTTATAAATGTATTTTTTCATATTTCATTTCCTTTTTTTAAAAAAAAGCTTTTAGGTATAATTTATTTAAAGTAATATGTACTCATCTTAAGTGTATGGTTTGGTAAAGTTTGACTAATATATACACATGAATAATTTCCACTACAGTTGAGATGTTGAACATTTCCATCAACTCAAACAGATTCCTCATGTCGCTTTGGATTCAAACTCTCATCACCAGCCCCCAAGTAACTGCCAGTCTTCTTTCTGTAACCATAGATTGGAAGAAACATGAGTCATCAATAAACATCTGAAGAGATGCTCAATCAACATAATTAATCATCATGGAAAGACAAATTAAAGCCACAGTAAGATACCCCATAGACAACCATTATAAAGCTAGTACACACAGACACACACACACACACACACACACACACACACAGAGACACACACACTATCCCAATTGTTGACTAAATGAATATGAAACAACTGGACATACATGCTGTTGATGGGAATCAAAAATAGTACACTTTAGAAAACATTTTGGCAGTTTCTAGTTGAGTTAAACATATAATTACCATGTGAACTAGTAACTCTGTTTATAAGGATTTTATACAACAGAAGTGAAAACATATGTCTGCAAAAAGAATTAAACATGAATTTGTTTTATGTCTATTTTTATGCTAGTGCCACAGAGCTTTAATTATTTCAGTTTTGAAATATATTTTAAATATTAATAGGAAAGGCCTGTTTATCTTAATATTATTTTTTCTTCACCAAAATTTTCCACTATTAATTTAAGAACTACCATATATGTAATATTGAATCCTAATAAAAGCCAAGAAAAACCTTTCCATTTATTTGAATATTTTTTAATGTTCCTAAGTTAGGTTTTCGTAACTTTTATGCATGCTTTTTGATAATTGGTTTAAAAATAGTAGTAAGACGCAGGAATTCTTAGAGGAAATGAGTAAAAATATAAGTTAGGCAGATGAGTAAACAATATGAGTATTAGTATGAGTAATGGAGTGGGAAAAATGAAGAAGAAAACTGGCTTTTGTAGTGTATTCTACATGTGGATTTTGTCCTGTAGCCATATTATTATACATACTTAAATAGTGGATGTATCTGTACACATTGAAAGTATATTTTGGGGAGATATCTGTTGAGACAATAATGTGGTATAAAAATACTGACTCAGGAGTCAGAAACTCAGTATTATAGTTTGGCTCCACAAAGAAGTGTATTTCTCTGGGCAAGCCCTTTGCTCTCTCTGGATCTCACTCATCTCAGTCATATAAAATAAGGTTGGATTCAATAATTTCTAATTTTTCTACTAGCTGTAATATCATGTGATCCAGCCAATGGTTAATTCTAAATGATTGCCTTCTCTAAATTTCTGGGTTTTTTTTTTTTTTTGGCTAAATATTCAATTTATATGTCTCTGTTTTATGTTATTTTTATTTATATTTAAGTAAAAATAAAGTTGTATATTTTATGATGTACAATGTGATGTTGGAAAATGTATACGCTGTAAAATTATTGAATCAAGCTATCTATCTGTCACCTCACATACTTATTTTTTTGTGATAAGAACATTTAAAATCTACTCTCAGTAATTTTCAGGTATATAAAACATTATTATTTACTGTAATCACCATGCTGTCCCGTAGGTCTCTGGAACTTATTTTTCCTAACTGAAACTTGTATCCTTTGACTAATATATTCCCATGCTCTCAACACCCTTCTACCCCTGCCTCCCAGCCCCCAGGAACCACCATTCTACTCTGCTTCTATGAGTTCAACTTTTTTAGATTCCACATGTAAATAACATTGTGTAGCATTTGTTTTTCTGTGCCTGGCTTGTTACACTCAGCATAATGTCCTTCAGGTTTATTCTTGTTATTACAAATGATATAATTTTCTTTTTTTAATATATAAGGCTGAATAGTACTCCATTTTGTGTTAACATATGTGTCTATCACATTTCTTTATGTATTCATCCATCGATGGATGCTTAGGTTGATTCCATATCTTGACTATTGTGAGTGAAGCCGCAATAAACATGAGAGTGCAAATACCTCTCTGACATACTGATTTCCTTTCCTTTGGATACATATCCAGAGGTGAAATGACTGTATAAAATGGTAGTTCTATTTTTAATTTTTTGAGGAACAGCTGTACTGCTTCCATAATGTATTGAAATGCTACTAATTTTTGTACATTGTTTTTGTATCCTGAAACTTCACTTGATTATCAACTTCAGTTGATTATTAGTTCCAGGAGCCTTTTGATGACGTCTTCAGGATTTTCTAGGTATAAAATCATATTGTTCATGAAGAGAGATAGTTTGATTTCTTCTTTTCTTATTTGGGTGCCTTTTATTTCTTTCTCTTGCCTGATTGCTCCGGCCAGGACTTCTAGTAATATTTGAATAGGAGTGGTAAGAATGGGCATCCTTGTCTTTTTCTAGTTCTTAAGGAAAAATGCTTCCAATTTTTGCCCATTCAGTATGACGTTGGCCATGAATTTGCCATAGAGGGCTTTTATTATTTTGAGATGTGTTCTTTTGGTGCCTAGTTTCTTGAGGATTTTTATCACAAAGGGATATTGGATTTTTTTTTTTTAAGGGATTCTCGCTCTGTTGCCTAGCCTGGAGTTCAGTGGTGTGATCTTAGCTCACTGCAATCTCCACCTACCGAGTTCAAGTGATTCTTTTGCTTCAGCCTCCCGAGTAGCTGGGACTACAGGCACACGCCACCGCGCCTGGCTAATTTTTGTATTTTCAGTAGAGACAGGGTTTCACCATGTTGGCCAGGCTGGTCTTGAACTCCTGACCTCGTGATCTGCCTGCCTCGGCCTCCCAGAGTGCTGGGATTTCAGGCATGAGCCACCGCGCCTGGCTGGGAGGTTGGATTTTATTGAAAGCTTTTCCTTTGCCTATTGAGATGATCATATGCTTTTTGTTTTTAATTTTGTTTATGTGGAGAATCACATTTATTTATTTGTGTATGTTAACCAAGTTTTCATTCCAAGAATGAAGCCTACTTGATCATGGTGAATTACCTTTTTGATGTGTTGCTGGATTCATATTGCTAGGTTTTTTTTTCCAATAATTTTTGGGGAACCAGTGGTGTTTGGTTACATGGATAATTTCTTTGGTGGTGATTTCTGAGATTTTGGTGCACCCATCACCCAAGAAGGGTACACTGTACCCAATGTGTATTCTTTTATCCCTCACCTCACTCCCACCCTTTCCCCCAAGTCCCCAAAATCCATTGGATCATTCTTATGCCTTTGCATCCTCATAGTTTAGCTCCCACTAATAAATGAGAACATAAGATGTTTGGTTTTTCATTCCTGAGTTGCTTCACTCAGGAATGTGTGTGTGTGTGTGTGTGTGTGTGTGTGTGTGTATGCATAGGTGTATATACATAAATGTGTCTATATATAAATGTTACATATATAAATGTTATATATAAATGTTACATATATATAAATGTTTTATATATATATATATGTAACATTTTCTTAATCCACTTGTTGATTGATGGGCGTTTGGGCTGGTTCCATATTTTTGCAATTGTGAATCGTGCCCTATAAACATGCGTGTGCAAGTGTCTTTTTCATATAATAACTTATTTTCCTCTGGGTAGATACCCAGTAGTGGGATTGCTAGATCAAATGGTAGATCTGCTTTTAGTTCTTTAAGGAATCTCCACATTGTTTTCCATAGTTGTACTAGTTAAATTCCCACCAGCAGTGTAAAAGTGTTAAGTGTTCCCTTTTCACCACACTCACACAAATATCTGTTATTTTTTTATTTTTTTAATTATGACCATTCTTGCAGGAGTAAGGTGGTATCACACTATGTTTTGATTTGCATTTCTCTGATAATTAGTGGTGTTGAGCATTTTTTCATGTTTGTTGGCCATTTGTATCTTCTTTTGAGAATTGTCTATTCATGTCCTTAGCCCACTTTTTGATGGGATTGTTTGTTTTTTCTTCCTGATTTGTTTGAGTTCCGTGTAGATTCTGGATATTAGTCCTTTATCGGATGCATAGTTTGCAAAAAATTTTCTCCCACTATATGGGTAGTCTGTTTACTCTGCTGATTATTTCTTTAGCTGGGCAGAAGCTTTTTAGTTTAATTAGGTCCCATATATTTATTTATTTTTGTTGCATTTGCATTTGGGTTGTTAGTCATGAAGTCTCTGCCTAAGCCAATGTCCAGAAGAGTTTTTCCAATATTATCTTCTAGTTTTTTTTTTTTTTTTTTGAGATGAAGTTTCGCTGTTGTACCCCAGACTGGAGTGCAATGGCGCCATCTTGGCTCACTGCAACCTCCGCCTCCCAGGTTCAAGCAATTCTCCTGCCTCAGCCTCCCGAGTAGCTGGGATTATAGGCACCTGCCACCATGCCCGGCTAATTTTTGTATTTTTAGTAGAGACAGAGTTTCACCATGTTGGCCAGGCTGGTCTCAAACTCCTGACCTCAGGTGATCTGCCCGCTTTGGCCTCCCAAAGTGCTGGGATTACAGGCATGAGCCACTGCGCCCGGCCTATCTTCTAGAATTTTTACGGTTTTGTCATTTAGATTTAGGTTTCGATTCATTTTGAGTAGATTTTTGTATAAGGTGAGAGATGAGGATCCAGTTTTATTCTACATGTGGCATGCCAATTATTCCAACGCTATTTGTTGAATGGTGTCCTTTCCTCACTTTATGTTTTTGTTTACTTTGTCAAAGATCAGTTGGTTGTAAGTATTTGGGTTTATTTCTGGGTTCTCTATTTTGTTCCGTTGGTCTATGTGCCTATTTTTATACCAGTACAATGTCATTTTGGTGACTATAGCCTTGTAGTGTAGTTTGAAGTCAGGTAATGTGATGCCTCCAGATTTGTTCTTTTTGTTTAGTTATGTGAGCTCTTTTATGGTTCCATGCAAATTTTGGATTGTTTTTTCTAGTTATGTGAAGAAAGATGATGGTATTTTGGTGAGAATTGCATTGAATTTGTAGAGTGCATTTGGCAGTATGGTCATTTTCACAATATTGATTGTACCCATCCATGAGCATGGGATGTGGTTCCATTTGTTTGTGTTGTCTATGATTTCTTTTAGCAGTGTTTTGTGGTTTTCCTTGTAGAGTTCTTTCATTTTTTGGTTAGATGTATTCCTAAGTATTTTATTTTATTTTATTTTGTGCAGCTATTATAAAAGGTATGGAGTTCTTGATTTGATTCTCACCTTGGTCACTGTTGGTGTATAGCAGTGTTACTGACTTGTATACATTAATTTTGTATTCTAAAACATTACCGAATTCATTTATCAGATCTAGAAACTTTTATGATGAGTCTTTAGAGTTTTCTAGATACATGATTATATCATTGGGGAACAGAGACAGTTTGACTTCGTCTTTACTGATTTGGATACCCTTCATTTCTTTCTCTTATCTGATGGCTCTGGCTAGGACTTCCAGTATTATGTTGAATAGGAGTGGTGAAAGAGGGCATCCTTCTCTTGTTCCAGTTCTTAGAGGGAATGCTTTCAACTTTTCCCCATTCAGTATAATGTTGGCTGTAGGTTTGACATAGATGGCTTTTATTACCTTATGATATGTCTTTTTTATGCCAATTTTGCTGAGGGTTTTAATCATAAAGCGATGCTAGATTCTGTCAAATGCTTTTTCTGCATCTATTGATATGATCATATGATTTTTGTTTTTAATTTTATGTGATGTATCACATTTATTGACTTGCTTATGTTAAACTATCCCTGCATCCCTGCATACACTTGATCATGATAGATTATCTTTTCAAAATACTGTTAGATTCGGTTAGCTAATATTTTGTTGAGGATTTTTGCATGTATCTTCATGAGGAATATTGGTCTGTAGTTTTTTGTTGTTGTTGTTATGTCCTTCTTGGTTTTGGTAATGGGGTGATACTGGCTTCATAGAATGATTTTGGGAGGATTTCCTCTTTCTCTGTATTTTTGACTATTTTCAGTAGGATTGGTACCAATTCTTCTTTAAATGTCTGATAGAATTCAGATGTGAATCTATCTGGTACTGGACATGAATTTTGTTGGCAATTTTTTTTATTACCCTTTCAATCTTGCTGCTTGTTATTGATCTGTTCAGAGTTTCTATTTCTCTCCGGTTTAATCTATGTGCATAGTTGTATATATCCAGTAATTTATCTATCTCCTCAGCTTTTTCAGTTTGTGCATAAAGTTGTTCATAGTAGCCTTGAATGATCTTTCATATTTCTATGGTATCAGTTGTAATAATTCCCATTTCATTTTTAATTAAGTTTATTTGGATCTTCTTTCTTCATTTCTTTGTTAATCTCACTAATGATCTATCAACTTCATTTCATTTCATTTCAAAGAACTAGCCTTTTGTTTTATTTATCTTTTGTAATTTTTGTTCCAATTTTGTTTAGTTCTGCTCTGATCTTTGGTATTTCTTTTCTTCTGCTGGGTTTGAGTTTGGTTTGTTCTTGTTTCTCTAGTTCCTTGAGATGTGACCTTAGGTTGTTTATCTGTGCTCTTTCAGACTTTTTGATGTAGGCATTTAATGCTATGAACTTTCCTCTTAGCACCACTTTGGCTGTATCCCAGAGCTTTTGATAACTTATGTCACTATTATTGTTCAGTTCAGAGAATTTTTAAATTTCCATCTTGATTTCATTGTGGACCCAAAGATCATTCAGGAGTAGGAGATTATTTAATTTCCATATATTTGTATGGTTTTGAGAATTTCTTTTGGAGTTGGTTTCCAATTTTATTCCATGGTGGGCTGAGAGAGTACTTGCTATAATTTCAATTTTCTTAAATTTGTTGACATTTGTTTTGTGGACTATTATATGATCTATCTTGGAGAATGCTGCATGTGCTGATGAATAGAACGTAGATTCTGCAATTGTTGAGTAGAATGTTCTGTAAATATCTGTTAAATGCATTTGTTCTAGGGTATAGATTAAGCCCATTGTTTCTTTGTTGACTTTCTGTCTTGATGACCTCTCTAGTGATGTCAGTGGAGTATTGAAGTCCCCCTCTAGGATTGTGCTGCTGTCTTTCTCATTTCTTAGGTCTAGCAGTAATTCTTTTATAAATTTGGGAGCTTCAGTGTTAGGTGCATTTATATTTAAGATTATTATATCTTTCTGCTGGACTAGTTCTTTCATCATTATATAATGTCTCTCTTTGTCTTTTTTAACTGTTGTTGCTTTCAAGTCTGTTTTTTTTTTTTTCACTTTTGGTGTCGATTTGCATAAATTTCTTTTCCACCCCTTTAGCTTAAGTTTATATGACTCCTTATGTGTTAGGTGAGTCACTTGAAGATGGAAGACAATTGGTTGGTAAATTCTTTTCCATTCTGCCATTCTGTATCTTTTATGTGGAGCATTTAGGCCATTTACATTCAACATTAGTATTGAGATGTGAGGTGCTATTCTATTCATCATGCTATTTGTTGTCTGAATACCTTGTTGTTGTTGTTGCTGTTTTTCATTGTGTTATTGTTTTATAGGACCTGTGAGATTTATGCTTTAAGGAGGTTCTATTTTGGTTTACTTCAAGATTTTGTTTCAAGATTGAGAGTTCCTTTTAGCAGTTCTTGTAGTGCCCGCTTGGGATTGGAAAATTCTCACAGCATTTGTTTTTCTAAAAAATACTTTCTCTTTCCTTCATTTATGAATCTTAGTTTTGATGAATACAAAATTCTTGGCTGATAATTATTTTGTTTAAGGATGCTAAAGATAGGACCCCCATCTCTTCTACCTTGTAGAGTTTCTGCTGAGAAATCCGCTGTTAATCTGGTAGGTTTTTGTTTTTAGATTACCTGATGCTTTTGAGAGACAGGACTAACTGGATTTCCTAGGCCGACTAAGAATCCTTAAGCCTAGCTGGGAAGGTGACCACTTCCACCTTTAAACACAGGGCTTGCAACTTAGCTCACATCCAACCAATCAGATAGTAGAGAGAGATTACTAAAATGCTAATTAGGCAAAAACAGGAGGTAAAGAAATAGCCATTCATCTATTGCCTGAGAGCACAGCAGGAGGGACAATGATTGGGATATAAACCCAGGCATTCAAGCAGGCAACGGCTACCTCTTTGGGTCCCCTCCCTTTGTATGGGAGCTCTGTTTTCAGTCTATTAAATCTTGCAACTGCACTCTCTTCTGGTCCATGTTTGTTACGGCTCAAACTGAGCTTCGCTCACCATCCACTTTCCTCGCCATCCACCACTGCTGTTTTCCGCCGTCGCGGACCCGCCGCTGACTTCCATCCCTCCAGATCCGGCAGGGTGTCCACTGTGCTCCTGATCCAGCAAGGCGCCCATTGCTGCTCCTGATGGGGCTAAAGGCTCGCCATTGTTCCTGCATGGCTAAGTGCCTGGGTTTGTCCTAATCAAGCTGAACACTAGTCACTGGGTTCCACGGTTCTCTTCCATGACCCATGGCTTCTAATAGAGCTATAACACTCACTGCATGGCCCAAGATTCCATTCCTTGGAAACTGTGAGGCCAACAACCCCAGGTCAGAGAACACGAGGCTTGCCACCATCTTGGAAGTGGCCCGCCGCCATCTTGGGAGCTCTGGGAGCAAGGAACCCCTGGTAACACTTTTGCCTCACAGCTCTTAAGATTCATTCCTTCATCTTAACTTTAGAGGACCTGATGACTATGTGCCTAGGTGATGATATTTTTGCAATGAATTTCCTGGGTGTTCTTTGAGCTTCTTGTATTTAGATGTCCAGATCTCTAGCATGGCCATGGAAGTTTTCCTCAATTATTTCCTAAATAAGTTTTTCAACCTTTTAGATTTCTCTTCTTCCTCAGGAAGACCAATTATTCCTAGGTTTGGTCATTTAACATAATCCCAAACTTCATGGAGGCTTTGTTCATTTTTTAAAATTCTATTTTCTTTGTCTTTGTCAAATTTTGTTAATATGAAAGCCTTTTCTTTGAGCTCCGGAGTTCTTTCTTCTACTTGTTCGATTCTATTGTTGAAACTTTTCAGTGTATTTTGTATTTCTCTAAGTGTGTCTGTCATTTCCAGAAGTTTCAGTTTTTTTATCTATTACTCTGGAGATATTTTTGTCCATATACTGTATTTTTATTATTATTTTAAGTTATTTTTCACCTTTCTCTGGTGCCTCCTTGAGTAACTTAATAATCAACCTTCTGAATTCTTTTTTTTTTTTTTTTTTTTTTTTTTTTGGCAATTCAGAGATTCCTTCTTGGTTTGGATTCATTGCTGGTGAGCTAGTGTGATCTTTCAGGCTGTTATAGAACCTTGTTTTGTCATATTACCAGAATTATTTATCTGGTTCCTTCTCATTTGGGTAGACTGTGTCAGAGGAAAGATCTGGAACTCAAAGGCTGGTATTTAGGTTTTTTTGGTCCCATGGAGTGATCCCTTGATGTGGTGTTCTCTCCCTTTCCCTAGGGATGGGGCTTCCTGAGATCTGGACTGCAGTGATTGTTATTGCTTTTCTGGGTCTAGTCACCTGCCTGAGCTACTAGGCTCTGGGCTGGTACTAGGGAGTGTCTGCAGAGTCCTATGATTTGATCAGTCTTCAGGTCTCTCAGCCATGGATACCAGCACCTGCTTGAGTGGAATTAGCAGTGGAGTGAAGTGGATTCTGTGAGAGTCCTTGGTTGTAGTTTTGTTCAGTGCACTGGTTTTCTTGCATGCTGGTTATGCTACTAGTGAAGCTGTCATGTGGACAGACTCAGGATCACTGGTTAAACAGGATGTTAAAGGCAGTGGAATGAGCTGTTGTTTTCTCTTCTCTTAGAGCAGGGTTGTTCTGTTATGAGTTGCTGAAATGGCTTGAGTTTGTTGGCCTTCAACCAAGAGGTGATGCTTTCAAGAGAGCATCGGCTGTGGTAGTATAGGGGGCATACAAGCTTGCACTAAGGTCACCTGGGTAGGTATTTGGGTTTCTCAGGTGATGAGAGTGGCCATAGAGCTCCCACAGATTAGTCTTTTGTCTTTGGCTACCCATACGGGTACAGAAAGACCATCAGGTGAGGGCAGTGTTAGGAATGTCTGAGTTCAGACTCTTCTTGAGTAGGGCCTGCTGCAGCCACTGTGGGGATAGGTGGGTGGTTCTCAGGACAATGGAATTGTGTTACAAAGAGGATTATGGCTGCCTTCCCAGGTCACCAGGGAAGTGGGGGAAAGCCAGCAGTGACAGGTCTCACCCAGCTCCTACACAGCCAGCAAGGCCAGTCTCACTCTTGCTGTGCTCCCCCAACAGCCAACAGAGCTGAATTTATATCCAGGCCTCCAGTGCAAAGAGCTGAGATCTTGCCCCAGAATACAATCCTCCCCTACTCAGAAAGTAAGCAGGGCTTTTGGGCCTCTTCTCTACCTGCCTGCTGTGGCTTCTGTACTCATACCTGCACTTCCTGTTCACACCCACTCCCACCCTATAGATTCTGCCCAGAAAAAAAATATGCTCAGTTGAAATTATTACACAATTCAGCTGGAAGTCTCCTTCTCCCTATAGCCCTTCCCCAATTCTACTGGCTGCTCTCCCCAAGGACCTCTGTGAGACAAAGTCATAAATGGCTTACCTGGGCTTCCTTGGGGACTGGGAGTGCCTACAGGGCTCTTCCTGCTGCTTCTTTTACTTTTATATTTTGCTCAGCTCTCTAAATTTTTTTCAGCTCTAGGTAAGGTTAAATACTTCTCCCATGATCTGGATTTTCAGGTTCCCCAGTGAGGATGTGTGTTTGGAGGAGATATTTCTCCCTCTCACACTTTGGGCACTCACAGTTTTCACCTTTCTCATGGAGTATGCAGCGGCAAGCTGCTGCTTTCAAAGGGTCTGTGAATTTTTTTTGGTTTTCCTAGAATGTTTCTGAGGTGGTTCTTGGAGCAGAAGTTCACAATGTGGCCTCCACATGCTGTTCTGTCCATCTGAGTGGAAGTTTCAAGTTAGTCCTGCCTCCTGTTTTCCATTTTTTTCTCTCAAGGTTTGCTAGTATTTTGTTGAGGATTTTTGCACCTATGTTCCTCAGAAGTATTGGCCTGTAGTTTTATTTTTCATTTTGTCTTTTCCAGGTTTCAGTTATCAGAGAGGTACTGGCTTTATAGGCTGAGTTAGGAAGGAATCTGTCCCCTTCAATGTTTTGGAATAGTTTCAGCAGAATTGGCACTGGCTCCTCTTTTGCGTGTCTGGTTTAATTTGTCTGTCAATGCATCTAGTCTGGGACTTTTATTGGTTGGTAGATTTTTTTAAATTATGGATTCAATTTTGGAATTTGTTTTTGTTCTGTTCAGGGTTTTAAGTTATTTCTGATTCAATCTTGGGAGGTTGTATGTTTCTAGGAATTTACTAATTTCCTCTAGATTTTCCAATTTGTGTGCATAAAGGTGCTCATAACAGTCTCTGAGAATCTTTTATGTTTCTGTGAGATGGGTTGTAATGTCACCTTTGTTGTTCCTGATGGTTCTTATTTTCATCTTTTCTCTTTTTTTTCCTTTGTTAACCTTTTTATCACTTCAAATAACCAGTTTTTGGTTTCATTGATCCTATCAATTTTTGTGTCTCGATTTCATTTAGTTCTGCTCTGATTATAGTTATTTCTTTTCCTCTGATAGCTTTGGGGTTAGTTTGTTCTTTGTTTTCTAGTTCCTGTAGGTGTGATGTTACATTGTTCATTTGAGATCTTTCTAACTTTTTGAGGCAGATGTATATCACTATAAACCTCCTTTTTAATACTATTTTTGCTGCATTCTAAAGATTTTGATATGTTATATCTCTTCATTTGTTTTAAATATTTTTTAAATTTCTGTCTTAATATAATCATTTACCCAAATGTCTTCAGGAGCAAGATGTTTAATTTCCATGTA
Source organism: Homo sapiens (assembly GCF_000001405.40). Lineage (NCBI taxonomy): Eukaryota > Metazoa > Chordata > Mammalia > Primates > Hominidae > Homo > Homo sapiens. The sequence goes on along the minus strand of NC_000003.12, from coordinate 21,299,526 downwards.
ATTGTGTGATTTTTAGAGATGCTCTTGGTATTGATTTTTATTTTTATTTCATTAGGATCTGAGAGTATGGTGGGTATGATTTCAATTTTTTTGAGTTTAATGGGACTTGCTTTATGATTGAGCATGTGGTTGGTCTTAGAGTATGTTTCATGTGCAGGTGAGAAGAATGTATATGCTGTGGGTGATGAGTGGGGTATTCTGTCTGGTCTATTGGATGCAATAGACATCTTGGACTTGGGTCCCAAGACAGCCTTGATGATCTGTCCAATGCTGTCAGTGAAGTGTTGAAGTCCTCCACTATTATTGTGTGGATTTCTAAGTCTTTTTTTGTAGCTCTAAAAGTACTTGTTTTATGAATCTTGGTGCGCCAGTGTTGGGTTCATATATTTTTAGCATAGTTAAATCTTCTTATTCAATTAAACTCATTATAATACCCTTTTTTGTCTTTGTTTACTCTTGTGGGCTGAAAGTCTATTTTATCTTACATAAGATTAATGACCTGTGGTCTTTTTTGTTTTCCATTTGTATGAGAGATCTTTCTTCATGCCTTATGGGGTTGGAGCCCATGGATGTTGTTACATGTGAGATAGGTCTCTTGAAAACAGCAAACAGATGAGCCTTGTTTTTTTTTTTTGTTTTAATTCAGCTATGCCTTTTAAGTGGGGGCATTTAGACTATTTACATTCAAGGTTAATATTGACATGTAAAGTTTTGATCCTATTTTGAAGTTAGCTGGTTGTTTTGTAGTTTCTATTGTGTGCTTGCTTTATAGGGTTTATGGGCTATGTACTTAAGTGTGTTTTTGTGGTAGCATGAATTGTTCTTTTATTCCCAAGTTTAGTACTTTCTTAAGGATTTCTTGTAAGGCTGATTCAATGGTAACAAATTCCCTTATTGCTTGTTTGTCTGGAAACTATTTTATTTCTTCTTTGCTTAAGAAGCTTAGTTTGGCAAGACATGAAATTCTTGGTTGGAATTTCTTTTCTTAAACAATGATGAAAATAGGCCCCCGATTTCTCCTGACTTCTTAGGTTTCTGTTGAGAAGTCCATTTTCAGCCTGATGGGATTCCCTTTGTATATGATATAAACTTTTTCTCTAGCTGCCTTTAAAATTTATTTCTATATTTGACCTTGGACAATCTGGTGACTATATTCCCTGGTGTTGTTTATTTTGTATAGTTTTTCACAGATGTGGTCTAGATTTCTCATACCTGGATGTTTATCTCTCTGGCAAGATTAGGGAAATTTTTTTGAATTATTCTCTCAAATATATGTTCCAGATTGTTCACTTTTTCTCCTTCTTTCTTAGGAATGCCAATAATTTGTAGGTTTGGTCACTTTATCTAATCTCATATTTTTCAAAGACTGTTTATTTTCTTAAATTCTTTTTTTTCTTTATTTTTGTATGACAAGGTTACTTTGAAAGACTGGTCTTCATACTCTGAAATTCTTTCTTCAGCTTGGTTGAGTCTATTGAAAAATATTTCAATTGTATTTTCATATTCCTAAAGGAGTTTCTTAATTCCAAAAGCTCTGATTGGTTTCTTTTTAAGATGTTTTCTCTTTCTTTATATCCTAGATTGCTTTAGAAGTTTCTTTGTGTTGATTTTAAATCTTGTCTTTGATCTTGTTGAACTTTCTGTCAATCCATGCTTTGAATTCTTTGTTTGACATTTCTGAGCCTTCATTTTGGTTAGGGACCAATCCTGAAGAGTTAGTGTGAACCACTGGTATTGCCACTACACTTAGATTTTTCATAGGCCAGAATTCTTGTGCTGTTTCTTTCTCATCTGGAGATGCTGGCACTTCTAATTTTTATAATTATTTTTTGTATGGGTGGGATTTCTTTTTCTTTTCTTTCTTTTCATATAATATTATTGGTTTTTTTCCTTTACCTTTCCCCCATTCCCTAGGGGGTGTGACTAGAGAATGCTGGGTAGGGAGTTTTGGCTTTACTTCTGTAGCCTCAAGAACTTCTATAGACAGGCTTATATTGGCTGTGCAGTTTGACCTACAAGCCAGTGGATGGCGCTATGGGCAATAACTAGATGAGGCCAGCTTGGCTGTATACTTGATTTTTATTTACTGGGAGGAGCTCTCTGTTGCCTCAAAAAATGGAGTGATTTGTGGCATGCAGTGAGCTCCCTGCTTAGACCTGGGGTGTCTGGGGGGCAGTATGTGCCAAGTTGAACCAGATGAGCCCACCTACATGTCCCCTGTTGGCAGGTACAAGCACCAGTGCCAAGGGAGAATCCAGCGGGTGGCCCCCGCCACCAGGTGCCCAGAGGTGTGCCCAGGCATGGAGTTTGGAAACCTTCTTGGCCTTGGTTCCTTGTGTGGGGATGGGGGACAGCCTAAATTCCTGATCCAGGAAAGTGTGTGTTCCAGATTCCTAGAGATCTGCTTATGCATGTGATGTAGAGGGCCCTGCTGCACCACAATGTTTAACAGGGAGTGTGGGGCAGTTTGGGTTGCTAATGCATGTGAATGGGTACTCCAGATGCCTGGAGATATACCTGGGCATGTAGCAGAGAGGAACCGTACACAGAAGGGGCTAGGGGGCTCAGCCTGGTTCTGGGAAAGTAGTTGCTCTGAATGCCTGAAAATCTGCCTGGGTGTGGAGTGGAGGGGGCCCCCTGCACCAGAATTTATGCACAGGAAGGGTGGGGTGGCTTAGACTACTGTTCCAGGTGAGCAGGTACTTTGAATGTCTGGAGATCTTCCTGGGCATGGAGTTGAGTGGGCTCCACCACACCATAATCTATGCACAGTAAGTGTGGGACAGTTCAGGGTGCTAGAACAATGTGAATTTCTACTAAATTCACCAAACACAAGTTCAGTTCATACTAACATTTTCCAAAACATATTTCCATTATTTTAAATTCTTTCCATCATAGAAATAAATTCTCCAAAACATGTGATCATGTTTCTTGGCCTGAAAAGGTTTCTCTCAGTCGCTCAAAATATTGGCTTCCATTTTAATAGATGGAAATATTGAATATAAATATGGTGGTCAATGTGGGAAGCACAAAGTGTAGATTGATGGATTTGCCATTTGCACTAAGTCACTTTTAAAGTGTTGTGGAGTTTTTCCTTTTCCATTAATGATGGTACTATTTTGGGTCAAGAACTTTTATCACTTATCTATACGTGTGTATTAGCCTTCTAACTGGATCTCAAGCTGCTGTCACATTCTCCTCTAAATCATTTGATCGAATCAGTGTTCCTCCAAGCCCAAGTCATTTGTTATTATTCCTTAGTGAACTACAATAGCTACCAGATAAAGTCAAACATTTTATCTTATGTTTTCAAGCTCATTGCTCATGTAGCTTTATCATAGCTATTCACCTGTATCTTAGAGTACCCTCTATTTCTCATACTGTGTCCTTATGTATAATGTTCCTTCTTCAGTAAAGTGTATCCTACTTTTTATTTAAAATGTGTTTAATTTTTTATTAAAAACTTTCTATACTTGCTCCAGGGCATAACTGATTTCTCCTCCTGGCTACATATTCTCTATCTTTTCTCACTTTATATATATATGTACATATATATATGTACATATATATATACACACATATATATGTACATATGTATATATACACACATATATATATGTATATGCATATATATGATGTTTCTCTTGGCTTCTGTTTTTCTCTCTTTCTGTTCATACACACACACACACACACACACTATATTGATTCATAAGATTATTTATGAATGTATCTCTTTACAGATATAACTTAATTTTTTTACAAGAATGATTTTTGGATGATATTCATTAATTCAACAAATATTTACTGATAGTAAACTATACACTGAGAATATAATGGTGAAGGCCGGGCACAGTGGCTCATGTCTGTAATCCCAACTATTTGGGGGGCCAAGGCGGGTGGATCACCTGAGGTCAGGAGTTTGAGATCAGCCTGGCCAACATGGTGAAACCCTGTCTCTACTAAAAAAAAAAAAAATACAAAAATTAGCCAGGCCTGTTGGCAGGTACCTGTAATTCCAGCTACTCAGGAGGCTGAGGCAGGAGAATTGCTTGAACCCAGGAGGTGGAGGTTGCAGTGAGCCGAGATCACGCCATTGCACTACAGCCTGGGCAACAAGAGTGAAATGCCATCTCAAAATAATAATAATAATAATGGTGAAGAAAGCAGATGTGATCTCTACTCTAAAAGCATATAGACTAGTAGAACTTGAAAACAATTCTCTATCTTATAGAATGACCTCTTTATGACTCCTGTTATGAGTTTGTCACCCTGTGTCTGGCCCCATAACACTTCAATTTGTCCTAAATAGCTCTTCAAAAATAAAATTTATAAGGCACATTTCTGCATATCTAATTTCCTTCATTAACAATCTTCAGTAGCTTCTTATATCTTGATGATTTAAGAATAATCCTAACTTTTTCCTAACTGTTCTAGGCATATCTTAGTGGATAATGAGTTTTCAGCATATCTCATTCTACTGCAAGCACTTTGAGGATAAGAATTATATCACACCCTCATTCCTTTTTTTTCATAATACTTGACTGGTGACTAACTGCTTTCTATTTCTCTATATACTCTGATTCATAATCTAATAATGCTTCTTCTGATTGGAATGCCTTCTTTAGGAACTTAAAGTGTCAAGTCCTGTTTTAAATGCCATCTCCTCTAAACAATATGTGCTAATCCTACCTCCAACTAAAAGCAATATTTCTCTCATTTAAGGCCCCATAATAGTTCTGTATATTGTCTTTATGGAATTTGTCCTACTGTACTTTAATAGATTCTTTAAAAAATCTTATTGGATTACTTTCTTTAAAGTCTTTTTTAGAACATAAAATAGGCATTTTAGGTTAAAACGGCACATATTGGCAACTTCATATAATTCAGTCTAACAGTACAGAGAATGAGGACATTCATCTCTGATCTTCAGTTTCAGGTTCAAAGCTTTATACTCTGAGCATCTATAGACTAATTGGTCACAAAGAATAGCATAATAGTCCAAAGCTAATAAATATAATATTATTAGACAGAAATTGGCTAAAACAAACTCTATAAATGCTTTCTTATATGCTTGATAAAAATATTATTTTCCTGATCTTTGTAGCTATCTACAATTGAAACAGAACAAAAAATTATTGGTGATTCTGGGATAATTTGAGCCTAATTCTGAGGTGCATTATCAGGTCAAATTCTCCGTAGGTAATGTGACAGATTAGTATGAGTAAGAGCTTCAGAATCACTCTTATTAAAATGATTTATCAGAAAATGCTATGTAGGAATATTCCTCTATAGTGGCCCAAAAAAGGGCATTGTTGTAAATATGTCATAAATTATCTACATTAGAGGTTCCACTGGAGAGGCGAAAGAAAGCACATTCATTCACTTATTTATTTTTTCATTCACCATTAGCGTTAGTCCTTGTAAAGGAAGGTGAGGAAAATATAATCCTCAAGAACATCACAGCCCAGTAAAAACAACAAAGAGCTATGTTATGGAAAATTTTCATAATTCCTTTTGAAAGCATTTCCATACCTCGCCCCATGATTTATAATCCACAACCTATGCCATTTCAGCACTCCTAAAGAGCCCCATATGATAAACTTTTCAAACAGAATTATGATATGTTTATATGTATGTCACGCTTTCTAATACGTAATCTGTTTTCATGTCTTTATTCTTAGTATTTAGAACAAAGTTGGTCCTGATAAATGAAAAATGTTTTTGAATGTGTAAATAAATTGACAAAGGAGCAAAGAATAAAGATATATAGTTCAAGAAAATGAACAGAGAAGGAATTCACAGTAGTCTTGAGGGGGAAGGAGAACATCCCACGAAGGAGGATAATATCTTTTCAAAACCTCACAGAGAGTTCTCTTATAGTAGACCCTCCAAGCAGAAACAGAACCTTGGGAAAAGGATCAAATGACATGAGCTCCTTTTTAACGAAAAATTTTAACTTACAAATAAATCAAAGGGCATAAGTTCTAAATCTAGTCTTACCACCATGTTATAGGACTATCAGCTAAAAATCACTGACTATGAATATGCTATGCATATTCCTCCAGAGTTTGCATCTAGTTTATAAAGCGGAATTATTTTGTATATGTTTATAAAGCTAAAGTTATAAAGCAAATTCCTCCAGAGTTTGCATATAGTTTATAAAGCTAAATATGATTACAAAGAAAACATACTTGGAGAACAAAATTACTGTTGGAATGAATGAATTTATGAAATGCTCCAAGTCACACTGTGTCTTAAAATGTTTGGCTGTGGATAAAATGGGGGCCTGCATTTATACACATCGAAGGTAATAGCTTACTGGGCTAAAGAAATTCACTGCGAGTCTGAACTAGCTGGGTGAATTATTTCTTCCCTTGGCATCTATTATACACCTGGCTTTGAGTCATAGTTAAATACAGTTCCTCAAATAATTGAAATCTAACTGACCCTGAACTAAATCTCCTTCCCAAACTGAAGGTATTTTAGGACACATTATAAAGGACAAGAGATCTGTTATTTTTAAAATGCAGAAACAGGACATATTTTGAAGCAGTCATTACATCTTGAAGGAGGAAAATATTATCTTATCATTTAATTAAGAGCTCAGAGATGATTTTTCCCTTGGTCGTTCTTAAATAAACACTACCACTTCCATTATACACTTACCTCAGAATAACTGTCTCAAACAAAGTTAGCAAATTGATATAAAGAACTTTGTAAAAGAAGTTCTGTTTCACTTTGTGGTTTTTTTGTGTTTTTAATTTTCAGATAATTTTAGAATTGTAGAAGAATTGTAAAAATAGTACAGTGTTCCAGTATTCCCTTCCCCCAGGCTCTCCTAATATTAACACCTTGCATAATCATAGTACAATTATCAAACCTAAGAAATTTACATTGTTGCAGTGCTATTATTAACTAAACTATAGATGTTTTTTATATTTCACCAGTTTTTTCACTACTGCTTTTTTTCTGTTCCAGGATCTAATATAGAATCTAATATTGCGTTTAGTTATCACGTCTCCCTACTCTCCTCCAATCAGTGATAATTCCTGTCTTTCCTTGCCTTTCATAACTGCGAGACTCTTGAAAGGCACTAATGTAGAATGTCCTTTGTGGGCTTGTCTGATGTTTTCTTATGACTAGATTTTTGGTGTACATTATTGGTAAAAATACCACAGAGGTGATATGCCTTTCTCAGTGTATTGTGAAGTCAAACGTCTTATTACTGGTAATATTAACTTTTCTCCTGACAGAGTTTCTCCATTGTAAAGTATTATTTTTCCTTTTGCAATTAATAAATACTTAGAGTAGATGATTTGAAACTACACAAATATCTTCTTTCCTTAAATTTACATCCACCAGTTTTATCATCTACCAATGGTTCATGCTGGTAGTAACTGCTACCGTTGTGTTCTAACGATACCTTTCTATTTTCCTCATTGCCTCTACATTTATTCATTTATTTATACAAGCATGAATTCAAGGATATTTATTTTATTCTTAGGGTTATAACCCAATACTATCATTACTTATTTTCTTGCTCAAATTGTTTTAGCTATGATCATTAGTTGTCGATGTGGTTTTGCTCTGTGTCCCCACCTAAATCTCATCCCAAAATGTAATCCCCATGTGTTGGAGGAGGGACCTGGTGGGAGGTGATTATATCATGGAGTTGGATTTCCCCCAGACTGTTCTCATGATAATGAGTTCTCATGAGATTTGATGGTTTAAAAGCGTGGCACTTCGCTCTCTTCCTCTCTCCTGCTCCTGCCACCATTTAAGAAGTGTCTTGCTTTCCCTTCACCTTCCACCATGATTGTAAGTGTGCTGAGGCCTCCCCAGCCATGCAGAACTGTGAGTCAATTAAATCTCCCTTGTTTATAAATTACCCAGTCTCAGATAGTTCTTCATAGCAGACTAATATAGCTGTTTTTATTATTTTAAATAATTTTTTTTCTAGACTAGTTTTAAGATATACAGAAAAATTAAGAAAATAGTACATGGAATTCTTGTACACTCCCAGTTTCCTCTATAACTAACATCTTACATTACTATAATACATTTACTAATTTTGTTATAAATATCAAATTAATATTAATACATTATTATTAACAAATGTCCATAGTTTATTCAGCTGTCTTTAGTTTTTACCAGAGGTCCTTTTTCCATTCCAAGTTTCCCACTCAGGATAACACATTACATTTATTTGTCTTGTCTTCTTAGGATCCTCTTGCCTGTGACAGTTTCTCAGACTTTCTTTGGTTTTGATGAACTTGATATTTTTGAGGAGTACTTCTCAGGTACTTTGTAAGATTCTCTCTTATTGGTATTTACTTGATATGTTTCTCATATTGAGAGTATAGTTAAAAGATTTGGGGGCAGGTAAAGAGTACCTATCATCAACATAATTTATCAGTGTTGACGTTAATCTCAACTACCTGGATGAGGTAGTATTTGTCAGATTTCTCCATGGCAAATCTACTTATTTTTTCTTTCGTCCCATACTACAGTCTTTGGAAGGAAGTCACTATGTGCAACCCATGCTTAAGGAGTGGGAAGTTATTCTCCTTCTCTTTGAGGGCAGAGTAACTACATAAATTATTTGGAAGTCTTCTGTGTTGCACATTGATCTGTTTTATTCCCATTTATTTCTTCAAGTATTTATTAATATCATAATATAATTATGAATGTTTATTTTATATTTTGAGTTACATTACAATATGATATTATTCTGCGTTCAGGTTGTTCCATCTCTGGCCACTGGGGGCACTGAAAAATCAGAAACTGAAGGTTGGCACACATGTATGTCCCTTTCATATATTCCCTCATTGTGATTTTTTTTAATTTAGAAATTTGTTATTTTTTTGGCAATATAAGATACTCTACAATTATGTATTTTCAGCCCTAGTCCTAGAATTAGCCATTTTTCTAAAGAGCAGCTGGGGTTCTATTTATTAAAAACTATAATCTGGGTTAGGTGTGCTCATTACTACCAGGGAGTCATTGCTTTTAAGCTTTTTCATCTAATCGAGCAAAAAATACATCTGTGTATTAAGTTGTATATATGCCCATATCTATACATATTTTATACATGGCTATAATAGATATTTTAAGCTAAATATAAATTCATACTGCTGTCCCCAACTGTATTTTATTACTACATGGATTACTGTAGCCTCCTCCACTTGCTTATTGGTAACCTCACACTCTAATAGGAAGAAACCTGGCCCCAATAATCCTCCATCTATTTACTTAACTGTTCAATTCCAGAAAACATTAGAGTTGTTAACTTATATCCCTACTAAAAACAATGGTTTCAATTAGAGTTCAGTGTTTATGTACAGTTCTTTTTATTTTTATTGGCTCTAGGTTTATTGTAGATGCTCTCTACAAAATTGAGGACGTTCCCATTCAGGTGCTTTGAAAAATGAGCTCAGTATCATTCCTGAAAATAAACAACTATAGGAAGTTTCTCAGAAGAATATTAGTAGAAAGTTTCTCCATTCTTATGAAAAGAGAAAAAAGAGAAAAACCATTTCCAAGAAATATTTCTTTTTGAAATCTTAGCCCTCTACCCTCTTTCTTCATAAAAACTCTTTCTGAAACCATGAGCTGACTGGCTAATAGCTCCCCGTTTCTATCAGGTTGCATCTCAATTATATTCATTATAGGCAAATTTGGTCTTCACTTTTCTGGTAGCTCCATGAAAGAGGCTTTCTTTTTGCTTCTTTGTTCTCCCTACAGATGTCAATACCTTTATATAAAGTTGTGTAGGCCCAGTCCTATTTTATCCCCATGCTCCTTAAATATGCCTTACTTCCCTCCTTTTCTCCTGAGACTCTGGGTTCTGAAACTTTGTGAAAAATATTGGCTTAAAAAACTTGTTATAACACCTACCAGCTATGCAACTGGAACTATTTATTCTTTCTTATCTCTAGTTACCTAGGGGATAATAATTTTCTTTTTACCTTTTGGTAGTTTTGCATAGTAGAGATAAAACTAATATAAAATATCTAATACACAGTAGATTTTCACAAATGTTAGTTTTTTACCTTCTATTTTTAAGAATTTTAATATGCCTAAATGTAATCAACCAGAAGTGTCACGATGATAATGACAGATTTTGTGGCAACTTGGTGGAAGTAGTTATTTTTAAGATATCTCACCTATCATTGACAAATTTGCTTGAACAGAACTAGTATCTGTTATGCAAAAATATGATATTTATACTAAAATTGAGGGCATATGCTTGCTCTGAAAATATATACAGAAGCCACTACAATAGTTTGATAAATATATACTAGCGCAATGAGGCCAGTGAAGGTGGCAGGGAAGTTTTCATAGAAAGACAGAAAAAAAGAAAAATAGAACTGTCCTCTTTGAACTTTAAAATATGCATGTTGTAGATTAATGCATATGTCTGGAAAATCATCTTAAAGAGATTGGCTCCTGTGTCAGTGACACTAAACTGCAACGTGAGTGAAGGTGCAAAGATGTCTGAAGAGAGAACACATTGGCCAGCTATGAAAGTGAAGGGCATGAAAGCTCAGAGACGATGTTGGCAGAGCCCTGAGAACTCTGCCCATGGAGAGGATGTTAAACATCAGGATTTCCCCTGTGACTTTCTATTGTGAAGAAGGATAAATATGACTGAGCTGACATGGTGACAGTAAACTCATGAATGTCCTAATATGCTGTTTTAATCTCACACTACCTAAACTACCTTCTGATTATAAACTGACTCCCAAGGAATTCTGCCTATAGGAATAAAAATATGCTAATTTGGATAACTAACTTAGATGTTTCCTTCAAAGGAAAATAAAAAGATATAAAATTGGCATTCAAAGTTTATTCATTATCTCATGAGTTGTTTAATATGAAAATGTTAAAGAGATGGAGATGGGGCCAGGAGCAGTGGCTCACACCTGTAATCCAAACAATTTGGGAGGCTGAGGCAGGTGGATCACTCAAGGTCAGGAGTTCAAGACTAGCCTGGCCAACATGGCAAAACCCCTGTCTCTACTAATAATACAAAAATAAGCCAGGCGTGGTGGGATGCACCTGTTGTCCCAGCTACCTGGGAGGCTGAGGCAGGAAAATCGCTTGAATCAGGGAGGCGGAGGTCACACTGAGCCAAGATTTCACCACTACACTCCAGCCTGGGTGACAGAACTACGTTCCATCTCAGGAAACAAAAACAAAACAAAACAAAAACAAAACACCCAGATGGAGGTGGTCTTTGCATATCAATAAATGACAATTCTAGGCTCTCAAAGACTAATAAATTTTTATAAAAATTTATTAAGGCAAAATTATTCTTTGAGATCTTTTGGTTATTGTCTTGAAGAGGCAGATCAGGAGGAAATGGTTTTCATATAGAAGGAGGTAATGAGCATGATGAGATGTTCAGGGAGTGTTTGCATGACTGGGAAAGGAGTGTGAGAATTTAAGTGTACTGAGGTGGGATAAGAAAGGAGAAGTGAGGGGATGAAATATTGAAAGAAAATAAAGCTGGAAAGGTTAGTTGGGCCAGAGAATAAATGAACTTTCCTGTCAGGCAACGGACTATGGACAATATGAAGCTCTTCTAGTACAGCTAATAGTGAAGAATTATCCTACCAATACTTCAGTAGTTATCTATTTTGAGATGACATACAACATTGAGATTTGTTGGATTTAAACAACAATCATACATGCCTGGAGATGTGGTTTATTGGGAAAGTCTAGCATTATGATATATCTTCTGGTTTGGGAAGAAATGTGGTGGCAGAATGAAGAATGGACTAATGACTGATGAGAGAGAGACCTGAGAATTAGATACTAATTCTTTGGAGACCAAGACATGCATGCATAGGCAGGAATCTGCATAAAAATTCTAAATCTATGAATTAGTCATTTTCATGCTGCTGATAAAGACATACTCAAGACTGGGCAATTTACAAAAGAAAGAGGTTTAATGGACTTACAGTTCCATGTGGCTGGGGAGGCCTCACAATCATGGTGGAATGTAAAGAGGAGCAAGTCATGTCTTACATGGATGGCAGCAGGCAGAGAGAGTGCTTGTACAAATGAAACTCCCATTTTTAAAACCATCAGATCTCATAAGACTTATTTCACTATTACAAGAACAGCATGGGAAAGACTTGCCCCCATGTCAGTTATCTCCCACCCATCCCTCCCATAACACATGGGAATTATGGGAGCTACAGGTTGAGATTTGGGTGGGGACACTGCCAAACCATATAATTCCACCCCTTGCCCCTTCCAAATTTCATGTCCTCACATTGCAAAAACAATCATACCTTCCCAACAGTACCATAAAGTCATAACTCATTTCAGCATTAACTCAAAAAGTCCACAGTCCAAAGTCTCATTTGAGACAGGGCAAGTCCTTTTTGTCTAAGAGCCTGGAAAATCAAAAGCAAGTTAGTTACTGCCTAGATACACTGGGGATACACGCATTGGGTAAATACAGCCATTCCAAATGGAAGAAATTGGCCAAAACAAAGGGGCTATAGGCCTCATGGAAGTCCAAAATCCAGCAAGACAGTCAAATATTACAACTCCAAAATGATCTCCTTAGACTCATGTCTCACATCCAGGTCACGCTGATGCAATAGGTGGGTTCCCATGGTCATGGGCAGCTCTGCCTCTGTGGCTTTGCAGGACACAGCCTCCCTCCTGGCTGCCATCACAGGATGGTGTTGAGTGTCTGTGACTTTTCCAGGCACACAGTACAAGCTGTCAGTGGATCTACCATTCTGGGTTCTGGAGGATGGTGGCCTTCTTCTCACAGCTCCACTAGGCAGTGCCCAATAGGGACTCTGTGTGGTGGCTCCAACCCCACATTTCCTTTCTGCACTGACCTAACAGATGTTCTCCATGAGAGCCATGCCCCTGCAGTAAACTTCTGCTTGGATATCCAGGCATTTCTATACATCCTCTGAAATCCAGGCAGAGGTTCCCAAACCTCAGTTCTTGACTTCTGTGCACCTGCAGGGTCAACACCATGTGGAAGCTGCAAAGACTTGGGCTTGCACCCTCTGAAGCCATGGCCCGAGCTGTATCTTGGCCCCTTTTAGTTGCAGTTGGAGTGGCTGGGACACAGGGCACCAAGTCCCTAGGCTGCACACAGCATGGGTACCCTGGGCCCAGCCCATGAAACCATTTTCTCTTCCTAGGCCTCTGGGCCTATGATGGGAGAGGCTGCTGGGAAGACCTCTGACATGCCCCAGAGACATTTTTCCCGTTGTCTTGGGAATTAACATTTGGCTCCTCGTTACTTATGCAAATTTCCACAGCAGACTTGACTTTCTTCTCAGAAAATTGAATTTTCATTTCTATCACTTTGTCAGGTTGCAAATCTTCCAAACTTTTGTGCTCTGTTTCCCTTTTAAATCTGAATGCTTTTAACAGCAGCCAGGTCACATCTTGAATGCTTTGCTGTTTAGAAATTTCTTCTTCCAGATACTGTAAATCATCTCTCTGAAGTTCAAAGTTCCACAAATCTCTAGAGAAGAGGCAAAATGCCACCAATCCCTTTACTATAAGAAAACAAGAATCACCACTTTGTTCCAGTGCCCAACAAGTTCTTCATCTCCATCTGAGACCACTTCAGCCTGGATGTCATTGTCTGTATCATTATCAGCATTTCGGTCAAAGCCATTCAACAAGTCTATAAGGAGTTCCACACTTTCCCATATTTTCCTGTTCTCTTCTGAGCCCTCCACACTGTTTCAACCTCTACCTGTTACCTGGCTCCAAAGTTGCTTCCGCATTTTAGGGTATCTCTTCAGCAGCACCCCACTCTACTGGTACCAATTTGCTGTATTAGTCAATTTTCACAATGCTGATAAAGACATACCTGAGACTGGGCAGTTTACAAAAAGAAGAGATTTAATGGAATTACAGTTCCACATTGCTGGGGAGGCCTCACAATCATGGTGGGAGGAGCAAGTCATGTCTTAGATGGATGGCAGCAGGCAGAGAGAGCTTGTACAGGGAAACTCCCATTTTTAAAACCATCAGATCTCACAAGACTTATTCACTATCAAAAGAACAGCACAGGAGCTCTCTAGATTCCTATTCTCTGGGCAAGGATCCCTGAAAGAAAGGCAGCAGGCCCAGTCAGGGGCTCAGAGATAAAACTCCCATCTCTCTGGGACAGAGCACCTTGGGGAAGGGGCGGCTGTGGGCGCAACTTCAACAGACTTAAACGTTCCTGCCTGCCAGCTTTGAAGAGAGCAGTAGATCTCCCAGCACAGGGCTCGAGCTCTACTAAGGGAAAGACTGCCTCCTCAAGTGGGTCCCTGAACCCTGTGCCTCCTGACTGGGAGATACCTCCCAGCAGGGGCCGACAGACACCTCATGTAAGAGAGCTCCAGCTGGCGTCTGGCAGGTGACCCTCTGGGACAAAGCTTCCAGAGGAAGGAACAGGCAGCAATCCTTGCTGTTATGCAGCCTTCACTGGTGATACCCAGGCAAAGAGGGTATGGAGTGGACCTCTAGAAACTCCAGCAGACCTGCAGCAGAGGGGCCAGACTGTTGGGAGGAAAACTAGCAAACAGAAAGGAATACCATCAACATCAACAAAAAGGATGTCCACACAAAAACCCCATCCGAAGGTCACCAGTATTAAAGACCAAAGGTAGATCAATCCAGGAAGATGAGGAAAAACCAGCAGAAAAAGACTGAAAATTCCAAAAGCCAGAACACCTCTTCTCCAAAGGAGCACAACTCACCAGCAAGGGAACAAAACTAAACAGAGAATGAGTGTGATGAATGGACAGAAGTAGGCTTCAGAGGTGGGTAATAACAAACACTTCTGGGCTAAAGGAGCATGTTCTAACCCAATGCAAAGAAGCTAAGAACCTTGAAAAAAGGTTAGAGGAATTGCTAACTAAAATAACCAGTTTAGAGAAGAACAAAAATGACCTGATGGAGCTGAAAAACATAGCATGAGAAGTTTGGGAAGCATACACAAGTATCAATAGCTGAATTGATCAAGCAGAAGAAAGGATATCAGATATTGAAGATCAACTTCATGAAATAAAGCATGAAGACAAGATTACAGCAAAAAGAATGAAAAGGAATGAACAAATCCTCCAAGAAATATGGGACTATGTGAAAAGACAAAATCTACATAGATTGGTTTACCTGAAAGTGATGGGGAGAAGAGAACCAAGTTGGAAAACATTGTTTAGGATATTATCCAGGAGAACTTCCCCAACCTAGTAAGACAGGTCAACATTCAAATTCAGGAAATACAGAGAACATCACAAACATACCCCTTGAGAAGAACAATTCCAAGACATATAATCATCAGATTAACCAAGGTTGAAATGAAGGAAAAACTGTTAAGGGCAGCCAGAGAGAAAGGTCAGGTTACGCAAAAAGGGAAGCCCATCCAGACTAACAGCAGATCTCTCTGTAGAAACCCTACAAGCCAGAAGAGAGTGGGGGCCAATATTCAACAATCTTAAGGAAAAGAATTTTCCATCCAGAATTTCATATCCAGCCAAACTAAGCTTCATAAGCGAAGGAGAAATAAAATCCTTTACAGACAAGCAAATGCTGAGAGATGTTGTCACCACCAGGCCTGCCTTACAAGAGCTCCTGAAGGAAGCACTAAATATGAAAAGGAAAAACTGGTACTAGCCACTGCAAAAACATACCAAATTGTAAAGACCATCAACACTGTGAGGAAACTGCATTAACTAATGGGTGAAATAACCAGCTAGTATCATAATGACAAGATCAAATTCACACATAACAATATTAACCTTAAAGATAAATGGGCTAAATGCCCCCGTTAAAAGACACAGACTGGCAAATTGGACGGAGTCAAGACCCATCAGTGTACTGTATTCAGGAGACCCATCTCATGTGCAAACACACACATAGGCTCAAAATAAAGGGATGGAGGAATATTTACCAAGCAAATGGAAAGCAAAAAAAAAAGCAGGGGTTGCAATTCTAGTCTCTTGTAAAACAGACTTTAAACTAACAAAGATCAAAAAACACAAAGATGGGTATTACATAATGGTAAAGGGATCAATGCAACAAGAAGAGCTAACTATCCTAAATATATATGCACCCAATACAGGAGAACCCAGATTCACAAAGAAAGTTCTTAAAGACCTACAAAGAAACTTAGACTTCCACACAATAATAGTGGGAGACTTTAACACCCCACTGTCAATATTAGATAGATCAACAAGACAGAAAATTAACAAGGATATTCAGGACTTCAACTCAGCTCTGGACCAAGCAGACATAATAGACATGTACAGAACTCTCCACCCCAAATCAACAGAATATACATTCTTCTCAGCACCACATCGCACTTATTCTAAAATTGACCAAATAATTGGAAGTAAAACACTCCTCAGCTAATGCAAAAGAACGGAAATCATAACAAACAGTCTCTCAGACCACAGTGCAATCAAATTAGAACTCAGGATTAAGAAACTCACTCAAAACCATACAACTACATGGAAACTGAACAACCTGCTTCTGAATGACTACTGGATAAATAACAAAATTAAGGCAGAAATAAAGAAGTTCTTTGAAACCAATGAGAACAAAGACATAGTGTACCACAATCTCTGGAACACAGCTAAAGCAGCATTTAGAGAGAAATTTATAGCACTAAATGCCCACAGGAGAAAGTGGGAAAGATCTAAAATCAACACCCTAACATCACAATTCAAAGAACCAGAGAAGCAATAGCAAACAAATTCAAAAGCTAACAGAAGACAAGAAATAACTAAGATGAGAGCAAAACTGAAGGAAATAGAGACAAGAAAAACCCTTCAAAAAATCAGTGAATCCAGGAGCTGATTTTTTTGAAAAGATTAACAAATTAGATAGACCGCTAGCCAGACTAATAAAGAAGAAAAAAGAGAAGAATCAAATAGACGTGATAAAAAATGACAAATGGGATATCACCAGTGATCCCACCGAAATAGAAACTACCATCAGAGAATACAATAAACACCTCTATGCAGATAAACTAGAAAATCTAGAAGAGATGGATAAATTCCTGGACACATACACCATCCCAAGACTAAACCAGGAAGAAGTCAAATCACTGAATAGATCAATAACAAGTTCAGAAATTGAGGCAGTAATTAATAGCCCACCAACCAAAAAAAGCCCAGGATCAGGCGGATTCACAGCCAAATTCTGCCAGAGGCACAAAGAGGAGCTAGTACCATTCCTTCTGAAACTATTCCAAACAATAGAAAAAAAGGGACTCCTCCCTAACTCATTTTATGAGGCCAGCACCATTCTGATACCAAAACCTCACAGAGACACAAAGAGAAAAGAAAATTTCAGGCCAATACCCCTGATGAACATCGTGTGAAAATGTTCAAATATTGGCAAAACGAATCCAGCAGCACATCGAAAAGCTTATCCACCACAATCAAGTTGGTTTCATCTCTAGGTTGCAAGGCTGGTTCAACATATGCAAATCAATAAATGTAATCCATCACATAAACAGTACCAATGACAAAAACCACATGAGTATCTCAATAGATGCAGAAAAGGCCTTCGATAGAATTTAACACCTCTTCATGCTAAAAACTCAATAAACTTTGTATTGATGGAACGTATCTCAAAATAATAAGAGCTACTTATGACAAACCCACAGCCAATATCATACTGAATGGGCAAAAGCTGGAAATATTTTCTTTGCAATCCATCACGAGACAAGGATGCCCTCTGTCATTACTCCTATTCAGCAGAGTATTGGAAGTTCTGGCCAGGGCAATCAGGCAAGAGAAAGAAATAAAGTGTGTTCAAATAGGAAGAGAGGAAGTGAAATTGTCTCTGCTTGCAGATAATATGATTGTATTTAGAAAACCCCATCGTCTCAACCCAAAATCTCCTTAAACTGATGAGCAACTTTAGCAAAGTCTCAGGATACAAAATCAATGTGCAAAAATCACAAGCATTCCTATACACCAATAATAGAAAAACAGAGATCTAAATCAAGAGTGAACTCCTATTCACAATTGCTACAAAGAGAATAAAATACCTAAGAATACAACTTACAAGGGATATGAAGGATCTCTTCAAGGAGAACTACAAACCACTGCTTAAAGAAATAAGAGAGAACACAAACAAATGGAAAATCATTCCATGCTCACGGATAGGAAGAATCAATATTGTGAAAATGGCAATACTGCCCAAAGTAATTTATAGATTCAATGGTATCCCCATCAAGCTACCATTGACTTTCTTCACAGACTTAGAAAAAGCTACTTTAAATTTCATGTGGAACAAAAAAAGAGCCTGTATAGCTAAGACAGTCCTAAGAAAAAAGAACAAAGCTGGAGGCATTTTGCTACCTGACTTCAAACTACACTACAAGTCTACAGTAACAAAAACAGCATGATACTGGTACCAAAATAGATATATAGACCAATGGAACAGAACAGAGGCCTCAGAAATAATGCCACATATCTCCAACCATCTGATCTTTGACAAACCTCACAAAAACAAGCAATGGGGAATGGATTCCCTATTCAATAAATGGTGCTGGGAAAACTGGCTAGCCATATGCAGACAACTGAAACTGGACTCCTTCCTTACACCTTATACAAAAATTAACTCACGATGGATTAAAGACTGAAATGTAAGACCTAAAACCATAAAAACCCCAGAATAAAACCTAGGCAATACCATTCAGGACATAGGCATGGGCAAAGTCTTCATGACTAAAACAGCAAAAGCCATTGCAACAAAAGCCAAAGTTGACAAATGGGATCCAATTAAACTAAAGAGCTTCTGCACAGCAAAAGAAACTATCATCAGAATGAACAGGCAACCTACAGAATGGGAGAAAATTTTTGCAATCTATCCATCTGACAAAGGGCTAATATCCAGAATCTACGAGGAACTTAAACAAATTTGCAAGAAAAAAATCAAACAACCCCATCAAAAAGTGGGCAAAGGATATGAACAGACACTTCTCAAAAGAAGACACTTATGCAGCCAACAAAGATATGAAAAAAAAAGCTCATCATCACTGGTCATTAGAGAAATGCAAATCAAAACCACAATGAGATACCATCTCATACCAGTTAGAATGGTGATCATTAAAAAGTCAGGAAGCAACAGATGCTGGAGAGAGGGTGTGGAGAATTAGGAACACTTTTATATTGTTGGTGGGAGCATAAATTTGTTCAACCATTGTGGAAGACACTGTGGCAATTCCTCAAGGATCTAGAAGCA
Source organism: Homo sapiens (assembly GCF_000001405.40). Lineage (NCBI taxonomy): Eukaryota > Metazoa > Chordata > Mammalia > Primates > Hominidae > Homo > Homo sapiens. The sequence continues at coordinate 21,280,284 of NC_000003.12, read as the reverse complement.
GAAATACCGTTTGACCCAGCAATCCCTTTACTCGGTATATACCCAAAGGATTATAATCATTCTACTATAAAGACCTATAAAGATACATGCACACGTATGTTTATTGCGGCACTATTCACATTAGCAAAGACTTGGAACCAACCCAAATGCCCTTCAATGATAGACTGGATAAAGAAAATGTGACACATATATACCATGGAATACTATGTAGCCATAAAAAAGGATGAGTTCCTGTCATTTACAGGGACATGGATAAAGCTGGAAACCATCAATCTCAGCAAACTAACATGGGAACAGATGACCAAACACTGCATGTTCTCACTCATAAGTGAGAGTTGAACAATGAAAACACATGGACACAGGGAGGGGAACATCACACACCGGCACCTGTCAGGGGTGGGGATCTAGGGGAGTGATAGCTTTAGGAGAAATTCCTAATGTAAATGTCGGGTTGATGGGTGCAGCAAACCACCATGGCACGTTTATACCTATGTAACAAACGGCATGTTCTGCACACGTATCTCAGGACTTAAAGTATAAGTTTTAAAAAGTTTTTAAAAAAACCAGCATGGGAAAGACCTGCCCCCATGTGATTCAATTATCTCCCACCAGGTACCTCCCATAACAGATGGGAATTACGGGAGCTACAGGATGAGATTTGGTTTGGGACACAGAGACAAAACATATCAACCTAGATTGACAGCTATAGTCCTAAGACAATCCTATAAGGACAGCAATAATAGGAGTGTATTTATTTTGCCCCATAGTAACCAAGTCATCTCCCCTTTTCTATACCTTAAAAGTACAGGAAATCAGGATTGCAAAGATAACTGAATAAAACTGGAAAACATATTTTACATATTAAATCTTAAAATTTTTCCAAAATATCATTGGCTTTATTTGTTGTTTGATAGCTTTTTACTTTGCTTGACCTTTGCTGCATTTTTGTTCCTCTCCCTTGTCTCACCCACTAGGTTGCCCCTTCTCACTCCTTCCGGAGCCAAGGAAGTATATATTTATTTCTGGTCTGAGAAACTTTTTAAATGTAGACAGGTCATTTGAAGAATAATCACAATGGTATTTTCTTTAATACTTTGACAGCCAGTGTAATCTGTGAATTTTCCTAAGTAATCAATCACTAGCTTAGGTTAAAAGGAATTTATAAAGCTTTACATAAAAGTTCTCCTAAGCCATGAGAGTGAGCATAAAGTGCTCAGGATTGAACAAATTCAAATTCAATTCTGCTAATAAGTATCATGGTGATTTGTGGCCAGTTACATAACCTGTCTGGCTAAATCATTGCTTTCTTCTTCTACAGAATGAATGGATTGGACTTGATATTTAAAACCTCTTCCAGGTTTTATATTATATCTTGTATAAGCATTGGCCCTCCTTGGAAACTTAAGTAATGTCTTTCCCATGTGTTCATTTCAGGTATTTTGATTCACTTCCTTTCTAAAATAAGGTACTTGTTTTGTTGGTATTAGAATAAATAAAATCCAGATTTCACAGGTTAATGGGGCCAGAAACCAGAAATCAGGAAGAATAAAAAATCTCAGATGATGCTCAGATTAATGTCAAAGATGCTGTGGTTACCCACAGTCATGGAAGGCTTTGGATGAACACCCAAAGGGCCAGTACTTACAGGATTTGGAATTCCTGCTATTATTCCAAATACGTTTTCCATAATAAATTTGTTATGTCAGGGAATGATTATACTTCACATTTGTATTACATGTAGCACTTTACAAATGTTACTTGTTTTAGAAGTTTAAAATTCATGTCCTTCGCCCACTTTTTGATGGGGTTGTTTGTTTTTTCCTTGTAAATTTGTTTGAGTTCATTGTAGATTCTGGATATTAGCCCTTTGTCAGATGAGTAGGTTGCGAAAATTTTCTCCCATTTTGTGGGTTGCCTGTTCACTCTGATGGTAGTTTCTTTTGCTGTGCAGAAGCTCTTTAGTTTAATTAGATCCCATTTGTCAATTTTGGCTTTTGTTGCCATTGCTTTTGGTGTTTTAGACATGAAGTCCTTGCCCGTGCCTATGTCCTGAATGGTAATGCCTAGGTTTTCTTCTAGGGTTTTTATGGTTTTAGGTCTAACGTTTAAGTCTTTAATCCATCTTGAATTAATTTTTGTATAAGGTATAAGGAAGGGATCCAGTTTCAGCTTTCTACATATGGCTAGCCAGTTTTCCCAGCACCATTGATTAAATAGGGAATCCTTTCCCCATTGCTTGTTTTTTTCAGGTTTGTCAAAGATCAGATAGTTGTAGATATGCGGCATTATTTCTGAGGGCTCTGTTCCGTTCCATTGACCTATATCTCTGTTTTGGTACCAGTACCATGCTGTTTTGGTTACTGTAGCCTTGTAGTATAGTTTGAAGTCAGGTAGTGTGATGCCTCCAGCTTTGTTCTTTTGGCTTAGGATTGACTTGGCAATGCGGGCTCTTTTTTGGTTCCATATGAACTTTAAAGTAGTTTTTTCCAATTCTGTGAAGAAAGGCATTGGTAGCTTGATGGGGATGGCATTGAATCTATAAATTACCTTGGGCAGTATGGCCATTTTCACAATATTGATTCTTCCTACCCATAAGCATGGAATGTTCTTCCATTTGTTTATATTCTCTTTTATTTCATTGAGCAGTGGTTTGTAGTTCTCCTTGAAGAGGTCCTTCACGTCCCTTGTAAGTTCGGTTCCTAGCTATTTTATTCTCTTTGAAGCAATTGTGAATGGGAGTTCACTCATGATTTGGCTCTCTGTTTGTCTGTTATTGGTGTATAAGAATGCTTGTGATTTTTGTACATTGATTTTGTATCCTGAGACTTTGCTGAAGTTGCTTATCAGCTTAAGGAGATTTTGGGCTGAGACAATGGGGTTTTCTAGATATACAATCATGTCGTCTGCAAACAGGGACAATTTGGCTTCCTCTTTTCCTAATTGAATACCCTTTATTTCCTTCTCCTGCCTAATTGCCCTGGCCAGAACTTCCAACACTATGTTGAATAGGAGTGGTGAGAGAGGGGATCCCTGTCTTGTGCCAGTTTTCAAAGGGAATGCTTCCAGTTTTTGCCCATTCAGTATGATATTGGCTGTGGGTTTGTCATAGATAGCTCTTATTATTTTCAGATACGTCCCATCAATACCTAATTAACAGACACTTCTCAAAAGAAGACATTTATGCAGCCAAAAAACACATGAAAAAATGCTCACCATCACTGGCCATCAGAGAAATGCAAATCAAAACCACAATGAGATACCATCTCACACCAGTTAGAATGGCAATCATTAAAAAGTCAGGAAACAACAGGTGCTGGAGAGGATGTGGAGAAATAGGAACACTTTTACACTGTTGGTGGGACTGTAAACTAGTTCAACCATTGTGGAAGTCAGTGTGGCGATTCCTCAGGGATCTAAAACTAGAAATACCATTTGACCCAGCCATCCCATTACTGGGTGTATACCCAAAAGACTATAAATCATGCTGCTGTAAAGACACATGCATACGTATGTTTATTGCGGCACTATTCACAATAGCAAACAAAGACTGGGAACCAACCCAAATGTCCAACAATGATAGACTGGATTAAGAAAATGTGGCACATATACACCATGGAATACTATGCAGCCATAAAAAATGATGAGTTCATGTCCTTTGTAGGGACATGGATGAAGTTGGAAATCATCATTCTCAGTAAACTATCTCAAGAACAAAAAACCAAACACCGCATATTCTCACTCATAGGTGGGAATTGAACAATGAGAACACATGGACACAGGAAGGGGAACATCACACTCTGGGGACTGTTGTGGGGTGGGGGGAGGGGGGAGGGATAGCATTGGGAGATATACCTAATGCTAGATGACGAGTTAGTGGGTGCAGCGCACCAGCATGTCACATGTATACGTACGTAACTAACCTGCACATTGTGCACATGTACCCTAAAACTTAAAGTATAATAATAATAATTAAAAAAAGAAGTTTAAAATTTATTTATATTTATATATGCTGGGAAAGACAATCATAAGGAGTCTCAATATAGGTGTAGATAAAATCAAAGTTTAATATGAATCAAATATAATGCATGTGATAAAGAATTTGCATATTCATATATTTATTCATTTATGCACCACATTTCTTGTATGTTTCTATGTGCCAAGCAGTGTGCTAACTGTTATACAGAGAAAAATAACTGAGTTCCTGCCTCGAAGTAATAGTCTAAGAGTGGATATAGCAATTACAAAATAATAATGGCATAAGTATGACAGAAACTAAGGTGCACCTAGAGGTAACACCTAATTGGGACCTGGAATGTTAAGAGAGCTGTCAGGAGAAGCTAGATCTTGGCTGGGGCAAATTGGTGGGTAATAGAGTGTTCCAGGCAGAGAAGAGGTCATACAAAAGGTCAGAGACCCAGGAGGTGATGTTAGGAAACACGAAAGATTTCAGCCGAAGCTGAATATAGAGTACAATGTTGGGAATGATGTAGGGTAGAAGATGTCAACAAGGAAGACCAAGAAAGATATGGTTAGCTACAAGAAGGATTTTTAATTCCATTCCAAAGGCACTGAAAGGCCATTGGATTTATTTGTGTGGTCACTGACATGATTTAAAATGTTTACTGTGTTTGAAGCGTAGAGTATTGAATAGAAATAGGACAATACTTGAAAGGTCACAGGTGACATACTAAAAAGGGAAGGAAGTCGAGGTGGTTCTATATAAGGTTCTGACAAGTGGCATTCAAGAGAAGTGGAAAAATCTGAACACTCAAATCAACAGGTCTTGGTGATGGATTTGATGTGGAGGATAAGAGAATGTTATTAGGTTTGATGCCTAGTTTTCTATCTTAAGCATCTGGATTGGTGGTGATGTTTCTCGTTAAGCTATGGGTTCTACAAGAAAGAGCATCCTGGTAGATGAGAACAGGAGTTCACTTTTAGAAGTATTACTTTCTTGGAATTTGCATGATCTCTGAGTGGAAATGTGAGGTAGAGAGTTAGATGTGGTAGCTATAGGATTGAAGAGTAAAGTTTGAGCTGAAGGAATAGATTGGTGAGGCATCGACATAAAGGCAGTAATCATAAGGACACCAAATGCTTATTGAGAACTTACTATATTCTAGTTATTTTTCTAAGTGCTTTACACTATCACTCCATAAATCCTCATAATAATTCTTTGATGTAGATTAAATTTTTCTATTTTGTAAATAAGTAAACAAAGGCACAAAGAGCTTAGTAAGTGGCAGAGCTAGGATTGAACCCAGGCACCCTTAGTCCAGAGTCCATGCTCTTAACCATCAAGGTAATTTACGTTATAGAATAAATAATATGTGACAAAAAGAGAATACCGGCAATGACGATAAACGTAGCCATGCAACACCATTATTTCAGATATTGGAAGAAAAAGAAAAACAGACAAAAGAAGAAGAGGATGAAGCGGCCCAAGGAAAAGGATGTCTGTGTTGTCTGAATACAAACAGGAAGCATTTTCTAAGTCAGAAGTAGTCAGTCCTATCAAATTCTGTTCAGAAGTCATTGAAGATCAGTCCTAATATGTGCTCAGTGGGCTTGAAATGTATAATGAGCCCAACTGTGAAAAGTTTTATACGTCACGCTGAAGGGTTTGACTCTTGTTCTATGACCCAGTGATTGTCTGCCTGAGTTCTGCACATCAGAATCCTCTGGATGAGTTTTGGATAGGCAGATGTGTGTATCCTCAACCCAGACCCAATGACCTAGAAACTCTTGGGATGGAGAGGAGCATATACACACTTTAACAGCTCTGCAGAAGGTTTTGACGCTCATCCAACATTCATAATCAGCACTTTTAGTTGCTAGGGTGTCACTGATCACATCCGGCAGCAACACTGTCACAGCCATGTTTAAGACCAATGTCTCTGATGGTTGTATACCAGCATGAGGGGGAAATAGAGGCCAAAAAACAGCTAAAAGATTAAGAGAGTTCAATATTGAATACCTAAATTTGGACTGAGAGTTATACCTATGCTTTAATTTTGCATATTTTTCACTTTCTTGAGAAAGATTGTTCCTTGAATTCCTAGTCCCTGAGTCACTGTTGTATTTGCAACATGAAAAAAGCTTTTCATTGTGGCTTTATAAAATGACTTAGTTTGGCAGTTATGAAGTTCAATAAGAAATTGTAGCAAGTCTGGGATACAGTTGAAAATAAAGAACTTCCTTACACTATTTGTTTAGTTGGAAATGAGCTTTCTTTCCTAGTGCTTAGAAATGATATTTTAATACATCTATAATTCCAAAAGCACTGAGGGAGGTGTTCCAATTGAAAGTGTTGGGTTTATTTATTTATTTATTTATTACAAAGAATTACAAAGAACAGAGGGGAAAATACATTGTTTTCTTTCTTTTCTGCTGTTTTTCAAAAGGCCTTAATTGAGCACAGCTGTGATATGGCACAGACCTAAAACAGGAAATGAGTGTTTCGATAATGCTACATTTCCAAAGCACTTAAACATCATGGTGAAAATACCAACAATACCTTTTGAGATTAACTGTGAAGGGTTGGGTTTAATTCACTAAATTATTTCAGGAGATCCTATTTTCAGGAAAATGCTGAAAAAGATCCTTTGTCTCAAACCTGTCAGGATACAGCAAAAATAAAAATTTAAGTAAAAAGTGAGAGAAAAGGAGAAAAAAAATGAGTGTACAAAATATAGGGAAAGGCTGCTGCTCCAAGCAGAATTTTTCTTTCCTGTGCTGCAGCTGCCAAGCACACGTTCACATTTTTTTATTTAAGAGCAATCTTTTCGGGATCACTTCTTCAGCGGGAGTGTAGCCAGTGATGAAGTGCCTGGGCTCTTGGACAAGGTTCTTAAACACTTTGCAATGCTTCAGTTTGGGGAAAGAATTTTTTTCTAAGACTTCCAGTGTCAACAAATGTTAAAGCTAATAGCAGCCCTATGTCACATACACTCCTTCCCACCACCACCCCTAGTTCATCTCAGGATTTTTTCACATTACTGACAGATAATTCTGACCCAGACACCTTGTTCCTTGCAACATAAGAAAACCACTGCTTTAGATCATTTGACTATAATGTTCTTGATCACAGACTTCTGGGTTTGGGTGAGCTGAAAAGTGTGCTCAAAATAGTAATGTCTGTGTTTCCTATTTTTCAAACAGCCTCTATTGAAGAGAACAAAAAATATATGTATCAGGACTATTTTAACCCTATGTTATTTCTTAGAAAATTGATCAGTCATTTAGTTCAGTTTGAAAGCTTTATTAAGCACATAAAGAGTTCCAAGCACCGTGCTATATGTTGACAAAACAAAGGTCTACCCCAAATAAATAATAGTTTAGTGCAGGAGTCTGCAAACTTTTTCTGTATAGGCACCAGATATAAATATTTTAGGCTTAGTGGGTCACAAAATATCTCTGCCGCATTTTTCTCTTATCATTTTACAAATATCTGAGGTGTAAAAACCATTCTTGGTGTATGGGTCGTATCAAAGCAGACTCGTGGTTTAATATAAAAATAAATTACTTATAAAAAGCAATTTTATTTGTAAATGGTAAAACAATAGTTTCAGCTATATGAAATTGCCAATAGTTGATCAATTTTATGGTAATTTCATATGATCCAACCTATGTAGTAAGTCCTAACTAAAACAAATTATGCACAATTGCATACTCACTATAATGCTAGATATAAATGCATGAGTGAAGAAATTAATCAATGATACTTAGGAGTATCTCATCAGAAGGATTTTGGTAAGTAGATTGAGAAGAGTGGGAAGAAGATGGAGAGAATCTAACTGAGTAAAACACTGAGAGTTGTGGCACCAAATCTCCAAAGTGGGGCTGAAACCAGGATGTGTATGAAAGACATTATGCATAGAGTTGAGCAGAGTCTTGTACAACTTGCTAAAGAGTTTAGATTATATTCTACAAACGACATAACAGGTAGAAAACTTAACCAGAAAAACTCAGAGTCAATCTATATTCTAGAAATCCAACTTTATTTAGGCCCAGCCACCCTATGTGGCACCTATGAGCAAATTAGTAAGTGATATTTCTTTCTAAAGTCATTTTCCCTCCTTACATTGAAAAAAATTGTATTAATATACTAGTGAGAGGTGACAACATGCTAGCAGCCCTCGCTCGCTCTCAGCACCTCCTCAGCCTCGGCGTCCACTCTGGCTGCACTTGAGCCCTTCAGACTGCCACTGCACTGTGGGAGCCCCTCTCTGGGCTGGCCAAGGCCAGAGCCAGCTGCCTTTGTTTGCGGGAAGATGTGGAGGGAGAGGCACGGGCAGGAACCAGGGCTGCATGCAGTGCTCATAAGCCAGTGCAAGTTCTGGGTGGGCGTGGTCTCGGTGGCCCCGCACTCGGAGCAGCTGGCCGGCGCCACTGGCCCCGGGCAGTGAGGGGCTTAGCACCTGGGCCAGCAGCTGTGGAGGGTGTGCTGGGTCCCCCAGCACTGCTGGCCCACCCGCAGCACGCTCGAATTCTTGCCAGGCTTCAGTTGCCTCCCCGCGGGGCAGGGCGTGGGACCTGCAGCCCACCATGCCTGAGCCCCCTGCCCCAACCGGTGGGCTCCCGCACAGCCCAAGCCTCTCCAACGGGCACTGCCCCCTGCTCCGCGGCACCTGGTCCCAGCTACCAGTGTGGAGTGTGGACATTTGGCATGGGACTGGAGGGCAGCTCCGCCCGCAGCCCTGGCGTGAGATCCCTTAGATGGAGCCAGCTGGGCTCCTCAGTCAGGTGGGGACTTGGAGAAATTTTATGTCTAGCTAAAGGACTGTAAATGCACCAATCAGCACTGTGTCTAGCTCAAGGTTTGTAAATGCACCAATCAGCACCCTGTCAAAATGGACCAATCACCTCTCTGTTAAATGGGCCAATCAGCTCTCTGTAAAATGGATCAGTCAGCAGGATGTGGGTGGGGTCAGATAAGGGAATAAAAGCAGGCTGCCGGAGCCAGTAGCAGCAACCCGCTGGGGTCCCCTTCCACACTGTGGAAGCTTTGTTCTTTTGCTCTTTGCAATAAATCTTGCTGCTCACTCTTTGGGTCTACACTGCCTTTTTGAGCTATAACACTCACAGCAAAGGTCCACAGCTTCACTCCTGAAGCCAGCGAGACCATGAACCTACTGGGAGGAATGAACAACTCCAGATGTGCCGCCTTTATGAGCTGTAACACTCACCGCGAAGGTCTGCAACTTCACTCCTGAAGGCAGTGAGACCAGGAAACCACCAGAAGGAAGAAACTCCGGACATGTCCAAACATCAGAAGGCACAAACTCCGGACACACCATCTTTAAGAACTGTAACACTCACCGTGAGGGTCCACGGCTTCATTCTTGAAGTCAGCGAGACCAGGAACCCACCAATTCCAGACACACTAGTTTTGTTAGGATAAAGGACCATACTGTCATCTGCTGAAAATTTGCCATAATAAAATATAAAAATCTGTAATGTCTGCCATATGAATGGTGCTTGTGAGATGTGGCATCTTTTGTACTAATTATATATATGGAAACAATATAAGGTTAATAGCAATCTGGAAACAATATAAGGTTAATAGCAATGAAGAGGATAGTAACATGGAACTAAATTAGGAAGCTTTTAAAATAATTCTGGGTCTAGGCAAAGAGAAGTTGGAGCCCGGGGAAGTAAAAGTGATGGATGTTACAAACATATATGCTCTAGGAGACATAGAATGTTAAGACTAAGGGGGAGAAGTAGGATTGATACACAACTCTTAAGAATTGTATCTGCAATAATTGTGTGGAGATTATTGCCTTTAGCTGAGAGAAGAGGCATGAGGAATGGCAGATTTAGAAAGAATTTGGAGAATTTTGGAAATTTGAAGTAAATGTGAAACATATAAGACAACTGTCAGTAGAAAACAAGAGTGGGATCAATGGCATTCATGTGCTTGCTCAGAGTATAAAAATAGCAGAAACTTTGAAAGCCAAGGAGAAAATGTAGAAAGGAAATATAAACAAGCAGTGAACAAAATATACAAAGTTTGAGTAAAAATTCTGGAGAAAAACCAGGTGGCAGTGATATTATAGATTCAAACAGGAACAGAAACATTCCAGGAGGAGTAAATATAAACATAGTATTCACCCTTTCCAGGGTATATCTGATATCCAAGGAGTTACAAGGTCAGTGGTTAGCTTTGCAAGAGTATTTTCAAGGGTGTGGTCAAGACAGAATTCAGATTTCTAGATGCTGAGGAGAGATGACAAATGAGGATTAGAAGGGATTAGAAATAAGTATAAAATACTTTATACTTCAGTCTGACTGCAGAGTAAAGGAGACATAAATAACAGTGTGAAAGGAAAGTTTTGCTTTGTGTTGTTTTGGGTAAAGATTAGAAAGAAATGACAAAAAGAAGATTGAATTTGCAATAAATAATCACGTGCATGCATAATTATGAAAGATTAGTAAATAATAAAGAAAAAACACAGTAAACTAACTTTAAAGGTTTAAAGATCAACAGAAGAATGTGTGAAGTTACATAGCAGTTCATGACTAATTGCCAAATGATTAGCCTGGATGAGAAGTGTTATGAAGTTAGGTATTATTAGAACTTGCCACTGCTTCTCCACCTGAGAATCTCTTGCTCCTTTACCAGGCTGTAGGAATTTGGAAAGACAGAGGAAAGGAATATGAGATAACATGTTCCATAGGGCTTGGCGATAATTGAAGGAGATTGAACCAATAGCCTGCTACAATTTGATCTGTCTGAAGCTACCTCCATAAGAAAAGAAAAAATACCTCTGCTTCCTTTCAACTACCTTATTTTGAGTCTTACAATTTAAACACCTAAAAATAAAAGCATTCGTCTAACATGTAAAAGTTATTTCTCCACACATGAATTCTGGACCTCAAAGCGGTGTGTTAAAGTTTAATGTCTTGAAAATTATTGTTGGTTCTTTTCCTCTCCCCCTCTCCACTTTCCTTATTAACACTTAAGCATGGGGATTAATTCAGTATGTTTGAATTTTCCAAGGCAGTGGATTTGTTCTAAGGACAGGGTGGTGTGTAAGCACATTTCTCTTCTGTGATTAAGTGGAACCAGCACTCCTTCTGACGCCCAAGAACACAAGCTTTCCACTTCTAAGATGGATCGATAGGAATAATCTTATGTATTGAGTGTCACTCCTGGCACCTCCTCATTTGTGCACAGACAACAATCTCCCTCTGAATCTCAAAGTGGATAACGCCATACATTATTTCCAGCAAATAGAGAAAGCAGAATCATTTTGAGCTCATCTGGGCTGTGATTAAACACAATGATACATTCGGAAGGAACACACCAGAGACTAGATGGCATCTATCATCCTAGGCCTATTGAGTACACCTTTAATACTAAATGATGTACTCTCTGAATCTTACTAGACCATTGACATATTCTTTGTCCTTTTCTGTTGGTAAAAAACCTGGCAGAAATATACAAGAACTCAACATATTTAGAGTAGAAAATTGTGAAATTTAATCAGACAGGCAGGACAAAAAAAAGTGCAAGTGTTGTTTTATTTTAGGGATAAGACATGAAAGCTTGAAACTATAGCTTGAAATTTCCAAAATCCATTTACCTGGTAGAAGTTTGGAGAGGGGTTTTCCTGGAATTTATCAATAGATATATGGTCTATAGATCATGAACAGGAGAGTCAGGAAATGCCTCAATGCATAATTATAATGTGACCTCAAAAAGAAAGACTCTGAACATCAAGAATGAGTAGTTTTGGGAAGTAAACTGTAACATGCTCTAGATGTTTGAAGGAACAAAGATGATGAACTTGTAGATTTCAGTCAATGTGTTTTTGTCTTAGAAATTCTTAACCACTTTCTTAAAACTGCAAATTTCTCACAAAGCTAAATGTTTTGTGACTTTTTCACTCCCAGCACGGTGGGTGTATCTGATATTGTGAAAATGTACTTGCATGGCTCTCTAGTTAGAAGGGATTGAGGATGTCATGTTCAGAGTCTGGAATAGTTGCTCATGCTATTGAGAAAAAGTTTGTGAAATGTGAATTAGTATAAAATCTCTGCTCTTATATTTTTTAACCCATTGCAAATACTTCTATCTTTTAGAAACAAATTAACAACCGAATGTTTTAAATGTACTGCAGGCTCAGATTGCCTATATATGCTGACAAGTCTTCCTCCTACACCTGATTTATATTTTACCTATGTGTCCTCAAGTACTGAAGTGTCTGTGGATGTGTGGAAGGGCCTATGGTTTTCATGCTTTGACATTTCAAATTTTTAGAGAGCAATTCTTCTGTCTGGGGCTTCCCAGGCTGCCTCAAGCCCCTCCTCCTTTCTGCTTTAGCTTCAGTTAAAAAATGGGTGCTCAATTGTATTCTTGTAAGAAGTGCAAGAGAAAGAAAAATAAAATCAAGCTCTCCTTACGCCACATGACATCACATCTGGAACAAAGTATAGAATTTGGAAATGTTCCATCAAGCTGAGTGCCAAAGTTTATGTTTGAATTTCATCTTGTATCATGTGAAATGATGATTGTCTTATTGAGTTGTCTGTCTTATTGAGGTCTGTCTTATTGACGATTGTCTGTCTCATTGAGTCGTCTGTCTTATCAAGATAAAAGAGATATACTTGAACAAGGTCCTTTATAGTCCCGAAAGGACAGGTAAGTGGCCTTACTTTATGGATGGATATGATTCAAATTAAGACTGCCAACTGAAAAACCATGTGATCCAGTTGCTAATAAGATGACTGTGAAAAAAGAAAGATGAAAAGTAAATGTGTCAAGAATTGTGATTTTTGACCTGCAAGATTTACTGATGGATTTTGAGGGGTAGCAATACAGATAAAGACAAAAATGTATTTTAGAAAGTGGCTTAAATGATTTGAGAGGTCATTCTCTGAAGCAAGGTTTCAAAATAGTATCATTTAAAAAAAATCAAAATGGGAGAAAAAATTGAATAATGAAACTACAGAAAAGATGCCGTTTTGGCAATGAACATTAATATCCTCCAGCTGACTTCAATTTGATTGTGCCAAATCAGTAATGCTTGTGAATTAATGTAAATTATTTATTGGAATTCTCATGCCATGCCTTCAGCCATCCCTTCTCAGAGAAGAATGGATCTGTCTAGAACTCTACCCTGAGCTTTCTGTTAGGAACATTTTAAATGACTCACATAATGATGCTTATACATCTCATAGTAGGAACAACTGGAGCCTCAAAAGCCCCACAGTGAATAAATGCCACGTGTTCATCTCTTCCTCCGATAGGCACTCCCTCTGATTGATTAATGGACCGTTACCCAGGAAAGCAGAGAGAAAGCCACTTGGGATTGAAAGTATATATTTCTTGCTGTTTAAATGTACAACAGGCTCAGATCACCTATATATGCTAACAAGTCTTCCTACTACACCTAATTTCTATTTTACCTATGCCTCCTCAAGCATTGAGCTTATTAATTTTCCTTTCACTCTCATTCTCTCTCTCACTCTTGCTATTGCCCTCAAATTAGAGTTTTATGTCAGAGGTGAACATCGTGACTAACTGATTTTCTCAATGTATCACTATCATTGATGTTTTAAGCAAACTGAGAAGCTCTTCCTAATTATTTTATTACTTGTTTTCATCAACAACTAGACGATGCTACTATTTGCTACATCATGGAGGAGTTTATGCATTGAAAGATTAAATAAAAGAAATTAAGGGCCAGGTGCAGTGGCTCATGCCTGTAATCCCAGGACTTTGGGAGGCTGAGGCAGGTGGATCACGAGGTCAAGAGATCCAGACTATCCTGGTCAACATGCTGAAAACCCATCTCTACTAAAAATACAAAAATTAGCGGGGCTTGGTGGCGTGCGCCTGTAGTCCCAGCTACTCAGAAGGCTGAGGCAGGAGAATCGCTTCAACCCGGGAGGTGGAGGTTGCAGTGAGCTGGGATCCGCCACTGCACTCCAGCCTGGGGACAGAGCAAGACTCCGTCTCAAAAAAAAAAAGAAAAAAGAAATTAAGGAAAACAAAGATCGATACTTTGAAATTACTCACTAATCTTTTAAATACAAATACTCATATTTCAAGTTATGAAAATAATTTGTAAAATTTACCTTAAAAATCTATATTGCAAGATCCAAACAGAACAAAGAACAAAATAAGCAACAAAAAAATAAGAAATTCCAAGACATAATTAATAACACATTGGTACTTCTATCCATTAGTTCAGTAAATCCTACTCTAGTTGCAAGTAAATTCTTTTTTCAAACCTGTGGTTCCATTTATCAGTTTAATCTCAGGTCTTAAATTGTCAATCTCAGTTTTAATTGCCATGTTAAATTTGTTTTTCTAAATTTCTAGAAGAAATATCACATTCGCTCTTAAGTATGTTTTCTTGGTCAGGGTTGTTGTCTTAGTTAAGGTTATTTAGCTTACATGCCTTTTGCTGAAAGGCCCCAATACATCCTGGGACAACCTTACCTTTGATGTTATTCTGCCTTTATAGTAGAAGTGGATGAGGGCACTGTGTCTGTTCCAGATGCTTCTCATTGCTTCCTGTTGATTTGTTGCTGAGTCTATGACATCTTGACTCCACAACTTGACTTTTCAGAAACAGGTTAATTTTGAAACAATCGATACTCACAGTGTTGTATACTATAACCATAGGTTTCTTGCTTGAGGAAGTGAAAACCAAATGGAAATAAATATTTTGAGATAGTTTCTCTCTATCTCTCTCTCTCCCTCTCCTTTCAAATTTTGTTGATGTCAGAAATAAGGAATCTAGAACAAGGAAAATGTTGAAAACAGATAGGCAGCATGAATAATATTATTTACTTCACATTTGTTAGAGACAAAAAGTGAGGATTCTGAAAAATTAATGAATTAATATACTTAAGGAGTTAAATGCATTGCTATATTATATATATAATGTACAACTATGTTTAAATGGAGTTTAAGTAACATTTTCAGTTTTAGATGAAAGAAATTGAATAGACCTTTGAGTCAGATAAAAAATTTTAAAATCACAGGTCTAGTATTAACTTGGTTTAGTGTTGTTTCATAACTTTGAAAGACAGTTTGCTCCCTTGAGTTTCAGCGTCTTTATATCCAAACAGAGATAAAAAATAATCCGTTAAAACAGAGTTGTTAGAATCCTCATATGAGAGTAACACAAGCAGCAGCTGGCACATAATAATTCTCAATAAACATTATTGAGTCAAAACTTCAGAAATATATTGTGAAACATTTTCTGAAAAATGCTTTTAAGTGATAAAATATATTTTAATATGTGATAAATTTCTATCAGTCTTCTTTCCCAGGGACCTCCAGTTGCCCTTGTCATCAGTAATGGGCAGGTAGAGAGAATTTTAAAAGGTAGTTTGTATTGAGGAGTTAAAAAAATGAAAAAAAATGATCTAGTGTCTACTATCATATCATCTCAAGTAATCTTTTTCAATATTCTGTATATTATTTCAGTTGCTTCTCATATCAATTCCAAGAAAGTGTGCATTGTCTTTATAAGCAGAAAGAGAAACTCTTAAGACAACTCTGTTTTAAGAAAAGCTTTATTTCCATTCAAGATCTGGTATGCTCCTTAGGTATTTATATTTGATAGTGAGAATAATTGAACTGATTGGGATTCTTTTTCCTCATTTAAGAAATATGTAGAATGAGAATCTTCCTGTACAAAACCTGGCTTACTGGATTCAGGTGGAAGTTGATGATGATAATGATAAACCTGCTATCAAACCTCAACTTATCATTCTGCTGTGGCCTGAAGATATCATTGAATTACTCTGATGATTCTAGGTAGATAGCAATACTAGGCATTCATGTCTGAAGACTTGTTTCTTTGCAGCAATGAATTTCAGAAGAGTTTCATGTCTTCTTGGCAGCATAAGTATATAAAGTTAAGCATTTACCAAAAACTGCAGGTCATATTTTAAAAATTATTATTCTCTGTGAAGTAAATTTGTTTGGTTATAATACATATATAAGCTTCACATTCCTGCTTAAATAATTGAAAATACGTTACCTTCCTCACTACATCGCCAGTAGAACTGGACTGCAGAACACCAAGTAAAACATGTCCAAAAGACAGACCCAATATTCTCACTATTTCTGTGTGTTTGTCAGTGAGTTTAAAACTGGAGATGTCTGATCTTCTGTTTCTTTATTACCACTTTAAATGAAGAGCTCCTCCATTTCCAGGTTGGAAGAATCATTGAATTTTCCTTCATCTTCTCCATGCTGCTGCCCACTTCTTCTCGTAGAAGCTGGAAGACCAGCCCTTAGATTGGCTTAACTGTTGACTGCTCTGTGAGAGGCCTCCTGGAGGGCTGGTCACAGACGCAAATAGGAATCCATCTACTGCCATGTGCAAGAAAAGAAAACTACCTTTTAATATGCTCAAATGCTAATGCAGAGGAATAGAGAGGGAAAATGGAAGAAAGTTTGTTTTAAAATTACTATGAATAGATATAAACCTGACTGGCTGGTGTGAACCAGCCACATTCAAGCAGTGTTCTAAATAAGGAGGGAAATGGTACAACATCTAATATTCTGGAAGGCCATGTTTAAATCTAGTGTACAGATATTTCAAGCTCTCATGTCCTTCTATGCCTATCTATTTGGATATGAAAAAGAAATGAATTGACATAATTTATTTTTGCCTACTGCTTTTTATTGGAGTATGTTTTTTAAAATTATAATAATTGAAAGCTAAGCAAATTTATATAATTGTGAAGTGCAATTTTTTTTTTTTTTTTGAGACGGAGTCTTGCTCTGTTGCCCAGGCTGGAGTGCAGTGGCGGATCTCAGCTCACTACAACCTCCGCCTCCCAGATTCAGGTGATTCTCCTGCCTCAGCCTCCCGAGTAGCTGAGATTACAAGCACCTACCACCGTGCCTGGCTAATTTTTTGTATTTTTAGTAGAGATGGGGTTTCACCATGTTGGCCAAGCTGGTCTCGAACTCCTGACCTTGTGATCCGCCCGCCTCGGTCTCCCAAGAGGTGTAATATTTTTAAAAGGGATGGAAAGATGTCATGTAGGACACCAACATATTCTAAAAAGATTGAGAAACAAATAAAGGAATGATCAAGCTACCTAAGGCAAGCCTGCAACATTGGTCTTAGAATAGGGAAGATCACAAGAAATGAGTTGATTCCTACCTTGTCGCTGTCT
Source organism: Homo sapiens (assembly GCF_000001405.40). Lineage (NCBI taxonomy): Eukaryota > Metazoa > Chordata > Mammalia > Primates > Hominidae > Homo > Homo sapiens. The sequence goes on along the minus strand of NC_000003.12, from coordinate 21,263,124 downwards.
AGCTGTAAGCATTTGATCAAGTCATTTAACTTTCTAGATCATCACTGTCCAATCAAATGTAATTCAAGTCACAAATGTCTTTTTGGATTTTTAGCACCTCCATTAAAAATGGGTAAAGTTAATTTAAAAATATATTTTACTTAACCCGAAATATGCAAAATATTATCATGTTGACTTACAATCAATTTAAAAATTATTCATGAGATATTTTACATTTTTCATATTAAATTTTCAAAACCCAGTGAGTATTTTACACTTACAGCACATCTTTATTTGAACTAGCTACATTTCAAGTGCTCAGTAGCCACATGTAGCTCATGACCACTGCAATGGACAATGCCATTTTAGACTCTCAGTTCTGCACCTGTAAAATCATGGAGTTGAATAGACTGTCTCCATGCCTAAAAAGATTTAATTCTGTGGTGCTGCTCTTGCATAAAATTGACTTATATGCAGTAACTTCAAGCAGGGACCAGATGCATCTGTCTTCTAATATAAAACTAAATATGTTGTGTAAACATGCCAAGATGCACTTTCCACATGGAAAATAATTTAATCCCTTTCTCAAAAAATTTCCATTAAGACAAGTGAAATTGCATATATCAAAGCACCTAACATGATAAATGCTCTCTATGTATATATATGATATATATGATATATATATTATGCTCTATGTATATATAATATATATGTTATATATTATATATTATATATGTTATATATTATATATGTTATATATTATATATGTTATATATTATATATATGTTATATATAATATATACATAGAGAGATACAGATATAAATAGATATATAGTACATATATAGACACATATGTGTATATGTATATTTGTGTGTGTGTATATATATGTGTGTGTGTATTCCATTTACATTAAAACATACTAAGTATGAAGGCCAAGCAAAGGGAGATGTCTTTGTGGTGGGGCAAATCTATAAATATAGAACATGGCATTTATTAAACCTGTCAGTTCACAAAAACTGATATCTATCATTGGTTGCCCTGCCCTCTTTTTCTGGTAGCAGAGAAAACCTGAATTTATCTTTCTCAAATGGTAATCTAGGTATCGTATCTGACTTTCCCTGAACAAGGAGTGCTACATGATCCAGTCTTGACCACCTATATCTAGAATTTGAGTTTGAGACAGAGAGGTCCCAGGAAAGAGCTTGGTTGGAGGGAACTCATCCCAATGGGCCATTCCAGAAGAGACTGTGTATTTCCTCTCATTGCTCATTTATTTGGACCATAACAGGATGCTGTCCTTCTGAGATCTTGTTACTCAGCTTTTCCTTTGATTCTGCAAGATTCTCTGTAGCTTTAATGTAAATTCCCCCATAATACTGACACAGTCAGTTTCTGCCAAACACCCTGATTGGGCCATGTCAAAAAAATTGTACTTCCAGTCTCCATGAACCATCCTCATCTGACCACATCTCCAGTCCTAATATCTCTGCCAACATTTTGGACAGGTTCTTTCCATCTAAATGTGAGATTAAAAAGTAACTCACATTTAATTTAGTTTAATTTATGCAGACAGGTTTTCTGATCTTCTACATTACAGTGTACAATACACTAGCCACTAGGCATATGTATCTATTTAAATTAAAATAAACTAAAATTAAATCAGTTTCTTATTTGCATTAGCCAAATTTCAAGCGCTCGATAGCTACATGTGGCTAGTGTATATTGTATTGGACAACACAGAAAAAGAACATTTCCATCATCTTCAGAAGTTCTATTTGACAGCAGTAGTCTAAGGAATTTCCAGACACTTCTTCAAAACACTCATTAAAATTTGAGGTAATTCCTGACAAAAGTTACTGAGTAAAAGTGAAATGAACAATGAAGGGTACCAGTAAGAAAAAGAATTGTAATTTGAAGGATGGAGGGTAAATACATCTTCCACAAGAATAAAACTAACAAAGAAACTGAGTTAAAGAAATAATTACATGGAAGACAACTATAGTACTTTGGAAAAGAGTGTATGTAGAAATTAGCAGACATTCAGTATCTTAATTTTTCCTTTGGGGATTAAGAGCTCCTTTTCTAAAATCCTGTTCCTTTTAAGACATTGAGTTATTAAAATTCAGATCTTAGTTCTCTAAGTAATGTAACGACTCCAGTCATTCTCACACATTTTACAGATAAGAGAGTTTTCTGGAGAGCATATGTCACTTACCGGGTTACACAGATCAATTATCTGCAGAAACAACACCAGAACAACACATGCTCCTTAAGTCTCAATCTAAACAGTTCTTCTCGATTGGACAAGGTATACTCAGGACAGTTCCCTAAGAATAATTTCTGTAGCATTATCTTAACTAAAGATATTCAGATTAGAGCTTTTATTAACTCAGTCTTTCTCACTTCCTATGAAACAGGCAATTACGCAACTTCCATGTCACCTGTACTAGGACTGAACATGGATATATCTGGTTTTTTCTAAGGGCCAGGAAAAGGGAAATCATTCCTCTGGATTCATATCACTATAACTGACACGCTCGCCTGTCTAAATCTCATCCTCTGAAACTTGCAAATCCTCATTTTCTTTCCCAAGTAGCTTGGAAAATTAAGTCATCCTCTGCACGTGTGTTTAATTTAGGTCAGGGTCTTCAGAGCAGAAATAATGTGCGTTGTATAGAAGGAAAATAAATGTATTTGTAAAATTTTGTGTGGTATAGATCACCAGCCTGAACCAGAGAGAACATTCCTACTATTAAATGAAAGGTATATGTGAGGAAAGCAAAATTATCTCGCATATAAACTTGCATTAAATTAGGTCAGTTTTCAGAGAATCATATTCACGCATATGTAAAAAAAATCTGCATACTTTTGTCCTTGGGGTCCAAATGTGCCAAGTCTTGAGTTTGGGGCTTACTCAGGAGAGTCTTAGGTTGTGCATTTCTGAAAACAGTTTAGTATTAACTCAGTCAAAGGCTTCCTGCCTGCCTGCCAAGTCTCCCTGTCTGTCGTACATGTGATGGCTTCCTGCTGGAGGCTGCTGACTTCTGTCGTTTGACAAATAAATTAGCAGCAGGCCATCATCAGAGTGATTCTTAGATAATTAACATACATACATTTGACATTTCGTTGAGTTTGTTCATCAAA